>NC_000012.12:84960128-87460128 GCF_000001405.40 Homo sapiens
TCAGATTAAGACCAAATTGATTTCAATAATAGTATATGAAAGTTTATTTTAATAGAGTTCCATTTCATCATCGCTTCTTTATGTTCTTATTTTCATACTTATAAGCCCATTGATACAGTTTTAATACTTTAGCCATTATTTTTAAATCGAGTAGGAGAAGAAAATAATTATAAACAAAAATATATTTATACTTTCATTTATATTGACCTATGTGGTTACCTTACTGCTCTCATTTACTTTTTGATGTGAATTCAAGTAAAATTTTAGTGCCTTAATTTCTGATTGAAGGATTTTCTTTAGTGGTTCTTATAAGATATGTCTGCTAGTAACAAATTCTCTCCATTTTCATTTATATGAATATCTCTGTATTTCCCCTTCAATTTTGAAGGATAGTTTTACTTGACGTAGAATTATTGGCTGACTGATATTTTCTTTTAGAACTTTGAACATGTCATTGTACTGTATTCTGGTTATTAATATTATTGAGGATTCATTGTATGTGATAAGTTTTTCTTCTTTCACTGTTTTTAAGAATCTATGTCTTTGGCTTTCAACAGTTTGAATATTTTGTGTCTAGGTGCAGTTCTCTGAGTTTATCTTACTTGAAGTTCATTAAACATTTTGGATATAGAGATTAAATGTTTTTCATCAAATTTTAGAGTTCCAGCCTTGAAAATATAGTAAGACTACATCTCTGCTAAAATTTTAAAAAATAGCAATTTAGCCAGGCATGGTGATATGTGCCTGCAGTCCCAGTTGCTTGGGAGTCTGAGGCAAAAGGATCACTTGGGCCCAGGAGTTCAAAGTTGAAGTGAACTATGATTGCCATTGCACTCTAGCCTGGGAAACAGAAAGAAACTTTGTCTAAAAATAAATTTTTTGAGAAGTTTTTGGAATTTTTTTTCAAATATTCTTCCCATTTCTCTCCCTCTCTCTTTCTAGGATTTCCATTATGTGTATATTGTAACACTTGTTGATGTTCTACAGGTGTCTGAGGCTCTGTTCAGTTTTTCTTTATTCTATTTCCTTTTCATTATTCCGACTGAATATACTCAATCACCAATTTTCAAGTGCACTGATTCTTTCTTCTGTCAATTCAAATCTTCTGTTAATTCCATCTAGTGATTTTTTTTTTAATTTCATGTATTGGACTTACCTATACCACAATATTTCTTTCTTTCTTTTTATAATTTCACTTTATGGATAAGCTCTATTATGTGAGATATTGTTCTCACACTTTTCTTTCACTCTGTAGAAAAAGATTTTTCCTTTGTTTCTTGAATAAATTTATAATAGCTTATATAAATTCTTTGCCTAGTTAAGTTCAAATCTGAACTTCCTCAGGGATAATTTATTTTTACTTTTTTTCTATGTAGGGGCCACCCTTACCTGTCTGTTTGCATGTCTCATTTTTTTAATTGAAAACTGAACATTTTAATTCACATAATGTGGCAAATTTGTAAATCAAATCCATAGCTGGTTGTTATTGCTGTTTCGATGTGGCTAATGCTGGTTTTTAGTGGTTTTCCTGGACTTATTCTGTAAAAGCTGTATTTTCTGTCATGTGCAGCTTTTGAAGTCTCTGCTCAAAAGACTATCTTAGTGATAATCTCATGACTAGACGTCATCTTTGGATGACTTAATCCAGTAAGTTTTCTACCCCTTGCCAAATGATTCTGTGCTTGTGTTGGAACATGGAATCAATGCTTTGGCAGTTTACAGCTCTGCCTTCTTGTCTTTCTTTACTGGTCATTCAGAGGCTCATAATCAGCTGGAGTTAAAAGATTAGTGATTCTGCATGACTTTCCTGAGCATGTACATATTTTTACACATGCATGTGGGCCAGATCATCAGAAAGATCTCCGTGTTTTTCAAGGCTCTTATAGTTACCTGATTTCCAGATCTCCCTTTTCAGATTTTTTGGCCAGCCTTTCATTTGTCCCGGTTGCTATCACTGCCTCACATAGATGAGATCCTAAATAATTGCTGCTGATTGTTTTTGAAAAATTACCTAGGGATGTTTATTTTTAATTTTTTTTCCTTTTTTTTTCATCGAGTGAGCTCTGGGTCCATTCAAATAAAGACAATTCCTATAAATGGGACTTTTCCAGGGAACTGCCAGACATATCAAATAGTGACAATTCTCTAGAAATAAGGAATTTTTGAGGTGCTGTTAACTTGGTCTATGTTCTCTATGTTCAGTGATGGCTAGACTGTTGGTTTCAATAGCTGTCATCATAGTGAACCTGTTGGTTTTCAAGGCTGCTATGGAGCTGAGAGGGCAAATTAAGACACTAAGAGGTTCACAGCTTTTGCTAAGATTCTGCTATTTTTCATGAATAAATACTCAGACCGTTGCAAGCCTTTGGTTAATTTCCAGAGTTCCAAAATGATTTTAACAATTATTGACTGTTTTCTCATTGTGCTCATGGAAGAATAGATTTTTGATGTCCTTACTATGCCATTCTGGAAATACTGCATTCCACCTATTTCGAAGGACTATCTTCTATTCTTCTTTTTTTCACCCCCAGCGGAAATTTTACATAAACACACCTGCTATCCCATTATTCCAAATGCCTTTCCTTTGGTCATAACTGGGACAATATGAAAAAGCTTCGATTAGCTGCTGGGGTTGATTACAAAAAACAATTCAATAATCACGACATTAAAACTGCCAGAATAGATGTTTAGATAGCATTGGCATAGAATAATAATTAATTGCTTCTCTTGATGTTTTGAAGGAGAAAGGAGCTGAGATAAATAGGGATGCAATTTTTCAGAGCACTTATGTAGATTGAGACTTTTAAATGACAGTATGCTGATCTCCAGAGACAGGGTAAAATAAAACCCCATATGATGTCACCAGAGTTTCATTTCTTCCTGGAGATAATGAGGATGAGCATGGAAAAGTGTGGGGAGAGGGAGCCACTTTGCATCATCTAGAATAGATGGTCAGAGTCTACATATTGACTAACAAAAATTAGATAAAGATATCATACAGCAGTAGCAACATCAAGAGTAAGAAGGCAGTTATAACAGGAATGAATATAATTTTTCCCCAGGGAAAGCCTGAAATTTGGATTAAAATGAATGATAATATATTAGCCAAAATAATTAATGCCAGCTACTGCAACAAAATTTTAGGGACTTATAACCAAAGATTTTTTTTCCCTCACTCACATAACATCGAAAGTGGCTTAGGTGCTTCTCCTACAAGAAATCTGTTCTTAATAATAATGAAGATACCCATATTATTTCCATCTTGCAGATCTACCTTCTTTGAATTGTTTCTAGCTGCACAGAGGAGAAAAAAGAAAGAATGAAGAGAAAAGACCCAAACATCCTTGGCTGCCTCAAAGCAGAGGTGACCCATTGCTTTACTTCTGCTCCTAATACATTGATGTTAAATAACTACCTACCTGTACCCAGCTAGACACGTTGTAGGTTTCTGTGAAATACAGGAAAAACATGTGGATAATTGGTTAGCACTAGCTATCTCTGCCATACGCTCACAATCTAACAAACCAAAGGATAACGAACAACAAAAAGAAAATATTCTATTGTGTTTCTGAATTTGATGGCTTCAAACTTCACCTAGTAATTTCTATAAGTTAGAATTAAATTCCACTGTGTAAAACTTGTTAATATTAGTTTCAATTATAAGAAATCTGAAAAATTATGACTTTAAAATACAAATATTACAAAAACTGTTTGGCATTTTTATATGAAGATATACTTACCATATGACCATCAATTCTTAGATATTACCCAAGGGAAACAAAAACCTATGTTCACACAAAACCTTATGTTCACACAAAAATGTGAATGGGAATATTTATGGTGGCAAGAATGGTTAATTTTGTCAACTGAGCTTGGCTGTGGTACCCAGTTGTTTTGCAAACATCAGTCTAGATATTGCTGTGAAGTTTTTTTTTAGATGTAATTAACATTAAAATCAGTACACATTGAATAAAGATTAACATCAAAATCAGTAGATTTTTGAGTAAAGCAGATTACCCCCTGTAATGTGGTAGGCATTATTCAATCAGTTGGAGGACCTAGGAGCAAAGACTGAGATTTCCAGCTGGGAAGGAATCCTGTCTCTAGACTGCCTCCAGACTCAAGATTGCAACATTGACTAATGGCAGAATTGTCAGTCTGCCGGACTTGCCATCCCCTACAATCACGTGAGATGATTCTTTATAATAAATCTCTCTTTTTTATTCTCCCTCTTTCCTTCTCTCACAGAGTTTGTTCTCTGCCTCTCTCTCCATATACATACACACACCCTATTAGCTCTGTTTCCCTGGAGAACCCTGACTGAGCATAAATTGCTTAGAAGAAGAAATGGCCAGATGTACAATTGCATAGAAACTCATTAGTTGGGACAAATGACTTGACTGAATGGTCAGGGACTTGGAAGAAACATTACTGGAAAACTGATAACAGGGAAGTCTGGAGAAGAGGTATATGGATAGACTTCTATGAATGGGCCAAAAATGTCAAAAAATAAAGTGAAGATATTTATGTCCCTTGTGAATGTTCACTAAAGAGTGACCCCAGCATAGGAAAATTTTAATCATTAAATGGACAGGATAACCCGTTGTCTTTCCCCACTGACTTTCACTGTATTCTATTCTTTTTCAAGGGAGTCACTAGGTCTAACCCATGGACTCAATGGAGTAGATCACATAAGGGTGTAAATACCAGGCAGGGGGATGGAGATCATAAGAGTCCTATCTACTATGTAGGGTCTGTCTTCCTTGATTAGACACTGGAGAAAAGGAGTTTCTCATTAGCACTGCTCACAGTATTTAGATGATAGTTTTGAAATAATAAATGTCTTCTTTATCTTTGTATTCCCTTCCTTCAGTATCCAGTGCAGGTTTAGCATGTAGGAGAAGTTCAATTAATATTCTTTGAACCGAGCTAAACTGAGATTCCCTTTGTGAACTCTTCATTCAAATTAGCCCTGAAAAGCCACCATCTCATGAACACATCATAGACCTTTTTTTTTCCATGTTTTTATTCATTCTATTGTCTACTGAGAATGGCTTTCTCTAAACTCTGCTTTAAATCCATTTCAAATTCTATTTCCAGTAAATTTTTATAGAATTCTACTGAAAATCAATAATGGTCATATTTACATATATTACATTGTTGTTTTAATATTATTTAGATTTTCTGCTGACTTTTAGCTTTTCATACTTTCCTATCTTCTCATCTCTACCCGGCTAAATTGTAAATGTGCTGAGAACAGAAATGCTCTTGTGAAATTCTTTACATCACTCAAAAAGACATATGGTGTAGCACGTGATTTTATGTTTTCATGGTAATGGATTGTAAGGCATTTTTAATATTAAGCAGTATTATGAAAACTTAATGTACTTATTTTTCCTTATGGTTATTATAATCCTTTTAAAATGACATGGCATTATTCAATAGCATTTTTCCCTTTAGGGTAATGTATATTAAGCCAATAAAAATAATGAAGTTTTATTGTACTGGAAAGTTAATTGTAAATTTCAAGCGTCAAAATATTCATATATACACAGAAGCACATTTACTGACTCAACTCAAGTCAAATTTTGCCCAAAACTAAAAATTTCACCAAAACAGTGAAATACCTCTTCAACTTACAGTATTCATAAAAATATAGATCCTTGTATATTTGCTACATAAATGATGACCACTTTTTTTAGCCAAATTTGTAATATGGTAAAACTTTTTATTTTATATTTGTTTTGACTTTTTATTTTTTATTATTATACTTTAAGTTCTGGGATACATGTGCAGGCAGAACGTGCAGGTTTGTTACATAGGTATACATATGCCATGGTGGTTTGCTGCACCCATCAACCGGTCATCTAGGTTTTAAGCCCCGCATGCACTAGGTATTGGTCCTAATGCTATCCCTCACTTGTCCGCAGCCTCTGACAGGCCCTCGTGTGTGATGTTACCCTCCCTGTGTCCATGTCTTCTCATTGTTCAACTCCCACTAATCAGTGAGAACATGCGGTGTTTGGTTTTCTGTTCCCGTGTTCTTTTGCTGAAAATGATGGTTTCCAGCAAAGGACATGAACTCATTCTTCACTCTTTTTTATGCATAGTATTCCACGGTGTATATGTGCCACATTTTCTTTATCGCATTGATTGGCATTTGGGTTCGTTCAAAGTCTTTGCTATTGTAAATAGTACTGCAATAAACATACATGTGTATGTGTCTTTGTAGTAGGATGATTTATAATCCTTTGGGTATATAATCAGTAGGGGGATTGCCGGGTCAAATGGTATATCTGGTTCTAGATTCTTGAGGAATCACCGCAGTGTCTTCCACAATGGCTGAGCTAATTTACACTCCCACCAAGAGTGTAAAAACATTCCCATTTCTCCACATCCTCGCCATCATCTGTTGTTTCCTGACTTTTTAATGATCACCATTCTAACTGGCATGAGATGTTATCTTATTGTGGTTTTGATTTGCATTTCTCTAATGACCAGTGATGATGAGCTTTTTTTCATATGTTTGTTGGCCGCATTAATATCTTCTTTTGAGAAGCGTCTGTTCATATCCTTTGCTCACTTTTTGATGGGGTTGTTTGTTTTTTTCTTGTAAATTTGTTTCAGTTCCTTGTAGATTCTGGATATTAGACTTTTGTCAGATAGATAGATTGTAAAACTTTTCTCCCATTCTATAGGTTGCCTGTTCACTCTGATGATAGTTTCTTTTGCTGAGCAGAAGTTATTTAGTTTAATTGGATCTCATTTGTCAATTTTGGCTTTTGTTGCAATTGCTTTTGATGTTTTAGTCATAAAGTCTTTGCCCAGGCCTATGTCCTGAATGGGATTGCCTAGGTTTTCTTCTAGGGTTTTTATGGTTTTAGGTCTTATGTTTAAGTCTTTAATCTATCTTGAGTTAATTTTTGTATAAAGTGTAAGGAAGGGATCCAGTTCCAGTTTTCTGCATATGGCTAACCAAAACCTAACATTTTAAAGTGAGACTCTTACACAATGTGAATGCATGGTCACCATTGACATAAGCCATCAGCAAGCACTTAATCCTTCCTTTGACCAAAGTTCTACATTCATTAAACTGTCCAGGACTATTCAGAGTGCCAGTGAAGTCTATTTCCACCAGTGCATTGGTTCACATCAAAATAAAAGAAAACTGTATGGTCAGGCTTTCACTTCTCAGTCACTAATTACTGAAACTTTAAAAATATTGATTTGATACAGCTTGATTTTATGTCTATATAATTCATTGAATTGAACATATTTATGTTTCCAATTTTACTCTGTAAGAAGTTACAGAAAATTACATATATTATGGAAAAACTGAAAATAAAATAACATTCTGGACACTTTTTCATGCCACTTATAATACTTCAAGTTTTTATTGTACTATCAATTTCTATTTGATTAAATCCACAACTACCCACATACATTTTACTCTTGCTTAATCTCCTAAATTTATAGAGTAATTTATATTCAGGTAAATTCATGCCACATTAACTGAGAGTCAGGCTAATTCAGAAGATGCTTTTCTTCACATAATGCTGCAGTAATAAGTAACTTCAGTAGACATTGGCTATGCTGAACAGATGCTGGAGACTCCAATGAGTCTCAATTTTATGGCTACACTAAGAAATGTTTGACTTCAGCTTAATTTTGTTATTGTTGCAAATCTGGACTGTAGTCTTAAGAAGGCAAGGGTCATATCTCTGTCCCTCTCTTTAATGTTTCTTATATCTAACTAACATAGCGCTGGGCATGCAAAATTCATTCTGTAAATACTTATTGAATAAATTAATTTATGCTAGATTAATTACAAATACAATAATCATCTCTCTACACTACTTATAAGTCATTCCCACTCTTTTTCCCATTAATTAGCTTAATGTACATTTTTTTTCTTTTTACTCCAAATTTTCTTCACTTTTTCTCCTTATCTAACCTTGGTATCCATCTCATAATGTCATGATCATGAGCCACAAATGGTTCTGTGTAATAGAATAGTGTCTCATATGCACATCAAGATTCTATGTGCAGGCCCTGAACTTGACATACATTAACTCACTTAATACTCCATATATTTGTGCTGGTGTTTTTATTTTTTAACTTGTCACTGACTTGAAGCTCATGTGAAGTTGGGATTATTAATATGTCTATTTCACAGATAATGAAACTGAGGCACCTAGAAACTGGTAATGTGCTTAAGGTCATACAGCTAGTGACACTAGGATTTTAATTTTGCCCATTGGACTCCAGAATGTGTATTCTAACATAACATTCTAGCCACTGCAATCTTATGCTGCCTCACCACTATGGTGTGATTTAAATTATGATTCACTTTTATAATCAACGTAGCTCTCATTGTATAAGAGCCTCTCCTTAGATAAGTTCTTATAAATAATTGATGCTTATATCTCAAATATATTGCTTAAAAGTTAACGTTTGTATTTTAAAAATATATTTTCCATCTACAAAATTTGTAATCAGGCCCAGATTCAAATTTTATATTTGCCTCGTATTAACTATGCCACTTTCACTATGTTACTTATCTTTACCTCTTTTAGTACAATTGTTTAATCTGTGACACAGCTAATACAACTGCTCTGAAGTTAAATAAGATGAAAAAACATTTTAAAGTACTTAACACAGTGCCCAAAATATAATAGCCTTTCAATAAATATAAATAGTAATAATACATTTTGTAAGGATTCTAACATAATTACTGTATTTGCAATATTTGTGCCAAATCTCCTCCCATATTTAGTTAAGGTTTATGGTTCAACATCCTGGGTAGCATGTTGTTAAATCTCGTGATCAAACATATAGTTTAGAAAGATTACCTATTGCTTTATTATTTAATTGCAAAAATACACATATTTCATGGGAGATGAATAAAGGCCTCTAAAAAGTTGGTCTTTAAATATAAAATATTTGCATGAACTCATAATGTTGAGTGTACTAGATCACTATATTGACACTTTGAAAGTATATATGCATCAACTATGCCCTTCTAGTTTCATCTCCATTGATAATCTTATTTAAAATCAGATCTATTCATATCTTCAAATTAAGAAATAGAATATAAAAGGACCTTAATTTCATTTTGTTTTCAAAAGAAAAAAATAAGTCAATAAAAAGCTGTGTTGTACAGGAAATAACACGTTTAACTAATAAATGCCAAAGGATTTATTTCAACATTGTAGACTAATGTTCAGTTATGAATGTACACTTTGAGGATTAGCCTGTGGGTACAGGAAACAACATGTTCAAGAGATCACCTTTTCAGAACAATGAAATACCCTAAAGCATTATGAGGCTTAATTGAATAAAATTTCACCATATACACCCATTTATAAGCCTACAACTCTTGACAAGTTCAAACTTCATCAAGAATTCAACATCAATAAAAATTAATTTCTACCAGCCATGATGCGTGAAACCCTAATCCAGACAGGACGATATTACTAACATCTACATTCTTTCTCCAAGACACAGTTGCCTCTAAGCTAATTGTAAAATGTGTTTCTCTTTTTTCCATTTCCCTTGAAGAGAGTATCAAACAAATGACATCCCATTCTTAGATTATTTTTTAAAGGACAAGACTTTAAAATTTTATTTTCCTTCAAAGGAAGTGATCCATCTCTGTAAAGCATTTACATATGTAGCTACAAAATATTCTTAGCCCTTCATAAATTAACAGTAGGATTATAAGAATAAATGCATTAGCAATATTAAAAGTATTATTCATTTATACAAATTTAGTACCTACTCAAAATCTCCAACAAATCAGGGCTTTCGACAATCGTTAAATATGAGTTGTGTGCCTACTATGTGAAATATGTATAAATTTCTTATTAATCAAAAATAAGGATAGTGCAGACTAAAGCAGAATGTGGTTAGTTTGTTGTAGATAATGATTTCATAGATTAGAGTCTTAAAGACTAAGAAATTTTGCTAAATTATATGATTAATTCTAAAAAGTAATAGCTATCTTATGTTGGATAATTATAAACAAAAACTAATGGGGTGAGCATGGTCTTAGTAAGTGCATACTGTGTCACTCAGATTATTCATAAGACAAATGATTTTAAATATATTCAGTTGTTTGTACCTAAGTGTTTTCCACCCTTCTGTTATGTTTTGATTACGTATTCAGTCTAAGAATATACAGGCTGAGAGAATAGAGTTATTGTGACTTTATTTGTCTTACTTGTCAAATTATTTGAAGCAGACTTTAGGTCAACAGCATTTAAAATTTCTATTAAATAGTGAACAGCTGAAGGAATTTTCCAGGAAGAATGAGAAGGAATGAATAGACTTTTCATAGATCCTAACATAGAATAAACAAGCTACGAAAAATTCCCTTTGTCTTCCTCATACCATTTTCTCTTTTTCTTCTTTACTTTAAAATCTACTAAAAAATGCAACCCTTGCTCTCTTTGGTTTTTAGAAATAAGTTTATTAGACTATTTAACAAGTCATTTAACTTCTCAGTGCTTCAGTCTTCTCATCTGCAACATAAGGTGACAGGATTAGAACATGTGGCCCACAAACTTTACGTGTGTGTAAGAATCAACATGGAAAGCTTGTTAAAATACAGCTTCCCAAGGCCAGCTTCAGAAATCCTCATTTAGTAGGATTGGGGTAACCCTCTGAATCTGGTTGTTTTTAATACACCCCTAAATATTTTTGAAGCTGGTAGTCTACATATCTTATTTAGAAGCCCTGAAAATATGACAAATTCTCTCCAAGTCTCCTTCCATCTCTCATAAATCGCCAGGTCAATATTTCCCTTAGAGTCCATAAAATGAGTGAAAACTAATTTTCTGGCTCCCAAAGGTAAAGTAGAGAGAATCTTGATATTATCAATGTGTTCCAATTCATCCATTCAGTTTTTTAACATCTATGTAGAGGCCACTCTAAAAGTCAACAGAGTATTGCAAGAGAAAATATACCTTCCTAGTGGTTATATTGTAGGTCATGGAGCATTTTATTAAATATTAAAAGACTATACAGAGATTGTATTATGATATCAGAACAAATACTCTTGTTTGAAAGTGTTGAGCTCTTATAGATTCAAGGTGATAACAGAAATAAAATGAATATGTACCTTGTCTTTTCATTTCAGTTTGTAATGGAACATCAAGAGGAATCAAAATTACGAAGTTTTAGAGGTTGTCTATTATAAATATTTCTATTCCCTCTAAGGTGTTATCTGCTCCCTGATACCAACAATCCAAGTGTCTTTCTGTTTGTATTCTGGTAGCACAGTTCTTCATTCACTGTAGACATTCAAAAAAGGACACTGAATGAATGAGAATAAATAAATGGAAAAGAATGCATTCCATCATTGAAGTACTGACAGAGACTCAGTGAAGAACTGGACTCACTTGTTAAAAGGCAGATCTATTTTTAGGGCATGGTCAGATATCTTCATTCCTAACAGAGGCTTTTAAACATTTGTGTTGTGCTTCTTTGTAAAATTAGCTCTTATGTCTCTAAAAATGTGTGAAGGGCTGCCTTTCCTTTTGCCTCATCTCCACTACCGCCATAGGCAACATATCCTGAAATGCTCAAGGAAGTCCCATTTTATTCAAAAAATTTTGCTACTTACAGCCTGTATGATTGAAAATCTTAATAATTCCAGATTACTTTTTTTGGAGTTAATGAGTCTTTCTGTGTACTACTTAATGTATACCTATCATATGGCAATAATGTAACAGGTTACAAACAATAGCTAGTAACATCTGAAATCATGTGATTCTTGTTTTATTTTTATTTGTGAGAATTACATCATAAAATGAGGCTTAATATTTTATATCACACTAGCTCAAATTCGCATGATTTAAATCTTCACAAAATGCAAAACACACACTCTCACCATTTTAATTCTGATGCACAAGTCTGAAAACAACTGGGATAAGGCTATCTTGGCAATCTCTTGTCAGTCTCCTTATTTTCTACATGGCCTTGCTTGATAGCAACATGTGTAACTGGAGTGAATAGTTATTTAATTTAGTCACTTGCTCCCGAGGAAAGGGGATACTGTCATCTAGCTTGTCGCAGTGTACAGGGGATGAGATTTTTCATGTGATTTGCTTTAGACAGATAAAATGCCATATGAATAAGGCAAAACATTAGGAGTCAATTCAAGGCATAATTAATACTTAATGTTTTAGCAGAGGTAGATTTATTTACTGAAAAAAAAGAAACAAGTTTAACATACTCAAGAAGAGGCAAGAGTATTCTCATTGTTTTAGTTATCTACGGTCATCTAACAAACCACCCCAAAATACCGTGGCTTCAAATAACAACCATTTTGTTATATCTCAGCTTCTGTGATACTCAGATTTAGGATTACTACTTAGTACTTCTCTTTAGCACTTTCTCTGCTGGTCTTGCTTTCAGTCTTCACAGTGTTACAGTTGAATGGTGGCTGTGACTGACATCTGGCTCATTGTTCCACCCCTTGGCCTCTCTTCATCCAGCAGATCTGCCTAAACTTCATTAATGTGGGGATTCGTGTTCTAAGAAGGAGAAAGGGGGAGTTGCAAGGCAGACTTTTACATTCCCAGACTCACAAGTCCCAGAGCATTTCTTGATTCACATTATGTTGGTCAAAGCAGGGGCAAGCCCAACCTAGATTCAATGGGAAGGGGCATAACCGGCACCTCTTAATAGGAGGAACAGCATTCAGGAAAACAGATGAGTGGAATTGTTTGGAAATTCGCTACCACACTTATGGATCTTCTAGGGAAATATTGATATACCCAGATTACAGATTATTGTGATCTCTGAGGACAGTTGTTGGATGCTTTCTGAAAGTATTTCTGTGAATTCTTTCTGAAGCCTTATATGGTTAAACTATACTATCCAGTATTATCTATGTACTTTTACAAAAAGGCAGAATAGCATTAATTGATTGTGTGGAGCAGACAAAGAAGAAAAGCTGGAAATCCTCTTATCACTCACACATCAACTCCTAGACCCTTGCTGGTATCACAATCCCACAATGAAAGATTCTTGTGGGTACAAACATTCTTTCTCTCTGAACTGACATCCCTAACAAAGATGTGATGTGTAAAGGATGCTTACTTACCCAGACTATGACCTTTGCCATTCTAGGGAGAGTTACAGGAATAGTGCAGGGTTTAAGATATTATCCTAGACAGATGGAAGACAAACCAGAGCAGCCCTAATTTTCCATGAGGTGGGTTCTACATTTTAAGGTTCTTCCCTCTTCTTCTAATAGTTTTTTTTTTTAAGACAGATGAAGATTGCTTTAAAGGGCCTTCTTTTCTCAAGGATGTGCCATCAGAAACTAAAGAGATGTATCTGTTATAGACTTACTTCTTCCTGAGACTGATTTGGAGGTATGAGATAGATTTTGTATTGTCTGAACTGCTGCTTCCTGCTATTTCTATTTCTATATTTCTAATAATACAAAATAATCGTAGAAAAAAACCTAAATGCTCAGACTTAACAATTGCTTTATGATTTTTTAAAACCCCAATAACCAAGAATACTTAATCCAAAAATTACTTAAGAAATTTCTGAGGTGAGCCAGGGAGTCAGTCCACATATGCCTGAATATAATTCTCTTTGAATCATGGAAGAGGAGAAGAAAATAGCAAGCTTATATTTCTACATTAGAATGGTTAAAAAAAAAATCTCCTAACCTTCTCTGAAAACTGGGTACCATGACAGAGCTTCACCACATGACTAGGATAAAAGACTGGGTCATGGCCTCAGTAATCCCTTGATTCAAGAGATTCTTCCTATAACCAGTGTATTGAACAAGTGGCTGTCATGAAATGTAACCATAAAACATATTTGATTTTGCATCTGTGGAGAAATTTTTCTTGGTGAAAACATGGGAAGTTTACACCTTGTTTTTAGACAATTAAAATTTCCTGGGTGTCTTTAAGTCATAAAACAGTGTCAATTTAATATTTACATTATCTGGTCCTGCATACTACTCAAAACTTTTGATTTCATTCAAGATAATAGCCAATTTTTTTTTTCCTGAAGCTTCTAACTCTTCTGTCCCATCTTTTAACTGTAACTCTGATTTTTCAGAGTTGAAATAAAGGGAGGCAGAAGAGTAAGGAGAGAAAAATAAGTCATGCTTGACTGGTATTCTTTTATCCTGGCTACATTATTGATGAGCTTTCCAAGTTTTTAAAGCTGACAAAGTCCCTAGTGGCTGTCTTCACACATTCCTCAGAGGCTCCACATTCACATTCAGTTTCCTCAGTCTGAGTGAATGATTCTCTCATGGGACCTTTTGCTTAATCTTGCAACCCCAAAAATATATTAGTTTCTAGCACTTAATGCTGAGGTTCTCTTGCTCCTCAAAATTGATCCAACTGGTAAGGCCCAGGACTATCTGCATTCTGCTCTTTTACATGTGCCCCACACATGGCCTTCAGGAAACACTCACACAACCTTTGTTTCAACAGTTAGTAAGAGGAAATGCTGATCCTAGCTAAGTGGCAAAACCTTTTAACTCTTGCCTTTGGAGCAGTTTCCCAGGCCATCCCTGCTGTTTACTACTCACAGATGAGGGTCAGGAAAAAATCTACTATGCTTCCCCAAACTCAAAAGTGGAAGTCAAGTTTTCTGAAAGGCCCATTGATGGGTCCCTCAAACTCTCGTTCTCACTCTCGCTCTAAATTTGAAAGGAAAAGGGAGAACCCCACTTCACTCCCGTGGGGAAGATTCTAGTCAAGATCTGGTCTTTCAGCTCTTTTATGTGCCTGAGGTGAGCCAAGGTGTTCAAGATTCATATAAGTGGTTTTGATTATAGCTCCTTGGAAATCCTTGAGCACCATCTGCATTACTTTGGTATTTGAGAAGCAGAGTAACGTAGTGGTCAAAAGGACAGCCCTGGAGCTAGGTTTCCCAGCTTCATATTCCAATATACTTAACTTTGCTAGTGTTCAGTTACCTCTTCAATAAAATGGTCTCACTTAGCTGGCATAAATAGTGCCTACTTACGTTCTTCGTGATGATTAAATAGGACACTGAAAGGAGTGGCCCAGAAGTCAACACAAGAAGAATCTTATTTTAACACCCTGTTAACATTATCATTATTGCCAGAAATGTCAATCAAAAGCTGGAATGTCAAATATGTTAGGGAACTTCCCTCCATAAGAGGAAGGAAGGTGAATGTCTAAGGATACTTTAACTTTAAAACTCAGATTCAATTATCCAGGCAACCTAGCTAAAGGTTCAATACTGCTACTAAGTAACAATGTGATCTAAGGAAGATTCTTTAATAACTTGTATGCTTAGATTTCTTATTTATATGTAAGTTTCATAGTTTTTCCCGCTTCAGGACATGGAACTGATGGCAGCAGGAGGCAGACAAATCCTAGGCAGACAGAGCCAGGTCCATGGTAAAACCAGACCTTCAAGCCCATGACAGTTTAAAGCCTAGCTACAAGTCTCAGGTAAATCCTTGGACTGGATTGAGAGCCTCTCTTCCCATTTGGAGTGCTTTCCTCTAACTGATACCCACCTTTCAGCTATTTTACATATAACTCCCCTTCCCTAATTTGTTTTCTACACTGTCTTGGCCATCTTTGAGCCATACCTTAGTTTTAACCCTTTTTGCATACTCACAAACCAATCTGAGCCCATAAAACCCTTGGACTCAGCTGTACTGGGAGAGAGACCACCCGGCTTTGGGTGGGAAACCACCCTTGCATTCCCTTTCTGCTGAGAGCTGTTTTGTCACTCAGTAAAATTCTTCTCCATCCTCCTGACCCTTCAATTATCAGCCTAACCTCATTCTTCTTGGATGTGGTGCAAGAACTCGGAACACATCGAACGCAGGTACAAAAAAGGCTGTAACACTGTGGCCCTCTTCCCTCTGCCAGTGAAGGCAGCCACCCCATGCAACAGAAAGCAGTGGCAGGGCCGAGCCAGCCTTGGAGCCATGGAACAGAGTGAGGTAACAGGGTTGGCAGAACTATTAATGCACCTCCATCTGTCAGGCTGCAGACAGGGGACTAAAAGAGCAAATTAGCATGCTGTAACACTCCCTCTGGGGCTTTGGGGTCATAGACACCCACCACATTTCCCTCATTTGGGTGCCAGAGTCCACCACAGGAGTGGCTTGCTACATGCCTGGTCCAGCCACAAGCCCCGCAAGGATCCCACTCCTGTGTCAGTGCTTGGAATGGCTGGCCGGACCCCACACTCACTTGCTCACACTCCCCTCCCAATGAGGGTTGGGCATGCGGTCATGGCAGCTGCAGGATCTGCACTGGAGTGCAGGCCTGGCACAGCCCAGTGGGCCAAGTGGTTGGGGTGTCTCCTGTGGTGAGCCCAGGCCCCAGGTGATGCAGGGGCATCACCAGCCAGAGGTCTCTGGCTGGCAAAATGACTGAGAAAAATCCTGCATCAAAACTTCTATGTCAATAGATATTTATTCAATAGGTACCTATTGAATGAAAGGTATTTATTCAATAAAGTACTTATTAAGCAAATACTATGTACCAGGTTCTCTAGGCTCTGAGGATACAGCAGTGAACAAAAACAGAAAAAATCATCTCTGCCATCAGGTATATTATACACTGCTGACAGGACCCAGAAAACAAATGAAATATGTGTTATGTCTTACAGTTGCTTCATTGTTCATAAAACCACATGGGAACTGACTTCAGGAGAGGAGTAATGGCCTGTGTGTCTGCACTTCCTTGTTGTGACAGAAGTAGTCCCATATTTAAGACATAAAATGATTTCCAGTCATCTCAGGCACAGAGTGGTTATGGGACTGTGAATAGTATTCAGGAAAGGAAAGAATGAGGCTTTCACTGGGAGCATGCAGAGTTCTGGTGCCATCTCTTTTGCTGAGCAATGATGATGTTGAGACTAGCAAGGAGTAGCCTTATTTGAAGAACACAGATCTTCTGGACTTCCTCTTAACTCCTGATGGAGTCTTTAGAGGCTGAGGAGAGGTAGTCTTACATGGTGCTCCTTATCCCATGATCCTTTCTGATTCTTAAAGCAAGAAATCTTTGAGACTTGTTCCGGTATCCTGCAGATGTGGGGACAAAGGATGATAAAAAAAAAAAATCTGTTTTTAAGGCTTGTATGTGTTTTTGGATTCTTTCTAACTAGAATTAAATACTGTTTTGTGATCTGTAAAAGAAGAACCTAGAAACACTAGTGTCATTTTAAAATTCTTGTTGGATTTATATTTAACAGAATGGCTAATACGAAAAAGACTGACAACACCAAATGTGAGTAAGACTGTAGGCCAATCTGAGATCTCATACATTACTGGTGTGAGTGGAAAATAGTACAACTACTTTGAAAAAAAGATCTGGCAATTTTTATAAAATTAAGTATACACCTACTATGTGAACTCCTGAATAGAATTTATTCAGGAGAAAAGAAAACACATGTTCACACATATATAAAAAAATACAATGATATTCATAACAGCTTATTCATAATAGTCCAAAACAAGAAACTGCCCACCAATTAGAGAATAGATAGACTGTGGCTTATTCATAGAAGATACCAGTCATCAGTGAAAAGGAATGAAACAACACAGAGGAATCTCAGCACATGGAGCTGAGTGAAAGAAATACTACACAAAAGAGTATGTACTACATGATCTATAGGAAGTTCTGGAACAGAAAAAAAAAACTAATCTATAGAAAAAAAATAAGAGTAGTGGTTGTCTCTGGGATGGTAGGAGCAAGGATTGACAGGGAAGGAACATGAAAGAACTTTCTGTGGTTACAGTAGTCTTCTTTATTTTGATAGGGATTATGGGTTGCACAGGTGTATGCCCTGTGAGCAGTTCCTGAACGGACTAAATGGTACACTGAAGAATTTTGCAATTCATTATACGCAAGTTTTACCTCAGCTCTAGTTAATGCCATGCATGTTTAAATATATGGGAAATATATTGCTCTCTGCACCTTATTTGGAAAAGCATCAAAAAATAAGATGAATTGTTAGAGGGGTAGTGGGATTAATAATTATATGATCAAACAAATTTATAAAGGGTTAAAAATAGAATCTGGGTAATGGGTACATGTTTATTTACTAAATAATTCTTTTATTTTCTGTGACCGTGATAATTCTCAAAATAAAATTTTAAGAAAAAATTTTAGTTTGAGCAGGGCATATGATATTTTATTATCATATTTTCATATTTTAAAAATTCAAACAATAGAAATATCTTAGTTTTATTATAAAAGATGAATTTATTAACTAAATAATTATTTATTAAGTAACTAATTGTCAATCTTCAGTGAGAACAGGCACAATAGTTTATTCCTGCCCTTATATTCTAATGGAAGAAGAAAAGGTACTTATTTTACAATTATTTCACAAATAAATAATATAACATTTGTATTTAAAATAATGTTTTAAAAATAATTTTCTTGTAAAATTCCCAATATTGCTTGAGTATTTTACTTATATTTGATTTGAAATATTTGCAATTAAAAATAAGGAACTGTTATGAAAATATGTTGTAGAAATTGGTTTTCTGGTGCTTTCTATATTGAACCAATAGCTAGCAATTTGTCTCCCACTAATATTCTTCATGTGTTTCATGTAAAGCACATTAATATTAGCCCATAAAATAAATGTACCCGAAAAGAAACCAGCAGAATAAGTAATCATTAAGAAGTACAAACTAGAACATTTTTAAGAAAACCAAAAAGAAAATCTTTTTGAAACACAGCCAGCAACATCACAAGATTTATCCTTAATACCTACATAATATAAATTATATCTGGCATGTCTCCTCAGTAAAGTCACAGTGTCCAGACAAACTAAATAGCTTTAAGCAAGTTAATTTGTAATCTCGTCCAGTAAGTGTATATGCAGCTGTCAAAAAACATTAGTCTTCTAGTTACTGATTGAAATACAAATCCTATTATCTCTATTATTGAAATGCTAATACCAAGCTTTTAATCAGTGAGATGTTAGGTCCAGTCCTTAGTCTTACTCCATTCTTTTTCTTTGTTCTTTTCTTTTGTGAATTTACCCAACTGGTCCTTTCCCTAAGCTCCAGTCTTATTTTGCCTAAATAATATTATGTATTTTTCTTTAAATATTTCCAACACTAAACTTTTCATCCTTCTCCCAAAAAGGACATGCAATTTTCTTTCTTAACCATAGCTCTACTATTTTCTCATCACCCAGAAGTTAAATTCAGTTCATTCTTCTGTTAATCTAGTACATTAAGCCACTGAATTGTATTAGATTGTTTTCTCTAAAGTTTCTTATGCCTCTTTTTTTTTCTTTTTATACTCATTGTCTCTAGTCTAGTTTAATGACCTTGCACTGAACTATTGCAATAGCTTTTAAAAGTAGAATTTATTGTTTTTCTGATTATTAAAAACAAATAGAAATAATTTAAAATATGAATTATTTAAAGCATAGTTTTTGGTATTGCTGTTCTTGTTAAAAGAACTGTTAACATATTATTGCATATGCTTCTAGTTCCTTCTCCCTTTTCTTTGAAAACAGTTTTTAAATATGTATACTACTTTTTCGTAAATACATCATATATATTTAAATCTACATTTTTATATTTATTTTATTACTAATTTTGTCTCACTATAAATAACTGATATAGACATCTGTGTGTGTCTATATATAAACATATATATATATATGTTTGTACAAACATCTGATTATTTCCTAAAGATAATACAAAGAAGTGGAAATAGTGACTTAAATAGTATTAATTATTGAAACTTAAAGTGATCTTGTCAAATTTCCTTTCAATCCTACTTCCCACCGTGTATGAGTATCTGTTTTGTCATCCTTGAAAAAAAAAATTCGGCATTATCACTTATAAGTAATACTTATCAATTGTGTAGCTTAAAATTTTATCTTGTTATACTGATCAGCCCTATTTGCTTAGTGATAAAATAATTACTCCCTTATTCATAAGTTTTACAGATCACTTATACTTCTTTATTGTTAATTACCAATTCGTAAATTTTCTTATCGGAGGGGCTGATCTTTGCTTATTTGTTTGCCATAGCTTTTTTTTTTTTTTTTTTTTTGAGACGGAGTCTCGCTCTGTCCCCCAGGCTGGAGTGCAGTGGCGCGATCTCGGCTCACTGCAAGCTCCGCCTTCCGGGTTCACGCCATTCTCCTGCCTCAGCCTCCCGAGTAGCCGGGACTACAGGCGCCCACCACCACGCCCGGCTAATTTTTTGTATTTTTAGTAGAGACGGGGTTTCACCGTGGTCTCGATCTCCCGACCTTGTGATCCACCCGCCTCGGCCTCCCAGAGTGCTGGGATTACAAGCGTGAGCCACCGCGCCCGGCCGCCATAGCTTTATAATCAGGATGTCTGTCTACAATTTTTTCAATTCTAATTTATCCTGTGTTTCATTTCAAGAGAAATATTGCCAATACAGTATTTGCTTGTCCACATTGTAAGTGTTTCTGTATTGCCCTACAGAGTCAAGACTTCAACATTCAAGCATTCTAATTCCCGTCTACCTACCTATGTATTAGTACATTTTGAATTGCTATAAAGGAATATCTGAGGCTGAGTAATTTATAAAGAAAAGAAGTTTATTTGGCTCACAGTTCTGCAAGCTGTACAAAAAGCATGGTGCTGACATATGCTTTTGATGAAGGTCTCAGGAGGCTTCCAATCATGGCAGAGACAAAGGGGGAGCAGACATATCACATGGTGAGAAAGAAAGGGAGAGAGAAGAGGAATCACACACTCTTTTGAGAAACCAGCTCTCCTGTGAATGCACAGGAGACTCACTAA
Organism: Homo sapiens; assembly: GCF_000001405.40. Classification (NCBI taxonomy): domain Eukaryota; kingdom Metazoa; phylum Chordata; class Mammalia; order Primates; family Hominidae; genus Homo; species Homo sapiens. Next base: position 84,980,917 of record NC_000012.12, read on the forward strand.
CTCATAAACACAGGATGGCACCATGACATTGATAAGAGATCTGCCACCATGACCCAAACACCTCATATTGGGCCCAAACTGTAACACTGAAGATCACATTTCAATGAGCTTTGGTAGGGACAAATATCCAAACTCTATCAGCCTGTCAATAAGTATCACTATCCTGAACACCAGTGATATATTTACCTTTCCCAAGTGTATGCAAAAAGACCCTTCCTTAAAGTCTCCTCTTTCTCTTCTCCATATAAAACCTACCTATCCTTCTGACTCATGCCCTGCATGAACCTTACTCAGTCACTGAAGCTCATCTGAATCTTCCCATATACTCTTAATTCTACTTCATAAATACACTTTTAAGTCTCTTATCCTGCCACCTATCGAGACCACGTCTTAATCCTGTGCTACCCAGGGTATGAATAGTACCTGCTACTGTGCATAATTCTTTCTCTTTTAGAAGCCTTAGTGACATTTTTAAAGGGTAAATTTGATTACAGTACTTATTCTCTTGCTTAAAACTTTGTCAAACTTTGGTACACTTAGGACAGAATATAAAATTCCTTATATGTCCTAAGATATCCTATAAGATTTGGCCACTCTTCCTCAGTCATCTCTCACTAGTTCCAACACCATCACCTTTGTTCACTATTATCCTCAAATGTCCCAAACTTCTTTCCTAATCATCACTATCCTATATCCTTCTTCCTCTGTGTTATTCTGGTCTTTTCTCTATACCCACATTCTATTCTTCTTGCAGTTATTCCTGTAACTGTAACTTCCTCTAGGTACACTTAGGTTTGTTCACTTTATTACTGAGGCTTACAGTATCTGATATTTTTCCCTGCAGTGCTTATGACAATTTTAATCACCGCCCTCATTCTTGCTTTTATTTGTTTAATATTTGTTGCCTTCCACAAGGTCAAATACTATGTCTCTATTTCTCATTACTGTATCCCAAGTACCAAGCAGAATGCCTGGCAAAAGCAGGAAACTCAAAAACATATTGTGGTCTGACAAAAAAAAAAAAAAAAGAAAGCCTAATTTATTCTATGGGTAGAGTTTTACTTGTTCTTTGAATTATTCCTGCGGTATAATTTTATTTTCTTAAGCACATTTCATTTCTTTCAAGTTAAAGACTGTATTCTATACTTCTCTAAAATCCATATAGCATACAACAGTTCTGAAACACAGCAGGCATAAAAAATATACCAGTTGAGATAAATGTGCAGTTGAAGAGTCGCAACTCTGATCATTTGGAAAAGAAGGAAGGACAGAGAGTCAAAACAAAAATTTGTACTGACGGAAACAGAAGAGAGGATAAAAATATCACCACTGATGGTTGACTAATAATCAAATTATTTTTATTTTATCCATTTTTATTTTTATTTTTAGAGACAGGTCTTGCTTGGTCCACAAGCTGGAGTGCAATGATGCAATCAGAGCTCGCTGCAGCCTCAAACTCCTGGACTCCAGTGATTCTCTTGCTTCAGCCTCCCAAGTACCTAGGACTACAGGCACACATCACCACACCACACATCAATTGTTTGTAGAAACAGGGACCCTATGTTGCCCAGGCTGGTCTGGGACTCCTAACCTCAAGCAGTCCTCTGTCCTCAGCCTTCCAAAATTCTGGAATTACAGAAATGAGCCATTGTGCCTGGCCTCTTGAATTATGAATATTGAAAACGTTCTTAGTTTCCTAACTACTTTCTGCTTATTTTGCTTATAACTGACATGAGAAAATCTGGCAATACATAAAAAATAATCTGTTTAAATGAAATTTAAACAAGAAGTTGAATTCATTTTTTTAAATTACCACTTTCTCTTACATGATGATAAGTATTAGTAGTTTTTATTTTATTTTATTATCAACTGATCTTTTCAAAGGTCAAGTCAATCAAGTAAATAGGCTTTTGGTGTTGGGTGGTAAGGTCGAGAAAAATCAAAAATCAAATTTGAAAACAAAAATATAATTAAGCCTGAGTTTAGTGGAATTTAATCTAGTTAGCTATAGGCTAAATCCAATACCTTTGCATCTCCATAATTAGGCATAAGCAGCAGGCAACTTGTACTGGTGACCAGCAGTCCACAGCCCAGATTGAGGAGACAAACTGAGCTTTGGGATTGGAATGGAGATGTGACTAGTGAGAGGAATTTTAAACTGGTAGAGCCCAGAGCCTTAGCTTCATCTAAAACAGAAACTCCAGGGGCTACTCTCCTGACCGCAAACCCTAACAGAGCCTGGAACCAGAATCAGTTAACCACTGCCAAATTATTCAGTACCTCTGTTTTGTTTTGTTTGTTGAGTTTGTTGTTGTTGTTGTGTGTGTGTGTGTTAAGTAGAGTTTCAGTGCCAAATTCTTCTTTTAAAACAGAATAGTTATGTACTGGGGATCTTAGGTGCTGAGTTCTTTGTGGGTTTGGAAATGCAAATTTGAGTTCAGGGACCAAAAAAAAAAAAAAAAAAAGCAACTTGTCCATCAAAACCAAAGAAGTGTTAGGCACCCCAGGAGGGAAATTTAGGTGACAGGGCTAGGGGCCAGGCCAGGAGTTAGAAGGGAACAGTAGGGGGCAGGACATGAGAGATTGCAATCTGCTACAGCAAAGACTCTTCCCAAATCTCCAGTTGAGTACACGGAAGCCCATTAAATATTTTGTCCAAGTGGACTGCTTGTGTGAACCACTGAAGGGGCTGAGATTCACGTCTGTGTCGATCTGAGATAAAACATGGAACACAAAAGAGAAAGCATCCCTGGCAGAAGCAGAGACTTCTAAATACTCCCCCCAAAAAAAGTGGTAAGATTTTTTAATCTCCACAGTTTACACTATGTTTAGGTGGCTGCACAGGGGTTGGAGCCTAAAACTAGCATCCCCAACTTATCTTCTTTTGAGAAAAAATAAGACCATCTCTGAAGGAAAACAAAGTGTGAAATTCAGTGACTGTTAGTAAAATAGTCAAAGAAGGGGCTAAGTAAAAGGAGGGAGTTTGGCTTGAATCACTAAATTATTTTTATAACTTTATTAACTTTTACAAATTATTAAAATGTGAATTATAATCTTATTTCTTCCATTTAAGGTTTTATCTTAAGCCAAATCGTTTCACAATCTTGTTCAAATTGTCTCATTTATAGCATGTAATTGATAATGTTTGCAGCATGTGACAGAGCTAATCTCCTAGGACCATTAGATCTCACAGATTTATGGCTTTTTGCCTGCAAAACCGAATCAAATATTTGAATATATATTATTAGCTAAAAGAAGCACATACTGATTAGTAAAATGGATGCCATTAAATAGTTCAATTTTCTTAATTTTAATGAAGGGCTCTTATGGAAAATTATATCTGAGTAGGCAAAGTAAAATAAAAGCATATTTTCTATGATAGTACCAAATGACATTATTATTCCCTATAATAAATAATTGAAAAATATTTGTCTATCCTTATTTTATTTTATATTATTTTTTGAGACAGGGTCTCTCTCTGTCACTTAAGCTGCAGTCCAGTGGTGCACCATCTAGGCTTACCACAACCTCTGCCTCCTGGGCTCAGGTGGTCCTCCCACCTTCAGCTTCCTGAGTAGCTGGGACTATAGGTGTGCACCACCACGACCAGCTAATATCCTTATTTTAAATGTCTTCACTTATTATATTTGGAATACATGATTCAACTACATATAGAAATAAATGTGCACATTTGTCAGTTTGATAATATTTCAAAATATTCTATTAGACAATAATAAGCAATAATTTCAAAATTCAGATTATATTTTGGTGTTAGTTTGTGAGTATTCCTTTCTCTGTTTTTGTTTTTCACTTTTGCCTGATCTCTCTCTTTTTTTTTCTGTGTAATTGCTAAATCTAGCAAAGTCCTAAAACAGTAAGTCAGTACCTAATAATGACACAACACAAATATATGTGAAAATATATTGTTTAAAAATATAGTTACATGAAAACGTTCTAATCCCATGTGATTTTCTATTTTACATATGAAGAAACTGAGACTCAGAGAGGTTAAGCGAGGTCCGATACCAGATCCTGCTGCCTCTAGGAGGGGGAATGGGAGCAGGGTACACCAACACTGGTATGCCAATAAGCTACACCATTATGGTGTGGTGGATGACGTGAGGGGGTGCTACATACAGCAGCTGTGTGTAGTATGTGCCTTTCTCTGTTGCCACCACAATTAAGAACAGGATTAAGAATTCAATTAACTATTACGATGCTTGTTTTTAAAAAGCTAGAGAAATGAATTTTCAGAGGAAATTCTTTTTCTGTAGTTTATACAACAGATGAAAATGAATAGAATTATTCATTTTAAGATCATATACATGGAGTAACATTATCTATGCCTAACGCAAAACTAAGATTTTAAAAATTATATATATTTGTGTATTGATATATGTAGGTAGTATATATATTTAAATATAATACAAATATAAATATACATATTTATATAATAGCCCAACATATTTATGTAAAAATATATAACATATTTATAAATACATAATATACAAATGATATACATCATATATAAATATATCATATGTATTTTTAAAAGCTATTTTTAAAATATTTACATTTATATGTTCTAATCCCACGTGATGCTCTATTTTACATATGAAGAAACTGAGACTCAGAGAGGTTAAGTGAGGTCAAATATTATATTGCGAGGTAGTGAAGGAGGAGAAATTCAAATCCTAATTTCTGATTTAAATCCATTTTCCTTCAACATCACCAAAAACTGAAGAACATAGAGGTAATATAGATATAGACAAATGACACCTAAAAACCAAATTCCCTTTTTGTGCCATCAAATACTTAAAAGTTTCCAATGATTTGATTATTTAAATAGCATTATTAATCTATACCTGCAATAGCAATGTGAGAATTGAGTAATGCCTCAGTGAGTTAGGTTAGTTAATGTGCTCAATCCTCTCTCACTTTAATTAGCTGAAAAATTGCTTCAACTTTTCAATTCTCTTTGTCCATGGAGACTTAACTTGAGATTCAACTTTCGTTTTGTGAAAATCACATTGTTTTTTTCTCAGAGAATCTGTTCAACTTTCTTCACCAAAATGATTGACAACTGTTCAGAATGAACAAAATTCAGATAAAACTTTACACTAAGAATTACTGATCCATGAAAGAATGGTTTCTTTACACTGAAAGAAAAAAAAATAGTTGGATTTAGAATTTTAAAACATTTTATATCATTTTATATACTTATATGTATTTATACCATAACTGTCATCTACTTAAATATATTTATGCTTTTATATATCTGTATGTGCATATTAAGTAGTAATTTTTTTTAAATATGTGAGATCCCCAAGACTGAGACACATTTACTTGAAGTAAAATCACAGGAAAAACAGCATATACAATGAACTATGCAGCAATATGAAAATTAAAAATTAAAGTTTGATATCGACTGGACCATACCCTTTTCTACATATGACCTTGTATTTTACATATTTTATGTATTTTTTATTGTCTTTTAAATAAGGTTGAGAACAAATTGCTATCTAAAATCAAGAGAAACAGCAACTGAAGAATCGAGGAGTTTATACAGTCTATTCTCATTATTCAGGCAAAAGTCTCAGTTTGTTATGAATCCCGTTTTGACTCTTCATTTTATCTAGTCATAGAGGCAATGAATTGATTACACATTAACATAGAAAGGAAATAAATTTTATTTAACTGAATTTAGAACCATATTTTAAAGGCCACATGATTACACGGCATATAAAATCATAAAACTTAAAGGCAAACTGCCTTTGAAATGTTTAAGCTGTTTCCAACCATCATGTGTTTGCGTGTGTAATGTGACATACAATAGCCAGTTTTTGCCATCTGTAGTGTTGCCCTTAGCAACAGAAAAGCATGTGACAGTGCTTATGTGACTCTGCTGGCCTGCAACAGTGTGTAGAAGGATTTAAGCAAAATGAAACAGACAGAAATATTGATCCAGACAACTGGAATTTTCAAGTGTATTGCAATGATAATGACGACTGGAAAGGAAAGAGAGGAAGGTAACAAAGAAAAGCCAAGAAAACTATTTGGAGTGAGAGACTATGGTAATATAAAAGGTATATTTTCTAGAAGTTATTATAAAGTTTAAGTTAAATTATGTACATGTATAACATATAATAATTTTCTTCTTTTGCATCATCATGTTATAATTTGCATTTAGTAAATAAAGTTAAACCCTACTCTGTTGCTGGACATGAAAGGGGGTAGTTCTATGTCACACACATCTTTCTCTGTTGCCATCACAGTTAAGAACAAGATTAAGAATTCTATTAACTATTACCATACTCGTTTTCAAAAAGCTAGAGAAATGAATTTTCGGACAAGATTATTTTCTGTAGTTCATACAACAGAGTAAAATGTATAGAATTATTCATTTTAAAATCATATATATGGAATAATATATAATCAGGCCTAATGCAAAACCGTAAGTTATCTCATATATATATATATATATATATATAGTTTTGGAAGCTTCAATAATAAAAGTAGGAAAGAGAAAATTCTGTAGTGTACATTTGCAAACAAACCCAACTTATTCACCCTGTTTTTAAGAAACTCTGGCTATATATCTTCAACCAGAAAGAAAAAAATGCAGACGTGACAACATGAGGACATGTGCTAGATAAATAGCATGTAAAGAAATATGCATCTGGGTCATTTAATTATTCAATCAAAGTTTCAGTGCATTTAATAGTCTACTGTGAAGAGAACTATGGTGGAGAGAACAAATCTCAAAAGGGAAAATACCTTCACTTTTACTATCGTATATTTACTATTGTAAAGAAGAAAATCAATAGATGAACTTTACACTTCCCAGATAGTTCAATTGTTAGGAGAGCCCAAAATACTGAGCATTTGTGATACCTAATTCCTTTATATTACCTCATTGTGAAATTATACCCATCTTAGAGATGAGAAACGTGGGGTGTTTATAATAGAGTGTGTTAATTTCCCATTGCTTCTACTCAGTAATTAAGTCTATATTTTCACCCAAGCCTTGTCCCCTACTCTTTTTCTCCACTAATTCACTTGGATAGAAGGAAGTGTGTATGCATGCACATTCAATATCACAGTGTCTCGTACAACTGCAAGAAATGAGCAGTCCTTTTGAACTCTGAGCTTCCAAAAAGTCAAACCAATAAGTACATGACAAGTTTTAGTTCTCTAATTTTTCCAACAAATATTCATTTAGTACTGTTTCTATGTCAGACATTGTGTTAGTCACTAGAAAGAGAATACAGGTAAAACAGGTGTGGTTCCTGCCTTATGTGTTCCAGCCTTGCCTCATGTATTTGTGTCTTCATGGAATTACCATGGTCTTTCCTCTTAGTCCTCATCAAAATGGTAAAATACAACATTAATCAAGTGTTATCTTTAGTTTTGTTTTCTAATAAGAATGATAAGAAGTGATCTTATTTTCACTGCTATAACCTAGAACTGTGTCTGACTCCATAATTATGCTCTAATGAATTACTAAAGAAATTAGACCTAACTATGTAATTAAAACTATGGAAGGAGGCATACTGGTTGTATAAGGAGCAGAGAAAATGCCAGATAGCTTCAGAAATGAAGAAGAGATATGAAAACAGAGATAGTAATTGGAAAGAACACTTGAGAAGTTTGGCTACCAATGGGAACAACAAGATAAGATAGCTTGAAAAAAAGAAGAGATAATAAAAAGTTTTAAATTTTTGAGTTTAACTTTGCTTTTTTTTTTTCTTAAGGTAGAAGAAATTTGAATAAGCTTAACCGTTGATTAGAAGTATGGCAGATGCTACTTGTCCTCCAAAAGTTATTCTCTTTTTCTATAAAAAGTGTTAGCTTGGCACATGGCCAGTGAGTTAGAGACTAAATTTCTTAACTTCCCTTGCAGCTAAGTGTGGCTCTAGACTCTAGCCAGGGGTATACAAGTGAAAGTGATCTTCGCAACCTCCACAAGGCTTAGTTAAAAGCAAACTTTGTGCTCTCCACTTCTTCCCTTTCCCTCTTTCACAGGCTATAATGTGGTAAAATCGTGGGGACTTAATTCCATCATATGGAGGTTACTGAATGTATCAGAGACAGCCTGCAGTTCATCACCACACAAATTAGGTAAGAGAGAAATAAGCATTTATCTTATTACTAATGTCTTTATTTTAGAGTCTCTTTTCCCCCATGCTTCTTTAGCTTACATTTTTAGCCTAGGAAGGATCCAGTGGAGGGAGAAGTTAGAGGCACCATAGTTAAAATAAATAAGTAAGGTTCATAAGAAATTGTAAAAATAAAGAATCACACTGTATATTGCATATATGAAAATATAATATGTATAGCAGTCTTTCCTGGCTCTGACACTTGAGAGAAATTTCTTTTGAGATCCTCATATCTTCAAGATATATTCAAGAACATTTTAAAATACATATATTGTATTTTATACAACTGCTTATTTTAACATTCCTCAATGCCTATCTATGAACTAATGTCAAACCTTATTTAATAAATATGGCTCTGTGAATCTAAATTTATATAGAGACAGCTCTATTAATTGGTAATAGGATTTTTACGTAATAAAATTGGGCAATATACAGGAGCAAGTTTAGTACTAGAGGAATGAGGATGCTGTTAAGGATAAAGACATTTTAAGTACATATTGTGAGTCCTGCACAATATTAGGTAACTTAACTATATTAGTTTATTTAATAGTGATAATGATGCTCAGAGATAAATTTTATTAAATTAGGGTTTTAGAAATGTAGAGTCAGAGAGGCCATGTATTTGTCCATTGTCTCACAGCTATTAAGTGGTTTATACAGAGTTCAAAGATGAAATATCCAATTCCTAATTCTCTGCACATTTCACTAGTCTCCTGATAACAAAATTCTTATTTGAATTCTAATTCAAATGTCTATCGTCTTAAAAATAAAATATCTACTAATCCAACTCAAATATCTAATAAATTATCAATAAGTAGTTTAAGGGACTATAATTAATGGAATACTAGCTTAAAAAAATTGCTTATTCCATTTCATGCCCGTGTCTTAGGGGAATTATAATTAAATGTGATCCTACTCCAAGTCTACATACTAAGTCTGATTAGATTCATTTGTAATTTGTCCTAGCCACTAGCCATTACTTTGTCATAATCAGGAGCTCCTCTTTTTACAAACTTCTCTAACTTGCAAACTTTCAAGGCCGGGCATGGTGGCTCACACCTGTAATCCTAGCAGTTTAGTAGGCCGAGGTGGGTGGATTGCCTGAGCTCAGGAGTTCTAGAACAGCCTGGGAAACACGGTGAAACCCAGTCTCTAAAAAACAAAAAGTTAGCTGGGCATGGTGGTGTGCGCCTGTAATCCCAGCCACTTGGGAGGCTGAGGCAGGACAATCAGTTGAATCCAGGAGGTGGAGGTTGCAGTGAGCTGAGATAGCGCCACTGCCCTCCAGCCTGGGCAACAAAGCAAGACTCTGTCTCAAAACAAAACAAAACAAACAAATAAAAAACTTTCATAGATTTGAAGCTACTTTTCAGAACAAAAGTATGTCACCTCTGCTTGTTCCCAATAAAAGGAACATTCACTAGTGCAACACTGCTATGTCATTATAAACGAATTTAGAAACAACCTTTCATCAGTTACTGTTTTCATAGAAAAGGGAGCTTTTGAACACTTTTGCTCCAGTGTTTCTCAAATCTTAGCCGTCAGTAAATCCCATGACTGGTGCTTAGCTGGTAACAACCTTCAGAGAATAGAAGTTGAAAAGGTTACTCTGTAGTCAGACTGCTTGTTCAAATCCCAGATCTTTTCACGTCCTAAAAGCAGGTTACAGTGCAAGTTACTTCATGCCTCTCTGCCTCAGTTTCCTTATCTGTGGAAAAGGTTGTTGTGAAGGGAAAATGAGATGATTTATGTAATTACAGTTAAAGAATATTTAAGATGCATATTGGTTAAAATATCCTAAACTTTTGCATTTTATTTACACATATGCAGTCATTATTCTACCCAGACTTTGTTTTTTTCTTAAGAAAAAGTATTAACTCACTCAAACTACACGGTTATTAACAAATTTAAAAATTTTAAACTACTGTAAAAAACAGTTTTGAAAACATAAGATACACTTCTTAAATCTTAAGAGGAGATTTTTAAATATGTAGAAAGCTGAAAGCTTATACATAAAATGATGTTTCTTTATTAAACTCTAGTACTATACTTACCTTTGTCACAGCTTCGGTTTTTTAAAGTAATAATTCAAAGAATTTTAAATCTACACATATGTATGCACAGAAACACACATATACAGCATGTGCATAAAGCTGGAGTTTTAGCTCAATGCTCAACTATATCCATTGGTACAATTCACTCCTATGGCAGGTATGAAAGGGACAGTGTTTCATTATTTATTTATTTCACTGCTTCCAAACAAAGATTCACACACCAAATTATGGAGGTAAATTATGAATGATAAGATAAAAGCTAAGGCCTGGCACACAATGGCTTATGCCTGTAATTCCAGCATTTTGGGAAGCCAAGGTGGGAGGATTGCTTGAAGTCAGGAGTTTGAGACCAGCCTGGGCAACAAAACAAGACCCTATTTCTTTAAAAAAAAAAAAAAAAATATATATATATATATATATATATATATATAGACAGGTATGATGGCACACACCTATAGTTCTAGCTACTCAGGAGACTGAGGTGGGAGAATTGCTTGAGCCCAGGAGGTTCAAGGTTGCAGTGAGCTGTGAGGCACCACTACACTCCAGCCTATGCAACAGAGAGATCCTGTCTCAAAAAAGATTAAAAAAAAAGATAAAAAGATAAACTCTATAAGAAGAAACTAAACATAGAGTAACTTAAAAGAGGTTTCTCTTTTAATTGGTGGTCTGGTCCCATGTTCCTGGGTTCGCATGCCATCTTCGCTATCAGAGACTTCACTATTAGAGACTCAGATATTTTCCATCTTATTGCTCTGTCACCCCTAAAATATGGTCCTCGTCCACATAGCAAAAGGTAGTTTACCACCACATCCACATTTCAGCCGTGGGAAGGGGAAGGGAGATAGGGTACAAACTTTTATTTTTATGGGCATGACCCTATAGTTGAAAATATAACTTCCAATTGTATTCATTGACCAGAAAGTGATTACATCCACCACCTTAGCAGAAAGAGAAGCTAGGAATTGTAGCCTAAGCTAGGTAGGCATAAGTCTAGCTAAGGCTTATGTAGATGAAATGGAGAAAAGGAATTGGAGACAGAAACATCAGTCTCTAACATAGTACAGCAAAGCCCAATTCTTTTGAATCCACAGATTCAAAACTTGCTGATGATCTTGTTTGCCAACCTATTTTACTTTTTCTGAAAAATTTAGGTTTATGTACAGAACAATAAATAATGACTCTGAGAAAAATATTTTTCAGTTTATTCTTGAATACATTGTTTAATGCCATCTGAGCTTTCATTTTGAATGGAGAGTAAAGCATAAATAAAGCTCAGTTTAGGGGTTCAGCCTGGGAAAGACCCCCAGGCAGGGGAAGCAAAATGTTACTGTGGACTTAAGGAAAAGGAAGTTGGAAATAATTTTCAATTTTCAGTGTTAAAAAAGAGTCTACGAAGAATATGCTGGGCATGACATCTTGCTTTCTTTTCTCTACTAGGAGCAACGTAAGAAGAGAAAAAGAAAAAGGAATTACAGATTAAAAAATGCAAGAGAATATAAACAAATAAAAATATGTTCAACTGGAATTTGTATTGGGATTGTATTAAATGGATGAACTAATTTGTGAAGAAATGATATCATTCCATCCAAGAGCATGGAACTCCTATTTTTCCTATTGTCTTCTATGTTTCTTTTTAAAAAGTCTTAAGTTTTCTCTGTAGAGTTTTTTGCATTCTGGATGATTTTAATTGAAACATACTGTATAGATATTGTTACTATGATAAGTGGTGCCTCTTATTAGATTTTTTAATTCATTATGATTGGTAAAGCAAATAGGAAAGATTTTGAGCATAGAAAACTGCCTCAATTACCTCATTACTTCAAAAAGTATTGCCATTGGTTCTATTGCTTTTTAAAAAAATACATGATGATATCTTCTGCACATTATGAAATTTTATCTCAACACTTTCAATCACCGCATCTCTGTTTGACACTGATGAACATTTCCAAAGTGAAATATTTTGCTCTCTTTATTTTTCTCCTTTTGCTCTTTGGGGCCTCTTTACTTTCTAAACTTGTCACTTCTTGGTTTATCTTCCAAACCTCTTGGCTTTTCTTTTGTGTAGTATACTTTAGCTTCATTCTGGGAGAGTTTTTCATTCTGAACTTTTCGATTCACTAGTTTATTCTCCATCAGTATGTATGCTAATTTTTCTTCCATTGACTTTTTTTCCCAAACACTTATTTTTCATACTTTATATTTTCACTTGGAATTTTGGGGGAATATTTTGTTCTAGTTTCAAATTGATCCTATATTTTTTGTCTCCTTAAGTATATTTATCAGGCTTATTTTAAATTCTTGATTTATATGTTATAATAATGCTACCTTAGATGGCATATGCTGCTCAATTTTTCTTTCCTTTTTCCACTCTAGTAGTGGTAGTCCTCTGGCTTCTGGTTATTTTTGTCTCTAGAGTTATGTTATGTTATTATAACAGATGTGAGAAAGGGCCCAAAACCAGGTTTTAGCCTGTGTCTGCTCTAATGAGTTAATGTGATTACTCTGGATGATCTTCAGAGTAGAATACAATAAGCAATTGTTGTTTATTACAAGTTTCGAATTTGTAACTGTGAAATCTACTGTGCTTCCTAATTTAGCACCTTTAACAATCTATGATCTAGGCTATTGCTTCCAACTTTTAAAGTTTAAGGGAAAACATTGATTGTCCCAAGGAAATGTGGTCAGAGGAAATAACAGAGGTAATACTCAAAATAAGAAATACTCAAAATAAGTTAATGTGAAAAATAATAGTATAGAAGCAGCTCAAGAAGGAAATGATGAGTTGCAAGGTCAGATTGAAGAACTGTTCCAGAAGGCAGCAAGAAACAATAATGTAAAATTTTTAAAATTAATAATAATAACAAAAAACTAAAAGACATGGAGGATAGAAATAGATATATATGGTGTGTTGTATGAGATGAGTCAGTTAACTTATGAGCAAGCAACCCAACCATATCTAAACATATACCTGAGTATGCTTTAACTCATGTACTTACAAAATTGCATTTCTTAGTGAAAAAAAAATCAAGAAAGAAAACAATTCCTAAGGTTAGTGATGAAAGTATAAAGTCAAGAGATAAACTAGTGATTTTCAAAAAAAAAAAAAAGTAACTTTAGAGTGGCAAATCAAATGTCACTCTGTTCATACAAGATTCATGAAACTGTTTCAGAGAGGGTTTTGTTCCTTGCAAAAGTTGTTCACCCACAAGAGACAGATTTTGTAAAATTTAAAATGTAGCTAATTTTCCATGTGATTAGGCAGTGTAATTTAAAGAAACTCAAGATTTTCTACAAATAATTTTTTGAGGCAAGAAGATGCTAAAGTCACTTGTACTGCCACTAAACTTTACTAAAAGTTGGTTTGAACACTTTAATTGCTTTTGAATAGATGATTGAAGCTGTGAAGAGGTGGCAGCAGCTGACATGTTGCCATGGTAGCATTTCCTCCCCAGCTGAGGAGGCTATACAGAAGAAAGGATATAGGTCAGAAAGTGTTTATACTGACAAAACAACCACATATTAAAATCAAATGCTTTTGTAAACATCATAAGCCAAATGAGAGTTGTGAAATCTAGTTTCAGGATATTAAAGACAGACTGATTTATCTTTAGGATGATGTATCAAGCTGTACTGTGAGAATGGAGCATTCAAGGTCAAGAATACTCTCCTTCCTGCATATTGGCAATTCAATTTTAAAAGATTGAAACACGATGAAAGTGTTTCTATCAGTTTCTTCTGTGTTCCTTGCAATAAGGATATATTTAATTGAAAAATTCTTCTTGAAGGTAGTTCATCTCTGAATAAACTACTCCAGGGTAAGGAAGATCAACTCTATGATCAATAAATATCTGTTGGTTAATTAGTCTTGTACTTTGACAAAATTTTATAAATGCAATTAAGGAAGATCTAACTACAATGAGAGAGGGAATAAGAGAGAGAAAGGTGGGAAGAAATGGAGTAAAGTTGGCCAGTAGTTCAGTGGGGAGACAGAATGAAAGAAATATGATGGGAAGAAGGAAGGAAAGAAAAAGGGAAGAAAGGAAGGAAGGAAGGAAGGAGATAGGTAGGTAGGGAGGGAGGGAGGAAGTGAGGGAGGGAAGGAGGGAAGGGCGGGCACTAGGAAGTGTCAGTCTTCCTGATGAAAGGAAGAGGGTGCCATTTGCAAGACAGTGGCTGAAATGGAAATTTGTAAATTGCCTTAACAGCATTAATCATTCCTCACATCTTCAGACAATTGAACTGTTTTTCATGAGGAATTCACACTTCACCATTTTTATTGAATTTGGTTTAGATAAGGTTAACTCAAGGTGCTGTTCTAAGTACAGCATCTGATTGGTTTAAGCTAATAATATATCCCATTCTTCCCTGGAAAAAGTAGTTAGTTCAGGGACAGGCAGCTAACCCAATCCGAGCATACTTTTTTTTTTTTTTGTTCCTAGAACATAAAAGCCCTTTTAACCTTTTCCTGGATTGTTAATACAAAAATTTGAGGTCTCTCTGCAGCCATCTCGGTACAACTAGGAAAAAGCTTGAAACTGGTAGAAGCCATCAATGAAGTCTGAAGATAGAGACATCGTAGGAGAAGGTGACTTGCATCTAGTGACATTTAAGCCCTGAATCTGAAACCAATCCTATAAACATTATAAAAATTAGTCAGGGAAGAAGGGAGGTGGAGAAACAAAAATAAACCAAGATTGCACCAAACTTAGCATTAATCATTAGGTAAACTTGATCTCTGACCCACTTCCTAATAGTTGTTTCCTGCCTACTCCACCCCCACCCCAGAATCACATAAACCTGGTCACAAGATTACAGCTCTCCCTAAATGTTCTATAGATGACAACTTAAACATTATGAAAAGTTACATTTTCCATTAGAGATATTCATTCAGGTCCTGCATACTAATGAAACTACTGATGCTAGCTGGGCTGAAGGATATCACTAATTCCAGCTGATCTAAAAGACCCTATGAGGAGCCGACACACCAAAAGAAATGTAGTTTCCACAACCTGATGATTTCATCCCCCTTACCTTAACCAATTAATGACCCCAATTTTCCAGTCCCTAGCCCTTCACAATCCCCTTAAAAATCCCAGCCCAGAAGTCCTCAAGGAGACAGATGTAAGGGTCTCTTCTTGTCTCCTTACTAGGCCTCTCTTTGATCATTCAACTCTTCCACTGCTACAAACCCTGCTGTCTCAGTGTATTGGTCTGTAACTGCACAGTGGGCATATGGACCTGTTGGTTCTATAATAAACCTGTAAACTAAAAAATATAATTCTAAGCTCTTCAACTGACTGAATGGACCCACTCCTGGCCAAGGGAACCCTAGATAAACCTTAAAAACTGAGTTCTTGGCCGTGATCAGAAGACTTATCAGACATGCCTTGTTGCCAGGTGCAGTGGCTCATGCTTGTAATCCCAGCACTTTGGGAGGCCGAGGTGGGAGGATCAACTGAGGTCAGAAGTTCGAGACCACCCTGGCCAACAAGGTGAAACCCCGTCTCTACCAAAAATACAAAAATTGGCTGGGAGTGGTGGCAGGTGCCTATAATCCCAACTACTCAGGGGGCTGAGGCAGGAGAATCACTTGAACTCAGGAGGCTGAGGTTCGCACCGTTGAACCCAGGAGGGGAGATTGCACCATTGCACTCCAGCCTAGGAGAAATGAGCAAGACTTCGGCTCAAGAAAACTTAAAAAAAAAAAAAAAAAAAAAAAAAAAAGACATGCCTTGTTATACCCCCTCCTTTTTGGAGTTTAAGCACAACTGACAAACATTAAGTTAAAAATAGAGGTCATGAGACTGACAGAACACTCTTTGTGTGAATAAGATAACAAGTTATAAACAAAGCCTAAGGCCATGCAAGGCAAGGGTTCAGTCAGGCCCTGCCCTACAACCATAAAATCTCATTGAACAGTTTTTTAAAATTATACACCTGGTATAATGTGGCTTACATTCCAAGGTGAGTCTGGTATGGCATCACATGACAGATAGCAGACCCCCTTGCCTTAACTAAAGCATTCCTTTTAACTGACTTCAAGTCTTTAGACAAAGCTTAGCTCCTTTAACCAAATGCCAAACTAACAATCCTTAAAAACATCTTATGACTTAAAAATCCCAGCTTTGAGATGTCCCACCTTTTCAGGCTAAACCAATGTACAACTTCCATGTATTGACTTAAGATTTTACCTGTAATTTCTGTCTCCCTAAAATGTTTAAAACCATACTGCAACCCAACTGCCTTGTGTGCACTTTCTCAGGACCTATTGAAACTGTGTTCCTGAGGCATGGTCACCATATCGGTTCAGAATAAAGCTCTTTAAAATGTTTTACAGGACTTAATTTTTTTTTTTTCATTAGCAAACCGATTACAACAGAAGGCAGAACTATCCATGAGCTGCAAGAGAAATTACATCCCTTATTTTGACTGAACCAGTTTGAGCTGAGTTTTCCATTTCTTATTTTGTAAAAGAATGCTAATAAAATTTCCCTTGATTCCCAAATCGTCCCACCCCTTTGAACCAAATGAAGGTAACTGAAGTAATTAAGACAAAATAATGGTCATCTCTTTGGGTTAGGATTCCATGAAAATCCCTTGAACTCATATTTGTCACCTCCCATGTGCAACAGAAAGGATTTAAAAATAAACAAGACAACATCTATGACATTGATCTGTGAAATCTGCAGATGTCAGGATAAAATCACTTTTGCTAGATCCAGACAAAATAGGTCTGAGAAGGCACAAAGGAGATGGGTTCATACAAACACGCTTAACTAAGAAATTGTTTCCAAGGACTTTCTAAAAACCCCACAAGAAATCCTTTCACATCTTTCACATGTTTCCTGTTTTCCACAGCGTGTATGTTTCACACATATTCATATACTCCTATGACAAGACTTATTACTAGATTTTCTTTAGGACTGTAGTAATTCGGATAAGATGTTCTGGAAAGAATATTTGCCCAGTAATGGCATCTCTGCCAATGAACTGACAACAACTCTGTCTTTGAGTCTCTAGAACGAATAAACTCTGTTTATAAGTAGCTTATGTGAACTTTTCCCATGTTACCAATAAGAGCTTCCTTTTACCTTTCCCTCACCAGATGCACTTGTGGCTGGCCACTCAGTGCATACTGGATCCTAATACTTATTTCTCATTCCCTCAAAAACTCAACATAGTTGGACATATTTTTCTCTAATTTTTGGAGGGAAGGGGAGCCTTGATAGAGCCTAGAAACTAACAAAGGCCAGGATGGGTAACAAATAATTAATAAGGAGGTAGATATTTTATTGTCATTATTTAAAAAAACCTGAGGAATTAAATTTAAATAACTGCCTAGAGAGGTGACAGAATTGATGGAGTATAGAGCTGCAGACCAAGCTACTTTGATTTATATGAACTGTCAGCCAACACATAGTAGTAAATATTATGTGCTGTCTATGTTACATTCATATACCAATAAATCCCACCTGTTTATGGGCATTTCTATTAGTAATAAAAAAAATAGCTGTTAAATTATAAAGAATTTGACTGGCATTTGCCTCTGGTTCCTAGGAAACAATAAATTATTGGGATTTTCCAAGTGATAGTATTTCTTTGTTATTCACAGCAGGCTTTGATAATTTATGTTAATGAGATGACCCATGATGGTCATTACTATTGGCTTCTGTTAGCCAGATGATTTGTGATGGGCATAAGCCACTGCCAAAAAACCAACCATGTGATAAAGGTATTGGAGCTTTGACTCACATGGTATCAGCCCAAGTTCCAACATCAGGGGAAAAAAGAAAGGCTGGAAGTTGAATTCAATCAGGTGCTCAATGATTTAACCAATAATACCTACTTAATGAAACTGCAATAATGACTCTGGACATCAAAAATTGATTATCTTCCTGGTTGGTAAATACACTGATGTGGCAGGAGGGTGATGTGCTCTGATTCCGTAGGATGAGTTCATAGAAGCCTTGTGTTTCTTTCTAGGTTGCACTGTATGTGTTCTTCATTTGGCTGGCTCTCCTGACTTATGTCCTTTGTAATACAACTGTAATCATAAGTATAGTGCTTTCCTGATTTCTGTGTCCTTTTAGCAAGTTATCAAAACTGATTTAGAGTCATGGAAACCTCTGAATTTATAGCCAGTCAGTCATAAGAAGTATGAGTGTCTCCTGATAACTCTAAAGTGTGGCTGTAGTGTATCAAGTCAGGGCAGCCTTCTTAGGGACCAAGTCTTATAATTTGTGGAATCTGTGCTAACTCCAATTGGTCAGCTGCAGAATTGAATTGCAGTGCACCCAGTTGGTTTTAGACAATTTGTGCTGAAATGGAACAACAACATAAACACCATAATAAAATTTCAGGAACTAAAAAAATCTAAGCAAAAAATGTATCTCAAGTCCAAATCTAATACAATGATATTTAAAGAAAAAATAAATTTTCCCTTGGCATTTTTTCATTAAAGTATAGCAAGGATTTAAGAAGAATTTTATGGAATGCACTGAGCTTTTGGGAGACACTTTAATGAAAGATTTGTGAAGAGAGATATTTTTAAACAGCTTTTAAATTAGAGTTGCTGCTGTTCATAGCTCATAGTTGAAGACTGAGAGAATTGCAGCTGCACATGAAGACAGCCATACCTGAATTCCTTCTGCACCTTATTCTGCAGTAAGGACAGAGTACTTCCAAAACATTTCATATGCCATTGGAGTCATTTGAAGTAAGTTAGGTGGGAAGAAGCTTCTGAGGCTCAAGCAATTATGTGACTCAAGAGTCTAGAAGTGGATCCAGGGCTCAAATTCAGGTCATTTAGTTCATAACTGTGTGGTGTTTTTCTGCTATAACATACTGGCCTAAGGATAAAAATAGGCTTCCACTAAGTCAATAAACAGGGAACATGTATTTACATATTCATTATTTATTATCGTTTTTACAAATCCTATAAAGTCCACTTCTCAAACCCTACTGACAGTAATATTCCCTGTAAGAGATGGACCTTATCAGAAATCCACTAGTATTGTCAGGAAATAGTGTTGATTTAATGTCAGTTATCGTAATTTTATTCTGTTCTGTGCAGTTGTAATATTTTATCCAGCAAACTTCAACTACGCCAGAGTCAGCGTAGACTTAGCTACTGAAATCAAGAGTGAGAGAAGGGTGGTTGAAAGATGTTACTAATGAATCCTGAATCTAAGTTAAAAAAGAGATGAGGACAGGAGGTTGGTGTTGACAAATAAAAAAAAATTCTAAGCACCCCTAACATATCTCTTCTTGGCCAAAGGGACCCCAGAGAAACCTTGGAAGCTGAGTTCCAGCCATGATGGCATAGGAGGTTGGGCATGCCTCATTATAATCCCTAATTTGCTATCCACTATTAGGCTTTCTTTCCTAAGGGATAAAGAGAAGTCATCCCTTTCAAAAGACTCCATCTCCGATTTCAACCGACTGATTTAAACTGGTTCTGATTTCAACTGCTGCTCTTCCCTTTTGCAGTTTCAACACTACTGACCTGCATTCCTTCTTAATAAGAGACCAGCAACTATGGAGTGATTCTGGACAGTCTACAGAGGATCCACATTAAGTATCTTCCTGTCTTCTCTTTCATGTTTTTTAGACAGCCAAAAACTCCACCCTTGGACCCATGAAGAGGCATGAGGCCCAATTGTGCCTGTGCACGTTTCTCCTTTTGGAAATATTTATGACATTCATGACTCCTTCTATAGCTCATTGAATATGTATATGTAGCCACCCATTCAGCATACATCTGTCTTATTCTTCTGAGCCTCCTCAAGTGCCTGTTTCTGGCCTCTGCCCAGAGGCTATGCTTCCCAGGCTGTGAAAATGGCCACTTGCAGGCTGCAACCCTTTATAAGAAATAAAGCTCTGCTTTCCAAATTTATGAACCTGTCATTCTTTAGTTGGCAGTATGATTAGCGAGGATGTGGAGGGCTCAATAGACTGGAGGACTACAGAGTAAAAAAAGTGTTTCTATGGGGCACTTAGAGGCAGGGTGGAAGTGTGGGGAGATACCAACATATTTTTCTAGTCTCATTTTAAGCCCTCTGAGTTCAGAGGACCAAGAGGCCCAATCACCCTAGCTGGTTGGATTTAGAAGAAAATAATATAACTCAAAGTCAAACACTGGTAAATTCAGAGGTAAACACTAAAAGTATTTTTTTTTCTTGCAAACTCCGACATACCTGAAAAGCAAACTTCCTAATGCTGTGTCTGTTTTGTTCACAGTTCATTTTGAGGTGACTGGTAGAATTTGATGGATTTTTGTGTGAAATTATTCTAGACTTTTTAAAAGAATGTCCCTCTGAGGTGTTCCTGAAATCAGGCACAGTAGTAACTTACCCCATTTAAGCTGTTCCAGGAGACTAGGAGACCAGTTCAGTCCAGCTTCTTAAGACATGAAAACACTTCTCTCTCAAAGTCTACTCTGTCACCCTTACTTCATGGATTCCAGTGACTGGCATATCATGAATATTCCTCAGAGCAATTAAAATACCAATATACTATATTCCTCAGAGCAATTTGGAATTCAGTATAATTTGTTTATTTTACCAATATGTGAATAATATTCCTTTACAAGGCATTAGGTCACATTCTTAAATACTTTGTAAACATCAAAGCATTTAATCCTAACATAGTAATACCTAATTCATAGGGTTACTTTTTATTATATGTATATTTTGAATAAGGAAACTGAACTACAGAAAGGTGAAGAAACTTGCTTAACATCACATAATAAGTGGCATGATTTGAACCAAGGGCATCTGACTCCAAAATTACGTATTGATCACTCCACTTTTCTGCTTCTCAGTGGTCTGTAAAGGACATTAGGTTTCTACCAACAGATTTGTAGGAGGCACTTTAAGCAATGGAAACAGAATGAACCAACGCATGGAAAGCAATAGGACATTTTTACAAAAAAAATCTAACGTGCTCAGATGTGACTGATCTGATGCTGGAATGAAATAGGAGTGGTATGAAGAGACAAGACGGCCTATTAGACACAGCTGGGAAGCAACTCTCTCACTGAAAGAAACCAAAATATTGAGTAAACCGTCACATTTTGAACAGATCTTTTAAGAGAAAACACTGAAAGTTGACAGACATGCAACAGAAACACTGAGATGGAAGACAGAGGAAGCTGGGAACTCTGAATAGAGTTGCTGAGCACCAGGACCAGCTCCCATCCCTGAAAAGGTAATTAGGAAGGGGTAAGGGAAGGAACTGCAGGACAACACACTCCCATTGTGGACCTCTGGGATCCTCACTACAAGAGATTCCACAATCCCCATAGTCAATTGAATTGGTGGGGGAAACTGCCTGCAGAGTAGGCCGAAGCAGAGCTCAGGCTGCATTTCTCTTTACTGATGATGTGATTCTATACCTAGAACACCCTAAAGATTCCACCCATACATAGGTTTCTAGGACTGATAAAGAACTTCAGTAAAGTTTCGGGATACAAAATCAATCTTTCTTTTTTTCTCTTTCTTTCTTTCTTTCTTTCTTTCTTTCTTTCTTTCTTTCTTTCTTTCTTTCTTTCTTTCTTTCTTTCAATGGTGATATGGTTTGGCTGTGTCTCCACCCAAATCTCAACTTGAATTGTATCTCCCAGAATTCCTACATGTTGTAGGAGAGGCCTAGCGGGAGGTAATTGAATCATGGGGGATGGTCTTTCCCATGTTATTTTCATTATAGTGAATAAGTCTCATGAGATATGATGGGTTTATCAGGGATTTGCCCTTTTGCTTCTTCCTCATTTTTTCTCTTGCCACGGCCATGTAAGACGTGCCTTTCACCTCCTGCCATGATTCTGAGGCCTCCCCAGCCATGTGGAACTGAAAGTCCAATTAAACCTCTTTTTGTTCCCAGTTTCAGATATGTCTTTATCAGCAGCATGAAAATCAACCAATATAGATGGGGTTTCACCATGTTGACCAGGCTGGTCTTGTACTCTTGAGCTCAAATTATGCACCTGACTTGGCCTCCCAAAGAGCTTACAGGCAGGAGTCACCATGCCTGGCTTCTCAGTAGCATTTCTTTTTTTCTTTTTCTTTCTTTCTTACTTTTGTTGTTGTTGTTGTTGTTGATGGCATCTCACTCTGTCTACCAGGGTGGAGTCCAGTGGCATGAACTCAGCTCACTGCAACCTCAGCCTCCTGGGTTCAAGTGAGTCTCCTGCTTCAGCCTCCCAAGTAGCTGGGACTACAGGCATGCACCACTACGCCTGGCTATTTTTTTTTTCTTTTCAGTAGAGACAAGGTTTCATCATCTTTGCCAGGCTGGTTTCAAACTCATAACCTCATGTGATCTACCCACCTCAGTCTCCCAAAGTGCTGAGATTACAGGTGTGAAACACTGTGGCTGGCCCTCAGTAGCATTTTTATACAGCAATAATGTTCAAGTTGAGAGCCAAATCAAAAATTTATCTAATTTGCAATAGCCACAAAAAGATTAAAATACCTAGGAATACATTAACCAAGGAGTTAAAAGTTCCATAAAAAGAGAGCTATAAAAAACTGCAAAAATAAATCAGAGATGATGCAAATACATAGAAAAATATTTCATGCTCATGAATTGGAAGAATCAATATTATTAAAATGTTCATATTGCCCAGAGCAATTTACAGATTCAACACTATTCCTACCAAACTACCAACGGCATTTTTTTTAACAGAATTAGGGAAAAAAAAATCTAAAACTCTTATAGAACTCAAAAAGAGCCTGAGTAGTCAAAGCAATCCTAAGCAGAAAAAACAAACCTGGAGGCATCACACTACCTGACTTCAAACTATAATATACTGCTACAGTAGCCCAAACAACATGGTATTGGTACAAAAACAGACATATCGACCAATGGAACAGGACAGAGAACCCATGAAAAAACTTTCCACCTACAACCATCCAATCTTTGACAAAGCCAACAAAAATAATCAATGGAAAAAGGCACCCTATTTAATACATGTTGCTGGGACAGCTGGCTGTCCATGTACAGAAAAAAATGAAACTAGACCCCTTCCTATCATAATATACAAAAATTAACTCAAGATGAATTAAAGATTTAAATGTAAGGCCTCCAACTATTAAAATCCTATAAGAAAACTGATATAGTTTGGCTGTGTATCCCCATCAAAATCTCACCTTGAATTGTAATAATCCCCATCTGTCAAGGGCAGGACCTGGTAGAGGTAATTGAATCAATAGGGGTGGTTTCCCCCATGCTGTTCTCATGGTAATGAGTGGGACTCATGAGATTTGATGGTTTTGTAAGCATCTGGCATTTTCCCTGCTCATTCTCATGCTCTATCCTGCTGCTCTGTGAAGAGGTGCCTTCTGCCATGACTGTAATTTTCCTGAGGCTTCCCCAGCCATGTGGAACTGTGAGTCAATTAAACCTCTTTCTTTTTTTTTTTTTTTTAATAAATTACTTAGTCTTGAGTATTTCTTCAAAGCAGCATGAGAACAGACTAATACAGTAAATTGGTACTGAGGTGGTGGGGCACTGCTATAAAGATACTTGAAAATGTGGAAGTGACTTTGGAACTGGCTAACAGGCAGTGTTGAAACAGTTTAGAGGGCTCAGAAGAAGACAGAAAAATGTGAGAAAGCTTGGAACTTCCCAGAGACTTGGAGGGCTCAGAAGACAGAAAAGTGTGGGAAAGTTTGGAACTTCCTAGAGACTTGTTGAACGGCTTTGACTAAAATGCTGATAGTGATATAGACAATGAAGTCCAGGCTAAGGTGGTCTCAGATGGACCTGAGGAACTTATCGGGAACTGAAGTAAAGATCACTCTTGCTGCGCTTTAGCCAAAAGACTGGAGACTTTTTGCCCCTGCCCTAGAGATCTGTAGAACTTTAAACTTGAGAGAGATCATTTAGGGTATCTGGAGGAAGAAATTTCTAAGCAGCAAAGCATTCAAGAGGAAGCAGAGTATAAAAGTTTGGAAAATTTGCAGCCTGACGATGAGACAGAAAAGAAAAGCCCATTTTCTGGAGAGAAATTCAAGCCAGCTGCAGAAATTTGCATAAGTAATGAGGAGCCAAATGTTAATCACCAAGACAATGGGGAAAACATCAGGAGGGCATGTCAGAGACTTTCATAGCAGCCCCTCCTATCACAAGCCTGGAGCCCTAGGAGGGAAAAATGGTTTGGCGAGCTTGGCCCAGGGTCCCCCTGCTCTGTGCAGCCTCAGGACATGGTGCCCTGGATCCCAGCTGCTTCAGCTCCAGACATGGCTAAAAGGGGTCAACATACAGCTCAGACCATGGCTTCAGAGGGTGCAAGCCCCAAGCCTTGGTGGCTTACACATGGTGTTGGGACTGCAGGTGTGCAGAAGTCAAGAATTGAGGTATGGGAACTGTGCCTAGATTTCAGAGGATCTATGGAAATACCTGAATGTCCAGGCAGAGGTATGCTTCAGGGTGAAACCCTCATGGAGAAACTCTGCTAAGGCAGTGTAGAAGGAAAATGTGGGGTTGAAGCCCACACATAGGGTACCCACTGGGGCACAGCCTAGTGTACCTGTGAGAAGAGAGCCACCATCCTCCAGACCCTAGAATGGTAGATCCACTGACAGTTTGCACCGTGCACCCAGAAAAACCACAGACACTCAATGCCAGCACATGAAAGCAGCTGTTAGGGGTGCTGTACCCTTCAAAGCCACAGGGGTGGAGCTGCTGAAAGCTGTGGGAGTTTTCCAAGTATGTGGGAGCCCACCTCTTGCATCAGAGTGAGCTGGGTGTGAGACATGGAGTCAGAGGATATTATTTTAGAGCTTTAGGGTTTAATGACTATCCTATTGGATTTCAGACTTGCATGGGGCCTGGGGCCCCTTTGTTTTGGGCAATTTCTCCCATTTGGAACAGGTGTATTTACCCTATGCCTAGGTATCCCCATTGTATCTAGTAAGTAACTAACTTGCTTTTGAGTTTACAGAGTCATAGGCAGATGCGACTTGCCTTGTCTCAGATGAGACTTTGATCTTGGACATTTGGGTTGATGCTGGAATGAATTAAGAATTTGGGGGACTGTTGAAGGGGTATGATTGTGTTTTGAAATGTGAGGACATGAGATTTGGATGGGGCCAAGGGTGGAATAATATTATCTGCCTCTGTGTCTCCACCTAAATCTCACTTTAAATTGTAGTAATCCCCACATGTCAGAACCAGGTGGTGGTAATTGAATCATGGGAGCAGTTTCCCCCATACTATTCTCATGATAATGAGTGAGTCTCATGAGTTCTGATGGTTTTATAAGCATCTGGCATTTCCTCTGTTCATGCTCATTCTCTCTTCTGCCACCCTGTGAAGAGGTGCCTTCTGCCATGATTGTAAGTTTCCTAAAGCCTCCCTAGCCATGGGGACGTGTGAGTCAATTAACCTCTTTTCTATATAAATTACCCAGTCTTGCATATTTCTTCATAGGAATGTGAGAATGGACTAATACAAAAACCTAGGAAATCTTCTCAATATCAGCTTTGGAATATAATTTATGGCTAAGTCCTCAAAAGCAATTGCAACAAAAACAAAAATTGACAGTGGGAACTAATTATACTACAGAGCTTCTGCACAGCAAGAAAAACTGTCAAGGGAGTAAAAACAGACAACCTACAGAATGAAAGATAATATTTGCAAACTATGCATATGACAAAGGTCTAAAATCCTGTATTTATAAGTAACAATTCAACAAACAAAAAACAACTAATCCCATTACAAAGTGGTCAAAAAACATGAACAGACACTTCCCAAAAGAAGACATACAAGTGGCCAACAAATATATGAAAAAAATACTCTACAACACTAATCATCAGAGAAAGGAAATCAAAACCACCATGAGATATTATCTCCCATCAGTCAGAATGGCTTCTGTTAAAAAGTCAAAAAGTAACAGATGTTGGCAGGACTGTGAAGGAAAAGGAAGGCTTATCCACTGTTGGTGGGAATGTAAACTAGCTCAGCCACTGTATAAAGCAGTTTGGAGATCTCTCAAAGAACTTAGAACTACCATTCAATCCAGCAATCCCATTACTGGGTCCATAACCAAAGGAAAATAAATCGTTATACCAAAGACACATGCAACTCTATGTTCATCACAGCACTATTCATAATAGTAAGGACATAAAATTAACCCAGGTGCCCATCAACAGCAGATCGCATAAAGAAAATGTGATACATATACACCATAAAATACTACACGACCGTAGAAAAGAATGAAATTATGTCCTTTGCATCAACATATATGCAGCTACATGTCATTATCCGAAGTGAAGTAATGCAGAAACAGAAAACTAAATATTCTATGTTCACACTTGTAAGGGGAGCTAAACATTGGGTCCACATGTACATAAAGATGGGAACAGTATACACTGGGAATACAGGAGGAGAGAGAGAAGGAGTGGGGCAAAGTTTGAAAAACTACCTATTGGTTACTATACTCACTACCTGGGTAATGGGCACTTCAATTGTGCTTTAGACCTCAGCATCACACAATATACTTTTGTAATGAACCTGCACATGTATCCCCTGAATCTAAAACTTTTAGTCAAACTATTGAATTTTGTCAAAAAATTAATAATAAGAGTGTTAAATGAAAATAGTTACAAGATAGTAATGACATCAATGAAGGAATAAAGATTCAAAGCAAATATTTTGGGTGAAGGTAATGTATTTCCATGTATTGAAAGCATCATGTTCAAGCCGTTTTGGTAGACTAGAATTATCCTTTTTCAGAGAGTGTGGTGAGAGTTCCCAGTGTGAATCTAGGTTCAGGGATTCACTAGAAGAACTCACAGAACTCAGCTCGTGACTATGACTTATTACAGTAAAGGATTACCAAAAAAAGTCAGCCAAAACAAACAAAAAAAAATGGGGCAAAGTACAGAGGAAATCTGGCACCAGCTTTTAAGAGTCCTCTGCCAATAGAGTCACACTTTACACATCTATTTCCTCTAGTAAGGAGGTTGTGGGAACACATATGAAATATTTTCTACCAAGGAAGCTCATTAACGATTCAACATCCAAGGTTTTCGTTGGAGATGGCTCACATAGGCACCTTCTGCCTAGCAGATACCTACATTCCAAAATCCCAAAGGGAAAGCAAGTATTCAGCATAAACCACGTTGCTTGTAGCAACTTTTTAGGTACAGTAAGCCATTCTTATTTAAGAAAAGTTTTATATCCATGTTGGAAACTCTGTATCAGCCAAGTTCCCAGATGTCAGCTAAGGGTCAACCTAGCAAGCAGGACTTTCTAAGGCTAGACAGGCTCAGGCCTGCCACATTAACTCTTTTCTGCACAAAGGGTCACTAGAAAAAAAAGTCCACAATTTGTCAGGTAAAGAATATTGCCTTCTATTTTGAGTATGAGAGTCTAAGTGAAAAAGATATCCATGTTTTCTTAAATATATTCATTTATTTGATGTATGCCTGTGATATGATGGAGGTACCAAATCACAAGAACCAAAACTGGTCTAAGTGTAGACTGTGATTGAGGCCTTAAAGCTGAGAATAAATAGCTGGAGAACCCCCTGTCTTGGTCCATTTTGTGTTGCTATAACAGAATACCTATGGTGCATAATTTATCTTAAAAAAATTTATTTCTTGCAGTTCTGAAGGCTGGGAAGCCCAATATGAAAGTGCTGTCAGGCCAGGCACAGTGGCTCATGCCTGTAATCCCAGCACTTTGGGAGGCCAAGGCGGGGGAATCACCTGAGGTTGGGAGTTCAAGACCAGCCTAACCAACATGGAGAAACTCTGTCTCTACTAAAAATACAAAATTAGCTGGGCATGGTGGTGCATGCCTGTAATCCCAGCTACTTGGGAGGCTGAGGCAGGAGAATCACTTGAACCCAGGAGGCAGAGGTTGCGGTGAGCCAAGATCATGCCATTGCACTCCAGCCTGGGCAACAAGAGCGAAACTCTTCTTAAAAAAAAAAGCAAGAAAGAAAGTGCTGTCATCTGGCAAGGGCCTTTGTGGTGCATCCTCCCATGGCAGAAGGTGAAAGGGCAAGCAAGGACAAGGTAGAAACAACAAGAGATGGTTGAACTGGCTTTTTACAACAATCCACTTCCAAAATAATGAATTAATTCCCAAGATAACGACATTATTCCATTCATGAGAGCAGACTCCTCATATCCTAATCGCTTCTTATTGGTCCCACTTCTTAATACCATCACAGTGGCAAATCAATTTCAACATAAATTTTGGAGAGCCATTCAAACCCCATAGCACCTCTCTCATATTCTTAAGTATACTGCAAGAGATTCTTGCAAGTCTTGCAAATAGGGTCGTCCAAATGAAATGGGCAAACCTTAGTCTATCTCATACCTCAAGAACTTATACACATCAGTGTAGTGTGGGATGTAAAAATAATGTTTTTTTTTCTTGTTTTAAATAGGAAAAGAAAACTTATAAAGTGTATTGGTAGAGGGCTTAATGAGATTTGGATGCTCAGAAGATGAAAGGCCTCTTTTTTTCATCCTCTGGGCGATATACAACTCTCCCTTAGGAGACTCGGGAAGGAAAATTTCCACCCAGCAACGACTGTAGTATTGGGGCTCACAGGTTTAATTCAGAAAAAATAAAGATAAGTGATGTTTCTGAAACACCTACGCTTTCTGAAGGCAAATCTATATCTGGTACAAGGTCTATGGGTTGAAGAGAAATCAGAGATATTATGGAAAAAAATTAGTTGGCTTTGAAATATACTAAAACTCAAGAATGAAATTGCTGAGGTGAAAAAATAACTTTGGTAATGTTTTTAATTAAAATGGATAAATATATGACCCTATAAATGCATAATTAATTGGTATGATGATCTACAGGGTAACTTCTTATGTTTGTTAAGAATTACTAATTAAATGCATAGTTGCAGATATCCAATACTAGATTAGATTTGAAGGAAAGGCAGATTAGATTTGAAGAAAATGCTTTATGCCTAAAAGTCAGCTAACAGTGGACACAAAAGTAAACACTAAATTTTTGTATCTTTATATACTACAGACTTGAAAAATAATCTCCCAATCCTGTTACCATTTTGTTTTTAATTCATTTGAGGTTGTTAATAATGTTTCCAAATTTTACTGTAGAATTACTCTAACACTTTTAAAACATTTTTTATTTTTTAACACGGAAGAAATTCTTATAAGCCTCAATAGGTTTAAATTGATCCATGACATGCTAGCCATACTTTTACTTAATAGAATTTGGGCACAGTATATAGCAATATACTTAGTAGAATACAAAAATTGCTTACTCACATCTGACATTGTTGTTTAAACATTTCCTAATACATTTTGTTCCTGGAGTTTTAATAGTAATAACACATTTCAACATTGAAAAAAGTTATATTTCATCCTCTTGGATGAAATAAATGAATAAATAGTAAACCACTTACATTGGAATATCGGTGATAAATTTTGATTTGCCAACACTTTAATGTGTCTCTATCCTAGAAATTTAACAATAAAAGACTCTGTTGATTTTGTATATATTATTTCTAATTCTACTGCATATGATACTTTTTGTTTTGTGTATATCTTTTTGTGGGCATTTTGTATATAATCTTTTGTATATAATATATTATTTGTATACAATATACATTTTGTATATAACATATTCTTTTGAATATAGCACATTCTAATTTTGTATATAACATTCTAATTCTACTACATATGATAGTTTGTGTTATATATTCACATATATTTATACACATATTAAACAAAGATTTGTATTTTAATAAAAACCTGTATAGATTCTTACAGACATATTCTATTGTCTAGTATCTTTTACATTGTTTCCCCTGAAATAAAATATCCTACTGAGAGGAATCATTAATCAAGGAAATCAATAGTTTTGCATATTTCAGTACATGTGTCTTCTCAAACATTAAGGAGGATGAATTACTACTATAGTTGAATATGGTCAGTTACAGGTTTAATAATACATCCCAACAATTGTTAAGCACTTTCAATTTATAAATGCAACTAATATTTTCATTATTGAAATATTGAAACTGGTGAAAGTTTCATCTCTATAATTTGTCAAAAAATAGCTTCTGCTCTCCGTTTTTGTCATTTATACAGTGTTAAAATCCGTTATTGTTCAGTAGTTATTTATAGTTCTACTAAAAATATGCTATCATTCTCTCTAATATAATAGGTGGTCCCCCACAAAAAAAAGAATAAAGAAGCAAAATAAAGAAGCTAAACTTATATCAGTAAAACAAGTGGTGTAGAGCAGTTTATCTGTTTTTTAAAAAAAATATTTTCCAGACCTTTATCATGGTAGTGAGAACATTGATTTTTAGTGTGTGTCTTCCTTTTGCCAGGGACTCTTATATCCCCGAACGGTTACTCCTCTAAGATCAGAAAGATAAAATGAAGGTATACAAATATTAAACAAATGCCACAAACACTAAACAAAAGCTTAGGACTGGCTAATATGATTTCTATTGTGTTATTCTCTTAAACATTTGTTTCAACGAAATCTTTTTAAAGAAGTTTTGATTCACAAATATCTCTCATTCAGGTTCCTAGAGAGAGGAGATGTGGGTGGCAGCGAGTAACTGAACTCGCATCTCTTATTTACCAAACACATCTGGACTTTATGATAGCCTAATGAAATCAAAACTATGGAATATAGTCAGCATCAAACTAAGAGGACAACTGGGCTTACGCTGATGGCATATGGAATAACCTGAACTTTTAAAGTTTATTAACATTTATTGTTAGGTTCTGAGCAGGGCTTTGAAGTTTTAAAAATGACTCAAAAAACAGCTAGCCTTAAGTTTTTTTGCTGACTAGTGGGGGATGCAGACACTCAAGAAACCATTTCAGTAAGATTTTTAAAGTGTTAAGTATTAAAATTACCTTGTTTCTTCCAAAGTCTTTCCCATTTTAGAAAATGGTAATTCCATCCTTCCAGTTACTCTGGTCATCCTTAACTCCTCTCTTTCATATTCCTACATTCAAACTGTGGGTAAATTCTGATAACTCCACCCCGAAATGCATACAGAATCCGATCACTTCTCAGTAACTTCACCTCTACTCTTCAGCCTAATCCACCACCATCTAGATTATTAGATAAAATCCAGTCTGTTTTCCCTGCTTCCACACTTGCCCCCTTTATTTTTAACATGGCAGCTATATTGCTCCTATTAAATACAAATCTGACCATGTCACTTATGAAAAATCTGCCAACTGCTTTACATCTTACTTGAGTAGAAATGAAAGTCCTGAGAGTGGTTGTCAAGTCCCGTCAAGACCTTTTACCCCTCTGAACCTTTCTCCATTCCTCCCCAGCCTCTTTACTAGGCACACTGCTTTTCTGCCTTTCTTTGAACTCAACATGCTCACAGCGCACTTTCCCCTTATTTTCTTGTCTCTATCAGTACTTTACTCAAAAGTCATTTTCTCAGTGAGGTTTTTTGTTTGTTTGTTTGTTTTTGTATATCCTGTATAGAACTGCAATCCCCACAATCCCCCATCTCCTGCTTATTCTACTTCCTCATTTTTTCTCTATAGCACTTCCTGCCATGACATTATGCCAACTTTATATTTTGTTGTTTGGTTTCCCTGACTTGAAGGTAACCTTCATGAGGGCAATGTTTTTTTAAATTTTTTTTATTTTGTTTTGTTTGATTCACTGCCATTTCCCTACCACTCGGTACAGTGCTGGACATATACTAGTTGCTGAATAAGTAATTGCTGAATTAATGACTTTTCTTTCAGAAGTGCTCTCTGAACCTCTAAGGCAAACTGGCATTCCCTCTCTTGGTGTCTATAAAAATTATTACATATATAAAATGTATTTGTTTTCATATCTGGCTGCATGACGGGACTCAAAGTTTAACGACAGGGACAGGGCCAGCTACTTACAAAGCTACTTACATGGGCCTCTTCTAAACGCAGGTTGCATGCCCCTAAAGTCAGCCCTGTATATCTTTTCATCTTCATATCCCAATAATTAGCAGTGTCACTGGTGAATGTATTATATGTTCTCCATAAATGCTTGTTGACTGAATGCATACATCCTTATCGAGAACAATTCTAAAATATTCTACTTACATAGTACCATCTCAATATAACCCTGATTTTTGAAACATAATTAAAATGGGGAGCCTGAAGCAAGTTAAATGTGTTTGTGTAAATGATACGACCATTTGAAGGGAAACTCAGAATTAGATGTTATCCTAGGTTCTAATTCACTGTTTCACTTCTGATCCAGATTAATTTTTAGGCCTTTCCAAATGTTCTATCTCAGATTTAAATAAAAAAACAAGATTAAGAAGAGAAACATGATTCTGATCTACTCTATTTCATTTTGCCAAATAAGTAGTTATTATATCCAAGGTATAAAGCAACTTCCTTCAAAACAATATTCCCTAGAATCATAAAGGTGATTGATTCAGTCAGTGGTGCATATAATTTTTGAATTAACTGTATTAACTATGAATAGGCAATCTACTATATACTTTTTTGATGTAAAATCAAATGATCTATAATAGTCATTTGATTAACAATAGTTTGGTTTTCAATTCCTAAGAGAGAGCTTTTTGCTATCAGTGTGATCCTGTGACATACTTTAGAGAAAACAGAAATTTGAAGATGAGTTTTAAATCCCAACAGAATATTTCCCAAAAAATAGAAGGTACATCTACTTGACATATCTAAACCTAAAGAAGGTTTCATTGAGGAAAATGGTTATTGTATTTTCTTTTGTGCTGACATTAAAAAGTCCATAAGTCTCTGAAATCTTCAATGTTCTAAATAGATGGATGAAAAGAGATATGAGTGAATTTGTAAATGAGAGAGAGCTTTCTATAGGAGTTGGAGCAATGCAGGATCTTCAGTTAATCTATCTTTTCTTCATGTCCTCAAGGTCAAGACAGCCTTTTGCTGTCATGAAGATTTAGTACAGATGTTAGTGTCATAAAATATTTTTCTTTTAAATGTCCTATAAAATCAGTATTGTTTTCTTAAGATTTGCAAATAAAAGGTACATGATATGATTGATTACTTAATTAGTATTTTCTGAACATCATATAGGTATTTTCTCTACAAAAGAAACTCAAAACATATGGTGATACTTTTGAATTTGGTATATATGATAGTACCCTTTAAATTCAGGTGAACTTCTGAACGGTAGAATTTAATATTTTGAAAAACAAAATTAATATAATTTCATGAATGTTTTATTATAGTATTCAGTAATTCAATATTACATATAATTAATAATTTGAATACATCTGTTATTTAATACAATTCAAAACGTTTTTGGAATAAAATAATATAATGTGATTTTTTAAGAATTAACTGGTTTCTTCTGAACAAATTGAAATCCAAAGGTCACATTTCTGCATGGATTATATTCTTGATGTTTTTGAAGAAACAAACTGTTAATGAGACTTGGAAAACCTGGAAGAAAAGGGAACAATAAGAGATTAAAATTTAATCAATGATAAGAGTAATTTGCAAAGTTAACAATATATAGTCACCAAAATGCGTATTGTAAAGGGAAAAGGGATCAAAACTGGTGAGAAAATTTCAGAATAAGGTACATACAGTTGTGAATAGGAAGTCTGCAAAATGAGTCTTCAAGAATAACCCACCTGTTACCAAGTTCACGTACAGAGGAGAATAAGGAAAAACCTTTAGGTTTTAATTACATTAGCTATCACTGAGCTACATGCCTGGACAAACTGCTGATGGTTTTCTTGTTGTTGTTGTTCGATATCTTTCTAACTATGTCATTAAATGTACAAAACTGCTTCTTTTTTTTATAGATAATGAAAGGTGGCTTGTAAAGGGCAGAAGATAAAATGGAACATGGATATTACCTCTGCAGTTTTGTCTTAAGATATTCCAGCATGAACACAGTAGAGAATAAACATTTAAAAACAATGATATTAATGTGTATAAAGAATGTCTTGGTTTACTACCATTCTGAGACTAAAATTGTTACCAATTGAAGAGATGAAAACTTAGGTCAGGGGCTTCATGGATCTATACAAAGTCAAATGCAGTATGTATTTGTTTTAGTGGCATAGTCCCCACTATAACACTCTATTTACTCTCAAAGTTTCTTTGAATCCATAGCCTGCACTTATTCTTAATAGTCTTCACTGAGACTGAAGAATAGCGTCTTGCTTCTGAAACTTAATTCTGCAGTTGACACCTTTAGGTCATGGAATGTGTCTATTTTGCATCTCATTGTATATTCAACATCTAGTACAGTACATGACACACAGTAAATGCTCCCCGTCCCTCCAAATACATTGAATGAATGAACATATGAGTGAATAGTGGATCTTACTAAAGTCAAACATCTGCCTAGATTTCAGAAGTCTGGCAACTTGCAGACTGCCCAACATGGTGCTCTTACTGCCAATATATGAACATATACACACACACACACACACACACACACACACACACACACACACACGTAAATATATCTATACATCAATAGATCTATTTATAGATATATATAGAAAGAAAGATAAAAATATACATAGGTACTATACATAGTAATAAAATCACTACCTCCAGGATGACCACTTATTAATAGGCTCCCCTGACCTGGCTGATTAAGGAATCACCTGTACAACTCTTGGATGTAAAGAGCCTCAAAGTCCTGGCTCTATTATATGAACTTATCTGATTAGGTCTCCACCTGATTGCTCTGCAGTCTATTCTGTATAGCTTATACTTAATATTTTTCATTTTAACATATGAACAAAAGCTTACCTCTGAAGTTAAAAGTCCAAAGTTAATTCCGATTAAGGTTAACACATTAACATTATACCATGCACTGATTTTATTTTCACAACCCTAAGAAAAAGAAGTTATTCAGATGGACATGGAGATGGAAATGATCTTATACATAAATCTTTACAAAAAATAAAAGGTAAACAGAGATTAGTAATTTACCAAAGTCTAAATAGTAAGTCAATATCTAATTGGCGAACTGGACTTTTAGTCCAGAAAGCTTTCTACGGCAGCAGGACACCTCAGTTGCTAATTTTAAAATTGCTAAGATGTTATCATGTAATTAAAATCAGAAATTTGTTACACTTTAGAAAGAGATTTTCTCTTCTGCAGACTATTGTAATTCATCAGGATACAGTAGTTTCCCTACTTACCCACCAGCAATACCCCCAGTGGAGGCCTGAAAACACAGACAGTATCAAACCCTAAATATATTACATGTCTTCCTATAGAAACATATATATAATAGAGTTTAATTTATAAATTAGGCACAACAAGAGATTAAAACAATAACTAATAATAAAATAGAACAATTATAACAATATGCCAGCATCACTATTCTTACACTTTGGGGTCATCATTAAGTAAATTAAGGGTTCTTGAACACAGGCACTGTGATACCTCAACAGTCGATCTTACAATGAAGATGACTACTAAGTGACTAAGGGTGGGTAGCATCTGCATCATGAATACACTGGACAAAGGGATGACTCATGTCCCAGGAGGGAACAGGGCAGGAAGACACAAGATTTCATCATACTACCCAGAACAGTGTGCAATTGAAAACTTATGAATTGTTTATTTCTGGAATTTTCCACTTAATATTTTCAATGGTTGAACTCTCACAATGTGAAACTGCAGATAGGGGCAACTACTGTATATATCACCACATAAAATGGTTATTTCCCAAAGAGTAGATGCTTTTTTTTAAAAAAAAAAAGTAATGTTCCATTTATTTATGAATTAATTATGCAATTGAAACAATACATCTTAAGATTAGAATAAGCTTAATATGTAAACTATACAAAGTATTCGCAGTTCTTAGGATGAAAAAATCTAGTTATCAGTATCCCACACCTGTAAATCGCAGTTGCTCCAGACAACCCTTTACTCTTGCTTCTGCTACACTTACTTGAACACCACATTCATCATTGCTGGGGTCCACTCCCTTTAGTTTTTGCCTATTCTTTTACTCCTGGTGTTTTAGCTCCCTTTCCAATCTTATGCACCAAGGCTTTGACAGAAGTGCCTCCTCTTTCTGCAGGACTTCTCAAGGAAGGCTGGGGAGAAAGACTGATGATATCCCAAGTTCCAAGAATACATAAATCATATACTCCCAGGAAATTTATTTACTTTACGTATTATACACTGGAAATGACACTACAATTTACCTAATTACGTGTTCAACTTAGGGAAGTGGATTAAGAATGTAGCCACCGTCAACAACATTATTTTTATATAAAAATTTGCTCAGAATTCTAAATTGACTTGCAAAATAAACAAACAAAATACTATAAATACTTGTAGAAGCCTAGATTTATCTTTACCTCAAGGTAAGTTGCATTCAGTGGCTCATCACAAAACCATTTTCTTAAAGTTGACTTTGTGCAAGAACATGGCACCTGTCCTGAATTTTCTTTGTTCTTATTCTTTATCCAGTCTGTGTAATTATGTTGGCCACAACACTGTAACTAGGAAAAAGCTTATATGAATTTTACCATAAAATGTTCAAAATGCAGTTAATTATATGAGATTAATATTGAAGTGGTTTTTGTGATGAAGATAACTCATTAATTTTTCCCCATGAACATGTAATGAATTAAATAAGTATATCTGTGCTTGTTTAATTCATTACTTTGTTTCTGCTATTATTGTTGTCAGCCATAGATAAAGATCTCTGCTCACATTAGTGGCTTGTGGTTGGATAGAATTATTACATCTGAATTTTATCCAGGATAGAAGATATACTTGATATGCTTATGTATAAATGATGCTTAGGACCATAATATAAAACAATCACTGGAGCCATATCTTGCTCCCAACTGTAGCAGTTCTCTTTGTATTTAAAGAATATGCAGTCATAACTGTTTGGTATACCTAAAAAGAGATGCAGGGTAATATCTACTTTTCTAGGATTAATGTGAGATGTTAACTTTCAATTTTGTATTGTGTGAAAATTACCACAAAGAACCAAAATAAGATAATAAAAATAGTCATAAAATGATCCAACTTTTAAGAAATGTCTCATTTGTAGTGCTGATTCTGGAATCCTATCAAGCAGAGTTAGGAGGATATGAAAGAATCTGTTTACATATTTGTCACTTAGGAAATAAGAGAAAGGTGAAGTAATTGTTTTCTAAACTTTTATGGAAAATGATAACATTAGTACTGCCTATGTTTACAATATATACCAACAATCTACGACAATTCTAGGAAATGCTGACGACTAAAATATTGATTGAGAGTTAGGTTACTGAAAGTTAGTTTAAACAAACAAACCTACATATATTATCTCAGTTATATTAATGGCTAGGAATTGAAAGCTGGAATTTCACTAATAGTAGTGATATGATAGACAGAATTGTTTCCTCATCATTTTCTGCCCATAGGAAGGTTCACTTCTCTGCTGTAAGTTGTAATGCAGTTTGAAAATACAATACATGTACGGATCACATACATAAGAGAAAAAGACAATGAGTAAAAGTATTTGTAATTACATTTCAATTCTCTTAAAATGTATTTCCGTTATCATATGTACTATAAATAAAACCTATTTTTTTATGTGAGGCATATAATATAGCAGTAAAAAGTACAGAATCTAGTGCCAGATTGTGTGGGTTTGAATCTTGGCTCTGCCACTTATTAGCTGCGCAATCCTCATTAAATTACTAAATTTCTCAGTTTTTCATCTATAAAATGAGGATAACAGTTCCTATGTTATAGGGTTGGGAGGACTGAATTAGCTAATATATGCAAAGCACTTACAAAAAAGTCTGGGACTATGTAAATGTTTGGTATTTTTTTAATTGGGCACTTATTATATTCCAGGTGCTGATCTATTTCTGTAAACCATTTAGCCGACAATACCCTTCTCTTACCCTTCCACTGCACCTGTCTGGAAAAATCTGCACTGTGAAATAATAATCTTTAAAAATTAGCTAAAAAGTGTTAGTTGCATTTATGCCCTGGATCCAAGCCTTTCTATATATAGCCTTTCTATAATATATAGAATATCTATATATTACTTCATTTATTCCTGCCAACCAGAGTTAGAGGTTAGTATGCCCACTTTACGAATGTGGAACTTGGAGTTTAAGAGGGTTACTTGTCCAGAACCACAAAGCTATTGCACAGCAATCCTGGTATTCAGACTCAAATGGTAACCACAATGCTGCCAGCAGAGACTACTGCTTAAACTTATCTCCCATCAGGTGCAGCAGGATAGACTATCCCACTTGGCAAAAGACCAGCAGCACTTTTCCAGGTGAAACTAAGTTAAAATGCACATCCATTAACACAGAAAAGAAGATAGGAGTTACAAAAGGAGGATATAAATCAAGATTTGTAAGTGTGGAGAATGCCCTTTTTGCCCAGTTTGTTTGAAAGAAATACAACAAACTTTCATCCATCTGCCCCATCCCCTGCCCTGACCTATTCTCTCTTCTGTCCCACAGTGGTCAATACTGACATCTAATTTTTTAGTTAATTTCATCTTACTGTTTTCTGTAAGGCATTCAGAATAGTCCACTTGGTTATATCTTCAGGCTTATCTTTAGATCCATACTCAGAAATGACAAAATCAATTTTGTCATGCCATAGTTGCTGAACCTGTAGAAAATTGTATTAAAAATGAAAATTTCATAGGAATGTATCCATAAAAATTTCATAGAAATTGATGGTTCCTCAAGAGTACCATCATGAAAAGAATATTCAATATTATTTTTCTGTTTTCTGTTTATTTCTTTTTAAAATAACTTTTTAACACTTTCAGTGGATATCAAATCATATGGTTTTTCAATTCATAATCTATAGGAAGAATATATTAGGCTCATTTTACAATTAAGGAAGAAGTAATGTGCTATTCTCATGCATATCTAAGGGAGATTTCTTCTCATACTCTCAGGAAAAAAACTGTAAAAGTATTTTATATAAGCCAAAAAAGTTTGTTGAGTGTCTTTTCAATGGACACTAGGCTTTTTCTGGCAAACTTCAACATTCCTTGATTCTGTGGGGGTTTGTACTGTACTTTTCATGGTTTATAATTTATTTTACAACTTTAGAAGTTGTAGAAAACTATAGTTATGCAAGTTATACTTGGTCAGACAAATGTACATTTTTCTCGGTGAAGGTATATTTAATTCCTTCTCTCTCCAAGCCTGTTTTGCGTCTATTAAGTGATGGCCTATATAAATGTCTTCTTTGGATTCTCCTTTGAATTAGTTTTCTATCATACTGGTTCCCTCATTAATTAAGATGTTAAATAAAATAATTGACTTTTGAAATCTACTGTATATTTCTACAAAAGTTATGATTTTTAAATTTTAAATATTATCCTTTCATAGTACTATCAGGGCTCAGAATACAACAGCTCCAAAATATAGCACCTTGGTATGTGAGTATTTTAAGCTCAAGGAAATTGAGAAAACTGCAGAAGCAGGAAGGTCACTTTCTGACCTTCTCCTGCCTTTCTCCCATGAGGCAGGTCATAATAGAATTCTCTGACCCATTTCCCCTGAAGGTATAGCATCAGATCCTCATTCCAGAGGGGTCCTGTCCTATATGCAGAAGCCAAGAAGCATCTGAACAGACAAGCCTTGCTAAATTTCCCCTAGTTTATTACCATTAGATTATATGCTTTTGTCCTCCAATCACACTTTCACATGACTGTCCACAAAAATAGATTTCCTTGGATCTTTATTTTTTGGTCTTTATTTTTTGGAGTCTTTATTTTTTGGTTAAGTAAATTTGTTATGCTTTTCATTTGTTAGTTTGTCTTTTGTTATAGGGATCTCAGCCAAGAGCCTTGTGATGAATGAGATATAACTTTTTCTCTCCAATACTAACACAAAAATGATCAGATTTGGATGGGGATAAACAAAACTCTGCAATTTCAAAAATCTAGGTAATGCAAAGGTAGAACGATTGTCGTAGTAACTTAAGCATTTACAAATTTATATAATTTTTTATAACAAATTACTAATTTGGTCCTCAATAATACCAAAAGGTAGGAAGAATAGATATTATTACTGTTTTATGAATGGAATACAGACACTCAGAGAATTTAATTATTTACTTTTGTTTACAAGGAGCTGAGACTTTTAAATATAATCATTTGAATACTAGTCTTAAGGATTTTTACTGAATTATGCTGTCTTTGACAATAAAAACTAAGTAACTGGTGGGAATATCACAGTAATTATAAAAGGCATGTAAGCTAAAATCTTACTTAGTTACTTATATATCTGTATTTTAATACATTTAAGAAGATTAGAATAATGAAAAGGAGATTTTAGATCTACTTTATACTCTGTTCATTTTTATTTAGAATAAATAAGATATATAGTGCTGTTGAGAGTGTGTTGGGGGTGAAACATATGGCCTCGTTTTGTTTCTAAAACATTATTTGGGAGATCCAGAATGCATATAAATGACAATTTCATACATAAGTACTTTCCTATGTAACCTATGTGACTAATGTATAAATAAAATTCCCTTATGCTTACTCAAATTTGGTAAGCATCTATGAAAGGCCTAGTTTATCTTCCACACTGAGTTAGGTACTGTAAATGGCATAAAAGATTTAGAGGCTTTTAAGAACTTAATCCAGTTTGAATGCAGAAGACAAATTGATGTAAACAAAGCTGTTAGCTCTGGGGTCAGCTAATGAGTATTTGAGTCTAGGCTCTGTCATTTGGCCATGAAATACTTTAACAAGCATTTCTCATCTCAAAGCCTCAGTTTTCTCTTCTATAAAGTAGGACTTACAGTGCTTCTTTAGGGGTTGCTATGAGGATTAATAATACAATGCCTATAGTGTTTATCACAGTCTCTGGCACATGGTAGTTATTAATCAGTTCTTATTTCTAATATATAGAGAGATACAGGAGTGTGTGCATAACATTGAAGCAAATATGGGTGACTGATAAACTATATTTACATATTGATAGCTCTTATGTGTCATATTTATGTTCTATAATGAGGTTGAAAAGTTTGAGGATGATAGATTGGGATTTGGTGTTTTGCCAGCAAAGCAGCTTTCCAAAACTTACCTGCTGCAGCTAACATACCTTTAAAACTCACACACACACAAACACACGCACACACACACACACATACATTTTAGATGTGGAGAAAAGTAATTTTAGTTCTAAATGCCAGGCCATTAACAGTAGGCACTGGATGATGAGCTGTCCAGTAAAGAATGAAGTTGGAGGGCAATGGTATCATACAGAAAAGATTGTTTTTGAACTTTGGCCATTACAGAAGAGTATAGATAGATATAAAGAAAATCTAGGAACCATATAAATTAATCAGGAGATCCTTCAAGATTAATTAAGGCGAGGTAAGAGAACTCTTGAGTAGCTACTTTACAACTGAAACTTGATAAATTGTCAGTTAATGACAACTCTGTAAGGTAGGTAGGTATTAATTATATTTTACAGATAAGGACATTATATTTTACAGATACAGCAACAACTTGCTGTAAAGCAAGTTGGTGATCCCTAACCATATTCATATCTGTATGACTTCAAGTACATGTTCATTTTACTATAGGACAATTAATCTTCCGTGATATAAGACAGACCTTGACTGAACTGAAATACTGAAATGTCCTAAAGGATTAAAAGTAACTGTAGGTTGTAATAGGTAAGTTTTGTTGATCAAAAGTTTTTTCAGGCTTATTATATGCTTTTTTGAACTAAATTTGATAAACCTAAATCTTGCTCTAATTAATCACTCATCACTCTACCTGTGGAAAATATAGGAATTATTCAGTATGTCTTGTTTAAGTGAAATTGCTAAATTTCAAATTAGTTAGAGTCTAAATTTGTTTCTTTGCAAAAACATAATACAGTGATTGGGTCAGTAGTGGTAGTCAGAGTTGGTAAGAGGAGAAGGTAAAAATTTGAACTCCTAAATCTCAGTACCACCTCCTCTTCCTCAATACTGTTTGATATTTAAAGCTACTTTCTAATCATATGCAAACAGAGTTAAAGGCAAGTTCCCCTATCTACCCTTTTCAATGTGACTCCTGGCCCCTTCCTATACTCTAGTACTTTTGTTAAATATTATTTTCCCCTAAAGAAATTTACCTTTGGCTTTTAATATAGGATCAATGGTCTCAATACTCTAAGGTATCCAATTTCCTTTAAACTTCAAATAACAGGATGTATTGAAAAGGATTTACTTTCCATACCTCCTCTTTCTTTGTGATGATGAATGCTGAAAGTACAACCTGAACAGCAAAGGTCCATGTTATCAATACTGCATACTAAAACAAAAGAAAAATAGAGATGATGACTATGCTACTAATATATGTTTTGTATGCTCAAATAATGGGAAAACACACACCATTGGAAATATGCAACCATAAAGTATATATGGGTATTGCTGAGGCTTCCTGCCTTCACAAATATGAATGAAATTAGTGAAATAGCAAGGCAAAGTAAAAAACAAATGAACATTTGGATAAGAGCAAGAGAGAAAGAAGTGATAGTAATTAATGAGCACCTTGGTCCAATAGAGTTGTCGATGATGCCATCTTAATTCAGTTCTAAAGCTATTATAGGGTGAATTTAATTATCTTCACCTCACATTATTTTGCTAAAACTAAAGACTCACTAAATTTCTGATGTACTATTTAAACTTATGCAGAAAGTAGAACGTATAACAAAAGCAACTGCAATAATAAACTTAATTCTTTACGTATACTTGGGCTATTTCCTGAAAACTGAAAATACTTGTATCCAAACCAAATAAAATAATTTTTACATTTATTAGACTATTTAATTTTTTTTTAAATGGCCAATTTAGTCTTCTTCATCATAGCTGTTGTCCACCTAAAAAAAAGGCACAAAAGAAAATTATCTCTAAATATGTTGAGTTATTCAAGAATAAGAAATAAAGATTATAGTCCAGATTGCATGAAATGGTAAACTACCAGTTCATTCTGTGAGGAGAGGGTAGAGAGAAGCATTTAGTAGCAAAATGGGCGAGATTTACATAAACTACTTAGAAACAGAGTTTATTGGTTCTAAAGATTGAAAGCCAGAGTTGTTGCCAGTTCACTGGTAGAGATGTCATTACTGGTCAAGTGCTCTTCCAAGAACATCTTATCTGAATTACTGCAGTCCTAAGGAATATCTAGCCATAAACCTTATAAAAGCAGGAGATGACTGAAGACAGTCTCTAGCTGGGAGTTTTCAGAAAGTCCTTAGAAACAGTATTTATTTCAGACACGTAAGCATGAGCCTCCTCTCCTTTAGGCTTTCCTGGCTCTATTTTGTCTGGGTCTGACAAAAGTGATTTCCTGCTGGTAACTGCAACTTTTACACAGCACATATTAATATATAAGATTTAGAATTTGGCTGGGCACAGTGGCTCATGGCTGTTAATCCCAGCACGTTGGGAGGCCAAGATGGGCAGATCACTTTAGATCAGGAGTTCAAGACCAGCCTGGCCCACATGGTGAAATCCCTCTCTACTAAAAATACAAAAATTAGCCAGGCATGGTGGCTCGCACCTGTAATTCCAGCTACTTCGGAATCTGAGGCAGGAGAATCGCTTGAATCCGGGAGGTGGAGGTTGCAGTGAGCCGAGATCGTGCCACTGCACTCCAGCCTAGTGACAGAGCGAGACTCCACCTCAAAAAAAAAAAAAAAAGATTTAGAATTCATAATAATTTTAAAAGTAAGCGGTCTGAATATTTACTAGGCAAAATATAAGTACTAATGATTTACTGTATTATTTATTTACTTTTTACTTGACCCTCAGAGATAAAAATTATTTAATTACACATATTTTATACATCTAATACTTTAAAATATCTGACCAAAATTTTCTTCTTGAGATAAGTTATGTTTCCTAGTTTCAGAGAAAAAAAAATTCAGAGACAAAAATGTAATCTTTACATCTATTTAGATGTTTAGATTTTTAACTTCTACATGCAATATCTCACTTAATCTTATACTAATAAGGGATTGGTAGAGGCAGGAAAAATTATATGAAACCTTTTTTTTTTTTTTGAGATGGAGTCTCACTCTGTGGCCCAGGCTGGAGTGCAGTGGCACCATCTCAGCTCTCTGCAACCTTCGCCTCCCAGGTTCAAGCGATTCTCGTTCCTCAGCCTCCCTAGTAGCTGGGATTACCAGTGCCCACCACCACACCAGGCTGATTTTTGTATTTTTAATAGAGATGGGGTTTCACCATGGTGGCCAGGCTGGTCTCCAACTACTGGCTGGTCTCAGGTGATCTGCCCACCTTGGCCTCCCAAATGGTTGGGATTACAGGCGTGAGCCACCACACCCGGCATATGAAACAATTTTTAAAATTACTGGGTATCTTAGATTAGAGTAGGAGTATGTTAAATCACCTTTAAGACATGGAATAGCTTTTTTTGTTGGGGGGGAGGTGGGGGATGGAGTTTCACTCTTCTTGCCCAGGCTGGAGTGCAATGGTGTGATCTTGGCTCACTGCAACCTCCGCCTCCCAGGTTCAAGCGATTCTCCTGCCTCAGCCTTCCAAGTAGCTGGGATTACAGGCACCT
This sequence comes from Homo sapiens, assembly GCF_000001405.40. Classification (NCBI taxonomy): domain Eukaryota; kingdom Metazoa; phylum Chordata; class Mammalia; order Primates; family Hominidae; genus Homo; species Homo sapiens. Next base: position 85,025,675 of record NC_000012.12, read on the forward strand.
GCCATCATGCCCGGCTAATTTTTTGTATTTTTAGTAGAGATGGGGTTTCCCCATGTTGGCCAGGATGGTCTTGATCTCTTGACCTCGTGATCTGCCTGCCTTGGCCTCCCAAAGTGCTGGGATTACAGGCGTGAGCACCGCACCTGGCCCAAGACATGGAATAGCTTTTAGGCCTATAATATTTGCCCATAAGTTGACTGTGTGAATTAATTTGGTTCAGAGAAAGATATATTCATCAGAAAAATATTGGTAAATTCAGAGGAGAATAGCAAAAGTGTCACAATGGCCAAATTAGCAATACCCTTCCATGGAATGTCTAAAAGGAATGGTAGTATCTTGGTTCCAGGCCCTAATCTGTCAGATCCTATGTTCATGTATATCCTTATGATGGCGTCTATCAGGCTTTCTCATTCAGATGCCATTAATGCTTGAATTATATGAGGCAGAAACTTAGGAAATGTTTGTTTTACTCCCTCTACTTTCCCCCTTCATTTCCTATCCCCTGCCCACTACATTGTATAAGTAGTAGACTCTGCATTTCCTTTGCCTATATGGAAATTTGTGACAAGAAGAAAAAAATCAAGGTTTTCTTGCAAGCCATTTCTGTTCTGGTTTTTATATCCAAAATCTGAAGCTCAGTGAGAAAATTATGCTAAGGATCCTGGAAAGAGAGAAAGATAAGATTTGAGAAGAGAGGGTTGGCCTTGGAGGAGAATAAGAAGAAAGAATAAAGTCTCTTCTTAGACTAAAAAGATTTTGAGGTGGAATCTGGAAGTCTGTGGGTTTCCAGAGCAACAGAGCATAGTCCTTGGAATCCTGGCACTGCCCTGGTAAGGTGGTAAAACCCCAGAAGGAAATCAGGGTCCATACCTAAAATGCCTGTGCCAGGGTAATATTCAAATAGTAGTAGAAATTACTATTAATAGGAAGCAACTGATTCCTATGCCAGGTGTACCTCCCAATTGCTGTGTCACTGGGGAGGTCTGACTGCCTCAGGGAAGGAAGACTGAAGGAATGGAACTGAGGTACTGGTTATTTACCAATATTTCACAAAAGGGTTTCACTGATATGCCTGTATGGGTAAATACTAGATGAATAGCAGCCCTACCTTTGGCACTCATGGCCATTCAAAGAGCAGAGTGAGTAGACCTGAAGGGACCATGTGAGCTGGGAAAGTGAGTGTGTTTGTGGTAACTGGCATAGACTGATAACTAGTGTCCAGGGTGACTACCCAGACTTTCAGTGCTCCATAAAAGCTGAGTATCTCTGCATTCTTCCTGGTAAGGGACAAAATGACAGCAGCTGAACTTCCCATCTGCTTGGCTGCAATTAAAATCAATTTGATTTAGAGAAAAATGTAAAGGCTATATTTCATCTGAGTGTGTGAATTGTGATCCATAACTGCCACATGTATGGTAATTGGCTCATGTCCAAGTCAGTACTCTGGAATATAATTTGCCTTTTCACGTTACAAGCCTCGAGAGAAACAGTGGGCAACCAGATGCTAGAGTCTGCCTCTTTCAGTAATTATAGTTCTCTTTTAAAAATAACAATTTGTGATCTCAATTATAAGTTACCTTTCATGGCAATGGTAGACACTATTATTAAAGAGGGGAGGAAAAGAGTGGGGCAAAGGTTGAAAAGTAACTGCTGGGTACTATGCTCACTCATTAGCTGGGTGACAGGATCAATCGAATTCCAAACCTCAGCATCGTGCAATATACCCATGTAACAAACTTGCACATGTACCCTGAATATACAATAGAAGTTGAAATTATAAAAAAATACATACATACATAAGTTACCTTTCCGCGTGCCATGCCCACAGAGAGAAAAATGTGCTGACTATAGATCATGTTTCTTTTTCCCTGGTAAGCTACATTCCTCATTGACTTGAATACACTTTATTCTAATTCTAGCCTTCAGATTCTTAAGTTTGGTGAATTGTAGTTCACCCTAGGAGATGGAGAGTCCTATTGACTCTGTGTTGAAAATTAAATGTCCAAATGTGCTGAGGTACAGATTCAATTCATAGAAAACGCACTAAGAAAATCCTGTCAGGAAAAGTGACTTTGTTGGAGGGAGGAGGGTGTGCTTCATTTGAATTACTCTAAGGACATACTCTACTGCAGTGCCATGCTAATATAAATCAGTATTCATTTGTGTAACTTAGATACTTAAAAATCTAAGACAAAAATTCAAACTATTGACATGAAATACGTACCACAATTAGGAGCCATCTGATTTCGTTGTGAATTCCTATATAACCCAATAGACAAAAAAGAACAGTAGAAGATCCCATTCCAATCAAAATTTGAGAAATAGGTACTATGAAGTGATTATTTTCATCTGTGAAAAGTACAAATTTACTTATTATGAAGTGGTATTTTATATGAAGTGGTATTTTATTTATTTTCTATTTAAGAATAATTGCAGCAATCAAAAGTTTTTCTGAGCAGCTGTTGCCAAACCACTAGGATTCTCTGTCTCTCTCTGTCTCTCAATTTTTGACCTCATGTACCAGCTCTTACTTTTAGAAACAACCTTTCTTCCTTTTCTGACATGAAGAGAATTTCTTAAATTTCAGAAGATCGCTTTACCCTTATCCTCCTTGTCTTCTATGATAGAATAAATTTTTTTCTAAGATTTCATCTATGTCCAATGTATATTCAAACATTCATGTATTCATTCATTCATCAAAAATCTTTAGAACTTAATATGTGTGAGTTAGATGTATACACCCTGAATTTATTGCTAATATGATCCCTTTCAAACTATATTTTATTTTTCCCCATCTAGACTGTGAGCCCTCAGTGCTAGAGATTATATATATTTATCCAGTCAACAGGCTGACTGTTGAATGCTTGGTGCTATGGCACAAACAGCAGAACAATAAATGCTCAACAAATAATTGTTTTAAAAAAGAAGGACGGATAAATAAATTAAACATGTGGGAGGTGTTATGGGAGAACAGTGTAGGCAGTAGTGTGCTGGAGTGAGCTTGTACTGGCTCATAAAAGCCAATTGTGATATTTTCAGGAAATCTGCAAACCAACTGAATTCACTTTGACACCTTGAAATTGGCCATTGAGGAGCTGTTTAAACCATGGAAATGGGCAGATGTCATAAATCAATATTCTCTATTCCAGAACTGGTTGTTAAACGTTTGCCGGCATACTACTGGGAACAGAGGCACCTAAACCAGTTGGGGGAGAAGGTTAGAAGGTTTGGGCAAGGCTGCTGGAAAAGGTAACATCTGAGCATAGGCTTTATTGGTCATTGTAAATAACCAGGTTGGAATGGTGGAGCATTTCTGAGACATCCAGCAGCACAGGGTGTGTAAGAAACTCAGCTTTGTTGGCACTTACAGTTTGAGTCAGATGAGACTAAAAATGTTTGCAAGGATGACATTATAGGCACTTTGTTTTTCAGTCTTCTTCACTGAAATAAAGCTCCATGTGGATAGGAACTTTATTTTGTTTGCTCACTACCATATCCTCAGCTCTTAGGGCAATGACTGACACAGAGAAGATGCTTAGTAATATTTGCTGTACGAGTAAATAGTGGCAATGGGGAGTCACATAAGCTTTTAATAGGAAAGTTACATGGTTAAAATTGCATTTTTAAATTTTCTTTTTAAAGTGACAACTAATAATTGTACATATTCATGGGTGTTGTTTTGATACATACAATATATATAGTGATCAGATCAGAGTAATTAGCATGTCCGGTCATCTCAAATATGTATCATTTTTGTGTGTTGGGAATATTCAATATTCTTCTAGCTATTTGTGACTATGTAATACATTATTGTTAACTACAGTCATCCTACAGTAGTATAGAACACCAGAACTTTTTTCTTCTACCTAGCTGTAATTTTGTATCCTTTAAAAAATCTCTACAACTGATGAAGACTTTCAGAAGGAATGCTGGACACTTAATAAATTACAGAGAAATACTGCCACCTGCTGAATAAATTGTGTATACAACTGTTAAAAATTGAATGTCTATTTCACTGAGAGAAAAACAAAAATAGATACATACCAAAAGCTGTTAAAAAATTATTTCTATCTAATAAGAGCCATGCACCAAATCCCATGAATAAAAGTCCAAGAACCTAAAAAAAGAAAGTCAATGCTTATTTTTTTGTAATTGCCTATACAATAGATTACATTTTCTTTACTGTATAATTATGAAGATTCTTACCAAGAAAGCTCCATTAATGAGATTAAGAAAGTACTTAATAATTATTGTTTTGTTATTTCTTAACATTCTTTTTCTTCCAAGATATTGATGATTCTGAAAAGACAACCATAACTTTTTAAACATTCTACACAACAACTTTAAATATTTCTCCCTACTTATGTTCTTTATTTGCACATTTTTCTTCTCAAATCAATTATCAGTATAACATACTTCCATCTCTAAATGAAAGGATTTATTGAAGGTATCTTGAAACTGTACCTTGCCTGCATTTTCTTTTTACTAGAGAGTATCTGTACTTAAAATAATAAATATATATCTGCAATGCTTTGACTAGGCAATCAAGAGTAAGAAGACATTTGTATAACAAGTCAAGTAGCCTTACTGAATTTCTTGCAGTTTCAAAAAGTATAAGATATTTTGTTTTCCATCTTACTGTATTTTTAAATTTTTATTTTAATCCTAACCATTAGATAGCCAGGAACATTTCCAGTCTTAATATACCTTGTTCCCTTGGCTGGAAAGTTTTCCTCACTTCTGCATGCCCTTCCCCTTTCTCAGAATAATATTAGCTCCTCACTGAGGTGTTGGTTTGGGGATCTTTCTCTTAACCCAATTTGTTGCCTCTCAAATTTCTCATTGACCTGTCTTCTTCCCCACAGAGAGTCAGGGGTATTTAAGTGGCGAGAGTATGTCTTATATACCATTGTAACCTCCAGGTTTAGCACACAGCAGGTACTTGATATATATTTGTTGAATGCATGAATAGATAGATGAATTAAATTACTTAATCTATAATTTAGTTTAGTATGCAGTATATAAAAAAACTAAAGTAGCTTTCATTAAAACTTATTTTCCAGGTAGTCAATTTTCCTAAAACTTTCATGGAAAAATCAATACCTACTCCATTGGTTTTTGGTGCTGGTTTCATTAGAGATGAAAGTTTCAAATCTAATCTTGAGTATGTTCCCAGATTTTCTCTTTTCTCTTCTCACTGTTTTAATTCTAACTAGCACTATAATTTTAAACATACTGTAGTTTACAATGTTTTAATATATGTAGCGCATGATTGACATGATAGAAGCAGATTTAATAAGATTATTTTAAAGCTATTTGTCTGTCCCTAATTAGGCAGAAAGCAATTTGTTTATTGAACTGAAGGATCCTTTGAAAAGTGGAAAAAAAAGAGATGTCTACATTAGTCTATGTACTACCTTCCCTACTTTATCGTAAACCATCTTCCTCGTAAAATCTCCCAGTGTTCTTCTCAGTTTACGGAGTCACTACAGGTTATATCTTCTACCTATGCTTTGAATTCTCTTGCTGTCATTTGTTTTTTCTACTTTCCATCCTATTGTCTTATTCTTTAATTCCTCTAATGCCTGGCATGTTTTGATGGGACGCTCAGTTGGAAAGACTGCATGATTTTTATTTCAGTTTATTTCAAAGATGCTATAAATCTACATTTTTGGTTCCAATTCTATTTACTACCACATGTGAAAAGCTCTCTCACAGCCTGAACGAGAAGATAGGCACAAGGTCTTGGCCCCTGTCTGTGAAGAAGAAAGAGAATGGATACTAATGAACCAGAAAGCTCTGTGGTAACTCTGATGTGAAATGTTGAAGGCATGGACTTGAGTGTTGATGTGGTAATAATTAGCATGTTAGGCAGGGTCAAGCTGCAATACTTTATCAAAGGACCCAAATATAGAAGTAAACTTTTATTTATCTCAGTTCAAAGTAGGTGATTGGTTCACTTCTAGAAAATCATGTTAGAAACTTGGAGCTAACTCTGGCCTGTTCAACATGTGGCTTCCAAATTGGCTCCAGGTGCCATCTTTTATAGCTAACAGAAAGGGAAGGGGATGAGTAAACTCAGGCAGGCATCTTTTAAGCAAGTGAGGTTGAAGTTGTACACTTCTCTTCCATTTAGAGTCCACCAGCACAGACTTGGTCCCACAGCAATACTCAGCTCCAGTTGAAGGCAACCATGTACCCAGGATAAAGAAAAGAAAATAGGGTGGTGAGGGCCAAACAAAATGCCCACTGGTCAGAAAAGGCCAATTACAGAAGATAATTAGAAAAAAAAGAGAGCTTGGATTAAGCTTTAATATGCTTTACTGTGGAAAAGAATCAAAGACAATCAGAAAGATTCATGTAGGATGGGAAAATAAAAGAATAATGGTAATCACTGGAAATTTAAAAATTCAGGAAAATGGTTTAGAAGAAAAATTCATAAATTCAATATTTCATGATTAAATTTGAATTGGTAAAGAATATCTGTGGGTTATGTCTCATAAGGACTATAAATGGAGTGCAGATAAATGGGTAGCATAGGCTGTACAGACTTGAAAGTCATTCATAGAGAACCAGTGTCATGGGTGTGAATGAAAGAGAAGAGGGACTGTCTATAGATGGAAATGGGCAGAGGTTTGATGGTAGAGAATGAAATGATACAATTAAGAATTTGGAATTTTTAAAGCTGACTTTTACAGACTGAGAAGACAATCAAGGCATGATCTCATGGAAACCAATAGAGAAAGACAGTTCTAGATCATGGTGTCATATCATGGTGTTACATGGTATAGAAGTCAAAAGGGGTGAGAACTTAGTAAGCGCAAATGTAGGCAACGTGGTAAGGAAGATGTTTATGGTAATTTCAAAACTGTGGTTCAAGGTTACAAAGTTAAAACACAACAAACTGTGCATCCAAGCAACGATTCAAAGAAGCCCATGACTATGTTTACAAAGAATGGTAAAATGAGATGTTCATGTGTTGGCTTTTTCAGCCATAAGCTCCACATACTGGAAACAACGTCAATGAGAACAATGACGTGCCAACACAAAGATACACAGTAAGTTAAGTGTAGTTCTTATTTAAATATTTGTAGTGTGAAAGATCTATATTTTCTTTTGCTATAAACAAAGAATTTGTTTCTAACTTAATTAAATAAGGTCCTGGTGTGGCATTTATTTTGTTCAGTTCCTGATTAGTTAATTGATGTTGAAAGCTCAACAGCAGAGATGCTATAGGAATGGACAACTTACAATAATTAATCTATTCATAGGTATTATTTTGCACTAGTTTAATAAACTCTAATTGCTTCTTGTTATTGTTTTTATATTCTAAGTTCCAAGAGATGGGAACACACAAATGAACAAGTAAGAGAATGTCAAGGAGTCAAATATTAAAACCTGAATTATGTGTTGAGGTGGGGACAGGAAATAAAGGAAACAGGAAAGTTTCATAGAGAAGATGATTTTGAGATGACTCTTGAAGGAAGATTAAGAAGGTCCTAGTTAGATAAAAATGGGAGAGAGATAGGAAATATTCAAGACAGAGGGAACACTATGTTCAGAAGCTTTATAATGAGGTGTAAGGAGGCATGGATCAGAGTGGCAAGAGATGAAAGATAAGCTAAAGAAGTAGACTCAGTAAAGATTGTGACAAATCTTATATGCTTTACTAAAGATTTTTTTTTTCCTGAAGGTAATAGGGAGTCGTAATTCTGGCCTCAATGTGGAAGCCAAATTAGAAAAGACACTTAAGATAGGGGGATAATTTATAAATGGCTGTGGGAATGGAAACAGTATCACAATATGAGAGATGTAGTAGGAAGTAGAATTGCCAGCATTGGGATAACCAAAGAATCAAAGATGGAATGTAGTCTGTAGAAATGATGTAATTAAACTTTGAACATTATCTCATATTCTACATTGTCTCATTTAAATTGATTCCCTTTATCGTCGATATTTTGCAAATGCTATTATCCCCAATATCATCAATGAGGAGAGAAAGACTCAGCAAGGCAAAATTACTTGCCAAAGGTCACTTAGTTAATAAATGGCAGAGATGAGATTTAACTCCATTGATATAAACCACCCTCTCAATAACTTTCCCAAGCCCCAGTATCATCATCTGTAAATGCAGATTGTAATAGTACATGCCTCAAAGAGATGTTGTGAAAATTAGATGAGATTATGTTTGTAAAGCTCTTAGCCCAGTGCCTGGCTAGATGTTAGTTATCTCGTTATATCATAAGGCTAGAATCTCGTTATATCATATCTCAGTATAGAAATATTAAGATTATACAAGAGTCATGCATGTGAGAATGGGGAATGGGATGGAAACTGTGGGAAAGTCATAAATTCTCATTTTTCTGTGAAGTGGTTGGTCATGACAGCAGCTGGGAGGGAGCACAAAGAGAGTTAGAGAATCTGAAGGCTTGAGACACACTTTAAGTGGAACAAGAGAATGAGAGGCCTAAGAATACAATATGTGGTACTATGAGCTACATAGTAAATTACTTTTACTCAATAATTACGGTGCCTCAAGAAAATGAAACAAAGAAATACCTGCTCTGCAACTATTTTGAACACAACAATGATATTATGGGATATTTAAATTATATCACTGCCATATGAAGAATAAAGCAGTTGTTGAAAAATGCTCTTAAACTAAAATGATTTCACTACAACACATTTTCAAAGGAATATTAGTCTTGTCAGATAACAAAGAACAAACAGTTATCTCTCATTCTTTCATTCTCTCAATAAATATTTATTATGTACTCTCTAAAGGAAATATGCATTGTTAAGCCAATATGCTATAAATCAACCACACCTACAAATTGTTTTTAAAATTTAAATGAAATGAAGTTAACATGTTCAAAAGAAACAAAAGTCTACTCAGGTTAAAGAGTCATAGGCAAACCAACATACTCAATCTGAAGTTACCGTTTCTAGGAATAATGCAATTAAAATGGACTTCTGCTAAATACTACATGGTTGATAAACAACAGTGTCAAGTTAAATTTACTTATAATCTACAAATGTATTAGATAACTGCTGCCTTTTATTTTTGATTAGTTATATTCTAGCGAAATTATGACTAATTGATAAAGTTGTCCTTTCTTCCAAAGTAAAAAATCGCATGACAATATAGGAGATCTATCACCATGAATTAATTTATCTTCAGAAAATCTTTCACTGTTTTTCTTTTTTGCTGTCAATATTTGACAAAGTAAGCTTTGAGAAGGAAAGGAACTAAGGCATTATTTCCAAAATTATTTGATTATGAAAACTAGTTATTCAAAATTAATTTTGAAATTATTAAAGGATTTATAATTTTTAGAAGTCTGGATAGTTTCACAATCAAAAATAAAACTAATCTTAAGATTCTTATGTGAACTTCAACACAATATGAAAGTCTATTTTAAATGAACAGTTTGAGGTTCGAACACAGTAGCTCATACCTATAATCCCAGTGCTTTGGGAGGCCAAGGCGGGAGGATTACTTGAGTACAAGAGTTGGAGGCTACAGTGAGCAATAATTGTACCACTGCACTCCAGCCTGGGCAACAGAGGGAGACCCTGTCTCTAAAAAAACAATAAAAAATAGATAATTTCAATAGTCTATAAATCAGCAATAAAACCAAACTTAAAAAAAAGAACAAATTCCATTTGAGCATGGACTTTGATAATGAAAATACTCTGAATTTAATTAGACCTGAAACCAAGTGTAGTTTATTTTTTAAAATCATCTTTCCTGAAAAGGAAACTAACATGTGTGCTTTTAATATGAGAAATCTATTAACGTCTCACTTTATATTATTAGTTCTTATGTTGATGCAATTCAAGTTTATTGTTACCAGGAAATGTAGTCTATTTTTTTTCCAGAGGCTCAGTGAAATATTTGCTTTTAGCTTATTTTATAGCAGATACCTTTTACAATTATGGCTACTTCCTTTTAGAATTTAATGCCTTATTTGCAAACTTTAAAAGAAAATTAAAGTAAAAAATATGTTATTAATTAAAATATTATTTTGTACCCTATGTATTTGCTCCACAAAAAACTTTAATAAATTAAGTTAAAATTAAATAGCATGACATAAACTTAGAAATTAAGGTTTTATATTGAAATACTGTGTGACAATATTTTTACAGTAAAATAACTCCAGAAAATAATTTTTCAAATTTCTCACCCACATCCCTTCAGTTAGAGGTTTTTGATGGGCATTGATTGATGATTTTTTTCTTTTTTCCTTTTTCTTTTCTTTTCTTTTTTAAAAAACTGTTGTCATGGAAGGCAAACAACTTATTGACTTCTCTTCCATACTTCTATGTCCCACAAATCACTGTTCAGGATTAAGGGTTTGTGGAATGAACACCTTATACATGGGCAAATCACCAGATGGAAATATAAATATATGTAGCTCAGAAACAATTTAAAAAATTTAAAAGTGAGATTACATCTACTTGGGTAATTATAACAAAATTTCATTTTATTAAGTATTTTCCAAAGTTACTTAAATATTAAAATCTACCTGTAAAAAACCGTAAGCTCCTCATCCAGTCCCTGAAATGCTGCGTTCGTTTCAATTTAGAATCGAGATTGTTTGTCCTTCTAGAGCACCTGTAGGGAAAAACCGGTGTCTCTTCCTTGTGATTGGCTGTTGCCATGGATACGCTTTGTGTAGCGGCTATGGGCGCTGTCTTACAACAAAGCCAAGGAATCTCGCTGCTGAGGGGTGAGCCGGGGTCTTAAGACTGGGATTCCCGTTGAGGGAGGTGAACAGCTGTGGGAGCTCAGGCCGAGCCGGGACTCTCTCTGCCTGGCCAGACTTCCAGCAAAGGGAGAGACCGCGGGTCAGGGGATGGCTGTGCGACTCTGCGAAGCTCGAGGCTCCCTTCCACCCTGGAGATTTCGAGAACTCATTCAAAACTTAAAGAGATGTCTTGGCTATGTAGGGATCATTCGATGGTTACTCACTCACCGCTCCCCACAAACCAATTGACGTTATTTTCCTTCCTTCCTTCCCTTCTTGTCGCCCTCCTTTCCACCCTTTCTTTTTCTGTCTCTCTTTCTTTCTTTTTTTTTTGGTAATATATAATTTATATGAACCTTATAAAGTAGATTTCTCTCCCCTTTCTTTACAGGGGTTGAAGGGGGAGTTCCTTAAGCTTTTCTACTTTTGACAGCTTTAGTGAACTCCAAGTGATTCGTTATCAACTTAGAGCACTTTAATGTAGCCCATTTACAGTGAGACCCATCCATGACTGCACGTCATATACAGTAACCACTAACTGCAGGTGGCTACTGAGGACTTGAAATGCAGCTAATCCTAACTGAGATGTGCTGCAGGTGTAAAACACACAACAGATTTCTAAGAATTACTGTCCAAAGAAAGAATATAAACTCTTTGCAATGATATTAATAATTAATTTTGTTATTACACGTTGAAATATTTTGGATATATTGGGTTAAATAAAATATATTATAAAAATTAATTGCACTTCTCTTTTGTTTTTAAAAAGTTGCTAATAGAAAATTTAAACTTGCGTAAGTGCTCAAATATGTAATTGGACAGGGGTGATCTAATGAGCCAGTAGATGAACAGAGAAAGTCATGTAAAGGAAATGACTCTTACCTCCACCATACTCTCCTGCCTCTCTTTCTATATAAAGTTTAGTATACCCGTGCATTTTGCTTTGTAGGCATAAAAAAAAAATCTAGCTTTCCTTCTAATAAAGCTTTTTAAATGCACTTTGAGTTCCATTGCAGGATAATATTTTGCCCTGGTTCTGTCTGGAGTTCCATTTCACTTTGTTTTTCTTTTCTTTTCTTTCTTTTCCTTTTTTTATTTTATTTTTTATTTTTGAGTGAGTGAGTGAGGGTGGAAGTTATGGGTAGAACTGATTTTGAGATGATTGAGTAGAGTGAAAGGAGGAATTAACGAAAGGGAAAGAGGATGGAAAGAAGGAATGAAGAAAAGAACAAGAAGACAGGTGGAAAGGTCAGGCCCTTGAGTAAAGAAAGAAAGGTTTAAACTAGTGTCATGAAAAATAAAATGATAGCTGACTAGTACGTTTTCAAACCTTTTTTGGGACTAAGACCAACAGTGAAAAATAAAAAACAGAACATTAACAACAACACATATTACATTGCAACTCATGCATACATACCTACATTTATATGTATTAATAACTGAAACAAAAATTTTATAAACAATTCTGATCTTTATTATATATAGTAAAATTATATAAACATATAAATCAATAAGAGTATTAGCGTACAATTACAGTTGATCATTTTGTAGTCAAAGTTTAAAAAGAATGATTGAAGAGATAAAACAATGTTTGGTGTAACCATAATAAGGTGTGATAAAAGTTTGTTAAATTAAAACATATTTAAATAAATATGTTGGATTGGTATGACAAATTAGAGAACACATAATTTTTAGTGACATATTAGCCTCTTCATTTTTTAAAGCAGTTCTGTGCTTTATTATGAAGAATAATGGACGATGATGATGCAAAGCTCAAAGCAGAAATAGAAGCTGAATTGGATAAACTCAGCATTTCCTCCTTGGAAAAAGAAGACATTGAGAGTGATGCAAAATCAGAAACCCAGAGTGATGATAGTGATACAGTGAGTATTGCACTTTTGAGCCTTTTAACAGGAGTAGGCTTTTCAGGAGAAATATTACTTTTCTCAGGATGTTTTTATGTACTTCTCATTTTTAGCAGCATTGTTATAAACAATTTATATAAATATAAATTATATTGAATATATATAGTCACCTATACATCTTCGTAAAATTGGGATTATCATTATATATATTTATATCCTGATTTTTGTTTTTACTTGTGAACATTTTAGCATGATTAAATTACATGGGAAGAAAAATGTATATGAAATCTTTTGACATATCAAAATGGTTACTTTTGGAAATAAAACAAATTATCCTTTTATTTGTGTATATTTACCAATGTTTATATGCTTCAGAGTTTATTCATAGATTTATTCATTTATACCAATATCCTTAATCCAACTGGAATTTATTTTCAGGAATGTTATGAAATGTAGAACTAATTTGAAAATCTCCTGCACATATTGAGCTAATATTTCCAGTGTCTCTTGTTTAATAATCTAATTTTTCTCAATTGATTTATCATATGTCTTACTGATAGTTATTGTACATATGATCTATCCAAGGCTGTCTGTTCTTTTCCATTACTTTATTCATTATTTTCCTACTGTTGTATATTTGTAAATATTGAGTGGACCAAATTCTTCACATCTTTTTATCATTTGAAAATCTTAACTAAGCTTTTTTTGAAAAAGAAAATTTTTTAAAGATTTGAGAACTTTGTTATTTTATTAGGATTGCACTAAACCTACCTATTACATTTAGAAAAATTAACATTGTTACATTATTATGTCTTTTATCCAGAGCTCATTTAAATGAGGCAAAAAAATCTGAAATTCTTTATTTGAGTATGAAATCCAACAGAATAATGGATTGTTTTATATTTTATTATACCTTTTTATATAAAGGAAGAAGAAAATTTTAAAGCCCTTCTGTTTCAATTAAGATACCTCACTATTATTTATATCACTTAGAATCAGTGTAAGTATTATTACCAGGGGAAAAAATTATTAACTAAGGATTTACAGATTATGAACTATATTTCCCAAGACATAACAACAATCTCTACAATCCAGGTAGCTTAGAATTCTATTTCTTAGTTAAACAAGAAATAGAAATCTCAATGCAGGACAGATGTCAGAAAAGTAGAATTGATATTTTTGTCACTATTTTTAATACACTACTTTATCAGGACTCATTTTATGACATATAATTTTACATGCTTTTCTGTAGTACTAAAAGAAAGGTAATATTTTCTCATTATCTTCTAATGTTCATTCTCAAAACTAAACACTGAATTCCATTAGTTAGGATAGAGAAAATAAAGCTGGCTGTAAATCCTAAATTCAACACATGAAAACCCAGTATGGCAGACAATATTTGTTTTTAGTTAAATAAAAGCAGGTGCATATCATGTTCTTCTATATAGAAGCATTTATATCGTTTCATTGATGCCATGCTTGAGGTCCCTCAGTGAAGTGTTGTCATCATGTAGATATATGTAACTTCAAGATTATTATTAAAGTTGTTCCTAGATGCTTCAAGTATTTTGTTGTTATGAATATTATTTATTTGCATTATATTTTCTAACTAGTTACGGTGTTTATGGAGGAAGGAATTTTATTTTTGCATTTTGCATATCAATATATTTAGCTATTTAGAAAATTTACAAATCGAGTTACATAGGCTATATTGGTAGATATTTTATAATAGCTTACAAATGTGACTAAATTTGTGTATGATAATCACAAAGCCAGTTTTGAATGTAATAAATAATTATATCAGGTATTAGTTTGATATTAAATATTTTGAAAAAATAATCTTGCAGTTTTGATTAATATTTGATAATATTTATTTGAAGTTGGAATTAATCTAAAAATATATACAACTATTGAGGGCATTCAAAAATAAACAGCCTGTAATAAAGTTAACGAAAGTGATGTGTAGGTAACTCTTTTCATTTGTTTTCTTAGAGTTTTCTAGAAATGCACAACCACCTGAAAATTAAAAGTAAACTCTAGCCAAATATATTTGTCTGAACTGTGCTGTTTATATGGAATCTTTTTACTTCATTTACATGTTTTGGTCACATTTTTGCTGTGGAATGAAGGGTCCAAAATTTGACACATAATTTTGATAATAAACACTTTCACAGTTTCTTGTATTATTCAAATTTTTAGGATTCAGTTGAATTACCAGAATCAGTTCTTCACTGTATTAACATCATAAAGAACAGGAGTAAAGCTGTTGAAGAGCTCATTCTTCAGGACCTGGAAGATACTGATATTTTAAGTAAGTACTATTTTCATCTGTCTGGCAGATAAGCTTTCTGTAAGTATGAACAAATTATAATTTAGTAAACTAAAGTGCTTAAAGTTCTTATCTCTTACTGTGCACATGTGTATACATTTAGTGTATTTCTAATATATCTACAGTATATTGGACTGTTGGGTTTAGTTCATTCATTTTTTTTTTACTATCTTTCTTAGGTCTTCAGTAAATACCATCAGCATTTTGTTTCCGCAGTCCTAATTAATACCAGACATCCTATTATTTTATATTAAAGAAAATAAAACTAATCAAGAGAATTTTTTTGGCAGTATCAGTATATACATCTTTTTTTGGGAAAAATATAATCACTTATTTGAAAAGCCCAACAGTATTTTGCTTGAATTGTGCAAATTTACTTCTTGGAATTGTTCTAAGACTAATGGAAAGATCGAAGATTTAATTAGAATTAACCTTGGCTTGGTTTATAATGAGAAATGGCAGCATTCTAAATGTTCAACAAGACCTTTTTTGTTGACTAATAAACCTATTTTTAAAAATGACAGACAAATATTTAATGTAAAAAATATTCATGATATGTTAAAAGCTATTTTAAAATTAAATGGCATTTATGTATTAGTATAAATTACAATGTAGATATTCATATTCATTCAATAAATATTGCTTTGTGATAGAATGTGTTCTAGTCACTAAGAATACAGCAGTGAACAAAACAGGCAAAGATTCTGTTTCTCTGTTTTAATGTTCCAGTGTAGGGAGACAGATAATAAACAAATATGCAATATTTCAATAGTGATAACTGCTATGAAGGAAAAAAATGTAAGGAGATAGAGACTGGAGTTTGCTATTTTAAATAGTCAGGGAAGGTCTCTGTGACAAGGTGATATTTGAGCAATGACTTAATGAATGTAAAGCTGAGCCACATGGTTATCTAGGAAGCCTGTATTCTGGAAAGAGGGAAGTATAAAGGCCCACTGAGTGGATTTAATATGTTTGAATAACAGCAAGTAAACGTTTCTGGTTGTATGTGAGAAAACAAAGGATTAGATGATATAGGACTCTTCCAAACTATTTTGTGGACTTTGGATTCTATTCTCAACATATAAAAAATTTTGAGTAAGCAATGACAGTATCTGAATTTTATTTGGAAACAATCATTCTGTTGACTGTGTAGAGAATATGCCTTGAGGTAGTCAAGCTACTACAAGACTATTGCAATAATATGACAAGAGATGAGAGTGGTTTGAGTAGACATGAAGAAATATGGTCATATTCTGGACATTATTTTAAGGTAGAAAGAGAAGCATATATTGGTGGACTGGTACAAAATGAAGAAAGGAAGGTGGCTCCAAGAATTTTGTCCCGAACACCAGCATGAATTGCTATGTAAAGATTTACTGTATATTTTGACAATGATTATCTATGGTTGAATTATGAAGAATGTTGACATGTTTTGTTTATTTTTACTCAGGTTTAAACACTGAAAATATAAATACATTGACAGGTATACAGCCTATTTATAGCCTAATTATAAAAAAAATCAAGGAAAACACAATTGTAGAAATTAGTTACATGAACTGAGATACAACTACAGTTACAGCAGTGGTTTAGAAAATTATGAGATCTTGTATATAACTCTAACCTAATCTAATCTAATCTGATTTCTAATAAGATCAAATAAATCAGAGCCTTATAAAAGATATTTGACAATCGTAATGAATAAAGTAATTTTCCCAGAAAATTTAAATTAATTTAATTATTTAAAATCGTTAATTATTTAAATTATTTAAAATTATTAAATTTATCTTAGTAAAATTAAGTATAAATTATTAAAATTATTTTAATTTATTAAATTAAAATAATTGTTAAAATTATTAAATTTATTATCATCATAAGTTTATTATTCATTAAATTATACTAATATGTATTATTTATTAAATTTGAATTTATTGAAATTTAATTTAAATTATCCTGTGTAATAATTTAATAATTTACATTATGTATTCATTCTTATATGAATTATTTAATTTAAATTATTTATTACATTATTTGTTACACGGGATGATAGTTTAAAATTAAATTAATGATTTTTCAAGAAAACAAATTATCAAAATTATTTGAAAAAGTGAAAAACAAATCAATAATATGGCAAAGAGGTGGAAAGAGATTTTTCAAATGTTGCTAAACTAGGAAAGATGTTATAACTAAATTCTTACAACCTATTAAGGAGCAAAAATACTTTATTTCTAAAAGCTATATATTTCAGATCAAAATTGTACAAGCATAGCACAGATAAAAGAAACTAGAAGCTAGTTGCACTTATGAATATAGATGATTGGGGTTCTCAGTTGTAGAAAACAGACACTCTAGCTACTTTAGGCAGTAAGTTTTTTTGTTTATTTTTATAAGGAGAGATGTTCTAAATATTTATTGCTGTGTTATGAATATAGATGTATTGATCGGGGTTCTCAGTTGTAGAGAACGGGCACTAGCTGCTTTATGGGCAGTAAGGTTTTTTGTTTATTTTTATAAGGAGAGATGTTCTGAATATTTATTGCTGTGAAACAAAGTTAGAAAGTTAAAATAATTTATTACTATATCTTTTGGTTCTGTTGGTTGACTGGGCTCACCTGGACAGTTCTTGCTTGGGTTTTTCATGCATTTATAGTCAGATGTTGATTAAGTCTGTAGTCATCTGAAGGCTTGACTGGATTACAAAAAAAATAGCTCATTAAAATGTCTGGCTATTGATGCAACCTGTTGGCTGGAGAGTTCAGATGTGGCTTTCAACTGGAGGCACCTACATGTAGCCTCTCTCTGTGGCTTTCGCTCCTCAGATCATGTAGATTCTGAGAAGTGTTCTACAGCAAAATACCAAGAGACCAAGGTGGAACCTTGTAGGGCTTCTCATGATCTTTTCTCAGACATCATGCGTCATTTCTGCCACATCCTGATGGTCACGCAGGGTCAGCTTATGTCCTATGTGAGAGGGAACTACACGGGATATGTATACCAGTAGGTGTGATTCTTTGGGAGAAACATCTTTGTTTCTATAGTAGATAGAGACTATCTACTAGAATAAGTAACCGAGTTATTAATAAGACTGAAGAAGCAGTCTCTAGTCTAAACATCCAAGGTGTAGAACAAACCCCACACATATATCATAAAACTGGGCTGCATCAGAAGCTGCTGTCTGCTATACTTAAGAAGTTCAGAGACATTAATCCTCTACTATACACTCCTGTCTCCCAACTCCAAGCTCCTTCTACCACATTCTGGCTCATAGAAATTAAAACATCATCACCTGCCTCCCTTTATACATAATAATTTATGAAAAAAAGAGTTATGTAAATATATTTATGGACATAAACTAAATCACTCTCAGAAATCTAGCTGCAAAGGTATCTGGATGATGTCATTTTTTTCTTTTTGACCTCTCACACAGGAAAGCATGCCAGAAAGGTAGTGAATAGGTGTTAAAAGAAAATCTATAATATCTGACAAAATAGGTGTGAATAATCAGTTAGCCAGCAGAATGGTCCTCTGTAAAGTTAGTTTGCTATTAGGAAACATTACCATGTTATAACATATTAATTGAATGAAAGAAAATAAACATAACTACATCTGCACACATAATTAAAAATTATAAAATTCAACAACTCATAAAATAAGAAATATAATTCCTCTTCATTTACATGGTAATAATTATAATTTTTAAATTAATATTTTTATTAAAATGTTTTCAATATCTTGTGCAAGGTCATGTCTGGTTTGTGGCAGATAGAGTTGAATTTTTGTTGATTTCTAATCAAGATGCCGTTGCAATATCAAGCCAGGCATGATCCTTTTTGCCTGGGAAATAAACTTCAGGCACTAGAATATGGAAAATGATAGAGTCAAAGCACTTTAGAAATTTATTACTTTTATTTTTAGAATAAATATATCAGATTTCCTCTATTGTTTATTCTTAATAATTTTTCTGTTATTCTGAGTTACTCTTACTGATCAACAATATACCCTGATAGAATTTGAGGTTAAAAATTAAGAAAGGGTTTGAAATTTTGAGATGTTGTATTGTACTCTAATATTGGAAGTTATATACATTTTTTCTTTCTCTAGGCTGTAGTTATGGAGCAGTTTCTAATAATCATATGCATTTAAGAACAGGACTATCAACTGAATATGAAGAAAGTTCAGAGCAATTAATTAAGGTATATATTCAATATTTGACTTAAAATATTCACTATTACAATTAGAAATTTTCTCTCTTACACAAGATTGATACTTCACTGATTTTAAGTTCACTGATTTAAATATTAAAAATTTAATTATTCTTAAGCAAATCATCTGTGGTTTTATGGTTTCTTCTGGCATATGATATAAAAACACTCAATTTTCAGTCTTTAAGAATATTAAAAGTGGTGGGTTGAGCCATTTATACCTGGCAATTTAATGTGCATGTAGATAAAATAGGAGAACTATATTACACAAATTTTGTTGTCTAAAAATTCTGAGGAAAATAATGAATATACTCTTATTTACTCTTTCTTAGGATTGTACTATGTTCCTGCAGAGACGTTATAGAAAATTTAAATTTACAATACTTTATAGTAGTTTTTAGAAACAAATAAAAGAAAAACTTACTTAAAAAATAAGAAGAGCCTTAGCAGTTTAAGTTAAAAATCCCACAAATGGATTTAAGAGAAAGTCTCTCCTAAAGATTCACTTCTTAGATTGACTTTTACCTCTCATTTTATCCAGCTTTCTCTCCTTTTACCTATTTCTCCTCCCTAATGTGTTTAACATAATTTGAAAATTTCTTATATATCTCATTCTTTTTTAATGTTTTACTCTATTGAATTTTTTGTAATACTCAAATTTGAAATATTAATTTTCAATTATTATACTGTTACTTCCTTGGAATAAATAGCCTGTATCTTTCCAACTAAAGTATGGTGAAAATATAATTATGGAAAATAATTGATATAAATGATGTATATATAATTTAGGTTACAGAATAGTTCTCTTTCGTATCATATAGAATATATAAAAAGTTTGTGTATGTGAACAGTCACTACAGTCAGAAAAATAGAATATATTAAAAGGAAAACATTAGTAGAAACATTTTGAAGTGATTGTCAGATGGTTTAATTGAATATTGTGGAATAATACTAAATAATATTAAAGACTTATTAGAGTTCCGAAAAACATAAGGAGGGTTACTAATGCTTGCATGGGAAAATTTTTTATTCATTGTAAAGAGAATAATTATCAATGTGCTGCAGATTTGTATTTGAGAGATATCTGGAGTACATTAAAATTCTTGGTATATACATATAAATATTTAATGTATTATTAAAACGACAGCTTTACTCTCTATTTTGATTTTCTTTAATCATTGGTACTCATTTAACCTCTTAGATATTATCTGAAATAGAAAAAGAAGAATTTATGAGAAGTAAAACCGATTGTGCCACTCCTGATTTTGTTCCTGAGCCTAGTCCTCATGACTTGCCTATGGATGAACATGTTTTACCAGGTGGACTAAATTGCTCAATGATATGTTTGTTGATTTTTATATGATTGATCATAGTTATTTAAAAAAAATTGGACAGTTGATGTTTGTTCTGATATTTAGAAAAGCAATTACAATGTTTGAAGATTATTGTGCCTTTGCTATACTTATTAAATTACATATCATCATACTTTTATGCCTTCTAAATTTACTTGATTTAAATATTTTTTCCACATGTTCAGCTGATTGCAATAGACTTGACTATCCCTGACTTTATTTAGTATCTCTTAACTATCTCTTAATGACACACATACACACACACACTTGTGGGTTTATTTTTATATTAAGTTTTGTGGAATATTTTAAGTCAACTTATGTAACTTTATTCACTTTGGTGAAATTTCTACGTCTATTCAACAATGTATTTTATTGTTGCATATTCTCGCTTTGGGAATATGTTAACATTATTTTTTTACTTTAAGATTCCTCAAGGATCTAGAATTAGAAATACCATTTGATCCAGCCATCCCATTACTGGGTATATACCCAAAGGATTATACATCATGCTGCTATAAAGACACATCCACACATATGTTTATTGCGGCACTATTCACAATAGCAACGACTTGGAACCAACCCAAATGTCCATCAATGATAGACTGGATTAAGAAAATGTGGCACATATACACCATGGAATATTACGCAGCCATAAAAAAGGATGAGTTCATGTCCTTTGTAGGGACATGGATGAAGCTGGAAACCATCATTCTGAGCAAACTATTGCAAGGACAAAAAACCAAAAACCGCATGTTCTCACTCATCGGTGGGAATTAAACAATGAGAACACTTGGACACAGGAAGGGGAACATCACACACCAGGGCCTCTCATGGGGTTGGGGGAGGGGGGAGGGACAGCATTAGGAGATATACCTAATGTAAATGATGAGTTAATGGGTGCAGCACACCAACATGGCACATGTATACATATGTAACAAACCTGCACGTTGTGCACATGTACCCTAGAACTTAAAGTAAAATTAAAAAAAAATTAAAAAAATTACTTTTATACTTTGAATTAGTTTTGACAGTTTTGATCTTACAAATGATGATGTTATTTTTCTTCATGAGTGCAGATGATGCTGATATAAATTTTGGATACTGTGAAGTGGAAGAAAAATGTAGACAGTCTTTTGAGGCTTGGCAAGAGAAACAGAAGGAATTAGAAGATAAAGAGAAACAAACTCTCAAAGCTCAGAGGGATAGAGAAGAAAAACAATTTCAAGAAGAAGAAGAAAAGCGACATTGCTGGATGAAACAATTTAAAGTTGAAAAGAAGAAATTAGAGAACATTCAGAAGGTATTTTGCTTTTGTTTTTCATGTATTTTTAAAATCAGTAGCTACCTCTGAAGAATATTGATATTTGGATTGTGTTGCAGATTGAGCTTAATAGTATGACTTTTAATTACTCTCTGATAGAGGAAGAAATTGACTGTGAATTAACAGTATTTAATATGAGGTCCTTGATTAGTTTTTATTGAAATTCATTGGAAGGTCAGACACACTTCTGATCTTGGGGGCCAATGGAGTCTATGAATTTCAAGGGTCATCATGGATAGCCTGAAATTTACAATATAAATTGTTGTTTTTCTTTATATGCTTCTAAACATTGGAAAAAGCAATGAAAAATTCTTGAGTATGCATTAACCTTGCTCTGTGGTCTGGCATATGACATGTAAAACATATTTAAAAGTAGTTCAACCATTTAGAGTCAGTCTGCGCCCCACCTTCATAATTAAGCTACTTCCTTGAACTGGCAACTTTTTGGTGTGAAGTTTTGTACTGTTTTCATTTCTGTCGTATGTGTTGTTGGTGTTGTTTTCCCCCTAGGAGATCCACACAATCAGATCATAGTGGTGGTATATCGGTATTGAGAAACTGGTGGATTTTAGGACACCACTTGCAGGTCATGAGAACCTTAGAATATTTGGATAACAGGCATGACTGACTTCTCTATCTTTCATGATTAAAGTTGATTTATACATTATCCAGAACTTGCTGGGTTTGAGTGTTGCATATAAAGAACATTAGCTTGTTCAACATTTTTTAATCCTCCATGTTGAGGACATTTCATTTCTTGACTGTGTAGAAAATAAACACATTAAAGGCTGGGCGCGGTGGCTCACGCCTGTAATCCCAGCACCTTGGGAGGCCGAGACGGGTGTATAACGAGGTCAGGAGATCGAGATCATCCTGGCTAACACGGTGAAACCCCGTCTCTACTAAAAATAGAGAAAATTAGCCAGGCATAGTGGCGGGCGCCTCTAGTCCCAGCTACCCGGGAGGCTGAGGCAGGAGAATGGCGTGAACCCGGGAGGCAGACCTTGCAGTGAGCCAAGATCGTGCCACTGCACTCCAGCCTGGGCGACAGAGCAAGACTCCGTCTCAAAAAAAAAAAAAAAGAAAGAAGAAAAAAGAAAATAAACACATTAAATTGTAATATTGTAGAACCAGTTATGCCATGACTTTTTCTAATAGTAAGATATGAATCTTTAATTTTCCTTTAGTTATGTTTTCTTTCCCATAGACCAGAATGACATAGTCATTTCTGAGATCAAAAGCTTTAAAAAAAAGAAATCCAAAATAGGATTGAGTATAATGTAGATTATTGGAGTAGTATTTGTTGGTTTGTACTAAAATACATAATTGCTATTAAGTGTTAGTAGTATTTTCAGATTTAAGAAACATCTGATTTCAATCCTATTCAGCAAAGTTGTCATTTTTATTTGTTTTATAACCAAAATTTGCTGACTACCTTAAGGGCAAAGCATTCAGCTGTGTGCTTAGATGATGCAAAAGAGATCTAACAGCAAATCCCACCCTCAAAGAATTATAACTTATTTTTTTGAAACTAATTTGCAATTTATCATATAATTATGATTTAAGGAAATGCAATAATATTAGGTGTAATGAATTCCTAAATATGTCCTTCATTATGCCTTGGAGCTTAAAAGTTTCCAATGGTTCTAGCCCATATTTTGTATGATTGACTCTAAATATATAATTTACTTTCTGTCAGTAGTTCTTTCCTGGGTTGTTTGTTAGCTGCCTCTCCATTCCCCAAAATAGCAATCATAAATCTCTTAAGAATTACACCCAATTCCTCCCCCCTCATTATTAGCAAATAACCACATAACATTTTTTTGCATCAAATACAAACTTCCTCTTTGAATTACACAGCTATTTAGTATCAACATCTGTACTCATCCTTTTTAAAATTATTATTGGCCTTCCCTCCTATCCCAGTAAGAAATGCTTCTTTCTTCTGCCAAAGGTTAGCTTTTCCTCCTCTACTTTATATTTTATCAGTTTTCAACCTACACCTGCTTTTTCTATATGCTGAAACACTCCTATCATCTTCCTCCTTTTTTATTGTTTATAAGCATGTTCAATTTCCTCCCATCCTAAAAATAAAACAAAAGAAAAATCGTGAGATCATTCTTATGTTTTTCTTTAGCTGTTCTTTGATTGGCTTTTTAAAGGCTGTGTATGATAGGCTTCTTAAAGAGTGGTTATTTATACTGTATCAATTTTTTCATTTCTCATCCAATTCTAATCCTGCTAGGTTTTTTGCAGCATTACCACACTGAATGAAACTGTTCTTGAGGAAGATAACCAATGACTTCTATATATTATACTCACAGGTTTCTTTCAGCTATTTTGGACTCTGTAGCATTTTATGCCAGCAAAAATTTGATGGTTGACCATTTTACTTTCCCTTGACTTCTGTGAGATCACATTGTCTTGATTCTGTCACATCTTTGGCAATTACTCATTGATATCCATTTTAGACTTCATTTTCTCTCTCTGTCCTTGTGTTTTCCATTAGGCTGTTCCTGCATTGCTATAAAGAAAATGCCTGACACTGGGTAATTTTTAAAAGTGGCACACACTTTTAAATGACCAGATCTAATGTGGACTCAGAGCAAAATCTCACTTATCACCAAGGGGATGGTCAAAGACCTTCATAAGGGACCTGCTCCCATGATCCAAACACCTCCCACCAGGCCCCACCTCCAACACTGGGGAGTAGAGTTCAACCTGAGATTTGGGTAGGAACTAACATCATGGATTCTATTTTTGTCCCTTTCTTTTCTTACTCCATATACCTCCACCTTGATAATTTCATCTTAATGAATTCCCTAATGTGTCCTTTATTATGACTTGGTGCTTAAAACAAATGACCGTTGATAACCAAATCTACAATTGTATCAAAACAAGGTAGACTACATAACTCTCCTACAAAAACTGCATACTCAGAGAACTTTATGTATCTAAAACTGAATGCATTGTCTTTCTTTCTGAGTTGTTCTTCCCTGGAATTCTTAATTTTGATAAGCCACACTATTATCATTAGTCCAAGATAGAAAAATGAAGGTAATGTTTTATTCTTCCTTCTTTTTTATTACTATCTTTGATCCAATTATTGTATTATCCATCTTCGCATCCATGTACTTTACAGCTCCTTTGTAGTTCAAGCTGCCTGAGGGTCTAACTTGGGATATTTACTATATTCTCTAATTGGTCTCCCTACCTTTGGTCTTACATTTCTCACACTTATCCATAGCACTGTCAGACAACTATTTATTTAAAAATACGTTACTTCCATGCTTAAACCTCATCAAAAATTCCCATAGCTCATATGAGATAATGATCAAAGAACTTTTCCCACTTTTTAAAATATCTAATGAATTGGTAATTTGTGGCAATTTCATGTTTACGTTGTCTTTGCATTTGTTCTCACTCTTGCTACCTATCTACAGAAGGTCCTACTCATTCTCACATGGTCATTTCCGATGCTTTCTGATACAGTTTGGATGTTTATCCCCTTGAAATCTCATGGAATCACCAGTGTTGGAGGTGGGGCCTAGTGGGAAGTATTTGTGTCATGGAGGTGGATCCCTCATGAATAGCTTGGTGCTCTCCCCATAGTAATGACTGAGTATTTGCTCCGTTAGTTGCCACAAGATCTGACTGTTAAAAGGAGCCTAGCACTTTCTCCTCTCTCTCTCTCTCTCTCTCTCGCTCCCTCTCTTGCCATGTGACTCACTGGCTTCATTTCTCTTCCACCGTGAGTAAAAGCATCCTCAGGCCTCACCAGAACCAGATGCTGGCACCGTTCTTCCTGTACAGCCAGCAAAATCGTGAATTAAATAAACCTCTTTTCTTTATGAATTATCTAGCCTCAGGTGTTCCTTTACAGCAACACACTAATATAATTTGCTCACTGATCTCATTGTCTCCTTGGTTCTCTTTTAATTTTATCTAATGTAAACTGATGATTTTCATAAAAACAGTGATGTAATTATTTTCCTAGCTCAAAATGCTTAATAAGTGCCAAAAATGTTTCTCTTCTTGAAAACCTAGTGATTTCAAATACAGTCTTTTGCATAAAACCTTTCATGATCTAATTATCATGCCCATTATTATTTTTTATATTTTTCTCTTGCAATAAACTTATTCTGCTAGATTTTGGGTAATGTGTAAATTTATGATAGTGTCTTCACATTATCAGAAGAGTTTTTGAAGAAGGGGGTTGTATTTTACTGATCTGTTTATTCTGAGGAGTCTTATCGAATGTGTTGATAAAAACTTATTGAAAGAAAACCATCACTTACTGAACTGATTTATGTGAATTAAATGGTATGACATGGTGAGAAAACAATTGTAACACAAAACCCATTTTACAAACATTATTGTAATTTTTACAATGCCTAACAGTGTTTCGAGCCAATACATTATATTCTGTGAATAAACATACTCAAATAAATACAACTTTCCTAGGTTGCAAACTTCTTTATGTTCTCAGAATGGAAACCCTAGGTATTATGTGACACTTCAGTTTGAGATTAAAGTTGTTATCCCAGTACTAAAAATTGAAAGCCATTGGTTGGGTTGTCAGCTTTAACTATTGTTTACAAATATATGTTATGAGAATCATATATAATTAACATAATATTTTTGATATTTGAGTATAGTCATATTTATTATTATCATATGTTCAGCAAGAACAGGACAAGATGAATGATGAACTCTATAAAGAAGAGAAAATTTGGAAAGAGAAATTTAAACAGCATGAGGTATCTATTTGTTGTTTTTATTTAGCACATTAAGCTTTCTTTATTTGAAATACATTACTATGCTTGAAATGGTTATTTTTAGATAATGCTGCCTAAGTAGTATAAGATTTTAGTTTATTACAGCATTAAAAATTTATTAATCCTCAGAAACACTCCTTGAAATAGAATGTCTTAAAAATGAGAGTTAGCTGGTTTGGTGAGTGTTGTCCGTATAAAATTGTAATTCTAACATTTCTTTTAAGGTTTGATGAAATGTACCATTTTGAATATTTCTTTATGTTCAAAGATTGTTATGAAAGCTTACTCTTTTTCCTAAACACAATTAAATTTGTTTTGAATATAAGATTATTCTGATGA
The DNA here is from genome assembly GCF_000001405.40 of Homo sapiens. NCBI lineage: Eukaryota > Metazoa > Chordata > Mammalia > Primates > Hominidae > Homo > Homo sapiens. The sequence continues at coordinate 85,052,609 of NC_000012.12, forward strand.
TACATATACTGATGTTTTAGTTTTTATTTACTCTAGAGTTTTCATATACAATTATTTTAAGTAATTACAAATTTAAAGTAGATATCTCCATAATCCTGTTATTTAGCTAAACATTATCCTTTTTTGTATTCCTTTCAAATCTTTTTAAAATTTATATAAACCCGCTCCTGCAAAAGTAGGTGTCTACTACACATTGTCAAATTAAAAAGCTGGTTAAGCATGTAAAGAGACAGAGTCATATGAATGACAAGTGACAAAAAAAGACAATAATAGCTCACCTATAGATAATCCAAATGGTAAGTATAGTAGAGCTGTTAAAATACCTATAATTATCATCCAGTAGCAAAATACTTAAACAGGTGATGTGAAAAGAAAAATAGCATCTATAATGAAGTACCAACTCTACATTCTAGAGTTTAAAAAATTCAGTATATAAAATTAAAATTTAGTGGGTGAATTTGATTGGACATAGCAGATGACACCATTAGTGAAATGAGACAGTTCAATAGAAAATATCCAAATTAAAGCACAGAGAAGAAAAAAAATTGCAAGAAGAGGAAAACAGCACAAGAAATATGTGACACATGGTGAAAAGATATAAAATTTGTATCATATCTTGAGAGGAGACAGAGAATGGGGCAGAAGCAAAGAGGTAAAGAGATAATGGTTAAAAAGATTTCAAATTGTTTTTAAAAAATCAACCAGCATATTCAAAGATGAAAAATAATTTCCAAGTAGGATAAATACAAAGAAAATGCTACCTTGGAATAAATAATACAATTATTGAAATTCAAAACAAAGGAAAAATAAAGTCTTAGAAGCATCTGGAGGATAAAAGACGCATTACCTAAAAAGGAGTAACAGTAAAACAAATAGCCATCTTTAAGTAAAATGATGGAAGAAAGAAGACGATTCAAAAAACGTAAGTATTCAATGATAATGGTTTCTTTGTTTATTAGTGTTCTTTGAATCCTGACTCTTCCTCCATTTTCTGGACTCAATTTTTAATTTCCTGTAGTATACACTTAAATAGTTGTCAAAAAACATTTTTGGATGCTAGATTTTCTCAATCTTTGTTTGCATATTTGAAAATATTTTGTTTTGTTTTTTGTTTTTTAAGATGGAGTCTCGCTCCGTCGCCCAGGCTGGAGTGCAGTGGCGCCATCTCGGCTCACTTCAAGCTCCGCCTCCTGGGTTCACGCCATTCTCCTGCCTCAGCCTCCCGAGTAGCTGGGACTACAGGCGCCCGCCACTGCGCCCAGCTAATTTTTTGTATTGTTAGTAGACACAAGGTTTCACCGTGTTACCCAGGATTGAAAATATTTTTAGTTTGCTTTTAAAAATGAATGGTCAGTTTCTTCGGGTGTGGAATACAGATTTATTACCACCCTTAACAATGTAAAGATATGACTTTGTTGCATATTTATTTTTGCCTGTGCTATCTATGATTGCAAATTTGATGCCTTTTCCTTACATTCTTTTGAAGCTTTAGGATTTTTCATTTTATACATTCATCCACACATATTTACTGGTTTTCTACTAGGTCAGGCACTTCTCTGAGTGTTTAAGATATGACAGTACATAAAATTGAAAATAATCCCTACTTTCAAATGCGATACACAATTTCCAAGGAGGAGAGATACAAAGAAAATCACACCTTGGAATTAAATAGTACTATTCAAATTCAAGACAAAGGAAAAATAGTGTTGGAAGCATCCAGAGGCAAAAAGACACACCACCTAAAAAGGAGCACAGTAAAACTAACAGCTTACATTCCCCAGAGGTCTGAAATATTGCTAGCATCTGTCTAAGTGTGTTGTGTATGTGTGCATGCAATGTTCGGTCTTTCTCCCATGGCTTTTTGTTGTTGTTTTTAAGAAAACGTATTTTTCTATTATTTTCTTCCCTTCAGTTTTTCTCAGTTCTTTATTCAGGAACTCCTACTAGTCATATGTTGGAGTTTCTGTGTTAATCTTCTTTACCTCCGACATATAATTTTTATCTTTGTTATTATTTGTTGTTTGGGGAAAACATCTCATTTTGAAGTTTTTTTTTAAGTAATCAGCTATCCAGCCATTCTATTTTGATTATTGGTTTAAGTGAGTCGTTTTTATTTGAACACTTGAAATATGAGGTTATTCCTGTTTAAATATTTTTTCTAAAATATCTTTATTTAAATTTTTATCTAGTTTATTTAATAGTTTGATTTTCTCAGAAATTGGTTCTTCCTTCTGCTGATTAAAATATAGTCTCATATCCTTTTTGTTAGTTTCCGTTAGATATTTGCTCAATTTTGTTGATCTTCTTACTTTTGGTTTAGGACTCTAGTAAAAATAATATTTTCTCACCTAACTCTAAATATTTCATTAAATGCAGTAGTATGTGGTTATCAACTATTTTGATCATTGAGAAGGGATAAGATATGTGAGTAGGCTGGTTCTGTATATTGTTTGTATGTAGGGACTATCTGGCTTTCTTGGTACCATAAGTTTCACAAAATAATTCCTGTTTTTGCAGTCTCAATACTAGCTCTGAGTCTTCTTTATCAGAACTCTCATTCCAGAAAGTTTGAAGTCCTTTTCTTTTACGTGGTTTTTAGCCTGTGGTTTCCCTTTTGTTGTTGTTGTTGTTTGCTTGCTTATTCTGTGTCTTTCTGATTTTATATGCTTTCTATCTTCAAGGAAATCTTCAATTCATATCTGGGTGGCTTAGAATACATGTAACATTAGAGTATCAACTTAACATGATTCAATCTCCTAAATATTAAAAAAGTAATACCCTTTAAGATAAATGACTTTAGTTTCTCTAAATAAATTTTATAGAAACTTTATTAAGACTTCAGTTTTAGTATTTGTTTTCAATCTACATTTCAGATGACATTTTAGTAACATCTCATGTTTAGTTTATGCTGACTACCATGTATCTTACTTTGTTTTAGGAGTATATTAGAAACTTGCATTTACAAATGGAAGAAGAAAGAACAAGATTTAAAGACCAACAAGAAAAAGAAAAAAATTCTTTGTTAAAACAGCAGAATAATGCAGCTGTTAAAATTCAAGCTAAATATAAAGCATTTGTTGCCTATCAAAAATATGGCCCAATTATTAAAGAGCAAATTGAAAGTAAGAAAAGGAAAGCACAAGAGTGGAAGGAAAAGGAAGCAAAAATACGACAAAAGGAGGAAGAAAATCGAAAAAGATTAGAGGAGGAACAAAGGATAAAAGAAGAGAGAAAAAAGCAAAAGGAAGAGGAAAGGAAAAGGAGAGAAAAAGAATATGAAGAAAAAAAGAATATTGTGAAACAGGAAAGAGAGCAACTAATAAGCAAGGAAAAAATAATATTAAGAGAAGATGCAAGCCAACAGCTAATAATAAGTAGTGCATTAAAGAAGAGCGGATATAATAACAAACATTTAAGTCTTGAAGATATTTCAAATGATAAGGGTGATATAGCCAAAAATCTAGTGGATGAAAATTCAAAGAAGCAGGAAGATGTTCTCCTTTGGCTAGTTGAGGAATCAAATATGAAAGAAAATGTAGATAGACAGACTATATTAAAAGAATCAATACAAGTAAAGTTAAAAGAATCTATATCAAGCCAAACAATTCTGGCAGATTTTAAAATGGAAGAAAAAAATGAAAACCTAGCAAAAAAACGATGTTCAGAAGAATTGGTCAAGCAAGAAAGAAAATATGAAAATACAGATAACAAAACTGAATTGGGAAACTCTGATCTAAAAGGAAATCTGAAAGAACAGTTTCCATTGCAAGAATTAAAGTCTGATGCACAAAAAGAAGAAAAAATCATGAAACATGTCATAAATGAGAATACAGGACAAAAAACCCAGATAATATTAGGACATAACCAAGAAATCAGTGAGGTGAAAACCAATGAAGAGCAGAAAATAATCAAAGATAATCAGCAGAAAAAGATACAAAAAGTAGAAAAAGAAGAGATACAAGAACAGAATGGATTATTATATAAAGATAAGGATACTTTAGTTATTTCAGTGAAACAAAGATCACTCTCACTAACATCAGAAAATTCCAAAGATGTAAGAGAAAACGTAATATTACAAGAAAAAGAAATTTATTCAAAATCCAAAGAAATTGAGGAGAACCCAAAAGACAATGCTTGGAATAGTGGCATTGTGATTTTTAACACAACTGATACCATGATAAATATAGAAGGCAAAAGAAATGACCAAGATTATGTGTTAGGTAGACATGCTCCTTGTGAGGGCTTGAGTAACTATAATGCAGAAAGCTCCATGGTATCTAAAGAAGTCAACTCTCTTAAATCTGAGATTAGAAATATTTCAGAAAAATGCCATGAAAATGCACCTGAACCTGATAGCATGACCTGCTGTGTATCAGAGTCAACCCTTCTATATTCTATTGAAGAAAGGAGACTAGCCTGGATAAAATCATTTAAACCTTGGCTTGAAATTTTCAAGCAAAATCAACAAAAGAAAATTGTTAGAAGAAAGAGACCTGTGAAATGCCCAGCCAACATGACACCCGCTTTGGATAAACTGGAAATTCTTCGATGTGGCCCTTGGGATACTTTACAGCAGGTATTTCTAATTTTATAATAATTTTTCACATTTAATTACAATTAGCTCTTTAAAGTATAACTTTTCAGATCTTAGAAAAAGAAATATTTTGTATACAAGAATTGTCTCTTGTTTAATAAAGTTATGAATGAAATATTACCCCATTTGGGAGGGGATATATCTCAACAAATTGTTCGAGGCATCTTCCCTAAGTGACACTCTATAAAAAGCTTTGATTTATATTTTTTAATATCTTGAAGCCTGTGTTCAAGGGCCCTCCAGTCATTATTTAAACCTCTAAGAATGGAAGCATATAGAAAGTTAGGGTTAGAATTATAGTAGGAAACTCCTAAGTAAACAGAAGTTTGCTTTAGACTTGAGCCACCACACCACCTAGTGGCTGCTTTTGGAATAAAGTGGATTTTATGTCCATGACCACTGTTGTGAAAGAAGGGCTTGCATGATAGAAGACCCTGAAGACCCTAGAATTCCCATCTAGCAACAATTATTTAGCGTGTGCTATTTAAAGGTGGTGCATATATGTCTGAAATGTAAAATAGTTGTCATCAAATGTTACTAATTTTATATGGTTATGGAGAACATAGTTTCAACCAAAATTAAGACACAGAAACTAATAAACGTATAGAAAAAGAGAAAATAATATTTTAAACAGTGTAACACTAGAAAGCACTTATGATTAAAATACATATATTTAGCTAAGGCCTGAAAGTCAAAAGTATTCAATAAAGTTTATTTAGTTTCTTGATAGACTTTCTTGCTAGACAGATGCCTAGGAGAAAGAACAATCATATTAATAGATAAACATTATTTTGTTTATTCACTCAGCAAATATTCATCTATCCAATAAGATGATCAATATTTATTGGTTGACTAATAAACAAAGAAAACCCAGTCTTTTACGGAGCTTAAACACACATAAATACGTTATTATGGATCTTGAGAATTGCTGTAAATAAGGCTTCAGAGTATCCTGTGAGAGAATAATAAAATAGTGGGATTTTGAAGATATTTCTGGTATATGAAATAGCAATATAAGAGATGAGAACTGGGACATACACTTTTAAGTGTCTTTTATTTCCTGGGTAATGTATTTGCCACATCTGTCAGGTCTGCAGAGCTACATATAGAATCTCTCATCTGCTCTTCTCCAATTTTTTCCTTGCGCATGTTATCTCTGGAATCATGTTTTAGCACTTTTCTTTCTCTAACATATTGCTGCAGGCCTTCCAATATGATAACATTAGCAATTATTTAGTTTTCCTCATGAGTATCTGTTAAAGCTAGGCAAGAGTGATGGCTTCATGCCTACAGTGTACTTGCTTCAAAAGTGAAAATGAAGTTACAGAAACAGTAGTGTTCCTCCCTTGCTTTGTAGGTCTCTGTTCTGTCCAATGAGAAGGAAGTTAAGATGTGTGAGCCTCTTTCTCCTTGGCATTTCTTCTCCAGCTGACTCTCTGTTCCTTCTTTCGAACGTTTGTCAATTTACATAAAATGATAATTAACTCTTTCTTTTACTTCTTAGAGCAAGGCCTGGCAAACTATTAAAATCTATAGAATACCTGAAGCTTTGTAGAAATGTGGATTCTGATTCAATAGGTCTGGTGATCCACCCATTCTCCATTCTTGCAATGATTCTAAATGATGATGTTGGTGCTGGTGAGTGGACTAATCTGAGTAGCAGTGTTCTAAAGGGCACCATAATCCTCTCATCCCTTCTTAAAGCAACTATCTCAAGCTTTTAATTTAGCTTTGAAGCATCAAATAGGCAGTATAAAGATGAAAAATACATGTGAATGTGCCATATAGATGCTAAAATGTTAAGAAAATATCATCTTTTGTTACCAGACAACTCCTGTAAAGATTCTGTTTGGTAGATGGCTTACCATGGTGTCTTTATTCACCACTGTTACTACTGATCCATGGCTCAGTTTCTTTTTGACTTTCTGATCTTTTAGCTTCAGATCTTTATCCTTATCCTGATCACTCACTGCCATCCTTGGGATGTCCTTCTGGAGATCAACTTAGAAAAGTTTATTGTCTCCCAGTAATGCATTCATTTTGCTTACATTAATCTCTTACTTTGAGACTTCAAGACATAAATCGGATCTTCGTGTTGTTCATACTTCTTTACACATTGCCAGGCAAATAAAGATACTCCTCAAGTTACAATGAAGTTACATCCAGATAAACCTACATAGCTTACAACTGGGCAAAATCATCTGGCAACGTGGTACACTGTAGAGTATTTGTTGTTTACCCTCATGATCATGTGACTGACTGGGAGATGCAGCTCCCTGCCGTTGCCTGACATTGTGAGAAATGATCATACTTTATATTGCTAGCTTGGGAAAAGATCAAAATTCAAAATTTGAAGTATGGTTTCAACTAAATGTCTATTGATCTCACACCATCATAAAATTTAAAAAAAATTCTACGCTAAACTATCTCTTGTCAGGAACTATCTGTAATGACTTTCATTACCTGATTATAGGATGGATGAGTGGGGGGATGAATCAATTGATGAATAAAGAATTCCAGTCGAAATATTTAATGTAGAGGACGGGTTGATGGGTGCAGCAAACCACCATGGCACGTGGCACGTGTATACCTATATAACAAAACCGCATGTTCTGCACATGTATCCCATGTATACATGTAACCTAAAGTATAATTAAAAAAAAGAACTGCAATTGAATGTTAATCTTATCTCCTCATTACTACCAGTTTCACAGTTTAGATAAAGTATATTGACTGAAGAGGAAATGAATGTAAAATTACTGAAGTGTAGCTTATTAGACTACTAAGTTCTATGTTAAGACTGTTTCTAATTTTATTTCTGCCACTTATGGCTGTGACACCTTATGCAAATGCTTGACCTGTATGAGCCTCAGTTTTGTCTTTCACAAACTGGAACAGCAATATCTATTATATAGGATCACTGAGTTTTAAAATGCTGTATGTAAAGAACATGGCCCAGGGCTTCTAATACCACTTGTCAAATGTGGGTCTCAAGCAAGCAAAGAGAAGGCAAATGGATTGTTTTCGAGGGCTGCTTAATAGCCCGTTTCATCAAAAAAGTTATAAAGTTGAAAATACTAGACCATTGGGTTATATGCAGTAATATCTCAAAAGAGAAGACTAAAGAGCAATAATTATGGGTAATGAATATATTTTTATTTTTTATTTTTAAATGTTTTAACTATTTTTTATTTTTGGCATTTTGCTACTAATGGTAACTTGTATTAAGTAATAACCACCACAAAAAAGGGCACTGAGCTTAAGGATTTTTAAATATTTCTTTATACCATAACGTGAATAATAATATTTTAGCTGCTTATTAACTTTTAGATCAAGAAGTCTCACTTCTCTTATACAAAGTAAATTGTAATGAACTGCTATTGGAATAATAGGTGACATACCTGAAATTGTTTTGTAGCTGTTTTATTCAAACCACTAATCAAACCTTGGACTCAGTCCCTTTGCAGCTGATTTTTAAAACAATATTATTTTTCCCTGCCAAATAGATTTGAGATTGGACCACTGAATAAATGTTCTGAAAAAGTAAAAAAAAAATAAAATAGACTTGTTGCTTGCATTACTTTTGTAATTACGTTTACCATAGATGACTGACACTTCTTAGGTTGAACTCAAGAATAATTGAGAATAAAATCTCTAAATGTATGTTGCTGAGTTAGGGAATTTTATCTACAATGGGCTGTAAAGGATTTGGGAAAATACAGATGATTAAGTAGAAAATTGATTTGGAATCTGTTATTAAAATATAATGAGAGTTTCATAGCTTCTATAGGTGGAATAGTTCATTCTCAAGTCATGAGAGTCTGAAAGTATAACTTTTTCAAATGTTTTTACATAATTCTTTATAAGAAAAAGGAAGTAAAGTATGAGAGCTATAAATATAGTTGAGTTTTGCCACAGGCTAGGGAAGTTCATTCATTTATTTATTTTAAGAAACATTTACCCAACACCCATTATGCTCCAATTGCTGTTTTTCTAGTTGACCATACAGTAATGAACACATACGATTACTAATTCTATATTGACCTTAATTTCGAAGCATAAAGTGGTTTTATGTATGTGGCTCCTGTCATACATGTATCCATAATTAATACAAAAATTTATTTTGATCTCATGTATTTGGAAAAATCTGTGGTCGAGTAGGGGACTATATTGCTATACTATAAAGATTTTTTTTAAATGTTCAATGAAAAGAGCTTCAATTAAAGGAGGAAATAGGAAGCTCCTCATATTCAAAAGTAAATACCACTAACAAGGATACTGTAGCAGTTACTTCTGTACTATAATAAGATTAAAGGACAGAAATTGCCACATCATAAATAACTAGAACTTAATTGTGCTTGTATAGTTGATTGAAAGCAACATGTTACTAAATCACACTGAATAATATAAATTATAATGTTGAGTAGCATTTGTTACTATACAGCTGTAATTGTTGAATTTTCAATTCTTGAGTGCTCAATTCTAAATAATGTTTTCATTTTTAGTGTAGAGCCAGTTTTCCAATTACAGAATGTATATCTGTTTGTTACAGATTAACTAGGCAGTATATAGAAGTTATCTCCCTACAAATTGATGAGTATATTTTCTTTCTGAAAAAATTATTAAAAATAAATTTGTTTCAAAATTGCTTTAGATTATGAATAGTTGAGACATTCTTAAAATGATTTTGAAACTAGAAGTCTTATTTATCTGAAGTTTTAATTATTGCTTTTGGTACTTAAAATGGAGTGGTCTAATTCCTTTCTTTATATCACCATGAACACATGGTCCTTCAATTTACTTACATAAATATGTAAATTTAAAACTTTTAGTTCAATTTAATGCACAGGAAATGTTCCGTACAAAGAGGAGTTACTGCATTCTAAAATTTTGTACTTTTTCAGTGTTTTTTGAAATAATAGTGCTTCCAATTTTAATATAATGTTTTTATAATTTTAAGTATGGTATACACAAGAATATTCCTATCAAGCTAATGATTTTTAACTTTTACTTTAAGTTCAAGGGTACAAATGCAGCTTTGTTATAAAGGTATATTGCATGATGCTGAAGTTTGGAGCATGATTGAACCTGTCACCCAGGTAGTGAGCATAGTACCCAGTAGGTAGTTTTTCGACTCTTGTCCCCTTCCTTTCACCACTTCGTGTTTTCCCCAGTGTCTGTTGTTCCTATTTTTATGTCCTTGTTTACCCAATTTTTAGTTCCCACTTATAAATGAGAATATGTGGTATTTGGTTTTCTGTTTCTGTGTTAGTTGGCTTGGGATAGTGGTTTCCACTTGCAACCATGTTGCTGCGAAAGGCATGATTTCATTTTTTATGGCTATATGTTATTCCAGGCTATATATGTACTACTTTTTTTTTTTTAATCTAATCCACTGTTGATGAGCATCTGGGTTGATTCCATGTCTTTGGTATTGTGAATGGTGCTGCGATGAACATACCGATATATGTGTCTTTTTGGTAGAATGGTTTATTTTTCTTTTGATATATATCCAGTAATGGGATAGGTGGGTTGAATGGTGGTTCAACTCTTAGTTCTTTGAAAAATCTCCAAACCGCTTTCCACAGTGGCTTAACTAATTTATATCTCTACCAACAATGAACAGGTGTTCCCTTTTCTCTGTAACCTCACCAACATCTATTATTTTTTGACTTTTTAGCAAAAGCCATTCTAATTGGTGTGAGATGGTATCTCATTGTGGTTTTTATTTGCATTTCTCTGATGAGTAGTGGTGTTGAGCATTTTTTCTTATGTTTGTTGGCCACGTGTATGTCTTCTTTCAAAACATCTCTGTTCATGTTCTTTGCCCACTTCTTCATGGGGTTATTTGCTTTTTACTTGCTGATTTAAGTTCCTTGTAGATGCTGCATATTATATGTTTGTCCGGTGCATAGTCTACAGATTTTTTTTCCCATTCTGTAGGTTGTCTGTTTACTCTTTTAATAGTTTCTCTAGCCGTGCAGAAGCTCTCTAGTTTAATTAGGCCCCACTTGTCAATTTTTTTTTTTTGTTGCAATTGCTTTTGAGGACTTAGCCATACATTATTTGCCAAAGGTGACATAAAGAAGGGTATTTCCCATAAAAATTAATTTAAGATAGATGAAAGACTTAAATAGAAGACCTCAAACTATGAAAATCCTACAAAAGCTAATGATTTTATTTAATCTAATTTTTAACTTTTGTGGGTACATAGTAGGTATATATATATTTATGGGACACATGATATATTTTGATTCAGGCATACAATGCATAATAATCACATTATAGTAGATGGGGTATCCATTATCTCAAGTATTTACCCTTTCTTTGTGTTACAAATAATCCAGTTATACTCTTAGTCATTTTAAAATGTACAATAAATTATTATTGACTTTAGTCACCCTATTGTGCTATCAAATACTAGATCATATTCATTTATCTTATTATATTTTGTACCCATTCATCATCTCCACTTCCCTCAACCCCACCCCACTACCATTCCAGCCTCTGGTAACCATCATTTGACTTTCTAATCCTATGAGTTCAATTGTTTTATTTTTAGTTCCCACAAATAAGCGAGGATATGCAAAGTTTGTCTATCTGTACTGGTTTATTTCACTTAATGACTTCCAATTTTATCTATATTGTTGCAAATGGCAGGATCTCATTGTTTTTGATGGCTGAATAGTGCTCCATGGTGTATATGTACCACTTTTTCTCTATTCATTTCTCTGTTGATGAACACTTAGGTTGCTTCTAAATCTTGACTGTTGTGCAGAGTACTGCCGTAAAAATGAGGGTACAGATAACTCTTCATTATACTGATTTCATTTCTTTCGGCTATATACCTAGCAGCAGTATTGCTGGAACATATGGTAGCTCAGTTGTTTGAGGAATCTCCAAACTGTTCTCCACGGTGGCTGTACTAATTCACATTCCCACCAACAGTGTAAGAGGTTCCCTTTTCTCCACATCCTCTCCAGCATTTGCCTGACTTTTGCACATAAGCCATTTTAACTGGGGTGAGTTGATATCTCATTGTCGTTTTGATTTACATTTATCTGATGATCAGTGATAATAAGCATCTTTTCAGATGACTGTTTGCCATTTATATATTTTCTTGAGAAATATCTATTCAGATCTTTTGCCCATTTTAGATTGGATTATGAGACTTTTTCCTATTGAGTTGTTTGAGCTTCTTATATATTCCGGTTACTAATCCCTTGTCAGATGGATAGTTTGCAAGTATTATTCCCTTTCTGTGGACTGTCTCTCCACTTTGTTGATTGTTTCCTTTGCTGTACAGAAGCTTTTTAACTTGATGTAATTCCATTTGTCCATTTTTGCCTTGGTTGCCTGTGTTTGTAGGGTATTACTCAAGAAATATTTGCCCAGTCCTGTGTCCTGGAGAGTTTCCCCAATTAAAAAAATATATTATCAGTTTCATAGTTTGGGGTCTTAGATTTAAGTATGTTTAATCTATTTTAATTTGATTTTTGTGTGTGGTAAGAGATGGGGGTCTAGTTTCATTTTTCTGCATATGGATATCCAGTGTTTTCCAGCACCATTATTGAAGAGGCTGGCCTTTCTCCAATGTATGTTCTTGGCACCTTTGTCGAAAATGAGTTAACTGTAGATGTATGAATTTGTTTTTGCGTTCTCTGTGCTGTTTCATTGGTCTGTGTGTCTGTTTTTATGCCAGTACCATGCTGTTTTGATTACTACAGCTGTGTAGTATAATTTGAAGTCCATACCACTTTAAAAATCAAAAATTGTTGAAAACTCAGGGAGTGAGCTAATACATGATTATGTTGTTGCTTTTATGTATCTTACCTTTGGACTTGAATTTGTCATAGATGATTGCAATATTTTGTCCTTGTATGTGGGGAACAAAAGAGGCCAGATAGCTTAACAAATTGAGTTGTTAATAAATGTAGGCTTCAACATATAGTATTACTTTTCTTAAATGAATTTTCTAAACAGTTTTGTAAGGCTAATATTGTTTATATTCAGTTTTGTTAAATAACACTACACACTCCAATTTTCTTGGTTCCTCTAGGTTACAACAGTTACATTTCAAGATTTGCCAGGCTGTGTTCTCTCCACACTGGCAGAGTGTACAAATCTTCAGTTTCTATCCCTTCGACGCTGTGGATTAACTTCTTTGCACAGCCTGAGTAATTGTAAAAAACTTAAGTACATTGATGCACAGGTATGCTCTCTGCCCTACTGTTATTTATTTTATAATAAAATATAAAATGGATTTATGTTTACATTTCAGAAATGACCCTTTTGAAGAAACAATTACTAAACTAACCTGTAACTCAGAGCCTGAAGAGATCAGGTGGTATGGTAAAGTTTTGAGAAGCAGAGAGGGAAGTTTATTGGATGATACAACCTAAAATGACCTATCTCTTTTTGTAGCTAATATGGTTATTGTTTTCATTACTTTTGCTGCACAACAAATGATTATATTACTTAGTAGTTTAAACCAACAACCATCCTATTTGTTCATGGGTCTGTGGGCCATTAATTTGACTAAACTTGGCTGGGCATTTTTTCTGATTTCTATTATATTTACTGGGTCTCTTATGTAACTGCAGTGAGATGGAAGCTAGAGCTAGAATGTCCTAAATCACTTACCTTATATGTCTGCTGCCTTGGCAGGATTGTCCGGAAGATGGGAATCTCTCTAGTTATCTGGGGCTTCTTTCCAGGGTGCTTATAGGGTATTACTCAAGAGCAGGATCTGAAGAGTGAGTGTTCCTAAAAGACATGCTGCAGTATGCAAGTGCTTATAAAACATCTGCTTACATCATGTTGGCTAATGTTTTATTGGCTAAGCCCTGAGGTCATGTGGAAGGGGACCATATGGATATGCGAATATTGGTTTCTGATGTGTACTGGGAGCTACCAAGGTAACAGTCTATTAAAATCTATCCTCTGGCTTATAATGATTCACATCTTTCCCACATGCAAAATACATTCATATCCCAAATACACCAAAGTATCATTAACTTAAGGCATCAGGCTCAAGCTCAAAGCACAGGCTTTTCTCATCTAAATCAGATCCAGGTGGAGATGAGGCTCACCAGGTCCAGTTCCTTGGATGCATCCACTGAGGTGAAGCCCTCTCAACTCAGATATCTGCAATCTAAAATTAAAAATTATCTACTGCCACCCCACATACAATGGTGAGACAGGGCCTGATTAACAACAATAGCCGTTCTCATTCAAGATGAGAGAGACAAGAATGACAATATATTAACTTTTTAAAATTTATATTGTTTAAAATACTTGTTATCCTCTGTATTTTCTGTATTTTAAAACAATAATATTTAATATATTAAAAATTAATTATTTATTAGTTTACCTAATATTTTCATCCAAATAGTATAACAGTTTGCAGGGTTATCTTAGAAGTTAAAGATTCAGATATTAATTTGGAGATCCTATCTCATCTTTCTTTCCTCTTTTTGAAAGCTTTAAATAGTTCATTAATAAGCCATTGAAATAAAACTAATTACATTTGTTCTTTGCTTCAGGAAAACCATATTGAGGCTATTGAGTGTGAAAATTTGGAAAATCTCTGTGTTGTTCTTCTTAATAAAAATCAACTGACTTCTCTTCATGGTTTGGATGGCTGTACTAATATTCAGTGTCTTGAACTTTCATATAATAAAATTACTCGAATTGGTAAGAACAATGAAATTTTAATATTTAAAGATATATTTCTCATAATTTATTGTGTTTTATTTATTCCTTTTTAGGAGTAGGCCACCATCACAAATCTGCATATTTTATTTATGTTATACTTTTAAAATTTAGATTAAAAAAATAAAATTACTTTTAATGTCTATAAAAGGAATATGCTCTCCCACCACTGGCAACTCTGTAGTTCTTAGCAGTTAGTATATTTACTTCTCTGTTTCTTTTCCTACAACCAATAGTAATTTGAGCTCTATGGGAATATAACAACTTGATATTGTGCCATGATATTTTTATGGATCATCTGCTTCCCAAATGCCTCAGCAATTGTTGTAACTATTTGCTGGTAAACCTTTTTCATCACCACTCTCATTAGCTACATACATCACTTGGACTTATCTTTCCTTCTTTAGATAAAGTTGCTAAAACCACATGAAAGATTCATCAGGCTGCATCTCCCTAAACTTCTCAGTCCCTCCAGAGCTATATCTACATGTAACTATATTGACTTCCTTCCTTATATCTTATAATTTGTATAGGTAGCAATGAAAATCTCTTTTCTTACTTAAGGACCAGTCCTTTTATTTTTTGTTTTAGCAATTTTTTTGTGGACCCAACTTTTATCTTTTATTTTTTATTTATTTATTTATATTTTTGATATGGTCTTGCTATGTTGCCCAGGCTTGTCTCGAACTCCTGGACTCAACAGATTTGCCCACCTCAGTTTCCCGAGTACTGAGACTACAGACATGTACCACTACAGTCAACCAGTCCTATTTTCTATAAATATTCCCATCAGCCCGTCAGGACCTTACTCCATTATTTTACATCAGCCTTCTGTCAAAGTGTTTCTATTGCTGTGTCCTTTCTCTCACATTTCTAAATGAAATTAAAACAAAAGAGAAAATGAAAAAAAAGAAAACCTTTCCTCTTACCTCACATTGAGTTCTGTCATTGCCTCCCATCTCTTCTTCCCCTTTATTGTCAAGTTTCGGGAAAGAAAGAATGTTTTGTGTTTGCTTTTACCTCTTATCACCCAACTTCCCTCTTCTACCCACTGAAATGCGACTCAGGTTACTTCTGCATTATTGCCAGCGTGATGATGCTGAAATAAAAATTGTATTATTCACCTCCTGGCTTGATTTCTTCTATTGTTTTTTATTATTTAATTCATGATGAAATTCTCAAGGGCCTTGGTAGAGGCTTAATAATGGTTAATGAACAATCGAGTATCGCCAAAAAGTTGGGAACTGGATTAAAATTTTACTTTGATATGGGACAGATGGCTGAAATACTGGGCTCCCAGAGGATACCATACTGTCCACCTTTTCAGTCCTATAATCATTGGAAAGTTTAATCTAGACTGAAATATCAGAGTAGAAAGGGTGTAGATAGAGGAATAGAAATAAGCTTAATTTCTGTGTCTAGTCCTGGTTATACTATTAGTTTTGCTTGTTTGTGTATATTTTGTTTTTTCTTCTTTTATTGTGGAAAATTTCAAACATTTATAAATGTACAATAATACATAGAAATTCCATATAACCATTAGTTATATTAAACATTTGCTTCATCTTTACTTTTTTGGGGTTTTGATTTCATTTTTTTCTTTCATAAAGGAGATCCCCAGACCATGTAATTCCATTCCTTCATACTTCAGGAGACAGTTTTGAATAATATGGCCGTCTCTTACTTAACCCCATTGCATTATAACACCTAATGGAATTAATAATGAATCCTTGTATCAACTGATAGCACGTAATCAAATTTTTCTGATTTTCTAAGTGTCTGGGTTTATTGGAATCATAACATCAATGAGTATATATTACATTTATCTAGGTCTTTGAAGTCCCTTTAAATCTGCAGCAGTCCTCACGGCTTTTTTTTTTTCCCATTCCGTTGATTTGTTGCAGAACCTGTGTGAATTGTCTTACAGAATGTCCTGCCTCAGGCTTTGTCCATTTACTTTTTTTAGTTTCAATGAAATTGTTTCATTAAGCCCTGTATTTTCTTATTTATTTATTTATTTATTTAATTTTATTATTATTATACTTTAAGTTTTAGGGTACATGTGCACAACGTGCAGGTTTGTTACATATGTATACATGTGCCATGTTGGTGTGCTGCACCCATTAACTCGTCATTTAGCATTAGGTATACCTCCTAATGCTATCCCTCCCCCCTCCCCCCACCTCACAACAGTCCCCGGTATGTGATGTTCCCCACCCTGTGTCCATGTGTTCTCATTGTTCAATTCCCACCTGTGAGTGAGAACATGCGGTGTTTGGTTTTTCGTCCTTGTGATAGTTTGCTGAGAATGATGGTTTCCAGTTTCATCCATGTCCCCACAAAGGACATGAACCCATCATTTTTTATGGCTGCATAGTATTCCATGGTGTATATGTGCCACATTTTCTTAATCCAGTCTATCGTTGTTGTACATTTAGGTTGGTTCCAAGTCTTTGCTATTGTGAATAGTGCCGCAATAAACATACATGTGCATGTGTCTTTATAACAGCATGATTTATAATCCTTTGGGTATATTCCTAGTAATGGGATGGCTGGGTCAAACGGTATTTCTAGTTCTAGATCCCTGAGGAATCGCCACGCTGACTTCCACAATGGTTGAACTAGTTTACAGTCCCACCAACAGTGTAAAAGTGTTCCTATTTCTCCACATCCTCTCCAGCACTTGTTGTTTCCTGACTTTTTAATGATTGCCATTCTAACTGGTGTGAGATGGTATCTCATTGTGATTTTGATTTGCATTTCTCTGATGGCCAGTGATGATGAACATTTTTTCATGTGTTTTTTGGCTGCATAAATGTCTTCTTTTGACAAGTGTCTTCATATCCTTCGCCTACTTTTTGATGGGGTTGTTTGTTTTTTTCTTGTGAGTTTGTTGGAGTTCATTGTAGATTCTGGATATTAGCCCTTTGTCAGATGAGTAGGTTGCAAACATTTTCTCCCATTCTGTAGGTTGCCTGTTCACTCTGATGGTAGTTTCTTTTGCTGTGCAGAAGCTCTTTAGTTTAATTAGATCCCATTTGTCAATTTTGGCTTTTGTTGCCATTGCTTTTGGTGTTTTAGACATGAAGTCCTTGCCCATGCCTATGTCCTGAATGGTATTGCCTAGGTTTTCTTCAAGATGGATTAAAGACTTAAATGTTAGACCTAAAACCATAAGCTCTGTATTTTCTATAAATTGAAGTTAGTTAAAAACGGTTTGATTAAGTTAAAAAGTAAGCTGCTTTGGCGGGAATTCTTCATAGGTGGTGTTCTGTGCTTTATATTTGATTGCATCCGCAGTCATACAGTATTTGACGATTTACTTTTAGTGATGCTACACTTGAGTGTTTGGTGTAGCTGATGATAGCCTAAACGCTCCATTATAAAGCTCGCCATCAACCTTTCATCTAATGTTCATCCGTTAATTAATATGACCTGGATCAATTAATGCAGCAGAGGATGTGATTTGTGAATTTTCTATTTGATCATTTCTTCCACAGCCTTTAAGCTGGAATTCTTTAATCAATTAGAACTATTTTGTTATCCTGAAATGGTTTGTAGCAGAATGACAGGGCTAAATGCTTACTATTGTATGGAGAAATTCTTAAAGTCTTAGTGACTCTAGTTACTTTCAGTGGTGCCAACTTGTTTTTTGTTTGTTTGTTTAGTTTGTTTTACTACTTGTTCTACCTTTCTCTCTCTCTCTCAATATTCTTATGAAAATATACATTTTTACAGCTCAGAATATTTCAGTCAGTTGCTCTGTTATTCGTTTTGATACTCTAATTGTTTTGTATTGTGAACTTGAATTGAGGATAGCAAATATGCTTTAGACTTATAGCTGTATTCATTTTTTCTTCCACTATATTCCTTGGTTTATGGCAACATTAATATAACCACGTGCCATATCTTATCCATAAAATAGCTTCAAAACAACAATGCCACTATTACTATTTATAATATAGCTTACTAATTTTAAGATTTATTTACATTTTTTGTCCTTGCACTATCCCAAACAGATATGATTAAAATAGTATGTTATAAAATCATTTGAAATAGTTTATCTTTGGGATTAGATTATAAATTGATAATTTAGTTTGCTAAATTAATTTGATAAATTAATTCACTTTTCCCATTTGATTGTGTTTAACTTTTATATGTAACACAGATTCATGATTCCAAGATGAAAACTACATTAAAAAAGCATACTCAAGATATTGTGCATTAGTCCATCCTTTTCACTCTTCTCTCGCATTTACTCTTATATGTGGAATTTTTGTATAATATGTACATATATAATACGTAAAACATATATATGTGTGCATCTATATATATGCACGTATCTAAGGAAATACATGTTATGTATGCTAATCCTCTCACAAAATGTAGCATATTTTAAGTACTGTTCTTTGTCTTGCTTTTTTTACTTAACAACATATTATGGAACTTATAATTATTTTTCCATAGCTACTTAATATTCTATTGTGTGAAATGAGCAGAGTTTTCCTATTTTTGCCTTGCTGATGGATATTGAATGGTTTCCAATCTTCCATATTACCATAATGAATATGACACCTATTTAATTTCATATTTGATCAGATATATCTTCAGGTTAATTTCCTGCAATTTGTATCAATGGGTCAAAAGATACCTATAATTAGGAAGATAGTGTCAGACTCCCTTTATATATATTGTGCCTATTCTCATGCTGCTGATAAAGACATAGCCGAGAATGGGTGATTTATAAAGGAAAGAGGTTTAATAGACTCACAGTTCCACACGGCTGGGGCCTCAAAATCATGGAGGAAGACAATGCAAGAGCAAAGGGATGTCTTACATGGTGGCAGGCCAAAGGGCTTGTGCAGGGGAACTCCCATTTTTAAAACCATCAGATCTTGTGAGACTTATTCACTACCACAAAAACAGTATGGAGGAAACTTCTCCCATGATTCAGTTATCTCCACCTGGCCTGCCCTTGACGTGTGGGGATTATTACAATTCAAGGTGAGATATGGGTGGGGACACAACCAAACCATATCATTGCCATTTAGTACTTTTACCACAAATGCATGGTAATACTAGTTTCTTGGCTTTTTCTTTTCTGTTTATTATGCTGTTCTTTTCTATTTTGAGTTAAATATTTCATACAATTATTTTTAAATTTTTTCAATCGTATTGACATACTTAAATCTATAGATTTTCCTCTGAGCAATGCTTATTCTGTAACTTGTGACATGTAGATATTTTCATCATTTTCATAATTTTAGGGTTTTTAAAAATGTTTTACCTTAGATTTAAAATTTCCATATAGAAAGGTCATTTTTTTTGGTGATTCTTTTCAGTTTTATTGCTTTATAGCCAGAGAATAATTTTTATGCTATTTCTGTTTTTGGAACTTATTTTGGCTGTCTTGCTAATCTAATATGTGGTCAATTTTCATGAATGTTTTAGGTGTACTTGAAAAGGAGGCAGGGTTTTTTATTATTGGGATAAAGAGTTTATTTTGCATGTGTAAGATCTACCTTACTGATAATTTTTTTAAAGGTGATCTGTTTGCTTGATTTACTTTGGACTGAGGAAGTTGCCTGTGAATTTGCTTGTTATTGATTTGTCGTTAATCAGCCTTTTTTTTTTTGGTAAATCCTTTGGTTTCTGTTTTGTGAATGTTACTGCCGTGCAATTTTATAAATGTCTTATCTTTTTCGTAAATTTTAGCTTTGACTATTATGTTTTTTTCATTCTCTCTTTAATGCCTTTGAAACTAAATTCTACCTTGTCCGATATGGTTTATTTTTATTTTTGTTTGCCTACCTGGCCATCTTTTTTATTTTTAACCTTTTGAATCAAGTTTAGACATTTATTTTTATACAGTATAGATTTAGGTTTTATTTTTTGCTCCAGGTTTAAATTTTTTTCTCATATAAGCTATAACCACTTGCATTTATTAATTCGTCTTATATATTTGGTCTTAATTCTGTCATCCTACTCAGGATATTCCTTCTTTCTGGAAGAAAAACTTGTTGACAATGCAGGGTTCTGCCATCACTTGGGCACCTCCACTTCTTACTTATCCCTGGCACAAGTCTGGATTCCAACTGGATTATGTTGGTCCTGGATACCTATTACCTCACTTACAAAAAATTCAGATTGTAATTTCCTTATCTCCCACTTATACTGGAATTGTAAGTTGTGTTTATTTTTTATTTTGTTACTCTTTATGGATTTCTAGAGGAGGTATGGGGAGGGTTGGATCTAGGCAGTCACCATCATCTCCTTTATTTTTTTAAATATAGGTAAAATATAGCTGTTTTCACAAAATAAGCTTTATTTTGCAAACATTTCAAGGCATACTTTTGAAAATATAACATATAACATGCTTTAATGTGTTTATTTGCCTGCGTTCTTGTGCTGCCTGCTTTGGATTACTATGACTTCTTCCATATGGAAATGCTGATAGTTTTGACACAAATATTTTTACTTTAAAATTTTAGTTTAAAATAATTTTGTTGTTGTTGGAGTGAAGGCAAGTGCATTGATAATGTATGTTACTATATTGGCACACACTGAAGCAAACTTTAAAAAGAAAAGAAAGGCTGTTTGTAAAAAAAGAAATGCTTGAATTCCCGTTTACTTCATTTTCATTGCCAGCAGTGCTGTACGAATTTTTTTGGTAAGTAGTGGATTTCCTGGCATAGGATATCAGCAAGATTTATGTGAAAACTGCCATAGTATTAATTGATAAACCTGAGATATCTCTGTGCATGCAGTACAGAGCAAACAAGGTAAAAGACTTCTTTGGTGTCTGTTGGGTACAATGAAAACACTGTATTTATTGAGTGTGAGAATAGTATACATGAGAAAGTAGATTTTCTGAAGAGCAGTTGGAGTCTGTTTTTCATCTTCAGGAAATGCTTAGAGATTCTGGTTGAGCTAAGTGAAAAGCATAGATTTTGTCTTTCAGTGATATATTGATGCTAAGAACTCTTATGAAGGGAGACAAAGATAGATTTGTGTTTGTAAGTTAGTGAGTTACTATTCCATGCTATAATATTTCTTAAGGAGGTGAAATAAAATTGGAAGCAATACCACAATATTTCACATTGGTAGTTTCAAGTTTAATTTGTTTCTAATTCTTACTGTGCTATAGTTATCACAGTAGTTAATATGTAATGTTAACTGTATTCTTTTTATTAGAAAATATTAATGTACATATTTATTTGGTTGATACTATTTGCATTTAAGTGAATGAGAATAGTGAATGTATCAATCTTTTTAAGGCAATTTATTTGAAATTAGTTATGAATGTTTTCCATTCTAATTAAACTATGCAATTGTAAAAACAAAAATATAACGTGAAATATTCATACCAGTTTTATTTTATTTTTTAATTTTTATTTTTGTGGGTACATGGTAGGTGTATATATTTATGGGATAATGTGATGTTTTGACATAGGCATGCAATGTGAAATAATCATATCATGGAAAATGGGGTATCTATCCCCTCAAAGATTTATCCTTTGTTTCTACAAACAAATTACAATCTTTTAGTTATATTAAAATGTAAAATTAAGTTATTATTAACTATCATGCTGTTGTGCTATCAGATAGTAGGTCTTATTCATTCATTCTGTTTTTTTTATATATATATACATTAAGCAAGCATCCCCAACTCCTCCCAGCCCCTTACTAACTTTCCCAGCTTCTGGTAACATCCTTCTACTCTCTATTTTATGACCAATTTTAAATAAGAAAATCTTTCATGTTGTCCTTTGTTTGAAATTTCCCATAAGTAAATTTAAGGCAAAATTGGTAAAACTGTGTTTTCTATATGAGATGTGGCAAAAAATATATTGAATGAATGTTGCCACATGATTGTTAAAGTTTATAAAATGGTTCATGGAAAACCTTTAGTCCTTTGAGTCAGTATTTTTCAGTTAGTTTTTAAAGTAAGAATAGCCAAAGCAAATGAAAAATGGGATTTATAACTTAAAATCTAGTTGTCTTTATTTCTCTTATTTTATGTTGAATTTCATTGACTTTCTAGCAGAAAATTTTGAAACTAAATTAATTTTGAATAAATCCATATTTGAAAAAAGTTATTTTTTACATTTTATTTACATAAAAATACAATTAAGTGTTATACAGTAATAGATAGCTTTCTTACCAATAGGTATTTAAGTGCTTTATACAAATTAACTCATTTGCTTTTCACATCACTGGCATGAGTTAGGTACTATTAAATATTTTCGGCTGGGCACAGTGGCTCACGCTTATAATCCTAGCACTTTGGGAGGCTGAAGAGGGAGGATCACTTAAGGCCAGGAGTTCAAGACCAAACTGGGCAACATAGTGGGGCCCTGCCTCTACAATTTTTTTTTATTAGCTAGGTGTATTAGGCCATTTATGCCTTCCTATAAAGAAATACCCAAGACTAGGTAAAAGAAAAGAGGTTTAATTGGCTCATGGTTCTGCAGGCTTTACAGGAAGCATGGTACTGACATCTGCTTGGCTTCTAGAGAGGCCTCAGGAAACTTACAATCATGGCAGGAGGCGAAGCTGGCGCAGGCAAGTTGCAAGCAAAAGCAGGAGCAAGGGAGACAGAATGTGGTGGTGGTGGGGATATTGCCATACACTTTTAAATAACCAGATCTTGTGAGAACTCTATCTCCAAGACAGCACCAAGCCCTGATGGATCCCCCCTACCCCAATCATGATCCAAACACCTCCCAGCAGGCCCCACCTCCAGCATTGAGGATTAGAATTCCACATGAGATCTGGACAGGGACAAATATCCAAACTGTATCACTGAGTATGGTGGCATGCTCCTGCATTCCCAGCTACTCGGGAGGCTGAGTTGAGAGGAACTCATGAGACTGCAGTGAACTGTGATCATGCCACTGCACTCCAGGCTGGGTGATAAAGAGAAACCTTGTCTCAAAAACAAAAAAAAAAATTCTGACCCCACCAGATAAGAAAACTGAGACACAAAGAAGTAAAGTAGATTATCTAAAATTACACAGCTAGTAAATGATAGAGACAGGATTTGAAACTCAGCAGTCTATCTCTAGTGCCTAATTTTTAAATTACCTTATTCTTCTATTCTTCTACTTTTTAAATAAATATACATTTCATAATTAAGATTACTACTATTTTTATACTACATTAAAACTCTTTATGCTGAACAAATGTAATGATTTTGACATTTTTTCAAAATAAATTTATTGAGTACCTATATGTATAAGCGCTTTTTCAGCACTGAAATATTTCTGGGGATGTAGCAATAAACAAAATAAATGATTATCTTGACTTTTTCCACACAAAACAAACGACTCTCTTGACTTTAATATCATAGTGATATACATTTTCTCTATATATATGGAATTGGAATAAGTTATTTCTTTTATTAAATATTGAATAAAAATAAAAATAAATATAATGTTAACATGTAAGAGTAAATGATCATTTTTATATTCTTGTTCATGATGTATCTGTTTCTGTTTAGGAAAACTTTAATCTGAAAAAATATTTCTTTAATTTAAGCAATATATTTGCCAATTTATAAATTTCACATCATATATTCCTAAAAATTATCATGTAAATAGTAGAGATACTAAGAGTTTTTTTCCTTCTTTATTTTCTAGATAATACTGCTTTCTGGAAAATTGCCCACTAGTATTGTAAATATGAAAGATATGGAAATAATTTAACATTTTCACATAGGCTTGATTGCTGTGTCGTGGCTCATAGTGCTTGGAATAATTCTTGCTTTCAAATATTGTCTTTGAATCATTGGGAGGAAAAATAAAGTAAGAACTCTAGACATTTTGCTTATAAGAATCTTTTTCACTATTACCTATTCAGTGATTTTTTTTTTTTTTGGAGTCCACTAGATGGTGCTAGCTTACTTGTTAGTTTTGAAGGGCAACACAATGCTTAGTGTAAAGCTGAAAGGGATCTTAGGTATCTCGCCAGTCTAGGCTGCTTAGTTTACAGATGAAAAAACACCCACATAGTTTTCATCTAACTCATGGCAGAGGTAGGGCTGGGATCCAAGTTTCCTGATTCCTGTTTCAGTATTACTCTTTCTATACAACATGTATAATCCTGAAGTACTTTTGCACTAAAATTAAAAAGTCTCAAGTGCAACTTTGTATATTTGTATGTGTGAATGAAAAACCATCAGACATGGCAATCAGTGAACAGCTGAAGGAGGTTGATCTTCAGTGAAAAACCTCCAGCCTAATTTAACATTTTTAATTTTGCTGTTCCTTACAGAATTTTCTCCCCTGTGGCAGGAATGTTTTATTAGACCATTGGCTCATTTCTGTGGGAAGAATTATTTGAAATAGATATTTGTAGAAAGTATGGCCAAAAGTTAATTTTGCCATGGGCATGAGCCCTTTGAAGAGTAAACACACTTGACTTAAGTTTTATTTTGTGAGATCTAGGAAACTTTAAAAGAGCTGTTAAAAGAATATATTTAACCAGTAAGCTAAACAATATTTAAGCAAGTCTTTATTTGTATTATATTTAAGTCCTTTGAAAAGGCTCTTTAATATTTTTGTGGCTATTGTTTGTTTTATTTTGAATAGGGCAGGGGAAGAAATATTGGATATTTTATCTGGGAAAGAATAATTTTCTTAGAGGTGTTAAGGAATTAATGGTATCCTAAGATAGGACTTGCTATAAGTTTATTTTACTCAGTTGTCAGCCTTTATTTGACATTAAAGAATTTGTAAAATTAGGACAGGCATGGTGGCTTACACCTGTAATCACAGCACATGGTGGCTTACACCTGTATTCACAGCACTTTGGGAGGCCAAGCTGGGCAGATGGCTTGAGCTCACGAGTTGGAGACCAGCCTGGGCAACATAGTGAGACCTCATTTCTACTAAAAATAAAAAAATAAAATAAACAAAAAATAAGCCAGGTGGGCTGGTGCATGCTTGTAGCTCCAGCTACTTGGGAGGCTGAGATGGGAGAATCACTTGAGCTTGGGGGATCAAGGCTGTAGTAAGCCGAGATCACACCAATGCACTCCAACCTGGGCACCAGAACGAGACCCTGTCTCAAAAAAAAAAAAAATTGATTAAAGACAAAGGGTAGCAACTTACTCTAACTTCATTTACATCTAGAACCCGCCCACCCCTTCCATC
Organism: Homo sapiens; assembly: GCF_000001405.40. Lineage (NCBI taxonomy): Eukaryota > Metazoa > Chordata > Mammalia > Primates > Hominidae > Homo > Homo sapiens. The sequence goes on from NC_000012.12 coordinate 85,078,073, forward strand.
CAAGTGCATTTATGGAATCGATTACTGTTTAATCAGTTGTGAATAGAGTTTTTGGAATGTATATTAATATTGTTTCTCCTTTAATGTTTGACTCAAAATTCAGCCCTCTCTGAAGCCTTATTTGGTCACCACAAATTTATAGTTTTAAACTCCTTGTTTTATTAAGAATAATTATTGGGAAATAATAATAGCTATCATTTTTAGTAGCTATCTTGTGAAAATCCTGTATAATATTATTTTTAATCCTCATAATGAGGTGAAGTTACCCTCACTCTATAAATAAAAAAGCTAAAGCTCAGAGAAGTTAAGTCACTTGTCTACCTTCAAATAGCTAGTTTGGGAGTAGGCTTGTTTTTTACAACTCAGGACAGCCTACTTCAGAACCTATATATTTTTGTTATGCCACCTGCCTGTTGATTAAGTGTGGTACTGATAATATTAGCAATGACTTCATGATTATTGTAGTTCAATCTTTTTATTCTTATATATTTTTTTACTTTAAATGTTTTTGAGGGCATGCTATTTGGTGCCTGCAAATTTATAACTGTTACATGTTTCTGTTAAATTGACCAGTTTCATCATTTTAAAACGTCTCTTTTCATAGGTAGTAAAGCTTTCTGCTTTAGTCTTCTGTGTCTTATATAATTAAACGAGCTTTATTTTAGATGCAGGACTGTTTTACATTCTCAGAAATTATTGAGGACCTCTCTCAAATAACTTATTTGTATGGGTTATGTCTAGCAATATTGCCAAGTAGTCGAAAAAAAATTTTTTTACGTTTTATTAATTCATTTAGAATTTCAAATAATAAAACTTTTGGATTCACAAAAATTTTATAAATGTTAATTCTGTTTTCTAAACAAAGAGTTATACTGGGAAGAAGGGTGTTGTTACACATTTTTGTAAATCTCTTTAATGTCTGACTTAACACAAGACATCTGGGTTCTCATATTTGCCTCTGCAGTCAATTTGCTATAATATCACAAGTCATGTAGCCTCTGGAAAACTCCACTATACTCTCTTGACCAAATGAGAGTGAAAAACCAAATAGCATTTTGGAATTATTATGAAAGCAGTACTGACTTTACAGAATCTTTAAAAGCATCTCTGGGAGGTCTCTGGACCACACTTTGAGAACCACTAGTTTAGTGTTCACATGATGTATCTTTATCTTTTTTTTTTTTTTTTTTTTTTTGAGATGGAGTCTCACTCTGTCTCGGCTTACTGCAAGCTCCGCCTCCCGGGTTCAAGCAATTCTGTTGCCTCAGCCTCTTGGGTAGATGGGATATTACAGGCGCTCACCACCATGCCCGGCTAATTTTTTGTATTTTTAGTAGAGACGGGGTTTCACCATGTTGGCCAGACTGGTCTCGAACTCCTGACCTTGGGGTCCGCCTGCCTCCACCTCCCAAAGTGCTGGGATTACAGGTGTAAGAGCTGCCACCATGCCCAGCCTCTATCTTTTTACTTAAAATATGTCTACAAATTTTGTTTCCAGTTTGTCTCTTTTTTGTAACACGAAAATTTGTTGATTTTGTTATTGCTTTATCTGGACTGGCTTACAAACTCTAGCTTTGATTTGTAGCCATTAGTCCTTAGCAATTAATTAGTTATATCATTAATTTCATATAATCATTGATGTATTTGAGATTAAACCATCTTACTATTTTTTATTCTGTTCATTCTGCCTGCTTTTTTCTTTTTGCCCTTATTTGGTTTGACTGAGGTTTTAAATTATTTCATTTTTTCCTCTTATATTTACCAGCTACATATTATTTTTCTATTCTTTTAGGTTACTATAGAAAAGATGACTATACCAATGGTAGTATTATTATGTAATAATATAGTATAAACTTTCCATTGCTCTTTATTTTGTCTTTCATCTACAATGTTCCTTCTGCCCAAAGAATATCTATTAGTATTTCCTTTATTGTAGGTCTGCTGGTGATGAATTCTTCAGATATTATATGCTTAAGTATGTTTTTAATACACACGCGCACACACGTACCCACAAATACATATACGTACGTGTGTGTGTCTATTTGAGGTATAGACTTACCATTTGTATTGCAATTTTTGCATTGTAAATATATTTTATTGTATTCTAGCTTTCCTGGCTTAAGTTGATCCTTGAAATATAATTTTCTTTTTCCATTTTTGAGATTTTTTTCTTTGTCCATTTTGGTTACCTTAATATTCACTCTGTCTGAATTCATTGTGCCTCCTAAATCTGTGGCTCAGTGTCTGTATTCAATGTTGAAAAATTCCAAATACACATGTTTTTATGATTTAATATATGTTAACAGATATAATTATTATATGTAACAATATATATTTAATGTAATATAGAGGGCATAATATATTTAATGTCTTTTATATGAGATGTATGTCCTATACTTTTCTTATATATGTATATTTTTTATAATTATACTCAAAATTATTGTATATTTCATTTGTCTCCATGTATTTCTCTGGATATTTTCTTTTAACTCAATTTACAGTTTCCTAGTCCTTCAAGCACATCTAATATAATGTTCAATCTATCCATGAAAGTGTTGTTTGCAGTTGTTGTAGTTTTTGGTTTTAGAATTTTTACTTGTTTTTTTTTTTACTTGACATTCAATTTGCATTTTTATAGTATCTAGTATTCAGGTATTTAATTTTAACTTTTATTTAACGTGTTCAGCAAAGTTTTTTTATATTCTGTGTCTGGTAACTTCATTATCTGGATTTCCAGTGGGTAGTTTCTATTACTTGTTGTTTTTCTTTATTTTTGGTCACTTAGTGTTATTTTCTTGCTTATTTTTTATTATTTGGCAGACAGAGAATACTATGAAAAAATAAAATTGTGGAACCAATTAGAGGCTAGTATATTATTATTTTCCTCTAGAGGTCCTTAGTTTTTACTTAGGGCAATCTCTGTGTAGTTGAATCTATACATTGGTATTGAGATTATTTGAAGTTTAGCTTCAGGCCCTCAGAACCCTTTCTGTATTTGAATGATTCTTACTCTTAAGGGATAGTGCATGCTGATCCCAACCAAAAGTAAGGTAGGGGTTTCTTAGGTCTACTCTGATGAAGAGGGCCCTAGAAGCCAAATTGTGACCTCCTAGGTTTGTAAGCTTTCTTTCTGAGGATTACTAGATATCCTGAAAGATGTGATCTTCTCACTTTTGAATCTTAACCGTATGATTCGGTAGTACCATTTTAATCCTTTAATGTCTTGAGCAGATATGTTTATATAATTTTCAGTTTTTCTACTTCTCAACAGATGAACTGTCCTTCATTACCTAGTCCATTATTACTATAATCAGAAAGCTTGTGCAACATATTCTATTTCTCCTTCCTCTCCTCTGTTGTCTTCTTTTGGATTGGCTTTTTTTTTTGTCATTTCTTGTTTTATTCATGAATTCCTTTAGTAGCTATATACTTTATTAATTTAATGGTTACTGCAGAAATTAAAAGTACACACTTAATTTATCTCAAATTAATATCTTTACCTCCTGTTTCCTGACTTAAAGGTGTGTGTGTTGCAGGATTTTAAATGTATTTTTATTTAACTCCGCAAGGAAAACATAATGATTATTTTTATAAAGTTTAATTATATTTGCTGACATTTGTCATTTTTATGCCCTTTATTTCTTCTTCTTCTTTTTTTTTTTTTTTTTTTTGAGACAGTCTCACTCTGTTGCCTTGGCTGGAGTGCAGTGGTGGGGTCTCAGCTCATTGCAACCTGTGCCTCCCAGTTTCAGGCTATTGTGCCTCAGCCTCCTGAGTAGCTAGGACTATAGGTGTACACCACCAAGCCTGGCTAATTTTTTTGTATTTTTAGTAGAGAAGGGGTTTCACCATGTTGGCCAGGCTGGTCTCAAACTCCTGACCTCAAGTCATCTGCTCGCCTCGGCGTCCCAAAGTGCTCAGATTACAGGCATGAGCCACTGTGCAGGGCCTCTTCTTTTATTAAAACTTTGACTCACTTTTCTTCCTTTTGATGTAGATCCTTTACATTTTTCTCTAGTAAGAAAATTGGTAGGTGGGAAACTCTACTGGATTTTGTCTGTAAATATCTTTCCTTAACACTTATTTAAATTATAATTTGTATTTTTCTAGGTCGAAGTTTATTTCAGTAATTTGAAGTATCAATCTATTATTATTATTGTTATTATTATTAACTTTTACTTTCACCAATGCAGTTAAGAATGCTATCGGTTATTTTTGGACTTTTGAGGATATTTTCTGTCTTCTTCAAATATCTTTTCTTTGTCTTTGCGGTTATGCACCTTTACATTGATGTGTCTAGGCAGGGATTTGTTTTTGATTCATCCTGTCGGGGCTTATTGCAGTTCATGAATATGTGGATTGCTTTTTTATTGTATCTATTTGTCTGCCATTATTTCTTCAAATATTTTTTCCTTTTCATTTGTTTTCTCCTTCTGAAACATTATGTATGTGTGATATATTTATTTTTATATCCTTGACTCTAGGCTTCATGTTGCCTGTATTCTATATCTCTATCTCTCTTTGATGCCCATAGGTAATTTATATGTATACATCTATGTCCCAGTTGACAAACTTGAAATTGCTCTTAATCGAGCTCATTGAGTTTTAAAACTTCAGCTAATTCTAATTTCCATGTAGTTCTGTTTCTGTGTGTTTTATTATTTCTGCTAACTCTTATGATACCATATTGCATTGTGTATTTCATGCCTTTTATTGTTTGGGTTTGGTTTTCTTGTTTATTGTCATCTTTTTATTTGCCCTGGAACATAAGTTTGTGATTATTCTTAGATTTGGAATGAAAGTTTGGCCTCTAGAAATAATTTTTCAGGTGGCTGGGGACACAAACAATCTACAGTCATTTATGGTACGTTTCTAGTGGCGGTTTTCTGATCACTATCTGAGCAAATCTGAGCTACAAACCTATGGGAGTGTCAGCTTGTGTTTATTATTTTTTAAATGAGATTTTTATCCCACTCTACTGAATATTGAGATTCGGGATAAGAGATTTAACTTTCAGCAATGTATAGCTGATTGATGTTCCAGGTTTGTGTGGGATTGTAGGTTATACCTGTCCACCTTAGGTGCATTTTGAATTTTGTTTCCTTAAGTTCTGAGGCTGCAGAAATGGATTGTCATATTCATCAGTTTAACAAGTTTTCTCACTTTAAAAAGTAGCTTTATTGTTTTGCTTATCTCTCTTTGCTTGCCATATTTATTTAGATTTTTGAATGAGAATTCATTACTTTCATAGCAGCTCTTTTGGAAATATTCTAAAAAAGATGACTTTTTAGTTATTTGCAGAGGTGAGGATGATCAGGCTATCTGAACAGAAATTTCTGAAAATGGATTATTAATTTTTTTCTAAGTAACTTTTTTTTTTTTTTTTAAGACGGAGTCTCACTCTGTCGCCAGGCTGGAGTGCAGTGGCCTGATCTCAGCTCACTGCAACCTCCACCTCCCAGGTTCAAGTGATTCTCCTGCCTCAGCCTCCCGAGTAGCTGGGATTACAGGCATGTGTCACCACGCCCAGCTAATTTTTGTATTTTCAGTAGGGACGGGGTTTCACCATGTTGGCCAGGATGGTCTCAATCTCTTGACCTCGTGATCTGCCTGCCTTGGCCTCCCAAAGTGCTGAGATTACAGGCATCAGCCACCGCACCCGGCCTGGTAATTTTTGTCTACATAATTAATACCTGCCTATTGTCTAAAAATTATACTGTAAAATGATAAAGCAGTAATCTATAATTGTGTCATCCAGATACAGCCAGTATGTATGAGCCTTCCAGATTGTTTTCTGTGCATTTGGAAAATCACTGCTGTAATTCTCTTAACAATAAATTGTATTTTTATATGTCAGTAATTATTTTTCTACTTGTATTTATCATATAAGAGATACTTGAAAGCAGAGATTCTGTCTTGTATTATTTTCTGTCTCCCAGATGACATGACACAGTGCTGAAACTAGTAAAACCAGTCTCTTATGAGTTTTATATCAGAGTAAAGCTATTTTTGGAAAAATAGATTTTCATATTTGTAAAAATGTAGAGAATATAATTGGTTTATATCTGCTTACATATAACATTCTATGCCTATTATTTCAAGAAATTAGAAACAAAAATCACATACAACTATTAAAATAAAATTGCAATAAAAATAGCAAACACCTGAATAGAAATTCAATAATCTTTGAGTACCAACAAATGTAAACACTAAACAAAATGTGCTCATATATGAAGGAGACATAGCATATGAAAAAAGTTGATTAAAATAATAATTTTTTTGAAATGAACATTGTAATAATTCAGCCAATGATGCCTACTTTTTCTATATAAGTAAATGTAGTTAGGGTACAGTTTAATTAGAAAAAGTTCAAGTGGATAATTAAGTAACTTTTAATTGATAATAATACTTATTATTGCTAGGGTATATGTAAACTGATATGTTTTCCGCATAGATTTTATATTTTAATATTAAAGAAATGTTTAAAGTTTTAGTACTGCTTTTGAAATGAAGTCTGAATTTTACACTACTGAAACAGAATATCAATTTTAATGTTTTAAAAGTACAGTGAGGCTGGGCATGGTGGCTCATGCCTGTAATCCCAGCACTTTGGGAGGCTGAGGGAGGCAGATCACCTGACGTCAGGAGTTCAAGACCAGCCTGGCCAACATGGTGAAACCCTGTCTCTACTAAAAATACAAAAATTAGCCAGGCATGGTGGCGCATGCCTGTAGTCCCAGTTACTTGGTAGGCTGAGGTGGAAGGATCACTTGAACCCAGAAGGCAGAGGTTGCAGTGAGCTGAGATCGCGCCACTGCACTCCAGCCTGGGCAACAGAGTAAGACTCCATCTCAAAAAAAAAAAAAAGAAGTACAATGATTTATAAAGTAAGTCATTCTGGAAATATATTATGGTACTAAAAATCATTTTATAATGCCAAAAAGCATCCACTTGTCAATTATGGTTGTAACATTTATTCTCAGACAATTTTCCTACAGATAATTTACTAAGATGAGACATAGTATTTGTTTTTTTGCGTGTTTCCCCCGCCCCCCAATTTATTTAGTTTCAGGGATTGTATTAGTCTGTTTTCACAGTGTGATAAATACCCGAGACTGGGTAATTTATAAAGGGAAGAGGTTTAATTGATTCGCAGTTCCGCACAGCTGGAACAGTTCTGCAACAGTTCTTCAGGAAACTTACAATCATGGTTAAAGTAAGCAAAGGAAGAACTTGCCAAATACTTACAAAACCACCAGATCTCATGAAAACTCACTCACTATCACAAGAACAGCATAGGGGGATCTGCCACTTGGGTCTCTCCCTCAGCACTTGGGGATTACAATTCAAGATGAGATTTTGGTGGGGACAGAAAGCCTAACCATATCAGGGGGAATATGTGCAGGTTTGTTACACGGGTAAATGGCATGTTGCTGAGGTTTGTTGTATGCATAATCCCTTTACCCAGATAGTGAGCATAGTATCCAATAGGTACTTTTTCAACCACTCCCTGCTTCACTCTCTCCCCTCTGGTAGTTTCTACTATTTATTGTTCCCATCTTTATGTCCATACATACCCAATGCTTAGCTCCCACTTATAGTTGAGAAGATGTAGTATTTGGTTTTCTGTTTCTTTGTTAATTTGCTTAGGATAATGGTCATCAGCTGCATCCATATTACTGCAGAGGACATGGTTTCATTCTTCTTTATGGCTGTGTAGTATTCCATGGTGTGTATGTACTACATTTTCTTTATCCAGTTCCCTGTTTCTAGTCATCTAGGTTGATTCCATGTCTTTGCTGTTGTGAATAATGCTACAATGAACATACAAGTGCAGATATCTTTTTGGTGGAATGATTTACTTTCCTTTAACTATATATTTAGTAATGGTATTGTTGGGTCAAATGGTAGTTCTAATTTCTTTGAGAATTCTCTAAACTGTTTGAACAGTCACTGAACTAATTCACGTTTTCACCAATGGTGTATAAATGTTCCCTTTTCTCTGCAACCTCTCCAACATCTGTTATTTTTTGACTTTCTTACTAATGGCCATTCTGACTAGTGTGAGATGGTATATCATTGTGATTTTAACTTACAATTCTCTAATGATAAGTGACGCAGAGCATTTTTTTCACATATTTGTTGACTGCATGTATGTCTTTGATATAGCTTAGATATTTGTTCCTACCCAAATCTCATATTAAATTGTAATCCTCAGTGCTGGAGGTGGGGCCTGATGGGAGGTGTTGTGTCATGGGGGAGGCTCCCTCATGGCATGGTGTTGTCTTCTGGATACTGAGTTGTCGTGAGGTCTGGTGGTTTAAAAGTGTGTAGCACCTCACCCCCACTCTTGTCACTTGCTCCTGCTTTTGCCATGTGACATGCCTGCTCCCCTTTTGCCTTCTGCCATGATTGTAAACTTCCTGAGGCCTTGCTAGGAGCCAAGCAGATGTCAGCACTATGCTTCCTGTAAAGCCTGGAGAATATGAAACAATTAAATATCTTTTCTTTATAAATTACCCAGTCTTAGGTATTTCTTTTCTTTTTTTTTTTTCTGGAGAGATGCACCCTCCTCCGAAGGAGGTTGTGATTATAAATAACAAAATAAATATCAAATTTGTGTAGATACAGTTGATGAAACTGAGATTCAGGGAGGTGGTGCCACTTCACCAGAACTCAACAACTAGAAAGTGACAGAGTGTTATAGAAACAAGTCTGTCTGAAACTAAAGCCTGGTTCTTTGTACTCAACAATGGAAATCTCTCCTCCTCCTGGCTTACAGGGGGAGTAGAAGCCCAGACTGCCTTACTCACTACTTTCTCCTCCACTTTGCATTCAACGATTGAATCTCAGATTGTTCTTCATTATTATTATTATTATTATTATTATACTTTAAGTTCTAGGGTACATGTGCACAACGTGCAGGTTTGTTACATATGTATACATGTGCCATGTTGGTGTACTGCACCCATTAACTCGTCATTTACATTAGGTATATCTCCTAATGCTATCCCTCCCCATCCCCCCACCCCACGACAGGCCCTGGTGTGTGATGTCCCCCATCCTGTGTCCAAGTGTTCTCATTGTTCAATTCCCACCTATGAGTGAGAACATGTGGTGTTTGGTTTTCTGTCCTTGCAATAGTTTGCTCAGAATGATGGTTTCCAGCTTCATCCATGTCCCTACAAAGGACATGAACTCATCATTTTTTTATTACTGCATAGTATTCCATGGTGTATATGTGCCACATTTTCTTAATCCAGTCTATCATTGATAGACATTTGGGTTGGTTCCAAGTCTTTGCTATTGTGAATAGTGCCGCAATAAACATATGTGTGCATGTGTCTTTATAGCAGCATGATTTATAATCCTTTGGGTATATACCCAGTAATGGGATACCTGGGTCAAATGGTATTTCTAGTTCTAAATCCTTGAGGAATCACTACACTGTCTTCCACAATGGTTGAACTAGTTTACAGTCCCACCAACAGTGTAAAAGTGTTCCTGTTTCTCCACATCCTCTCCAGCACCTGTTGTTTCCTGACTTTTTAATGATTGCCATTCTAACTGGTGTGAGATAGTATCTCATTGTGATTTTGATGTGCATTTCTCTGATGATCAGTGATGATGAGCATTTTTTCATGTGTCTGTTGGCTGCATAAATGTCTTCTTTTGAGAAGTGTCTGTTCATATCCTTTGTCCACTTTTTGATGGAGTTGTTTGATTTTTTTCTTGTAAATTTGTTTAAGCTCTTTGTAGATTCTGGATATTAGCCCTTTGTCAGATGGGTAGATTGCAAAAATGTTCTCCCATTCTGTAGGTTTCCTGTTCACTCTGATGGTAGTTTCTTTTGCGATGCAGAAGCTCTTTAGTTTAATTAGATCCCATTTGTCAATTTTGGCTTTTGTTGCCATTGCTTTCGGTGTTTTAGATATGAAGTCCTTGGCCATGCCTATATCCTGAATGGTATTGCCTAGGTTTTCTTCTAGGGCTTTTATGGTTTTAGGTCTAACATGTAAGTCTTTAATCCATCTTGAATTAATTTTTGTATAAGGTGTGAGGAAGGGATCCAGTTTCAGCTTTCTACATATGGCTAGTCAGTTTTCCCAGCACCATTTATTAAATAGGGAATCCTTTCCCTATTTCTTGTTTTTGTAAGGTTTGTCAAAGATCAGATGGTTGTAGATGTGTGGTATTATTTCTGAGGGCTCTGTTCTGTTCCATTGGTCTATATCTCTGTTTTGGTACCAGTACCATGCTGTTGTGGTTACTGTAGGCTTGTGATGTAGTTTGAAGTCAGGTAGCATGATGCCTCCAGCTTTGTTCTTTTGGCTTAGGATTGTGTTGGCAATGTGGGCTCTTTTTTGGTTCCATATGAACTTTAAAGTAGTTTTTTCCAATTCTGTGAAGAAAGTCATTGGTAGCTTGATGGGGATAGCATTGAATCTATAAATTACCTTGGGCAGTATGGCCATTTTCATGATGTTGATTCTTCCTATCCATGATGATGGAATGTTTTTCCATTTGTTTGTGTCCTCTTTTATTTCGTTGAGTAGTGGTTTGTAGTTCGCCTTGAAGAGGTCCTTCACATCCCTTGTAAGTTGGATTCCTAGGTATTTTATTCTCTTTGAAGCAGTTGTGAATGGAGTTACTTATGATTTGGCTCTCTGTCTGTTATTGGTGTAGAGGAATGCTTGTGATTTTTGCACATTGATTTTGTATCCTGAGACTTTGCTGAAGTTGCTTATCAGCTTAAGGAGATTTTGGGCTGAGACAGTGGGGTTTTCTAAATATACAATCATGTCATCTGCAAACAGAGACAATTTGACTTCCTCTTTTCCTAATTGAATACCATTTATTTCTTTCTTCTGCCTGATTGCCCTGGCCAAAACTTCCAACACTGTGTTGAATAGGAGTGGTGAGAGAGGACATCCTTGTCTTGTGCCAGTTTTCAAAGGGAATACTTCCAGTTTTTGCCCATTCAGTGTGATATTGGCTCTGGGTTTGTCATAAATAGCTCTTATTATTTTGAGATACGTCCCATCAATACCTAATTTATTGAGAGTTTTTAGCATGAAGTGCTGTTGAATTTTGTCAAAGGCCTTTTCTGCATCTATTGAGATAATCATGTGGTTTTTGTCTTTGGTTCTGTTTATATGATGGAGAAGTTTCTCAGTTATTTCTTTATAGCAGTGTAAGAATGGTCTCATGCAGAAAATTGGTATCAAGAAGAGGGGCATTGCTATAAAGATACCTAAAAATTTTGAAACAGCTTTGGAACTGCATAACAGGGAGACATTCAAAGAGTTTGGAGGGCTTAGAAGAAGATAGGAAGATGAGAGAAAGTTTGGAACTTATTGGAGCCTGGATAAATGGTTGTTGCCAAAATGCTGATAGTGATATGGACAGTGACATCCAGGATGCAGAGGTCTCAGATACAAATGAGAAACTTATGGGGAATTGGCAAGATTATGTGTGTTATGCCTTAGCAAAGAGTGAGGCTGCATTGTATTCATACCCTAGTGATTGTTGGGCATTTGGACTTGAAAGTGGTGATTTATGATTATCTGATTAAAGAAACTTCTAAGCAGCAAAGGGTTCCAGACTTCGCCTGGCTGCTTCTAACAACCTGTGTTCAGATGTGGTAGCAAAATAATGACTTATAGTTGGAACTTGTATTTAAAAGGGAAACAAAGCATAAACGTTTGGAGAATTTTCAGTCTGGCATATGGTAGAGAAAGAAAAAAGCTTTTTTGGGGGGAGTAATTAAAGCAGGCTGTAGAGAAATTACTTGCTAGAGATATTTGCATGACTAAAAAGGAGGCAAGTGCTGATAGCCAAGACAATAAGGAAAAAGCTACGAAGGCATTACAGCGATCTAAGAGGCAGCCTAGGAGGACTGAATGGTTTCCTCAGCGAGGCCAAGGGCCCCACTGCCCTGTGTGGCCACAGGATACTGCTCCCCACATCCCGGCTGCTCTAGCTCCAGCTGTGGCTCAAAGGAGCCCAGGCACAGCTTGGACTTCCACTTTGCCTAATGCACATCATAAGCCTTGGCATCTTCCACGTGGTATTAAGCCTACAGGTGCACAGAGTGCAAGAGTGGTGGATTCCTGGCAGCCTCTGCCTAGGTATCAGAGGATGTATGGAAAACCCTGGGGGTCCAGGCAAGGCAGAGCCCTCATAGAGAACCTCTACCAAAGTAGGGCAGAGGGGAAATGTGTGATTGGAGGCCCGACACAGTCTCTACTGAGGCACTACCTAGTAGAGCTAAGAGAAGGGTACCACGGTCCTCCAGACTCAAGAATTGTAGATCCACTGGCAGCTTGCACCTTGCATCCAAAAAAGCTACAGACACTCAACTCCAGCCCATGAGAGCAACCTCTGGGGATAAACCCGGTAAAGCTACAGCAGTGGAGTTTTCCCAGACCTTGGAAGTCCAACCCTTACAGCATTGTACCCTGGAGTCAAAGGAGATTATTTTGGAGCTTTAAGATTTAATGACTTCCTTGCTGGGTTTTGAATTTGCATGGGGATTGTAGCCCCTTTCATTTGGCTGATTTCTCCCTTTTGGAATTGTAGTGTTTACCCAGTTCTGATACTTTCATTGTATCTTAGAAGTAAATAACTTGTTTCTGATTTTACAGACACATAGGTGGAAGGGACTTGCCTTATCTCAGATGAGACTTTGGACTTTTGAGTTAATTCTGAAATGAGTTAAGACTTTAGGGGACTGTTGGGAAGGCATGATTATATTTTACAATGTGAGAAGGACATGATATTTGGGAGGGGGCAGGGGTGGATAAATATCTAAATACAACTTGGTTATTTGTTCCTGCCCGAGTCTCATGTTGAATTTTAATCCCCAATGCTGAAGGTGAGGTATGGTGGGAGGTGTTTGACTTATGGGGTGGATCCCTGATAGCTTGATGCTGTCTTTTCAATAGTGAGTTCTCATGAGATCTGGTGGTTTAAAAGTGTGTGGCATCTGCCCCCTCTCTCTCACTTGCTTCTTTTTTTTACCTTGTGACATGTCTGCTCCCTAATTGCCTTTTACGATGATTGTAAGCTTCCTAAGGTCTCTCTAGAAGCTGAGAAGATGCCAGCACCATACTTTCTGTAAAGCCTGTAGAACCAGGAGCCAGTTAAACCTCTTTTATTTATAAATTGTCCAGTCTCGGTTATTTATTTATAGCAATGCAAGAATGGCCTAATACAGTCTTCCTTTGAGAAGTGTCTGTTTATGTCCTTTGCGCGTGTTTTAATGTGGTTGTTTTTTGTTTGTTGAATTGTTTAAAAATTCCTTATAGATTCTGTATTTTAGACCTTTGTCAGATGTATAGTTTGGGAATATTTTCTCCTATTCTATAGGTTGTCTGTTTACTCTGTTGATAGTTTCTTTTGCTTTACAGAAGCTCTTTAGTTTAATTAGGTCCCACTTGTCAATTTTTGTTGTTGTTGTTGTTGCAATTGCTTTTGGGGACTTAGTCATAAATTTTTTGACAAGGCTGATATCCAGCATGGTGGTCCCTAGGTTTTCTCCTGGATTTTTATAGTTTTAGATGCTACATTTAGATCTAATCCATCTTGAGTTAGTTTTTGTATATGGTGAAAAGTAAAGGTCCGGTTTTATTCTGGATGTGGATAGCCAGTTATCCCAGCACCATTTATTGAATAGGGAGCCCTTTCCACATTGCTTGCTTCTTAAAAAATTTGTTAAATATTAGATAATTGTACGTGTATGGCTTTATTTCTGAGTTCTGTATCCCAGGGGTTCCCATCTTCCAGGTTATGGACCAGTAGCGGTCCATGGCCTGTTAGAATCCAGGCCTCACAGCAGAAGATGAGTGGTAGGCAAGTGAGTGAATCTTTGTCTGTATTTACAATGGCTCACTGCTGTTTGCATTACTGCCTGAGCTCCACCACCTGTCAGTTCATCAGCAGCATTAGATTCTCATAGGAGCGTGAATCCTATTGTGAACTGAGCATGCAAGGGATCTAGGTTGCACACTCCTTACGATAATCTGGGGAGTAGCTGCAAATACAGATTAACATTTGCAGAGAGTTTTGACTGCACAGAGATCATAACAAATCAGTTGCTTACAGAATCATATAAAAACCCCATCAGTGAGTGGCAAGTAACAATCAAACTGCATTTGGTGGCAGGCTTTATGGTGTCAAGAGAGTTGATGTACTTCAATTATACAGCTGCAACTTATGGCAGATTTTTAGTCAGAATCCAACACTTATTTTAGTCTGTGTGTGGCCCACTCATTATTTTATTTATCATTTCCATCCACACCTCTTTCCTGCACTGTGCACTTGCCTCAGTCACAGTTTTTGTAAGCCCACAAGATAACCTCAGCCAAAATGAGTAAAAGCCAAACATCACCGGAGAGTTTATTTGAAAACCGTGAAAGACTCTTCAAATGATGAGACATCAGAAGACTCTGTAAGACTGCCAACAAAAGGAAAGTTGCATCTAAAAGAAAATATCAAGATTTCCACTTAAATCACGAGTTCATTGCAACAAATGATTCACATTCTCCAAGTCCATTTTGTATAATATTTGGCATCTGGCTATACAATGAACCCATGAAACCTTCAAAACTTCTTTGTCACATGGAGACCAAGCACCCTGCACTAACCTTTGGTGTTTGTCAAAAGGAAAAACATGTAGAACAGAAGCAGTTATTGAAGGCCACCACTTTATCAAACGTGCCTGCGCCGACGGCATCATTCTTAGAGACTAACCACATCGCTAAAGCAAAGAAGTCCTTTGCTATTGATGAAGAGTTAATCCTGCCTGCTGCTAATGACATTTGTCATGAAGTTTTAAGAGAGGCTGCAGTTTAAAAGATGACACATGTTCCTCTTTTGGCTAGCACCATAACCAGACAATTAGATGAAATAGCAGAGGATACTGAGAAGTAATTGTTGGAGAGGATTAATGAGTCACCATGGTACACAATCCAGGTTGATGAGTCTACTAATGTTGACAACAAGGTAACAATACTTGTCTTTATGCGATATATTTTTCAGGAGGGTGTGCATGAGGATATGTTATGTACACTTTTGTTGTCAACCAACACAACAGCTGCAGAACTATTCAAGTATTTGAATAATTACATCTCAGGAGAATGGAATTGATCATTTTGTGTCAGTATATGCACAAATGGAGCAGCTACCATGACTGGACAGCTTTCTGGTTTCACTACTCAGGTCAAAGAGGTTGCTTCTGAATGGAAGTTATGCATGGTGGCATCCTTAAAGAAATGCTGGCTAGCTCAAAAATGTCACTTGAAATTAATGTTTTGCAGGATATGACTAAAATTGTCAACCACATTAAAGTGCATGCCCTTAACTCACATCTGTTTGCACACGTACGTGAGAAGATGGATGCAGAGCATGCATGTCTTCTCTTATACAGAGAAGTGAGATGGCTTTCTAAAGGTAGATCACTGGCCAGAGTTTTTGAGCTATAAGAGCCACTCCAAAGATTTATTTTAGAAAACACCCACCACTGGCAGCACATTTCAGTAACACAAAAAGTGTCCTCACATTTGCTTACTTCTATGACATATGACACCTCAACAAACTCAACCTGTCACTTCAGAAGAGAACAATAATTGTGTTCAAGTCGGCAGATAAAGTGACTGCATTCAAAGCCAAACTGGAATTTTGGATGCAACAAGTGAACACAGAGATTTTTTATATGATTCAGACAGTAGCAGAGATTTTTGAAAGAGACTGAGCCAAGGCCTCCTTTCTCCGAGCTGCTGCATCATTGCCTATCTCAGCTTTCAAAAGAGTTTGAGCATTATTTCCCAACCACAAAAGACCCCTGAACTGAGAAGGAATGGATCTGTGACCATTTGTGAATAAGCCAGGTGAATTGACTTTGGCCAGGCTAGAAGAGGATCAACTGCTTGAGACTGCAAATGATGGTGGCCTTAAAAGTACATTTGAGACAACTTCAAATCTCCATACATTCTGAATTAAAGTCAAAGCTAGATATCCTGAGTTTGCCAGAAAAGCGCTGGAAAGCCTGCTTCAATTTGCAGCATTTAATCTTTGTGAAACAGGGCTTTCTGGAGAGATAGCAACCAAAATGAGATTACTTTGTAGACTGGACATAAGCAACACACTTTGCATGTCACTGTCTTCCATCACCAACAAATGGGGCCATCTATTTGCAGGAAAGCAAGCTCAGGGCTCCCACTGATTCTACTTTGTGGTGAGTTGTATAATTATTTTATTATATACTAAAATGTAATAATAATAAAAATAAATTTCACAATAAAGGCAATTTGCTTGAATAATCCAGAAACCATCACCATGAAACCGGTCACTGGTGCCAGAGAGGTTGGAGACCACTGCTATATCCTGTCCCATTGGTCTATTTGTTTTTGTACCAATACCATGCTATTTTGGTTACTATAGTCTTATAGCATAGTTTGAAGTCTGGTAGTGTGATACCTCTGACTTTCTTCTTTTTGCTTAGGATTTTCTTGTCTATATGGTCTTTTTTATGTTCCATATTAATTTTAGAATAGTTTTTTTTCTAATTCTATAAAAAATGATGTTGGTAGTTTGGTAGAAATAGTGTTATATCTGTAAACTCCTTTGGGCAGTATGGCCATGTTAATGATGTTGCTTCCTTTAATCCATGAGCATGGAATGTTTTTCCATTGTATTATCTCTGATTTCTTTCAGTGGTGCTTTGTAGTTCTCTTTGTAGAGATCTTTCACATTCTGGTTAGATATATTGCTAGGTGTGTACGTGTGTGTTTGTGTGTGTATGTCTATTGTAAATGGATTTGTATTCTTGATAGGGCTCTCAGCTTCAATATTACTGGTGTATAGAAATGCTACTGATTTTTCTACATTGATTTTGTATCCTGAAACTTTACTGAAGTCATTTATCAAATCGAGGAGCCTCTGGGCAGAGTCTTTAGGATTTTCTAGATGTAGAATCACATCATCAGAAAGTGAGGTATTTTACTTCTTTTTGTGTGTGTGTGCCTTTTATTTCTTTCTCTTGCCTGATTGCTCTGACTAGAACTTCCAGTACTGTGTTGAATAGGAGTGGTGATAGTGGACATCCTTGTCTTGTTCCAGTTCTCAAGGAGAATGCTTCCAGCTTTTGCCCATTCATTATAATCTTGGTTGTGTCTTTGCCATATAGGGCTCTAATTATTTTGAGTTATGTTCTTTAAGTGCCTAGTTTGTTGAGAGTTTTTATCATTAACGGATGTTGGATTTTATCAAAAGCTTTTTCTGTGTCTATTGAGAGGATCATATGATTTTTGTTTTTAATTCTGCTTATGTGGTGAATTACATTTATTGATTTGCATGTATTAAAACAGTCTGGCATCCCAGTAATAAAGTGTACTTGATTGTGGTGAGTTACCTTTTTTTATGTGCTGCTAGATTTGGTTTGCTAGTATTTTGTTGAGGATTTTTGCATCTAGGTTCATCAGGGATATTGACTTGTAGTTTCCTTTTTCTGTTGTTGTTCTGTCACTGCCAGATTTTGGTATTAGAGTGATGCTGGCTTCATAAAGCTTTGCATCATGCATGAGGTATGGGGGAGTCCCTACTCCTCACATTTTTTTGTGGAATAGCTTAAGTAGATCTGGTGCCAGCTCTTCCTGGTACTGTATAATTCAGCTTTGAATCCATCTGGTCCAGGGCTCTTTTTGGTTAGTTAGTTTAGTTTTTCTTTTTTTTAAAATTACTAATTCAATTTCAGAACTCCATATTGGTCTGTTCAGGGTTTCTGTTTCTTCCTGACTTACTCTTGCAAGGTTGTGTGTTTCCAAGAATTTATCTACTTCCTGTATATTTTCTTGTTTGTGTGAATAGATGTGAATAGAATTATTTATACTACTCTCTGAGGATATTTTGTATTTCTGTGGGATTGGTTGTAGTACCAGCTTTGTTGTTTCTCAAGACACTTATTTGGATCTTCTCTCATTTTTTCTTGTTAATCTAGCTAGTAGTCTATTTATCTTGTTTATCCTTTCAAAGAAAGAGCTTTCAATTTTGTTTATTCTTTGTGTGGATTTTTAGGTCTAAATTATGTTTGGTTCTGTGGTGATTTTAGTTATTTCTTTTGTTCCACTAGTTTTGGGGTTAGTTTGTTCTTGGTATTCTAGTTCCAGTAGGCATGATGTTAAATTGTTAATTTGAGATTTTTCTAACTTCTTGATGTAGGCATTTAGTGCTATAAACTTTCCTCTTAACACTGTTGTAGCTGTTTCCCAGAGATTTTGGTATATTGTATATCCTTTTTCATTTGTTTCAAATAATTTGTAAATTTCTGCCTTAATTTTGTTGTTTAACCAAAAGGCATTCAGAAGCCAGTTGATTTCCCTGTAGTTGTGTGGGTTTTGAGAGACCATCTTGATGTTGATTTGTATTTTTATGCTACTCTGGTCTGAAAGTATGATTGGTATGATTTCTGTGTGTTTTAATTCATTCAGACATGCTTTGGGCTGAGTATGAATTTGACCTTAGCATATGTTCTGTGTGTAGATGAGAAGAATGTATATTCTGTGGTTTATGGGTAGAGCATTCTGTAGACACCTATTAGTTCCAGTTGCTCAAGTGTCAAATTTAAGTCTAGAATTTCTTTGTTGGTTTTCTGCTTAAGTGATGATCTGTCTAATGCTATCCATGGGAAGTTGAAGTCCTCCATGATTACTGTGTGGCTAAGTCTTTTTGTAGGTCTAGAAGTACTCTTTTTATTAATTTAGGAGCTCCAATGTTGGATCTGTATGTATTTAGGGTAATTATGTCATCTTGTTGGATTAAACCGTTTATCATTATGCAATGCCCTTCTTTGTCCTTTTGAACTGTTGTTGGTTTAAAGCATAGTTTATCTGACATATGTATAGCAACTCCTGCTCTTCTATGTTTTCTCTTGCATGATAGACGTTTCATGAACCCTTTACTTTGAGCCTATATGTTTTGTTAAATGTGAGGTAGACCTCTTGAAGACAGCAGACAGATGGGTCTTGTTTTTTATTCAGCTTCTCAATTTGTGCCTTTTAAGGGGGCATTGTATTAGTTTATTCTCACACTGCTATAAAGAACAACCTGAGACTGGGTAATATATAAAGAAATGAGGTTTAATTGACTCACCTTTCTGCATGCTTAACAGGAAGTATGACCGGGAGGCCCCAGGGAACTTAGAATCATGACAGAAGCTGAAGGGGAAACAAAGCACCTTCTTCACATGGTGGCAGGAGAGAGAGAAATAGCAGGGGGAACTGCCACACACTTTTAAACTCATCATTTACATTAGGTATATCTCCAGTGCCCTCCCCCCTCACCCCACCCTACCACAGGCCCCAGTGTGTGATGTTCCCCCCGCTGTGTCCAAGTGTTCTCATTGTTCAATTCCAACCTATGAGTGAGAACATGCGGTGTTTGGTTTTCTGTCCTTGCGATAGTTTGCTCAGAATGATGGTTTCCAGCTTCATCCATGTCCCTACAAAGGACATGAACTCATCCTTTTTTATGGCTACATAATTTTAACGAACAGAGTAACACCTACAGAAAAAAATGCATAGTCTAGTATCTAATTTAAAGAACATTTTCTAGATTTTTAATATCTTCCATGAAACTTTACACACTTCCTCAGCATCTTTTTCTCATGCTAACTCCTGATGGCTGATTTAAGCAACCTTCTCAGTTTTTTCCTTATGACCACTGAGTTACAGTTTCGAAGGCTCATCTAATATTTTGTAGATAGTATCATACTGATTTTAAGTTTATCTGGTCAAAGAGGAGGTCCCTCATGACAATATTGAAATACCTGAAGAATATGCTACTAATTCATTGGTTCTGTATTCAAATGGTAGGAAAATGACATTCTAATACTATACATGCAACCTGAAGCAAGGATTCAAAGTTCAAAGGCTCTGGAATGAGTTAAAAACTATTCTTTTAAGAAAAAAGTCGTTATATCTCTCCCTTGTTTTGTTCTTATTTGAATATAAAGCATTCATTCCCAGTGTATGCCTTTTAGTACTTTGTGCAATTTTTAATTGATAGATAATTATGTCATTCAAAAATATGTCACCCAGATGCCAGTTTAAATAATAACACAGTTTACAAGATATGTTTCACCAGGAATTTGGACTAAGTCCTCACTTGTAATTAATGATAGTGAGAAATACAAAGGTGCAATTATTTAGAAAAAAAATGGAAACTTTCTTCTAGAGTCTGGAAGACTGTATGACACAGGTGATCTTATAACTTTTTTCTTCTAGGTGGTTTAGAATCTTTGAAAAATCTTCAACAACTAATTTTGGACCACAATCAGTTAATTAATACAAAAGGTCTTTGTGATACACCTACCATTGTATACCTAGATTGCTCCCATAATCATCTTACTGATGTAGAGGGCGTTGAAAATTGTGGATTGCTCCAAATATTGAAGTTACAGGGAAATTATCTGAGTGAGGTAATTGCTTTGAATTAATTGATTTCTGTGATAAAGCAACACTTTTCTTTTGATAGAAATACCAATCACATATTAAAAGCAATTTTGAATAATTATTTTGTTCATTTTTCACCATGAAGTAACCTTTATCAAGAATATTAAATATTATACAGTTAATTAATAGAAATTTTATTCATATTTAAAAAGTCTTATACCTTATGATATGCACTTTATCAGAATCTATCTGTTGTTAGTTTTGGAAGGTTGTGTATTTTTTAATTGGGCTAAATGATAAAATATTTTGCTTAATATAAACTAATGAACCAAATTTAAATATAGCTTCCATCCTTGGAGAATCTTGTTTTACTAAGAGAATTGCACTTGGATGATAACAGCATTTCAACTGTGGAAGCATTTTCTTCATACTGGCTGCCTTTACTACAAAATATTACTATCTCTCAAAACAGGTAAAAGCATACTTAAGAAATAAATTCAGTGAATGATTGTTTAAAATAAATATGTGATGTTCATAAACTACCATAAAAGTTAGATTTCTCTAATAATTCAATGAGATTGCATCAAAATAAATTAGTATATAAATTATAAAAATAACATTATAGAATTTTTAAAAATTAAGATGAATTATTGGCATACCCTAAAATTTTAGTAGAATTTTAATTGTCCATTTATCTTTCTAATTTTATTTCTTCTCAAAGATGCACTTGTATAAATCTCTCAGGGAAGATTTGTTTATGTTTATACGGAGCATAGTCCTTGGAAAATACAGGAGGTAGTTAATTTAATTCAGAAGGATGTCTCATTCTCTCAAATGGTACTTATTAAGTCCTGGAAGGACAATTTTTACTCTGCTCTCAACTTGCTTGTCTTTTTGAAACTGTTAGGATGGATTTAAATTTGTTTTCCCTAAGGATATAAAGTAACACTTAAAAAAATACCTTAACATTCAATTGAAATGGGTACCTGCCTCAGAAGATCTATTTGAAACCACCAAACATCTGGATCTTTGCTGAGAATAACTGGCTAAACCAAAGCAGGAGCACAATATGTGTATTTCTCCTCTGCTTAATATTTCATTGTAATCCATTCACTATAATATGATTAATTTCTTCATCAAAGGCACAAGGAGTAGGGGAAAGAAACCACCTTTAACAATAAATTGTTTCTTTAAGTTATACAATGCTCACAAAACACACGAATAAGGACAATATCATTTTTACATATATACCTATTTTCCCCCAAGACATATAAAATCATCTCTCAATCTCTTCCACAACAGTGTTCATCTTTTAAGCAGGCATATACTAAATGACTTAACTTCCACCTATTACAATTTGACATTGAAAAACAAATATGTATTCAAAAAATCCCCTCAAATTACTTTAATCCAATGTAAAATTTAAAATTTGACTTGAATTTAAAAGGACATTTGTTCCCAGAGCCAGCTCCATCAGATAATACTGTGTAAGTAATTTGGGCAATTCACAAACTCCTTGGATCTTTTCAGAATATTTTCCAGGTACAGAGTATACTTTCAAAATGAAATATTCAGCTATGTTTTGGACATACGCAGTAAGTCACGGAGGAATTGAGATACCTAACGTATTTTATAAAAGTGGACCTCAAGCCACATTAATAAGCATAAAATATTTAAAGAGATTATAAAGAAAATCAAGAAATTTTTTGACAAGTAATGCCTTTAATTTATTTGGGCAATTTAAGTTATCAAAGATAGTCTATTTCTAAAAATTAAATTTAATACTAGCTGATAGACTTTTGCTCTATCAGTATGATATGACATATGCATATCAAGCTGATAAAATGGGAATTATATAAACTAGAGAATTAAATATTTTTTAGAACTGAGCATGATAATTGGAATGATTAATACAAATGTTTTCTATTTATAATTTTGTTTGCATAATCTTATAACGTTTGACTATTGAGATGGGGTTTGCTATTTGGGGGATAAAAAAATGAGTAATGTATGTTCTTACACCCACAGAGCATTTTGGCATAAAAGAACTTAATTTTTAAAACTCATCTATACCAAAAAGTAAAATTATTGTATAATATATGTGATTTTGACATTTCAAATAATACTGTCACTGATACTGGAATGTATTTCTTTTGAGTCTGTCAGAGCTCTTTGTACCTGTAACCTTCTGCCATTATTGAGAGGATGAAGGGAGAAGGCCCAAGAGCACCAGGGAAATGTCATTGATAGCAAAGGACATATGGAATACTAAAATGATTTTGTAATGTCATAGTGTAAAGATAATCTTCAACCTTAGAATATTTCACAAGTTTATTTTCATTGACTGTAGAAATTATCTATTTTAATTTATTTTAATTTATGCTCTTACATGTGAAATGACTTTTTAAAAAACCATATTAGGTTTGATAAAACCAAATCTATGTTTAAATATTGAACCTACAACTTGGTCAGTAGATGTTGAGCAATTCTGCTCTCTGACCCTCAGTTTTTTCTCACAAGTATAAAAGTGGTAATGCCTATCTTACCTAGTTTATGGGATTTTAATGATGATCCAAGAGGAAAGGGAGAATAATTTTATAATGTGATATTTGGATTTGTGTTTGGTATGGATTTTAAATTATATATACTTTTCCTTTAATTTTTGATATTTTCATCACAAAGAAGATATTATGTGTCCATATGCTTTTTTTCCCAACAAATGGAATACATATAAAGAATGATACTTAGTACATATTGTTTGAAATACTTGTTTCATCCTGATTTCTGTTTTAAATTTTCAGTAAGACATGTGACTGTTTTAAGTTTGACTTAGTGGAGTTCTAACTGGATGACTCTCTGGCTTTATAAGCCTTTTTACTTCCAGTGAGACTCTAAGTAGGAGCACAAAGTGGAAACTATTACCCATTGGCTGTTCATTGTACAAATCTTTTGCTTTTTGTCGTCTTTGAAATTTATATCTTTTTAATGCCCAGGGCTAATGTGACAAGGTCAAATGGTTTTAGGTTTTCACTAATGTCCTTTGTCTTTCTGGTTTGAATTTTCTTGGAAATAATATGCACAGAATGTCGGTAAAAGGAAAAGTTCTAGAGGTTTTTTAAAAAAGGATTATACTATTAAGTTTCTACCATCCTAATGAATAGTTATAAAGGTGAATGAGTAGCCAGTTTTCTTGATTAAAATTTCAGAAGAAGAAAACAAACATGATATTAACAGCACGGTTATCTGAAAAGATTACTTTCAATATTACAAAAAGATTTTTTCAAAGCGTATATTTCTTCACTTTGATTGATTTTTGCAAAGATTTATTGATTTTTGATTCTAAAAAAAATTGTTGGTTATTTGCATTTGAGGTCTTTTTATAACCTATATGTTACCGTATAACTTACTGGCTAAAAACATGAGATACTCTGAAAAAAGAAAAAAAGTTGTATTCTGAATGGTTTAATATGCCATTACTATTAATATTTCAAAATCCTTTCACTGGAAGGGTGAAGAGTTAGTATTAGAAATATATTAAGGGTAGAGCACAGAAACAATTTTCTTTTTAATAAGTACATTTATTAAAATTTTATTTTTACTTGAATTATATTTATATATATATTGCATGTAACAATTATACAGAACGTGCTTGAATAGGAAATGTCATAAAATTGAGACTTAAACCCACTAATTATGTAAAGGTAAAGCCTGAATTTCCTCTATCCCTCCATGTCTTCCCACCCCACTTCCCTTCCCTTCCCTTGACTTTTTTTTCCTTTTCTTTACTTCAATATCAATGTGAAATTTCAGTAAATTTCACTGTTATGGAGTATATGTACAAATAATTCAGTGTATGTAATGGCCAATACATTCTCACTTTTATTACCTTGGATATTTTTCTCCTGGAAATTGCTTTTAAGAAGTGGGATCTTATATGTTTAATATGAATGTAATATTGTATTTAGGATTGGCAACATGCAGAGAAATGTTCTCCCAGCCTCATTATATCATCTACTTTTTCATCAGTAGTGTATCTTCTTTCTCTCTGCTAATGCTGAAAGGGATAGTACAAGGGAAGAGTGAAGGTCAATACAAGGGTTAATCTTCTGCCACACCCCATGAGGCTTCCACTCACAGGGTTACTCTGTGAGCTTCTGACCTGAGAATATAAAAATAAGAGATTTTGTTGTTGTTGTTGTTGGTGGTGGTGTTTTCTATGGCAGTGAGTTTGTAGAAATAAAGAGGTAAAGGACCCTTCCAGGACAACTGGAGGGAGAGTATAAAAAACACGAAAGCAATAAAAGTGAAAATTAATGCATACTTATTTATTTTGTAACAGAGATAGACCTTGAGCCAAAGCATATTTTGAACAGCTATGGAATTATAGTGGGAATTAATTCAGAAGGCTTTTCTAATTGTGGCAAAAAAAAAAAAAAAATATATATATATATATATATATATATATTTTACTAAGGAGTTTTTATCTTGCTTAAAGATTCAGATGAGCTGGCTTCATTTAATTTCCAAATAGCTACAGGTAATGTGATATTATGTTACACAGTAAGTGTAGACTTGTCCTAGTTGGAAATGCAAATCAAAGTAGAGTTAATTTACCCTTTATAGCTTTTGTTTCCAATGACGTGGGTATTTTTAATATCACTATTTTTGTTTGAATATGGGTTTTCGATAACAATTATAACTTAGAAGACAATAAAAACCTTTAAATGGAGGAAAATTAATTATTACTATATTATAATATGCATAATTAATTAGTATTAATTTTAAATATCAGTGTGTTTTGGCCAAGTTTAAGTCCATTCTATTGAGGTAAAACATTTTGTGTTATTCTGTTCTTATACTCATTTATTTACATATTGAGTATATTTCCAATTTAAAAGTAAGCCCAGTTTAATTTTGAATACTTACAGTACTATAATACTTTCAATTAGTAAAGAAAGATTTTTTAAAACAAAACTAGTGATTAGTTAGTTCTCCTGTTGAAAAGTAGTAATTTCTCCTGTTGAAAAGTGATTTTTCATTTGTACCTTAAAAGTTTTGGTTATGTGTTTTAGGCAGGGAGAAAAATAAATAAAAAATGTAAATTCTTTGTAAATTTGGCCTTATATGAATACAAAACAAAATAATCAGAAGAAAACACACTTATTCTTATTTAAATAGCGAATACACATGAAAATCCATGATTTTTGTGATTGAAATTAGTAATTTCAGGATTTCTTTTACAAAATGAATAGAAGTCTTCCATCATAAATACGTAGAAGTCTATAATTACTGCATTTGTAAAAAGCACTGTTAGCAAGTGCTATAATTTTATTGTACAATTATAATTGTATATATAAAATTGTATAAAATGTGTATAATTATATAATTGTATTATAAAAATGTATTGTTATATAGTTACAATGGTAACATTAAGGACTTTCCAATTTAGAATTTTGATGAAGTTTTTGTTTTTGTTTTCAGCTTGACTAAAATCGTACCACTTTTTCATTTTGTTTCATTGGAAAAGCTAGATGTCAGCCACAATTGTCTTTCTGGTAAGTTTAGCATAATATATATATTTTAATAATAGACTTTTGACTTTCTGTTTCAAATATGATAAGGGGTTGTTTTAAATGCATAAGTTAATGGCATTTACATATAATAAACCTGTAAAATAAAGCATGCTGAAATAATTCACTTGAAATTTTATTTCCACTTTTACAGTCATATTACTTCCACATCTTTCTGGTAGGCCTAGCCAAAGTCACAGTTATCCTTTTATTTAAAAGTCATACATCTTTTACTTATGAAATATATAGCCTAATGAAGATGAGCAAACAGTATACCTTTCTAACAGGTATAGAGTAGTCACTCATTAAAAATTTATTAAAGAATCATGACTTGAATTGACTCCTTCCTTTCTTCAAAATTTCCTCATTCCCAGTCCCAGTCAGTCCACTCCTAGAGGCAGCCACAGACTGAATTTATCACCACACATTAATTTTGTCTTTATATTAATTGGATCAAACAGTACATTCCTTTTTTTCTACAACTTTCTTTGTGTGATATTAGCATCTGACATTCTACCACTTTATATATTTATTAAATATATTTATTTTTCTGAAGTGTAAGGGATATATGAATATATCACAGTTTGTTTATCCATTCCCCTGTTGAACATACTTTGATTGTTTGTGGTTGGGGGTTTATGAATACAAAGTTCCTATGGTTCTTGTACAAGTATTTTTGCAGGCTTAAGTTTTCTCTTCTCTTGGGTAAATGTGTAAGAGTATAATTGTTGGATAATAGAGTAGGTGTAACTCTAAAAGAAACTGACATACTATTTTCCAAAGTAGTTGGAACATTTTACAACCACACCAGAAATAAGAGTTACAATTGCTCCATTCTTGAGAGCTTTTAATAATTTACTATGTTATCTCATTGTGGTTTTAGTTTGCATTGACCTGATGAATAAAGACGTTGAACTTCTTTACAAGTGTTTATTGGTGATTTTTGCACCCTCTTTTGTTGTGTCTATTCAAGTGTTTCACCATTTTGGAAATGTGACTATTTTTATTTTTCTTATTGATCTATAAAAATGTTTACATATTCTGGACATCATTGTCTTATAAATTTCTAGCCTTTGTTTTACCTATCAATTTTCTAAATGGTATATTTAGATGAGTAGATATTTTTAATTTTTTCGTTATTTTTGTGTGTCCTTTTATAATAAAATTTTCACTCCCAGGTTGAAAAGATAATTTTCTGTGCTTTATTCTAGAAGCTTTTGTACTTTCAGTTTTTTACTGTTAGGCCTATGATCCCTCTCAAATTAATTTTTATGTATGGTGTGAAGTAGAGGTTGAGTTCATTTTTTATATGGATATCGAATTGTTCTAGCCACACTGGTTGAATAACCTTTTTTTTTCATAATCGAATTACTTTGCCACCTTTGTGCAAAAATTGTTTTACATTTTGTTTTCTTTGGGATATGTTTCCATTGATTGCTTTTCTCATAACTATGGCTTATGTTTTCCTATTTCTTTGGATGTCTAGTAAATTTTAACTATTTGTTGAACATTGTAGATAATTCTACATTGAACATTGTAGATAGTTCAGTAAGTCAGGGTGTTGTTGTCTTCCTTTAAAGGATGATAAGTTTTATTCTTGCAGGAAGTCAAATTAATTATGAATAATTTTTAAATAATTTTTTTCCTGCCGGGCTTAGTTTTATTCTATTTTAGGACAGGTCATTTTAGTTTTCTTTCTTTCTATTTTTTTTTTTTTTTTTGAGACAGAGTTTCATTCTTGTTTCCCAGGCTGGAGTGCAATAGCATGATCTCAGCTCATTGCAACCTCCATCTCCCGGGTTCAAGTGATTCTCCTGCCTCAGCTTCCCAAGTAGCTAGGATTACAGGCATGCGCCACCATGCCCAGCTAATTTTGTATTTTTAGTAGAGATGGGATTTCTCCATGTTGGTCAGGCTGGTCTCAAACTCCTGACCTCAGGTGGTCTGCCCGCCTCGGCCTCCCAAAGTGCTGGGATTACAGGTGTGAGCCACTGCCTCCGGCCCTATATTGACTTTTTTAAGGTAAAAAGGTCCATGCAATCTATTTTGTTGTATATACAATTTTAACACTTATCCTATTACTTTAGATTTTACTTCTTCAGATTTTGTGCTTACAATCTGTCACAAACTATTCTAAGTCTTTTACACACATTATCTCATTTAATCCTAACCCTATAAGACAGATATGAACCCGAATTGTAAAGCAGATTTGCAAAAGTTCACACAGCTGTTAAATGGTAGAAACATATATTCTGACAATAGTCTGTGTCCTTAACACAGTCTTCTTTAAAAAGCATATAGCATTCTGCAGAAGAAATAAAAATATTGCTTTTCTTTAATAGCAAACCAGTAAATACAGTGGTCATAGATTTATGATATTTGTTCTAAATCTGTGATGATACCTTTCAAAATGATTTTATTTTCTGTAGATCTTAAAAGTGCCATAAAATGGTTTGATGCATGCTATTCTCTCCATGAATTGTCTCTTACTGGAAACCCACTTCTTCAAGAAACAAACTGGAGGTAAAGAGGCATTGTTGCACCCCATGTATATCCATTATTATAGTTGCAGAAAAAAGTTTGATAAAAATTGTCCTGTGAATAACAATTACCTAGGATAAGTTAATTAAAAAATTAAAAGTCATTTTAAACCAAAAAAGTTTTGTAAAAGTAGTTTTAAAAATGTTTTTATTCTAAAATAATTTTCTTGCACATGTGTGAACTAATACAAAATTGAAATTAAAATTGTAATGTAAACCATTAATTATGTGACAAGTTTAGTGTGATATTAACTTGGGTTTTGCATTTATAGAAAATATATTTGTTGAGAATTGCTTTTTTGCCAATAATATAATTACATAGCTTCCTACTTAAATTGTTTCCTTTTTGAGAGTAATTTGGTTTTGTTTTATTTTCCTAATAGAGAAGGATGGTGTCTGTTAAAAAGTTTGTGTTATAAGCATATTTAAATTCTTGCTCCTCTTTGGAATATTGCAATACCTAAATGTAAACCAAGAAAAATATTTTGTAATTTTTAATACATTTTTGTAGAAAAAAGTTTTCTCATTTACACTTCTAATAATATACTAACACGATTTCCCCCAAATTGACCACCATCTTTTTTCAAAAATTAGCTATTTTGTGATAACTTACATAGCATAATTTTTATCATTTTTGTTTATGAATATGAATATTTTGTGAAAAACTGGACATTTTTATCACCTTAAGAAATACCTCATGCTTTTTTGCAATAAGTTCCCTCCCCTAGTATTTTAAAAACATCTCTCCACTCTTTTATGGCTTTCATTGTTTCTGGTGAGAAATGTCTACTGACATTCTTGTCTTTCTTTCTCTAAGAATGATTTTAAGATTTTCTCTTGATCACTGGTATTCAACAATTTGATTACAGTATGTTTTGGTGTGGTTGCATTTAGTTTACTTGGGATTTATCACACTTTTTGGATCTGCCATTTTCATAAAATTTGGAAAATTTATGGCCATTTTTTTTTCAGATTTTTTTGTTCTCCCTTTCACTACCTATTCTGCCCTAGTAGCACTCCAGTTTCAACAATATCAGACCACTTGAATTATCCCAGGAGTTGCTGTTGTTTTCTTTTACTTATTATTATTTATTTCCCTTTCCATGCCTCACTC
The DNA here is from genome assembly GCF_000001405.40 of Homo sapiens. Classification (NCBI taxonomy): domain Eukaryota; kingdom Metazoa; phylum Chordata; class Mammalia; order Primates; family Hominidae; genus Homo; species Homo sapiens. The sequence continues at coordinate 85,107,747 of NC_000012.12, forward strand.
ACTCCGAATAGTTTCTATTGCTTTGTCTTCAAATTCTCTGATATTTTCTGTTTAAGTATCTACTCTGCTTTCAGACTCATCTATTTTTCATTTCTGATTGCAGATATATTTTTCCTCTATATAAATTTGTGTATTTCTTTAACATTTGTAATTTCTCTTCTAATCATGCTCATGCTTTCTGGAACCTTCTGGAACATATGGAAAATAATAATAGCTGTATTAATTTAACTTCCTTATCTGTTCTTTCCATCATCTCTATCATTTGAAGGTCTACTTGTATTGAATTTTTTTTCACTGATTCTGGATCATATTTCTCTGCTTCATTGCATGCCTGGTCAGTATTGGTTGTATTCTGGACATTTTGAATTTTATATTCCCAATGCTTAATTTCATTGTATTACTTTAAATAGCCTCTATTTTATGTTTGGTGTGCAGTGGCTAAGTTACTTGGCACTAATGCGATACTTTCTAAGCTTGCTTTTAAGTTCTGTTAGAATGGTCCAAAGAAATCGTTGGAGTAATGCTAATTTAGCCCTACTACTATGATGACAATTTTCTGAGTATTTTTTCCAGATGTCTCATATAGAGACAGGCTGGTCTCGAACTCCTGGGCTCAAGAAATCCTCCCACCTCAGTCTCCCAAAGTGCTGGGATAACAGATGTGAGCCACTGTGCCCGGTCTTCTATGTATTCTTTTAACTTTGCCTGTGGGAACTAATCTCCTATGTCAGTTCCTATAGTTCTGCCTTCAGTTTCTACTGGTCCTTTCCCCTGAATTTAGATGGCTTTTTCTTACACATCAACAGAAGATTACTGATTTGCCAAGTTTAAGTGAATTACCTCCCAGAATACTGAGAGAATTTGCATATGTCCACTGTGAAATTTTCCACTGTGGAATTGGTGATCATTCTGGCTTACACTTTTGTCTTTTTTTATGCTCAGAACATTCACTTTTGAGATGGTTTCACATTATTTATTGTACATTTGACATTTTTATACTGTCATTTCACTGGTACATCAAGGCAGGATAAGCCAAGCATAAACAAGGCTACAATTTAGGAAAATGAGTTTGCCAATACAAACATGCTAAGTATAGGGGAAGGCACACATTTACTAAAATACATATTAGGTAGCAAAATATGTATTAGGACCATTAGAGTTTAAATCAAATCAGGAAAACTTGTCAATTTGTTCAGGCAGTTAAAATACATTTATGAACAAAACACAAACTAAAAAAAAAATAGCTATAACACCTGATCCTAGGGCAGAAGCTGTTGAATTTTTGCCCTGATTTGGTTTCTCTGCAAGGTGTGGCCATGTCCAGGAAGATCCTGGATCTGACAATTTCAGAGGAGTATAAGATATATTACAGAAGAATTAAATGTCTGGTTATGTTTAAAATTCCCATATCTGACTTAATGTACCTGTAGAACAAGCTATTAGAGTCTGGGGAATAGTCTGTCTTCCCACTCTTGTCTGAGGCTACTGCAAACCTCTGACATTCTTTCTAGGTTAATTTGTTTCCTGGATTTGTTACTTGGTCTTTGGTTAAGAAGGTAGAAGCATTTTTACACTAACTCAAACACCTATGTAATTTACTGCATATTGGTAACTTGTATATCTTAGAAGAGTTATTATCTTGGCCCAGAAAGTCCATTTTTCTTTCTTTTTTCTTTAGAGCCAGGTTTCCAAAAAAGTTTCTAATAGTACAATGTTATTTAGGGAAATCTGGCATGTTTCCACGTTTTAGAAAAAAATTTGTCAACTTCCAGTTTAGAAATGTCTTTTCCAAGTGTACGTTAAGCTGTGCAGCACAGATGAAAGAGTATGACCTAGTACAGTGGTTCTCAAAGGTGTGTCTCTTGACCAGCATCAGTCATCATCACCTGGAAACCCAGCAGAAATGCAGTATTTTTGACACCATCCAAGCCTACTGAATCAGAAACCTAGGAATGGTGTTCAGTAATCTGTACTTTAAGAAGCCCTTTTGATGATTCTGATATATACTAAAGTTTGAAAACCACCATTTTAAAACAAGGATATTCTACCCCTACCCCATACTGTGTGATCCTGGACAAGTAACTTAATTTTCTTTTTTAGATATGTGGTCTTTCTATGTTGCCCAGGATGGCCTTGAACTCCTGGACTTAAGCATTTCCTTTACCAAAGCCTCCTGAGTAGCTGGGACAAGAGGTGTATGCCACCATGTCCAGCTCTAACTTAACTTTTTTATGTCTCTGAATCCCCAGTAGTAAAATGAGGATGATAGTCTCATGGGGTGGTTATGAGAACTGAATGGTATAATACGCATAATTTATTTAGAACAATTCTTAGAACGTGGTAAGATAATGAAAATTTACTATTTCCCATTACCATGTTAACCAGATTATATATGGGATCTTATTTAATCACCAAGTATTTTATGAACTCCTCCTGTATGCAGTGTCCTCAGTGTCCTAACATGTTGGACATTATGAAGGAGATTTAATGTAACCCATAATTTTAAGACATTTTTCTAATCATACTGGGGAGATAAAATGTAGGCACAGAATTGATAACCATGAAAAATAATAATGATCAAAACCACTAATACAACATTCACTCTGTGCTCAACACTGTTCTCATTTAATCTATACAATATGCCTAATAATTATGTATGTAACCCAGCCTCCCATTTTATAGTTGAGGAAACTGAGTCCCATAAAGGCTAAATAACTTGACCAAGGTTACATAGCTATCAAGTAGAGGAGCCAGGAAATCTAACTCATGCAGTCTGGCTGCAAAATCTACGCTTGTAACTCTTAGAGTTTTTGTGTCTAATAAAACACTAGTGTCAAATGATTATTGTAGGCAACATATAAGCTTTAAAAATTTAGAAAAATCATCTCAGTTTAGTGTGACAAGGAGAAACGGCCTTGGCTAAAGGGGCACACTTTTAGTTAAACCTCAGAAGTTTGCTAAGATTTAAAATCATAAAGAACTAATAAAAGCAATTCTGGGGGAGGAATATCCAAGAAAAGTAAGGAAGGTCAGATGTAGCTAGACTCTGTTTGAAGCTAGTCTATTCAGATGTAAAATGGGTATACTGGGAAATACCATTGGAAGGAGATGAGAAATCAAGTACTTACAGTGGTCAGAGAATAGACGAAGTACTCTCTCTATATATTACTTTATTTCACAGCACCCCTGTAAGTTGGGTTCTGTAATTGTCATTCTCATTTTAGAGAGGTATTTACAAAAGCCTAGAAACCTTATGATTTGAATAGTACTTATCTCATAGGGTAATATAGGTTAGGCTTCATAAAAAATAACCCAGAAATCTGTGTGGTTCAATACTAGATTATTTCTTGTTTACATTACATTTGATGTGGGTTCAGCCTGTATAATGTAGGCAGACTCAGAAACTCAGGCTGCTTCCATTTTGTAGACCTGTTTCATGTGGCTTCACTGTACTTGGCTTTTGTAAGCTAGTGGATTGTGGTAGGAGAGAGGGAAAGGGACCGACCATAGGGAAGGGTACAACTGACATATAACCACTCTGCTTTCACAGGTGGCAGTCATCACTTCACTCATATTCCATTCCGTTGACTGGTTCCATTCATGTAACTGGTCATATCACCAAACCTACTGCACGAGAGGCTAGAAAAGGTAAAGAACAAGGCAGTCATCACTTCACTCATATTCCACTCCGTTGACTAGTTCCATTCGTGTAACTAGTCATATCACCAAACCTACTTCACAAGAGGCTAGAAAAGGTAAAGAACATCAGCCAACACTAACAGTCTGTGTGAAGGCTAAATATGCTACCACATGAAAGCAATTTATAGAGTGCCTCTCACCTGCCACACTAAGAAAATATTAACTATTGTTTTTAGTGAGCAATAGAGAACATTTGAATATATGTGTGGTTATAAAAATGGTAGATTACATGTTTAGTTCTGAATATATTTCTGGCATTGTCCCAGACATTTTGTATTTCTACCAGAAATAAGCATTTTGGGAAGACTTTTTTCATCAGCAAACCGATAAGAGATTAGGAAACAAGTGACCAAATTTATTAGAGTCCAGGAATTATAAAGGGCTAAAATTCAGTCATGGAAATAGCCCCAAATTATTGTACAGATTCTTCCAGAATAGAGCTGGAAGGGGACATATGTACCATATATATGTATATGGTATTAGACATTTTATATATATATACACACACACACACACACACACACTCTCTCTCTCAATTCTTTCATTTTGTTAATAAATAAAAATTGAGGTGCAGAGATTAATTAGCATACATTAGATACGACATGTTTGCATGCACAGTTTTCTAAAAAATGTCAAAATATCTAAAAAATGATTTCTAAAAACATCTGAAGTATAAAAGTTTCCAGAGATGGAAAGATTAAATAAATATTGTTCATTTTATTATATCCTTGGATAGGACATTCTTCAATCTTGCATAGTTTATCATCTCCTGAATAGCTAGACTACATCTTCTTAGATTTGGATCTATTTTCTCTTAAAATGATTTTTATAGGGTTTATACCCTTGATATTATTTCCTCTCTTTTATTTACACATAGTTTTTAAAATCAATATTAATATTTTCTATTAATATTAAAGTTAATGTATAAATAGGCTATTTCTATACTTTTTATATTAATAGCATAAGAAATATTTCTAACTTGGAATATATATTGTTTTCCCATTCATACTAAACATATGCTATTATTTTCTCATGGCTTTCTTTTGCTTTTTAAGAGTTTTGCTTCTGAAAGACAAAGCAAGAAGAATTTTATGTTCTGAAATAATCTCTTTGGGTACTGGGGATTCTGTAGTTATAAAAATGGCAGTTTACATTTTTATTTCTGGATATATTTCTTGCATTGTCCCAGGCACTTCTTATTTCTACCAGAGAAAATTGGTCACTGCCTCAAGGCATGGGTTATTTTAGGGAAGTCTCAAATATTTTACTCATTCAGATGCGATTTCAGGGAAGCCATTAAAAATGCGTTAGTTGGACTCATGTAATGAGAACATACTCTTCCCCTCTCATTCTCTTATAGATAAGATCTTTTAACTTACTATCTCACAGGCTATCTTTAGGGCACAAAATCCCTGTTCTCCCGAATGTCTGGATGGCTTTTCTTGCCTCTTATTTAATTTATAATAAGCTTATGGCTTCCCTCTTGTCTTTTTGCTTTAGCAAGTTGGCATTCTGTTTACTCAGAGATAAATATCTCTCTTCATTTATTGGGGAAAGGATATAATCACTTTTCCTTACTAATATTATACTTTAGTCCTTCACCATGTGCCCTTTGGATGCATATGGTCAATTCTCAATCCGGAGACATTTGTGGCACCTTGAGTACAAATGTTCAGACCAGTTTCCTTAACTTTTGTTGAATACAAGAACAGAATTGCAATTTTAAAGAGAACAGAAGGAAACATAATTGGTGACAGAATTACCATTTATATCTTGGAAACAAATTCTGGAGGGTGCAGAGTACATTTCCTTTATTTTTTTAAAGGACATATATTCATTTACGCAGAGAGTTTAACAGCTTGATCTGCAGTACTGAATTGTGTAGATTGCACTTAGTTTGTCCATTTCAGGTTTGTGTTGTAGCATTTCACTGAGATCTGTTAAATTGAGAAATTTTATTTATATCCATTAATTTTTAAAAGGATATAATCTAAAACAGCCAACTAAAATGTTATATCCCTAATGGAAAAAATTTTGTTTATTGTTTTTGCTTCGGTTACATAGTACCAGCACAGTCCCTTGTATGTAATAGACACCCCAAAATATTTGTTGAACAAATACATTACAGTATTTAATTACATTGTAATGTGTAAAGGCTTGAGAAATTGCGTGTTTCTGCCCCCCTCCGCCAAGTTTTTCTATTGAACTCATTTAATTTTACATTAGTGATTAGAAATGTTATTCCTGATAAATTGACAACTGGTGTTATTGCTAATTCACAGTAATTGTCAGTATCAGGAATTGTGAAACTACAGTACTCAGACTTCTAAAGTGCTGTAGTATTTATCACATTCCCCAGGTTTCCTGAGAAACTGAACTATAGGACATATTACTACAAGAAATGTCAACTGTTGATGTCAAATCATAAGGGTATCAGAAATTTCAATTATTCAAATGAGTTTTGTGTGTGTGTGTGTGTGTGTGTGTGTGTGTGTGTGTGTGAAAGGCCACCTAAATGTGTTTCTAGACCTTTCGTGCACTGGGTATAGGACCCCCTCATCTGGAATAGAAGCAATCGATATTTCCACTTACCTGTAGTGACTCAAGTTCTGGGGCTATGCTTCTTTTACACTGGGTTTAAAGTACTCCTAATCTCCAAGTTTGGGATCCTCACTTTTAGGAGCTGGATCTTAAAGTGAAACTTCTCATACAAAAACAAGAGTATAATTACATCTAAAAGGCACTGCTTGGCAAGTAATACTGTTTATAATGAAAATATCTGATGGGTTGTTTTTAGGTGGATTTTTTTTTCCTAGTAACTATACGGGCCAAGCCTAGATGACAAATAAAAAATACTAGCTTTTCCCATGATTCAGAGCACGTCCTTTTAGGGCCATGAATTGTTTGTTAGTTGTTGAGCAAAAATGACATGAATTATCTTGCTGATCTGGTGTCACTTTCCATCCAAATAGCTGCCACATTGCCAGTTTCAACAACCAGAAACAAAATTAATGTCTCAAATAATCTTTCAATGTATTTTTTATCATTTTGTTTGCATGAAGCATGAACACTTATTTTATTGACTAAAACATACTTGTGGGAAAATAAATTGACATATTTTATTACAAATTTGTAAAGATAAATATTCACATTTTACTGCTTTTGTTGAGTTTATGTGATTTAGAGTTTTACAGAAAATACATAAGAATATGAAAGAAAATAAATAATATTTATAAGTATGAAAAATGATTTGGCTATAATTTCTATATTTAAATGAACTTTTCTGGACTAGAGTAATTCCCACTTTAGAATGTTGGCTGTCAAGTTTCATTTACATCAGTTGGCCTATACTTAATTTGAGAAATTCATTTATCTAAAGGATTTTAAATCTGTAAATCTATAAAATATGGATTTATTAATCAAAGGATCAACTCAAACTTTAAGCAGTGTATTCCAATGAACTTTACATAACCCCATGATACCAACAAAAGGATTAGTTATAAATTTTCCCAACTGGCTTCTTACTTTCATGTCTAGCCAGTGATAACAGGGACAATGCTGATGTACTAAAAAAATCTCTTTTTAAAACTTAATCCATAGACTCAGTTTGAAATCTCCTTTGGGAATTTCTCTCATTCATTCATGATTAATAGAGCTTCTTAAGTGGTGGAATATTCACCAGGAAATTTTCACCAAATGAAATATTGGTTCAGCCCTTGATTAGGAGGCGCCCAGCTGGAAAAGCTAATGTTGAGATCTCACAGTATTCTGATACTTCATTTCCAACATTCATCAACTTGTTATGACACTTTCTAATATATTCATCATAAACTCTTATAAGTCTGCATTTAGAACTTGAGGCCAATCCATGCACTGCTCTGTTATGCAGTTCTGAGGATTGTTCTTTAATAAGTAAATAACATGAAGAAAATGTTTAAAATAAAACACTAACTCCAATCTGGATACTGATTATATAAATCACAAATTTCAAGATATTGTTATAGTCTTAAATATCCAAGCAAACTAAATATCTACATTCAAAGGAATTCCAAATACTAAATCATTTGGAAACTTTTTATATAAAGGTGATAAACATAACATCAAAGTATTCCTAACGTAAAAATTCAACCTCTCTTGATCCACATTCCCTAGAATTGTTCCCCATACCTGAAATATTGGATGTAATATTTATATCAGCATCTATGACCAAAATATAGTATTTCATGATAAAATCATTACTTTGTTCCTTGCTGATCTGGTATCAGTTTCCATCTGAACAACTTTTGTGTAGTAACAGTTGCAACAACTAGAAACAAACCTATACTTCCATATTATCTTTGAATGTATTTATTTTTATTGTTTGGAGTATAAAATATTTTTTATTAAATAAAATATGCTTATAGTAAAATATATTTATCTGTTCATTTTTCTGATAAAACAAATATTTATATTAGATTATTGTGTTAAAGTAGCTCTTCATTTTGTCATTAATTATTCTGCATAGAAGCCCAGTGTCTCTATGTATTTGAAATGTACTCTCTAAATTCAGAGTTCCAGGAATACTGTTCTAAGACACGGTCATACTCTTTATGTAAAACAAGTGGAAATGTTAACCGGTGAACAAATTATCGTAGTATAACTGCAGCAGTGCCACAATATTTCTTATTGTACTTAGCAAATTCTTTTTTTGTTGTTGTTTGTTTGTTTGTTTGTTTGAGACGGAGTCTCGCTCTGTCGCCCAGGCTGGAGTGCAGTGGCGCGATCTCGGCTCACTGCAAGCTCCGCCTCCCGGGTTCATGCCATTCTCCTGCCTCAGCCACCCGAGTAGCTGGGACTACAGGCGCCCACCACCACGCCTGGCTAATTGTACTTTTTTTTTTAGTAGAGACGGGGTTTCATTGTGTTAGCCAGGCTGGTCTGGATCTCCTGACCTCGTGATCCGCCCGCCTCGGCCTCCCAAAGTGCTGGGATTACAGGCGTGAGCCACCGGGCACGGCCGGGTTCTTATTCTTTAGTGTGCATAAAGAAGGCTATATTTAAAAAATAAAGCTTACCCCAACCTATCAGCAGGGTTATTTCATACAATCAAAGACAGCAGTTTTCTTTTTTTCTGTTACTTTTATTTTAGGTTTTGGAGCAGATGTGAAGGTTTGTTACACAGGTAAACACATGTCATGGGGGTTTGTTGTAGATATTATTTCCTCACCCAGGTATGAAGCCCAGTACCCAATAGTTATCTTTTCTGTTCCTCTCCCTCCTCCCACACTCCTGGCTCAAGTAGACCCCAATGTCTGTTGTTTTCTTCTTTGTGTTCATAATTCTTATCATTTAGCTCCCACTTAAAAGTGAGAACATGTAGTATTTTGTTTCTGCCTTAGTTTGCTAAGGATAATAGCCTCCAGCTCCATCCATGTTACCACAAAGGACATGATCTCGTTCTTTTTTTTTTTTTATGGCTGCATATATTCCATGGTGTATATGTACCACATTTTCTTTATCCAATCTGTCATTGATAGTCATTTAGGTTGATTCCATGTCTTTGCTATTGTGAGTAGTGCTGCAATGAACATTTGCGTGCATGTGGAAAGACTGCATTTTTCAAAGCATCCCAGGTACAACTGATACAGTAGTTCATAAACAGTCATTTCGGAAACACTGCCCTGCAGTGTTGGAGGCACACTATAAGGATCTAGCCTTGAATTTCTTTCTTGAGGGATATAGAGAGTGAATAAGAAGCAGTTTGTTAGACCTTGGGAATATCAGGTAGCAGCCAGAGTGTTATCTTGCTTTGATGACGTCTCCTCATTCAGCCAAAATGAGACTTGAAAGATGGCTACTCAAAAGGGTCTCACAGGCATTATTGCATTTGCACTACCACTGTGGATCCAGGATCACTTTTCCCGGTGAAAAGTATGGAAGTTTCAACAGCTTACTGTTACTATTTAACTAGAAATTATTATAGTAGGAGAAGAAAAAATCTGCTTCATATAACTCCAAAAAGATACAACTTAAAAAAGAAAATCTGCTTTATTAATTTTTCTTGTAAGATATATCTATTTCAAAGACTAGAACATGACTTTGGCAGACCTCCTTTTTTCACATTCATTCACTCAGGTCCACTCTAGAGATCAAGGTGTCAGACAAAAATCTGCTTGGCATCCAAAGAATTAGAATAAACTGTGGGTTATTCTCAAGAGCTATTTCCATCAAGTTGTTGAAGCTTTATGTTTAGTCTTCTAATTTAGGAAATTGAATCTTGAAAAAGGTCCAGCAACAGAATCAGAGTATCTTCTTTTTGATACTGGTTGAAGAGATGCATTCTTAACTGCCAGTACACTTTATTGTCACATCTTAAAAACATCATTAGTTCATACCTGGCATTTTATAATCATAACTAAGTAAGTTATTTTGGCATCACAGTCATGCCTTTAAGAAAACTTGACTGAGTAATTTTATGGAGATTTAGAATACAATGTAGCTTCATCAGTAATACAGTAAACAACTTGGTGAGGTGGGTTATGGACAGCTGATTTCTTCATTTATTTTTGGTTATTACCAGTTTTATTTTCAGAAAGTAACCTTTCTTTGTTTTGAAGAAAGCCCTGGTCAAAGATTATCCCTGGTGATTATCTCTGATTATCTCCTAACCCCTCTGATGAATAGCTGTTATCTTAACATAACATTCTGCCTTTGAACCATGTCTTAAAATTAATGCAACCAGAAACACGATGTATGTTATTTATTCCTTTGTGGCAAATAGGGTAGTTTATGATTTGGTAAACATTGGTAGCTTCAAAACTACTGAACAAGTTCAAAATATATGGACTCATATTTTCTTAACTTGATCAAACTATTTATTAGCAAAGCGTCAAGATTTTTATCTGCTTCATAATATGTAGATCATCTGATAATTACCTTGAAGAAACAAATCCAGTTTATTTCCCTCTTCCCTTATTTAAATATTGATGAGAAAAAAGGTTTCAGTTTTCTTTCAGGGGAGGGAGCAGAGTGGGGGTTGGGAGCTATTTCTGCTCTCAGTACATGAAAAACTATGTTTTTTTTTTTTTTTTGCTTTTATAGAGGAAAATGTATTTATCTATCTCTTGTAATTATTTTTTAATTTACTATTACTACCAAGACTACTAAGATTATAACTATACACAGAGATACATTATTACTTTGGTTGGCCCTAGGCATTTTTGCCTTCATGGGCCACTTCTTTTGTAATACATATACATATGCTAAAATTATATTTCATAACTGTTTGTATAAATGAATATTTCATCTCAGACTATACAATCTAGGTAGAGATCTGCCTGAAGTTTTATTTCTTAAATCTTAACATTTTAATAATCTCGCTTTGTCATTCTTCATTTAGTGTTTAGGAATTGTTACTTTCTTTTTTTAATTAATAAAATTTATTTTTAGAGTAGTCATAGGTTAACAGCAAAACTGAGCAGAAAGTACAGAGTTCCCACATACCTCAACCCCATACATGCACAACATTTCCTGCTATCAAAATTCTGCACCAGAGAGGTATATTTGTCACCATCAATGAGTCTACATTGACATTGTCACTCAATGCCCGTAGTTTACATTAGGGTTCACTCTTGGTGTTTCATAATCTATAAGTTTTGACAAACGTATAATTACATGTATCCACTATTGTAGTATGATAAACTATAGTTTCACTGCCCTAAAATCTGTGCTTTGCCTATTCATCTCTGCCTCCCACCAACCCATGACAACTAGCGATCTTACTGTCTAAATAGTTTTGCCTTTTCTAGAATGTCATTAAATTGGAACAATATAGTATGTGAATTTTTTCATATTGACTTCTTTCACTTAATAATATGCACTTAACTTTTCTCCACCTCTTTTCATGGCTTCCTAGTTCACTTCATTTTAGCACTGAATAATATCCTATTTTCTAGTTGTAGCACAGTTTATTATCCACTCACCTACTGAATGACATCTTGGTTGCTTCCAAGTTTTGGCGATTATGAATAAAGCTGCTATAAACATCTGTTTACAGATTTTTGTGTGAATATAAATTTTCAATTCATTTGAATAAATGCCAAGGAGTATTATTGCTGGGTCATTTGGTGAGATTTAATTTAGTTTTATAGGAAATTGTCAAATTGTCTTCCAAAGTGGCTGTACCATTTTGCATTCCCACCAGCAACGAATGTGAGTTTCTCTTGCTCTATATCTTCACCAGCATTTGGTATTGTCAGTATTTCTGGGTTTTGGTTATTCTAATAGGTACGTAGTGGTATCACATTGTCTCGTTGTTATTTTAATTTTCAATTTTCTAATGAATATCATGCCGAACATCTTCTTATATGCTGGCTTGTCATCTGTATATATTCTTTAGTAAGGTGTCTGTTGAGGTTTCTTGCCTATTTTTAAATTAGTTTGTGCATTTTCTGATTGTTGACTTTTGTTCTTTGATATATTGGATAACAGTTCTTAAACAGATACATCTTTTGAAATGTTGTCTCCCAGTCTGTGGCTTGTCTTCTCATTCTCTTGAGATTGTCTTTCATACAGTAGAAAATTTTAATTTTAATGAAGTCAAATGTATTTTTTCTTTCCTTGATTTATACCTTTGGTGATTTTTGAACTCTCCTTCCTTTTGCATTTTATCTAAAAAATCATCATCATACCAAAGGTCATCTAGATTTTCTCCTATATTATATTCTAGGAGTTTTAACATTCTATATTTTACATTTAGGTCTTTGATTCCTTCTGAGATAATATTTTGTGAAGGGTGTAGTCTGTCTAGCTTCATGCTTACTCATGTGGATTTTGAGTTGTCCCAGGACCATTTGTTGAAAAGACCATCTTAGCTCTATTGTACTGGTGTTGCTCCTTTGCCAAAGATCAGTTCGCTATATTTGTGTGGATCTATTTCTGGACTTTCTATTCTGTTCCTTTGATCTGTCTATTCTTTCACCAATACCATACTGTCTCTACTACTATAGCTTCATATTAAGTCTTGAAATCAGTTAGTGTCAGTCTTCTAACTGTTGTTTTCCTTCAATATTGAGTTGGCTATTTTGGATCTTTTACCTCTCTATATAAACTTTAGAAACACTTTGTTGATATCCACAAAATACCTTGCTATAATTTTGATTGGCAGTGAGTTTAATCTATAGATCAATAAGGGAATAACTTATATCTGGACAATATTGAGTCTTCCTATCCATGAACCCCCCCAGTGGGATATCTCTTGATTTATTTAGTTCATCTTGGATATCTTTCATTAGAGTTGTATAGTTTCCCCATAGGAACTATTAGTTTTTAATTAGGGGATTAACTTTATTGAAGGAGTTCACTTTTCCCCTGTAACTATCAGCAGCCTGGTGAAAAGAGACCTACACTCTCTCCTTGAGAAGGGTTTCGGCTAGTAGTTCTAAATGGCTGAGCTTGATGGAAAGCTCTTGCTGTCTGACCTGGCTTTTTCACAGCATTAGTTTTTGTTTTTTTGTTTGTTTGTTTGTTTTTTGTTTTTTTTGTTTGTTTGTTTTTGTTTTTTGAGATGGAGCCTCGCTCTGTCACCAGGCTGGAGAGCAGTGGCACGATCTTGGGTCACTGCAACCTCCACCTCCCCGGTTCAAGTGATTCTCCTGCCTCAGCCTCCCGGCTAACTGGGATTACAGGTGCGCACCACCAAAAATTGATATAGACTTTTGCAAATACCTTGAAGATTTTTACCTTTATAATCCTTAGCAAGATTCAGGAGAAAATATAATTGTAGATGTTCCAGATCATGATAAACAGGGTAATATCCTACCTCTTTTGTTTTAGTCCTACTCTCAGTATATTTTACTAAGAGAAACAGAATATACCTCTATTTCTGAAATAAAAGACAACTTTTGGTAAGATTATTATAGTTATCTTCTGTTTAAAAGTTTATCTAATATTATTATTCTTTTCATAATGCATCTTTTTACACTCCAAATTCCAGCCTGAGTTTCCAAGTTTCAATCTTTCATTTGTGTTTTAGAAGAAAAAGGTTAAAGAACTAACTCTAAAACTTACTTTGTATATGACCTGATGCCATGCTTTTTAAAGAAATGTAACAACAACAAAAACAAAATCTAACTCTATCATTTTCCCTACAGTCACATTTTCTGAGATATATATCCTATGCTTGTATTATTTAAATGATTAGTATATGGTTATTTAGATACATACTCTCCTTATCAAGATCAGGATTATTAACTTTTTTGTTGTTTTCAATAGGGATTCTCTACTTAAAGTGTTGCCTGCTCTGAGAATCCTCAATGGCAATATACTAAACTCTAATTCAGAAAGCCGCACTGAAGAACACAATCAACTGGGATCAGCAGGTTTCCTGGCACTTTGTCAGTCTCAGATTCGAGAATTCAACTTGCTAATTGAAAATTATATAACTGGAAAAGGGTAAGATTGTGATCTTCCCATTGATGTATTTAGAATCAATAATGTAATTTATAAATGTGATTTTAAAGTATTCTGATTAACACAATTATACTTTTTTGGATTAGAACAGTGTGTTTTGGGGATATTCTACCTTTAAAAACTTTGGACATCATGTTTTTATTCTTGAAATATATTAATATGTATTTTGAACATAATTTCAAATATTTAAATGCTACAATATTAGATAAAGAAAATGAAAGCATGTGGATAGCATCAAGACAAGAGGCAAAAATTCATAATTATTCAGTCATAATTTTATTCAATAATTATTGTAGGCAAGACTATTTATCCCCAAATAATTCACAAATTAACATAAGAGAAAATTGGGTAAACACCTAGAATAGAGTGAGGTAAGTTTTATAACACATGTAATTTATATTACATATTAAAATAGTGTACATATACTTACGTATCAAGGTATCATGGGAGCACAGTAGAAAAAAGCAGTCAGCACTTGCACCCATTTAGACTACAGAAGTTGACAGTAATCAGAATCAAATGTTGAAGAAAGAAAACTTCCTATTCCCCACCTCGAATTCTGAATGCATTATAATTGATATTTCTAAAACTGTACTTTTTAATTTGCATTATGTCAGGAAATGTAAATTATAAACAAAGATGATTTTGTATTGTTTCACTTACAATGACTCTTCATTGCAATTGGAAAAATAACATGCACTTCCAAATGTCTAAATTTTCCTACTAAATTATATTCTTAAGGTTTTGCTATTGATACTTTTATATATGCTTGTCCTATGTAAAAGTTCGTTTTCTGTGTAAATATTTTTGAACATAGTCTATTTTGATTAAAAAGAAATCTCACATCATTAAAAATAATTTCAATTGTTATAAGTAATGTTTAATGTAACAAATACTGCGATTATTTACATTTGTCTTTATGCAAATCTAAAATAATATTTACTTGTATATATGTGGTAATATACAATTTTGTATGTAAAGGTGACTCTTCACATTCCCTTGAAGTCCAAATTTCAACATGAGATTTTAAATGTAGTCCTTTGGAACTTAAGTTTTATTTTAGCATTGAAAATGGAAAGACTATAGGAAGAAAGAAAATTCTAATTTTATAATATGTAAAATAGACTATATTTTATATGTTGAATGCATAAGTGGTGGTGAGTTCAACAAGTAACCATAAACACTTAATATTCTAATATTGAACTTTTTTTGCATTATTAGCCAATGAAATGAATGAAATACAAAATATAAAACATATATTGGATGAGCCTATGCTAATGTCTAAAATTACCTTTGTGAACATAGGAGCTATCAAATTGTCTCTACATTTTTGGAAATAATTGTAACTTTCATTTTGTTTGATGTGATTAACATTTTATTTTTTATATACTGTATTTTTTCAGAAAAAAATTAGGCAGCTTGTGGCAATATATTAAATATAGCCAGAAAATACAAGTTAGAAATAAGCAAAAATTTTTAGACATGAAATAAAAATAAAGGAAGACAAAATGTAGCCAAGAATAAGGCTCATACAAGTGAAAAGTCCTTTACATTTCTTACTGAGAACTTCAAATCCAGCCAACATTAAATTTTGATTAATTATACAAGTTATAAAATTCAAAAGCTAGAAATCCAATCATTGTTCAAGAGAATCTTAGCCATTAATGTCTTAAAGTACTTGAATTCTCTTTGCAATAGATTATTATTTTTCCAGAGATAAATGGGAATAAAAATTTTCCCATAATGTAAGTTCTTTGTTTAAAAGTCCAATACAAATATTTTGCGTGGCAAAAGTCAATGTAGAAAGCACTTTTAACTTTATTTCATAAATAACTTCTCCAAATTTAGTCAGCCATGATTTCTCATGTTTATGGTAATAAAAGCATGAATTTTTCTCATTCATTTATACCAAAAATACCTAGAATAAAAATGGTCCTAAAACTTCCAGACATTTTGTCTGGACTGATGGTTCTAAATTAACTAAACAAATGTTTTCAAATTTTGTTATAAACGAGATCAATTTTTATATAAACAACTAGAAATAATCTATAATGAATGTTGTACTGAAGTTTAATATTCATTTGAGGCCATACAGTGAAATTTTCAAAACTTGCACAAGTTTTAATATTTGCTGGTACTATTCTTATTAAATGTTCTCATCATTTATTTGTTCAGAGATGTATTTACCTTGGATACTGCAGAAAATCTCTGTCATTATTTTAAGAAATTGATGATACTTAGTACTGAATACCGACATGCACACGAACGAGGGGATGTAACTATCACCAAGAAAGATGAATCAGAAGCCCAGAAAAATCATTTGGCCCCTACAAACAGTGACAGCACTCTGCAAAATGGAGTCTTCTACTCTTGTGCACGTGAAGGTGAGCCAGACTCACCAGATATTCCTGAGAAATGGATGGACTCTGTCTCCAGCCACTCCCCATTAAGCAAATCCGCCACATGTGAAAATATGGAAGGAAGACATCAGGAAATATTAGTATGTCAGAAGAGAGAAGACAGCAAGGCAAGCAGTATTCCCACCATAAGAATCCCATTTAAGGAAGTAGTAATGACAAATTCTTTGCTGAGGAATCACCAAAATATTGAGCCTAGTGAAAAAATGTAAGATATATAAATAATGTTTCTTTTATAGATGTATGTTTACTCCTTTTGATGGATGATATTAGTCAATGGTACCTAGTAATTTGCTGAAGGATTCAAATCACAATCATATTTCATACCGATTCCATTATGTTTTCGTGAGGTGCATTATGTTTTCATGAGGTGCACAAATCATTAATTATAGTGCATATTAATTTGATTAAATTCTCATTTAATTTCTAGTAGTATTTAAATGAGTAAATGTGAGTTTTTTTCTGCCTTGTAATTTCTAAATAATTAATATGTTTTAAGGAGAAATAAAATATCACAGTCTAAAAATAATAAAAACATTTTCTGAGTAATCAAGTATTTTCATTTTTTAAAAATATACCTTTGCAGGCTGGGCGCGGTGGCTCATGCCTGTAATCCCAGCACTTTGGGAGGCCGAGGCGGGCGGATCACGAGGTCAGGAGATCGAGACCATCCTGGCTAACACGGTGAAACCCCGTCTCTACTAAAAAATACAAAAAATTAGCCGGGCGTTGTGGCGGGTGCCTGTAGTCCCAGCTACTTGGGAGGCTGAGGCAGGAGAATGGCGTGAACCCGGGAGGTGGAGGTTGCAGTGAGCCGAGATCACGCCACTGCACTCCAGCCAGGGTGACAGAGCGAGACTCCATCTCAAAAATAAATAAATAAACAAAATAAAAATATATATATACCTTTGCACATGCCATTTATTTGCCCATTGATTTAATAAACATTTAAAGAGCATCTTTGCACATATTTGAATGTATGTGCTATAGTTTTTTGGCATTAATAGATCTATAAGGTAGGGCAATATTCTGTATGATTAATCAAGTAAACCCCCTTATAACCATTAAATAATTTTAGAAAGCTAATGACTATTGAACCAGCAAGGATTAGGTTTTACTTTGGCCTGTCAATTTCTTCTTGTTCTTTTTACTTTTGGCCTCAGAGTCAAGCTAAGAAAAGAAAAATTGCTCAGATTTATCTTCTTTTATAAATTACTGGTGCTGAGCAGTGCAAATATCAGAATATCACAGTAACTAGCAAATCTTGCTTTTCCCAGTCTTCCTTTTTTCAAAAGTTGTCAGGGTAAAGAGTAATTTTTATTACTCTGGGAGCTAGGTTAAGTAATTTGATATGCTGAAACTAACTTGTTTCCTAATGTAAATTTTTAATATTTATCAAAAGTGGCTTTAATATTTTCTGATTTATGTTTTATCAGTTTATTTAATTGGTTGCCTTTGCTCCAAACACTTCAAACGTTGCCTATTGAAATTTCATATAAACAATATTTTTAACTTCTTAATCCTAAATAAAATAGCCAAATGATGATAGTAAGTAAGGAAGAAGAACTGAAAATATAGATAAACTAAAGACCCAAAGAATAAACGGGAAAGAAAATGTATACCCGTTGCTGAATCTTAACATTCAGTGATTCAGGAGATTCACTGCCAATTGTATAAGAGTTTCCTAAGAATTATTTGCATGTGCTCTTATTCTAAAGACACTTTTGACATTATAATTTTGCCAAAAACATGATGATCATGATGATGATCATGGAGTTGTTTTTCTTAACCTGTAGTGCACCCTACATTCAGGAAACCATAAAGTCAGCTTCTTTATCTGCTTTCAATGTAGTGAAAAGCAGTCCATATGTTAGTGTCACTGAAGAAAATACCCCTCATCTACCTTCTGTTTTTGTTTTCCCTGGGGAATTTTGATGATATTAGGCTGAGGAATTCATGCAATCAATGACTTTACAAGAAATTCACAGTTACAGTTCGTGAAACTTGCATGTGTCTATAAAGAAATATAAGATACTGTCTCAGGTTTGATGTGTTTTCCCATAAGCCTTTTAATTTTTACTGGTTACATATTACAAATGTGTTTTCTGATTCTTTTATCACCCAAAGTGCCTATTAAAGGTGCTTTGAAATCCCCTAATCCATTTTTGTTCAAAAGATGAAGTAATGAATGGATGATTGAATGAATAAATGTGAATTATATTTATATCAAAATTTACAAAGTTCTGTTTACCCTAGGAGGAGGAAATGATTTGTTGGAATATGAATATTTTTTTCAAAGTACTGGAAATTCAAATAGCTTATCTTAGACCATATATTTTAGCCTTTAACTTCAATATTCTATTCGTAGTAAAACAGATTGGAGCCTTCTACTGGCCTTACATAAAATGGGGATGATGATGTTAACAATGATGATGATAGTAATACCGATAATAAGCCAAAACAACAATAGAAAATGGCTTCATAATTCCTTTCTAATTTCCCAGAAATGTATTACTATGAGAAAAAAAATGTGTGGTCATATCTAGTAGAGTTTATCACTTCATTCCACTTTGCCTTAAACTAAATTGTATAAGGAATGGAGAAGTTTCATTGGATTTGGCAATTATAAAATTATTGAAAACTATTTCAAGGGAGCATTAGGAAATGGAGATAGGTCAAGAATTACTAATCTTTTTAAGCCAATGTCAGGAATTTGAAAAGAGAGTAAGAGAGAATAGTCAGCACTTTGACTACACTCTTTACCTTGTAATATTCCTCTAATAATCTATGTTGGGAAAGTAAAACATTTCTGATTAGTAAGAGTTAAATTACTAAACACACTGACAATCCACTTTTATAATCAATGTACATTTTAAATCACGTTTTGCTAATGTTGCTGGGCAACTTAAGGAGATATGGAAAACACATAACATTGATCCATTCAGTGCCTGAAATTGGCAAATAGATGTGGACCAGAAAAATGTTAAGTATTTACTACTGAGTCTGTAAGAGTGTAATTTAACTGTTTGTGGGCAGAGAAGAAAGTGAAGCTCCTAAGCACCTGATAGGGTCCTTCCTCTTACAGTAAAGGAAGCCTCCTTCCTCTTACATTCGAAGGTAATTTCTCCACAAGGAATAGGATTTTACCCGCTCTTGCCAAGTAAACATTGGCTCCTACATTTGTCCTCTCTCTTCTGCCTCACCACTTTTTCCCCTTCTCTCTGGACAAATATCCCCAGAATGATACAAGATCTCTATAAATCTCTCTCCTTAAAAGAAACAAATGAAACTCCCTTTTACCCACATACCCAACTACTGGCCCATTTCTTTTCTTCAGATTGGAAGGTTTTCTTACTATTTTTACTTCTATGACAATGGTTAAACAAAAGAAGTGGTCTTATTTTTAAATAATACTTTATGTGTTCTTTGTTTAAAATCTTGTTTAGGAGGACCTTTTATCTACAACTCTGTATTTACAGATAATAAAAAAAGTGTGTGTTTTTTTTTCTCCTCTTAATAGTATGGCAGCTGTGGTAATCCAGTCATACTGGCGTGGTTACCTCATGCGCAGACAGACTCATTTCTCCACAAGGCTACATACTGCTGCAACAGAAGGCCTGCCAAATTCTTCCATCAAGAATCAGACTATTTTAAAGAAAGGAAAAAGAGAAAATATTGTGAATATCCGAAAACAGAGGGAGAAGGCTGCTATTCTTATTCAGGTTAATTTCAATCTTTTGGTAACATAGTTACAAAAGATATATTAGTTGTCTTTCATGATTTATTCTGTATTAAAAATAACCTCCAAATCTCAGTGATTACAGTTATGTAGATTTATTTCTTATTCAAGTGACATGTTGGCTGCAGGTTAGCTGCAGGTTAGCTGCGGGTTGGCTGTGGCTCTGCTTGATATCTGGATTGAAGGAATAAGCCTTAAATACAAAATACCATTGCATGACTGAGGGTCAAGCTGGACCACACAACCATATTTAAAACTTCTCATCAAGGCAGGATGTGGTGGCTCAAGCCTGTAATACCAGCACTTTGGGAGGCAAAGGCAGGAGGATTGCTTGAAGCCAGGAGTTTGAGATCAGCCTGGCCCAGAAAGCGAGACTCCATATCTACAAAAAATACAAAAATTAGGTGGGTGTGGTGATGCACACCTGTAGTCCTAGCTACTTGGGAGGCTGAGGCAGGAGGATTGCTTGAGCTCAGAAGTGTGAGGTTGCAGTGAGCTATGATCATACCACTGCACACTAGCCTGGATATAGAGTGAGACCTTGTCTCAAAAAACAACAACAACAACTTCTCATCAAGTATGTCATTTGTCACATCTGCTAACATTTGATTAGCCAAAGCAGGTCTTGCTTGGCCTTGATAGCTATTTCTATATGTTTGAAAATCTACCAAAATAATTGTTAAAGTTTTTCAAATACTTTCATTTAAAAATTTAGAAAGCAAATAATTAATAGACTTGACTCAATCTCACCAAGACCAGGGTTTTCTTTTTAAGCAGTATAAAACATTACCATTTATTATTGTAAAATTTTTGTAACTCAGAAGTCCGAGCACAACATGGATGGATTTTCTGCTCAGTGTCTCACCAGTCTGATATCAAAGTGTTGACTGGGGCCTTAGATCTCGTCTGGGGCTTGGGTCCTCTTCCAATCCAACTTGTTGCTAGAAGAACTCATTTGCTCACAGCTGTAAGACTGAGGTTCCCAGTTTCATTCTTTCTGTTGTCCAGGAACTTCTCTCAACTCTTAGATACCACTGGCGGTACCTTACCAATTGGTCCCCACAGGCAGTTCACAAAGTATATTCCAAGACCAGATTTTAAAACGAAGTTCATGTTGATCACACTCATTTTTAAAAATTTATTTACTCATCAAATTTTTTTAGAAGGTACAACTTGTCAGGAATTGTTCTAGGCTCGGGAAATAAAACTTAAAATCAACAAGATTCCTACCTTCATGGAATTTATATCCTGGTGGAGGATGCAGATATAAACTAAATAAAATAAGATCTGTAGAAATTCGTGTTAAATGATAGTAATTAAACAAAATTTAGCATTTCCCTTTATTCATTCAGCAAATATTTCTTGCTACAAAAATCTTTGTAGCTTACATTCTGTTGGAATATGCAGTTCATAAATATGTTAGCTATGAGAAATATTGTGGGTGAAAATATAAAGCAGGAAAAGTGGGATGGGAGTATCAAAGAAAAGCTTATCAATTTAGATAGGATGGATGTGTAAGACCAGGAAATGTGACATTGGAGAGAGACTTAGCCATTCGATATCTGTGGGAAGAATATTCGAGGCAAAGGAACATCAGATTCTAAGGCCATGATTTAGTAGCCTACTCACAGTGTTTAGGAATTAGCAAGAGGCCAGTGTGACTAGAGAGTGATGAAAAGGAGCAAAGTAGGATTTAAAAGTCAAAGGTCTTATATGATATGGAAAGACACTGGTGGAATTTGAACAGTGGATTGACGTGGTCGAGTTTACTCTCTGTCACAATTATACTGTAAGAGGACAGAGGCAGAAAAAGCCAAATCAGTTAGCATCCTATTACAGTAAACCAGGCAAGAGATAACGTCAGCACGGACCCGAGTATCAGCAGCGGAGGTGGTAAGAATATCACATTCCAGAATATGTGTTGATTTTATCTTGAGAGTAAATACATGAGAGATAGGAATCAGGAAGGTCTCCAAGTTATTTAGGAAGAGCAACTGGAAAAATGGCCTTAAAATTCAGAAAAAAAGAAATTACCCTTCCTCTCAAGTTCTCAGCTCTTAATATTAAAGACATAGCTTTCAAGAGAAACACCTTTGCTGAGTTGCTAATCAAGGTATCCAGTATTTCCATTTACTTAATTTGTCTATACTGTACTCCTCCTGAGAACAGTGCATAGGCAAACCTGTTTTTGTTACCTGATAGAAGTGGGAGTGAGGAGACAGCAATTGATTCAAGGAAACTCTGAGAAAAAATAAAAAGAAACTTCACTTACTATCTCCAAATGTTATTTTGCTACCTAAGGAATGTAGACACCATGCATCCAAACTCCCGCCTGTCATCGGTGGATGAACAATACATTTTTCAGCATTGACAGTAAACAACTATTCAACTTTTGCTTCATTCCTCTCACTAAAGAGAAGGTTCATTACCTTATGAAGTAGTCTAGTTGTGACTGATACCTCTGTTGTGAGTTCTTTGGTTGAGCTTCTTTGTATCAGTAACAAAAGGAAGCATCATTCAGTCTTTCTTTGTAACTTAATGTAAGTCTCTTTTGTACATCCTATTACTTCACATCATTGAAGTGAACTCCATTTTCACATCTGTTGGGAACAATCATCTAGCTTCTTAAATGACTCATCTTAAAATATGAATTTTAGACTGCCTAAACATTCTGAGGGAGTACAGTGTGATATAGCAGAAACAACCGGGGCTTAAGAAGGATCAAAATGAAAGGTTTTGTGAAGGATGTGCCAGAGACTGCTCTCTGTTCACCAAAACCACATTCTTCTCTTCTTCCTGGCATAGAGCCAGACTAGATTTCCAAGCTTTCCTTGCAATTGAGCTCTCAGAGTTCTCGTCATTAGAATGTGAATGATAGGCCGGGCGCAGTGGCTCATGCCTGAGATCCCAACACTTTGAGAGGCCAAGGTGGGTGGATCACTTGAGGTCCAGAGTTCGAGACCAGTCTGGCCAACGTGGTGAAACCTTCATCTCTACTAAAAAAAAAAAAAAAAAATTAGCCAGGCATGGTGGCAGGTGCCTGTAAACTACTTGGGAGGCTGAGACATGAGAATCTCTTGAACCCAGAGGGGAAGGAGGTTGCAGTGAGCCGAGATCACACCACTGCACTCCAGCCTGGGCAACAGAGTGAGATTTTGTCTCAAAAAAAAAAAAAAAATTTCAATGGTAGATTTGTGCATATCACTTTCAGATCTACCCCATAAAATCTCCCACAGACACTCCTTCATTTCATTTTCCCTTTCTGATTGGCTGAAATGGAGACAGCACCCAAGTCACCTCATGTTAAAGTGCTGTCCCACTGGCTTGTTTACTCTCAGTGTTTGTTATGTGATCAAGAGATAAACTCTTGTTTTTGGATTATTATGCATTTTTACTCTGTTATAGCACTTACCCTACCCCACTTAAAGGATATGAGCTACACCTTAAGTAATAGTAGGACTCAATGTAGATAGGTAAGAGATAGGAATTCCAGGTATAAAGGACAGTGTAAGTAAAATAACATAGGATTTAATGTTACTTAACATAGGATTTCATGTCACTAGAATGGTAGTAAGCTTCAGCACAACAAGAATACCATAAGAACTAGAATCTTAAGAGAATGTAGGGGTAACATGGTGAGAGATGTGTGCAGTTTCAACAAGGAGCAAGTATATAGTATGCTACAGGGGGTAAGAGTTGATGATAGTTGGAGAACAAAAAGATGTTAGATATGTCCAGTAGAGAATTGTCAGGCCAGAGAATTGATTTGAATATATGAGAAAGAGAGATGAGTTAATCATAGATAGATTACTAGGATAAAAATGTGACTTAGTCAGAAATAAATAAGTTAGAAGAAGAATATGAATATTACTTACCCACATGTTTACATGACCATTATTTCTGATAAACTAAACAGAGATGGCTGGGTCTTGAATTTCTGACCCTAAGCAGATTCATGAGGGAGATATAGATATCTCTGTGTGACACACCAGAAAACACACATGCTATGTATTTTATAGTCTGGAGCTTTGCAGAAGCCCAGACCCTGATGATTTGAGCAGGATCCATTTTGAGCCACAGTGAATCAATCCTTTGGCTCATGTCACTTAGCGCTGGATGAAAGGTTGCCCTTGCCAGCTTCTTTTCACTAGGTCTGCACTCAATCTTGATATCATTATGTTGATATTTTAAAAAGGGAGGAAGGTAGGTAAAAAAAAAAGATATGATGACCTCAGGAAAAAAGATAATCAAGAGAAAGAGAGCATGTTTCCCTGATTCTTGGAACCTTTCGGGACAGGGTTGCAGAGGAAGGGATATGCAGGGTACCTCCCTAGCAGGAAGAAGCCACTTGGCCCATTTGCCATGTTAGGGAGAAGGCGTTCTGAAAGAAAGCAAGTAACCAAGAGAGCATAAATACCCAGATATGAAAATCTAAGGCTGGGCCTGGTGGAGCACTCCTGTAATCTCAGCACTTCTGGAGGCCAAGTTGGACAGATTGCTTGAGCTCAGGAGTTCAATACCAGCCTGGGCAACATGGCAAAACCCTGTCTCTATAAAAAATACAAAAATTAACTGGGTGGCATGTACCTGTAGTTTCAGCTACTCAGGAGGTTGTGGTAGGGGATCTCTTGAGCCCGGATGGTCAAGGCTACAGTGAGCCAGGATTGCACCACTGCATTCCAGCCTAGGTGAAAGAGTGAGACCCTGTCTCAAAAAAATAAAAAATAAATAAATAAAATAAAATAGAAATAAAAATAATTTTTTAAAATACCAAAATGAAAGAGGTAAAAGAAAAATAGTGTTATTTATCTCTGTGGTAGCTTGCATGCACTAGTCATCCAGACCATGTGACATGCCAATCATAAAGAGGGCAAAGAGCTGATGGTATGCTCCATAATGGGTAAGTTAAAAAGAGTAAAAAAGTTAGAGGTAAATATGATTAAAATTAATCAACTGTATTTTTTAACATTATACAATGTTAAATATCACATGATTTTCTTATTTGTTGAACTAAGTGAATAAAGTTGTCAGAAATAAAGCATCAAGGAAATTGGGGGAAATATATTTATTGAGTGCATATTAGGTGATAATCACATGCTTATCATTGTGTTTAAATTTTCTAGTTTAATCTACATGGCAATCCTATATGATTTTTTATATTTTTCCCTTTACAAATAATTTTGACCTTTCTTGAAAATATTGATAACAATCATAATTTGAGTTAGAATTTTGTAGGTT
Source organism: Homo sapiens (assembly GCF_000001405.40). Lineage (NCBI taxonomy): Eukaryota > Metazoa > Chordata > Mammalia > Primates > Hominidae > Homo > Homo sapiens. Next base: position 85,133,289 of record NC_000012.12, read on the forward strand.
GGGTAAAAAGAAAGTTGTATCAGTAAAAAGTAGAAAAACATAGTTTAGGCAATAAATAGACTAGATAACATAGCCCCTCCTGGAGTCTCAAACCTACGCACACTTTCCTGGAAAAGAGATCTCAGTATGTGTAAATGGAATCTGAAACCTGACACATAAGCAATAGCAAAATAAATTGTAATTCTTCCGAGGGTGTGACAATATATTTCTTACTTCTCCTGTGGTGAGGTTGCCTTGGAGAAAGCTATGAAGGAAGCTGCTGAAATAGATGGTGAGGTTTGATTGAAACAGGTTTCTTCCAGGAAGATAAAGTGGCACTGGGGGTAGACGGAGTGGATATGTTTCAGGGTTTGAAAAGGATAATTGAATTTTCAAGCCAGACATGTTGGATGGGTAAAGGAGTAGAGTTATGAGGAACTAGCCTCTTTGACAGTGCTGTCTCTCCACTCAGAAAGTAGGGTAGGTAACTATACCTATTCCTAGAAGCCTGAGCTTCTCACAGCTTTTTGGGAAGAAGGAAGGTTAACATTGAATGACTCAAGTATTTATCACAGTCTGGGAAAAGAAAATCTCTACTATACTGTATCAGATAAATCAGACTATTAATAAGCATAATTAAGGACTGGGTTCACCACTTGTGAAAAGCTTGTAAATTCCAACACAGTAGTATCACTGAGGCACAGTATGCCCATCTGTATCAGCATCTTCCAACTCCTGCTCAGGACCACAGTCTCAAGACTATTGGCAGCAGTAGAAGCTATAGCACAGCTTCTGATTTGATTAGTGCAAGACCAGTTGGCCACAGAATGAGAGTGCAAGAATGCATAGAAGACAGCAGTTGTAGGCCACTGCAGAAATCTTGCTCTACTGAGCTTAAGCCAGAACAAGGGTATAAGGAATAACATTCCGGCTATTAATTTTGCCTGCTGATGGTATATTTAGGTTGGTGGCTCATAGGCTCCATTATGCACATATATTCAAATGTTAAATACACAGTGGGAGGTCCTTAGGATACCCTATTTAAAATAGCAATACCTCCCCAATGCTCCCCATCTCTTGTGACTGTTATTTTTGTCCATAGCATTTATTTAGCATACAGTTTAGTTCCCTTGTGTATTTTATTTTCAGTCTCAGTCCCCTTTAAAATGGGAAGTCCATGCTTAGAGATTTTTTTGTCTGTTTTAGTCACTGCTATGTCATGTGTGCCTTGTATATAATAGACATTCAGTAAATTTTGAAAACCATGCTACTTATTTACCCTCCTTGATTTGTATGGGGTGGGCTCCATGGAAGAATACTGTTCCTTTGCATTTCCATCAAGAATCGTGGTTATATCCTTAATCATTGGAAATTATGAATGACAACCAGCAAAAGAAGCTTGTAAGATCACGTGAAGCTTGATTTCTCACTTTATGTAATTTTATTGATTGTAAGAAAAAAGATAAGTGCACTATCTGTGACTTTCTAAACATTTAGTTACAAAACATTTCAAAAGTACAGAGAAGATCCAAGACCCCATATACCTACCTTCAACATGAGTTGAACTACTGGTCAATATTGACTCTTTTAAAACCCATTCACATCTACCTCCTCATCACTAGATTATTTGAAATAAATTATTCCTTTCATAAATATTTTAGCATGAACTTCTATAATTCAAGCAATTATATTGCTTTGAATATAATTTCAGTACATTACCAACCTTAAAAATAACAATTATTTTTCACTATCACCAAATATCATATCAGTATTACAAATTCCTGTAGCATTTAATACGTCTTTGCAGATTTTTCTTAATCAAAATAAAAGTCATCACTCAAACTTTTATATGTTAAGTCTTTTATTATACAGCAACTCCCTTCTTTTTCTTGCAATTTATTTATTGAAGTAACCAGGTCATTTGTCCTATAGGGTTTTCCAATTTCTGAATTTTGCCAAATGCATCCTCATGACATCATTTAACATGTTTATCATCTCCTGGTTTTCTGTAAATTGATACTAAGATCTACTGTTTGTTCTGATTCAGGTTTTTTTTTTAGCAAGAATATTTCATAGGTGGTGGTTGTATTACAAAAATGAGATACATAGTATCTGGTTGCCTCTCTTTAAGGAATATTACTGGCCATTGGTAAACATTGCCTAGATCGATTATTGTATTAATGGTTTGCACAATGGTGATACTTTCTATCTACTATTCTTTATTAACTAAAGTATGTAAAAATACAAAAAAAATACTTTATTTAACTAGTTATCCTAAGGTACAGTTCAAATTAGAAAGGCAAGTTAAATGCTTGATATTAATAATTTTCCTTAATTTACCAATTTTTAGATTAATGAGGTCTCCTAGCATTCTCCAAAGGTCACCAAAATGGGTACTATGATAATAAACACAGATTTTAAATATATGTGTTTGATTTCATTGCAGTTAGTAGTCTCATCAAGTTCAATTTTTGCCACAATTTAGTAGTCTTTAAAATTGTCCTTGCTTTCTAATGTGACACAATGTTCCAGGTTCATTTGACATACATTTTGCCCCAGGCCTAGAATCAGTCATTTGTCTAAAGATCCTTGGTTTCTTTAATGGAAATGACATATAGAGCACCCCATCTGGATTTTAGAAATACTTGTTTCTACTGGTTTGGTCATTATTTATATAATGTACATTCAATGTACTTAGTTTGCAGATAGATATTTTTAGGAAAAAAAATATACCATGGGTACATATTGATGTTTTGAAATTATAGTTAGGACTATAGGATTTTTACTTATTTAATTGTATATTTGCATCTCTTTTCTTCTATAGAAAATCTTGTTTTTTACTGACATTATCATAATTGCTTTCTTTACTCCTCTCCCTCACTCCTCCAACCTGCGTGTACTTGTGTATGTGTATGTGGGTGTGCACACACATACGTATACAGTGGAAATAAAGACCACACAAATGAGAAAAAAATGGGCTACTCAGAGTATATGCTAATGAAGGAGTCAGCCATCATCACTTGCCTTTGGCATAGACCCCAAAACGTGGAAGGGAGTGGGAAAGTTTTTAGTGGAAAAAGGGAACGCTTCAGGTATGCTCTATTGGAGGTTGTTGGCATGGGGAAAGTGGGTAGGGAGAGACTAGAAGTAGAACATATTATGTGATTGGTTTGGGAAGCATATTTGGCTTTCTCTGGTTGTTCCTGAGTTAGAAGCAGAGTTAAAAACAAGGAAGCTGGGTCATTGATCAAGTTTTGACCATTCTTGGCTAATTGCTGCAGAGGTTGTCACTTAGCATTCTGGGTTATTTGCTTCAGAGATTATGGTTTGGCTTCCTAGGCTGGCTGTTAACAAAGGTTGTGGGTGACTGCTATTGTCATAGAGGGTTTCACCATTTTGTATATTTCACTTTGCTCTCTCTCTCTTTCTGTATATATATATATTTCAGAATGAAAATACCAATCTCATTACTAACAATATGATTACTGAAAACCATTTTAAAATCTCTTTTGTGGCCAAATTTGTCTTTTGAGTATATTTCACCTGGGGGTAGCCAAATAAATCTATTTTAAGTCACTTTAAATAACTTGTATGGTTATTCCACAGCATGAAACATTTTTTATATTTTAGGCATTTCTTTCTGTTTCATATTTACTTAATTTGTTTCACAGTTCTCTTAAGCATGTGCATAGTTTGAAAGTCAAATCCAAGCAAGATGTATTTAGAGAAGTCTGGCTTCTATTGCTATACATTCTACCCTGTTTTATGCCTTTATAGGTAACCATTTTTAAAATTAATTTTATAATTCGAGCTTTTTAAAATTTATATATATACATATATACTTCAAAATATGTGTTAATGTAATGTATATATTTATACACAGTTTTTCATAGCTAAACAGTAACATAAAAAACACTTATTTCTCCCTTGGTTTTTACACAGTATATTCTGAAGCTCATTCCACATGAGCATAAATATATTCTTTATATTTATAAATATAAAGATATCCATTTTTTACAAGCTACATTGTACTTGGAGTTATAGTTAGGAAAGCTCATCCTACTCCAGGATTACTGAGGAATCTGAATATTTTAAATTTTGTTATTTTATGCTTAATTTATTTAAAAATGAAATTAATTCATCATTATAGGCCATAATACTCCCTGTATAATATGGCCATTTATATATGTTGATGTTTTCTTAATTGTGCTTTATTTTATACATAATCATTTGAACATTAGCAAAATGGGTTTTGCTTTGTATCTCTTTCTTCTTAGTTTAGAATGGGTCCTGGAGGAATTGTAACATAATTGATTGGTTGACCTACATGTGCAGTTGAGGGAGTTTTAAAGATTCTTTTTTGCTTACTACAAGGAAAGTCTCCTGAGATTCAGAACTTTAGACACATGTCGTCGTTTAATTTATCTTTCAGTTTTAAGTGTCACATAAAGTTCAGAAAACAGATTATTGTGTCATTAAACTTAGGTCTAAGATGTTTTATCTTCCTAATGGGATAACACAGATAATCTGGTTTAGGGTTTGATCTATAACTTTGTATAACATACTTTACATTTTTGTTTAGGCAGTTTGGAAGGGCTTTATTTTGCGAAAGAAACTGACAACAGCTCTAGAGGCTATTAAGAATGAAGAATCCGATGAAGAATACAGAGAAATAGATTTAGAGGATTTTATATTTGATGAAGTAAGTACGAACTATAGTATATAAATATTGGTCTTAAAATACATTAAGTGTACTATTTTGAAGATAAACCAGTTTCTAAGGTGTTTATCCTATTAATATTGTTACAGACTTTTTTCCTAACATTGAGAAACTTTTCCTAACATCATCTTCTTTTATCCTACAAGCTTGTATAGTGTGCAAAGGTGGCAGCAAAATACTTACAAGAGCGTCTTTGTGCCCTTCAACCATGTTCTCCAGTTATCAAAATTAGGGAATTAACATTGATGTAATACTATGATCTAATCAACCTTATCAAATTTGTGAGTAGTCTTACTAATGCCCTATATTTAGTCTGAGATCTAATCCAGAATCATAAGTTGCATTTAGTTGTCATTTTTCCTTAGTCTCCTTTAAACTAGAATAGTTCCTCATCTTTTCTCTGTATTTTACAAATTTAATACTTTTAAAGACTACTGAAAAATTATTTTGTAGAATATCTCTGAATTTGTGTTTGTTACATAGTCTCTTCTCATTGTATTCAGGTTATGTATTTTTGGTGAGAATACAACAGAGGTGATATTGTGTTCTTCTCAATGTATCACTGCAGGAAGGTGATGAAGTTTCTCAGGACATAAAATTATCCTAAACTGCATTTGGCTTAGCTACACAGTTATAAATCCCCTGCCTTAAAACTTTTTTGTAAGTGGATGGGATATAAATTAATATAACCGTAAAGGTCATATGATATAAAACAGAAATTTTTAAATGCTGTAATTCCATAATTTAAAAACACTTAAAATCTTTTATGCTAGAAAAAAAGCCTATGTTAAACAAACATGAAACATACAAATTTCTCTTTATTTTCTTTCATCTACCTATATGACCATCATTTTTCCAAAGTTCTCCTTATCTTTTTAAAACCTGACCATGAAGTTTATACTCTGATCATTGTAATCATGGTAGTCTTACGTAGCAGATGTGTGAATGGAGTTCTAGTTAATTTTTTGCAGCACTTAGCCAAGGCTCATGAGGAGTGAACAAGGATATGATGGTGAGAGAGAAACCTATGAAGATTCAGTGACTCATCACAGCAATGGAATTTCTAGGACTGTAATAAACTGGGACATGTTGGCATTACTTCCAAAGTAAGGGGTGGATTGTTGCTTCATGTAGTTTCCACCACTAAGAAGAATGAGTTGGTAAACCTCTTTAGGTTCTAGAGGCTGCATAGATCATTCTTGGGAATACTGCTTCAGGTTTAAAAAGGGCCCAGAATAGGAAAGATCTTTTCAGCACACCCATGCTATGTAACAAAAAGGGCATCAACTGTAGACATTCTGTTACTAAATCATTCAAAGATATGTGTAAGAATACATTTATTGTATCTTAATGAGCTTCAAGGTTCTCTTACCAGATGTCATCTCACAATAACTGGTCTAATTTATTTCTGGTAACTTTAATGTGTTGATAGGAAAATGAAATGGAAGTAATATCACTACGTGCCCTAACTGCAAGAGGTAAATATAGTCTTATGGTTTCATGTGTACATATGTGACACGTCAGTGAGAATTTTGATATTCAATTGTATGGTATTTTTCAGAATTCAGCTAGGAGACTTGAACTCCATTTTATAAACTTTTCAATTTTTTCTATCAAACGTAATTTACTGAAAGTCTCCAAATTACACTGCAATAATGAATTATGAATTTGTGAAAATATTATCAATAAGACTATGAAGATGAAGGTGTTGTAGAGACAGAACACTATTGCTCACGTCTGAATTATTTTCATAGGCATAATCATACCTTAATCAAAAGGAAGCCCTTAAAAATTCAACATTAATCTATTAGGTTAGGAAACTGCTTTTTTGGAACATGCTGCTGATTAGCACGTTTCTAGAAATGTCAGCATTAATATTTTTAGTTGATATTTGGGTAGTATAATTGTAAAATCTACCATTATTTTGCACTCTCTCAAATCTTAAATGCTCAAATAAATTGAACTGTTTCTTTCTTCACATTCTTGGTAAGGTCAGCTATTTATTCTCAGGAAAAAAAACTGTGTTTCTACTTCTATGTAATGAAAAAAACTAGGTATCATGAAAACAATGTAAATGCTTTTAAAATACACTTATATGCAAAATCTTTCTGGCTACTTTCTATTCTAAATTTATCTCCAATGTTTTTCAAAACTGAATTTAATTTACCTTGTTTTTGAAAATATTGAGTAAATCGAAGCCTGCTTTCCTCACTTCAGTTTTCCACAACAAACCTCAATGTGGAAAATACTATTTCATAATGACTTGTATTAATAAGAAGTCAGTTTCTCTTCTTTCTGATGTGTTAGTACTGACTATAATAAAATATTCAAAGCGTTTTGGAATATCTGAAATAGCAAGAAACCATGGAGATTTTGTTCGTAGTGGTCTTGTACATTTTTAGTTGATTTGTTCCTAAGTATATATAGAAATACAATTTATTTTTGTATATTGACCTCATCTTCAACCACTTTGCTGAAATCACCCATTAATTTTAATAGATTATCTGTCAAATATTTTGAATATACTGTATACACAATCATATCACCTGAGAATGACAGTTTTCTCTTTTTTTCCAGTTCTTATACCTGTTATTTATTTTTCTTGCCTTATTATCCTGATTACTGCTTCCATTATAATGTTAAATAGTGATGATATTAGCAAGCGTCTTTTTCTAGTTCTTTGTCTCAGGGTGAAAGCTTTCAATATTTCACCACTAAGTAAGATGTTTCCTATAGGTTTCTTAGAGAAACTCTGTATGGTTTAAGGAAGTTAACTTCCTTAGAATCTTAGAGATTAAGATGCTGCTGCTGCTGCTACTGATAATGATGATGATGGTGACTTTATATGCAATTTGGATTTTATCAAATACTTCTTAATACATCTAACATTGACTTTCAAACATTAAACCTTGTATTCTTAGAATAAACTAACTTAGCTATAATGCATCATCTTTTTCTACCTATTACTAGCTTATATTTGCTATTATTTTATTTAGCATTTTCTCATTTTATTCAAAAAGAAATTCACTATGTAAATTCTATTTCTTATACAGCTCCCTCTTCAGGTTTTAGTATCGTATTATGTTGGCCTTATACATTTTGTTGGGAAGTGTTTCCTCTGCTTCTGTTTTCAAGGGGAGTTTGATATAAGATTGATGTTCTTTGTTGTTCAAAATTTTGTCTCAGCATATACTATATTTTTTGAAATGTTTCATGTGAACATAAAAGGAGTATGTATTCTGTAGGTAAGTATATTGTTATTAAAAATCTCATTTACTTTAAGTTTATGGTTTTTTTTCTTTAATCTTCTGTATCCTAAGTGATTTGCAGGAGGGGCATTCTATGAGGTATTGAGAGAGGAGTGCTAAAATCTCTTACTCTGCTGGTGGATTTCTCTAAATTGGCTTTTATTTCTGTCACATTTGGCCTCATACTTCGGGGCTGTGTTTTTGGGGCATACACATTTTAAGGCTAGTTGAATTATTGTATCGCTGAACCTCTTATAATAATATTTTCCTCTTGAACAATAGTTTCTCTCTTTAACTAATTGCTTAAGGGCCATTTCCTTTGATATTTTTATACCTACAGCAGCTTTTTTTTTTTTTTTGGCTACTGTTTTCATAACGTATATCTTTCTAACCATTCTCATTCAACTTTACTGTGATTTTATATTTAAAATGTATCTTATAACTGCATATAGTTGGGTTCTGCTTATTTTTATATTTTATTCTGGCATTATTTTTATTAGAGTATTTAGACTGTTTTAATTGATTTTAATTTAGAATATAATTTGGTTTATACAATTTTCATTTGTTTTCTATTTGTTCTATGTTGATTTTTTCCTTTTTATTACCCTCTTTTGCATTTATCAAGTATTTTTGTTTTTCTATTTTTCCCTTTATTCACTAGTTAATTGAGTTTTATTTTTTCGTGTGCTTCATTCTTTCCTGCCATTAACATGCTTCCATCTAGGATCATTTTCTTTTGCCTGAAAGACACTCTCTAGTAGGAGTCAGTTTTTGATTGCTTGAAAATTTATTTCTTTTTTCAATATTTTGGAATATTTATCTAAATATTTATCTTCTCTAAGAATAGAATTCTAGTTAGGCTTTCAATTTTTAAATATGCCATTTTGTTAGCATTTCTGGCTTCCATAGTTCCTGTTGAAAAGTCAGTATTAAGTCTTAACTTTTCTTCTCTGAAGATATTGGCTTCCTATCCCATCCCCCAGGTAACTTTTAAGGTTGATTTTCTATTTTTGTTTTTCAAACTGGCTATGATTTTCTTTATTGCCCTGCTTGGAGTTGGTGAGATCATACAGCTTCTTGAATCTGTGGTAAATATCTTTCATTAGTTTTGGAAATCTCTTGTCCAAATTTATTTCAAATATTTGTTCTTTGATGTTTTGAAGTATATATACATTGTGAAATATGTAAACCTAGCTAATTAGCATATGCATTAGTTAACACATTTTTATAGTGAGAATACTTTCATTCGCTCTCAACATTTTTCAAGAGCACAATCTGTTGTTAGCTATAGCCATCATGTTGCATAACAGATCTTTTGAACTTATTCCTCCTCTCTAAGTGAAATTTTGTATGCTGTGACCAAGATCTCCTGCAACCGCCACCACCACCCCCACTGACCACCTTAAACCCTAGTAATCACCATTATACTCTCTACTTCTGTGATATTAAGTTTTTTGGATTCCCTGTCTGAGTGAAACCGTGAGGTATTCTCTTTCTGTGCCTGGCTTATCTCACTTAACATAATATCCTCTTCGTTCATTCACGTTGTTGCAAATGACCAAGTTCCCATCTTTTTTATGGATGGATAATTTTCCATTGTGTATTTTCTTTGTTCATGTATCCATTGATGGACACAGTTTCATTCCATATTTTGGTTATTGTGAATAATGCTAGAGTGAAGACAACGATACAGATATCTCTTCAACATACTGATTTTATTGCCTTTTGGTATACCTAGTAGTGGAATTGCTGGGTCATATGACAGTTCTATTTTTAATTTTTTTGAAGAGCCTTCATAGTGCTTTTCATAATGGCTTATACTAATTTACTTTTCCACTAACAGTGTGTGAGGGTTCCCTTTTGTCCACATCCTTACCAGCACATGTTATCTTTTATCTTTTTGATATAGCTATTTTAACATGTGTGAGGTGATATCTCATTGTGGTTTTAATCTGCATTTCCCTGATGGCTAAAGCTGTTAAGCATTTTTTCATATACCTATTAGCCACTTGTATGTCTTCTTTTAAGAAATGTCTGTTCAGGTCCTTTGCTCATTTCCAGTTGATTGATTTGTTGTTTGTTATTGAGTTGTTTGAGTTCCTTATATATTTTGGATATTAACCTCTTATCAGATATATGATTTGTAAATATGTTCTCCCATTATGTAGGTTGTCTCTTCATTTTCTTCGTTGTTTACTTTGCTGCACTGGAGCTTTTTAATTTGATGTAACTCCATTTGTCTATTTTTTGCTTTTGTTATCTATCTTTGCTTTGCTTTTAGGTTCATATTTTTAAAATCATTGCTCAGACAAATGTCATGGAGTGTTCGTGGTTTAATTTGGATGTTTCCTACTGACCTACTTTGTGTTCATTAATCATGCTCCCTACTTTAACTCATGATGTTTTTAGCCTATTATATTCTTATTTTGTTATTCTATTTTTAGTTATAAAATTCCTAATTGATTCTTTTTTATAAATTCCATTTATATGTTGAAATTTTCTATCATGTCCACTATTTTGTTGAACATAATAAGTATGGTATTTTCAAACCTTTGTAATTTAATGCAATACCTGGATCACTTGCAGATATCTTTCTATCAGGTGTTTATGTTTTGTTTTTTAGTCAGCTTAAAGAAGCAAGAGGTGTGTCCCTGTATTGAGCCAGAACTGAAATCTTTTTAAAATTTTTAAATTTTAGTTTCAGGGGTACATGTGCAGCTTTGCTATATAGGTAAATTACGTGTCGTGGGGTTTGAAGTACAGATTATCACATCATCCAGGTAGTAAGCATGGTACCTGACAACTAGTTTATTGATCCTCACCTCCTCCTGTCCTCCGCCCTCAAGTAGGCCCCAGTGTCTGTTGTTCCCTTCTTCGTGTCCATGTGTACTCATTGTTTAGCTCCAACTTATAAGTGAGAACATGCAGTATTTGGTTTTCTGAACCTGCATTAGTTCACTTAGGATAATGGTCTCCAAATCCAGAATTGAAATATTTATAAATGAGTATTTCAGTACTAAACAATCATTTTAAATCTTCTAGGCATTGTTCTTACCACAGTGAAGAAAAGAGATAAGATCCCTGACTTCATAGTATTTACATTTTATTTGAGGTAACAGACAATAAATACATATATAAATATATAGTAGAAAATAAGATATTGAAAATTACTGTAAAAATTAAGAAAGTTTAAGATATAGAGCATAGTGTTTAATTGGTTGATCAAGAAAGGCCTGTGTAAGGTATAACACTTTACTAGAGATGTGAAAATAAAGTGAGGGAATAAGTTTCATATAAACAAAACAGTATACTATTTTGGGCTAAGTGTCAGGCAAGTATGTAAGGCTTGAAATAGGAAATCAGCGTAATAAAGGAAGAGAAAGTTTACAATAGGTAGACTGATTAGTAAAGGAGAAAAAATAGAGAAGAGAAGAAATACAAAAGTAGCCAGGGATCAGTCCACATTAGGCCTAGGATATGATGTCAAGCACTTTGGATTTTATTTCAAGTGTGATAGAATGTTATTATTGGGTTTCAAGTAAGGGAGTTAAATATTGTTCATATTTTAAGTGGATAATTTTGTTTGCAATGCGGAGATTACTTCATGTGACCTATCTTTACCCCTTTTCCATTGCCATCACTTTATTTTAAAATCATCTTAAAACTTCAGATGATGTAATTGAATTGTTTTGTTTGTTTGTTTTTGTTTTTTGTTTTTTTGTTTTCTTTTTTCTTGCTTAAATTTTTCTGTATACAAAACTTACCTGACGAGGATTTCCCTTTTTTCACTGATTTAGTTGAAAAAAATAGTTGCCTTTAGGATTAAAACTTCTGGATTTTTAAGACATATCCTTATGTAATTATATAAAATCTTCTCAAACTTATTTTTTCCTTTCCTGCCAACAATGCTTACAATATGGCAGACACCATGCTTAGTGCCAGGATAGGTAAATAGACAGAAAAAACATAGCTCTAAGTTTAGGGAATATCAGAAATATATTAGAATGTTTTCAGTTAATTATAATTTTTATAAGAGGAGTAAATATAAAATTATCATGATAAATTAGCCAGGATCCAAAAGCCTAGATCAACTGTCCATGAAATATTTCCTTAGATTGATTTGTTGCCTCTCTGAAATGTGATTTCATTTAACAAGTGATTAACCACGAACACTTACAACCAAGAGTCATTTTATTTTAGTTTTGTTAAGTATAGTTTACCCTAATTTATTAAGTGCCAAGAACTATGAGGGATCTGAGATTTTATCCTACATGAACTCTAACAAGTTAGGATGCTGATAGAAGGAATGAAACTTCAAGAGACAAATACAGTTATTACCTGTAACAGCAGGCAGCAAGAGCTTCATGTACCAATTCTCCTTTTCCCCCAAGTTCCATAGGAGGAAATCTGAAGAATGTCTTCCTAGTAGTCTTGAGCCTAGGATATCCCATGTCTTCTAAACGGCTGTTAGCAACCCTGCCCATCCTGTGCTCCACAGAAAGTTGTTATCTTTATTACACCAGACAGCAAACAAATTTCTGCCCTCTACTCCAAAGGGAAACACAGTCTCTGCCTTCCCATTCTGTTAGTTTTATGAACATCTTTGGAAAGATAGTCTGTAACAAAATCTGTCGTAAGTCATGCAGAATTGTTAGAGATCCATGGAGAATTGTATCCCAAAAATATCCATCCCTTGTTTTTACATGAGAAATTTTCTAATAAGTATACTATTCCAGTGGCCACCCTGAATAATCTGACAGGGGCTGGGACAAAAATCAATTAGATTTGCCTCATGGTTCATGCAATTAAGGTTACTATCAATAGTCCAGGTGTTTTCTCCTTAATTTTTAAATTGATCTTCCCAATAGGCTTGAGACTTTAATCCAACTATAGCTGGACTCCTTCTTTTCCCTCAGGAAGGAATTACAGGACAATTCTGCCATCCAGAATAACCCTGGTCAGCGAGTTGAAGCTGAACTGAATGCTTTCTAGGGCTATAGTGCTGTTGACTTAACACTTAAAAGTATGTTATGACCACCACACCTTCTAGGTGGTAATTGTCCACCCCATGGGATGACTGAGGATGGGGATGGGGAAAATATCCACATCTGTTTCACAAGGGAAGTACAACATCTGGGGCCATGCCCTGCTGTCTTGATGGATTTCTTAGTAAACTTAAGATAAATTACTATGAAATTCTGTTCAGAGCCCCTTGGAAGGGGATGGCAGGTCCATTAGTAAGTTAAATTTAAGGTGCTTGCAGCAGTTTGGGACAGTCCTGCAGAAGTTTTGTTTTTGTTTTTGAAGGAGGCTATAGGGGCAGTTCAAAAGATAAAAATCTCCCTCTTTCATGCTTCCCAGGATTTAAGGTATTCCTTTCAAAGATTCTGGTTTTTTGTTCTCCACCTACTCCCTCAAAATTAGGGTGTTACATTTCAATAGTTATAACTTCACCATTTTTCTAATCATTCTGTATTAACACTTAGACCTTTCATCTTGAAAGTTCAGGAACAAGGAACAAGTGCACTTTTATAAACCATAACTAAGATTAGTTTGAATACTCTTACTCTTCTTTTGGCCAGGCTGTACCTTGTTTAATCATTCTGGCCTATACTCGCTGTTAGAGAAAAGAGATACTCATCATACCCAGGAATAGTCAGGATAGAATCCTGAGTTGTCCAAATAGATCTATATTACCTTCCATGCATTTTTCCTAATCATTGCCTAGGAAGTGACTGCAAGAATATGATATTTTTTGGGAGAGAGCCATGCTCACTGATAAAATTGCTTTATATAGATGTGTCGATAGAAGGAGGTGATAGAGGTAGGCGCAGACTATCAGTTCATTGTTGATTAGCTTGTGTCACAACTGTCACAATCAAATGGTACAGAAAACTGAAAACTTAGGCAACTAATTTCAAAGGCCACATTTGTATGGCCAAAGCCAGCTGATGGATAACCTAAAAGATATTAACAGTGGCAAAGATTTGAAGGTGTAGTGTAGTCAATTTTCCAACAGGAAGGGGCAAAAATCCACGAGATGAGAGACATCCTTCACTATAAGACAAATGAGAAAATTTTTCAGGAATCACAAGTCTGATATAAAAAGTAGGTCTACCTTAGATATAAAGTTAGACCCAATCAGTTACTTGATTCCAGTCATTCTTATTAGGGAATGGGCCCTTACCATAGGCATCTGTATGAATAACACAGACAGGGCTATAGGCAGCTGTGATTTGTTTTCCCTGTTTGAGGGCCCAAGTCATGGTGTCTTTGGCTTTTCATGTGGCAGACCCAACTGTTAAGCCATTGGCAACAGTCCAAGAATCAGCTTGCTTTCAGCTTAGCCAAACCATCACTGAACCAGGCTCAAGAATTTAAGCGAACTTGGGTGAATTGAGGTCCCTGTGAGACATCAAATTTGGTTCAGGCAGTGAAGTGGAGATGAGTATTCCCTGAGATAGATAGCTGCTATTTTTTTTTTTTTTCATGAGAAACCGAATGCTACTGAGGCACATTTTTGAGTATACCATTTTCTTTTTACAAGTGAAACCTTTTGGGACCTTCTCACCTTGTTGGTCATTGAATTCAAGTTGTCCCACCCAAAATGGGAATTATCAAGCCAGTGAGTCACAAGAACTCTAAGTGCCAGTCATTTAGTTTCTAAAGGAATCAAATAGAACGACAATAGGTGCTTTTCCATAGGAGTGTACCTGATTGCTGTATCAGAAAGGCTGCAAATCCAAAACCAGAAGTGATGTCTCCAGATGAACACTGCCTCCATTGCCAGTTACAAATCTATCCAAGTTCAACTTCATTTTCAATACATAAGTAATAAGTACATTTGATAATAATTCTCAAGTAGCTAGAAAGCTTTCCAGATCCTCGGTTGTAATTTAAAGAATATCTGAACAGAAGGCTTTCTTTTTTTTTTAAATGTATTTATTTATTTTACTTTTAGTTCTGGGATACAAGTGCAGAACATGCAGATTTGTTACATAGGTATACGTGTCCCATGGTGTTTCACTGCACCTATTGACCTGTCCTCACAGATCCCTCTCCTTGCCTCCCCACCCACCAACAGGCCCTGATGTGTGTTGTTCCCCTCCCTGTGTCCATATGTTCTCATTGTTCAACTCCCGTTTATGAGTGAGAACATGCAGTGTTTGGTTTTCTGTTCCTATGTTAGTTTGCTGAGGATGATGGCTTCCAGTTTCACCCATGTCCCTGCAAAGGACATGATCTCATTCCTTTTTATGGTTGTGCAGTATTCCGTGGTGTATATGTACCATCTTTTCTTTATCTAGTCTATCATTAATGGGCATTTGGATTGGTTCCATGACTTTGCTATTATAAATAGTGCTGCAGTAAACATATGTGTGCATGTGTCTTTTAGTAGAATGATTTATATTCCTTTGGGTATATACCTAGTAATGAGATTGCTGGGTCAAATGGTATTTCTGGTTCTGGATCCTTGATGAATCTCCATACTGTCTTCCAGAATGGTTGAACTAAATTACATTACCACCAACAGTGTAAAAGTGTTCCTATTTCTCCACAGCCTCACCAGCGTCTGTTGTTTCTTTACATTTTAATAATTGTCATTCTGACTGGTGTGAGATAGTATCTCATTGTGGTTTTGATTTGCATTTCTCTAATGATCGGTAATGTTGAACTTTTTTTTATATGTTTGTTGGCCATGTAAATGTCTTCTTTTGAGAAGTGTCTGTTTATGTCCTTTGCTCGCTTTTTGATGGGGTTATTTGTTTTTTTCTTGTAAATTTGTTTGAGTTCCTAGTAACTTCTGGATATTAGACTTTTGTCAAATGGGAAAGTTGCAAAAATTTTCTGCCATTCTGTAGGTTGCCTGTTCACTCTGATGATAGTTTCTTTTGCTGAGCAGAAGCTCTTTAATTTAATTAGATCCCGTTTGTGAATTTTGGCTTTTATTGCAATTGCTTTTGGCATTATCGTCATGAAGTCTTTGCCTATGCCTGTGTCCTGAATGGTATTACCTAGGTTTTCTTCTAGGGTTTTTATGATTCGAGGTTTCACATTTACGTCTTTAATCCAGCTTGAGTTAGTTTTTGTATAAGGTGTAAGGAAGTTGTCCAGTTTCAGTTTTCTGCATATGGCTAGCCAGTTTTCTCAGCACCATTTATTGAACAGGAGATCTTTTTCCCATTGCTTATTTTTGTCAGGTTTGCTGAAAATCAGATGGTTGTAGATGTGTGGTGTTATTTCTGAGGTCTCTGTTCTGTTCCATTGGTCTATGTGAGTAGAAGGCTTTATTAAGCAACAACTGAAATTTGTATAAATTTGCAGTGGTAAGCATGATATATTAACATACATTTTAAAAAACAGTGGTATATTTATAACTCCTAGCCAATTCCTCCTGACATTTTGAGATTTTATTTCCCTCAGCATACTAGGTAATGCCAAATCTATTTGATATTAATAAGCTTGAGTACATATAAATTCGTTGTCTTGGTAACATATTTTTGTTGCGATTATATAATTACCAAAAGCATCTTTAACATTTTATATAAAACCTTCTCTTTATGCTTCTAGAAATTTCTAAGAGATAGTAGTTAAATAATTGTTCTGGGATTCTATAAAAGTTTCTATAAACTTTCTATTCAGGAAAAAAAGGTATTTTCAAAGTTTTCTGTACTTTTAAATATTAATTAGAAAATGTCAATTTTATCCAGACTTTATGTAGCCTTTCCAAGGAAGAGCACTCTATCAACATCTCTATGATGTGGCAAAGAAGTTTATTGTGCTTTGTGGGATCTTGTCCTGCTGAAGAGAGAAAACAGCTGGATTTCTAGAGAATATAAAAAGTAGATGGTTTGGCAGGTGTTTAAGAAAACAAAAATTTTAAAAAGGCTGTTTGTATAAAATCAGTGTAAGAGTCAGGCAACTTGCCTGACAGTGCTGGTCGTTTTCCATAACCACTCCTCAGGTGGCATGTTGCCTTTGTAATATTGTCTCCTTCACATTTTCTCATCAATTTAGCAGTTTTCAGCAGAATAAAAATACTAATTCAATTATAGCTGATATACTGGCCCTTGATCTTCCCTGAGATATGACTGGATTTTCCCTTGTCATTGAAAAGAAAAAACAAAAAAACTCTAAGTTCTAAATCCTGTTTACAATTTTACATCAAATAAAAATTTCCATCCCCACCTTATTTTAACAGAAAAGTCATTAGATTTATTTGTCATTCATGATGAGCTAAAGAGAGAATTCTGATTGTATAAATCAGTGGGAGTTTACTGAGTTACTAGCCTGATTTAACAAGCAATCAACATAAATGGCTTAAATACATTAGAAATAAATGGCCGTATCTTTTTTTTCTGTAATTTTCCAAAAGTACCAAAGCATATGTGTTTCCTTTTATTTTAGAGTCTCCTTGAACTGTAGCCATTGTTTCTAGATTGCCATTTTCAACCCTTTTCTTTCTGTGAGGATGAGAAGGAGGAATACTCATGGCTCTGGTGAGAGAGCTTTGTCTCTCTCTGCCTCTCTCTTTTTCCAATAACGCATTTTTTTTAACAAATATTGAATTATTTACAAATACTGAAATTTGAATTTTTAATTGACAAATAAAAATTGTATATGTTTATTGTGTAAAACATGAGATTTTGAAATATGTATACATTGTGGAAAGGCTAAATTGAGCTTATTAACATGTGCGTTACCTCACATAGTTAACATTTTTTTTGTGGTGAGAATGCTTAAAATGTATTCTCTTAATGATTTTCAAGAATATACTATATTGTTATTAACTATAGTCACCATGTTGTGCAAAAGAGCTCTTGAATTTATTCCTCTCATATAACTGACAAATAGCAATTCTTCAACCAAATATATATTAAACCATATATAACTATGATATATATATATATGTATATGTTAATATTCGCTACCTAGAAGAAATTTAACAATTGATCTGTCTAGCAACTGAATAGAGGCACACTATTTACATAACATTCAAATGGTGCAAGTTTGGTTAGGTATCCTAAGACTAAATTTCATTAAGTGAAATTCTGTCATTGCACTACCTGCCTGTAGTCAATATGTCCTAGGCCTGCCTTTCCAATGGTCTTTCAAAAGGCAGTCAAGACACACTGTAATTGTGTGAATGAAAAATTGCATTTACATCCCCTCAGAATAAATTATTCTAGTTTTAAATCATAAAATGTTTGATTATTTTACAACCTTTTTTAAAAAAAATTGGTATTCTAAGCATCTTTTTTCCCCCAAAAAATTACAGAAACATAGAAATTAATTCTAAGCCATATTATATATTCAATCAAGTAAAAATCAGATAATTACATCCTAAATTATACAACACTAATATAATTAGCAGGTTCCATTGTGGAAAGATAGAGTAAATTTGGAAATTCCATAAATTGGAGAAATATGTCTTAAGAGAGGGAGTTTAAAACAGGAATTTCCAAATTTGGGCTTAAATTTATAATTTTGTTTTTTGAACAGTTGAATTAGAGAATATAAATCAGGGACCATGTTCCTTGTATTGTTTAATTCATTGCCACAAAATGTGGTTTTTTTACTCTATTCAGAAAATTTGTGAAAATAAAAAAAATTTAAGAAAAAGCTGGTTTATAGACTTTATAGAAAAATTGACACTAACATATTAAAATACTATAAATTTTCAATAGTGATGTCTGTAGTGTAAGAGCTAAAAAAATGACTTTACTCAGTTCCATCTAGATTTGGCTCAGAGTCATAGTTATAAACAGTTAAATACACTGAAGAGTCTGCACCTCATTTTTTAGAGCATTCAAATATCAAGTTTTCACTTTATCCAAAACTTAGGGATGAAAAGTCTTATCCCATTTTTAGCATGTTTTCATTAAACAGATGAATATCATCTCACAATAGTAAGTAGAAAATTTCCTGTAAATAAAAATTCTGATATACTTTGTCAACATTTGTAGTCTATAAGATGAATTAAAAGAAACATTGTAAAAGTTATGTAAGCTAAATTACATACATTTTAATATTATTTGTGCAGGCTGCCTTAGAAGAAGAATGGCTAGCATTAGATTCCACCCGCTTCCCTTCACAAACACTGCTTCTTTCAAACCAGCTGCATTGGCCAAAGGTAACATGTCATGGAAACTTCTGAGTCCTCGATCTTTGCTCATTTCTTAAGGTTATGCTATGTTGCAGTGATTAATAATACAATTTATTGACTTGAAAAACATAATTACTTTTAGAAGCCTCTGACTTCCTCCTCATCCCCAGATGTAATTTTTCATGTAGCTTTTCTTTCATTTGCTCCTTTTTTTCTTTATTTTGGATTTCTTTCAACACTTTATTTCACAGTAGCAAAAGAAAAAAAATGATATGCTTCAGCTGCATATTTGGCAGTAGACTAAAATCACTAGTTGACAGCACTTTAAAAATACAAAAATATGCATTAAGAGGGCAACAGCTGAAGATTTTCAGTCAGAGGTCAATGGACTGCAATATCTGTTATTTATTTGATAATCTTTGAAGTTTTAGTTTTCTGAGATTTTTAAAGATCTTTGCAATTAATCATTTTCTATGTGAGAGCTATCCCAAAAAGCATAATTTCCACCACTACAACAAAGGACATGTATAATATATTACATAAATTTCATTTTATTATAATTTTAATTTTATAATGAGTTTCCCTTAGGAGGCTATTTGGTAATATGCATGTAAAATAATACAACATAAATGCTAGGATTTTTTATTTTACTTCACACTTATTTACTTTTTTTGTGAAAAGATTCCTGGAAACTTAAAATGGGATGATACTTCATTTAATTTACCAAGTAATCCAGCTCAAGCATGGTTATGTAATGACAAAGAAAATTTGTCTTCTTCAGAACACACACAATTTAATAGCAGGTAAGCTAAACTATTGTTTTAGAGAATCAACTTGTGAATGACAACAGTATTACATATCATACAAAAGTAGTACAATTATAAAACTAGATGTGAATTTACTTGTTTAGGAAACAGAATATTTAGTGTTAAAAACATCATGGTCATGAAGAGTTTTCAGTGTAAGGAAAATGAATGAAGTAGGTACATTAAAGCAACTACAAAATTTATATGTCAGGGAAACAATGTAATTAATTATTGTAAACAAGTGGATCTTTAAATACTATATAGGTACAGATAATGATTAGACTAAAAATTCCAGTGCTATGTTACTTTTCACAAAGGGATTGAAATATGCTTCAAGTAATTGAAATGTAAACATTTTAAATTAATGGCAGACTTTTATTGCCTTTCAAGATAATGTTTTTTGCTAACTTAGATTTTATTTCCAAGTTTGAGACAACATAAACAGTTTGTAGTTTTAAAAAGTGCTGATATACTTGTGTTGATTCAGTTAAAAGTGGTTTTTTTCTATTGCCAGATCAGAAAATAAAACTTCTTCCTGGACACCTGAATCAAAGACCAGTAGAAAGAGTTTGCTAAAATCTGAAAAAGAAAAAAAAATTTCAGAAGAATGGTATGTAGTCAATTTGACACTAATAAATTAAAAAATTGAGAGATTGCTAAAAGTCCAAGACAGATACTTTTCAAGATTTTAAGAATACCTATATTAGTTTTTTATAAATTGTCCATCCAATTTAGTTTCTTAAATGGGAATTCACATTTATTTTAGTATGCTATAATTCAGATATGCATGTCTATTTTTATATGCATATCTAAATATGATCCGGGTATTTGTTTTACCTTTATTATATTTAATCTTTTAATAGGGGCTTTAAGGATATTTCTACTGCTCAGCAAATGTTGAAGAGGGCACAGAAAATGAAATCGAAGAAACTAAAGAAAAAAATAGGTGAGTAATTAGTGCTCTTTGAATAATAACTGTGTATGGAAAATTGAAGATAACTTCTTTAAAATATATTTTATAAATTATGTTTAATAAGAACAGTAATCAATTCACAGATGACTATGTCTAAGATACTCTGAAAAAAAATAAAACTTAAGAGAAAATTATGCTATGCCATTGAATGATTTATACTCTTAAACACTATTTTTACTTTTTCGGCTCTTTCTTATATACTTTGCTATTGATTGTTCTAGCTATTGTGTACTGAGAATTATAAGTTGTTTTAAAACTGGTTCATTTTGGCAAATGTTGACTCTAAAGAGTATCTGTTTCACTCCTTAGTCTTTTGCGTGCTTTTAAATTGCTTGATTATTCAATAAATTGTATAAATTTATCAGTTCAGTGGATTTTAGCTATGAAGACTTCACAACTTAGAATCTTGGAAAAGCAAAGTTTATATATTTTATGATTTTGTAGGACTTGCGAAATGTTCTAAAGCATCTTTTATTCTATCCCACTTACAAGGCTACTCTTTAAATCATTTGTTTTTCTTTGGATACCTCTAATCATTTTAGTGTAATTACTTAATATATGGAGTCAGAGAAGAAATATCAGGATATTATGATATCTTTAATTAAAACTATTTAAAATAATTGCATGTAACTTTATATATAACTGTAAATATTTACTCATATAAATATAAGAACATGTATTTCTTTTGTACATCAGTTTTGTTTTCTAAAGTTCTTACTGTTAGTAAAAAGTTTCCAAAAAAGACCAGTTACTCATGAGCAGTGCAATAAATGTATACTTTTCCTATAGATCTAGCTTATGTAATCATATGAAAAAATATTTCATAAAACTATTTTTATCTTTTTCTATTAATTATATTTTAATTATAATTCAGTAAATTCTAAGAACCAGATATAAATATAACATTTTAAAACAAGTAAATGTTGCAAAAGTGCTTTTGATTTTCAAGGAATAACTGATATTTATTGGCACATCACTGACTAGCCATTGATAAGTTACTGGTGATTCATTTTTATATTCTGAAGTGTTCAACTTGCATACCTTATTGTTATGTTAGTGATATCTTAATTTTTTTACTTTTTTGTGATAACATTTTTATTGAGTAGTAAATTTTTTCAGGTTTAAAACATTAACATTTCAAGCATTTTTAAAGAAAATATAAACACCTTGCTTTTTAATTTGTTTGTACCTCCTGCACTCTCATTTTGTAAGCTCCTATTAAGTTCATCAGGCTTCTCTGAACTGAATGCTATGTGGTGGTTACCCAGTGAAATAGTAACTCCAGACTCTTAACGATAGTGAGATTCTCTTTCAGTTCTCTAGATATAGAATCTAGTAGTGTAAATCTGGTAGTGTAATAAACTCTATTATTGCTTTGATGTCTATTTCTACCCATCTTCAGCAGTATCAAAAACATTCTTTAAACAACTGTTTTGAGAATAATAACAATTTCTGAAACTCCTGGGGCAAGTTCAAATATCAGAGGTGGTTTAAGAACTGATTCAGCCAATATTCAACAAATAATTATGACATAGTTGTATTCAAGGAATTTTGCTAGGCCCACTTTTAAAAGTATTTGTAATGTTTGCAATAAATAGCCTCCAGTAGTGAAAGCAGAGGAAAAGCTTAGCTTGTCAGACTTCCCATATGATTCCGTCTCTGGGAAATATATAGGTCTTTCTTGCCAACTCTTGTAATTGAGGGTTTTGTTGGGGGTGAGAACATTTTTTATAAAGCAGCATAGCAAGTGTTTTAGCAGAGGATTCAGTAAGGAATATATGCTAGTACATAAAAATCATTGCTTTAATGGCCACGACTAGAGATAATTATCAGGCAAAAATTAAACCTCTTTTATCAGTCACAAGGGGGCATGACAGGGTAACAAATGAAAGAAAGTAACCAGACATCCAGCTTAATGACCACATCTTTAACTTAACATTTTGGGTTAGGTTAAAATCCTAAATGGCAATTGTATAATATTTATGGGGACTGTTACTCCAATAACATGATTATAATCCAAATTGCATTCTTATTACCGTGTAAGGTTTTGTATCTCTATGTATCACTTTTGTTTTGCTTTTTTTATCAATATATTAGAATAATGAAACAAAACATTTTATGTTTAAAACATGAACGCTGAAATGTAAAATTTAGTGATAAGTTTTATACTCTTCTCACTTTTTTCATTCTATTTTTCATTCACAACAGATATACAGATTAGAAACATTAAAGAGAGGATTAATGGTGAAAAGCATGAAAAAGAAAATCTGAGAGATATTTTCTAATCATCACATTTTGTCTATCTTCTGTTCAGTTGATGATGTAGAACTTATTTCATTTTGTATCTGTGAGCAAATTATTTAAGATTCTGTGCCTCAGGTTTTCTTCTTATAGAATAAAAAATGTTCAGTACTTTTTCCAGTTTTATAATTCAATCGATCTGTGATATACCATTAACTTACTTGCATCTGTCTCAAATAATGACCATAATTTAAATTTTTACTCACTAATGAGTTAAAACAATGTTTTAAATATCTAAATTTGGTTAAACACTGAAAGATTTACTAGCAGTTTTTAAATATACTTGGAGATACATATCTTACATAGACAACTTGCCAACTTGAAATTTTTAAGCCACTAGAGAGCAACATCGTCTATAAAACTGCTGCGAGACTAACTAGATCTACGGGAGTGGGGAGCATGGCAGGAGGGGTGTCAGAGAATACAAACAATTAATTAATGTAATAAATTATGGCCTACAATCTAACAAAGTAGTAATCCTCAAGGAAATGGAGCACAATTGCAAGAAGTATGGTAGCTTTAATTCAAATTTCTGCCACAGAAAACCTTAGAGCGCTCAGTAGCAAGCACTTCATATTTTCTGTTTGTATTTTGTACATGTTTTTATCAGTCAAGGGATATGAGTCAATAATATTTTATTTATTTAAGATGAAAATGAAAATACAGCAAAAAGCAGAGGGTCAATTAATTTAAGAAAGTAGAATGTAATGGAATCAGTTGCAGAGAGAGGGAAGAATATGAGGAAGCTCATTTATGAAGAGGCAACAAACTGAGCGAGGAAAGATGTGGTATGGGCAGCTACTAGGGGAGACTTAGTATCGATGACTTCTATTGGTAGAAGTGAGACCATCTGATTAAAAGAGGAGGAGGGTGGAGAAGGAAGAGGAGGAATTGATTGAAAGCTACACGGTAAAATCTAAAATTGTGAGGAGTTATCATTACTTATACAGTTTATGTTTGGGTTATAGTGGTTGTTTTTCCTAGTGAGTAATTGCTTTTAACCTCTTGATTGGCATAAGCTTGAACCAATAATGACTGGTCTTGTATTTCTGGGTTTTATTTGTTTGTTTGTTTGTATTTATTGTTGCTTCATACACAGAAGCAGTTTCAGAATTTGGTGATCTGTGTTGAAATTTAGCAGATATCCAGGGAAGTTTAGAATTCAGTAGTGCAGTGAAGAAGATCCTGTGTAAGGTGAGAGTTACTGGTTTATTGAAAACATGCAGGGTCAATAATCTCACAACACTGAGTGTAATTGGTAGCAAGACTGAGATGAGGTGGATGCAGAAAGGGAGTGGGTGTTTGGTTTTGATGTGGAGCACTCCTCAGAGTGCTCAGAGAGAATGGGGTCTGAGTATAGGGATTTTGGTGGAGATTAGCTGGTAAGAGGTTTAAGGAACATAGTACGAAGACCTAACATGGATTTTTTGCCAGGAATTAAGCCAGCATTAAAAAAAGGCTAATTTTTTATGTCAAGTAAACAACTCATGGGCTATAGCAAAGCCATCAGATTGCAGAATGATAATAAATGTAACTAAAGAATGTTAAGGGGGAGGGACCAGCAGGGAATAGTATAGACAAAACTCTACCAAAATGAAGTTTATTCAAGATTTATTTTGTTTACCACATCAATTTTCAGAAAGATTTTACAAGAATTTTGATCAGATGTTACTGTGTTATGCTCTCAACCACAAAAAATTAATAATAAAATTCATCTGAATAGTAAAATCCTTGAGGGCTGAAACACTCTTGACATCTCAGACCTACTACCACCATGCCTAGCACCTGGTAGATATCCAATGAATGTCAATTGACTAAAAAAAAAAAACTAGATAAAAGTCACTAATATACATTTTACAGTATGTGTGTGCATTTTAGTCATGTAAATATATGCTTATATTTGGGAAAATTTAAATTAGTAAATAGTACTCCTTTTAAGATTATGAAATATTGCTAGTTATTCAAGCTTATTTTACAGCACTGCTATACACCTTATTTTACACCTGCAAAAAATGGGTAATAATAACCAGATTTGTATGTAAGAAGAAAAATACTAAAATAAAACAATGAGATAAATTAGAATTATAGAAGTTGAAAAGGGATTGTACAAGGAATTTAATAATATGGATACTCTAATGCTTAACTAAAATTATATTATTTAAATGAAATAATAAACTGTTAAGTATAGAGATGCATGCATAATAGGGACATGGTTACTTACCTAGGGGTTTCTTGAAACATTTTTGAACATCTATTTAATACCTATTTCCCCAACACTGGGCAAGTCATTGCTGGGAGATAAAAAGATTTATGTTTATAAGGCAACTTACACCTGCTGTTGATTACCACAGAGGAGTAGACTTAAGTGTACAAAACTGACTTTATAATGAATAAAAACGTGTAACAAACTATACTGTTTACAATTACCTTATCCCTTGGCTTTTTTTTTAACTGGGTTGTGTTTTTATTTATTTATTCATTTTTTTATTGAGGTAAGAATACTGCATTATTACCAGTGGTATTTTCAGGGACTATCAAAATCAAGTGATTTTTTTTCTATCTAAAAGTACTATGTTTCTTACTTCTTATAATTATCCCTTTGCAATTTGAATTAATTCAAGATTAAATCAATTTATGCTGATGCAATCAGAATGACTGATAATGTAGCACTATTGCTCTTGGAGAATAAAATTATTTTGAGTAACTTTAGCTAGATAACCTTTCTAAATATTTTGTACATATTAAATTATTTGACCTTGATAATAGTATGAGGAAAGTATGATTGTTTTATTATTTGGCCAAAGAAATGCCAAAGAACTTATAAAATATCCATAGCTTCTGTTCAGTGCACTGTGTTAAATGAAATGGAGCCAATTATGGTTCTATGTATTTTTATATATTGCAGTAAATTTTATGAAGAATGTAAGTTTTTTTTCTAAGAATATAAACTGGAAATGTTTCATTGTTGATGTCATAATTATGTCTGTGGTTGAGAACCTACACAAATGTGTGCATGGGACTGATTTTTTTTACACAAATGATCTCATTAATTTGTACAGTACTACTAGTACTTCAAAAACAATATTACTTCTGTTGGACAGAGGAAGAGACAGAAGGTGAGAACAGTTTTTCCGGAGTCATACAACTAGTAAAATTTGGCACTAGGATCTAACCCAGGTCTGCTGAATTGTTTGTGATGTTGTCAGAAAATACATAGATCAAATAAAAAGGCAAGAAGAGCAAGAGAGTAGAGAGATGGTTATAAGACACCGAACAGTTTGCAAGCCCATGGTAATGTCTTTCCTCATTGACTAATTGTTCTTTGACATGTCATTTTTTTTTGTAAATGACTTAGATGATATATAATACTTATTTTATGAAATATATATACACAGATTTTATTATTCTTACTGATAGTTCATATTGAATTCATAAGAAACATTTAATAACACCTGAGATTACATATATTAATACTTATGAAATGTACCTAAACATTGTCCAACATTTTCCCTAATCTTGAGAAATACAATCATTGTGAAAAATGTAAATCATACTTAGTAAAGATGAATTATTACTAGAAGACTAATGGAAATTGTCAGGTTGCTCATGCTGGAGAATAGCTATGCAAATACTATTTATTTTTGCTACTTTAGCATTTAATTAAAATATGTAATTTGGTATTTACAACATTAAAAATCTTGTTTCTTAATTTGATATGTATAGTCTGCATTCACAATCTATTTTTTGTAATATTAATAGATCTTGAATATTCTTGTCTTTGAATATATGGAGAAAATTTATACATCTTTGTTATCTGAAAATACATTAGGGCAAAGAAAAACCACTATTTTAGGTGTTAAATTAATGAAATAACCTTTTCCTACCTGTTTCTTATTCCATTAGTTGTCTTGCTTCCATCTTTTGTATCCCATCTCCCCACAGTTTAGATGGAAAAGTAGAGTATTTCTGTTCTTTAAGTATTGGCTATTTGTTTAATCAGATAACCAATAATACGTACATGGTTGGCTACCTTTCCATGTTATGAAGCTTAATATAACATCATCATCAATTTCATAGAGCTTTATAAAGTGGATTTTTTTTTTACTACCACCATATAAGAAATATGTGGACATTTAGAGAAGGAATTAACCAAAGATGAACTCTGCTCCTTTCTTATTCGTTTTGTTTAGATTCCACTGTGCGTCTAGCCTTATTCAAAAACAATGAAAATAAAGTGTCTCTTCCAAAATCACCAAAGATGGTACAGCCCAGAAGAGATGGTTACTTTGAAGGTATGGCTTAATAACAGATACATAGAGAGGTAAAAAGATAAAGAAAGATTAAAAGAATTATATTTACAATAAATTTTTAATTCTTAATCATAAAGTATATATATAAAGAATTATGTATAACATATACTTGAATAACTCAAAATATGGCTCTTAAAGCTGAAGTGCTAATTTAGTGTGCTGAAATATTGATATAGTCATTGAAAATTTGTATCAATGTTTACATAAATTTTAATTTTTTTATTTATATATGAACGTTTTATAATGATGTATCATCAGTGACATTAATGTTATTTAAATTTTACAGTGACAGATATATTAACTTGTATCAGTGGAAGTGATCACATGTCGAAATGATATTCTGTTTACTGCCAATTTACACAAATTGTATTAAGCCCTATAAATTATACTCTGGAATTTAAAATATTTTACAATATTTGAAGTTTGCCCAACTCACTGTTGGAGTGAAGGATTTGCACATCTAGGTGGTGATAGTTCTGATTATATCTCTGATTTCAACGTTCAGAAAAAACATGAACTTAAATTATTAAACAGAAATATTTAAATGTAATAAAGTAGCAAGCATGATGCAAAACAGTGCAGCAAACATGACTTAAAACGTTTGCCATCTGCTTTCCTTTTAATATTAATGTTTTTTAGTTTTTATACTAAAAAATTGTACTACTTTTTTAGTATAAAATTTTTATTTAGTTTTAAATTTTCATTTTAGTATAAGTTTTTTATAATTTAACCTATAGTTTGGATAGCAATTTTAATAGAAAAATGGAATCATATTTTAATGAAAAGGACCTATGAACATTTTCAATATTTTGTCTTCTATAAGATTTAAATAAATCTTAAAATTTAGGCATCTTCATAGCACGATTGAAAATGGAAACAGTTTGATTTACATTTCTGTTTTGTAATGTCTAAAACTAAAGAAAAGTTTGTTAACCACCAAATTTACACCATCCTAGAAATGCCTACTGAAGTATGTAGGGGTAGAAGTCATGGAGTCTAGAATTTTCCGTAAAGTAGATAGCAATAGTCTGGGCGTGATGGCTCACGCCTGTAATCCCAGCACTTTGGGAGGCCGAGGCAGACAGATCACGAGATCAGGAGATCGAGACCATCCTGGCTAACACGGTGAAACCCTGTCTCTACTAAAAATACAAAAAATTAGCCGGGCGTGGTGGTGGGCTCCTGTAGTCCCAGCTACTCGGAGGCTGAGGCAGGAGAATGGCGTGAACCCGGGAGGCAGAGCTTGCAGTGAGCCAAGATCGCGCCACTGCACTCCAGCCTGGGCGACAGAGCGAGACTCCACCTCAAAAAAAAAAAATTAATAATAAAAACATACATAGAAAGATAAATAAAACAAGTGTGGGAAATTATTTTGAAATTGTTGGACCAACAGATGATAGTGTGTAAAGATTTCCTTTACATTCTTTTTTTATATTAAATATTTTCCATAGTAAAACATTTAAAAATTTTGGTGCCCATTATCCATGTCAAAACACAATATTATTTCAACAAATATTTATGGATTAATATTTTGATAGAATTAAAATATATTCCCAATTTAAAATAAGGCTTGGGTTTTAATCATTGAGTATATTTCATTGTTATAGTCTTAACTCTACCATTTCAGTCTTTTTTTAAAAAATGTAGAAATTCTGCTAAAATCAGTAATAACTCTACAGATATTGTTTATTAAATAGGAATGTTGTTGCATTAGAAAAGAACTGCCTAGGAAGAAAGATAAGCAGGGTGTTTTTATCCTTTAATTTAACACATATCTCAGACTCATAAAGAGAATCTATCCTAATAGGTTCTCTTGCATCCTATCTTGTTCTATTAAATGTGAAGCTACATTACCATCTAGAATAGTATAATATGTATGTATGATATGTTTATTGAATTGTGTACTGGTATAAAATATGCTAGAAATAGTTCAAAGTAGTGATAAATTCAAAGTGGCCTATAGAATATAAAACATTTCCACATAAGCTTTACGATGTGATGTTCTATGATTTTGTTTTCTTTCCCCCAAGTGAATTTTGTTTCGTTTGCTTTCTTTTGGAACCAGGTAAAGTACATTTGGCATTTCATTAATTTCACTGAATGAGTTTTATGTATTTACCAGATTTTCTAATGTGCTATAGGTTTTTGTTGTTGTTTGTTTAGGAATAGGCTTGGCAAAAACAGTTTTATATGGAAGTTTTTTTTAACAGTTAATATGTTTATTCTTGTCCCTCTTTTTAAGGGGAAAACAGTGACGAAAAGTGAGGCAAAATCATTTGTTCATTGCTGGCCAAGTTGAACCCCATGTTGTCTTTAACTGCTGCTCTGGAATTATTCACTTCACAGAATCACAGATATTTCCTGATGCCACAGAGTGCAGCTTCCAAAGAAATATCCCAACTTACCCCTACTGCCCAGTAGAGAGTGCCTCCTGAACCCAATTCTTCTGAGATACAACTTTATTATAAAATGCACCTCTTTTAAAAGTGCAATACAATGAACTCTACTATATTTACAGTTACATAACCATCACCAAATCTAGTTTTAGAACATTGGAAGATCTTTTATTCCTTAAGAAAAAAAATCAAATAAAATTAGTGGTTGGGCATCTGATGCCCCCCAGAAAAGTGAGGAAGATCAAAATTAAATTTTCCTGTAGGTTCATATTGAATAATTCCATGTGGAACAGTATCTCAGCACAATGGTATGCCAACACTGTCTTATAATTTCCTTGGTTTTGTTGAAATTGGATCATACTGTAGAACTGCTTGACTATTGCTTTCCAAAATCCACATTTATTTTAGTAACATTGTATAAATTTAAAAAAAAATTACTTTCTATCTCCACTCTGCAATGTTGACTATATGGGGTTTCCATGATTCTTCTTACAAATTTGATTTTTATTGTGGCTTTTTCTGAACATCCCTAGCAAAAACATTAGTAGCAAGAAAGGATGGTAGATATATCTCTGTTGGTCTATGATTAAAAATATGCTTAAATTCAAGGAATAGTTGATATTAAATATCAAATTATATTAAAAATATAAGGTAAAATATTATACCATTTTTACAGTCTATGTTTTACAGGATGTTCTTCTATTTTTTCTATATTCATAAAATGTTGACCATTTTTGTCTGGCTACCAGATTTAGATCTTTAACTTAATCAAGTCTGAGGAGCCTTTGACCACGCCTGTCCCCAGAGTCACCTCATATATGTGCCATGTGTCACCTATTAGCCAGTTTTTCCTATGAGACAAGTCTGAGAGCCTGAACACTTTGCAGATTTAACATTGGCTTATTTTATTTATTTGTTTATTTATATTTATTTTGAATCAGATGCCTGTCTTTGTTTACCTTTGTTACCAACCTGTAATACCTACTTGGATTTCAATATCCTATATTGTCTTAGAACTCAAAACAATTTCTTGGTTATTGCCTTAAAGATCTGCAGCCAAGTTTCTTTTTTTTCTGTCTTAATTGTTTAGTTTGGAGCTCTGACATCATTTATATTCATCACTTGCATAAGAACAAGCATAGCTTAATGGACATTAGTGTAGATTCTGGAGTTAGTCCAACACAGTTTGAATCTTGTCTTTATCGTTTATTAGCTCTGTGACCTTTGGGAAGTTGTTTAACTTCTCTGTTTCTCATTATTTTTCATCTATGAAATAAGAGGCGAACAGTACTTAGGCATGGGGAGTATTGTGAGGATTACATAGATTTTATTTGTGAGAATCTTGGAACACACAATCTAAGTACATATTAAGTGCTCAAAATGTAATCATTAGCAATAGTCATTTTAAAAGTATGGCATCCCTTCTTGTTCTTGTTTACAATTAGTTCTCTTTATTCCATTTATTATTAAGTACTGTGCTGAGAGTTTTACTTACGTTCTCTGATTCAGTGCTTTCAGAAACTTTGAGAAAGGTATTATGACTGTCAACATTTTACAGATGATAAAACAGTAGTATTGAGAGATTGATAGGTGACTTGACCAAGGTTTCTACATAGAAAACAAGTGGCTGAAGGGAAATGGTAATAATTTCTTTGACAAATAAAGCTTGCAAAATCAAAACAAAATACAAATGTTAGAGAAAAAAGATTACCAGGTAACCATGAAATTTATACCACTTAGAATTAAAATACTTAGGAAAAAAGTAAAGACTAATTATTAAAATAAGGTAAAACTCTGAGAAAACCATAATCAATTTTGGTTTTTATTCCTTTCTCATAGTTGCATTAATATAATTTAGGATATCATTTAGTGCCAACATGGTAATGAAGATTTGATTTGTGACCTATAGTTAGCTGCTATCTTGGATAATGTTATTATTGATATTATTATGATAACCTAATATTAAATATCAAGTCTGTGAGATTATTAGTAAAGAGTGACCATTTTTAAAATAATTCCAACTTTTATTTTAGATTCAGGGGTAACATGGGCAGTTTTGTTAAATTGTGTATGATACTGAGGTTTGGGCTACAAATGATCTCATCACCCAGATAAAGAGCATAGTAACAAACAGGTACCGTTTTTCAGCCCCTGGTTTCCTCCCTCTCTCCCCACTCTAGTAGTTCCTGGGGTCTATTGTTTCTGTCTTTGCGTCCATGTGTACCTGATGTTTAGCTCCCACTTATAAGTGAGAACATGCGGTATTTGGTTTTCTGTTCCTGCATTAATTGCCTTAAGATAGTGGCCTCCATGTTGCTGGAAAGGACATGATTTCTTACTTTTTTTTTTTTTTTTTTTTTTTGAGACAGAGTCTTGCTCTGTCACCCAGGCTCAAGTGCAGTGACACTATCTCTTCTCACTGCAACCTCTGCCTCCCAGGTTCAAGCAATTCTCCTGCCTCATCCTCCCAAGTAGCTGGCATTACAGGCACACGCCACCACGCCCAGCTAATTTCTTTTGTATTTTAGTAGAGACGGGGTTTCACCGTGTTGCCCAGGTTGGTCTCCTGAGCTCAGGCAATCCACCCGCCTTGGCCTCCCAAAGTGCTAGGATTACAGGCATGAGCCACCGCGCCCGGCTGATTTGATGCATTTTAATGGCTCCATAGTATTCCATGGTATATATGTTCCACATTTTCTTTATCCAAACCACTGCTGACGAGCACCTAGGTTGATTTCAGGTCCCTGCTATTGTGACTAGTGCCGCGATGTACATACGAGTGCATGTCTTTTTGGTAGAAGGATTTATTTTCCTTTGGGTTTATACCCAGTAATAGGATTGCTGTGTCGAATGGTAGTTCTATTTTCAGTTCTTTGAGAAATCTCCCACATTTTGAATCACATGTTTTAATTTTCAGATATATGAGAACCTCCCCACAGAGCCTATATTTTTGCTTCATTATTCCTATTTTTATTTATACATAAATTAAGTCACTTTCCTGCCCTCATCTACTGAAACTTCTAAATTTGCTACTTCTAAAGTCAATGCCAAATTCAGACTTCTGGCTTTGGTCAGGGAAGGAAGTTAGCCAAGCCAGGAAAAAAATTTAGTCTGGCGCAACAACTTTCTGAGGAATACGGGTTTATTTAGTCTTAGCTCCTCCATTCCCTGGGACAATTGTACTCGATTTCAAGTCAGATTTTCTTAATTCCCAGTCTGCTGCTGTCATCACTAACATGCTTCCTATTTGTTCTTTTATAAAATAGAAGATTTGCAGATAACTCATGGTTTTATAAACATATATTCAAATATTTTTGTATTAAATGTTTAAATATTGAATGTATTAAGAAACCTATAACTTCTATAATTTTTACTCCAGAACATTTCTTTTGTGATACTTTTTACTTTAGAATTATAAGCATTTTCTCCTCCTGACTTCTCCTTTTTAATGCCAGCTTAGAGAACAGTTTATGTTGTGTAGATTGCTTTAAAGGAGGTCTTGCATTTCCCTAGCTGTTTATAGTACTTGCTAATAGTGCCAATGACTATGTATTAAGAGATGGCAGCATAAATGCCACAGGGCATATGCAGGCAACAAAATACCTGAAGGCAGCCCCGTAAGAAGAGATGCTCATAATTTTATTCCACTGAGCAAGATTCAATAATTAGTCAAAATTATCATGGATGCAAAGATTTATAAAATGTGATTTATCAGTATGTCAGTCTCCAACAAACACTATATTTTGAATTACTGTTTTCCTACTAAGTTTTGAGCTCCATGTATTTCTTTAATACCCCTAGCCCTTAGCACAGTGCCTAATGTATAATGGATAGTTAATAAATGTTTTTTGATGAATAACTGAAAAATACAAAGGACCCTGGCATTAAAGAGTGTCAAACATAGATGGAGTTGCAATATGCTTATATAATATTTTTTAACATGCTGTTTGCTTTGCCAAATTAGACTCATTGCCCTATGCAATCCAGAAAAATCTCTTCACTTGGCTAATTTGTATTATCTCAGGCATTTAATTTTTTAGGAAGACTTTTCTGATTCTAGTTTAGAACACCACTCACTGTGTGTCCTGAATAAACTTTTATATGCCATATGTATTATTAGTCAGGGTTCTCTAGAGGGACAAAACTAATAGGATAGATGTATATATAAAGGGAATTTATTAAAAAGTATTGACTAACACGATCACAGAGTGAAGCCCCACAATAGGCCATCTGCAAGCTGAGGAGCAAGGAAGCCAGCCCGAGTCTCAAAACCTCAAAAGTAGGGAAGCCAACAGTGCAGTCTTCAGTCGTTTGCTGAAGGCCCAAGTGCCTCTTGCAAACTGCTGGTGTAAGTCCAAGAGTCCAAAAGCTGAAGAACTTGGAGTCCAATGTTCTAGGGCAGGAAGCATTCAGCATGGGAGAAAGATGAAGGCTGGAAGACTCAGCAAGTCTCTCTTCCATCTTCTCCTGCCTACTTAATTCAAGCCAAGCTGGTAGCTGATTAGATGGTGCCCACCCAGATTGAGGGTGGGCCTGCCTTTCCCTGTTTACTGACTCAAATGTTAATCTCCTTTGGCAACACCCTCACAGACACAACCAGGAACAATACTTTGCATTCTTCTATCCAATCAAGTTGACACCCAGTATTAACCATCACAAGTCCACCCCTTGTCAACTTGAACCCATTCACATGTCCTGACATCACACATAATCTTCAAATAAAGACAATAATAAGGTCATAATAATGCCTAACCTAACGCAGCTAGCATTCATACAATCGGAAGTGCACTAATCCTTAACCTAAATGCTATTACATAAAGTTAACAACACTTAAATCCTGTCATGAAGTCAATAAATTTTATGGCACATTATAAAGGAAAAAGAAAGGAAATAAAATGAAGATATTTTCTTAGTACAAGTGTATACATGCACAAACAAGTTCTTAATGAAATAAGAAGAAAATACTCTTGACAATCACAGTCCTACCTTCTTCTAATACCCATCCCATTGCCTTCAGCAAGCACCTCAGCAGGTCATGGTTTTTTATCTGGAGGAGTGAACCAAACCTTCATTCCTGAAGGGGCTGGGCCATTTGTAGCCCTGCCTGGAGTGGGTTCCTGTAGTTACCTACTGACCTTAATCACAGGGCATGGTAATACTAAGGGACACCCTAAGGGATCTCCTGTCCCACTCATATTCCGCCTTACCTCCATCATGAAGTAGTAGACTTCATCTTGATACTCTGGGCCAATCACCCCAGCCAACACTACAGCTCCCTTGTTAGCCTATTGACTTAGAGGTAGGAGGAGCACAAAGTAGCCAGGTGGCAATCTTAACTTCCAGTTTAATGGAAT
This sequence comes from Homo sapiens, assembly GCF_000001405.40. Classification (NCBI taxonomy): domain Eukaryota; kingdom Metazoa; phylum Chordata; class Mammalia; order Primates; family Hominidae; genus Homo; species Homo sapiens. The sequence continues at coordinate 85,168,483 of NC_000012.12, forward strand.
TATTGTTGTATCTCCTGGTGGCAGCATTCCTCCTTTTGGAACTAAGACCTCTAGGCCAGCAGAATATAATGTCATAGGAATAGGAAGCAAAAATTTTGCTAGTGGGTCACTAGGGGTGATGGTGAGTGGTGCCACTTCCAATTCCGCCCCTTAATTCCTGGACCTGTGAATCCTGGCTATGGGAGAAAGAGTACCATATATTGGACACTGATTCAGGGCATACACAGCCTTCTGGAGAACTTTGCCCCAGGCCTGCAAAGTATTGTCACCTATTTTGTATTGTAATTGTGACTTCGAAAGGCCATTCCACCATTCTATCAATGCAGCTGCTTCAGCTTCAGATGATGGGGAATATGGTAAGACCAGTGAATTCCATGAGCATAAGCCCACTGCCACACTTCTTTAGTTATGAAGTTTGTGCCTTGGTCAGAGGCAATACTGTGAGGAATACCATGGCAACAACATATCATCAATAGGGTAAAACTAACCTGTCTCACAACACCACTCACTATGTTTCAATAGTATCCTGAGGAAATTATTATATACCATATAATATAATAGCCTCCTTAGTGTTGCTTATCATTTATCATTTGTACAAGGCACTGTTCTAAGTATTTTATCTCTACTAATTAATGACATTCTCACAAGCAGGCTTTTGAGATAGGAGACAAAACTTCATTCCTTTTGGAAAAGATAGTATCAGTAGAAATCTGCCTGCATTTGCAAGGAATGAAGGATAAAATAGCAAAATCTTGTAATCTGTTTTTTGCATGATTTTTTTTATAAGTCTTGACTAGTAGGGAGAGAGGAACCTGGAGAAAGAGTCAGTAACAAAACTAAATAAAATTGAAATGTAAGTTGGAAGCCCTTAGATAATTGAAGATCAGGAGCTATGTTTTGATTTTTTTAATGTGATATGATAGCTCTTGATATAATTAAGTATCTAAAATCTTTTCATGGCCTCCTGTTGTCCTTTGAATAAAAGCTGGACTTGATATTAAATATCATGTCCTACCGGACTGTAATTGTCAAGCCCTCTTTCTGTTCCTCAAGTATGATAAGTACTTTATTATTTTGTAGCTTTCGTATTTCATCCTCTTTCTGCCTAAACAGTGCCCTTAGCATTTTACACAAATGGCTGTCTTATTGTTTAGTTTCACATTTATCCAGTGTGAGAACCTTTCCCTGTAACACTATTTCACATAGCCTTTTCCTCTCTTACCAGCTCCTCTCTCTCATAACACCTGTCATTTTGTGGCATTTATTTGCTATTGTCTCATTTATTAATTTAAACTGCTTACTTATATATTGTGGCTCCAACAATAGTATGGAAGGAGAGCCATGTCAGAATGGTTTATTCTTATATCCTCAGCACTTAGAGCAGTGCCAGTAGTATATTGGTTCTCAATAAATATATGATTAAGAAAGAATGTAAATGTACATGACATCTTATAATTAAAACTTCCTAAATATATTCTAGGCAGTATCACATCATTTAGTAATACAAGGTTTGAAATAAATTTCAATTTTCTACAGAAAAAATAAATCTGATTAGAGAATTTGGTCCAGTGAAGCATAAAACAAACTATAACTTTTAAAACGTTTATATCTGGATAAGGTAGATTCAGGGAATGGCAATCTAAGGTCTGAGAGCAACCTATTCAACTATTTTTTAATCCAAATCAGTTATAAATAGCTCATATTTTTTGTATTTCCCCCTAATTCTGCCATAATTGAATATTTGTGTTCTATTCCAAAGTATGTATTTGTATGTGCATATTGTATATATATATATATATATGTACTTAAATGCTGATATGAAGTCAGTAAAACTTACATCACATAATAAAGGAAAAAGAAAGGAAATAAAATGAAGATATTTTCTTAGTACAAGCATATACATGCACAAACGTGTTCTTAACAAAATAAGGAGTCATATATACTATGCATATACAAAAAATTGTATATGCATAGTATATGCACATATTATATGTATATATAATTTACATATCCCATGTATAAATATATATATAACATATATACTTTATAGATACACTTTTTATACATATATGTGTGTATATATGAGAGATATGTATATGGTTAAATTTTTAAATAGGAAGAGATTTCAGAGCTCTTAGAGTTTTTTGAAATGGACCATATGTAGCCTGTGTACTTTTTGTTAAAAAAAAAGAGGACTTCCACTTCTCATAATAGAGGACTATGTAATTCTGATCAACTGTACTTCAGAGAACAACTACAAAAGCTGGAAAATTTTTGTTTTAAAAATTTCAGTGAAGTCATTGGAGACCTAACAAGTAAGAAATTATAAGTCAAGAAGGAAATCCAAAGAGCTGAGAAGCTGATAAAAATTTTTGATGTTACTTGCCTAGGTCAACTGGAAATAGATTTTTCACTAGCCTCTTACCTGAAACAAAAATAAATCATCTCCAAAAATAGATAACATAATTCTAGACTTCTTTTTATCTCCACAGTTTTTCATATAAAATATCTGGCACACAGTGAAAAATAAACATGGAAAGAGATGAGACATCATTATTGAACAAGAGAAACAAGAGACGATGTAAGTAGAGCCAATGAGACTTTAGATAATGGAGATTTTAAAATAAATGTACATAATATCTTTGAGGATACGGAAGAAGAAATTGAGAATTTCAGCAGGATATTAAACCTATAAAAATATCCAAATTGAAAGTTTATAACTTAAAACCACGACTGAACTTAAAAATTCAATGGATGGATTCAGCTACAGATTAATCAAAACTGAAGAGATAATTATCAACTGAAACACATTTAGAATCCAATAAAGAGAAGTGTGAGGCAGTGGAGTACAAGTAACATTTGAAGGATTTATGGTTGAATATTTACCAAAAGTGAAGAAAAAGCTGAAGTTGTAAATGCAAGAAATTAATGTGCATAAAGAAAATATATACAATAAAAACCACATCTTGGCATATCATCATAAAATTGCTAAAATCGAAGACAAAGACAGAAATTTTAATAAGAGCCACAGAAAAAGATACATTATCTTCAAAGAAGCATCAGTAATAAAGCTAACTTCTTCAGAGAAACAAAGCCAGAAGATAATTGTTGTGGACTGAGTTGTGTCCTTCAAAAATTCATAGGTTGAAGCCTTGATGTCCAATTTGACTGTATTTGGAGTTAGGAACTGAAAGAGGTAATTGAGATAAAATTCAGTCAGAAGGTTGGGCCCATAATCCAATAGAATGAATGTCCTTTTTAGAAGAGGAAGAGACACCAGGAGTGTGTGGGTACAGAGGCAAGCACATATGAAGAGAAGGTGGCCATCTGCAAGCCAAGGAGAGAAGCCTCTGAAGAAACCTCACCTTCCAGCACCTGGATCTTGGACTTTTAGCTTCTACAACTGTGAGCAAATAAATTTCTGTTATTTAAGCATCCCAGTCTGTAGTATTTTGTTATAGCAGCCCAAGCTGACTAATGTAATAATGTAGTGGTAGCTTCAAAGTGCTAAAATAAAATATCTTCCACCATGAAAGTTTATATCTAGCAAAACTTCTTACATCAAAAAGAAAGCAAAGCACGCATACCACCCAACTCCCCAATTGCTGCTTTCCTGGACAGCTACAAGGAAGAAGAAAGAAGGCACCTGGGTTCCTGAGCCAAAGCTTCACAGAGAAAGTAGGGAAGAATAGTAACTTTGGTGAAGTCCATGGCACCCCTTTGTCCCTTGCCCCTTGTAAGAAACTTCTCTGTCATCTGTATCAGGTACCCCCCTACCTGTCTCATAGGACACTCTGTATTTCTGGAATAGCTAGAAATTATATCCAAGTCTCAGAGAATTACTACAACATCTTGGAAAGTTTGTCATCCTTAAGAATATTGCCTTTTATCTAAACTAGGCTACATGAATTAATGAAGTGACAATGGATTTAGACTGAGAAAGTCTTGTGTTAAATCTTGCATAGACACTCACTAGCTAAATACTCCATGTCCTGTTTTTCTCAATTGCAAAATCAGAATACTAGCCTTTACTTCTCATGATATTTTGAAAATTAAATGAGAATCTAAGGGCTTCTGGATAAAAATGATGCTGCTGAAAATCTCCCTAAAATTTCTGTGGAGGTATTTTTAAGATATAGATGAGCAAATATGGGAATATTAGGAAGGGGCAACAGCAATAGAACTTTTTAGGCTAGAAAGTAAATATGTGAGTAATAATGAGAAAGCAAAAGCTTAAACCAGCAATGGGAAAATATGAGATCTGTCTCTATGTCAAAGGTTCGGGAATTGATGATATTAGGCCCTCTTGATATGAGATGAAGTGGGCATTAAAATAAATATATTGGCCGGGTGCAGCAGCTCATACCTGTAATCCCAGCACTTTGTGAAGCTGAGGCGGGTGGATCACAAGATCAAGAGATCGAGACCATCCTGGTGAACATGGTGAAACCCCATCTCTACTAAAAATTAAAAAAAAAATAGCTGGCATGGTGGTGCACACCTGTAGTCCCAGCTACTCGGGAGGCTGAGGTAGGAGAATCGCTTGAACCTGGGAGGCAGAGGTTGCAGTGAGCCGAGTTCATGCCATTGCATTCTAGCCTGGTGACAAAGCAAGATTCCGTCTCAAAAACAATAAATAAAATAAAATAAAATACTATTTGTCTTACCTCAACAAAATTTTTAACATTAATTCTGTAATAAAATTCTGTAAATTCTGTAAATTTAACATTAACATTAATTCTGTAAATACTGTCTCTGTATTTGAGAATACCAGGCTTATTTGAGATTCTTGGTGTCTTGTTAAAACTAAGAGTAATTGTAGGAATGTATATTAAATGCTAAGGCCCTAGGCCATTCTTCTAATTAGCTTCCAGAATGCTGATATATGTGTCCTAGTGAGCTCATGCTCCCATAACAAAATACCATAGTCTGGGTGCCTTAGAGAACAGAAATTTATTTCTCACAAATCTGCAGCCTGGGAAGTCCAATGTCAAGGTTCTAGCTAATTCAATTCCTGATGAGGGCTCCTGTCTTGGATTGTTGACAGCCACCTGCTTGCCATATCCTTACATGTGCAAATACACTCTTTTTCTCCCTGCTCACTCAGAAAGCTAGAGACTACACACGCAATCTCTCATACACACACACACACGCACACACACATACACACACACACAGAAAGAGAGAGAGAGAGAGAGAGGTCTTTCTCTTCTTCTTCTTATAGGACCAGTAATTCCATCATGAGGATCCCACCCTCATTTCCTAATTTAACCCTAATTACCTCCTTAAAGACTGCATTACAAATACCATCACATTGGGGGTTAGGGTTTCAACGTATGAATTTTGGGGGTACACAAATATTTAGACCATAGCACCATGCCTTTAATCTCCAGGCAAGAGATTAGAAGAGTCTTTCTGAAGATTCTTATCAGTGCAAGAGGAAACATCTAAAAACTGATATCAGGTATTACAATATAGGACTCATGTAAGTCACCTTTAGGTAAAACTCTCAGACAGTAGGGTTTGCAGTTTCCTATCAACTTTATAGACCCCCACTCTAAAAGAAGCAAATGACGATCATTAAACAAACTAAAGAAAATATATAACATGAAAATTAGGGAAAAAAGTAGCAAGCATAATAAAGATACCAGATGAAAAACATCTTCAAGAATACCATTAATATTTTAATAGACATAAAAAAGGGTATGCCCATGAAATAGAATGAGATGCTATAATAAGAAAGAGGGAGATCAGAGACCCAAAAATATCTCTTTGATAGCAGAAATAAAAAAAACTTGGCAGAAGATATTGATAAATAAGTCTCCCAGAAACCAGAGGAAAAATACAAAATACTAGAATAACATACAAAAGAAAATATAAATAGAGACTCAGTTCAGGAGGTCCAACATTTGATAAATAATCAGAGATCCAGGCCCGAAGCAGTGGCTCACACCTGTAATCCCAGCACTTTGGGAGGCCAAGGTGGGCAGATAGTTGAGGCCAAGAGTTCTAGATCAGCCTGGCCAACATGGCAAAACCCTGTCTCTACTAAAAATACAAAAAAAAAAAAATAGCTGGGCATGCTGCTGTGTGCCTTTAGTCCCAGCTACTTGGGACGCTGAGAAAAGAGAATCACTTGAACCCGAGAGGCAGAAGCTGTAGTGAACCAAGATCACGCCACTGTACTCCAGCCTGGGTGACAGAGCAAGAGTACAGCTCAAAAAAAAAAAAAAAAAAAAAATCTGAGATCCAGAAACAGAGAATAGCAGCAATGTCAACAACAAACAGATGGAAGAAAATTATCAAAGAAATAATTCCAAAAAAATGTTCCAAAACTAAAGGACCATTTTCCAGGCCCACTAAATGTTAGGAAAATGAATGAAAATAAACCAATCTTTTTGGCCCATATTTGAAAAATGTCATAAAACCAAGGACAATGAAACGAACCTCAAAGTCCTCCAAAAGGAAGACCAGATCTCTTGCAATGGGTCAGTTATCTAAAATATATTGAATTTCCCAACAGTAGCCTTGGATCCTAGAAAACAATAGAACAGTATTTTCAACATTCTTAGAAAACATTATTTCCAACCTAAAATTATATGAACAGGGAAACTATTAATAAAATTTAAGAATATAAAAGCATGCTAAGTCTTAATTTATTTCCCTTGCAATCTTGCTCAGAAAGCTACTGAGGGAACTGCTCCACTGAAGTGGTAAACCAATAAAAACTAATACATGAGATCCAGCAAGAGAAAGAAGCAAAGGAATTTCATGATGATAGTGAAAAGAGATCTCAAGATGACAGCTCACACGGGCTTAGAGAATAAACATTCCATGATGACAGAGAACACCATGAGCAGTCCTTCTGAGCAGGGAGAAAAAGAGTATATTTGCTATCAATACATTCAAGTATATCAGATCAACTCTAAAGTAAATACTAAAGAGTATTCTTCGGGCAGAAGAAAAAGACTTCCAGGTAAAATCTAGGAGATATAGGAAGTAATAAAAAGCAAAGAAGGGTTTCTATATGGTTAAATCTAAATAATCATTGGCTTCGTTCAGGGGTTTTAACAATAATAAGACATGAAGTCCTTTCCCATGCCTATGTCCTGAATGGTAATGCCTAGGTTTTCTTCTAGGGTTTTTATGGTTTTAGGTCTAATGTTTAAGTCTTTAATCCATCTTGAATTGATTTTTGTATAAGGTGTAAGGAAGGGATCCAGTTTCAGCTTTCTACATATGGCTAGCCAGTTTTCCCAGCACCATTTATTAAATAGGGAATCCTTTCCCCATTGCTTGTTTTTGTTAGGTTTGTCAAAGATCAGATAGTTGGAGATATGCGGCATTATTTCTGAGGGCTCTGTTCTGTTCCATTGATCTATATCTCTGTTTTGGTACCAGTACCATGCTTTTTTGGTTACTGTAGCCTTGTAATATAGTTTGAAGTCAGGTAGTGTGATGCCTCCAGCTTTGTTCTTTTGGCTTAGGATTGACTTGGCGGTGCGGGCTCTTTTTTGATTCCATATGAACTTTAAAGTAGTTTTTTCCAATTCTGTGAAGAAAGTCATTGGTAGCTTGATGGGGATGGCATTGAATCTGTAAATTACCTTGGGCAGTATGGCCATTTTCACGATACTGATTCTTCCTACCCATGAGCATGGAATGTTCTTCCCTTTGTTTGTATCCTCTTTTATTTCCATGAGCAGTGGTTTGTAGTTCTCCTTGAGGAGGTCCTTCACATCCCTTGTAAGTTGGATTCCTAGGTATTTGATTCTCTTTGAAGCAATTGTGAATGGGAGTTCACTCATGATTTGGCTCTCTGTTTGTCTGTTATTGGTGTATAAGAATGCCTGTGATTTTTGTACATTGATTTTGTATCATGAGAGTTTGCTGAAGTGGCGCATATACACCATGGAATACTATGCAGCCATAAAAAATGATGAGTTCATGTCCTTTGTAGGGACATGGATGAAATTGGAAATCATCATTCTCAGTAAACTATCGCAAGAACAAAAAACCAAACACCACATATTCTCACTCATAGGTGGGAATTGAACAATGAGATCACATGGACACAGGAAGGGGAATATCACACTCTCGGGACTGTTGTGGGGTGGGGGGAGGGGGGAGGGATAGCATCGGGAGATATACCTAATGCTAGATGACGAGTTAGTGGGTGCAGTGCACCAGCATGGCACATGTATACATATGTAACTAACCTGCACAATGTGCACATGTACCCTAAAACTTAAAGTATAATAAAAAATAAAAAAAAATTTTAAAAAAAATAAGAATTTTAGATGGGTCTATAATATTTATAGTCATGGTAACAATAACATTATGCTTTGGGTTTTTTAAACTATGCATTAAATTACTTATGCCTAAAATGGTTTTTGGCCTGTTTCTTTGTTTTGTTTTGGATGAGTCTTACATTTCTTTCTATTTTTGCTATCTATACAGCAGTGGCGGAATAAAAATCATATTCACCAACTTGGAGTTATGTAAGACAGAGTTTTGACTCTAGTCCAAACCTACGTGATTTTGGTTAAGTTACTAAACCTTCCTGTACTTGATTTTCCTCATCAATTAATTGGAACAAGTAATATACACCACATAAAGTCACTGGGTAAATTGAATAAAAATGTATAAAATCTACAAGAATGAGCTCACCTTTAGAATGTGTTAACTAAGATTTAATTCCTTATCTTCCCTATTTATTCTACCAGTACATGTTTATTGAATTTCTGCTTTGAGTTTGGCATTGCGGAAAAAGATGAGGGTACAGTGATCAATGACATAAACACAAACCACCTGTAATAGAGTTCTCTATCTAGAAGCAGGGGTTGGGGGTGAGGGGCAACATAAATACTCCATGTAAGTGTATAACACAAATGAGTAAAGGTCTGTGGAGGGAAGCTCATTTTGAATCTAGCCCAGAGACATGAGGGAAGAAGTGACACTTGGGCTGAGTTTGAAGGCTGAGTAAAAGTAACTAGGCAAGCGGGGGAGGTTGTGTAGAATGACTATTCCAGACTAAGGCATGGTCCTATTGAAAGACTTTGAAGACTAGGTTAGCCTGGGCCATTCAAAGAACTGAAAGAAGGTTGGTATGGCTAGAGAACAAGGAGTGAGATGAAGCTGGAAAAATTGGTAAGGCACAGGGCAATTTTAGTCTGTCCTTTTTAGTCCATATTGAGGATTTGACTTTCTATATTCCAATGATTACAGCCACTGTAGGATTGTAAGCAAAAGATAAAATGGTCAGATTTGTTTTCCAAGTAACAATTATGGAACATATGGTGTGAAGGATTAATAGGAAGGAAACAAGAGTAAACACAATATCAGTCAAAAGATCATGGCAGTGGTTCAGCACAGAGATGGTAACTTAGACCAGGGAAAACATAATAGATATGGAGATTTAGGTGGAAAAACAGCAAATAAATCATGGTTACCAAGTATGAGTATGTGCAACTTGCATCTCACCTATGGAATGAGAAGAATAATACCTATCTCAGAGAGATGTTGTGAGGAGTGAGATAACTGCTTACCATAGTAAGCGGTGCTCAGTATATGACAGCAATTATTATTTTTATTTCCATTATCGTTCAAAATTTTTCTATCACTTTCTTTCCTTCTCTCTTAGCAATTGGTGTCCCATTTCCTTTTTATGGCTAAAATTTTCATCTTTCTTTGGATGTTGTCTTACCTGATACATGATGATCTTCCATGGTGATCCCATATTTAGTTATCTCCTGTAGTTTGTTTCTTAAATTTCTGTCTCCATCATCTACCTTAGTTTGTTAAAATAAATATGTAGACAAGCTGTAATACTGCCATTGAAAATATTATTCCACCTCCTCCTCAGACCACTATCCCGTTCATCTGTCTTTAATCCTTGCCAACCTTCTTAGGCAGTCTAATCAGTGTCTTTATGCCCCACCTTTAGTTATTCTGCATTTTTTATTTTTTCAAAACTCACTTTTGAGCTTTCATTTTCTTCCGCTGTCCTTGAGACAGGATTCATGGTGCACATTCTACTCAAATTACATTCATTATAGTAATCAGTGTTAACCTCTTAGTTACTAAATTCAGAAACCTCTTTTCTATCCTCATTCTACTTATCTTCAGTATTTCATTCATCATTCTCCCCATAATTTATCTTAGTCCCTTACATCTTCGCTTCCATTCTCTCTTGGTTCTTCTATTTACCTGGGACCCCTCCTTTTTAATTATCTTCTCCATCTATTCCTGTTCATTAAATATAAATATTACATAGAATTTTGTTCATATATGACCTCATTCTCTACTCAAAACACATATTTACTTACTGATACAGCAAATATTTAGTGTGTCAGACATTATATTAGGCTGTAGGGATACAAAGATGAATATAGGGATACAAAAATGAGTAGCACATAGTCTCTGTCTTTAAAAAAAAAAAAACAGCCTCTGAGTCCAGTTGAGAAACCTTATGTAAATGGGCAAAACAAAATATTTTAGGAGTGTACAACACACCTATTCCTATGGCACAATGGAAAGATCAAGATAGAATACCTAATTCTGTTATGTAACCTATGGTTACAGGCAATAACAACCGAATATCTCCCTCTGTCCTTCCTCTTTTTATTTATACCATAAAGTATATTATATTCATTCTAATCAGAATCTGTTTGATTATTTTTATTTCCTGTGTCTGTTAATAGCATCATTAGCCACTTAATTTAGAAAGTCAGAATCATTCTTAATTCTGTTCTCTATCTTTCTCTCTCATTCCCTAAATACAAGCACTACCTTCACATATCCCACTGACTTCAGTGTCTCTTGCCTTGAAATATTGTAATAGTGTCCTTGTGCAGTGCTTTTCAACAGCAGTGTGCCATAAGCAGTGTTATGGTTTGTGAAGACATTGCAGTAAAGAAGTAGATGATAGCATTTGCAAGATTGAGAGATGTGTAGATATTGCAAAGGATACTATTACAATATTGTGATTATAATATTCTGTGATTACAGACTTGTGAAGGTGATGGTAGAAAGTGGACTAGGAACAATAAGTGAAGGGCATTGTATATGAAAGACTGGAATTCATCCTTGTACTTTCCTCCCCATCTCCTGAAATATTCACTAATTATACTAAAATAGTTCAGTATATCCCCAACTATGATAAACTGTGTTCTTTCTAAAATGTCCTATTCTACAAACCTTTATGCTGTTTCCTTTATCTGAAATGACCCTCATCACCTTTCCATCCGACACTTCCATTTATCCTTCACAATTCAGATAAATGTCATTTCATCTGCAAGTCATTCCTAATACACCAAGCCTCCCACAGGCCTTTGTCCATGTCTCTGTAACATCGTCTGTGACTATGTTTTTATCTATTTCCTCCCAACTGTTAATCTTTTCAAGGTCAGGGATCAAATCTTAATCATATTTCTGCTTCCTCCCATCCTCAAAACATAGTAGCTGTATTAGATTCATCTATACTAGGCACTCAATAAGTGTTTGTTGAATTAATAAACATTTCTGACTTAAAAAAATCTTTGGATTCTCAGAAACACTCTTCCTGCCAATTGCTATTACTCAAAGTCAGATACTGGCCTATTTCCAACTTAAACTTACAACTCATTCAGTGTTCACATTCAAGCTATAAGTTTCCCTGTCTCAACCACCTCTGAGATCTATTTAGCACACTTTGGAATTTATTTAATCATTTCCTACTGAAGTTCAACCAACTGTGAGGTTATGGACCCTGAAAAACTTAATCATTATAACCATTGTCCCTTCATTTTAAGGTTTCATAGCTTCTGAAACATTTTTCTGAAAGAATGGAAAGGGGTACTATACTAACATCAATATGTGTTTTTATGTTTCTCAAAAAACTAAATAATATTTTCCATGAAAATTTTATAGTACTTTAATAGAACTGGGGGATCCCACATATTTTCCCTAAAGCTTCAATACCTTCTGCAAGATTTCTCAAGATCATTATTTTAATTAAAAAAAATGATAGTTCAACCTAATGGTTAGGAGAGTGGGCTATGGAGCAAGACAATTTAGGTTTGAATTTTAACTCTGTCCCTTGCTAGGGATATGATTTTAATTAACCCCATACATTTCTTTGTCCATTTCCTCATTTTTGAATTTGCCATAATGAGATAAAATAATGCATAACTCACAGAGTTGAGTAAATGAATTAGTATGTGTAAAATGCTGAAAACAATACCTAATGCATACAAGTTCAATGAATGTATTGAACTTGGCTATTGCTATTATCAGGAACAGTAGCCATTTGCAATGAAATGTGTTAAAATTTAGAATTTGATTATAGTAACTGGATACATTTTGAAATATTACATTTTAAAATATGGTGTGTTTGTGTGTGTGTGTGTTGGGGAAATTTATTATTCTGCATAGTCAATCAATTTTCAATGGAAAGGAATTTTCTCGGTAATGGTGAATACAAATACTTGATAGATACGATGTAGATTCTGATAAATGATCTATTCTACTCTAAATTTTAGCTGGACAAATTTGATAAGCAGGTTTAATCCACATGTCTCAAGGTGATGTCAATCAATCAATCAGTCACACTTCTGGCATTAACCTACCACCCCCAGTATATATACTATCCCTTGAACTTAGGTAGCCCATTGAAACATGAATTAAAGAAGAAACTGATACCTTTAAACATTCCAGTAATAAATCTAATTATAAAAATTAACTTAGTTTTTATCCCCCACTTAGAGATAAAATATTTTCATTCAGATGTTGATATATGCTTTATAAAGATAAAATTTATATTGCAATATTTTTCATGAAGAATAGAAAAACCAACCCTTCTAGAATTGCTGAGCTGGAAGAGTGAATATATTTTCTATAATTCTTGTGAGTCTAGGATCTAATTTTTAACAATTTTGAGGCATTTATCAATATTATAGGGAAATAAAATTATCTTTTGAAATTTTCCAAAACATAACCTATGGTTCTTTGTACCAATGACCTTAAATTGTATATGAGATTTTTCTATTTAAAGAGAAATGATTATATCAATTACTATTTGAACATTAGTGAATTATTATAAATAACATTTAGATTTAATTTTAAGAATTTAAAATTTATGTACCATAAAGTCAACATTTTATCATCACACAAATGCTAAACTCAGTGTCAGTTTCTCAGAATTGCAACTTTTGAATGACACACTTATGTTCAAATGGACTTATCTGTGTTTGAGGTAGTTTATACATTTAAGCTACTCTCCTATCTCATTGTGAGGAATCTGCACATGTACATACATACATATTTCCATCTGATGAAATGAGTACTTATTCTTGGCAGGAAAAGTTAAATGAGAATTTATAACTTTTCCATTAAATTGCTTGCCTTTTTATCAGGTTTTGTATTGAAACCAAGATTCTGCATTAAAATATCCCTTATTTTTTCATGTATTTTTCTTTGATATATTTCTGTTACTACTAGAAGAAATATATTATTGAAATATTGAGAAAGCCTTTCTATTGTTATATGTGTCAGTAATTTATATATCTGAAGTATTTTAATGTTTAAAATATTTAAACTTAACTCAAATGTTTATAATACAAATCCCATTGCAACTGGAACCTTAGGTTCTTAACTATTTGAACATGTTCCCAAAAAAGTCAATGAAAATCTTCCCCTTTTGTACCATTTCTTCAAAGAAGGAAAACCGTTTCTGTTTTTAAAAATATTAATAGTCATGTTCAAAAAGGTCATCCGATCATCTCTGAGTTTGAAATAGTTTGAGGACATAAAAACACCTGAATTACAACTCATCTCACCCAAGTTAAGAAAAAAAAATGTTGAAGAAATAGAAACATGACAGAGGTTGGTAGATTAGAAGGAGAGTAGACCCTTTTATATGTTTTTGTTTGGCTATTAACTAAAATTATGTGTGCCAAGATTTAGGTTAGTTGAAAGCCCTACAAACTGGGCTTATGGAAATAGTAACTGAGCCTTCTAACATTTTGTTTTTTAATACACCACAAGAATGCATTTCCCCAAAAGTGTGAGATCCCTATCTTGAGATGTGATGAAATGCTTTAAAAAATTATATCATAAAAGAGAAACATCTTTCTTAAAATTCTAAATCATGTAGCTAATGTGAGCTCACACAATAGAGGCCCGCACATTGAAATATTTTCTCATTTTTAAGGGAATTAATGGCTCTCCACCAGCCCTTTAACATGTAAAATGAGTAGGTTACTTGTGTCCAGTACATCCAAAAAAGAGCCAGGATAAAATAAACATAAGGGGTTGGATATCTTGGAAAAAATCTGTCATGGGTTTGGGTTAATCATCTCCAGAAGAAATTCAACTTGATGCCTGAAATGTAAGACTTCTTGGAGAAAGCAGAAAGGCCCGAGGCAGTGTTGATCTGAAGGAGTGCTCTCCATGGGTCAGAGCTGCTCTGCTGGCAGAGTGCAAACCCAGTTCACAACCGCGGCCTCTGAAAAGTTGTAAAAGACTGCAGGAGCCTTCCAGTGCACGCACTCCAGCTTTGGTTACATAGTTTTAATGGCCTAGTTTCTTATTATAAAATAAAACTTAAAAATAAAATCTGTGCCTAATTTTCCAACCTTCTGTCCATCAATGACAGGATTCCTTCCTTCAACATTTGTAGAATAAAACAATTTCTTAAGTTTTAGTAATCATATAGAAAAGTATTTGGAAATATAGCACACTTGTATTTGATGCAGTTTTCGTGATGTCCTATTTGTAGGCTTCTGAACTTTGGAACGTGAGTTATTTAAGCAGTACTTTGGATTAATTTTCTTCTATCACTTTTCATACATTTTTGAAGTGTTTTTTCCAGCGACAAGTTTCTCTTTGTCTAAAATCCCTGACACTACATGCCTTGTAGACTGAAAAAAAAATCATTTTAATTATCAATAATGATTGTGAACTCCAACTAAACTGATCTTATGCCAACTAGCTCAACTCAGATATTTGCTCATTTTGCCCCAAATTCTCCTTGATTTTTTTTCAGTTTCATCATCATACCTAGAGTATATTCACTTGAAATAAAATAAAGTGAATATAAAAATATAAAAAGAAAATATCATGGGCTTATGTTAATCATTATTAGCACAGGAATAATTATGTGATTTTATCCTGTATGGAAGTTCAATGTGCTGCTAAGTTACCATGACAAGTTTTAAATCCACTTTAGAAGAAACATAGCATAAAGAAATAATTTTTAGTTCCCTTTGCTTCTATACATAATTTTATTGCACCCAACTGCCAAGGGAATTAAACTCAGGTAAGGTCTTAATTAAAATACCTGAGCATGTCTTAAAGATGCTTACTTTTTATAGACATATAAGGTTGTTTGTTTACTGTTATACTCTTATAAAATCTGTTTATGTTCTATGTAGACTTTTCTTAAAATTACATACAGGCATAACCTTACTAGTTCTAGCAGAGAAACTTCAAACTTTAAACAGTATAAAAGTCAATCAGTTCAATGAATAGAGTCCTAAGTGCTGAAGCATTTCAAATCCTTTTTCATTTGACCACTTGGTGACCTGATAACTATTTCCTGTCCCTAAATAAGGTTGTGACCCAGGTCTTAGAGTGCGAAACTCAGATAATTTTAGAAACAAGCCAAATACCATAGAATTAAAGAAGTAGAAGACAGTTCGACTGAAATTCTTTCTTTTAAAGTGGAGTATCTTAAATATGTAAAAAACTTGAAATATATTAACTTGTATTTATCCATCATATTTAAAACTATGAAATCATTGATTTTATCACCAGATGTCTCTGAAAGATTAACTTGCAGTGCAATTCCTCATTTCCATTTCATTATGATAACTGAGATTATAAAATAAATAAGTAAATACATCACATGTAATAATAACACTATTTGAATAAATCACCAGAATAGTTTGAAAACAAGTGATGTTAAAAATTATACATTAAACTTATACATATAGATGTGTATGTGTATTTGTCTGTATGAGTGTAATAATCTAAACTTTATTAATATTTATAACTACATAAAGTTGAAAGTTATTAAAGAGCAGTAACTACAAAAGACCTGTACATTTCAGACAATATGGCAGGAATATTTCTAGCCACCTATTTGAGCTGTTAAAATGCCTTTGGCGATTGGATTAAGGGAAGGAAGACCCTTACAAGTGCATTTTGCTGATCTGAAAATGTAATTGACTATAGTTTGTTTTGATAATTTTTTTTTGCTTTTCTGTAACTTGGATGTGAAATATAATGTTATGAAATGTTAATTATTTTAATGAGGTCAAGAAGTATTTCCTTAAAATAGCAGTTTTAATGTTAAACATACGTTTGATACTTTTTCTCTTTGTACAGTTAATAAAGCTATGGATTAAAATATATAAGAACTAAACTTAAAATATGATTTTTAAAAAGTAAATATTAAGAAAAGCCTCTGAAATTGACACTTAGCCTGAGCTATTTAAAGTAAGCTAAGGTTTACACTTTTCATAAGGATCATATGATTTATCAAACAAAAGAAATTCTCAGTGTTGGTCTCAAGCATTCTAAAGAATGATTATAAACTAAGCAACTAAAAACTATAGGGTTGATTAAACAGTGAGAAAGCGTTATCTCAGATACTGTTTTAGAATGTGATATGCCATATTACTCATAAGGATTACACATTTTTATTGATAATATATCAATTATACACTCGGAAAGATAGAATTTCACTCTTCTTCAGATGAATGTTGAACTATTGCCAATTCCACACTTACAATTTTCTAATTTGTTTTACTGTGTGTTTCATATGGAATTATATCATGGAAATGTGTATATGTATGTGTCTAATTTAAATATTAAAGGTAAGGATTTTCAAAAGTGAAATATAAATTAATATAAAATAAAACAAAACATCAAACTCTTGATTTGCTTCTTAGAGTTTATCTGAACAAAAAGAGAGCCCCTTAAAATCATTCTATTTTAAAGATGATTTGTGAAAAATATGTACAGAAATAAAATTTATACCATAATAATAAAGTTTAAATATTTAAGTTACAGCAATAACAAAAATTATAGCATAACTAGAGATGTTTTAAACATTTATTATTAAATTAACAGCCTAGAATAAAAGTATGAATAAAGTAAATTTTCAAGTGTGATCTGAGGTTTCTAGCAAAGTGGTGGTAATGATTCATAAATTTCAAATTGTTGTTAAAGTGTGAACTAATATTGTGCATTATCTGTCTCATATAAACAGAAATACAATTTTATTCCACATACATTTTATTTTTGCTCTTTGATTTAAATGAATGTTTCAGCTACCTATTTATAAACACAGCTTTTGCTACATATTACTACTATTTATAAATTTTGTGTATTTTATCAAAAATTACTTTTTTGAATTTTAATTGCTTATATATATAAGGTGCATGCTATGATATATAAATGATAAGTAACTGATAAAATTTGAAATTGTTTAAGACTATTTTTATTGTTTTAAGTATAATGTACTTTATACTTAATATTATGAAGTTTAAATCATATTACCACTGTAATCATAATTTTAAATAATATTTAAATAACATTGAAGAGCAAATAATAAAAATGCAATTAAGTTACAAATGCATACATTTATGAAAGTTTGTTTTATTGTTGTTAAGGTCAGACAACAAAAATTTATTAAGCATCTACTTGTTCAAAAGAAAGTTATAGTTATAAGATTAAAAACTGTCAGGGATTAAGACTAGAATTAAGCTCTAAGTACCAGGAAAGTAACTTAGATTTAACCTACAGATGACCTGGACTTGTTTGTTCAGATGACAGTTCTTAAAGTGTATAGGGAATATTCCTATTTAACACAATTATTTGCTGCAAGCCTTGACCTCAGTGATTGTCAGGGACCAAGTCTGAATTGGCCCATTCTCTGATATGGTGACATTGCTTCTGTTGCCTCGATTGTGACCTCTGATTGCATGGTACCCTTGAGAGTTCTGTAACAAGCGTAACTCCTGGTTCTTAGCCAGGAAGGTTGGTCTGCCTGCATAGATTTGTCAGCCCCTTTAGTCTGAGTAACATATGCTATCTACCCTGCCATGGTATACTAGTTATTTTATTTATATACATCTCTCCGAGTACTTTAATGGTAGCATTTCACAACTAGTGAAATATGCAAAAAATATATTTTTTTAATAAGAAGCCTGTGTAATTTATTAGTTCTTAGAATAAATGCTCATTTACTTTCAAGCAGGTTTATTGTCTTAGAGCATTGTTTTATATGTATGTAACAATTTCTCACCCACATACATACCTTTGCCTGCCTCAGAGAAGTGCACACCTCTTCCATCCCTCATCCCCTTAATCCTACAATATCTAGTATAAAGAGAGTTGATGTAGAGAAGTAGCATGGCATAATTTGATAATGATAATGATTATAAGAAAAAATATATTTTAAACTGCCTTAAAATTGCAGCTTCAGCACTGTCACCATGAACAAACTAGTTCTGAACCTCCGTAAAGCATCACTCAGAGTTTTAATCAGAATTAAATGAAAATTAATGTACTGTAAAGGGCATATCACAACTTCAGAACATACTATAATTATTATTATGATAATGATATTTTTCTATGCTTCCCAAAGGAGAAAAAACATGGGAACCCATACATCAGTACATACAGGATAGTTCCTAAATTTTTGTACTCACAGCATGGAATGAAGGATGTTGCATGCACAGCAACCTGAACAGAACAATTTACATAGCTTTCCTTACAGTTTAAAAGCTAGGATCAAGATAATGTGGAATCATTTGTTTGTCAGTCATGTGTTTAGACATGGTTTGGTTATTTTAAGTTAAATTATAAATGGGCAGTAGAAATGGAAATTTAAACATTTTCATGCTGAGATTTAGTGCCTTGTCCACCAGATCAGTGGTTTTCTAACTTCATATTTTAGCAGAAAACCTCTGTTTTCCCATGAAATATTGCTCACAGTTCAATATAGGATGTAAATCAGCAAAGAGTACTCATGCTCTGGTTTAGAAAGTGGGTCAGCCGGGCGCGGTGGTTCACGCCTGTAATCCCAGCACTTTGGGAGGCCAAGGCAGGTGGATCACCTAAGGTCAGGAGTTCGAGACCAGCTTAGCCAACGTGGCAAAACCCCGTTTCTACTAAAAATACAAAAAAAATAGCTGGGCGTGGTGGCTCATGCCTGTAATCCCAGCTACCCGGGAGGCTGAGGCAGGAGAATCGCTTGAATCTGGGAGGCGGAGATTGCAGTGAGCCAAGATGACACTACTGCACTCCAGCCAGGGCAACAAGAGCAAAACTTCATCTCAAAAAAAAAAAAAAAAAGAAAGAAAATAGGTCTGATCTTTTTGCTGCTTCCCTAGTAGCCACCAAGATGCATTTGCAAAGCCTCCTAGGGCTTCACAGAGCACAATTTAAAACCCTGATTAGACCTTACCAAAGAACAATCCCCATTAAAACACTCTCATTGTACTCAGGACCAACCTACATGTCCTTAGTGTTTATCACACACACAGAAGTATACATTTAAAAGCTATGACTAGAATGTCTTTATGCTGTGTGCTGCTTGAAGTTTGGGACTCTATTGGCTTACTGCTAGGTCCTCAGTACTTAGAATAAGCCTGGCACATAGTAAGCACTCAGTAAAAAAAAAAAAATCAAGTAATCCTTGCAAATACATCAAATTATATTAGAGTAACAACCAAAAATCATGTAACATGATTCTTGTTCTGGTTAGGCTAATTTAATGACCCAAGATTGACTGGTATGGATAATTACATTTTAATTATAGAATACAAGGTGCTGTTAAAGTATTAACTATTTGGTATTTCATTGATTACAAGATGTACATCTTATTCAGATTTTAACCACTCTGAACACAGAATGCATAAACAGCATAATAAATGGCACAACTGGTGGCAACTCAGAGTTGCTGCCAACCAGGTGATAGGTGGCAAATAATATAAAAACCTTTGATTGTTATTTTCCAGCAAAATCAAGATCAAAGCATTATAGATCCTATGAAATAATGTAGCCCTCTAAAATTTGCAGAGTACTCATAAGACTGACATATGTGTGACTGAAGCAGTAGTTAAAATATTGAAATACTCTCTTATCTGATTGTTACATAGCTACTTCCTGGAGTCCCCTTCCCACTACAGCAATGCCAACAACTGTGGCTGTCTTAGTGCTTCCCTTGAAAACCCCTTGCAAGTTTACAATATTAAGTAACTAAAGGATTTACATCCTGCACAGCAGAGGCCCTTCAGAACTCTGTCCCTGTTTAAAGCCAGTGTCCTTCCTGATTGGTCAGTGCCAGTGTCATACAGCTTAAAGTTCTTTACTATCACCTCTATTACACATAAAATTTTTGATATGATTCAACTCTGAGAGCGAGTCATAGGAATTATGATCCGCAGGTTTTATAGATGAAGAAATCAGGTTCAGCAAGGCAATGTTACCTATCCAATTCAGCAAACTTCATTTTGAACTGACGCCTTTGGTAATAGAGACTGCACAAGGTGGAGAATCTCAAATCCAAGCAAGTACAGGCACAAAACTTGATCGTAAGATTAAGTTAAAGTAAGCAAAAATCCCAGAAAAAAACATAAACAGTTAGCTAATTCAAAGATGCAACTCCACCAGGGAATGCCAAGATATGCTCCTGTTAGCAAAGCAGCCCATTTCCAAGAATGATTAGCTCTTGGGGCCTCCAGATGAAATGAAGAAAAGAGCAAATGGCTAAATTCAGTATCAAGAGACAGATTGCATATCAGCCCTCTCTGGGCAGCTCTGGCATTACTGTATTAATGAAATGACCCCTCTAAGAAGTGCCTTTACACACTGTAACTATGCTTCATTTACTGCTCTCTGATGTCTGTATTCTTGCCACAGTATGAGCACTAAGGAAATATTCAAATGGAAAAGACAATACAAGTAAAGGTAGGGAAAAACAAAAAACAAGTGAAGATTTTTTAAGAAAGGAAGTATTGGGGAATTATGAGAAATCTTGAAAAGCAAAATAACAAAATTACATCGATTATAACATCAAGAGATTAAGAAGCATAAAGGTATATCCTCCAAATAATACTCAGCCTCTGAAAGTCACCATGAAAAGTATAACAATATAAACATTAGTGACTGGATAAAAAATTATTTTTGGTACAAACTTTTTAGGTAATTCTTGACTGCAAAAACCTACATATGGTACTAGATAAAATAAGGAATTGAATTTCCTTTTCCTGGTGGGAAGATTAAAAATATATATAATATCTAATAATATATATTATTTATTATATCTGTAACTGTACAGTTAATATAAATAATAATTAAATATTATTGAATTATATATTATAATTTATATATTTATATAAGATTATATATTATATATCATATATTATATCTGTAACTACAGTTAATAATATAAATAATAATTATATTATTGTATTATATATTAATATGTAACATATAGTAATATAACAGTATATTATATTATATATAATTTAATATGTTATAATTTTAATTATATATAATATATAACCTATATAACAGTTATATAACCCCTATACATAATATGTAATATAGTTAGTTTATATCTGTAACTATAGCTCACATCAATAATAATTATATTATATTTATATATAATATAGTAATATAACAATATATTATGTATGATGTGTTATAATAATTCAATATATTATAATTATAATTTTATAATTTTATAATGATATATTAATATACATTATATTATATATTAACTGTAACTACACAGTTAACAACTATACAGTTAATAATTTATGTTATTAACTGTAACTATACAGTTAAAAACTACAGTTAATTACATAAATTATTAACTGTAACTATACAGTTAATAAATATACAGTTAATGTATATCATTAACTATAACTATACAGTTAATATAAATAATTATATCAAATAGTTTAATATTAATATAAATAGTATATTATGTAATTATATTTATATTATATACAATTTTATAGTTATGTGCATTAATATAAGTGAACATAAATAATAGTATATATTAATAATACATATGCTATTATAAGGTAACATAAATGCATATATTATCTATATTATGTATGTAAGTGTACAGTTAGATATTCTGATGGGCGTTTCAGACTGATTTTAAATTTGTAACTCTACCACTTTAAATGTTATACATAACCTGTCTGGGCTAAAGCATTCTTATCTTTTAAATGGAAATAATAATGTGGGCCTCTCGGAATTTTTGTGAGATAATGTACTGGAAGTGTAGACACCACTGCTGAGCATACAGTAGTCTTTAGTAGATGATAACTTCTGTTGCTGCTAAAGCCTTTTATCTCTAACTCCAAATTTCACCTCTAGCCATATGAAACAGACTTTCTCATGTATTGTCTCTGTGATATTGAGCTTCTGATTGCACAGCATATGTTAAACAGGTTTCTGTTTCTGGCAGTGTGGTGAGCTAAATGTTCATGTGCAGCTCACCTAAAAGTGCTGAAGTAAAAAACCATTTTTTAAATAGACTCTATATTTTAGTATAGTTTATGTCCACAGCAAAATTTAGCAGAAAGTACAGATAGTTTTCATGTACTCCGCAAATGTACAGTCTCCCTGGCTTTAAACATCTCTTAGTAGAGTGGTAAAACCTATACTGGCACATCATTATCACCCAAAGTCCATAGTTTACATTAGATCTCACTCTTGCTGTTGTGCATT
Source organism: Homo sapiens (assembly GCF_000001405.40). Classification (NCBI taxonomy): domain Eukaryota; kingdom Metazoa; phylum Chordata; class Mammalia; order Primates; family Hominidae; genus Homo; species Homo sapiens. The sequence continues at coordinate 85,191,223 of NC_000012.12, forward strand.
ATATGGATTTTGACAAATGTTTGATGACATGTATCCAGCCTCATAGTGCCATACAAAATAGTTTCTCTGTCATAAAAATCTTACGTGTTTTATCTATAAGCATCCTTCCCTCCCTGATTTCCAGCAACCAGTGATCTTTTTACTGACTCCATAATTTTTCCTTTTCCAGAATGTCACATAGTTGGAATCATGTGGTATATAGCCTTTTCAGATTGGCATCTTTCACTTAGTAACATGCTTTTAAGGTTCCTCCATGTCTGGTCATAACTTGATAGCTCATTTCTTTTTAGTGCTGAATAATGTTTCATTGAATGGAAGTACCACAGTTTATGTAACCATCCACCTACTGAAGGACATCTTAGTTGTTCTGAAGTTTTAACAGTTATGAATAAAGCTGCTATAAATGTCCATGTTAAAATTTTTGTGAGTGCACACATTTTCAACTTATTTAGGTAAGAGTGACTGCTGAATTGTATGGCAAGAGTGTGTTTAGTTTTGTAAGAAATGGCCAACGTGACTGTACCATTTTCATTTTCACCAGCAATGAATGACAGTCCTGTCATTCTCATTGTTTTGGATATTCTCCATTATATTAAGTGGGGGGTAGTACCACATTGTTGTTTATTTTACAATTCCTTAATGACATATGATACTGAGCATCTTTTCATATGTTATTTGCTATCACTGTATCTTCCTTGGTGTGGTGTCTATTCAGGTCTTTTGACCATATTTTAATGGGGTTGTTCGTTTTCTAATTGTTGAGTTAAAAATTTGTTTTAAGTATTTTACATTCATGGGTATACATGCAGATTTGTTACAAAGGTAAATTGCGTGTCACGGGGGGTTGTTTACAGATTATTCTGTCACTCAGGTAATAAGTGTAAGTATTATAGTATCTGATAAGTATTACAGCTTTTCAGTCCTTATCCATCTCCTGTCCTTCACCCTCAAGTAGGCCCTGATGTCTGCTATTCTCTTCTTTTGCCCACCTGTACTCGATGTATAGCTGCCACTTATACATGAGAACAAGTGGTATTTCATTTTCTGTTCCTGTGTTAGTTTGCTTAGGATAGTGGCCTCCAGCTCCATTCATGTCACTGCAAAGGACATGATCTCATTCTTTTTTTATGGCTCTGTACTCTTCCGTTATATATATATAAATATATATAGTGTATATATATTTATATAATTATATACATTTATATATATTTATATATAAATGTATATAGTTATATAATATAATTATATATAAATATATATAGTTATATAATATAATTATATATAAATATATATAGTTATATAATATAATTATATATAAATATATATAGTTATATAATATAATTATATATAAATATATAGTTATATACTATAATTGTGTATATATAGTTATATACTATAATTATAAATAAATATATATAGTTATATACTATAATTATAAATATATAGTTATATACTATAATTATATATAAATATATAGTTATATACTATAATTATAAATATATATAGTTATATACTATAATTATATATAAATATATATAGTTATATACTATAATTATATATAAATATATATAGTTATATACTATAATTATATATAAATATATATAGTTATATACTATAATTATATATAAATATATATAGTTATATATTATAATTATACATAAATATATAGTTATATACTATAATTATACATAAATATATAATTATATAATATAATTATATATAAATATATAATTATATAATATAATTATATATAAATATATAATTATATAATATAATATATAAATATATAATTATATAATATATTTATTATATTATATTTATAATAAATATAATATAAATATTATATTATATTTTATTATATATAATTATATATATTTATATATAATTATAGTATATAATTATATATATTTTTATATATGGGACCATATATTTATATATATGGGACTATGTGAAAAGACCAAATCTACATCTGATTGGTGTACCTGAAAGTGATGGGGAGAATGGAACCAAGTTGGAAAACACTCTGCAGGATATTATCCAGGAGAACTTCCCCAATCTAGCAAGGCAGGCCAACGTTCAGATTCAGGAAATACAGAGAACGCCACAAAGATACTCCTCGAGAAGAGCAACTCCAAGACACATAATTGTCAGATTCACCAAAGTTGAAATGAAGGAAAAAATGTTAAGGGCAGCCAGAGAGAAAGGTCGGGTTACCCTCAAAGGGAAGCCCATCAGACTAACAGTGGATCTCTCGGCAGAAACCCTACAAGCCAGAAGAGAGTGGGGGCCAATATTCAACATTCTTAAAGAAAAGAATTTTCAACCCAGAATTTCATATCCAGCCAAACTAAGCTTCATAAGTGAAGGAGAAATAAAATACTTTACAGACAAGCAAATGCTGAGAGATTTTGTCACCACCAGACCTGCCTTACAAGAGCTCCTAAAGGAAGCACTAAACATGGAAAGGAACAACCAGTACCAGCCGCTGCAAAATCATGCCAAATTGTAAAGACCATCGAGACTAGGAAGAAACTGCATCAACTAACGAGCAAAATAACCAGCTAACATCATAATGACAGGATCAAATTCACACATAACAATATTAACTTTAAATGTAAATGGACTAAATGCTCCAATTAAAAGACACAGACTGGCAAATTGGATAAAGAGTCAAGATCCATCAGTGTGCTGTATTCAGGAAACCCATCTCATGTGCAGAGACACACATAGGCTCAAAATAAAAGGATGGAGGAAGATCTACCAAGCCAATGGAAAACAAAAAAAGGCAGGGGTTGCAATCCTAGTCTCTGATAAAACAGACTTTAAACCAACAAAGATCAAAAGAGACAAAGAAGGCCATTACATAATGGTAAAGGGATCAATTCAACAAGAAGAGCTAACTATCCTAAATATATATGCACCCAATACAGGAGCACCAAGATTCATAAAGCAAGTCCTGAGTGACCTACAAAGAGACTTAGACTCCCAAACATTAATAATGGGAGACTTTAACACCCCACTGTCAACATTAGACAGATCAACGAGACAGAAAGTCAACAAGGATACCCAGGAATTGAACTCAGCTCTGCACCAAGCAGACCTAATAGACATCTACAGAACTCTCCACCCCAAATCAACAGAATATACATTTTTTTCAGCACCACACCACACCTATTCCAAAATTGACCACATACTTGGAAGTAAAGCTCTCCTCAGCAAATATAAAAGAACAGAAATTATAACAAACTATCTCTCAGACCACAGTGCAATCAAACTAGAACTCAGGATTAAGAATCTCACTCAAAACCGCTCAACTACATGGAAACTGAACAACCTGCTCCTGAATGACTACTGGGTACATAACAAAATGAAGGCAGAAATAAAGATGTTCTTTGAAACCAACGAGAACAAAGACACAACATACCAGAATCTCTGGGATGATTCAAAGCAGTGTGTAGAGGGAAATTTATAGCACTAAGTGCCCACAAGAGAAAGCAGGAAAGATCCAAAATTGACACCCTAACATCACAATTGAAAGAACTAGAAAAGCAAGAGCAAACACATTCAAAAGCTAGCAGAAGGCAAAAAATAACTCAAATCAGAGCAGAACTGAAGGAAATAGAGACACAAAAAACCCTTCAAAAAATTAATGAATCCAGGAGCTGGTTTTTTGAAAGGATCAACAAAATTGATAGACCGCTAGCAAGACTAATAAAGAAAAAACAGAGAGAAGAATCAAATAGATGCAATAAAAAATGATAAAGGGGATATCACCACCGATCCCACAGAAATACAAACTACATCAGAGAATACTACAAACACCTCTATGCAAATAAACTAGAAAATCTAGAAGAAATGGAAAAATTCCTGGACACATACACTCTCCCAAGACTAAACCAGGAAGAAGTTGAATCTCTGAATAGACCAATAACAGGATCTGAAATTGTGGCAATAATCAATAGCTTACCAATCAAAAAGAGTCCAGGACCAGATGGATTCACAGCCGAATTCTACCAGAGGTACAAGGAGGAACTGGTACCATTCCTTCTGAAACTATTCCAATCAATAGAAAAAGAGGGAATCCTCCCTAACTCATTTTATGAGGCCAGCATCATTCTGATACCAAAGCCAGGCAGACACACAACAAAAAAAAGAGAATTTTAGACCAATATCCTTGATGAACATTGATGCAAAAATCCTCAATAAAATACTGGCAAAACGAATCCAGCAGCACATCAAAAAGCTTATCCACCATGATCAAGTGGGCTTCATCCCTGGGATGCAAGGCTGGTTCAATATACCCAAATCAATTTAATGTAATCCAGCATATAAACAGAACCAAAGACAAAAACCACATGATTATCTCAATAGATGCAGAAAAAGCCTTTGACAAAATTCAACAACCCTTCATGCTAAAAACTCTCAATAAATTAGGTATTGATGGGACGTATTTCAAAATAATAAGAGCTATCTATGACAAACCCACAGCCAATATCATACGGAATGGGCAAAAACTGGAAGCATTCCCTTTGAAAACTGGCACAAGACAGGGATGCCCTCTCTCACCACTCCTATTCAACGTAGTGTTGGAAATTCTGACCAGGGCAATTAGGCAGGAGAAGGAAATAGAGGGTATTCAATTAGGAAAAGAGAAAGTCAAATTGTCCCTGTTTGCAGACGACGTGATTGTATATCTAGAAAACCCCATCGTCTCAGCCCAAAATCTCCTTAAGCTGATAAGCAACTTCAGCGAAGTCTCAGGATACAAAATCAATGTACAAAAATCACAAGCATTCTTATACACCAATAACAGACAAACAGAGAGCCAAATCATGAGTGAACTCCCATTCACAATTGCTTCAAGGAGAATAAAATACCTAGGAATCCAACTTACAAGGGATGTGAAGGACCTTTTCAAGGAGAACTACAAACCACTGCTCAAGGAAATAAAAGAGGATACAAACAAATGGAAGAACATACCATGCTCATGGGTAGGAAGAATCAATATCGTGAAAATGGCCATACTGCCCAAGGTAATTTATAGATTCAATGCCATCCCCATCAAGCTACCAATGACTTTCTTCACAGAATTGGAAAAAACTACTTTAAAGTTGATATGGAATCAAAAAAGAGCCCACATCGCCAAGTCAATCCTAAGCCAAAAGAACAAAGCTGGAGGCATCACACTACCTAACTTCAAACTATACTACAAGGCTACAGTAACCAAAACAGCATGGTACTGGTACCAAAACAGAGATATAGATCAATGGAACAGAACAGAGCCCTCAGAAATAACACCACATATCTACAACTATCTGATCTTTGACAAACCTGAGAAAAACAAGCAATGGGGAAAGGATTCCCTGTTTAATAAATGGTGCTGGGAAAACTGGCTAGCCATATGTAGAAAGCTGAAACTGGATCCCTTCCTTACACCTTATACAAAAATCAATTCGAGATGGATTAAAGACTTAAACATTAGACCTAAAACCATAAAAACCCTAGAAGAAAACCTAGGCATTACCATTCAGGACATAGGCATGGGCAAGGACTTCATGTCCAAAACACCAAAAGCAATGGCAACAAAAGACAAAATTGACAAATGGGATCTAATTAAACTAAAGAGCTTCTGCACTGCAAAAGAAACTACCATCAGAGTCAACAGGCAACCTACAAAATGGGAGAAAATTTTTGCAACCTACTCATCTGACAAAGGGCTAATATCCAGAATCTACAATGAACTCCAACAAATTTACAAGAAAAAAACAAACAACCCCATCAAAAAGTGGGCGAAGGACATGAACAGACACTTCTCAAAAGAAGACATTTATGCAGCCAAAAAACACATGAAAAAATGCTCATCATCACTGGCCATTAGAGAAATGCAAATCAAAACCACAATGAGATACCATCTCACACCAGTTTGAATGGCAATCATTAAAAAGTCAGGAAACAACAGGTGCTGGAGAGGATGTGGAGAAATAGGAACACTTTTACACTGTTGGTGGGACTTTAAACTAGTTCAACCATTGTGGAAGTCAGTGTGGCGATTCCTCAGGGATCTAGAACTGGAAATACCATTTGACCCAGCCATCCCATTACTGGGTATATACCCAAAGGACTATAAATCATGCTGCTATAAAGACACATGCACCTGTATGTTTATTGCGGCATTATTCACAATAGCAAAGACTTGGAACCAACCCAAATGTCCAACAATGATAGACTGGATTAAGAAAATGTGGCACATATACACCATGGAATACTATGCAGCCATAAAAAATGATGAGTTCATGTCATTTGTAGGGACATGGATGAAATTGGAAATCATCATTCTCAGTAAACTATCGCAAGAACAAAAAACCAAACACCACATATTCTCACTCATAGGTGGGAACTGAACAATGAGATCACATGGACACAGGAAGGGGAATATCACACTCTGGGGACTGTTGTGGGGTGGTGGGAGTGGGGAGGGATAGCATCGGGAGATATACCTAATGCTAGATGACGAGTTAGTGGGTGCAACGCACCAGCATGGCACATGTATACATATGTAACTAACCTGCACAATGTGCACATGTACCCTAAAACTTTATAATAAAAAAATAAAAAATATTATATTTATTATAAATATAATAAATATAATAAATTTAATAAAACATAATAAAAATATAATAAAATATATAATAAAAATATATATAATATAATTATATATATTTATATATAATTATATATTATATATAAATATATATAATTATATTATATATTATATATAACATATATAATATATTATATTATTATATATAACATATATAATATATTATATAATTATATATAACATATTATTTATATATAATTTATTATATTATATATTATATTATTTATATATAATATATAATATATATTATATATAATATATTATATTATGTATTATATGTTATATTTATATTTATATATATATATTTTTTCTTTATCTGGAATACTGTTGATGGGCATTTAGGTTGGTTCCATGTCTTTGTTATTGTGAATAGTGCTGCAATGAACATACGTGTCCATGTGTCTTTATGGTTCTCATTTATATTTCCTTGGGTGTATACCCAAAAGTGGAATTGCTGAGGTAAATGGTAATTCTGTTTTAAGTTATTTCATAAATTGCTAAACGACTTTCCACAATGGCTGAACAAATTTATATCCCCACCAGCAGTGTATATGCATTTCCTTTTCTTCACAACCTCACCAGCATCTGTTATTTTTTTGACTTTTTATTAATAGCCATTCCTACTGGTGTGAGATAGTATCTCATTGTGGTTTTAATTAGTATTTCTCTAATGGTTAGTCATGTTAAGCATTTTTTTTTTTTGAGACAGAGTCTCGCTCTGTTTCCCAGGCTGGAGTGCAGTGGTGCTATCTCAGCTCACTGCAAGCTCCGCCTCCTGGGTTCACTCCATTCTCCTGCCTCAGCTTCCCAAGTAGCTGGGACTACAGGCGCCTGCCTCCATGCTCGGCTAATTTTTTTGTATTTTTAGTAGAGACGGGGTTCCACCATGTTAGCCAGAATGGTCTTGATTTGCTGACCTCGTGATCCACCCGCCTTGGCCTCCCAAAGTGCTGGGATTACAGGTGTGAGACACCGCACCCGGCCGATGTTAAGCATTTTTTATATGTTTGTTGGCCGAATGTATGTCTTCTTTTGAAAAGTGTCTGTTCAAGTCCTTTGCCCACTTTTTAATGGGGTTGTTTGTTTTGTTCTTGTAAATTTAAGTTCCTTATAGGTTCTGGATATTAGAGCTTTGTTGGAGGCACAGTTGGCAAGTATTTTCTCCCGTTCTGTAAGTTGTCTGTTTACTCCGTTGATAGTTTATTTTGCTGTATAGAAACTCTTTAGTTTAATTAGGCCCCATTTATTAAGTATTTGTTTTTGTTGCAATTGTTTTTGGTGTCTTTATCATGAAGTCTTTGCCAGGTCCCATGTGCCAGATGGTGTTTTCTAGGTTTTCTTCTAGGGTTTTTATAGTTTTATGTTTTACATTTAAGTTTCCAATCCATCTTGAGTTGATTTTGTATCTGGTGTAAGGAAGGGGTCCAGTTTCAATCTTTCGCATATAGGCAGCCCGTTATTCCAGCGCTTTTTATTGAATAGGGAAGTCCTTTCCCCATTGCTTTTGTTGACTTTGTAGAGGTCAGATGGTAGTAGGTGTGTGACATTATTTCTGGTCTCTCTATTTGGCCCCATTGGTCTGTGTCTGTTTTTGTACCAGTTCTATGCTGTTTTGGTTACTGTGGCCTTATAGTATAGTTTAAAGTCAGTGTATTAGTCTGTTCTCCCACTGCAATGAAGAAATACCCGAGACTGGGTAATTCATAAAGGAAAAAGGTTGAATTGACTCACAATTCTACATTGCTGGGGGAGGCCTCAGGATACTTATAATCATGGTAGAAGGCAAAGGAGAAGCAGACACCTCAGGGCAGCAGGATGGAAAGAGTGCAAGCAGGGGAAATACCAGATGCTTATAAAACCATCAGATCTTGTGAGACTCACTCACTATCACAAGAAACTGCACCCATGATTTGATTACCTCCACCTGGTACCGCCCTTGAAACATGGGAATTATGGGGATTACAATTCAAGAAGAGATTTTGGGTGGGAACACAGCCAAAACATACCAGTCAGGTAATGTAATTCCTCCAGCTCTGTTCTTTTCACTAAGAATTGCCTTTGATGTTCAGGCTCTTTTTGGTATCATATGAATTTTAAAATAGTATTTCCTAATTCCATGGAGTATATCATTGGTAGTTTGATAGGAATACCATTGAATCTGTAAATTGCTTTGGGCAGCATGACCATTTTAACAATATTGATTCTTCCTATGCATGAGCATGGAATGTTTTTCCATTTGTTTGTGTCATCTCTGATTTCTGAGCAGTGTTTTATAATTATTGTTGTAGAGATCTTTCACCTCCCTGTTTAGCTGTATCTCTAGGTATTTTATTCTTTTTGTGCCCATTGTGAGTAGGATTGCATTATTGACTGGGCTCTCAGCTTGGATGTTGTTGGTCTTTAGGAATGCTACTGAATTTTGTACATTGATTTTTGTATGCTGACATTTTGCTGAAGTTGTTTATCAGATCAAGGAGCTTTTGGGCGAGATTCTAGGGTTTTCTAGCTATGAAATCTGCAAATAGAGATAGTCTGACAAATCTCTTCCTATTTTGATGCCTTTTATATCTCTCTCTTGCCTGATTGCCCTGACCATGACTTCCAGTACTATGTTAAATAGGAGTGGTGAGAGAGGACATGCTTGCCTTGTTACAGTTTATAAGAGGTTTGTTTCCAGCTTTTGCCCATTCAGTATGATATTGGCTGTGGGTTTGTCATAGGTGGCTCTTATTATTCTGAAACATGTTCCTTCAATGCCTAGTTCGTTGAAGGGATGTTGGATTTTAGCAAAAGCCTTTTCTGCATCTATTGAGAATTCTTGTGGTTTTTGTTTTAGTTCTGTTTATGTGATGAATCACATTTATTGATTTCGGTTTGTTGAACTAACCTTGCATCCCATGGATGAAGCCTACTTGTTGATCATGATGGCTTAGCATTTTTTTTTCTTTTTTTTTGAGACAGGGTCTCACTCTGTCACCCAGGCTGCAGTGCAGTGGAGCGATCTCAGCTCACTGCAACCTTCACCTCCTGGGTTCCAGCGATCTTCATGCCTCAGCCTCCCGAGTAGCTGGGACTGCAGGTGCACGCCACCATTCCTGGCTAATTTTTCTTTTTTTTTTGTATTTTTAGTATAGACAGGGTTTCACCATGTTGGCCAGGCTGGTCTTGAACTCCTGACCTCAAATGATTCACCCGCCTCTGCCTCCCAAAGTGCTGAGTTTACAGTCATGAGCCACCACGCCTGGCCGATGGTTTAGCTTTTTGATGTGCTGCTAGATTTAGTTTGCTAGTATTTTGTTGAGGATTTTTGTATCGATGTTCATCGAGGCTATTGGCCTGATGTTTTCTTTCTTTCTCTTCTTTTTTTTTTTTTTTTCAATAATGTCCCTCAGGTTTTAGTATCAGGATGATGCTGGGCTCATAGAATGAGTTAGCAAGGAGTCTTTCCTCATCAATTTTTTTCAAATAGTTTCAATATAAATGATACCAGCTCTTCTTTTATACATTTGGTATAATTTGGCTGGGAATCCTCATCCTGGGCTTTGTTTGATTGGCCAACTTACTACTGATTCATTTTTGGAATTCATTATTGGTCTCTTTAGAGATTCAGTTTCCTCCTAGTTCAGTCATGGGTGGCTGAATGTGTCGAGGACTTTATCCATTTCCTGTAGGTTTTCTAGTTTGTGTGAACAGAGGTGTTCATAGTAGTCTCTGAAGGTTTTTTGTATTTCTCTAGGGTCAGTGGTAATGTCCCCTTCGTCATTACTGATTGTGTTTGTGTGGATCTTCTCTCTTTACTAAAAAAAATTAGTCTAGCTAGTTGTCTTTCCTATTAATGTTTTCATAAAATGACTTTTGGATTTATCAATCGTTTGTATGTTTTTTTGTTTGTTAATTTCCTTCAGTTCAGCTTTAATTTTGGTCATTTCTTGTCTTCTGCTAGCTTTTAAGTTGGTTTTCTCTTGTTTCTCTAGTTCCTCTAGTTATGGGGATAGGTTGTTATAATAATTTCAGGTTTTTCTTACTTTTTGATGTGTGCTCTCAGTGCTATAAACTTCCCTCCTAACACTGTCTTAGCTGTGTCCCAGATATTCTAGTATGTTGTATTTTTGTTCTTATTCATTTCAAATAATTGATTTCTGCCTTAATTTTATTACTTACCCAAAAGTCATTCAGGAGCAGGTTTCCATGTAATTATGTAATTTTGAGTGATTTTCTTAGTATTGATTTCTATTTTTATTGTGCTATGGTCTTGATTGTGGTTAGTATAAATTCAGTTGTTGTTGTTGTTGTTTCAATTTGCTGAGGATTTTTTTTACATCTGTTTGTGTGGTCAGTTTTAGAGTATGTGCCATAAGCAGGTGAAAAGAATTTATATTCTGTTGTTTTGAGTGGAGTGTTCTGCAAATGTCTATTACATCCATTTGGTCAAGTGTCAAGTTCAGTCTCAGATATCTTTGTTTTCTGCCTTAACGATCAATCTAATATTGTCAGTGGTGTATTGAAGTCTCCCACTATTATTGTGCTATCTAAGCCTCTTCATAGATCTCTTAAGAACATGCTTCATGAATATGGGTTATCCTATGTAGTGTGCATATATATTTAGGATAGTTAGGTCTTCTTGTTGAATTGAGCCCTGTGCTATTATGTAATGGCCTTCTTTATCCTTCTTGGTCTTTCCTGGTTTAAAGTCTATTTTGTCTGAAATTAGAATAGCAACCCCTGATTTTTCTCTGTTTACAATTACTTGGTAGATTTTTCTCCATCTCTTTACTTTGAGCTGATGGGTGTCCTTGCATGTGAGATGGAGACTTTTCAAGACAGCATGCAATTGGGTCTTGCTTCTTTATACAGCTTGCCACTCTGTGCCATTTGATTGGGGCATTTAGCACATTTCCATTCTAGGTTACTATTGATATGTGTGAATTTGTTTCTGTTTTCATGTTGTTAGCTGGTTATTACCAGACTTCTCTCTCTGGTGGCTGTGTAGTCTCACTGGCCTATGTACTTAAGTGTGTTTTTGTAGTGGCCAGTAATGGTTTTTCCTTTCCATGTTTAACACTCCCTTCAGGACTTCTTATAAGGCAGTTCTGGTGGTAGGAATTTGATACAGTTTGGCTCTGTGTCCCCACACAAACCTCATCTTAAACTGTACTCCCATAATTCCCACATGTTGTAGGAGTGACCAGGTGGGAGATAATTGTATCATAGTGGCAGCTTCCCCCATAGTGTTCTCGTGGTAGTGAATAAGTCTCATAAGATCTGATGGCTTTATCAGGGGTTTTCGCTTTTGCATCTTCCTCATTCTGTCTTTGCCTGCTGCCATCCATGTAAGACAGGACTTGCTCCTCCTTGCCTTCTGCTATGATTGTGAGGTTTCCCCAGCCATGTGGAAATGTAAGTCCAATTAAACCTCTTTCTTTTGTAAATTTCCCATTCTTGGGTATGTCTTTATCAGCAGTGTGAAAATGGACTAATACAGTAAATTGCTATCAGTAGAGTGGGGCATTGCTGAAAAGATACCGAAAAATGTGGAAGTGACTTTGGAACTGGATAAGAGGCAGAGGTGGGAACAGTTTGGGGGGCTCAGAATAAGTCAGAAAAATGTGGGCAAGTTTGGAACTTCCTGGAGACTGTTGAGTGGCTTTGCCCAAAATGCTGATAGCAATATGGATAATAAGGTCCAGTCTGAGGTGATCTCAGATGGAGATGAGGAATTTGTTGGGAACTGGAGCAAAGGTGTGTCTTGTTATGTTTTAGCAAAGAGACTGGTGGCATTGTGTCCCTGCCCTAGAGATTTGTGGAACTTTGACCTTGAGAGAGATGATTTAGGGTATCTGGTGGAAGAAATTTCTAAGCAGCAAAACATTCAAGCGGTGACTCGGGTGCTGTAAAAGGCATTCTGTTTTAAAAGGGAAACAGCATAAAAGTATGAGGAATTTGCAGCCTGACAATGCAATAGAAAAGAAAATCCCATTTTCCGAGGAGAAGGTCAAGCAGGCTGCAGAAATTTGCATGAGTAACGAGGACCCAAATGTTAACCCCCAAGACAATGGGGAAAATGTCTCCAGGGCATGTCAGAGATCTTCACGACAGCCCCTCCCATCACAGGCCTGAAGGCCTAGGAGGAAAAAATGGTTTTGTGGGCTGGGCCCAAGGTCCCAATGCTGTGTGCAGCCTAGGGATTTGGTGTCCTGTGTCCCAGCTGCTTCATTGTCCCATGGCTAAAAGGGGCCAATGTAGAGCTCAGGCTGTGGCTTCAGATGGTGCAAGCCCCAAACCTTGGCAGCTTCCACATGGTGTTGATCCTGCAAGTGCACAGAAGTCAAGAATTCAGGTTCAGGAACCTCTGCCTAGATTTCAGAATTTTGCCTGGATGCCCAGGCAAAAGTTTGCTACAGAGACAGGGCTCTCATGGAGAACTTCTGCTAGGGCAGCAAGGAAGGGAAATGTGAGGTCAGAGTCCCCACACAGAGCCCCTACTGGGGCACCACCTAGTATAGCTGTGAGAAGAGGGCCACCATCCTCCAGACCCCAAAATGGTAGATCCACCAACAGCTTGCACAGTGCGCCTGGAAAAGCAGCAGACACTCAGTGCCAGCCCATGAAAGCAGCCATGTGGGAGGCTGTACCCTGGAAAGCCCCAAGGGTGGAGCTGCCCACGACCATGGGCACTCACCTGTTGCATCAGTGTGACCTAGATGTGAGAAATGGAGTCAAAGGAGATCATTTTGGAGCTTTAAGATTTGACTGCCCTGCTGGATTTTGGACTTGCATGGGATCTGTAGCCCCTTTGTTTTGGCCATTTTCTCCCATTTGGAATGATTGTATTTTCCCAATATCTGTACCCCCATTGTATCTAGGAAATAACCAGCTTGCTTTTGATTTTACAGGCTCATAGGAGAAGGGACTTGCCTTATCTCAGATGAGACTTTGGACTGTGGACTTTTGAGTTAATTCTGAAATGAGTTAAGACTTTGAGGGACCATTGGGAAGGCATGATTAGTTTTGAAATTTGAGGACTTGATATTTGGCAGGGGCTGGGGTGGAATGATAAGGTTTGACTCTGTGTCCCCGCCCAAATCTCATCTCAAATTGTACTCCCATAATTCCTAGGGAGGGCCTAGGTGTGAGATAATTAAATCAGGGGGGTGGTTTCTCTTATAGTGTTCTCTTGGTAGTGGATAAGTCTCACGAGGTCTGATGGTTTTATCAGGAGTTTCCGCTTTTGCTTCCTCCTCATTCTCTCTTTGCCCGCTGCCATCCATGTAAGATGGGACTTGCTCCTCCTTGCCTTCCTCCATGATTGTGAGGCTTCCCCAGCCATGTAGAACTGTAAATCCAATTAAACCTCTTTCTTTTGTAAATTTCCCATTCGTGGGTATGTCTTTATCAGCAGCATGAAAATAGACTAATACAGAATTCCCTTAGCATTTGCTTGTCTGAAAAATATTTTATTTCTTCTTGGTTTAGGAAGCTTACTTGGACTGGATATGACATTCTTGGTTGGGAATTCTTTTCTTAAGAATTCTGAATATAGGCCCCCATTGTCTTCTGGCTTGTAGGGTTTCTCCTGAAAGGTCTGCTGTTAGCCTGATAGATTTCCTTTGTGGGTGACCTGCCCTTCACTCTATCTGCCTTTAACATTTTCTCTTTCATTTTAACCTTGGAGAATCTGATGACTATGTGTCTTGGGGAGGGTCTCCTTATGTAGTATTTTGCAAGGGTTCCCTGAATTTTCTGAATATGAATATTGGCCTCTCTGGCAAGGTTGGGAAAATATTCATGGATGATATGCTGAAATATGTTTTCCAAGTAGCTTGCTTTCTCTCCATGTCTTTCTGGGAAGCCATTGAGCCATAGATTTGATCTCTTTACATAGTCTTATATTTATTGGAGGTTTTGTTCATTCTTCTTTATTGTTTTCTCTTTATTTTTGCCTGATTGAGTTATTTTGGAAAGGCAGTTTTCAAGCTCAGAGTTTCTTTCCTCAGCTCCGTTGATCCTGCTGTTAATACTTGTGATTGTATTGTGAAATTCTTGGAGAGAGTTTTTTATCTCTATCATCTCAATTTGGTTCTCTGGCCCCTCAGGGTTGGGAACTTGCTGGATTGTAAGGGCTGAGGTGTTCCTGGACCACTGGCCGCAACACTCTGAAGGATGGTGCTGACCAAAGCATTTGTCAGGCCATGGCAGCAAGATCCTTGCTCATTTGCACATGCCAGCAGCAGCACTGGCTCATCACCTTGGGCAGAACACTGGTGAGCCTGGGACTGCTGACTTCCAGGTGGGCTTTGGCAGTGTTAGTAATGGCAGTGCTGAGTTGCAGAGGGGGACTACTGGGGTCCATGTGTGTGTTTCCACCTGCAGCAGTGTGGGCACATGGGTGGGGTGCTGGCAGGCACTGGTGAGTGCATTCCATCTACAAGTGGTAGTGGCATAAGGCAGGTGGCAGGGCTGCTGGTTTCCCTGTCCATGTTCATACCAGTGACAGTGAGAGTGCAGGGATATGGGGCAGGGCCACTGGTGTCTGTGTTTGTTTTTGTGCTGGCAATGGCAGCACAGTGGTGCAGTGGCAGTAAGGGGTGGGTATGCTTGCACTGACAGCAATGGTCCAGTGGGGTACACACACACCCACATGCAGGAAGTAAAGGGGAGACAAAGTCTGTCCACATGTTAACCAGCAAAGCAATGGGGGTGAGGGGGTGCTCCTGCATGAGTGATTGCTAGCAAAGTGGCACAGAGGAGAGTGAGGTTGGAGAGGGTGTGGGTGGACTGTGACTCCAGGAGAATGCCACTCTCCTGGAGGTCTCCGACAATCAGGTGCACTCTGCCAGCAGGAGGTATGATGCAGACCCCAGGAGGCATCCTGTTAGATATCCAAAGCTGCACTGCAAGCAAGCATGGCCAAGCTTGGGCCCCAGGGGAGGCCGGCAGACAGAGGGGAACTCAGGTCAAACGGGCCTCATCTCACAGGCAAGATTGCTCTGCTCTGTTCAGGTCTTACAGTTCCCCTAAGACTACCATCTCCTAGCGGAGCATGGAGACCCTTGGAAGATGGGTGTCACTGACCTTGCTCCCCTGCAGATGTTCCCACACCAAACCCTTGGAGCTCCAAACGGGCTAGAATCCTGCCACTACCACTTCCCTAGGCAGCTCTTCCTGACAGTTCATGTCCTGGAGGACCGTGGGGTGTCCTGCTGCCAGGATTCCAGAGGTCTTACGGCATGAGTGGGTCACTTGTCACCTGCTCTACTGACCTTATCACCAGGAGTGCTTGGGGAGCCTGGAATAAATCCCAGTACACAGTAGCCTTGTGCAGAGTTCCCAGCTTCCAACCACTTCAGCCCAGCATCTGTGTCCTCCCTCCGTCCACTCTCAATGCCTTCCTTCCAAAGATGTGTTTGAAGTGCACCAGTCTTCTACTATCCTGGTCTCTTGGTGGCAGATGTGCCTCCTACTTTCATATGGTTGGCCATCATGTGTCCTGAAAAAAAAATTATTATTGAGTTTTAAGAGTATTTTGTGTATTTTTGATAACAGTCCTTTATCAGCTGCATCTTTGGCAAATATTTTCTCCCAGTCTGTGTCTTGTCTGCCCATTCTTTTGATGTCTTTCACACAGAAGCATTTTTAATTTTAATGAAGTCTGAATTATCAATCATTTTTTTCATGGATTGTGCCCTTGATGTTGTATCTAAAAAGTTATCACCAAACCCAAGAACACCTAGATTTTGTCCTGTGTTATCTCCTAGTAGTTTTATAGTTTTGTGTTTTGCACTTGGGTCTATGATTCATTTTGAGGTACTATTTTGAAGGGTGTGAGATCTGGGTTTAGATTCTTTTTTTGGGAGTGGGGAGGCATGTATCCAGTTGTTCCGACATCATTTGATGAAAAAAGTATTTTTTTCTCTATTGTATTGCCTTTTCTCTTTTGGCAAAGATCAGTTGACTATATTTTTGTGGATCTATTTCTGACTTGTCTATTATGTTCCACTGGTCTATTTGTATATTCTTTCACCAATACCATACTGTCTTTTTGTTTTGTTTCAACACTCTTTATCTTAAATAATGCTTAAATTGAATATGAAATATAGGTTCCTTTTTAGAGTAGTAACTTTCCTCTCATGTTCCTTTTTTTTTCAAATTTATGTTTTTAGTTGACAAAGTTTTATATATATACATATATTAACGTGTACAGTGTGCTATTTTGAGGTATATATATACATTGTGAAATGACTAAATCTGGCTAATCGATGCACTGTTTAGATTACTGTAGCTTTATATAGTAGGTCTTGAAGTTAGGTAATATCCATTGTCAAAAAAAAAAGAAATGAAAGTTGATAAGGAGTTCCTCAAAACTCAGAAATGACAAGAAAACAAACATATAGGTATAGTAAGTTATTGCTGAGAATTATCTATCTAGAGTAAGGAGGAATGTGCCTCCAGGTACCTGCCAAAAAGCACTTAAAAAGCTTTCTGAGTTGAAACAGTTTAAATTCACACTTCTAGAAATTCACATTAATGCGGATATATAGAACATAAATTAACTAAAAAAATAAGAAAACACTAAACATCTCAGGAAATAAGCCACAAGAATGATAGTAAATAGAAATACAAACTACAAAATTAGCCCATTTGAATACTTAAGATAGTGGATTCATCAGATACAGAATATGAAATAAGTATCTTTAGTTTAATCAAATGCATAAAAATTGATTTGATAATGTAATTAAGCAACGAGACCAGTAAAATTAGAAAACTAAAAAAATAGTGATTCTAAAAATGAAAACTATTATTGATATTACAAACTCAATGGATGGATTAAAGAAAATTAGAACTACGGACCAACAAAAGTGAACCCATTCTATTGTTACTATGCATTATCTATGCAGTTATATATTAAGTTCCAAAGGCAACACACTTTATTTGGGATTGTTATCTAATGTTATAAACTTGACATTTTCTTAGGACTCACATGACCTAAAATACTGGCAATTTTCTATAGAGACTTAAGAAATTTTTTCTGTCTTCTGGTGCTGTTACTCAAAAAGATATATTAGCAAGCATTCTTGACCCTTTTGAACACATAGAGCACTCAGCTATGAACTTAGACAACTTTAAACTCACCAGTTACCTTAATATTGGCAACATAGTGAAAAAGGGACCAGTCTAAGATTTAGAAAAAGGTTCCTAATTTGCCACTAAATAGCTCTTGCATCCTGGATGTCACTTAACTTTTCTCAATCTCATTTGAAAATATATCTATATTAGTTTGTTCTCATGCTGCTATGAAGAAATACCTAAGATTGGGTAATTTATAAAGGAAAGAGGTTTAATTCACTGACAGTTCTACAGGGCTGGGGAGGCCTCAGGAAACTTGCAATCATGGCAGAAGGAGAAGCAAACACATCCCTCTTCACATGGTGGCAGTGAGGAGAAGTGGTGAACAAAAGGGGGAAAAGCCCCTTATAAAACCATCAGATCTGGTGAGAACTCACTATCACAAGAACAGCATGGAGGTAACCACCCCCATGATTCAATTACCTCCCATCAGATTTCTACTACCATATGTGGGGATTATGGGAACTACAATTCAAGATATTTGTGTGGGGACACACCCAAACCATATCAATCTGTGTATCTTCTCTTTATTTTAAAAAAATGCATTTTTATTTGTAAGTTCATCTGAGTATAGCTACAGTAAATATCTAAAGTTGATTTTTCTACCCTCAGGCTAGTAGTTAAACACTGATTAGGAGCTCTAGTAAATATCTGTACCTAAGAAATTGATGCCTAAGATTTATTCTTAATATTTTGAGGTAGCTGCCACAGGAGAAAAGAGCATGAGATGCTATTTCTTGAGCAAAAAAAATATTATCTAGGGATTTTATATATCTGATTGTTTCTTCACAACATCCATGAAAAAAAATACAATTACCCTCATTTTTTTGGAGACTGAAACTAAAATTTTGAGCTTATGTAAGACTCATGAGAATTTGAACTTAGGTCTGACTCCAAAGCCCATGGTATTTCCACTTCATCAAGAAGCCATATTTTTCCATGAGACTCCTCTTAATGTCATATTTCTTAATATGGAAATGAATGACATTTTAAAATGTTCTTAATATACTAGCTATAATAAATAATGCAGAATTTCTTTTTTTCTTGTGGAAGACTTTTAGAAAATAAGGAATAATTTTGAAATAGTTTTTCATATTTGTTCCCAGAGGACCTTATACATTTCTACTAAATTTATTCAAATATTAAATTATGAAAATGACAAAGCACAATAAACATTCCAGTCCTAGGATATTATGTATGAATTGGTCAAAAACCACAGTATTCTATAACTCCATAGTTTTCCTATGTAAGTACATTCTGAAGAATAGCTTTTTCACACATTTGGAGAATAAATATGTTTGTGATCATTTACAGCATATTTCTTGCCAATGCTTACGGAAAAACTAATATAATT
The DNA here is from genome assembly GCF_000001405.40 of Homo sapiens. Taxonomy (NCBI): domain Eukaryota; kingdom Metazoa; phylum Chordata; class Mammalia; order Primates; family Hominidae; genus Homo; species Homo sapiens. The sequence continues at coordinate 85,210,362 of NC_000012.12, forward strand.
TTTAGTTACATGTGTTTCCACGCTGCAAAAGGATGATAAAACACGATGTTTTTGATGTAAAGATAGTAGAATTTGTTGGACTTGTTTTTCCATTTTTGTTTTCTCTTTTTAAACTAAAATGTAAATGTCTTGGTTTAGCTTCTTGTTTTTTAAATTAAGAAAACAGTTTTATCAAGAGAAAATTTTTACAAATTGAACACTCAAGATCACAGATAGTAAATAAGTTGGTTAGATTAACTACATCTATAGTGTTACTATAGTCGGAATTCTAATAGAAGAAAGAAGCAAATCATTGGTTTCGTATACAAGATGTACTTAGTGTTGGGAGACCGATCTCCATGGGACTCTCGTGTTTCTGAACATTCTGGAAGTGAGGCATGTACTGCCCTTTAGTTTCAGACTATTTTTTAAAAAATGTTTGTTTGTGTACTGAACAAACTTAGAAGATAAAGATAGTGTGCCCACTGAAGGTGAGGACTAATTCACTTGCTGCTCAGCACTATAAAGATAATGTTTTCCTCTAGTGCAAAGCATAGGTTGGTTTACAAGCAATTATAAAATATTTGAACTCCCTAAGGTTGGGATTTCTCAGCTATAACACAAACCAACCATGTGCATGGTGTCTACCTGAACTCCTTCACTTTACCTTTGTAGAAATTGAGGGGCAAAGGAGACCCACACAAATATGCTGATGCTCATATTTCTTCTTGTGCTGTGAGTAAAACTTTTTCTTTCTGAATTAGGAGTCTTGCTTCTTTTTCAGCATTCATAAAACTATGCCATGCTCACATCAACCTGAAAATAGGATAAAATCTCAAACCCTCAGAAGTCATGATATAGAAAAACTTTAATTTCACTCTTATATACCCAAGGATGAATACATGGAATTATAGAACGAATCATTCTTGCTTTATGAGTTGTTTTTAAGCATATGTATATTTTTCCCATCTTTTGACTTATTTACTTTGTGAAATGCTCTTTGTAACCATAAGTGTATAATTATGGCTTCTTACCCATGTCGTAGTTTTAAGGAACACCAATCTACAATATTTTAGGACTGCAATAATGTGTCAAATTTACCTAGCAGTGGCTGTGATTTTGGGATACGTGTTATGTAAATTAGCACAAACAAGCCTTATCCCTAAAAACATGCCATTTTATGTAGCAGAGAGAGAGAAAGTATTGGAATCACACAAACTTTGGCTCAAAAATCAAAATTGCCATTTCCAAAGTTTGCATCCACCAGAAATAACAAAGTGACAGTTATTTTTATATTTACTGTATTCAAATGATTTCACATCTTGCCTCACATATTGACATGTATTATTCCTATTTCACAATTAATAAAATTGATATTTAAAATGGTAATAGTCACTTTCTGCCTCTTAGTACAGTTTCCTCTCCACCATACCCCAAGTTATATTAAACTTGGATCATTCATAAATGATGGGCAATATTTTAATAATATATTTCTTTCCTTATAGAGAATCACACTGGAAACCAACTCTGTTTATCATTTCTTCTACTAAATTAAGAATCATTCAGTTGTATGTGGTCCTTTGACTTCAGAAAAGGTGCTCTAAGTGATCAGATAAAAGGAAACAAAAGGTTTAAAAAAATGGGGGCCAAGCATGGTGGTTCACACCTGTAATCCCAGCACTTTGGGAGGCTGAGGTGGGCAGGTTGCTTGAGTCCAGGAGTTTGAGACTAGCCAGGGCAACATGGCAAAAACCCGTCTCTACTAAAACTACAACAACAACAATAACAACAAAAAGTAGCCAGGTGTGGTGGCATGCACCTGTAGTCCCAGCTGCTTGGGAGGCTGAGGTGGGAGAATCACCTGAGCCCAGGAGATGGAGGCTGCAGATGGTGCTGAGATCACACCACTGCACTCCAACCTGGGCAACCAAGGTAAGACCCTGTCTCAAAAAAACAAACAAAAAACACCACAAGAAAAGAAAAGAAAAGAAAAAAAACAGGGAAACTAAATAGTGCAGAATTACTCTAGGCAAAGAAAGGCACTATGGGTTTATGATATTCAAGAGAAATACGTTTTTTTAAATGGGCAGTCTTTTTGGCCAAAAAAGTCGCAGATGGAAGATCCAAGTTGCAAGAATATAGAAAAATTAACTAAGAGGAGAATATGTTGGTGAAATCAAGCATAAATTTAAAATATTAATAACAGTAATAATATGAAATGTAATGTTACATGTAAGGAACACAGAAATATCAATATATAACTGAAAAATGAAGCTAAATTGAGTCAAAATGTTCTATGATTCTTGTATTCTCTAGGAGAGAAAAATGGTTACTTTTAGATTACGTTAAATTCCATGTATGTATATGTATATATATGTATATATATGTTCCATAAATATATGGAATATATTTATAATACGTATCGAATATATATTTTATATATATATAGAGAGAGAGAGAAAGAGAGAGAGAAAGAGAGAGAGAGAGAGGGTTCTAGGGTAAAAACTCAGTGAGTAGGTTAAAACAATATTACTGCCACACTACTAGAAAGAAACCTGTAGAAAGAAAAGAAGTACTCTATCGAATATGGAGTCAAGAAAGTAAAAAAAAAATAACACAGTACAGATGGCATATAGAAGGCACAAAATGAGATTGTGTACTTAAACTCAAAATATAAGTACTTGAATTACATATAAATGATTAAATAGCCCAGGTAGCAAATAGTAATTATTTCTAGATTTTAAAAAAATCCAAGAAACAAACTTAAACTATAAAGGTGCAGTAGGTTCAAAAGCAAAAAGATAGAAAAAACATGCCACAAAAACTCTAACAACAGCAACAAAAAAAAGCTGGTGTTCTTATATTTATATAAGAAAAAAATACACATTGGGGGGAAAAATTACCAAACATAAAGAGCAGAATTTCAAAATGATAAAAAGTTCCATTTACTAGAGATATGATACTTTTAATAAACTAGTATAACACAACCTCAAAAATAAGGCAAAAATTAAAGAATACTAAGAAGTAGCAAATTCCACAACTATATTGGATGATTTTAAGGACATTTCTATCACGTCTATATAGCATGTGACATCTATACTCAAAAAATCAGTAAGGGACAGGCTTTGATAAACTGGTTTAATAAAATTTTCCTAAAATGCTTATACAGAACATTCAACAATTGGAAAATGTACATTATCCTTAGGCCCACATAGGACTTTTATCAAACTTGAACTTATACTGGCCTTAAATCAGGTATCAAAAAATGTCTTCAGGATTAAAATCTTATGCAGGGTGTTTTCTGAATACAATGCTAGTAAACTACAAATCAATAATACCAATGTAACTAGAAAATCATTTTATTGGAAGTTAAAGAACACTTAAAAACTTATGAGTAGAAGAAATCATAATGATTTTAAAAAGTAACAATAACAAAAACACCACATATTGTAGACAACAATAATTAATGAAATAAAAAAAGTAATAAAATGTATCAATAAGACCAAAATTGTTCGAAAAGACTAGTAAATGTGATGCAACCCTGGCAAGTTTGATCCTGAAAATAAGAGAGAAAACACAAATAACCAGTATCATGAATAGAAAAGGGATAGATTGACAGATGATACCAACTGTAAAGCTTTAATAAAATAATATTGTGAACAACTTTATGTCAATGCATTTGAAAATTTAGAGGAAATTTAAAAACCTAGAAAAATATAATTTCCCAAACTGGCCCTATTCTTAAACTAACTCTATGAATAAACAATCAGAAGGAAAAGAAATGCAACCAGTAATAATATTTTTTAATCAAATATTGAAGATACATCTAACAAGAGATGCATAAGACCTTATGAAGAAAATCATAAAACTTTACTGAAAATGCTAAAGAAAAGCTTTAAGTATATTTATAAATTGGAAGACTAAATATTAAAGAACTAAGTCTTTCCAAATTAACTTATGACTACAATCTCAATTAAATCCCACAAGGTGTTTATGAAAGCTGACAAGCAGAATCTAAGATTTCTATGGAAATTCAAAATCCACAAATAGCCAATTACACTCAACAAAGATAAAGTGGAAGAATTCACCATATCAAACACCACAACTTATTATAAAACTGCATCATATAAGACAGTGAATATCATGTGATATGGTATGATATGGTGGTAATTGTGTGGTGGATAGACAGGGTAGGGAAAGGTAAGGATATAGAAAACAGCAGCGGGAGAGCCAAGACAGAGGCCCATACATATAATGTTTAGTTGATATTGTTATAGAGGTTGCATTCCAAATCAGTGAGGAATAGGTAGGGTTTTCTAAATCTTATTTTAAAGTTAGTTATCTATATTAAAATAAGTTATTCTGCCTACTTAAAAAAGACCTGTGTGTAAGAAGAAAAAATATAAAACTTACAGAAGATAATATGGAAGAATATATTTATAAACTTAGATATGCAATTATTTCTTTAAAATTATGCAAAAAGTACTAGTCATATTAATAAATATATACGCATTATAGTTAAGAACCCACATACATCGAAAGATGTCATAATAGTAGTGAAACAGCAGCTACATGGAGAAGGTATTTGCTACACAAACCAACAAGGCACTCACATCCAGTATAAATAATTCTGAGGAAGCATTAAAATAGAGACAGTTCAAGAGAAAAATAAACAGGAAGTTTTAACGTACATCTTGTAAAAGAAATCCAAATAACTCATGAACATATAAACAAGTGATAATCTCATTTGCAACCAGAGAAAGGCTAATTAAAACACACAAACAAATAAACAACAAAAGCAGCCTAACAGAACTTAGTATTATAGAGGACAAGAACCAATGAAACTCATATTTTGCTAATTGGAATATATTATAATTTGGGGTAACCATTTGACAAACAACTTTGACACTCCAGTAGAGTTGAAGATATGCATACCCTATCCTCCTTCAAGCAACACTCATAGATATTTGCATCATAGGAAGCCTTGCACAAGGATAGTCAGAGCAGTGTTGTTCTTTTCCTTTTTAAGTTCAGGGGTACGTGTGCCGGTTTGTTACATAGCTAGACTTGTGTCGTGGGGGTTTGTTGTACAGATTATTTTATCATCCAGGTATTAAGCCTAGTACCCATTAATTATTTTTCCTGATCTTCTCCCTCTACCCACCCTCCAACCTCCAATAGGCCCCAATGTCTGTTGTTCCTCTCTGTGTGTCCATGTGTTCTCATTTAGCCCCTACTTATAAGTGAGAACAAACATTATCGGGTTTTCTGTTTCTATGTTAGTTTGCTAAGGATAATGGCCTCAAGTTCCATCCATGTCCCTGCTGAAATGACAGAAGTAGGATGCAAGTGTTGTTCTTAATAGTCCCAAACTGGAAACAACCGATGTGGCCACCAACAATGCAATGGATAAGCTCTAATACATTCATATAGTGAAATATACAGTACAGCAATAAAAAAAGAACCGTATCTATACACAGCAACGCAGATACATTTTACAAACAATATTGAACAAATGAAAACAAAATAATACCTACAGAATTGTTCTATGTATAGTTCAAAAGCAAACAAAGCTATAATATAGTGCTTAAACATGTATGTGCTAAACATTATAAAGGAAATCAAGAAAGTCAAGGTTATAAGCTTAACTATAGTAGTTGCCCTTAAGAGAAGCAAGACCTTTTCTTTATTGTAATTTTGCTTTAAGTTCTGAGGTACATGTGCGGAACGTGCAGGTTCGTTACATAAATATACACATGCCGTGGTGGTTTGCTGCATCCATCAACTCGTCATCTACATTAGGTATTTCTCCTAATGCTATCCCTCTCCTACCCCCGCACCCCCTGACAGGCCCCGGTGTGTGATGTCCCCATCGCTGTGTCCATGTGTTCTCGTTCAACTCCCACTTATGAGTGAGAACATGCAGTATTTGGTTTTCTGTTCCTGTGTTTGTTGAGAATGATGGCTTCCAGCTTCATCTATGTCCCTGCAAAGGACATGAACTTCTTCTTTTTATGGCTGCATGGTATTCCATGGTGAATTAGGAGAGATTTTGAGCAGGACCGCTGGTATGCAGGCAGTGTTCTATATTTTGAAATGATCAGAGGAATATTTTTATGAAATTTCATTTATATAATTAATTTACATATAATTTAATATATAATGTATATAATTCTTTATATTTCATAGTATATTTATAAATCTTGCAATTGAATATACACATAGTATATGTAAAATTTTGTGTATGTGTTATATTTCAAAACAAAATCATTGAAAATAGCTTTCAAAAATTAATATTTACATGATTAATAGTTTAAAGCTAAAAAGTAATTTTACAGTGTAGACCAATTATTCCTACCTGTATTGACTCATTTCTCCAATAGAATATGAGTAGACAAGGACTGCTTTTACCTATTTTCAAATTAAACGTGAAATTCCTGTAAAAAGGACCTCATTTGTAAATTTCATTTACAAATGAAATTCTGCTACATAAAATAAAAGTCAGTCTTTCTAAAAATAGTACAATAAAAGATAAAACTTTGGCATTAATAAAGTATTCAGCTGGAAAACTCTTAAATATTCAGCCAGCTATAGGGATAATTGCTTAATATTGTTGCTTATGGAAAACAACAACTTTAGAACCAGGTTTATTACTTTCTAATATGTTGGCATGCAAATTGTGAAAGTTATTTTTAATTATTGCTTTGCATAATGCAAACAGTATTTTAATATATATTCAGTATTTCATTTGAACTTATCTCTGTATCAGAAACTTATCTATATAATTCAGTTTGACAAATACAAAAATTATCATAGGCAGAAGTTTATAATAAAATGATATAAATGCACATAATGGGAATTTCATTATGAACATATAGACATATGTGCTATAAGCATTTCTGTTATATAGCTATGTAATAATATAAAGTATGTTTTATTGAGTTTTTCAAGCTTCTATCACTAACATATCAACTCATACACTTATTGGTTTCTTTTGAAATAAAAGTTGTAAAGGAAATAAAACCACCTACTTGTCCCTCAATTAATAAATATATGTAAATCAGTAGAATTAGAAATACATTTTTATCAATGAGTGAAAACCTTTAGATAGAGCAGGGACCTGAAGTATATATATATATATATATATATATGTATATATATATATATATGTGTGTGTGTGTGTGTGTGTGTGTGTGTGTGTGTGTGTGTGTATATAGGTATATATATGTGTGTATACATATGTATATATATATGTATATATGTATATGTGTATATATATGTATATATGTATATATGTATATATATGTGTATATGTATATATGTATATATGTGTATATATGTATATATGTGTATATATGTATATATGTGTGTGTATATATGTATATATGTGTATATATATGTAATGTGTGTGTATATATATAAAATGTGTGTGTCTCTCTCTATATATATATGTAATGTGTTCATACACACATATATATGTGTGTGGCAGTAATATTTATGTGGCCACTATCACCATGTTATTCTGAAAGCCAACCTACTGACATCATTAGATGCTCCATTATGCTATTGAGCGGGCCCTAGTTTGGATGACTTACTATATTAACACTCCCTGAGGGAGTCTAGGTTGGATAGAGGAATATTTTTCAAGGATAATTAAATTGAGATGGTGAAACAGGAGAGAATCATGTCAATGGAGCCTCCTTCATGGTTATTACTAATTGATAAAAATAATTTGTAATAACTTAAAATCAATTAAGACCATCTACTCTTCTTATCGTGTGGAAATTGATTTTTCTTTTTAAGGATGCACTAAAATCCTTATATATTATGAAATAAAATACATTTAAAAATATGGGTTACATATTTAGAATTCTGGTAAGGAGTACTTCCTGGACTTACCCCCTAGACAATTTTTCTGGCTAGTTTTGTGTTAATCATCAGTCTTTCCCTCCTGTCAGTGACCCCCTAGAACCCCGAAGTTGACCTGAATTTAGAGTAAGTCTTGGCCTTTGGCACTTGAGATAGCATTAAGGCTATGCATGATGGAATTCATTTTACTTTTTTAAATAAAAAATAGTAATATGGCTAGTAAATCCTTACTATATGTTACGTACTCTGTGTTCATTCTATGTTATTATTTACCTTTTAAAAGGAGAAAACTGAGACAGAGAGAAGATAAATACTTTACCCAACATTATACAGCTAGTAAGTGAAAAAGCCAACTTACTATGTACAGTTTCGTTGCTAGGCAGATACAAAGATGGATAAGGTACAGACCCTAGTTTTACAGACTGAATTAATTTATTCTCTAATGAATTTCCTATAAGTCAGATTCCAGGACCTCTTGTAATGGAAAATGAGGTAGTGTGACAGCCTCATGGGAAAAAATCATAAATTCCATGGCTACTGGGTAGTTCTAAAAGCAATATCCTATTAACATTTACATTAATATTTCTCAGAAATGAATAAATACCAGGACAGGGACAGAATTAGTATTACTGATTTTTCCTTTTGCATCAGGCTTCAATACAACTTGGCATAACACTGTTACTAATCCTGTTATTTAAAACTTTGATATTTTGCTTCTCTTAAATTTTTGCATTACTTTTGATTTTTAAATATTACAGTAAAATATTATTTATCTTAATCACTGAGGTTTTTTTGCACTTTCTTAAATGTTATGCCTAAGGCAAGTACCTCACTTGTCCTACTCACCTTACTCTAGTCCCAGCCCTAGTTATAGCACACATGGAGACACATTACATGTTAATGTATATATGACTTAAGCAACCTAGGATTTTCCTGAGTTATGTGATTCTCTGGAAAGAAACCAAAGAATCACCCTTTATATAGTATTTGGTACTGCACAGTAAAGATATTAGTGAGGAAATACAGCCCAGCTGAACAATATACATGGCAAAACATATTTACTTTAATGTAGAGTTGTGTAGAAGTTGAATACAGATTATTTATTACAATTTGTTAATAAGCACAACTATAGTCGATTTGTTAAAGGATGTTTCTGCTATTGCAGAGGGATTCAGTTAAATCTAGTAATTCCGTAATATCAAAAAATGTGTCTTGCAAAATCTAAATATTTTCCATGATATAATTTAATAACTAATTTTATTTTTCTTTGCCTTCATAAAGGTTATTCATACACTTTATGTACTATCCCATACCCCAAATGGACCAATTTTGAGAATGAATTCAAATGTCAGAAACTAGCACATAACTTTTCATTTTAGTTTTTTTTTCCCTCTCTGCCATAAAATATAGTGAAATATGTAAAGGAGTGACTGGTGCTAATGTTAGCCTTTGACCTTATATATAGGTTTGGCACTATTCCCAAAATTTCTGTTTTTTAAACTTTTGCACCAACAATTCTCTTTATTCATGAAGTCATTTTTTCTGAGTGATCAATTACATATATACTTAAATATATTTTTAAAGAATAGGGATGTTGCTTGTCACACACAAATGGCTCTTATAGAGTTACTGGTTTCGTGCCAATGCTGTCAACTTTCCAACAACAGATTGGATTGGTTAAGGAAGAAACCATAAACAGCCTATCAACAAGTATTTATACGAATGTTAATGAAATTAAAATTCTGTTAGTGTAACATTTATGCCAAATTCCATTTTTAGTTGTGCTTTATTTGTGAGGTATAATGCAATAACTTATTTTAATAAACACATACAGACCACTTTTGCTTTATAGTGTAAATCAAAATTTTAGTATTGCCGACATAAGATACATAGAATCAGCCATTTATCAAAGTTACCAAAAATATTTCCATTGCATGAAGAAGTGTTTTTCTGAGCCACAACTATGTCCTCCAAAAACTTTTGGTAAGGAAATGAACTCATCTCTATTAATGAAACCAAGAGTATTTTATTATATTACTGAGAAAAGCCATTAAGGGAAAAGAAAATAGTCATGGGAAAGTTGCCATAAGTATTAAAAATATAAATAGTTAGCTTATTTTTCTGTGCCTTAAATGATAATTGAATCTTAATCTCCCTCACTTTACGATATTATGTTATATTGAAAATTTAGAAAACTGATTTATTTGAAGCATATGGGTTTAATGAACACTTTTGTTGTGCTTTTCATGAAAAAAAGAATAATGTTTCCATTAATTTAAAAAGTACTTCATTTCTTTTGGTGAACTTCTTAAAACTAATCTGCTTTCCTCTATGATTGAGTATATTTCAAACATTTTATAAAGTAATTTTATATGAATGAGTAGTGTTTCTTTTTTTTGGTTTTGTGTTTTATTTTTATTTATTTATTTTTATTTTATTTTATTATTATTATACTTTAAGTTTTAGGGTACATGTGCACAATGTGCAGGTTTGTTACATATGTATACATGTGCCATGTTGGTGTACTGCACCCATTAACTCGTCATTTAGCATTAGGTATATCTCCTAATGCTATCCCTCCCCCCTCCCCCCTGTTTTTATTTAATTTTATTTTTTGAGACAAAGTTTCGCTCTGTCGCCCAGGTTGGACGGCAGTGGCGTGATCCTGGCTCATTGCAAACCCCTCCCCCCAGGTTCAAGCAATTCTTCTGCCTCAGCCTCCCTATAGTAGTTGGGATTACAGGCGTGCAATACCACACACCCGGCTAATTTTTGTATTTTTATTAGAGATGGGGTTTCACCATGCTGGCCAGGCTGGTCTCGAACTACTGACCTCAGGTGATCTGCCCCCATCAGGCTCCCAAAGTGCTGGAATTACAGACGTGAGCCACCACGCCTGGCCTGGTTTTGTGTTTAATTCCATACCATTAGTTGTTAATTTTTATCCCAATCTAATCTTGACCTTCAGAGCTAAAGTTTCTATTATAATAATTAAATTAATCATGTTTAGACATATGTTATCCTCCACAATGCACAGATTTGTCCACATGCTAAAAACATCCAAATTCTAGTTCTACTTTTCTCAGGGTACTGAGACAACATTAATTGACTGTAATAATTATTTTATTTCACAAATATTTTTGAGCACCATCCTACTATGTACCACTTAAGGAGATTATATTGTATTAGACTGATGGAAAAGTAATTGTAATTTTTGCCCTTGATAATAGTAGGAAAGCAGACACATAGATAAGAAAATAAAATATAATGTAATGAATGCTATCATGGGGTATCTATACAGTTCTTTGGAATGAGTATACCTAACCTAATTTAAATAAGGAATGCAGCGTTGGATGATCAGGGAGCATACCCCAAAGAATGGAAGTTCTAAACTGAGACCTAAAGACCTGAAGCAGGAATACCCTTGGCAAAGTGCATAGTCCCAAGCATAGAAGACAGTATGGGCAAAGGTCTGTGGGCAAAAGAGAACATTTGGGGTAACTACACTATGTCTGGGGGATTGAGACAGGAACCTAACAGAAGTGTCTGAAGATATAAAGTAAGACCTATACTTTATGGAAAAAAACTTTGAATATTATCTAAAGGCAGTGGAGAACCAGGAATTTAACCTATGAGATGGCACAATTAGATTTGTACTTTAGCAAGATCATTTGCAGTATGGAGATATATCTGTGGGAGGAAGAATAAAAGCAGAGGCCAGTTAGAAGGCTGTTGCAGTAATTCAGTAGAAACAATGGTAGCCTGAATTAAAAATAGTGGCAGTGGGAATGGAGGGGATTTGATAGATTTAACATAGATGGTAAAATATGCAGTTGGAAGGTGAGAGGTGAGAAAGAATCAGTGCCACACTCTGCTTTCTCAGTTGTAAATTAATGATAGTGATAGCATTATAGAAAATTTAGGAAAAGGTTAAATAATAAACATGAGTTCAATTTTTTGACGTGCTTGAAGTATCTGTTGGATATATGTGAGGGGTCTTTGAATACATGTCTCAGAAGGAAATAAAGATGGCAATTGAAGCATTTGAATGGATATCATTATACGGAGAGAGTATAGCCTAAAAATAAAATGGGGCCAAGATAGAACTCCAGAGAAGAATCCTGAGATTGAAAAAGATGGCAAGGGAAGAGGGGCCCTTGGAAGAGACTGGGGTTTAGCCAAAGGATTGAGAATAAAAACATGGAGAAGGTAATGAATCCAGGGAAAACAAGCCTTTCGAGAAGGAGGGAATGGATAACAGTGAATAATACTATAGAGAAGTCAGTAAGATATGAACTTCAAAAAGTCCCCCAAATTTAGCATTATGATGCTTTTGATGTGCACAGTTCCAGTGAAAGGGTGTTGGGAGAAAGCCATAACGCAGATGGCAAGTAAGTCAACAGAGACTAATCTTTGTCTTCAAGAAGCTCATCTGATTAGGGAAGGAGAGAGAGAAGAGTCACTGGAGGGGAATGTAAAAAGTCAGTTTTAAGAATGCTGAAAATATAGAAGAAAAGGGAAACTGATGGCAAGGTATTCTAGATAATATGGAAGGATTGGGATCTGGTGCACAGTTCAAGGCGTTGGGTTTGAGAGGAAGAGAACCTCTTCTGTTGTGACAGGTAAGAAAGGTACCCTTACACATACATATATCACCACATATAGGACTGCTCACTCACGTTCAGAATGGGGCCTGAAGTAAAATGGTTGCAATGGCGAAAGAAAGAAGGAACCAGATTAGTAGTTTACCCAGGAGGTGGACTAGATCTTATTTCTGATTAGATATTTGTACTTAAAGAATAAGTAGCCAATATTGACTACAGACTGAGTAATCTGAGTTACTTCGGAATCCAGGAGGAAAAAACATACTTTAGTAGGATGATGATGGTAAAGACAAGTTGTGATTTTGAAGTTCAGGTGGAAATATGAGATACAAGAACAGGATTAAGATAGAGGTTGGTGATACCTAGTCCTCTCAGCTGTTAGTTCATGAGATAAGAAACTATGCCAATCAGGTTGACTGTTGTCAGAAGCTAGCACAGTGCCAGATATAGAGTGGGAACTGACTCCTAGGTACTTGTAAAATTGGGAGCACCAACATCTAAAGGAATCTAAAAAGGATCCTGAAGGGAGGGAATACTTGATGTCTGGTGTCCCAAAGACCTGCAGAAAAAAAAGAGTTGTAAGACAAAGGAAGTGGTCTGGAATCCAGCAGTGAGGTCAGTGAAATTAAGGAATGAATATAATTGTTAGATAAGCCAGTTTCAGGCCATTTTACAGTATCTTGTAGTGATATTATTTGTGAAAAACAAAATATTGGAAGAGTGTCCAATTTGTCCCTGAAATCCTCTTATATCTCATGCAGTTTATAGAATTGGGAAATACCTATAAATTATGAGAGGAAAGTAGCCTATAGTTTAGAAGATTTGGGGCAAATATATAAATCTATGCCTACAGAAAATGAAAATTGCCCCTTTTGAAAACAGAGTAGAAACTAAAATCAACCAATGGTCAGGAGAAAATATTTGCACCAGGGATAACAGAAAAAGAATTATAAATAGTCAAAAACAAAAAAGGAAACTAGAATCCAGTAGATAATTGAAGAAAACAAAAAAGATATTTTACAATGTACAAACTAAAATTATTAAATAATTATAATGTTCCATTTCACTAGCAAAGATGTATAAATTAAGACCATAATTAGACAGTATTGTTATCAAATTATCAGCAGTTTAAAAATATATGCTCTCTTACTGTTGACCAGGACTCAGTAAAATAAGCAATCTCATAAAGTATGTAATTGGTGAGACCTTTTAAAACCATTTGACAATATAGATTATATCAAATTCTTTAAAATATTTATACTATTAGATATTTTATTCTTAATTCCATCTTTTAAAATGGATTAATTATTTATGCAGACAGCAAACATATGAAAAAAAGCTCATCACTGGTCATTAAAGAAATGCAAATCAAAACCACAGTGAGATACCATCTCACACCAGTTAGAATGGCCATCATTGAAAAATCAGGAAACAACATCCTGGAGAGGATGTGGAGAAATAGGAACACTTTTACACTGTTGGTGGGAGTGTAAATTAGTTCAACCATTGTGGAAGACAGTGTGGCAATCTAGAACCAGAAATACCATTTGACCCAGCAATCCCATTAGCGGGTATATACCCAAAGGATTACACATCATTCTACTATAAAGACACATCCATACATATGTTTATTGCAGCACTATTCACAATAGCAAAGACTGAAGTCAACCCAAATGCCCATCAATGATAGACTGGATTAAGAAAATGTGGCACATATACACCATGGAATACTATGCAGCCATCAAAAAGGATGAGTTCATGTCCTTTGCAGGGACATGGATGAAGCTGGAAACCATCATTCTCAGCAAGATAACACAGGAACAGAAAACCAAATGCCACATGTTCTCACTCATAATTGGGAGTTGAACAATGAGAACATATGGACACAGGGAGGGGGAAAACACACAGTTGGGCATGTTGAGGGGTGGGGGGGCTAGGGGAGGGATAGCATTAGGAGAAATACCTAATGTAGATGATGAGTTGATGGGTGCAGTAAACTACCATGGCACGTGTATAGTTATATAACAAAACTGCACATTCTGCACATGTATCTCAGAACTTAAGGTAAAATTTAAAAAGAGATAATTAAAAACCTATTATATAATAAGTTGGTAGATCATAGTATAAAACCATGAAAATTGTGTCTCAGTTTTCTATTACATATAATACATTTATTATAATACTCACTGAAAAATAGGATATGAAGAAGACATATAATTACAGTCAGCCTCTCATATCCATGGGTTCTGCATCCGTAGGTTCAACCAACTGCAGATTAAAAAAATTTTTTTTAAATGCACTTATACTGAACATGTACAGATTTTTTCTTTCATTATTTCCTAAAAAAATTAGTATAACAGTTTATATTATATTGGGCATTATGAGTAATCTATAAATGATTTAATGTACCTAGGAGGATGTTCACAGATTATAAGCAAATGCCATTTCCTATCAGGGACTTGAGCATCCACCAATTTTTGTATTCAAAGAAGGTCCTGGAACCAATCCCTTATGGGTACTGAGGAACAACTATGTGTGTAAACTAAAGTCAAAACAAAACAAAAAAATGTGAAAACAGCTACAAGTAAATGCCTTTAAATATTAACCAGTGGTTGTCTTGATAATGGTGGTTGCAGATTGTCTTTTCTTTGACTTTTTACTTTCTAAATTTCCTATAATGAGTATGTATTATTTTTATAATAAAAGGTCAAAAAATGTTTAAATAAAATTACTTAAGGTTGTGTTTTGAAGTAAAAAGCATATATAAACAGTAGTAACTGGAGGACAGCAAGAATCAAAGGAAGGCATTTTTCTTAGGTTGATAATATAGGGAATTGATGATGCAAGACCCATAGAAGTAGCAAGGAATTGTGGACAAAGGGATTAGTGTTCTGCAGGCAGAAGGTTGCTTCTTCTAATATTGAAAGGAAGGAATTACTGGGCAGCCTAACTGGAAACTGATAAGTATCCGTTAATTTATCCAGGTCACCCTTATTCTTCCTACACAAGTTGCTAAAAGAAGGACTTCTGAAGCTTCCAAGAATAAATGTTACTTTCTCTTCCTCAGTAACAGGAGTAATTCTGAAATGATTTTGCTGAGACAGAACCACTTCCTCTAACATTTGAATTGCAGTATTTTCAAGTACATCCAGCCAATTTCACCACTATGCTTGTTCTGTTTCTTACACTGAGCTCATGCCAATCTACCAATTTATGCCTTGGGGTTAAAATGGTTAATAAGAATTGGATCCTTATGATTAAATCTCTCCTTTTTACTCAGGAATTGTTTAGAACTTTGGCTGAGTTTTGATGTAAAATTACTTAGTGTTTATGAAGTGTTATTGTAGAATTGAGGAAAGCTTTCCAAAATGAGTACTTTAAAAAGTGACCATTGCAAGTATATGTCACTATTTTTAAGAACAGGAAGACTGAGATTATTTCTGTTTTAACTAAAAGTTTGCTTATTACAAAAGGATTCTCTCCATATCAGGAGTAGGTGAGTTTCAAGTCTTGGGCTCAGTTGATCATCAGGGTCACTGAGTCATCACTGTTTTCTGTCACTGTGCTGTCCAACATCTGGCCTGGTCACTAAGGAAACCAGATCAGTAGCTGGGGTTTTGCTAGAAAGGAGACCCAATGCAGTGTGTAGCAATGCCAAATCTTCCCTTTGTTTGAGTGTGTCTTATAACTTTTGTATAATTATTTTTTTTCTACTTCCTTTTTTTTTTTTTTTTTACTTTAAGTTCTAGGGTACATGTGCACAACGTGCAGGTTTGTTACATATGTATACATGTGCCATGTTGGTGTGCTGCACCCATTAACTCGTCATTTACATTAGGTATATCTCCTAATGCCATCCCTCCCCCCTCCCCCCACCCCCCAGCAGGCCCCGGTGTGTGATATTCCCCATCTTTTCCATGTGTTCCCATTGTTCAATTCCCACCTATGAGTGAGAACATGCGGTGTTTGGTTTTCTGTCCTTGTGATAGTTTGCTCAGAATGATGGTTTCCAGCTGCATCCATGTCCCTATAAAGGACATGAACTCATCCTTTTTTATGGCTGCATAGTATTCCATGGTGTATATGTGCCACATTTTCTTAATCCAGTCTATCATTGATGGACATTTGGATTGGTTCTAAGTCTTTGCTATTGGGAATAGTGCCACAATAAACATACATGTGCATGTGTCTTTATAGCAGCATGATTTATAATCCTTTGGGTATATGCCCAGTAATGGGATGTCTGGGTCAAATGGTATTTCAAATGGTATTTCTAGTTCTAGATCCTTGAGGAATCGCCACACTGTCTTCCACAATGGTTGAACTAGTTTACAGTCCCACCAACAGTGTAAAAGTGTTCCTATTTCTTCACATCCTCTCCAGCACCTGTTGTTGCCTGACTTTTTAATGATCACCATTCTAACTGGTGTGAGATGGTATCTCATTGTGGTTTTGATTTGCATTTCTTTTTTTTTATATACTGTAAGTTTTAGGGTACATGTGCACAATGTGCAGGTTTGTTACATATGTATACATGTGCCATGTTGGTGTGCTGCACCCATTAACTCGTCATTTAGTATTAGGTAGATTTGCATTTCTCTGATGGCCAATGATGATGAGCATTTTTTCATTTGTCTATTGGCTGCATAAATGTCTTCTTTTGAGAAGTATCTGTTCATATCCTTCGCCCACTTTTTGATGGGGTTGTTTGATTTTTTCTTGTAAATTTGTTTAAGTTCTCATGAATAGGAAGAATCAGTATCGTGAAAATGGCCATACTGCCCAAGGTAATTTATAGATTCAATGCCATCCCCATCAAGCTACCAATGACTTTCTTCACAGAAATGGAAAAACCTACTTTAAAGTTCATATGGAACCAAAAAAGAGCCCGCATTGCCAACACAATCCTAAGCCAAAAGAACAAAGCTGGAGGCATCACGCTACCTGACTTCAAACTATACTACAAGGCTACAATAACCACAACAGCATGGTACTGGTACCAAAACAGAGATATAGACTAATGGAACAGAATAGAGCCCTCAGCAATAATACCACACATCTACAACCATCTGATCTTTGACAAACCTGACAAAAACAAGAAATGGGGAAAAGATTCCCTATTTAATAAATGATGCTGGGAAAACTGGCTAGCAATATGTGGAAAGCTGAAACTGGATCCCTTCCTTACACCTTATACAAAAATCAATTCAAGATGGATTAAAGACTTAAATATTAGACCTAAAACCATAAAAACCTTAGAAGAAAACCTTGGCAATACCATTCAGGACATAGGCATGGGCAAGGACTTCATGACTAAAACACCAAAAGCAATGGCAACAAAAGCCAAAATTGACCAATGGGATCTAATTAAACTAAACAGCTTCTGCACAGCAAAAGAAACTACCATCAGAGTGAACAGGCAACCTACAGAATGGGAGAAAATTTTTACGATCTACCCATCTGACAAGGGGCTAATATCCAGAATCTACAAAGAACTTTTGTATAATTATAAGGCTATTTATGAAAATGGAGTCTGCTCATGGATTCAATGGCCAATCCCCTCATGTGAAGTAAGTGTTCCTCTAATTGTAGCAACTATGGAAGAGTTGGCCTAAGTTCAGGTTTCAAGGGCTGAAGTCATTTTAGAAACATAAGGTCGCATAAGAAGCAATAGGAACTTTACTAAGTAACAGAGTTTTAGATACCCAAAGCATCCAGATTTTACGCTTTCCAGAGACCTGGCTTCAACATCTGTTTAAATTGAAAACTAGAGTCATTTCACTAATTACAACAGTAACTTTTAAAGAAGAAAGACATGTTAGATATATCATCCACAACATATTCTGAATGACACATGCTAAGCTTGTATGTATGTGTGTCTGCACGTACATGCACAGAGTATTCAAAATAGGTTTTGCACCATGCTTTATTCATTTTCCAAACAACTTGCAAATATGTAGACTTTTTATGTACAAACATCTATAACAAAAGAATATTTCAAAGTAATAAATTGACTTTAAATTTTCAGGTTTTTAAACTACAGAATTGTTCTGAGTTGATTACTGCGATTTAGGTTTTAAGAGGTGTCTCCCTCTGGTGTACTGTCAATCAAGTTTATGAAGCCAACAAGCCCTAAACCAAAAATGGAGCAGTCTAAAAGATCAAGTCCATGGAGGAAGGCTTTAAAACAACTAGTCTTCAGTGTAACTCTGATATGTATGAAATACTATAGTAGCTTACACAAAGCAAGCTCAGTTTTATGTAAATGAAAATTCAGGTTCAAAAACACTCAATATAATTTATAAATTCTCCATATGGATAAGAGTGGTATAAAAACAATTAGACTTTAATCCTGAAAAGACAGATAGGGAACAGATGTTTTTATATTAGAAAAATTCTACAGTCTACCAAAAAATAACTCTCTGATTTTTCTAATTAAAAACTCAAAAACAAACCCTATAAATGGTGATTGATTTTAAGTATTTTTTTCAAAATAGATGGGTTTGAAACCTAAGCAGGAAAAACAGTTAATCTGTGACTGACATTACTTTTCTTACTGACATTAGTTTTCTTACAGATTTAGCTCTCATAAGTTAGTATTTTTTTTTCTTTCTTGTGATAAAATGTTTAGCACAGATGGAACTGGTTGGCCAAAGTTTGGTCTCTTTAAATAATAAGTACACGTTCCATATTTCTTTCACAGGTATAGAAGAAGACCCTATCCACAAAGATACCACTGCAAATGAAAAATTAGAACGGAATAGAGAATATACATACCAATGGCTTCACACACAGGTTGGGGTTCATGAAACGACTAGTTCCAGAAATATGAAATGGTGAGGTCATTTCCTCTAAATTAGATTTTTGTATTGTAAACACATCTTGAAAATTGAAACCTAGGTTAATTGTGCTAAAACAAACATGACTTTATTGCCAAAGGCCAATACGCTACGTTGCCGGGTAATACAAAGGCCTTTCATATAGAATAGATTTAATTACTCCTTCTATTTTTCACCCTGAAATGTTTGGGAACAACTCTATTCTGTAATACTTGAAACCAACAGATGAGCCACAAAAATAATTCTACTCTATAAAGTAAAAAATGTGGTATTCATTAAATGTTTTTAGATATCATGTATATTATAGGTTGTGCTTTATTTTGCTTTATTTTTGTTATTTATAAGTTTGACAGTTAAAATTATAATTCAACCCTGTGGCTGTCACTTTACCAGTCATGTAATTCATTTCACTGATGCCCCAAAGCTTCAGTTTCCTCTTTAATAGAGAGAGAATAATTCTAACTCATGGCGTACAGGTGAGCTACAAGGTTGAAGATATCAAATGTTTATATTCTCTAGCAACAAGGTACCTTAAATCTAAAAGTTGCTTAATTAATTTTTGTTATATTAATGTATGTACCATTTTGCTAGGGCTGCCATAACAAAATACCAGATTGGGTAGTTTAAACAAGGGAAAATTATTTTATCTCACTCAGCTCCAGAGGCTACAAGTTCAAGATCAAGGTGTCAGCAGGTTTAGTATCTTTGGAGACCTTCTCCTTTGTTTGCAGATGGCTACTTTCTTGCTGTATCCTCACAAGGATGTGGACTGTGTTGTCTTTGTTCTAATCTTCTCTTCCTATAAGGACACCAGTGATATTGGATTAAGGCACACCTATATGATCTTATCTACCTTATTACCTCTTTCCAATCTCTAAGTACAGCCATATTCTGAGGTACTAGGGGTTAGAACTTCAATATATGAATTTTAGGGGACAGAATCCAGCCCCTAACAATATGATATAAAGCATATACGCATCCTGAACCAAAGATTTAAGGAAATAAAAGTCCAGAGATGATATTTTTACATAGGTTTTCAAGATTTTTGTTTTAGCTACATATATCCACAAAGGAGTAAAAGTGTTATTATAGGCATTTATTAAAAATGTAAGCTTGGCCGGGCGCGGTGGCTCACGCCTGTAATCCCAGCACTTTGGGAGGCCGAGGCGGGCGGATCACGAGGTCAGGAGATCGAAACCATCCTGGCTAACACAGTGAAACCCCGTCTCTACTAAAAATACAACAAATTAGCCGGGCGCGGTAGGGGGCGCCTGTAGTCCCAGCTACTCGGAGGCTGAGGCAGGAGAATGGCACGAACCCGGGAGGCGGAGCTTGCAATGAGCCGAGATCGTGCCACTGCACTCCAGCCTGGGCGACAGAGCCAGACTCCACCTCAAAAAAAAAAAAAGTAAGCCAATATTGAATATAAAGACAATTTTAGAAATATTTCCAGGCATTGTGGGTAGTAACTGTTTCACATGAGTATCAAACACACAAACAAAAAGCTATCATTATTACAGTTAAAACTTAGTTTAACAGCAAGTCAAAATAGGTTTAAAACAAATCTCGTTTAATAATATATATAAACCTAACTTTAATATGTGATCAATTATATCCATTTAATTCATTTAAAAATGTGAAAAATCATATGGAAATGAAAATAAAACTTTGTGATCTGAATTATGTCAGATTGTAATGTGAACAGAAAAGTAGGAATAAAGGCATCAATATTTGAGAATTTTTATCTTACTAAGTATTCAAATTAATGTAAGCACAATTTATTTTATGTTGTTATTAAGCGATTTAATTAATAGGGTAGTATTTTATTCTGTTTTGTGTTGCTATAACAGAATAGCTCAGACTGGGTAATTAATTAAAAAAAGAGGTTTAGTTAGCTCATGGTTCTGCAGGCTGAGTTGTTCAAGGAACATGGCACCAGAATCTGCTTGGTGTCTGATGCCAGGTCACAACATGGTGGAAGGTAAATGGGGAAATAGACACACATGAAGGGGCAAAACCCAAGGGGTATACTGGCTTTTCAACAACCCATTCTCATGGGAACTAATCCAGTCCTGCCAGAACTAATCCAGGCTAACAAGAACAAGAACGAACTCACTGCAAGAATAGCACCAAGGCAATCATGAGAGGTAACCACCCTCATGACCCAAACACCTCTCCACTAGTTTCCAGCACCCAACGTTGCTACATTGGGGATCAAATTTCAACATGAGTTTTGGTGAGACTACATCCAAACCATAAGAGAAAGCATCCTTAGAACTATAAACCAACGTACAATGATAGGATTCATAACTTACTATTTCTATTAACCAGATATAAGAGGTCTTGTTCAGAAAATTGAAAACATTAGAACAGATGTAAAGAAAAATATAAGAAAAATGTTTCATGATGAAATTTTGATATACTTAAATATTTAACAATAACCCTTACTCATAAATAAGTTATATATAAAATTTTAAACAATAAGCAATTGTTAATAAACTTTCTCCTTTGAAAATATAATATATTAAATAGGTAGTCATATTTTAAGAAAAAAATTATTTTCAAAGACAAGAGTTCTTGAAAAGCCAAATATCATTGTTCTAGTTTTAAACAGAATTTTATTTTGAATATTAGTATAACACATTAAACACACTAGAGCTATTTTAAAAGTAGGAAACTTTACTTTTTGAAAAGACGACTAAAACATGTAAGCAAATACAAATAAAATGTTGAAGAATTCTATAATTTGTTAACCATCTTTACTAGTACTAATCAATTGTGGCTCTTTGCATGTGTTTATGTTTGACAAAGAAGAGTGGTATTGAAGTGTTATTAGAAATTGAGTTTTATCTCAAATTGATTTTTTTAAATTAGAGAAAGATGTACATTTGTACTTATTTTTACTTATAACCTAATTTAAGAAAACTGTTGTTTCCATTTTGTAAATAACGAATTTCTCTCAAGCTTTTTAGTTGGACGTTTCTTTTATATGCTTCCTCTACATTTACATTATAAAATACTTTCTGTTTTTGTCACTATGCAGCAATCACTTTTTGCCTGAGTTAGATCCAGATGTACTTAATGGTGGAAGAGTTCAGCTTGTGGTAAGAAATGTGCTTAAAGTTACAGAAAAATGTTGTAGACACTAGTGCTCAAATAAATGGCACTTTAAGATATGTTTATAATTAAACTATGAAAATATCACAACTGTATCTATTTGGGATAATATCAAAATATCATGTGTTAAAATAATAACATGTTTTCTTGACTTGTAATACAATTTAAAATGTGACATTGCTTAAAAATGTTAATTTTATGTGACAGATGTAAAAATATTAGCATCCTACAACTTTAAAATAAAATTACTGTGGATGGAAAATTGAAACTTTTTTCTTGGATATTTTAGAAGAGTAGAATTTGTAGGCTATAACTGGAGGAAATACCAAAGCACCCTCATTACTCAGAAAATCCAACCATATAAAAAATTAACAAATAATTGTGAGCTCAACCACTCTATGTAATAAAGTGTAAAATATTGAAGCTTTTGGTACAACCAGGTTTTCAACATAATGATCAGAATAAAGACGCTATGCAGTATAACTGTATGTGCATTGCTAAAGTCAATTGCACTATATGCTACTAGATAAGCAGAAGGAGAATGGTCAATTTGGAGTCTAGGAAAACTGATCACATAAAATAAGAATTTTTCAGTGCGTTTCTAGAAATTTCCAGAGAAGAGAGTATTCTGACCAGTGACAGAAGTGTGTGGCCTTTTTGGTAGGTGAAAATGGATGCATCAGGTGACCCTAAGTTTACAACCAATCATTACCCCTTGCTCAGATTCTGCATTCACCAAAAACTGATTATAATTTAGCTTGGCTTATAGAATTTTATATTAAAAGATCATGTGATTCTTGAATGAAATGAGTATTATGATTTCCAGACCAGTTATATTCATCATTTTCATGAACAACTCATGCAAGGAGTTCTCCTGAAAGAGAAGCAAATATTAAGGTAGTCGCTAGCTAAATTGCGTGTGTTTTGGAAAATATTTTTGGAATCTAAGCACAGATTTGAGGTAACTACTCAGCAAATATCTTCTTGCATTTTAATAGAGACCTCTCTAAGAAAGTGGCCTGTAGATTATCCAAGGAAAATTGCTAATTTAGGCCATTAACACTACACATATTATTGATTAACACTTTGGCACAGATTGGTTAGTGGCCACCTTAGAGCAAGAATTGAGATCATAAATCTGCCAAGGAATGCAAGGATAAAGAAGTGATATAATATTTTGGTCAAGCATGGTGGTTCAGGCCTGTAATCTCAGCACTTTTGGAGGCTGAGGCAGACAGACTTCTTGAGCCCAAGAGTTCAAGACCACTCTGGGTAACATGGCAAAACCCCATCTCTACCCCCAAAAATACAAAAAAAAATAGCTGAGCATGGGGGTGCACACCTGTAGCCCCAGCTACTTGGGAGGCTTAGGTGGGAAGATCATTTGAGCCTAGAAGATGGAAATTGCCGTGACTTGAGATTGCACAACTGTACTCCAGATTGGATGTCAGAGTGAGACTCTCTTTCAAAAAACAAAAAAGTTATAATATTTAATTTTTCCATGTTTAAAAAGGAATGGAAACTGATTGGATAGATTACTGATCATAATAGGTTTATGAGATTAATGCAAGGATATTAATCCTTTTTCCATACTCCTCTATCTTCCACTATATACAAATAAATAATATACATTACAATGATACATTTTGTTTTCACATTGAAGAGCTAGATACAACTGAACACAAAAACAAGGTAAATGGTAGTAGAATAGAAATATCCAGATGTCTCTTTTTTTAATTGAGTGGATGCAGGGAAAGGCATCAGTGGCTTTTATCAAAAGGATACAGAGCTGACTAAAGGACCAGAGTAGGTATCTAGAAGAGTATTGGAGAATGAAAGCACCCCACTTGCCCACTTGTGCCAGGGAACTGGAGGCAGATAATTACACAATCGGTACAAGGCTATAACTAGGAGGAAAACTGAAAGTAAAAACAGAAAGAAAAAACCACTGCAACTGTTACTAGTATAAGATTCTTAAAAATGTAGTAATAACACCCACAATTAAAGGACAGAAAATTATGAAGCGAAAGTTATCAAATGTTAGAAAAGACAGATGGGTATGCAAGCAAACCAATTATAAACTCTGGAAATAAAACATTTCATTTATATACACTAGACTGGACTCTATAAAAGATAAATTTAGTAAATCAGAAGATTATCTACAAAGAAACAATAATTAGACTGACAGCTAACTTCATATCGGAAGCAATGAATGCCAAAAGACAGTGGATTTTATTTCTTAGTTATAGGGATGAGTATCATCCAGAATACTCTTTAGTAACCTTCAATAGTGAGGCAAGAATAAGGCATAATCAAACATTTAAATTCTGGATATTGAGGAAACTAGTAAATAACATTTCTGTCTTTCAAGGAAGAGCAAAGCATATTGCATGATAGGAATTAGAAAAATGGAAACAAAATATCATTTTCTTTACATCCAAAAATATATCAGAAGTCACGTCAAATATATAGACAATTTTATATTTAATTGACTAAATGGATCCCCTCAAACTCTGGAATTTTCCTGCAGAAGACAGAATTATAATTCAGGTTTCCCAGGAAACATACTCTGATAGTTTTATGTTTGAATGCAGAGAGTTTATTCAGCAGAGCTTTCCAAAACGACTCCTGTGAGAGATGAAAGAAGCAGAAAGGAACAGAGGAAAATGGTGACCTTCAATAGAGATGCATCAAAGAAAGTGAGGTCTGGAGACGGGGAAGACCCTTTTGGGTTGTCCTAGCTTGAGGCAAGAGGACTAGGCGTTAATAGTCCTGTATCTCCTCAGGAGAAAGTATGACTTTGATAAGGCAGTTCTCTTCAGCGAAGGATAATTTCCAGAGAGGGATTTGGCTGAGACCCCTCAGGCTGCAGTTTTCTCAGTGACTATCTCTGACTCAGTTGTTAAATATGATCTAGGTAGGGTATGATAATATCAAGGCAAGTTTAGTATTCATGAGTGCAACAACTTAGTCTAGAAAATGTGTCAGTTGTACCCAAATAAGTCTATACATTAGAAGAAATCTCATCCAATATTACAATGGTTGTTGCAAGCCTGATAAATCTCATCTTAAAATGTGTATTGAGGATTAAAAACCCAAGAATATGTGGGTCAACTTTGAAAAAGAATAGTAAGTTGTGTCACAAGACATAAAGGCTTAGTAAAAAGCTAAAGCAAACTTCATGGTTCTGGCACAGGAATGGATGAATAGACCAATAGAAATGAATAGCAAGGTCAGGAATAGATCTATGACTCTGTACTATAAAGATTGGAAAGCTGAGATTGTTTACTAAATGGCATTGAAAAAGTGCAGGAGTATGAATGCACACCTTTTACAACAGTGGACAGAATTCAGAAGGTTCAAAGATCCAAATATGAAAGGTAAAGCTGTAAAACAGGTAAAACAAGGAATAATATCTTTGCAACTTAGCAGTTAAAAATACATTTTTAAAAAGGTATGAATAGTACAAACTATATGGCAAAAATATCAGTTGACTCTGTTAAATTAAATATCTCTTTCTATTAAGGATTTTATAGAAAAGGTTAACAGGTATATGACTGCTGTTTTCAGTGCCTCATTTAACAGAGCTTAATATCTAAATACAGAAAGATCTCTTTCAGGTAACCCAATGAATACATTAGAAAAATAATATAAATTGGTGGTTCACAGAGATGATGCCTAAATGGGCAAGTGTATGTGAAGAGATGCTCGGTTTCCAGATGAGAGGAATGAAAATGAAAATTAAGTTGTCTTATGACAATACTAATCAAATGGCAAAAATTGGAAAACTGGATATTGCAGAAGGATGTCACCAATGTGAAAATCCTTGTGTACAGTTGGTGAAAGTAGAAGCTGGTACAGTCATTCTGGAAAGAAACTTGTCAGTGTTTATTAAAGTAGGTATTTGAATACCCTATTAGTCTGCAAGCCCGTTCTTGGAGGAAAAAAAGATACATATTTTTGGATACATATATATATTTGGATATATATATATGTATTTCTGGATATATGTATCTTTTTGATGTATATATATTTCTGGATATATGTATGTGTATGTGTGCATATATATATATATATATATATATATCTCCCAGATTATTTTTACATACAGCCATCAAAGAATATATACCAAGAAGTGTGTTGCTGTATTATTTATACACATATAGAGGCAACTTAAGAACTCTTTATTAAATAAATGAATAATTGGTTGGATATATATTATGAAACACAGTACTGCAGGCAAGAGGAGTAGATTAAAACCATGCAGAAAATAGATATATTTAAATTACATATTATTGTGTTTAAAAATTAATGACCAAAATGTTAATACCAATTTATTTGTTTTCCTAATTGTTTCTGCTTTGGGCTATGATGTAGTATAGACCAGTCCTTCTGAAGAAAAACGTTTTTATAAAACCTGGATAAAATTAATCAAACAACTATTTTATAAGTTGAAAAACAGGCAGCACAGGACTATGATCCCTGAGATAAAAGAAACACATGAGTTCCACAGTCAACTCAGGTAACAGCTTGGAAACACTTTCTGGACTACAGCAGAGGGAAGGGAAGCCTAAAGAGAGCTCAGTAGTTTCACTGAGTTGAAAAGAAAGAGAGAAAGGAGTGTTCAGAGTTGCTGAGATAAATGGTATTTACAGGGTAAAATACTAGAGAAAGTGTTGCAAAAATTGGTATAGTGGTTTCCTTAGGTGTTTGGCCAAGTACTAAGCTCTGTATATACTGCACTATGTGACTCATTGAGGTCCAGAAGGGAACAGCTACTGGGAATATCTGAACTGAAAAGAGACTCTAGAGACCAATCAAAACCGGGAAACATTGGAGTTCTGACCTGCTACAGTGGAGAACGTCCCAGACATTTAGTTAAGACCATGTAAAGTTAAACTTTAGGAAGGGGTGACTCTAGCCCTGGATTAAAAAACTCCTCTAGATCCACATAGTAAAACATAAATGTAAGCCTCAAAAAGACCAAGTTAATCAACAAATAAATCAACTGCCTGCTAGAATAAAAACTGCCTCTGTTAGAATAAAAGCTAACAGAGTTTAAAGGATGCTAACAAAATCTACAGATTCAGCAAATAAAATTACAATGTCCAGTGTGCAGTAAAAAATTGCTAATCCTTCAAAGCAGCAGGAAAATGAGCCTTGTAAGAAAAAAAATCATCACTAGAACCAAATCAGATAACCTTTTTAAGATTCTTGCCTGCAAGTTATAACATCTATTATAAATATATTCAGAGATCTAAATGTTGAGGAAACAGATTGAAATCTTAATAGAGAAAATAAACTTTAAAAAATAAGAAAATAGAAAATCTAGAACTGCAAACTATTTCACCTTAATTGAAAAAAAAATAATGGCTGGACTTAATAAATTAGACATTGGGAAGAAAAGTGCACTCAGAAACAAAGCAAGATAAACTCTCCAAAGTGGGGCAGAGAGAGAAAAAATAACTTAAAAAAAATCAAAGCTTGAGTGCTCTGTCAGATAATAGCAAGCAAGCTAATAGATATGTTGTTGACTTTCCGGAAGAGAGATTAGAGATGAAAAAATATGTGAAAACTAATCACTGAAAACATTTAAAATTTGATGAGAAATACGAGAAAACAGATTTAAAAAGCTTAACACAAAAATTACACCTATGCACCTCATAATCAAATTGCTGAAAACCAACAAGAAAGAAAAAAATTTAAAGCAGCTAAAGTATACATGATATACAGGGGACCATTTGTAAGGATTATGGTTCACTATCGATCACAAATATTGACATCCAGAAGAAAGTGGAAGAAAAAAATGTCAACCTTCAATTCTATATCTAGTAAAAATAGAATTGTAATTTACCACATTAACATAAAAAGGAAAACAATCATTATCTCAATATATGCAGAAAATGTTTACCACGAATTCAACAGATTTGTGGTAAAAATTCATAGAAAATTAGGACTAGAAGACACTTTCTTAACTTGATATACTTAGTGGTTAAAGGCCCAATGTTTTGTATCTAATATCAGGAACAAGGCAAGAAAATCTGATTGGAAAAGAAAACCATCTGATTTTCACAGATGACATCTTCTTGTACATAAAAGTCTTAAGAAATCCTCACAAACAGTTTAGACATAAGTGAATTTATTCAAGGACACACAATAAAGTTTAATTTAAAATATGCTACGTTTCTAAATATTAGCAATAAAGTTTAAAAATTAAATTTAAAAATTTCATTCATGACAATGTCAAAAATGGAAAATATTTAAAAATAAATGTTAACATTGAAATGTGCAAGCCCTCTACACTCATAACTGCAAAACACTGCTTTAAAAAATTTCAGAGACATACCATATTTATAAATAAGTTGAAAAACTCAAATTGTAAGAAATTAATTCTCCCCAAATGTTCTGTAGATTCAAAGCAATCCCAGTAAAATTTTTGGTAGAAATGTACACACTGATATTAAACTGTGTATGGAAATGGAAAGGACCTAGAATAGCAAATGCAATCTTGAAAAAAGAATAGTAAGACTCGTGCTACACAGAATTCAAGACTTGCTATCAATCCCCGGTAATTGAAACTGTTTTATACACACACACACACACACACACACACACACGTGTATATATATACACACACATATATGTATGTATATATATTTATATATGTGTTAAGATACAAGAATCTATCAATGGAAAGTATAGGGAGTCCAGAAAAATACCCACACTTGTAAGGTCAATTGATTTTTTATAAAGTATCAAAACAATTCAAGGGGGGGAAAGATAACCCTTTCTACACATAGTGCTGGACAACTAGATAACTATATGGAAAAAGAATCTTGACTCCTACTTCTCATCTTATGAAAAATGAAATTAAGATGAACTATGAGCCTAAATTTAAAAGCCAAAATTGTAAAACCTATTGAAGAGGCCTGGCATGGTGGCTCGCGCTTGTAATTTCAGCACTGTGGGAGGCCCAGGCAGGTGGATCATTTGAGGCCAGGAGTTTGGGACCAGCCTGGTCAACATGATGAAACTCCATCTCTATCAAAAATACAAAAATTAGCTGGGCATGGTGGCACGTGCCTGTAATCCCAGCTACTCAGGAGGCTGGGACACAAGAATCCCTTGAACCGGGGAGGCAGACTTTGCAGTGAACTGAGATCACACCACTGCACTGCAGCCTGGGCAACAGAGCAAGACCCTGACTCCAAAAAAAGTAAAATATAATCAAATAAATAAAAATAAAACCTATTGAAGAAAACAGTAAGATACATCCACAAACCTGGCATAGGCAAAAAGCCTAAACCAAAAGTTACAAATCAATTATAGTTCATATTTAAAAGCATTTGCCCTTACGAAGACACAATTCAGAAAATAAACAGAAATGAAAAGTCAAACCACATTATCGGAGAAACATTCATACTCTTTATTTCTGTCAAAAGCAAATGAAAACGTGTTCACTTAGAGAAATAATTAAAGCCACTATATAATACCACTCTACCCCATTAAAGTGGTTAAAATAAAAAATACTGAAATTATCAAATGTTGACAAGTATGCAGAGCAACTGTATCTCTCATGCATTGCTGGTGAAAATGGTACAGCCACTCTGGAGAAAAAAACTTTATAAGCTTTATAAGCTTGTAAAGACTCTGGTACATTCAGAAGCTTTATAAGCTTCTTATAAAGTTAAATATACACTTAACATACGACCTAATTATTCTTCCTTTGAGCATTTTTCCTAGAGAAGTGGACTTTCATTCAAACAAAAAACTGTACATAAACTTTCATAGCAGTGTTATTTGTAATAGCCAAAACTTAACACAACTCAAATCTCATTGAATGGGTAAAATAATAAAGAAATGATGGTACATACATACAGTGGATATACAACACACAATTAAAAAGCAATAAACAAGAAAGCTGTTGACATATACAAATATTTCCATCGATCTCAAGAACATTATGTTGAGTTAAAAAGGGCTAATCTCAAAAGATTACATGCTGTATTATTTCATTAATATAAGATCCTTAAGCATCACGTAATTATAGTAATAGAGAAAACGTGATTAGTTGCCATGCTTAGATTGGGGAAAGGATGTGACTATAAAGGAGAACAACAGAGTTTCTTTGGGAAGACGGAATAGATTTGTGTCCTAATTGTGATAATAGTTGAATCTATACATATTAATACAATACATAATCTATACATATATGTATGCATAATTTATACATATGATAAAATGTCATAGAACTGCAAACAAGAAAAAATTAGGGCATGTGAAAGCTAGCGAAGTCCTAATAAGGTCAGTAGTTTAGTAATAGTATTGATACAGTGTCAGTTTTCTGGTTTTGTTGATCATGATTTGGTTATGTGAAATGTTGTCATTGAGGCATGCTGGGTGTAGGGTGCATAGGGAACTCATTGCTATATTTTGTAACTTCTATGGGAGTTTTAAACTTCTATGGGAGTTGAACTTCATGTTTAAGGTCTTTGCACTTTACGGCATGTACATTATGTCTTTTAAATATTTAAAGTGCCTTCCCTACCCACATATGTTATATAACAAGACATCTGTCTTATTACATAAGAAAAGGAGTTTATGAAAAGATGATGTATTATGAATTTAGGAGTATGCATAATTCATTTTCTTTACATGAAGTTAAAAAGCTTTTAAAATCACTCATATGTCTAGATATATTACAAATAATTATGTGATATATTTATAGTATATATTGTAATTTTGCCATAATTTGCAAATTATTCTAACAGTTAAAATAAATGAACTAAATCTAGATCTCACATATATAATGTACAGTGAAAAAAGCAAGCAGCAGAAAATATATCATTTATGTTAATTTTGAAATAATACTCTAAAATGTTTGATACATATGTAGAAAAACAAAGTAGCATGTAAGGGGACTTCATCTTTATAAAACTCGCTTTCTCCCTTTATAAAGAAATATCTGGGTAATAAGTACATAGACATTTGTTTTTATGTGTGCTGTTTTGTATATCTTCACTTCCAAAAAGACAATACTTTTAAAATTAATAATTAATAAAATCTTGTTTATGAAAAAAATGTAGAAGAAGAGGAAATCCCTCTTGTTTAATATATGAGAGAGAATCTCTTTTTTAATTAAGTTGCCAAAGTTGGAGGTGAATCAGAATCCAAATGCTTGGAAAGTCCTGTCCCAAAATGTACATCCGTCATTTCATTGTGAAATTATAGGGCGGAAGTGGGGAGAGCGGCAATTACAAACCTTGTAGGTAGGGCGATAAAAGAGATCCGTTCCAAAAACAAAGACCTAAAAGAATTTTGCAAAATTACAGTCTAATAAGTATTTGCCATTATGTTGTATGTGAGAAAATTCTTATCTGACATTAACTTGAGATTATTATATTATAACCATAAAAAATATTGCACTATTTTGGAATCCAACATACGTTTTTGTAGAATAAATGTCGAATGTGTGATCAGTTATCTTCAGGTTAAGTTGGCCCTCCATATCTGTCAACCAACTCTGGATTGAAAATATTCAAACAAACAAAAAATAACAATACAACAATAAAAATGATACAAATAAAAAAACAATAGAGTATAACAACTATTTATGTAGCATTTACATTTATTTAGGTATTAGAAGTAATCTAGAGATTATTTAAAATAGAAGGGAGAATATGCATAGGTTATATGCAAATAATTCTCCATTTTATATAAGGGACATGAGCATCCATGGATTTTGTTATCTGTGGAAGTCCTGAAACAAATCCCCACAAATACTGAGGAACGACTGTATATACAATTTACATGACATTGAAGAAAATCTGTATCTTCTTTACCATTTCTCTATTTTTTAACACTAAGCAGAGAATGATGTTTAGTTGGGAAGCCAATGTTTTCAAAAATAAGATCTAAATATTGTTGCATATCGCTGTGCCAGATTCACTGAAAGACATTTAACTAGCCCATTTATGAAATTTCTAGGTTTGCTTTTAAGCTGCTAAATGGCATCATTGTGAAGCCATGTGTTTCCAGTAATTTTACTTCTAAAGTTTATTTCCTATGTAATTGACCAAATTAGTAACTGACACTAGTTATTTTCTACTTTGGAAAAAATCATCTTTGGATGTTAATTACTTAGATGATAATAAATTTTTTGGAAGGTGTTTATTTACAAATATTTTCTTGACTGTAGGTTTTGTCTTATTTAGGGGAGAGTGGGAATTCTACTTTCTAAATAGGTGTAGTGAAATTATGTCATTACATTTAAATAAATAAACCTCATTTTACAATATTAAGGCTTATAATCTTAAAGCCTCTTTAGTCTTCAGGAGGGTCCCTTATGTGGTTCACATGTTTTTTCTTGTTACCTAAGTAGCCTCTCCAAAATTGTGGTATTGCTTTGATATTTCCCCTTAACTTTTGACTGTTTTTTTTTTTAAGGTTTACCATTGATGGAACTTTTCTAATGCAGCTATTCTAATGTTAGACATGTACTCTTGGATACTATTGAAATACATTTCAAAAATAATGTATAACTTTTATTATTATTATTATTATTATTATTATTATTATTATTATACTTTAAGTTTTAGGGTACCTGTGCACATATAAATCACAAGTATAAATTGGAAACGATTTTTATTTATTTTATTTTAATGTTTTCTACCGAGGTTTTTTGACAATGTCATTATATTACTTAGCCAGTTACATTAAGAATGATTGACATTATACAATGGTTTATATTCTGAACTCAGCAAGAGCAATACTTGCTTACTTAAAAATAGTATGTGAGGCAATACATATGTTAATTTGCTCAATTTAGCCATTCCACAGTGTATATATATATTTTAAAACATTGTGTTGTACATGATACATGTATACAATTTTTGTTTGTCAATTAAGACCAAATAAACAGGGAAAATATAAATAAATTTGGAAAAATAGAAGTATATTAAAATAAATAAATAAATGTAAGTTCATATGTTTAAAAGTAGGAAGAAGGTGGGAGGGGGATGTAAAGGTGAAGGGCAAATATCTGAATTTTAAAGAGGGTCATTTTTGGATACTAGCTCCTTGAGTCTTTGTGGCTCATCTTATGGAGACAGCTTTTTAACCACAGTGGTGGTTTTATGCTTTTATTTTGCTATATTTAAGTTTTCCTAACATCAAACATTAAGAACAATGCATTTTCACAGGATTTCAAGCATAGTGTGGTTTTGGTTAAATCCCAGCTACTCTGAGGCTGCTTTGCTTTCCCTCATGGCATTTCCCCCTATTTCAGAACTGAATCCTAATGTATCTTTATGTAATGATATTCAACATTATGTACAACACTGTTTTATAGGTAAGAAGCAATTATTTTTGGCACTTAGATTCGGTCTAAGTAATACAAATTCAAAGGCAATTTGAGATAAAATAAATAATTTTTATGTTCATTAAATAATGTCCTGAAATATCTATATATTTATAATTATCCCAAAATTAGTATTAAATATATTTTTATATTGATAATGGCTTTAATGAGAAGGTAAAGATGGTCTGTAGCTTAATTGTATGCAAGCATAGGGTGAAAGGCATTTCAGAGAATTTTATTGATAAGACTAATACATATAAGTGGCAACATATAATTTTTGCAAAAAATAACCCCATATGACATGTCTAACATTCAATTAAAAATTAAATAATATACTTGGCAAATAAATAATGTTAAGCTCTTTAAAGTTTCATCAGCTACCTTTGATATTGATTTTCATCAAAATTACTGTACTAAAATGTTTTCTTTTGTTGTACAGACTCAAATAGCAATCCTCAATTTTACAATCGACTCTTATTTGCAAAAAATGCTTTGACATAGTGCATTTGTTCTGCCTGGGCAGCAATAAAGGATTGTGGTATCATTTTGAAGAAGGTTGTTTGACAGAGCCTGTTTGTTTATTTGGGGTAATGTGAGCTGCATTCAGAAAATGCCATATTTTGTTTCATGATTGTATACATTCTCTTCCATTGCTCCCAGGCAAGACTTGTAAGCAGAGAAGACACGGATTTAGACCTTTTTTCCATGACCAATGGAAGTGCTTTGTCTGTGAACAGAGAAAAAAAAAATCAGGCACACAGACACTCAGCAGGATCTTCAAGTAAGTTGTGGTTTCCTTCAAAATTAATTTAGAAATCACAAACGAATTGATGGAACCTAATGCCAACAAGCATTCTTTTTCAGATAGGGGGTAGGATGCCAGCAACCTGAACTGCCCAAAAATGTGTATTTAAATTTTTTCTTTCTTTAAATATCCTCTTTTGATATAAACAAAATTAAATTATTTCTAAAATTAACTGCATCAGTTTTTATTTTAATTGTATTTGGGGCTTCAATATCTCCTGCCCCCCACACCCTGTGAATCATATTGAATTCTTTGATCATTTAATTCTAAAAGAATTTTTTAGACTAATTGTAAGATGTTAGATTTATATATGAAAGTAGTGTGTCTTGGCCTTTTACCATTGATTTAATAGATACTGTATGTAAAGATAATTTCCAAAGATAATTTTTTTAAATAGAAGAGCTTTAAATAATATTATACTATCAGAAAGCATGCTTTCAAAAACTATTTCCATTGCATATGTAAGAGTTTGATTATGTCTATTAATGATGACTCTTAATTCATAAACCTGTCACACACATCTATTACCTTTAACTTGGTGAGAAATATACATATATATTAAATATATAATACATTTATATAACATATTTGTTATATATATGTAGAGAAAGAATATAAAAATAATGATTTCAACAAGAATTATATTGCAATTATTAACTCTGAAAAATGTAAACATTTAAAAAATAGCTGTATCTTGTGGTATTTCACGGGAATCAAGAGCGATTTCTTTCAAAGTCCTTATTTAACCCTAGAGAGTTTGAGATCTCTTCTAAAATGTGACAATACATTAGTATAAAAGATATTTTGCTTAATATTACATTTTGTTAATTTCCCCAATATATAGTGAAACTCAAGATTTAATCGTAATTAAGTCTTTATACTTAATTATAATTATTATTTTTGAAAGAGTTGTATTACTCACTGGTATTATAGTTACATATATACATATATATATAGAGAGAGAGACTCACACACACACACAATACAAAATCAATATTTGATTGAAAGTGAAAAATTCAGTGATCCAGATTGTGCTCTCCGGATAAATGAAAACTTCAAAATGATTATCTGACTTTCACTTTTCATCCAAGTACTTGGCTTTATTAGATTATAATCATTTATATTTATTAATACATGCAAGTTCATTTTGATAAATTTTAATTTACTTTTGAAATAATAATTTTAATACATCTAATTTTGAAATATTTTCCAAGTTTCAAAAACCCTGGAGAGCTTGAAGTTTTCTTACATGATTATAGAATCTGGTCATTGAAATGTTGCCCTAGTCAATATAGTTAAGAAATAAATATTTTAAGTTTAAATTATTCACCTAATGTAAACTTTTTAGTTTTTAACATAATGTACTAACTTTATCAAATTTCAAAATCTTTATTCCATTTCAGAAGTAATCAGCCTGTGTCAATATATATTAATAAATAATGATAATTTTACGCATTGCATATTACAAACTCATATGATATCACTTTGGAGCATTGTAGGTAAGAAATAAGCAAATTAAAAACAAAAACAAAAAATTGCTTTTTCACTTTAGAATTTCAAAACTTCTGTTTATAATGTATTACCTGAATGTTAGCACATGAATAGCTCAATAAATCAGCAACTAGTTTCAAATATGCAAGTTTCATCATTCACTTACATGATATTTAATTATGGATTTTAGAGATATAATTATATAGAGTTCATTTTAACACATTCTCCAAGAAGCTGAAATAATGCAATTCTCACTGTAATTCCAACTACTTGTCAACAAATAATATTACTGAAAACACTACTAATCTCTGAATGTGTTAATAAGCAACAATTTAAGGCAAACTACTTTAGAAGAGTAGAGTTTTAAAAAAATAATAAAATGATTATGAATCAAATACTACTTGCTTAATCACTGTAGTTGCTAAGTAACTATAACAACATCAGTATTATATAATAATAAGGAGTGTGGTCTCTGAGGTCAATTTGCCTGGATTTGAATGAGGACTTAATCTTTAAAATAGGAATGATAATAGAAGCACCTCTTTGTAGAGTTGTTGTTGGGATCAAATGCATACGAGTTAGAACACAAACTGGTACAAAATCAGTGCTTAATAAGTGTTCTTTATAATCATCACCTAAACATAGTTATATAAGAAGCATCTTTTGGGCTAAAGTATGGAAGTCTCAAGTATCTAGGCACATGATCTAATTGGTTCAGCTTATAAAAAACCTACTCTTAGTTGCTTAATTAAAATATTTGGCTTAGTCTATTTTTCTGTAGAAATCAAAGTCCTTGGGCCCTAGGCCTCCATGGCCCTGGGTCAACCAGTTAACAGCTTTGGTATCTTGAAAGCTCTTTTTCCTTTAGCTTTCTCTCTCTGTCTCAAAATTTGTCACCTTATAAAGCTATTAATAAAATATTTCTTTTAGCTTTGCAGGCCAAATCTAGAGAGTACTTTGTGGACTACAGCTGTAAAACTCTTTTTGAGCCTTTGAACTTTTCTAGATATTTCTCTTTTAGTGTTGTTATAATTTTATAACATGTATTCTTTGGAATCAGATAAATTCAGATTTAAAATCCCAGTTCCACCATCACATATGAGTTGTGTGCCCTTAGGTAAATTGTTTAACCTCTAACATTAAGTTTACTGTCTGTAAAATGGGAATAGTAATGTTTATATCATAGTTTTAGTGAGGAAAAATTGAGTAAAAATATACATAAAGCATATGATATATTGCCTTGGGTATTATAGGGTCCTAAAGAATAGTACCTGTTGTCTTCACTGTTTCTTGTTGTATGTTTGGTAATTCTCTTGAGTCATTATGAAACAACCCCACAGTAGAATTGTCTTCCTTTTCTGTGTGTCAAAAATAATAAGACCAGGAGGAGTATACTTTGAACATACTGGCCATCTCAGGCAATATTTCTTTTGTTAGAAAACTTCCTAAATGTTCTGTCCCTTTCCTTTTAGGCTTTACTGTTTCCTTACAAAGAGGCCAAAGCAGTCTTCTGCTATCTAAATTTCTAATCTTTCTTATGGTTTACAAAGTTATGAAAGAGATTACATTCTCATTCAAAAATTATCATTTATAAAATGGACATAGCAAGAGATTTCCTCATTTATATAATATTTAGTCAAAATATTTGAATTTACTAAATGATTTTAGTTTACTCAATTTCCTCATTTAATGCTTAAAGTATGCATTGCAATATATAATAATACTTTTATTGTTAGAGCAATTTATAGCTTTATACATTATCTTTATTTATCTTTTCTCATGTATAATGATCATATTTCTTTGACAGCTAACATAAATGAAACTCAGGAAACTAACTAATTTGCTTTTCACACAAAAATTAGCAAAGAAGAGCAGCAACTTGAATTTATCTTTGTTTTTGTTCTAAATCCAGTGATATATCATCTTTAATTTTTCTATGGACTAAAACATATAGCTTAGTTAGTAAAATAGTAGAAGAAAAATTATTATAATTTTTAATCATTAAATTATCCAAGAGTCATTTATTGAATGCTCACTGCTCCCTGCATACCCACGAGTGGTTTTCAGGTGTCTCCTTCTGATTATCTCTGTACTTTCCAGGATACATTACATTTTCACAGTTAGTTGGGGTTTGAAAACCCACAATACCTCTGTAATAGTGAGTAATCAGACCCTCCTGAAGTTGTTCTTTGGTTATATCTAAACTTATGAAAAGTTAGTCTTTTTAATATGGTATTGAATTTTCTGAATGTGACAGAAAACATTGTTCAGAAGAGAAGCAATTATAGTGGTTGAGGTGACTTAGAAAGACTTCTTAAAGGCACTATTCGTGATTTGTGCCTAGAATGACATTTGGGATTTAAGTAAGGAAAGAGGTAGAAGAAAAACCATTTAAGCAAAAGTAAAGGATAAAATATGAATGTATCATTGTGGAATGTTGAAGAGTCTGTCTGGGCCAGAGGTTCCATATACTGAAGTAAGTAATATAAGGTTGGATGAAAGAAGAAGCCCAGTTTTAAGTAAGTTTGAAAGTAAAGTAGAAGACTTGAAATTTCCTACTAATAATAAGTAACAAATGAAGATTTCAAAAAATAAGTGTTTTAGAAAACTAAACTATTTGTTAAGGAAAGGTATTCTGAATCTGTTCTAACATTACATACTTCCTCTAATATATTGAAAGAGTAATTTTATAGCTCTTATGAAAAAATATTGATTTTTGTGATAAAAACTTCAAAACGAAATAGATTGCTAGGAGTTCATGCCTAATATTGTTTACAGGTAGAAGTCTAAGGATAGTACCTAAAGCAAAAGTAGATTCCAAAGATGGATATTGAAGTTTATTTCAAGTAGAATAAGCACATTTCAATAATATAATTTTAAACTTGCAAATCAAGAAGGTAGCATGTTGTGTATTTATGTATATTTATGTACATATATTCATATGTATACATGTATATGAATATCTAATTTTTGCATACCTGGAAATAAATGTGTGTGTCTGTGTGCATCTGTGTGTATGTGTGTAACATGCATTATAATTCCACACTGTGTGAACTCAAGAACTATCATTGCATGTATTTAGGTATTTTTATATAAACCACACATCATGATAGTAAGCAGTTACATACCTACAATGTGAAAATCACTTCCACAAGCCATTAAGAAAATATAAATATGAATTATATGTGCCTAGCACATAGTAGGCACTTACATTAAGTGAATAAATGAATATATGAGCCATTGTTGCTACTCTCCTATATCATGTGTTCCTATCAGTTTATTTTTAAATGGATATTGTTTTCCACAGAAACAAAAACATTTTCTTTAACATTCATGGACTTCTTTATAAACTGTATGTATGAGATTTAGATTAATAAATTGTTGCAGATATTAAAGTAATATTGTCATAGATTATAAAAAGCGCTCTATGATGGAATTTAATCGACATGAAGATGGAATTTTCAAGGGCTTGGCTTATATCAGGGAGGAAAATCTCTCTTAAAAGCCCTAAACATACTTTCTTTTAAATTCCATTGTCAACAACAATGTTGTACTAATTTTTTTTTTATTGTTTCTTCTTCTCCTCTGCTAGAGTGTATGCTACAGGGAAGCAGGGAGTTTAATTAAATATTCTAGATACCTAGAACAATTCCCTGGCATATTGTCTATTATATGTATTGGAGGAATTGATACATGGATGGATGGAAGGATGAATATTGTCATTCTTTAGATGCATCAGAGCTAGGAAAATGAGTATCTGACATTTTCTTGCTCCGTAGTAAGAGGAAGGCTTTACCGACAAAGAAGCAGGGTAGAAGATTGCCTATTTAGTAGACATTCGACATCTATCATATCTTCTCAGAGCTTTGCAAAACCCTGGCATTTATAAGCCTTAAAAAATATAATTGCTCCATATGTTAAGTGTTTCATTTCAGGTGAAGTTTTCAAATACCACAATCAGAAGATGCAGATTTCCACAGACCTAGCCTATATGAAGCCAATCCTGTAATTTCTTCATTCAAAAATATTTATGAGCCAGGTGCAATGGCTCATGTATATAATCCCAGCAATTTGGGAGGTCGAGGTGGGAGAATTGCTTGAGCCCAGGACCTTGAGACCAGCCTGAGCAACATAGTGGGATCCTTACCCTACAAAAAATACAAAAATTAGCTAGGTGTGGTTCTGTGCACCTGTAGTCCCAGCTACTCAGGAAGCTGAGGTAGGAGGATCTATTGAGCTCAGGAGATTGAGTCCTCAGTTAACTATAATCACACCACTGGACTTCAGCCTGGACAACAGAGCAAGGCTCTGCTGCTAAGAGGCAATAAATAGATAATGGAATATGGAAAATATATATATATTATATTATAGATTATATATTATATTATATATAATATATATTATAGATTATATATTATATTATATATAATATATATTATAGATTATATATTATATTATATATAATATATTTTATATATTATATATAATATATTTTATATATTATATATTATATATAATATATTTTATATATTATATATTATATTATATATATTATAGATTATATATTATATTATATATAATATATATACCTTAAATTACTATTTTCTGAATATAATAATTTTCATATATGTATGAATTTGAATTATAAGTGTATTTATGAAGAACGTCTTTATGAAAAGTAATTTGGACTCAATTTTCTTCTCTTTAAAAGAGATTTGCAGCTTGGACCACATGAAGTCCAAGTATTATTTATTCACAACATTTTAGTCTAGAAAGTGTATTTGAGAGAAATTGAGGAAAAGCATAAGGACTGAAATTGTCAAGAAAGCATTGTTTCATCATTCTTTTTCTCTTTCCTTTCCTCTAAGTTTTAGAAATTTATAGACTGGCAATAGCCTATAAGATTATGTCATTAGCTAGGAAAAACTGTTAACTAGAGAGTGACTAATAAAGTATAATATAGCTTCTCATTAAACTGGAATTATGAGGTAAAGAGTAGTAAAAGATGATTAATATGCCGATTTAGGTTTTAAACATGGTGAGTGTGGTATCGATAAGAATATGTGTTTAGAGTTTGGGCAGTCTCATTCCTAGTCCTTGTTGGCTCTTTCCTAGCTTGAGGACTTGGTTAAATCATTTGCAACTCTTATGTAAATTTAGCCGGTAAAGGCAGCCTGGCATAGTGGAAAGAAATTTGGAGTAGACCATATCTAAATTTGAATTTGTTTTCTTACATATATGATCTTTGTAAACTTGAATAGGATATTTGAGGTCTAGTTTGTCCATTAAGAGAACATTATGGTGAAAATTAGAAAGACATATATGTGTATTTTGGACTCACGAGAAGTGGCGCAAAAAAAAAAAAACAGATATAGAGGAGATCAAGATTCCTTCTAGCTTTCAAATTCCATAATTCTGCAACTAGAACAATACAACTTTGTAGTCGACAATTTCCCAAATAAAAAGCAACAGAAACTATCGTTTCTGATATTTTTCAGTATGAAAATCATGCTTGAAACTCAAACTTTTCTCTGTGCCAGAATACTTTGCAATGATTCTAATCTTAAACATTGTTTAAATGGTCTCTAATTATTGTAGCTCAGCACAATCAACTGAGAGGGGAAAATCTTAATATTTTCTTTAAATGATTTTAAAGTAAAGATCAGAAGACTACATTATATGTGAGATATTACAGCTATTTTATAAAATCAAGTTGAATTTTAGAATGCTAAAACTCATATTAAAGCCCACAACCTCTACAGAAATAACCTATTTTAAGAATATTCTACTATAAATATTTAGTAGTTGATTTTTAATGTCCCAATCCATTTTCAAAGAAAAAGAAAAAAGGTAGTTTTCTATTGAAAAGTCAGTCCCTATCTCATAGAATGGCATTTGAAAATGATATTTTAGTTAATCCATAGCTAGATGCTTACTTTTTAGGAAAATGTTGTTTGTAATTGAAAATTAAAGACGCTGAGGAAGAAGCTAGTTATAGACCAACAGATACAATGTAATTTAATAATTAGATTATTTTGAAGGTGGTTATTAAAGTGTATGAAGTTTTTATACAAGTATGAAATGTTTTTATGAGAAAAACAAAGGAGTAAGATGCTAGCCAGCCATCTTCTTTAAGAGAAATTTAAGTTTTTCAATTTATGGAATTCTGTGAAAGGTGACCTTGGTTGTAAATCTGATTAATTCTGATGAAGAATATTAAAAGAGTCAGGCCTGAAATCTCTCTTGAAAAAAAAATAACAACAGTATATGTTTTGAAGAGAACTCTAGTATATTAATGGACCAAAATTGGGAGGAGACAGAAAGTTTCCTTTTTTGAAGATAAAGTTAATAATACTTTAAATTTACCCTTAAAAATTGTACCTTTGAAGTTATATATGGCCATTTGATTCAACAAACTCCTATTGAGCACTATCATATATTGAGCACTATTATATATTGTTGATATAATTTCAAATTTAATTTAATATCTAAGTTCTAAACATTAAAACCACAGGGCAGTCTCTGTACCTTATGATTACACTTAATATAAGTAAATGATACAGTTTTTTTAAAGTAGAGCTTAAGTTTATTTTCAAAAATAAAAAAAAGTAATGGGATTTCAAAAAGAAAACAATGTCTTACGTGAAATAGGCTTTTTTTCTCTCTCTGAAAGCATTAATAATGAACATCATCCAATTAAAACTGTGTAATGAATTGCAGCATTAATGTTTAAAGTTGGAGAACCTGCGTCTGGGGTCTTGAGTTTTCTCTTTCCATTCCTACAGCAAGGAGTGCTTGGGTGAGAAGGGTGTATTCTCCAAAGAAACCCCACTAAACATAAATACATGGTTCACTGTGGCCCATATGCCTTAGGAATTTATCTTTAGTAAATTACAGTTTGAGTAACTGCTGTTACTATTATCTAAGACTATTCCAAAATAGACTACTCACACAAGATTCATGCAATATTCTCAAATCTAGAAGTCCCTTATATATTTCAGGGAAGTATAGCTCTGGTACTGGACCAGCACCTGTTATTTAGAACCATCTAAGGAACCTTTCAACACAAAGAATGTGGAGATTTTCATACTTTATTGTCTCTTGCCAGCCAGAACCACAACATTCTCATTATAGTGTCTTCTCATTAAAGGAAGAGAAAATCATAATAATGTGACATTTTCATGTTACCAAGTTTCTTACTTGGATTATAAATTTACAGTTTTACATAAAATAGTAGGCCAAAGATGTAGACAGATAGTTCAATAGATTAGACACACAAACACAAATGGACACACACACACAGAACTTTACTTCCTAATCCTTGCTGTTACCATGTATGACTACAAGTATAAATTATTTTGTTTTAATTTATGAATATACTAATCACTGATGCTTCATCAGTGAATTTACCTGC
The DNA here is from genome assembly GCF_000001405.40 of Homo sapiens. Lineage (NCBI taxonomy): Eukaryota > Metazoa > Chordata > Mammalia > Primates > Hominidae > Homo > Homo sapiens. Next base: position 85,253,839 of record NC_000012.12, read on the forward strand.
CCATTTTGTCATCTTGTTCTCCAAGCTTTCTGCCTTCTATTTCTAATATATATCTGCTGATGTAGTTTGGATGTGTGTCCCTGCTCACATCTCATTGAAATCTAATCCCCAGTGTGGGAAGTGGGGACTGAAAGGGAGATGATTGGATCACAGGGGAGGATTACTCATGGTTTAGCGGCATCTCCCATGGTACCGTCCTTGCAATAGTGAGTCAGTTCTTCTGAGATCTGGTCATTTGAAACTGTGTAGCACCTACCCCCTTGCTCTCTCTTGCTCCTTCTCTGGCCATGTCACGTGTCTGCTCCCCCTTTACCTTTGCCATGATTGTGAGCTTCTGGGGAGGCCTCAAGAAGCTCAGCAGATGCCATCATGCTTCCTGTACAGCCTGCAGAACCACGAGCCAATTAAACCTCTTTTCTTCATAAATTATGCAGTCTCAGGTATTGCTTTACAGCAATGTGAGAACAGACTAATACATCTGCTTTGAAAAAAGTTTTTCCAAAGCTCCATGATGTTTAACTAGCATTTTGAACATTTTGGGAGCTCTGCTACTTCCTACTGGTCCCTTAGATTTCATAACTGAAATTTACAAATAAATTATTTCTACACTGGATGTTAGAAACATTTCACATTTACCTTAATTTTCTACTGCATATAGTGTTGAAAAAGTGAGCAAAAGTTATGTATTATAATGTCCTTGCTTGCATGCTTTTTAATATAGACTGCAACTATATATAAAAAAGAAGAAATTTAGTTTTGTTTCATCTCTCCACTAATTAACTAGCATATTAATTTTACTTGTACATGGCCTTTACAAAATTCAAATAGTTATATATTTCTGATGTATTTTCCTCAGACACCATCTTAGAGAAAATGTCATTTAGAAGTCTCTAGTATTCTCAGTCTATTTTTGCAAGGTTCAAAGTAGTCACTACTCATTAATGTTTTATTAAAATATGTGTTCATGTAATATAATCAAAATCATTCAAATATGAATATTCTTTGAATAACTCCAGAACTTCTGGTAATGTCAAATTTACAAAGAACTTGAGGAGTGAACAGAAATTTAGCAAGATAAGTAAAGGACATGAAAGTGTGAATAAACCTTTTGATAAAATTTTTAAATTAGAAAAATCATGTTGGAGTTATATGTACATATATAATTTTCTATATATAGAAATCTTTCTCTTCTAACTTATGAATTGAAAGTAGTATTGTTTTTCACTGATGCCTTTTATTCATTTTTAGTTTCATAGACCTTATTTCCAGGTAATATATATTGCTGAAGAGCAAATGGATAATGAGGAAATATGGGCAATAAGCACATAATACTCTACTATAACTCCAGTAGATTTGATGATAAAAATGTAATTATTAAATGCAAAATAAGAAAATTTAAAATATGTGAATTACAGTAATACTGTTAATTAACTGGCAAATTTGTAAGTGATGCCATTCTACTTATAAACTCTTCTAATAAAATAATTGCCTGATATCCACTATCTATGTCAATTGTTGCACAGTTTCACAGGAGAAGTCAACATTGACTTTCATATTTCCTATTAAAATATTAAAACTTCAATCCCACTCTAGATTTATCTTTTTCCTCATATAAAAACAATAAAATGGTAATATCTTATAAATAACTGTGGCCAATTTAAACTTTTTTGTTCCATACATAATGAAATCTGGGTCTTTTAAAATCCTCTTTTGCTTTTTATCTCAACTATTCAACTTGAAGTAATATATCAGTAACGAACTTATAGCCACATCTCATGAAATTATTTTTATTATTGTTATCACTTTATGGCCAGCAAGAGTTATTCTCTAGCAATGTAAAAATTCATATTTTAAGAGTCTTTTAAATTATTGTTTAAACCATTAAATCTGATTCTTGGACTGAAATTTTTGGCCAGGAACTTTAAGACACAAATTTTTTAGGTGTTGATATTTTGTTCCTGAACCCGGACAATTAATTACAGAAAAACATTAACACTTAAACCCTTAAAATAGTCTACTGACTAGACCTAGAAGATGAAAATTAATTGCTGTTACACCAAGAGCATATTTACATGGTTAGTGGACTCATGTAATATGGATTAATTTTAAAATCTACTTTTTAGAAGAGTAAACACATAATAGTTATTGATTTACTGTCTTTTAACAACTTGTTACTATCCTAAGTAACAACATTCTAAGACAGTTAAATGAGTCAACAATTATTCCAGGCACAGTTAAATATCACAGTTATTAGTAACTACAGAATAATGTTTACGGAGCTAAGACAGTAGCTAGTTTCAACAGCAGTTGACATTATCGAGAAAAAGACAAATTTCATCTGTATTTTGTAAGAGAACTAGTTGTACATATGTTAGCTACATTTATTCTTTATTAAAAATTTAACATTTTTTGACGACAGGATTCATGCATGCTCTATTGATAATACAGTAAAGCATGATGTTTCTAACTGTAATATTTTAGTTCTTATCCATTTATATGATCATTTTCTTTCTTAAATTGTTTGACTTGTATTTTTGTTATTTTTTTCTTTCAAACCAATTTTTCACACTAGCTAATGTGCAAAAATAAATGGATATGGTTAAATATGAAATGCATTTGTCGAATGAATGAAACTGGAGTGAAATAACATAATAAATCCTCAGGCTAGTTATGTTTATTGTTGCCAAATGTCTCCCTGCTAAGAACTAATAAGTATGAAAATGAATAATGAAAGTTTCCATGAAAAATTTTTGGGAGATCTATTCACAAGTCTTCACTATCTGGGAATGTGGAAATAAGTATTTGTTTTATACAAGTTCCATATGAAGATGGTAAAGATGAAATTAAGAAAATAGAGTCAAATAGAAAGCAACTACAGTATGACAGTTTCTAACATTATGTGGCTCACAGAAGAAAATTAACGGGAAAGTTCCATTGAAAGAAATACGTGTTGAATGAATATGTAAATAGAAGAAAGATTTTAAATTAAATTTTTCAAAGACTAAAAGTGATCTTGAAAATCTAATTTGAGTTTTAAATGTTTATATTCTAAAATAAATAGCTCAATAATAAGCATTTTGGAATTTACTTAAAATTCCTATTTTGCTAAAAATATACTTTGGCAAAATTAATTTGGGAAATATTGGGTGAGAGAAGATAATTAGAGGCTGAAATGTAATATATATACATATAATATATATTATATAATTATATATATAATTATATAATTATATAAATATATATAATTATATTATATAATTATATAAATATATATAATTACATAATATATAATATATATTATATATTTATATGATTATATATAATTATATAATAATTATGTATTAATTATATATTATATAAATATATATATATAAAGACTGGTTTCAAAGGAACATGCATATCCATCCAGATCCATAAAAAAAGATGCTCTCAACTATAAGCGTCACTTATGCCATTGTTCTTTAATTACAAATATTTGTAGACGCTTTGTTGTAAATATAATGAAACTGAATAGAGCCCTGAAGAGGACATTAAAAAATAAAAAATGATTGTGGAGTTTGGGAATAGACCTTTCCCAAACTAACAAAATAAACAGGACTTATATGACCTGATTTTCAGAATTCCTTTTAGAACTGTGTGCAGTAGAAAATGTGGGACCTAGATAGCTTATGGATTGTTAAATTGCATTCTTAACTGCTTATTGGATTACACTTTTGATTATCCAGTCAATTTAAAAGTTTAAACACCCAATAGGTATTAACTATTTCAGTGGGAAACCAGAAAACCACAATAACCAGCATTACATGGGGTAGTTATCAATGGAAAGATGGGTTTTAGTTAATTTACAGGCCACATGAGGAAAAGTCAATCTAGTTCTGAAACAAATCACAAAACCCTTTTAGATTTTATAACTAGAAACCACTCACTCAAAGAATTTGAAAAACCCTCCAAGAAAAAAGTGTGAAAACAATGTAAGAATGACAGAATTTAGTGAAGACTTTTTTTTTAGCACCACATTTGTAGCGCCACATTCCAGCCATCATTTTGCAAACACAGCCACATGGCATCTTTAAGAAAAAATCAACACACTGGTATGTTAAAAATAAAACCTGGGAAAACAGTGCATATTATAAGGCAGCCTCAGAGATTCAAATGTAAAATATGCATGGTAGATATTATAAAAGGTAAATAAACAGGCAAAATACATGAGTTAAAAAAACTATGCATTTATCAAAATGAGATTCCCAACCCAATGTGATATGTATTAGCTTTTACAGTCATTCTGAATTGTTTTTTCAAAATAAATATACACAGACAAAAAAATGTGTTACTCACATGTTTTTTTTTAAAACATTTTGATTATTAACACCAGTAATAATGCTAGTAACAAATACTGTGGATATTTTTGTGACTATCAAGAGTACCAAACATAAGTGATTTTCGTATTTATATGCCACTTAAATTTATATGAGTAAGAAGAATAAATGTGTCATGGTTCAATTGGGATTTGGAGAAACAAAAGTTTTATTAATTTTTTATAATGTACAAAAATACTTTTATTCACTGAAAAGGTAAAAAGCAATCTCAAAAACAAGAAAAATCACAATATTACGTTGAGGAAATCCAAATATGGTATAAACAACCTGTTCAATATTTATTTTTTATTTTCAGTGTTAGACTTTATCTACTTAAAGTTCACTATAAATGATTATTATAATTCAAGCTTGGACACAGCAGTGACCTTACAAAGCAACTGTTATTTGAATATTGTAATATCTACCTCAACCCCAAATTTGCGCAACGTAACTCATTCACAGCACTTAAATTGATGTAAACGCTTTGCTGCTAAAAATTGGTTCTGGTCACTTTCATTAAAATGTTTAATTTTTTTTCTCCATGCTTTATTTATGCTGTATCTGCTGTTAAGTAATAAAATATGGAAAGGATTTTGAAATAATTTCTATATCCAGACACATAATGTTGGGTATATCAATGAAAATTCAATGACATATTACTATACATCATGAAATTCCTATTTTGACCTGTTAAACGGTTTTTTATACATACCAGGAGAGTCATTCAAATCATTTTACATATTAAATTACTTATCAAAACACAACATATATATAGACCTTGACATTTTTTAAAGAACCAAGGATTTAACAATAAAATATTTAAAGGACCAGAACAAATCTTGAGCAGAACACAGATTATGTAGCAAAGAAGTGACTTCTTGAAAAATAGAGCATAATCATCAAGACATAGTTTCAGCACTTGTATAAGCAATTGATGAGTTGATTTATATGCTCACCTGCAAATAAGCAGCAGATTGTTGTTAAACATAAAATCTATAACAATAATGTTGCAGAAAAGGGAAAACAATTGTCAAAGATTTGTTAGTCGTACATATTTTTGTTCTAGGAGTCCATCAGTAGGTTTAGCTCCAATATCAATATTTTGAGGCCAGAGTCTCTTGCTATTTTATTTTCATATGGGTAATTTTAGTATGATTATACATTGACCATATTAAATTGCTTCTTTTTATGTTTTTTCATTTCTGGAGTAATCATAGGACAAAGTAATGACTTTGCAATGAATGCCAATATGTGATTCTCTCAGAGATGTGTTATTTTGCTCCTCAATTTATTCTCTATATATGTAGTGATTTGGGAATTTATATGATAACAAAAAACTCTCACTAAATGCAATGAGAGAATAAGCTATATAGATTACTGCTCAAATTGTTACTTTACACATAGCAGAACAATACAACTCAAGCTTTTAATCACACCTAAAATATTGTTTTGACAAAACATTATATATTCACTTAAGTGTTTGTTAAAGACTCATTTTCTATAGCATTTTCATTCCACTTCAAAACTGCTATAAAGCTGTCTTGTAATATTACACAATGTGCTTTTTAAATTGTAATTATTATTTGCTTAAGGAATTATACCAAGCAATGGAAAGTTTACAAACTGTTTTTAAAATATAGGTTTACGTTGTGAGTAAGTACAAAAAGATTTAAAGATTCATCAGCAGCTTCAAATACAACATAATAATATTGGGGGGAAATGTACCATATGGTAAATTTCTGTCAATAGAAAAGTCCCTTAAAATGTAGAAACACTGTTAAGAATAAAAGTTTGATCTAAAGAAAAGCTGGGCTTTAATGCAATTCAGTCTATTTCATTTTGAAATATTTTAGAAGCATATGAAATTATCTATATGTGTTTCAATACTTTATACAAAAAGTACTACCCTCCTTACATGTTACTTTTCATGTTGGTTAAAAAAAAAAAAAAAAAAAAAGCTTATATTAAGAATAAAACCCTTTGCATGCCTTTAGTCCCGGCTTCTGGGAAGGCTGAGTTGAGATGAGAGGATCACTTGAGCCCAGCATGTGGAGGCTTTGGTGAGCTGAGATTCAATTCATACACTGCACTCCAGCCTGGGTGACTATGAAACACTGTATCAAAAAATAAATAAAATGAAGAAAACCCTGAAGACATCTTTATACTAAGATAGTTTTATCAAGAATATTAACTAACGAGAAATTATATTATTGAATTAAATTTTAAAATACATACTTACTTCTACTTATTACCTTGAATAATGCTTGGAAGGCACTTGACTTAGCTTACTGTAGTGGAACAAAATGTATTAGTCATTTGTGAAAATCTGCTTACTGTTTTATTAATCTCTTTTTTATCTTAAATAAATATATCAAAATTGTAAAGTTACTTCATTAGTTCATTACTCAGACACCCTTCTCCCTCTACCTCCACCGGTGGCCCCAGCATTCTCCCTATTTAATGTATTCTCATAAATAAATATTCGGTATCCAGGCAACAGTTATATTTACAAACAATTTTTACTGCTGAGGCAAGATGAGGGTTTACTATTACTTTTATTGTTTTTTAAAATGGACCAAAGTAGACATTCCATTCTGTTATCTGGGAAAAAATATCAAGCTATAGGTTTCCAATGTATAAATAGTAAGTAGAAGGAGGATAGGTTTTTAAGACACTTTCTTAATGCATTTTAGGCCAATAGTTTATCATCTAAGAAACTCTTGCTTCTATGCTTAGTAATATTTCTGTTGCTTGAAAGAGTTCTTGCCCTTTCTTGAAGGACTACTGACTGATTCATAGAGAGTAGCTCAGCGTAGAATGAATCTGGCTAACACGTGGAAGTCAACTTCAGTTGGCATCTCTCTCAGTTGTTAGTCTCTCTACTGAGATTTGCCTTCACAAGTGCCAACCATGAAGGTCTCTAAATTCCTGAGCCATGATCTGTCTCTAGCTCCGTTACAGACTAGTGTCTGTAGACATGAGCATTAGTCTTTATTGTATCCTGCATGTCCTGTACTTAATCATTAGCCTTTAACTTTATCCCTGCTTTTTAGTGCTGTTCTCTTGGTGGAATAAAAGTAAAATATATTCCCTGTATGGAGGTTCATTAACTCCTTTGAATTTGTTTTGCTAATCATAATTTTAAGATTAAAAACCAAAATTCAGTACTCTGTATTTAAAGAGCTTTTAAACATAAAATGAACATTTACAATCAATATTCACCATCATGTTGCATCAAATTTGAAATTACAGACCAATTTCCTCAAATGGCCTAATGTTTGCTGACTCTTCTATTTGAATTTATATTTTTTAAATATTTAAAATTTTAGTTGGAAAAGTATTAATCTCAAAAAACATTCTATTTTTTTTTTCTCTAACCTTACTTAAGCACGAAAGCATCACAATGGAGAATCATGTAGTTTCAACCTTTGCCTCAAGCCAGTACTGAGGAAGCCCTGGAATGCCTCACTCTGCTACTTCCAAACCCTTTCCCCACAGATACAGCCCTGTGCTCTTGCTTAATCCTAAGGGGATTTAAAGCAGAGGATCATAATTTTTATTTTTTTGTTTATTTTATTTATTTATTTATTTATTTATTTATTTATTTATTTTTGAGACGGAGTTTGGCTCTTGTTGTCCAGGCTGGAGTGCAATGGCACGATCTCGGCTCACCGCAACCCTCCGCCTCCCAGGTTCAAGCGATTACCCTGCCTCAGCCTTCCGAGTAGCTGGGATTACAGGCATGCGCCACCACGCCCGGCTAATTTTGTGTTTTTGATAGAGACAGGGTTTCGCCATGTTGGTCAGGCTGGTCTCGAACTCCTGACCTCAAGTGATCCGCCAGCCTTGGTCTCCCAGTGCTGGGATTACAGGCGTAAGCCACTGCGCCAGGCCATAATTCTTTAATAGTATTCTTGATATGGCATCCTGGGGTCTTACTGAGTAAACATTCTGAATCCACGAACTATTCTTAGGACTAGGACTATTGTTTTTAACCTCTCAAAGTTTTTATTATATATAAATAATAATTTCTTCCATTTTATGGCCCCTGTGTACAAAGCAGTCTCACTGATCTTACTACCACTTACAACATAATCAGAAAGGCAGTCTTCACAATAATCCTGATGTGCATATATTATTTCTCTCATTTATAAAACTGATACTCAGAAAGACTGTTACCTGTCCAGAGTCACAAAGCTCTATTTTAGGTAGCCAAAGTAAAATTCATGAATATCTTGATATTCTAGATCTAATGTACTTTCCACTTTACCAAAAACTCCTTTTTCTGAAAAAGACCTTCATTCAACCGGACTATTTATAAGACAAATGTTAACATGTTTTATTATAATAATATAAATAATTATAGCAATTTAAACTATGAAAATATAAACAAATATAAGTACCTTAAAACTAAGAAGATTTATCATTTTATAGTTGTGAAACACCAACGATATTTGAATCTGTTGATAGAAGGAAACCATTATATCTATTTAATATTTTTAGTACCCTCCCTCTATTTAACCTAAACACATTTTATACCAATCTTGATTATACAGTATTACTTTGTAAACAAAAATAAGCTCAACAAAGATACGTCTGTTAAACTCCAAGATCATAGACTTTTCAACTGCATGTTTTTGACTTAAATATATTTCTTACTTTAAAATATAATGTATTTGGTTCATATTCAGTGAAAGTGTATATTTAATATCACTGTCTAGGTTGTTCAGTTAAGGGAATACCAATATCGCCAATAATAACAAATACAAGACCTTCTAAAAAAGAACGTATATCATTCCGAGACAATCCTGTACAACTCAGTGGTGGATGGGGAAGTGGCAAAAAGAAGGCGAACATTTCCAACTAATCCTTAAGGCTTCAGCATTCAAAACATGTGGCAAACTGTTTCATGAAGTCTGGATATCTAGTCATGTTACCAACTGGATACAAGGTTTTAGACTCCTATATTTAATTTGGTTTATTATACGTATTTCACAAGTTTGTTTTCTAGTGGAGCTATCTTATTTCTCTTCTATAAAATGTAGTTTTGCATTTCTTCCTGTGTTCATGTGGAATGGCCTCCAGAAAATTCTTAAGATATTGTAATGGAACTTGCATATCCAGTTTTTTTAGTTTTAATTTTTATGACACATGTATTCCAGATAGCTTTTGTTACCAATAATAAATATTAATGCTATACACATAAAAGAGAATGTAACTGTCTTACTGATGCTGTTTAATGTAGCAATAATGATTAATATATTAATAAACTTTATTAGATTATCGTACTTGAGTATTTCAAAGATAAATTAATACATGGAATAACTGAAAATAAACAGTGACAAAGGCCTTTATTTTTTAATTTTAAATTATCTTAAATAGATTAGAGAGTAATGATAAAATGTATAGTCAGTTTAAATTAAAATAGAAATTTAAGTAATTACCAATTGGATAATTGGATATTTTATCTGTAACGTCAGATGTTTATTACCCTTATTTATAGAGGTAGATGCTAATTTTGGTTCATTTACATTATTATACTAATTCAAGAAATACTTTATCATTTTAATTTTTCATTAAGGTACCTTAAAATTGTCATTTAAAAGTACTTTTTCAAAGTTCAACTTACCATTTTGTAATATTAACCTATTTTCTAAAATTACAGACCCATTTTATTAAAGTCTTACTGTTGTGTGATTAATGTTCTACCCTATCTTAGTAAATTTACAAAATGCTGTGTTTACACTTAGTTCTCATTGAGCTGTTACTCTCCCGAGTCTGGAACTTTTTTCATAAAGCTAAATTCATAGTATTTCAGTTACTTTCCACAGCTGTGTTGCTCAATAATAGCATCCAGTGAACTTTAGTATTTTTTTGTTTTTCCTGTATTTTATTAAAATATTTCATCTAGAGATAACTGAAGTGATGTAGAGATACTTGTATTAATTTGTATCCCCCATCTACTTTTGGATCCCTATTGCATTGCAAACCTATAAATCTCTTTTAACTTGATTGAGATAGAAACGTTAATGAGACTTCAGCTGTCAATCAATAAAGAAGATGTAGATTCATATGTGGTGTCCTAGAATTTCCACTCCATGTATAGTTGGAACTACATCAAGATCAGCTTTAATCTATAATTTCCTTATTCTGTAACCTGTGTAATTGTTTCATAATATTAACTTTGAGGATGATGAATGGTGCTGATGCTCCTAAATTTGTAGGTAATGATTGATATATATGTCAATAAAATACTTTCCTAATTATGGTGTGAAACTGGAAGTTTTTTTATAGTGCTGTTTATTGTGTTCAGCCTTGACATTATTATCTTTAAAAAATTCTTTCAATGCTCAAACTTATCATTTTGTAGCACTACTTAATTCATGTTGATGGAAATAGAAAAGTTAAACTGAAATTTTAAAAATTGGATAAAACATGAAAGAAATCAAACCAAGAAATAGTCTTTCTCCTGTTTCCTTGAGTCAACATTTTAACTAATATTTGTTTTTAAGATTCAGGGAGGTAAAAATATGAGCCTTTCTCTTCACTTAGTTGGCACTGAATTTTGGACTAACAGTGATGGACCTAGGCAATGTTACTATTCAAACATGTGACCCACAATGACTTTTTGTCCTCTCCTGTGCTCTATATCCTATCCCCAACCCCTTACAGATTTAATTCTCACCTTTCTGTAAATACCCCATCCCACTGATGTAACACTTATCATCACTGCCTTCTAGCTAGTAAGAATGGTAAAATGAATAGCTAATCACAAAAAGCTTGGTAGAAGTGCTAGGTAGGGGGTGTTTGGAGATTTCAGAATATTTTGATGAGAATCAACTACGTTGGTTTATGGAGATAGCCCCGTCCCAAGGTCCAATCCACCAACAATATATTTGTGTATATACTGACATGTGTAATACTGTGTCTGTGTAATACTGACATGAAGTTTAGACAAATAACATTAAACATTTATGATATATTTTGATTATATTTTACTCTAGTGTGCTATAATACAAGTAGCTGTAATAGGTTTCCTAGGAAAGAGAAACATAGTGATGTCCTTAAAGTAGTATTCATTATTATTTATCATGTAGCTAATTATTCATCATCTGGATTTATGGCTTTTATGACTGCACTGAGAGCAAAATGAGTTATAATTAATATATTTTAATTTAGGGGAAGAAGACCCCTAAGGGGTCTATGGAATTGCATTTGTCAAATCTAATTTCTAACTAGTCACTAATATGAGATGTAATTCTATTCTTCTTTTCAGTATACAATGAAATCTATTATCTGCCATGATATTTTTACTTACCTAGATGGAGTTGTTCTGCTCTAATTATTGTGAAATTCAGAGAAAGGCCCTTTCCGAGCACTGAAAGAACCATAATCTAGACCTTGCTGTGCAACACATTAGCCACTAGACAATTGTGATTAGGGTGTACTTAAAATATGGCTAATCTCAGCTGAGATAAAGTGTAAGTGTAAAATTCATATCAGATTTCAGAGATTTCATATAAAAATACAGAATTGCCCAATAATGTTATATTAATTAAAATAATAATATCTTGTTTCTTTTTAATTTTTTCAATGTAAGTACTAAAAAATTCAAATTTTATATACAGTTAACATATTTCTGTTGGACGACACTAACCTTGAAACTGTTGTGTAAAATAATATAGAAAGGGTGTTTTATGCAGAAAATAATTGGTAAGATATTAGGAGACACAGAGACTACACAAAACAGGGCACACAAATCCTAGTTTATAAAACAAGAGAACTTGGATTCTGCTAAACATAGTGAATATTATGAAATAAAAAGTGGAAATAACCCTCCATTGTGGTTCTAGACCTTAAAGTGGCATAATTGAATTTAACCCTTGATTTCCTGTACTTATTTGTTTTTAATCAAAGACCATCTTACAAAGTCAGGATAAAGTCTTTTATGTTATTAAAATACTTGTTGTAAGAAATAGGATTAGCCCCTGACTTGTAATCTATTTCATATCAGGTTTTACATAGATAGAGTTATTAATTATTCAAATAGCACAATTTGCACTGTGATATGGATGGATTCTTGTAATGAGAGCCATATTATATTTGACATCCTGTTGGATCATAAATCCAGTTTTAATCTAAAAGACACAAAATATAAGAGCCAACAGCAGTCGCGTAAGTGAATATATTTGAAAGATAAAAACAAGTATAATGCATTTATAACTTCCAAGAATCATATGATTATGTTTTATGTGGCACTTCCTGACAACCACTCACACTTCCTTTTCAAATATGCAGATCATCTACATTACTGGGAACCAGAATTTTACCCAAACCAAAAGTTAAACTGAAACGCTTCATGTGACTTCTCTATAATTCACATCCCTGTCAGCACTTCAGAGCAAGGGAGCAAGTAAGTTTCGAGAGCCCTCTCTAGTGGATCTGGAATAGCCACCTGTAGGAAAGGATCATGAGGCTTCATTAGATTTCAGTACAGAACAATGCATAAGGCAGCATGGAAGAGTGTCACAACTGCCAATGTCTGCTGTAGCAGTGGGAGGTTAGAGTGAGTGAGAACTTACTTGCTAGTAGTCTTTGCTGTAAGGCAATAACAAGCCAAGGTGCTACAGGAAGATTCTTTGAAGCTTTTGAGAAAAGTGAGCCAATTCAATTAATAATGCAACAGGAAAAGTTCTCCTTACATTTCATGGTTATATTTGCCATTAGTGATGAATATAATCTGCATAGCACTCCTACATTTTAGGAAGTGTTGTTATAACCACATTTATATTGCAAGAGCAGAGGTGAGAAAGCACTTCAAGTTCATAATTTCCTTGTGGAGGCCTGAATGCAGCTGCCAGTGATAACCAGATGAGTAAATGTAAAACTATTTTTTAAAATAAATACGTCTGAAAAGTAATTTTCTCCCACAAACGCTATAATAGAAACTTTCAAACTATTTTTATGACCCCCAAAGGATAGATCTAGATCAGCATTGTCCAATGTAAGTATGATGTGAGCCATGTATGTAATTTTACATTTTTAAGTCACATTAGAAATGTAAAAATAAATTGGTAAACTTAATTTAATACTGTATTTTATTTAATCTAATATATCCAACAGATACCTTTTATTTAATGGAATTATGAGGACATTGTCTTACACGAGAAAATTTTAGCCATATTAGCCCCTAAAATTACATGTCTTAAAGAAACAAAGATGCATAAAATAAAGTAATTTTAGATTAACATCTATAAGTATGTAGCTATTTGTAAATGTTAATACATGTTACAAATAAAATAATAAATGCTAAATTAATACTTTAAACTTTCATATGGATGTGAGGTTTTCTCCCAAAGTTATTGGATTCAAGAGTTCTCTACCAAAGCTCATGTATCAGTGGAAAATTACAAGGAGACTTAGTAAGGGTGAATCTCCTTCTCATCTTTCTCCACATTATTCAAATTTGATCCAACCATGGATTTTCTGTTAACTTCAAAATAAAACCAGTGCTTAGAATAACTCAGTGTGATACATAGACAAAGTAAGAAATAAGCACAACAATTTTGTTCTGCTAAGCACATATTTTGGTGTGAGACATATGGAAGAAAGTTAAAAGAACTTTTGTTTTTTTGTAATCTGATTGTGCTGTGTTCCAATCCTTGCTCTGATGGGCATCTTGAACAAGTGACAAACTCTCTGAGCCTGTTTCCTTACCATTAAGTTCAGATTAATGTATAACTCAATAGCGTCAAGTGAGAAAGTATAATGAGAAGCCCCTGGCCTAATATCTTGATTTTCATAAACATTCAGCAAATACCAACTTGATACAGTAAACCTTTCCAGAACAATATTCCAAAATTAAACCAAAAATACTCTAAGCAGATTAAAATTGGATCAATTCGACATACCATATTTAGGAAATATTTCCATGAAATGATGGGAAATATTTCCATGAAATGATGGGAAATTTTTCAAAAAAATACTTTGAGACCTGATTCCTCTAGATTTGTCTTGAAATGGAAGTAGAACTCAATGTTTCAAATACATAAATCTTAAGCCTCTTCCATTGTAAGTGTGTAGAATCTTTGGAAATGTAAAAGGTATAAATTTCTAATAGCATGTTAACTTATTTTTTCACATGGCAAGTACAAGACGCATTTCTAGAAAATAGGTGGGAATGTCAACACCAGGACTCCTTATGCAATGCTCTATACTCAAAAATACACCCAGAAAATGTTTCCACCACCAGGATCCCAAAGTGGATGCCAGATAATTGATTAGAGTGACCCATATTCTCTGTAAAATAAATTGGTAGAATAATTTAATATATACCTTTTATTAAATAGAATTATGAGGACATTGTCCTACAGGAGAAAATTTTAGCTGTATTAGCCCCTTAAATTATATGTCCTAAAGAAAAATAAAATACATAAAATAAGGTGGTTTTAGATTATTAACATCTGTAACTATGTAGCTACATTTTCATCCCTTTCCCTTTAAAGGAAATATTGGCTAGTTGTCTTTCTAGGGAGACAAAGAGAAGGATATCCACCACTTTGTTTTGTTTCGTTGTTAATCTTATTCAGTGTTTAAACTGTGCAATTATATTTTCTATTGAGAATAAAAAACTTTTTTGTTTTCTTACCTTCATAAACTATTTTTAAAGTATTGACCTAGATCCAATAAACAACGCTATAAGGAACTTATAGTTTAGTATCCTAAAGGGGATTAAAAAAATGTTTTGGAGGTAGGAAGGATTGGTTTCTAATCATAATGGGCAGGGAGCAGGTGTTTCCAGATTCTATTTAACTGACATTGAAGGATGAATTAACGAAAGCATTTTAAGTGAAGAATACAGCCTAAATAAATACCTGGAGACAGATCACAATAATGTATCCAGGTAATGGAGAGTAGAACAAACCAAGGACTGGATTATTGGACAGAACTGAGATAGTTTGGTGAGATACCGGAAATTAGTGGAAAATGTGAGTGGGAAACAGGATTGGATCAACTACCCTGATACCTGTCCAATCTATAGGCTTCAGGGTATTTGTATAATCTCTAGGTGGAAAACTGCTACGTGATGGTTTTCAAAATAGGAAGGCAATAGTATTCTCAGATAATGTTCATTCCAATAATTATTGGTGTATTTTGAAATAAAATTAGACATGGTTAGGGGAAATGGTAATTTAATTCAAATATGAAGCGATAACAATCAAGTTACCTACACTGAAGTCTCTACTTAATGGGTATATCAATTTATAAGTATTATTAAGTGCAAGAAAACTTGATCTACAGAGGTATTGGCATTTCATTCTGTTGATAGTTGATTTTACATATGCTGATTCCTCTTAAATCTCAGTGAATCTGCTTCCAAGTATAGACATTGGTAGAACCATTTGTAAATACTTTCCTCACAAGAATATTGATATAGACAGTGATTTCCTGAACAAGCTAATCTACTCAAGGGATTGAGTTCCTTGAGGCCTTCAGGAGCACTATGATGAGTCCTCTAAGTCTAGTATTGGCTGGAAAAAGCTAGAATTTCTAAGATTATTTATCTGGAATACATTAGAATCAAAGAATTGGAATGCCTTTCTATCTTAGACAGCTCAGGCTCCTGTTACAGAATACCATAGACTTGATGGCTTAAATAACAAATATTTATTTTTCACAGTTCTGGAGGCTGGAATTCTGAGATCAGGGTGTCAGTATTCGTGGGTTCTTGATTAGGGCCTTCCTCTTGGTTAAAGAAAGCCGTCTTCTTACTATATCTTCACATATCTGGGAGAAAGATCTTGTATCTCTTCATCCCCTTTCAAGGTGATTAATCCCATCATGAGGACCCCACCTTCATGACCTAATCTAACGTTATTACCTCCTAAAGGCCCCATCTCCAAGTACCATCACATGGAGGATTAGAGTTTCACCATAATGAATTTTGGAGGATCATGTCCACTCATAGCAGCATCTTAGAGACCATATAGTTTAATCAATAAGAATTATATTTCTAATAAACTTTTAAAAATACATAGTCTTACAATTGGAATATTTTAACAGGAGAAGCTGAGATTTTAAAAGGTAACTGTACTTGTTTTAGGTTATACAGATTGTTAATGACAGAGTTAGGAGTAGGATCCCCATCTCCTGAGTCACAAAAATCATGGAAAATTTATGTTAGAGGCAATACCTATGTTTATAGCCTACCTGAATAGTACTTTGGGGTAAACACACTTACCTTAATGCAGTACACACACCCCAGGACCTAGCAACTTCACAGAAATTTATTTCTCGTATGTGATCCATTTTCTTTCTTTCCATCTTCTAACAATCATAATTATATACTTCATATTCTTAATGTAAATAGTTGAATCTGTTTCTGCTTTTTAAGTCACTTTTCATTGCACAGCACCATTTGTTAATTATTTTTTCTATGTCCATAATCCTTAGTAAATGATCTCACAATCTGAATTTTAAAATATATAACAACAACAAACACATAGTGCTTATTTTATGACCAGGCACTGTTCTAAATGCTTTAGATACATTAACTTTCTTTATATTTACTCCTACCCTTGGAGATAAATAGCCTTCATTTGATAGAAGATAACATTGAATCAGAATCTCAGCATCCCACAGCCAGCGAGTGGTAGAGCTGGACGTAACCCCAGTGAGTCTGAAAGTAGTCTCTACATTATTACATTTTTGGTGTTATAGATGAAATAGATATGCATAAATACAAATTATGATACAAGTGTGTAACCAGTTAGCCAAACTTGCTTATCTGTATAATGAAAACATAGGCTAGAATGATACAATAGTTATTTGACGGAAGACACTCGTGTTCTAAGTTTAGTCTTTAATTTCAGCTTAAGGCAAAATATAAGAAGTTATTTTCTTCCTCTTAGAGAAAATTAATCCTAATTTAAGAAATAGTAGTACTATAACATATTTGTGAACAAACTTCAGATATGTAAACTATTGTGAGCATTAAAGATGTCATTTGGAAGCTTTGATTTGAAAGAGACTTGCATGACAGGTTTAACCCTGTAACACACGTTGTTCAGTGCAACTGAATGTGAAATTTTGAGAATCAGCCACTTTAGTTATAGGGAATTTTCAATGTTAGAAAGTTAGTCTTTTACATGAAAAAAAAAATTCTAACTCAAGTCAATCCACTTAGTTCCACCACTGGGGCAAAACTGAACAAATTTAATCACTCTTTCTTATGTCTTAGCTAAAATTCACTAAGTCTTTCTTACAACCATGCTTTAATATGATGTGGTTTACAAATCCTTTTTGCCTCAGCCACAGTACACAAAATAGCTTCATATTATTATTCTTTCTCTATAAAAATAGTTTCCAGAGCTCTTCTTAATTCTCTAGATTTCTTCGTATTTCAGTGTATTTTGAAGATCTGGTCTTCCTTGATGTGTGACTGCTTCATTTCTGTTAATGTAATATAAGCTAATTTTTTAAGCTTCCTTAGCAACTAAGTCATGCTGTAGACTCAAAAATATCCTCAGAGCTTTATTGTTTGAACCCCATAAGCTTTGTTTTTCTTCTCTATATTTTTTAACTTTAATTTGCAATTTTGGGTTTGCATCCATTAATTTAATCCTATCATGCTACCTTTGCCCAAAATATCTGCATCCCAATTGTTGTGGTATTCTAAAGATTTAGATGGCCAACCTAGGAATGCATAATTTGTAAAACACAGTAAGTACAAAATATATATATTTAAGTTTTTGGTGAAAATATTGGATAAAGGTACACCTTTAATGGATGATACCTGAAGAAATTTTTTAAAGTGATTTACAGGATTCCATGGTGTTCACCTCTAGAACTAAATAGTTGCATGACGTACCATAGAGACACTTTTATATCCTATATGGTTTGCCTCAACTGTGATCCAGTAGTTAGAGATGCCCAAAGAAGCTAATATACCTTAAATGAAACAGTACATATAGATCTACTTTATTTCATAAAAGCAAAAATTAGTAAAGTTTCTTTAGTTTATTTGCCAATATTTATGTTTCTTTTTAAGTTTTAAGCTAAATATTCAAAGTTTTATTAACCTAAAAAAGAATGCAAGATTAAAGGGCATTTCTACTCAAAACAGAGTAATTGGTTATTTAGATTTTGCTTAATTCAACTCAATTCAATTATTAAGCAATTCCTAATGTGGCAAAAGAGTGGCTGTGTACCTCTCCCCAAAAATAGCATATATGAATCAAATACAGTGTAAAATAAAAAATTTCAAGAATATTAATCAGAAATGAACCCAAAACAAGTCCTTTTTAAATACTTAGTTTATAGTAATTTTAATATTGCAAAAAGTGTTTGAAACCTCACAAAGAAATGGAAATAAATGTATTCTTTAAAGCCTTTTTTTTTTCTTTTGGTAACTTAAAAATACTTGTTTAGTGGAATGGCAGGAAACATTTTAATTGCTTATTATATTTGAACTGTATTAATAAATTGTGCGTTCATGAAGTTTTGTGAACTGAGAGAGCAAGTGTGAAGGTAAGAAAGTGTTTAATTTTTTTAGGATTTTATAACGAGGGTCCATTTGGGGGCATCTGATGTTGGAAACTGAAAGATGATGTAATCCCATGAGGTCTCTGAGGCTTTTCAACAGAGGTCTTCGGATGCCCAGGGCGCCACCCTGCTAGAGGTAATGCATCAACTTTGTTTAATAAAAAGGACATAAAATATCCAGTAAAGGTTAAGAATTTTTTACTGTGTGGAACAAGATCTTAAGAAGAGACATTACCGTGGCCTGGCATTGAAAATATTGGCAGTCAGGCTGAAACCTGGCTTTTTTTTTTTTTTTTTAAATCGGGGGAGTGGATCATTACTTGTTGAGGACAGGTAGTTAAAAGTGAGGTATGAGCTACTTTCGGGCGCTCCCCCCACCCCCAATTTGTCCCCCCAAGTTTGTGTGTGTGTGCAGGCGTGCTCTTTTTACTGTCAGAGAGTTACATGTCTCTTGACTAAAGTCGAAATCTGCCGCATTTTGTGATATGGATTAATTCTGATTGCCAACATGTGAAACAAAAAGGGCACTGTCCTTACCAAGGGACGGCTAGATGATCCATCTGCCAACATCAATATTTGGAGGGAAAGCTTAAAATATGCTGTTTTTCCAAGGGTTAAACTTTAAAGGGGTGAAAACACAACTGATGAAATGTTAGCATCAAATCGGTTAACCACTAACTCCTTTCCATATTCGTCGTCGAGGCTCTTTTAAGTTTCCATGAGAAGCGAAACTTCATTCTCTTTGCTCAGAATAGAGACTCCTCCACCTATGCGCGTTTAACCACAGAGTTGTTCTTGATTGTAAGGGACTTCGCCCACTTGGTTGAAGTGGAGAGCCGGTCCTCATTCCAGACGTCCCGCACGGCAGTCGCTCATGGCTCCCTCCAGGCCGGGAGCCAGGAAGGTGGTCCTTCACCGAGGTGCGCACCAAGCGGCGGTCCACCCAGGCAATGGGGTGCACCAATTTGCCTCCAAAAATTTGCTGCGCACACAACCTGTTCACAGTTCCTGATCAGAAAGGGCTAACGAGATGTCTGTCTACAGCTGTCTCTGGGCGAGGGCGCAGGCTTTGGGAAGTGGTTCAGCGCGATCGGGGACACCGCTTGCAGCCCTTGGTCCTGCACCCCTAGGAGGGGTGTCCCACAAGCTCGGCTTCCCTTTTGCGAGCCACAGAGAGCTTTTTGTTCCGAAACTCTCATTACGACAGATAGTATTTAAAACTCATCAAAATTCGCTTCAGAAATCTGTGTTGCTCGGGATAGGCAAGACAGGTTGGGAGGAAAAAAGGAGTGAATATTAATCTTTACCTTTCTCTAAAGTTCTTTGATGATTTTCGAAATAAAGGGGCTGGCGCTCTCTCCTCCCTCTTTTTTTCTCTCTGAATAATCCTTGATGTAATAAATGTGTTTGTGTTTTTCCTCTTTCTGTTGAACTTATAAAACACCATGACAGAGGATAAGCTAGATTTCGAGACGTTTTCATGGCCACAATGAGATGCATTCTAAGCTCAACACCTTGGGGTCCAAACCCTAGCCTCTTGTCCTGATATAAAAGGTATCAATGGGCACGGAAGGGGCACAGTAGGTGGAGAACTTACGGGAGGCCAATCTACTTCACTCCTTCGACTCTCTTTGATTTTGTATATTGGCTATACTCTGGTCGGGTTTGATTAATGACCACGGACTTCACATTTACGTTGCATAATTCCAGTCCAAAGGAGAAATATCCATGATTTTGTCTCAGTTATCTTTACTGAGATTTTTCTTTAAGGAAGTCTTTCCCTGAAATGGGAAAGCTCAAGGAGTGAATACGCACGCACATCTTTTTGAAAATAAGCAGCCCTGTCTTTCAGACATACCTAGTAACTCAGCAGGAAAAAAATGTATTTAAATATATCGAGTAGAAGTTTAACAATTCACTTATCAAACAAAATAGTGGAAAAACGTTTTAGAGACATGATTAATAGTTTAATAGTGAAATACCAGTCTATGAATTGAATACAGTTTAACTTACTTATGCACTTCTATATGTGTCATAGAGGAAGTCTAGCGTTAACGGTCTTTATTATGTTCAGAACTTCCTGGAAAAATGACGACAGCCATAGAAAGAAATAAAGGTGACTAGATTATTGCAGATAAATTATTTTTAAAGTTTGGAATAAAATACATTTTATAGTAAAAGCAAACAATGTCTATTGTAATGTGCACACATATGCTAGATAAATCAAGATATTTGCACCAAGGTCAAGGAGTCATACTGTATTTTTACATTTAAATTGGATCCTTTAGGAGAACAGAAGTTTATTTCTCTCTCTTTTAAGAAAACACAACTGTGTGAAAAACTATTATTGAAACACATTGGTATTCAGAAACAAGTATCACTTTTTGAAAAAACAGAAGTTTATGAAACACCAAAACATTTAATAATATTATTACAATAAGTGTAAAAATTTAATTCATCATACTGGACAGCTTTGCAGCAGCATACTTTAAAGACTTACAACATTGATTAACATCTGTGTAATTTTTTTTAAAGGCAGAAACTTCAAAAATCTCACAAAGTTACACTTTTGTCTGTAGGTGTGTTTTCTGGAGTAGATGATGGTGGATTGGGCATATATTTTAAAGAAAAGCCTAAATATTTCTTTGTGTGTCCAAATATTTTTATTTTGATGAAAACCTCTTGAGCTGCTTTGATGCAAAATATATTTCAGTATCTGTTATGTCTGCAGAGCTGTGGGAAGGCTGAAGATGAAGGCAGGGAGGGAAAACAGCAGCAGAGCACACAAAAACACGAGGCCACCTGGCATCTTGCCATGCTACATGACATTCAATTATTTTAGTACTTTTTCATGAAAGTTTCTCTCCACCAGCTCCTCCCCTCTTCAGACCATTGCTCTTCTACATTTGGCATAGTTCGCCTGATTCAGCACACATTTTTTTCCTTGCTCTACTTACAATAAGCCTCAAACTCTCACTGCAAAAAGGAAGTGCTAAGACTAAAATCCTAGCAATCCTATCTTGACATTCCCACTATTAGTATGTAAGTGTGACATTTCTCTCAATAAGTCGAAATCAGAAGAAACTAGAGTGGTCTATACATTTATTCTACCACTGCTTTAATGCTGCATATGTAAATATTTTTTTCATTTCCCAAAACATATTTTCAAAGGGATGACTGGCTTTAAAAGCAGCTTTTAGTCTGTGAGGTTTTTTTTTTCTTTTTTAGTAAAATGAGTCAAGATGCCTTAACCTGCGAATCCTTTATCTGAATTTTACTTTCTAATAAAGCACTACTTTGGGGGTGGGGGAGGGTCAAATACTCATTTCAATGGACTTTCTAATAATTTTAACTTCTTTGATTATTTTAATTCTAGGCTCTAAATGGGAACTAAAAAAAAAATACTTTAAAAATATCCCAAATCACTGTTTGGGAGAGCTGCCACCTAACAACAACAACAAACTGGTCGCAGGAATAATATTAGATGTCACTTCAAATGGTAGCATCAGTCATCTTTATCTTCACAAAATAGCTTCCCCCTCTCTGTTAGGATCCCATGGTGCCAGAGGAATGATCAAGTTTGCTCCAACACATCTCAATTACTAGAGGAGAAAGTTTTTCAGAGAGGCTGAGACTTGAATCTGTAATAGCCTTGTTAACCCTCATTATTCCTCCTGATCCCCGCCCTACACCTCACCCACAGGCACTGCTCCTCATCCCCATCAAGAAGATGTGAAGAAGCATCAATACGCAGTGAAGATCCAAAAGTGCTGAAATCCTAGGATGTCCTAAATTCTGTTAGGTTTTAAAAGAAATCAATGACTCCCCACCTCTGTTGCTCTCCTACCTCCTCTCTCACCCCACCACTTCCTGCAAGTGTTAGTGCCCATCGAGAAAGTTCAGATCTGAAGGAAGTAAATCAGAAAAGGATGCACAGCAGCTTATTCTAGTTAGATATCTTGACTGACATAAAAGAAGGAAAGCTGAATCCTGGGTTTATATCCTGAATATGGAAAAAGATGAACAATACTCTCAAAGGCAAAATAAGTGGGTAAAGAAGAAAACTGATGCCTGGGGTTGATGGGCTGAGGCCCCAGGAGATAAAACCCCAACTAGAACCTGACCTAATAAACTGGATCATATATATATACATATATATATACATATATATATGTATATATATATGTATATGTATGTGTGTGTATATATATATATGTATATGGCGAGCTGATTACCCCTCAGAACACACTTGCCCCTGAGGCCTGGGCCAAGCTGACTTGCTGGAATTGAGGAGGACTTTTAAAAGCTGTGGTGGTAGGAGCCAAGCTGGATCTGGACGGCTGAAAGCATTTATCAAAGTACTGTGGCCAATTTCCAAGAAGGCTATCCTAAAAGCATTGGTGGAAAAAGCCCAGGTAGATCTCAGGGAAAGTGAGACCATCTCCAATGTAATTTCTTCTCCCTTCTTGTGACTTTTAGAAATTATTGAATTATTATTGTTTTGATTAGTATTATTTTCAATGTATTATTAATGCCCCTATCTCTAGAGCTGTGTCATAACCATAAACTCCATCTCAACCTCTCAAAATTCATGTAATGCAGCTGTTGGCAACCAAATACCCAGCTTCTTGCCAAAAACTGCAGATTAAACATTCGTTATGGGAGTTTGCCATTAGCTGTTTCCTCTGTTATGGGCACATGTGGTTACATGTCACAAAACACACGGGATTCTGTGTAGTATATTTGAGTTTCCAGGGAGCTCCAGGGATATTATGTTGGTTTGGTGACACCTTACACCCCACCCCTTCAACCATTACCATCAAAAGTGAGTTTTGGTAATGGGGCAGAAACGGGTTTACTAGACAGCTCTTGTCCTTGGCTACGCTGTACTTTTCTCTATGAGTTGGACCTTTATTGGCATACAAGTATCCTAGAACTTGTATCACATGTCTTTCATTTAAAAGACACGTAATGTTTTTCCGGAAATTTAGGGCTTTTAAGACATATATTTATAAACAAGCTGACAGAGCTCTACAAGATAACTTGGTTGATAACTAGTTTGTATATTTCCTCAAGTCAGCAATAGGTGTTGTTGTTGCTGCTGTGAATTTTTGTAAAACATATTAAACGACCATTTTCTTATCTTTCCCGTGTTTAGTAGAGAAAGTCAGACTTTCAGGATACCTGAAAATAAGAAGGTACCGAAGGGGATAGGAAAGAATCGAAAATGGCTAACCCAACAGGAGTGAGTGAATAACGCAACACTCAACGTTTCCACAAGGCTGCCCGGGGGCCCGCTGGAAAGTGTCCAAAGAACGCAGAGCTGAGGCTACTGCTCACGCAAGGTCGGGATGCTACAGGACACTTTAAGAAGAGCGTTTCAATGGCTTCTTCCGACACCTCACTCTCTCCCCCTGGGCCTGACCTCAGAATGCCAGGTTGTCTGGTTTGGAGTTCCTGCGGCCCGACGCAGCCTGGCTTCCTGCTGAAGCTCAGTCCCTAGTGCTTTTCTTTGACCTTGCTCCCCTGAAATTTAACAATCTGCAGTTGGTTCTTGCAGCACTGCTCTGGAGAGAGTAATAATAATACAGCAGAAGCTAGTTAGTCCCAGGAATAGTGTCCACTTGCCTGAATCTGAGTGCGCGCTCAAGGCCACACTGAGCGCTGCGCCATGTGAACTAAGCTTGTGCGCCTCCTTGGGAGAACAGTCTGGGTTGGACTTTGGCCGGGCGAGCAAGGCTGCTGCTGCCAGCTGATCTGCTCGGGATCCGCCGGTCGGATCTGGGTGCTTAAGGCCGACCCTGCCTTTCGCGCAACGCTAAGGAGCAGCTCCGGGGTGCACAGCCCTCCCTGATTGTTACTCTCTGGCTGAGGCCTGGTCAGGTCTCGAAGAAGGTCTCACCAAAGAGGCGTGGGTCAGCTAAGACCCCCGCAGAAGGTGGAAACTCTCAAACCCATCAGCATGCCCACCACAGCTGGGCTTGGCCTCACCATCCTCAGAGTCCGGGCTGCTCGGCCTGCCCGAGGCCTCACCATAATTGCCAGACTTGTCTGGGGAAACGCGACGGCCGCTGTGAGTGCCAGTGTTGACAAAGGCTGTGTCAGGACGTCTAAGCAGAGGCCTACCTGGACCAAAACCTGTCTGGCTTATTTTCACCAAATTTGCTAGCTTAGGGTGCCTGACGCAAATGCGATTTTGTGCCCAGGGCACCGAACGCATTTCCCCCAAGCGCCGCGGGCTCCTAGGAAGCCAAGAGTCGTGCCAAAAGTCACACAGAAGGGCTTTCAACCTAGCAGTGCTGTCCTGCCTGCCCTACCATCCCCTCTGGTGGAAATGGAGGCCTTGGACCTGTCCGCGCCCAGGACGCCGCGCCGCGAGTGCCCGCAGCTCCGCGCGCTCACCACTCACTCCCAGAGCGCTTTTCGGAGTAACTCCACAGCAACTCTTTAAAATTAAAAGTAATTTCTGTAAAAATATGCAGACATTCCTCTTCTTCATAAACCCCTATTTGTAACAATCCTCACTTTGGCATTAGAGTAAAAGCCTTTCAAAGGCACTGATCCTAACGGGTTTTCTTAAAATAATTTGGGTCTAATGATAAAATCGTGGACCAAAGGGAAGGGTGGCGAAGAGGGTGTAGGGAATTGGTTGGCATTAGTATAATGGCTTCATTGCCTCTTGCTCGGCTTCTCTCTCCCACCCATCGCCACCGCGTCCACACTCCGCCGCATTCCAGAGAAAAAGAAAAGGCCACGGCCTCGTAAAGCTCCCAGCTGGCCCGGACCCCGAGCTCCTCCCGGTTAGAAGCCGAAGCGGCCCCTCTACTACGGCGGCTGCGATTAACAGTTGCCAATGCATCTGGTTCCTTGGGCTTCGGATTAATGTGAATCTTCCACGTAAACGATTTACGGATGAAATAAAAGCCTTTTAGAGCAATATTTCCTTTCAAGTTCTTAAGACGCCTCTAAATCTTTCTGGTAGTGAGTGGCCGGCATGGGGGCGGGGTGGGGACGGGTGGCTCAGGAAGGCGCAGGCAGTAGGGAGTGGAGGTTTAACTGCTTTGCGATCTCACCAAGATCTTCCGAAATGCCAGTCCACTGTCACGGCGGCAATGAATCTGGGTGTCAGGGGCTCGTCTCTCCTGGCATTTGTCTGAAATGGAGCTGTCTGTCTGTCTATCCTAGGCCTGGACGCCCTCTGCCCGGGTAAGTGGGGAAAATGGGGGTGGGGTAGGGGCGGAGGGGGACCTGGGGTGGAGTTAGTCGCCCGCCTATTTTCATATTCATTAGAACTGGGAGGCTGCCCGAGGAGGCCAGCTGAGTTTCAAGATATAAAAGCAACTTCGGGTGCTCCTTTTCCAGCCGGGACGTATTAAAGGGACCGGAGCGGGGCAGTTCCCGACGCCGCAGCGCTCGCTTTCCCTTCCCTCCTCTCTGGCCCTCCCTCCTCCCACCCACTGGCTCCCTCCCCCAGCGCTCTCCAGTTTCTGTGCCCCAGGAGCTACGCGACAGTCTTCCAGGATTATGGAGTTTCTGAGCGAGAAGTTTGCCCTCAAGAGCCCTCCGAGTAAAAACAGTGACTTTTACATGGGCGCAGGAGGTCCTCTGGAGCACGTTATGGAGACGCTGGACAATGAGTCCTTTTACAGCAAAGCGTCTGCAGGCAAATGCGTGCAGGCCTTCGGACCCCTGCCCCGCGCCGAGCATCACGTGCGCTTGGAGAGGACCTCGCCCTGTCAGGACAGCAGCGGTGAGTCGCTAGCGCCCCAGCCGGAGCCGCCGCAGCCCTTCCGCAATCGAAAATGCAGGATCGGTCTGATCAGGCAGGGAGGGAGAAAGGAGAAAAGTGGGAGCGAGGGACCTGGAAGGTGGAGGAAGGTAGTGGAAGGTGCTCGCTTTATGAAGCGGTGTTACTGCTGCTGCAGCCTTTGGGGGCGGAGGGCGGAGGGAGGGAGAGATCCAGCACCGGGTTGCCTCTGAGCGATTCTCCTTTCGCTGTAGGGTCTGGTCGCCTACGGATCCCTGAGTCCTTCTGTAATATTGGTTCCTGGAGTAAACTGATAGGGCGCTAAATAGAGCGTAATTGAGTCAAGACAGAACGCTTCCTCTGCGAGCCCGCCTTGCAGTCCGGGCGGTAGGAACTGAAATCGATCACAGCTCGTTAGAGTACGTCACTGTCGTCACGAGTAGGGAAAAAAAAACCGGAAAACAAAAACAAAAAACAAAAAACCCTTTGAGCTCCTTTAGGTAAAGATAAATCTTTTTAATTTTCCAAGACGTGGCGATATATTTTCAAAGTTTGAGGATCCCTAGATTTCTAGCGTGTGTGAATTTGTAATTTCTGCTTTTTTTTGCGTTTGCAATACAACACGCGTTGAATGTTTGTTAAACACTAAAGCACACTAAATAGCTTCGGGCAAACCATCCCCGGCCTAATCACTCATTCCCAGATTCTACGTTTTGTATTTTTATGACTTCACATTAAAAGTCACCTAAGGAGTCTTTGGAATGCTTCTGGGTGAAATCTTCAACTTTGAATGCCCAAGTATCTCCAAGTCAAAATGTTATCAAAACAAACCATCTATCTTTTCTATCTTGTAACCTAATACTAACCTATTATTTCAGATCGCGACAGCTAAAGCACGTTTACAATTCCAAGAGAACTTCTCCTTATCATTGTATATATTCCACAGTTAAGCTATAAGGGGCGGGTTGCTTTAAAATAACAAACGAATTAAGTGTGAAATATTTACAACAAGCCCCCTGCCCCCTATTTTATAGAAATTCAAAATCTGACAAAACACTGGCCTGTAGAAGCTCATTTTCTAAATATTTTGAACACAAGTTTTTTTCTTTTATTAATCTCATATTTAACTAATTTTATTTAACGTTGCAAGTAACTTTTGACTAAGGGTAAATCAAAAATAAAGGTGCAAATGATAGAGAAAATAATCAGCTAAGTCGTTTCAGTCATTTATTTAGAAAGATTCGAGCGTATACTTTTTGTTATTCTTACACTGAGTTGTTGGTTTTCTGGCTGCGTTTCAGACCTGGTATCTGTATTTGTGGAATTCTTAGGTGCATGCCTAACGTTATTTGAATTGACAGGTCTTTCTTTAATGATTCTGCAATGTCTTGTATTGACTCTGGATGGACTTGATCATAATATTTTATTTTGAATAGTCGAGAATCCAAAATAAGAGACATAATTGATGCGTTATCAACTTTTAAACAAATATCACACTATTAAGATGAATTATAACAAAGAAGTGTTAAGGAAGATGAACATAGGCAGTCATCCGCTTAATTTAGGAGAGATCCTGTCTTTCTCTTGAGATGCCCTTAGCCTCTCTGATGCTTCCCCTCCCCCATCCCTAATTGCTGCAGTTCCCCCTTTAATTTTGCCCAAGGAGATAGAACCGTTTGTTAATCAGTCATGGCTCTTCTTTATATTTGGTTTAACATCACATCTTCGTTTGCATGAAAACCGTTAATTTAAAAAATTTGTTATATATATATATAGACAAATTATAGTTGTATATATTTATGGGGTACAAAGTAATGTTAAGTTTTTTTAATGCAATGTGGAATGATTAAATTACGTTAATTGGCCATCACCTCAAATATTTGACATTTTTTATTATGAGAACATTTTTGAGAGTTACTCCGTTAGTGACATTGAAATGCACAGTACTCAATTATTAGCTATTGAAGTTATATGCGCATTAAACTTGAATATATTTGTATAATGATGAAAAGAGTTGTAAAAATACATTATGGGGGTAATTTTAAAAAAAGAAACAAATGAAAAAAGTATGATCATCTATTGGAAATTATTATTCTGGCTGGTTTGACTTTACTTTTTAAAAAGTGCTTCCCATTTCACTATGTGCATCCATTGCATTTGTGGGTGTTTGGCATTATATGATATATCTTTGTTTTATATCACACTGCAAGCATGCAATCAAATCTGAAGAAAATTACTGAAATTAAACATCCCTTAACAGAATGCCAGATGTCATGCTCTGTAATGTTTTAATAGCTGTTTTAATTTCTGTGTTTCAGCAGAGAAAATAGAAAAGTTTTCAATCCCAAAACTTATCTAACTAGCTAAGCAGAAATATGAAATGTTTTAAAAAGAACTGCGTAAGTTTTTAGGTAAAAAAAAAAAATGCTGCTTAAATCTAATTTCCGATAGAAAGCGTATTCAAAATTTGGCATGAAATTTATTTTGTCAATTTAGTAGATTATTTTTGAAGAAAAAGTGTAAATGCAGACATGGATATAAAGTTGAAATATTCAAAATTTAGTGGAAATAATGTCACATCTGAAATCTATCATCAGTACGTTTTACGTGGAGGAGGATAATAACTTTCAGATATTAGTACAGAGGTATTATTTAAGATTAAAATATATTTTCTGAGCCACATTAGTAGCTTGGTTTTATCTGCTGTGAATAAAACACATGACATTAAATTTGCTTCAGTTTTCAAAAATCATGGACACTTAAAGTTTCTTTCATGAAACACCCAGATCATCTTTTAATTCGAGTACATGAATTTAAGTAAAAAACATGTGCATAAACTTATAAATCCTGTAAAATAGAACTGCGGATTTTGGCAGATCATAGCAGTTGCATGAACACATTTTAAAATGGTATTTAAACCTGTCCTACAATGAATTAAGTATAGAAATGTGGTAATTGAATTAATACTAGCACAATAAATTATTAATAGGCCAATTTCTTGATACTCTCAATTACTTCTACTTATTGATTTAATTGAGATGAGTTTCACAATCCTGAGAACTGTTGTTTTTCCTCCTCTGGGTACAGTGAACTATGGGATCACTAAAGTAGAAGGACAGCCCCTTCACACCGAACTGAATAGAGCTATGGACAACTGTAACAGTCTCCGAATGTCTCCCGTGAAAGGGATGCAAGAGAAGGGAGAGCTGGATGAACTTGGGGATAAATGTGATAGCAATGTATCCAGCAGTAAGAAACGGAGGCACCGAACCACCTTCACCAGTTTGCAGCTAGAGGAGCTGGAGAAAGTCTTTCAGAAAACTCATTACCCGGATGTGTATGTCAGAGAACAGCTTGCTCTGAGGACAGAGCTCACTGAGGCCAGGGTCCAGGTAGGAGCCAAAAAGAGGCCTTGATGGATGGGATAGGAAAATAAATGGTGTTAGAATAATTGAATAAGTGCATTTTGCCACAAAGAAACAAACTGATTCCCTAGCTGAAGATGAGAAACGGAGTAATATATATGAATATATGTCTACTAAAATTATTTTTTAATTGCAAAAATTTTGACAACTCACGCAATATGTAAAACAAAAGAACACAAGTTATTACAGAGACATAAAAATTAACAATCATTCAAACATAACAATATGATAATATATCTCTGATTTTCAAAAGCAGTTTTTAAAGGATGAAAAGCAGAATCATGACTATTTAGTAATTGGTATATTTATTTGTTTTTTTTTTTTCGGTTTTATTAGCCACTAAGGTTCTTTTTTAGATTATATATCAGGTATTTGTAAATTATTTGTATAATAGCCCATACATCTAGAAATTTCTAGATTTGGAGGCATAATAAAAAAAAAAACAATCCCACAAATTCCCAATTGTTATGTATACCATGGAATGTTTTCACTATGGATAATTAAAAACAAGATCAAATAGTGCTCATTTACAATTTTATAGTCCTAGTAGTTGTCAACATGTAAATATTCCATTATAATGGTTAAAGTCTAGATAAATCATATGAATTTTGCATAGGCAATAAAAATAATGGCTTTAAAGTAAATTTTTGTGTATACTCAATTATGTTTATAAGATATATTCTAGTTATTAAATTGGATGATCCAATATGCTTAATTTTTAAAAATAATTTGAGAAAGAAAAATCATACCAGGTAAAATTTTACCTCTTAGGAGTACTTTATTTTGACTACATTTGATATTCTTAAACTATATTTTACTAGTTTCCAAGTAGTAAGAGTTTAAAATGCAACAATAATTCAGGATAATGGCCTTGGTCTTTGTGTGTGTTCTGACTCCTCTACAAAAGTATTGATTTTTGCAATTCCCATAAACTGCTAAAATGGGGGAATGAATAAAATAGTGAAAATTTTTGTTCTAAATCGAGTAACGGTATTTCTTCTTAAAATTGTAAGGCTCTTACATCATTAGAGACAACATCTGGTGGCACACGGATAACAAGCAGCAGATTTTTACTTGAGTTTGTGGAAGCAAATGGTTACTTTATCTTGGTTCAGGAAGTAAATATGTAGAAAGTTCATGCTAACAAAGAATTTTAGAATTGTCGAGTATTAACACCCGCTGTGTAAGTTTGAGATTTTTGTCTTTGTCTATATTTAAATTAGTTATACTTGTAACCATAAACAAATATGTTTGCACACAGAGTGACCAACTGTACATAATGCATCTTTTCCCCTTAACATTCACCAAGTCTTGATTAATTTTTGTCTGAGAACATGCACAGAGAGCCAACTTGAACTTAATTTACTCAGGTCGTTCTCTTTCCTGCTTTGCACATAAGAGTGGTAACTATTACTCATTTTAAGGAAATTGTCAAGTTCTTTTTGTCAATGGAAAAAAAAATAAAACCCAAAAACGTATTACTAAATTCCCTTAGTGTGTTCCTGGGGCTCATCTGCGGAGACAGCAAGAAAATTTGATTTGTTTTTTGTTGTTGTTGATGTCTTGAGCCTTGGCATAATGGATAATATGCATTTATCAGCAGTGTACTAAAACTATAATGAACATGTAGCTCTCTGGCTCATTTCAATTGCTGAAAACTCTGCAAAGTGCCATCTTAAATTTGTA
This sequence comes from Homo sapiens, assembly GCF_000001405.40. NCBI lineage: Eukaryota > Metazoa > Chordata > Mammalia > Primates > Hominidae > Homo > Homo sapiens. Next base: position 85,285,596 of record NC_000012.12, read on the forward strand.
ATGTGTACTAAAAAATTAAACTGAGTATTAATATGTTGCCATAATGGTGAAGGTAAAGATATACAAGATTAGAATTGAGTATGAAAAAGAGTGAAAATTTCAAGTAAACTTCAACAAAAGGCTTTTACAACTTGCATTTTTTATATTTGATTTCTAGCCTTTTTCCTAAATATTTTATATTCTGAACATAATTGTGTGAAGAAGACTAGATTCCCAAAAGCTACTCCTATAATGTTCATTTAAAAACATCCAAGTATATATATTGAATATAATCTTCTGCATCTCCCTTTAATATTAAAGTGAAGATATTGGAATATTACAGGTATGAATTAATGAATATCCAACCTGCTGAGGAAGATGGTTCTTATAATAAATACTTCTAATAGGTAATTAGAGAAATTGTGGAAGATAGCTTAGTGACCTTAGCTGCCACAGTAACTGATAGACTTTCTTGACACTTGGTTCTATCTGCCCTATTTCTTATATTATTTCCATTACCTGTGCTTTAAATTAGAGAAATTACGTAAAGATATCCGAGCATTTTCATAAGGGAAAATAAGTTGCATAATGTATGTAATAAGCACATTCACGTATTTTAAAACCATAGTTCAACTTTAGATGATTCCTTTTTACCTATAATTCTTGTCATGCTTATTATAATATGTAATCTCATTTTTTCCTATTTCTAGATAATCATGATGTTCCTGCTGCTGCCATATATTTAGGTGTAATCTTTATGTTTAAAATTTTAAAAGATTATGTAGGTATGAGCACAACTGAGAAGAGCTTTCACTTTTGTGATATATTTTAAAGATAAGTTTTAATAGACTCAGATATTAATTTGCTTATAGATTGACTGAGTTTACGTTACGGCATATACATCTTCCAGACTTGCAGCATTCTCTTAAAGGAGACTTATCCATGACAATGTGGAGATATATGGAGTATTCAGGATCATATAATCTAATTGCTTTTTGTTTTCCATAAATGAGAAAACAGAGGCTCAGACGTATCAGATGTATTTCCCGAAAGTCTCCTGCCTCTTTCTATTAAATTATTTTGTCTCATGGGAAAATCACTTACCACATCAAGATACAAGAAAAAGTAAAATCTGTGGATCCTTTTCTAACATAAATACATTTCTTTTTACGTAATTTTTTTAACCTGGTTTACCTTTCTTGTTTGATGTCTTTTAACATCACATTTGCTTTATCAAATATTCCTTAGCTAAAATTCTAATTTTTATTAAATAATTAGGTTTGGTTTCAAAATCGAAGGGCCAAATGGAGAAAAAGGGAACGTTATGGCCAAATACAACAAGCGAAAAGCCATTTTGCTGCCACCTATGATATATCAGTTTTGCCAAGGACTGACAGCTACCCACAGGTATGCTAAACTACACAGAATACTGATCAAGAAAAGGATATTTGGTTTGTATATTCTTAAAATGGTTAGCATAGGCTTTATTATATGTAAGATAATAGCCAAGAATGAAAATCTAAGCTTCAGAAAACATTCTTCATGTCTGCTAAGTTTTAATTTTTCTGAATTATTTTCTTGTTGTTTTCTTACAGAGTCATTCATTTAAAAATATTTCAGGGTATTTTTTTCTTTTGAATTTTGTTGTATATTGCCACCAATGAAATAGCATCATTTAATGATACAGGTATTTTAATTATCCTACATTCTAATTACTCAGACTCTCTTCCTTTTGTTAACTTTTAAAAATACTGTAAATAGAGTGTTGCTTAGCATGCAATCTCTGTGGATATTGTTTTATGAACTATACTAAAACCTGATGTCAAATGTGGCCTATTAAGCCCTTAACTCCATTTAAAAATGTGTCTCTTTTTCTATGTTTTTTTTTTTTCAGTTTTCAAATTGCTTATTCTCTAAAGGTCCACATTTGGTCCTGTTTGACTTAAAACAGAGATAGAATTAGTATCAGACATAATTTTAAAAGTTAATCACAGATGAGTAACAGCTTCCCTTTATAATGGGTGCTCTTTTACTTCATTACAAAAAGTGTTAGAAATTCTTTTTCTTCTCATTTTTCTTTTTCAATATAAGACTATATATTTCTTTTTCATATTTTGTAATGAATGTAAATGTTTGTCTTTCTAATTTATTTTGTGTCACTTTTTCCTAATACTTAATAATGATATTCAGAACTGTATTTGATACATGATGAAAAAAAACCTACGTTATAAGCAACGAGCTATGCATTATTTTGTTATTTATTATTTAATGATATGCATTATAAGAGACCCATGTGAAAACACATATGAAACATATATGCTGGAGAAATACCTTGATAGTTCACTAACTAGATGATCTGAACCCCAAACTTGAGTATTCATTTTCTTCAACACTATGAGTACAAATTCAGTTCTTTAATGTTGTTCTTTCCTTGTGTTCCTATGCCTTTTATGATTCTTAAAAACCAGTTTTAGAAACCTCACTCCTCCAGATAAATCCCCCAAATTTATTAATATAATATTATATGTTAAATAAAAGAAGTCTTGGAGGTCACCTTGTTCAACTCCTTCCTTTAAAAAAGTTATGAAAACGGGCTCAATTGAGTTAAGGAATTGGTTTGTGATCATACAAGTGGGTTCCTGCAGGAGAGACTGTAAAGGTCGCTACGTCTAAACCTTTACCCAATGGCTTGCTAGAAGACTATTCTTATGGATACCTTTTCAATAAATGCCTCCTATCTCCTTGCCATAGGAGGAATCTTGTTTCTCTTTTAAAATTTATCTTAAAGAGGTTACCTTATGTTTTCTCCTATTTTAAAGCATGAGGCTACCTCTGGTGGTTACTTACCATCATAGGGCTAGTCAAATTTTGTTTGCCAAATATTTTTGAGTGCCTTAGTTGAGTCAGTGTGAGTTAGTTTGAGTGCCGTTAGTTTCTAAACAAAATTCTGTAAAAATCTTTCCCCTCTAGGCTGCAAGCTCCATGAGGACAGGGACTGCAGTGTCTTCATGGTTATTAACACTACAGTAGCCCTCACTGTATATCTGGGCACTGTTCTAAGCAGATTACATATATTATCTCATTTAATCCTCACAACAACCTTATGTGCTAGGTGTTACTAATTGTCTCCATTGCTCAAATGAGAAAGAGGTAAGGTGAAGTTCAGATTTGACCAGAGACAATTTGGTTCCCACTTGCCAGATTTTAACCTGACAATAGACTGTCTCTACCTGTGAATATATTTAAATGATACCAAAGGAGCATAAAGTTTGAGCTGCATTATTGTAAGTCTGCGCTTTAGTGTCAGGAGCCACAACCAGAGAAATAACAATAAAAATATAGGTGAAATGGAGAATGGTTTATATCATTTTGAACTACTTGACTGTGGTGACTTTAGACGTAATAAAGTAACAAATTATGAGCTCTTCACATGGATTTTAAACTCTTACTAAGTATATTCCACAACACTTGACTATGACTACTTTTTTGTGCATTTTATTCTTTCAGTCTTCATTTCCTTTCAAACCCCATTTCTGTCTGTTTTCAACTTTTCTGTCCCTGTACGTTGGTTGTTTTATATTTGACTCTTCTTGCTTCTTTGATAAAGCAATCAGAATAGGGCCTAGCATCAATTAAGACCTATATAAAGGGTAAAGCATTCAGAATAGTGCATATTCTGAATCTAAAACTTTATACAGCTTTAAGACATGTATAAATGCTCAATATGACTCAGTGTACTCTGAGTAACCATCTCATTTCCCTAAGATTATCTTACCATTGTGTTATTGTACCTCAAAGCTTTATATATTATTAATTAAAAGAATGAGGTAACCTAGACACCGATGGAGGAACGGACATGGTACACCAAATTATATATTTGATCATCTTTTTCACTCCAATGAAAAATTAATTTAAAAAATTTCCCCCCACAAATCATGGGAATGTTGCACTAATTATTCCTCATAATTTTGTATACATTGGCTATACCACCTGATAATTTAAGAATGGAGAACATATGTTGGAATTACTTCAACAGTGCCAATCATGAATAATAATAAAAATTAATACCATGAAGTCCATAGTACTTTCTTGTATTGGTAAATCATTTAATGTTTGGTTACCAAAATTTCCGAAATTATGTGGCTGCAACTCCCCACTGTAGATACTGGATAAAGCCGGGGGAATTTTTATTTTAACTTAAATATATACAAGATACTTTTTTAGTTTGTTTGAAAAAATAATTGGGCCAAGATCATGTCTCTCAAGAGTTAGCCTAAATGAAATGTTTTTTTTATCATGGGGCTTGAAAATAGGAACTTGTAATGGGAGAAATAGAAACAGAAGTAGAATCCAATATCTCAGTCTAATAAGACATTGGATTTGGTGACTGTTAATTACAGAAAAAATTATTAATTTCAGAAAAGTTGGAAACTAGAAAATGTTAGAGGCAGGACAGAAATAAAGAATTAGCAATTTGGCAGAAAGAAAAGCCATACATAGAAATACATGAAAAACAGAGATAGTTTAGAAAATGATCTCCTCAAGCCTGCTCAGTATGTACAAGCATAATATGTTTATTTCTATATAGTAATTAATACTTTCTAATATGTTCTAATAAATACTTTGTTTCAACTGGCCGTCTTTTTACTATAGTAGCAACAGCTGTAACAGTAAAAATAATTACTAATAATTGGGGGCATATTTAAAGCCAGACACTGTGCTTCCTTCTTGTATCTATTAACCTGTTTAATTTAAGCTCAGGTTTTCTGAGCTCAGGAGCCCAAAGATCTTTATGTAACATTATCTCTTTAATTCATCACTGAAGAGTGAAATTATTCAAATTGGATCCTAAAATATCACATCCTTTTTGGAAGGTAAAAATGCTTCTGGTTTTAAATTTATAAACATTTAAAAAGCCTAAACACCTCATTGACTGTTTCAAGATTTTTTTCTTAAACTTACTTATCTTTGATAGCAAACAAATAAGAAAGTGAGAGACGTGATGTTCATATTTAAATATTTTAAGGTAGTATATTTTGATGTACTGACAACAGTATCTTTTTGTTTAAGTTCTTTATTTTGGCTCAAGATATCAGTTGCCATTTGGCAATGCTGTGATTTAACTAAATTAATCTATTTATTTTTCCTCAAGAGTTAACGTTTTTGAAAGCATTCTCATTGCTTGGGATGAATTTGTTTCCTCTGTCTTGAATTTCCCTCCCTCACCTAAGCCATATTTACTCCATGAAGCCTCTGGGATGTGCCATCTGTCTGCACATCACTTTCTCACTGACATTTTGTTGGGTTGTATTAAAGGTCTGACTTCCCATTTACAATGTAAAATATTTAAAAGATGACCCAGTTACTAGTCACCTTTGTATCACCAAGGATGGTCTGCTATGAATTGAGCAAATTATATAGACATTGGATAGATATGAGTAATAGTACAGGTTCACTTCAATATATTAATATATTAAGTAGTGTATCATAAAACAAAAATAATCAATTTTCAATAAAACAGATTCTGAATTTGTTATTAACCAGTTTTGTGATATAAGCAATTAACTTTTCCTCAATTTCTTCCTCTGTTCAAAAAAATAGGCTAGAAAGATTTTGCAGACACTTTTCAGCTGACTTTTATTCCAAAGTTATTTGCCTTTCAAAACAAATATATGCCATGCACTGTTGCAGGGATCAGGAATATATAACTGATCTAGACAAAATTCCCTGCTTTGTAGAAAGACTAAAAACTGGGTAATATTTGTACTAAATTTGCAAACACTTCTTGGTGCAAACTAGGCCCAAGAAACCATAAATCTAAATAATTTTGGCCTTAAATTTAAAAAGTGAGCAAAGATCTAGTGATATTACATTTTAACTTGTTTCTAATATGGCAAAACCAAAGAATTTTAAAAATAATTATTTTAGTGAATAAAATAATTTATCTTAAGGTATAAGTATTTCCTTGAGAATTATAATTACCATTCATTTCTTACAAGGAACTTTACAATTTCATGTTCTTAGGTTTGGATTACATGAGCATTGACATTATTATCTAGATAGATAACTTTGAGTTACAACTTTGACTTGATCTTCAGATTCTTTATTTGTAAAATGGAAGTATTGTTGGTGCTGGTGTTTGTGGTGTTGATAGTGTAGATGATCAAGACGATGATGGTTTTTCTGTTATTGTGAAGACTAAATGGATTTCCGAAAAGGAAAGCCCTCTGTTTATAGACTACAGAGGTGAATCCTGGGATTTGAAGAGGGCCAGGGGTTAACATTAATGACTATGAGCTTTCCAGTCAGAGAGGTGTGGGTTCAAGTTTTGGCTTTTCAGTTTAATAGCTTTTAGACCTTTGGCAAATGAATTTACCATGAGGAACAGTTCTTTTCATTTATAAAATGGGGGTAAAAGCTCATACGATGCTTGTGAATGTTAAACAAACTTGTTTATGCAAATTACTTAGGGCATTGCCTAGTACAAAACAGAACTTAATAAGTAGTAGGAATTCTATCATTTCCATTAGTCATTATTAATTTTGTTCTAAAGTACCTGCCTCTCCAGGTAGCTAAATTGCTTGTTATCTTATGTTGTAGCGTTTTAATTAATCCAATCTCTGAGTAAATTTACTATGTAGGGATCTAGGGAAATATTAATTTCAGTTAAACATACTTTCCTTTTTAAATTGAAAACCAAATACGGTAACTTTAGAAAAGTTTAAGTATATATTCAATTCACCAGAATTATTTTCTTGTAAATATTTTCATCACAAATTTCAGAAAAAGAATTGAAGTGCTTTTCCCACCAAAATTTTGAATGAGGTTTCACTGAGTATTGTATAGTGAAAACTATCTCTAAATCTATGCTTACCAAATGTACCAAGGAATCCACACAGTGTCTTGTCTTCCGTTGTATTATTGAGGACTTCATAAATATATGCCACTTAGAATTTGAACACGCCAAGAGGTAGATTCAAGTTATAGGTAATTTGTGGTCATTTTTATAATTTAATACATAGATTAAAGCTGTAAAACATTTTAGTTTAACACATTCTATTTGAAATATTGTAATTATACAATTAAAAAATGAAATTTTAAGGTTTTCATGTAATAGTAGTTCCCATATAATAGACTGTAGACATATTGCTTATCTACCCTGGTTTTAATGGCAGTTTCTATATTAATCTTAATGGTTGTCTTAACTTAAGCTAAATAAGGAACATAGGACTTGTCTCCTTCAACCACTGTGGTTTATAATTAAAAGGCATTTGTAGCATTTTTTACCTTTGGAGAAAATATAATTTTGTCACTATAATTTCTATTTTTTCCCAAATATTTGAAGTAAACAAACCAAAATCTTTTAAAAATATTACTAATATAGCGGTAATTAATACATTGTATGATGAGTGCTTTTACATCCATGAAACAACCAATGAATGGTCATACAATGATACAGTGAAAATTCTTGTATGACTTATGACCAAAATGTTACCATCATTTTCAAAATATCATATTGATATTGCACAATTTGTCACTGATAATAAACACAAATATTTTAAGTGACAGAAGAAATATAATGATAATCTACCTTACTAAAATATAGTTTTTGCAGCGAGTAAATATACTGATTTAATTAAATTTATATAGTTTAAATAAATATGAATAAAATATTTATATATGTATGTGTGTATATATATATATAAGTTATGTGTAGCATGAGACAATTTTTGTCAGTATCATTAGGTGAAGGTACAGTTAGCTACAGTGAATTCTTTTCTTAATTTTTATTTTGTTGAAATATTTTAATTTTAATGAAATGGAATTCATTTAATGAAAAAAATTTTAATAAAAATGAAACATTTCATTTTTATTAAAACTTTAATTAATTTTTATTCTGTTGCATATACAAAGACTCTAAAGAGGCAAAGAATATCCTCCAAAAGAAACAAAGTGCACTCCTGTCAATTATGAAAATAATTAGGCCTGTTCTTTTGAAAATGTAATATTCTAATGTGACTGTACACAGTAAGTTAACAAAATTTTTTTAAATAAGTATTTTTTATTTTACAAGGAAACTAAATCAGTAAGTTGAATAGATAACCAAATAAATAAGAAGAAAATAAAAATGAATGTTGCAGAGTGCCAACGTTAGCTTATACATATAAAAACCTCACAAGAAGATGGAGAAATAACAGGCAGAAAATTAAGCCATCAAAGCCCAGGAAGTCTATTAGCACAGAACTGTTGTTTAAAATCTGCAGTTCACCCTATTGTTAGTGTGAACCTTATGATATACTTTAATCCAGAATTATATGCATGCCATGTTTATGAAGCCTCATGTGTCTATGGATTTTCTTTTTTATTCTGCATCATAGACATTAAATAGGTAAACTTCCGTACAAACTCACAGTTGATTTTTAAAATTACAAAAATAAAATGTCGACTTTGTAGTTAATACAAAGAGATGATGAGTAAAATCAATAGCTTCACTTAATATTTTAAGAATAAATTCAAAGTCCATAAATGACTCCAAGCAAGATCTCTAAAATTAAAAATTTTCTGTACAAATTAAAATATTTGTGTATTTTATTCATATTCTAAGCTATTTATGCATAAAAGCTTAATTTACAAGCTTACATTTTTATCTTTATTTCTTATATTGTGAATTTTGTTTCAATAGGATAATTTCATCACTAAAATGAATCAGACACTGATGAATCAGCAATAGCTATCATACATGTATTAAAATACATGAAAAATAATGCAACAAGTGTCTGGAAAATCCTCCATATGATAATTATTGCTTGATAGTAATAAAATAGCAAAGGTTAGGTGTTACCATTTTATTTCTTCCTTAAATGAGTTGATTTGAAAACTTTCATTTTAAAGCAATCGTGAGAGTTTCTATAAATCTTCTTTTTAAAAGTCACTTAATATAGAATTTAAGAATACAGTCAACACCAAAGAAAAATGTTCTTTATGTTCTTATATCTTGGACTTGGAGCATTTTTCAAATATTATTTGAATAATGAAAAATGTAAACACATTTATATGATGTTATGCTGAAAATTTACAGACATTAAAATTTCTTATTAAGCTTCGTGCTTTTAATTTTGCACTAAAAGTAGACATACACATTTATTTTTCTGCTAAGCAGTTTTCCTCTTAAATTATCAGTCTCATATGGGTGTGATATTTAATGGTGATTTTTTTTTTAATGGAAAAGTCACCTTTCTTGTTTCAAATCTCTGTATACATATCTAAGATGGAATTTTACTAAAAAATAAAAGTGACAGTATTTAGTATATGATCTGTTTCTGATGAATAAATGATTTCTAATCACTTTAGTTTAATAATATATATTGGAAAAGTACTTTAAGAATGTTTAAAATGTCAATAGACTTATCAAAATCTAAATATTTTATATATCACCTTAAAATATTTTTTGGTGAAAATTAGATCTAATGAGAAGACACTGATGAAAATGTGCCCTCACTTTTACCTTAGGCAGTACCTAAAAAATACTCAGATTAATCTTTTCATTGCTTAATTAATTCAAGTTGGGATCTTTTTTTTTCAGGTAGACAAAGTCTCAGTGTGTGTTAGTTACTGGTGGTAAATTCAATATTTAAAGATTCATTTATACTCTTTCTCCCTGCCAGCAACTTACTGATGTAGTAAATAGAAAAGTTAATGGGATCCTAAAGTTAGTCAATAGCTAAAAATATCTGCATGTTGCTAAGCATATGATTCTTATTAATATTTTGTCATGTAAATGTTACAGGAATATACTAGTGAATTTCATAAAAGTCTCTTAAAAAATTTAGCTGTTTTCCCAGAAATCAGTGTTTTCATTTTTAAGAGAACATGTACAAATCTAGTAAATTCAATTACATAGTGATACTGTCTTAATACATTTATATAGTATTAAATGATATACAGAAAATTAATAAATGTAAACATTATGCCAAAGAGGAAAACCAAATCAGTTTTTAGATTTTCATGTAAAGAGGTATTGCTATAACATCATCACAAGTAACTCTATAAATCTCTGATCTCTGTCTTTTAAAGTATCCTTTAATTCCCACAGGAAAGTGTGTGAGCATGTGATGCGAGAATTGTGTGAGTGTGCACATGGAGTGTGTGTGCAGACGTATGGGTATGTATGTGTGTTTATGCAAGTAAATATGATCGATGTTGGTGGCAGGAGATAGGAGCACTCTATATATAGATGAGAAGTAGAGTTAAATAAACTTATTTTAGTAGAAAAACGTTACTTAATTAGTTGTTTTGGAGATGCTTTAAAATTAAGGGAAGGTTGTTACTTACATATTTTCATGTTTAGTATTTCTATGAAATTTGATAGTGTTGTTTCTTCTAAATAGCACTAATATTAGGATATTGACTATAAAATGCTATCATGAAACTATTTTTTTGTTACACCGTGCTATTTTACAATTAAGTAAAAAACTAACAAACTCACTATTCTTTTAAAAGGCTTTTTTAGAAAAATATATTAAAAAGTACTCACTATATAAAATCAGTAAATATATTAGAAATGTAAACCAGGGTTAGAACAACAAAATCCACTTTGTAGTTGTGATTACAAAGAATATATTCATATCAAGGTTCTAAGGTAAAAAATAAATAATTTTCTACCCATAACTTACTGTAGTACTTGAATTTATTACAAATATATATCCACAGTAAAAAACTCTTAGTATTTATGTTTATGTTAATATATATTTATGTATTTTCCCTTCTCCTTCCTCTCTACTGCTTTTAATTCCTTGGAAAAAAATGAGTATTAAATGAATTAGGTTTCAGTTTGGAATAAATAAGACAAAAATAAAACTTTTCTCTAAAATTCCAAAGTCATGGGATAATTAAGTGTTAACATTTATTTGGTTAGAAAAACATGAAGGGGCAAACGTTCAAAGTGAAGTGCAGTAAATCCGCTGTACTTCCATTCATGCTAATGGGAGGTAGTTGGCTAAGTTCCCTGGACAGAGTTCCCTGGACAGTGCTTTGAACACACCCCTAATATTTAAAAAAAAAGTTTCAGAGAACGTTAAAACATGAAATGTTTTTAGATTCTCCACTCCTTTTAAACACAACAAAGAAAAAAAAATAAAGGCAGTCAATCTTTTTCTCTTTCTTTTTAAAAAACACACATACAAGAAGGGTATGGGAATTATTTGTTTCTGGTTGTAAAGCCCTTGAATATTAAACAGAGGCCTACGAAAACACCGTAAAATTATATGGTGCCAGGTATTGTCATTGCAGTATCTATGAAATAGTTCAAAATAAGAGTAGTTATCCTATTTAGGAAGAAAATTAATATTTTTTTACTTCCAAAATTGAACCACCAATATAATTTTTCCTTTAACGAATCAGAGTGCGATTTTGATGGGCTTCCCAGTTGACAAAAAAGTAATAGGCACTTTTAGATAATATGCACATGGATTTATACTTTCCAGGGCATAGTTTAAAAATTACTGCCTATATGAGAATATATTGGTGTAGGGATGGAGGAACAGTGTGAGTCCAGCTTGATAGCACTATAGTCAACCCTTAGCTCAAATAATGTTGTTGTTTAATCAGATCTAGATGGCCTAGAACAAAGATTTTATCTGCCAGCTTTTTCCTACAGCAATCAGATGATATGCAGTGTATGATATTCTGGTGTAAATGCTATGTATTGGTAAGGGTAAACGGTATTGATAAGCTCAGACATATCCAGAATAACATGATCTGAATGATACAGTGTCTAGAAACCAAGTCATATGAGGAATGGTTAAAAGCACTGGAGATGTTTACCTGGAGAAAAAGGATTTGGGGGTTGTATCATCATGCCCGATTACATTTTAAGATTTTTACATGTAAGAAAGATGATCTTATTCTACGTCATTATAGGGCACATAAATGGAAGCCATAGGTAGAGGTAGAGGAATATAACAGCTTACTTTTATAGAAAAGAAATGGAATTTTTTTTTAAACAGGTGAGCTTCTTATCACAAGAGGTAAACAAAATTGGTGTACAAAGAATTTTTCATTTGGAAGGAAGTTGGACTCCAGTAGTGTTTCCTAATTTCAATTGATTTTCAGAATTCCATGTGTGTATTTTATTACTATTATTTTAATACAGAGCCCCTGAGCCATACTAAATGAATCAGAGTCTCCAAGGATATGTATCTGTTGTGGAGAATCAGTGTTTAATAATAAAAATAAAGAACTTCCCAGGTAAATGCAGTTAGCAAGGTCTAGGAATGTAATTTTCATGATCACTGTTAAGATTATTGAGTATGGTGATTTGGGAGTTCATATTATGAAACAAAAATTTTGATATATTAACATAAATCATCCATAAAATTTTGATTATATCTGCAAGATGGATCAGTCCATATTTTTCAAGCACTTAATAACTTTGTATTAAGGACTTACCTTGTACCACATTAGACCTGAGGATGACAAAACAGTTGTGAGAAATAATTGTGGGTTTTTCTTTCAGAGAGTAGAGACTATGAACCTACACAAAGTAGGGATAATGAGTAAATAAATAATTTCAACTCATAAAACTAGTCATTATTACAGCATTTCTAAGGTTTCCTAGGTTGAGATTTGACCTCCACCATTGGAACTATGCAATCTTGGGTGATCTTCTTCAGCTCTGTTCTATAGTGTTACCATCCTCAAAAGGGGGATAGCAAAAGAACACGCTGTTTAGTGTACTGAAACAATTAAAAGTGTTCATAATATATTTAACATAATGCCTCACGCATGGTAATTAATTGGTAACCATTAGCTATAATGAACATGGTCTTGAGCATCATCATCAAATGTTTAAACACCCAGAGGGCAGGCTTCAGAGAAGTAAAATCACAATATACCGAGGATATTATCTTTTATGAGTTGCATCTAAATAAATTTACAATGTGGAAACCAACAATGTTTCTAAAGTCAAATAAAGATTTGCTGGAAATTTAAAAAAGGAAAGATCAGCAGTGGTGCTGGGGAGGGGGAAGAAATAGATATTTTGAAAACAAGATAGATCAGTAAAAATGTGTGAGGATATCTCTACCTATGGGAATAAATGACAATCTTCAAAATATTTAGGGTATCTTCACAAGCCCAACTAAAATATTGTTATCATATTTACTTTACCAGTCTGTTCTGCCCAGAAAAACATGTCTATATGTTAGAAATTATTTCATCAAAAGTAATGCATATAACGTGCTTGATCATGTCCAGATAAGAAGTTTTGATCAAAATAAAATTTGCTTTTTTATGTACTCTACAGAATATTTTTCAATTTATAGGTAGATTTATGTTAATTATGTTAGGGAGGCAATATTTTCTTAATTTATATCTATAGGTTACCTCCCTTGCCTTTACCTTTCTGATTTTAGCTTTTTCATCTAGTTGGTGAACATATTTCTGTGCATTTGGAATATGAATGAATGATTTTAATAAAAAATTCAAGAAACTGTATAAATCAAGCAATTCTTTAACAAACAAAATATAAATAATCCTTCTCTTTCATTATGTTGTCTTCCTTTTTTTTTTTTTAAGTAAGCAAGCAAAGTTCACTTTCATTTCTGAAAGCTCTTTTATCAGACATGTGACTATGGTTTTTGCCGAGTAGCACAATGTGTGTGATTGAATGTCAGAGGAAAATCACGCAGATGAAGTTAGAAGAGGTAGTTTGACAGAGTAATGACATTAGCAGCCCTCTTGTTGGTTTGATATACATAACTCAGCAATCACTGATACCAGTCATTATGTTTTGCCTAAAGTGGAACACATATAGTAGAATGAGCCAGAATTAGAACATAGCCTGAGACAATTTAAGGATTAACAAAATATGCAAATCATATATATATATAAAATATATATGTTTAGATATGGATATGTAGATTTCTCTCTTTGTCTCTTTCTACATATGTATATATTTAACAACTTTAAAGCAGCTTATACATATATTTATATAAAGAATTATTTTTTAAGACAACCCAGATATGTAAGCACCTTGCCAATCACTGAAACCCCACCTAAAGGTTGAAATTACTTATTAAGGTTTTTCTCTTACGTTTTGAACCTGGTTAATCAGTCCTTTCTTGAGTGACAGAGTACCTTTTTACCAGTGTGATCTAGAAGATTTATTAACATATTTTTTGCTCTTATTTGAAAATTAGTTGCCATAGAAAGTACAACTCAAGCATGGGTATTGTAAGACTACACCAGACCTTATATGTAGGTGCCTGGAATCTTTATGTAGAAACAAATATAGGAAGACATATGTGTCCTACTCATTGATGATTCTACTCTTACATCATGATTTTAAAAGATAAGGAAACCTGATGTGATTAACATGTGTATTGCTGCTATGTTCTAGTCCAAATGTATTATAATAATGTTGCTAAAAGCATTCAGTTTTATTTCATCTTCAAAGGGCTGCATCATAGTATTACTATCCCATGCAACATTTTCTTTTTTTACCTTCCCCAGCTCCTGCCATTTGTCATGATTTTCTCTGAGCTTCCCAGTAACGTATGGGGTTCCTGCTTTTGTTTGTTTAAATAGCTTGTATATTAAGATTGAGATATGTCCTACTTAAAATTCATGTTACATAAGGTCTATATCATGTTTCTTTTACATGCTAGTAACTTTAGATAAATTTGTACTTGTTAATATTGCATTGAATTGTTTCCTGTGGAGATTTAATAATACGAAGTGTGAATATCTCGGGTGTGAATGATAAAGCAGTTTCTACTCTATAGGAGTACTATATAACACAAGAGTAACTGCATTATACTCATCTGATGTTTTTGCTAAATAGTTGCACATCTTTCTCAGCTATGATTCCATTATTTGGTAAAGGCCCATGTTTTAAAATTCTAACTTTGTTTTACATGTCACATGTCTGTTTCAAATTCATTATATCATACATAAATCACAGAATAAATTTTTAAAATATGTATATTTACATATTTTGTAATTTCCCAGATTCTCAGAGCTGTTTCTTCAAGACTATAGGATACGAAAAAGCAATAGGAGGGCAAACATGTTCCAGAATAAGTTTGATCAAAAATATCTTTGCAGAACAGTCTATTGTCAGCAATGGTTTCCAACGAAAACTGCCACACCAGGAGTCCCAGTTAGAATTTTTTTTAAAAATGCATTTGTGTCATTTTGTTTAGAAAGACAAAAACTATCTTTAAACTTAAAACCAGATTTTAAACTACTTTTCTAATCGTATGAATTGGTCATGACTCAATCTTCCAGATTCATTTTTAAAATCATGACTATGAAAATAATACTTTTTTATAGGAGATAGACATGTTTGAGAGTACGTTATGTGGCCAAGAATGTGAGATTTGTTGCTCTATTTCAGTATAACAAACTAGAAGGATCTCTCAAGTAATTATTTTTTAGTCATTGTTGTATGTAATTACAGACCACCCAATAGGAGCAAACAATGAATAGTTAACCAAATTTAGTAAATACAACTTAACAAAAGTAAGAGAACAAAAGTGAGAACATGTAAATGTAATATTTGTTGTTTTATATATTCCAGATTCAGAACAATTTGTGGGCAGGAAATGCAAGTGGTGGTTCTGTGGTTACTTCATGCATGTTACCACGTGACACTTCCTCCTGTATGACACCTTATTCTCACTCGCCTCGGACAGATTCCAGTTACACGGGGTTTTCAAACCACCAGAACCAGTTCAGCCACGTGCCCCTCAACAATTTTTTCACTGACTCTCTTCTTACTGGGGCAACCAATGGACATGCATTTGAAACAAAGCCAGAGTTTGAAAGGAGGTCTTCCAGTATCGCAGTTCTTCGAATGAAAGCCAAGGAGCACACCGCCAATATTTCATGGGCCATGTAACATACAGTACTCTTTTATTTTTCTTTTAATAGCAAAGTTAAACATTCTTATTTCTCATATTTAAAGGATACCACAATAAGCTGCTGTGTGTGGAATTGCTAAAGGTCAAGATATTCAGTGAGACCAGCTTAAATGAATAGTTGTTATTTAACATTAAAATCTAAGAATGAACCTCTGAAAAGACTAAATAGGTTTACCATGTGCCAGTCTCCACAAACCCTGTTTTAGTAGTAAGGTTTTCTTTTTCTATTGTACAAGTCAATGAAATATGATCACGCAACTTATTAAAGAATAAATGTGTTAAACAAATTCTTCTGTTATAGATTGATTTATGTTACTTCTGTATAACAAGAAATCTCATGTAAAATAATACCTGATAAAGAAGGAAATGCACTGGGGAAAATGTCAAGATGCCAAAGTCGTCAGGTAAATATTGAATCAGGGTGTTCTGGGGAGTTAACTGCTCTCTCTCTCTCTCCAAAAAGCAGTGGGCAAAAACCCTGTTGCTGAGAATTTATTTTCAAGCCTCATTTTTGTTTTTGTTTTTACCCTTTGATGTTTTAGTGAATTTCCACTCTGTTAAACAAGGGATCTTTTAAAATAACCAACATTCGCATGAGATATTTGGGCATGGTTTCCTGAAGCCACATGGCTAAAGGTGATAACTGAAGTATTCTGGTGTGATTGAAAATATAGTCATGGGAGCGGACTTTATAAATGTCATTTTTCCAGTGAAGAAGCCAGCATAGACTCAATTACTTAATCATCACAAACAAGAAAAAATTTATAAACCTTGCTGTTGCTTTTAAACTAAGATCGTGTTGATTAAACTGTGCACATAAACCACTAATTAATACTACACTGAAAGTAACATTTTCTGTTAAAGCATCAGCGAGTTGGAATTTATATGTATTTTGTGGGTATGTGCATGCTTACATGCATGTGTGTTTGTTTCTCAACATATTATGCCTTAAGCATTTTTTGCTACTGTGGTTTTTGCATAGAGAATTAAAATGTCAGAAAGCTTTCTAAAATTTCTGTTGGAAAAGAAGAGAAGAAAAATACGTTGCATCTGGAAAATTGCTAACCCCTTTGATTTACTTCTCCTCCCTTTACCCTGTCACATTCCAAGCTTTTTCAGATGAGTGAAATGTCAACCTCCATGAAAGATTCTTAAGTTCATAAAGGCAAAGTAAATTAATTGAAATGAAGATGACTTCCATGGCTCAGATTAGAGCTGAGCTCTTTGTACTCTGTAGAATCTTCTTGTGGTTCCTGCAGACTTTAGGAATATGCTTGGGAGCTCTAATGGCTAAAGGACGAGAATAAATGAATTTTAAAATTAAATTTTGGAAAAAGTACTTAAATCCCGTAAGTGTATCTTCTTAGTGGGAAAATATTTATAGCAATTAAACATCTTTTGTAATAAAATTTTAAATCAAGCTGATGATAGAAATGAGTAATGTCCTAAACAAACATTCCCTGACTTCATAATACTTTATTCTTTATTACTTTTGTGTTCCCTTTCTTTATTTTTGTTTCTAAAAGAAATGTGTTCAATTTGGCTGTGAGAATTATGCTTTCATGCAAGATCTTTTGTTAAAAGTCTATTTAGGCAGCTGTTAAATATCCTTTTTGGTTTTAGAAGAGAATGACTTATTTTCATATATATTCATATATGTGGTTAATAGGAATTTGTGAACTAAAACTTAAAACAAAAAGGTAAGATTTTCTTTTCAAAAATTTCACAAATTAATAGTGTTCATTTTCATTTTCTTCCTCTTTAATTTAAATTTTAGTATCCCTTGGCTAGTACCATATATTTTTCAAATGAGAGACAGAAGTCATATTGTCAAGTTCAAATTTCATTTTCTTCCTCAGTTTTTCTAGTCTTTTTCTCCTTATACTTAATAATTAGGTAATAATTAGTTGGAGCTTCTATAACTATTTTTTCAATTGAAACATCTTTTTAATTAAGGTTTTACATCTATAATTCTCTGTATAATTCACATATTTTAAAAACATAGATGAAGGACTATTTGCAATAATAAAATAAGTAATGGAATCATAGTTCTTGTCCTTTATGAGTTCACAATCTTCCTGGACAAACACATGCCTGAAGTTTTTACCCTCAGCCATGCCTCAAATTGTATTATGGCAGTAAGAATCTCATGAATTTTCCTGTGTTAACATTCCAACTTCCTTTTTTACACAGTGAATTTTTATTATGTATTCAAGTTGCCAAAAATAAATAAAATGAACTTTTGATATAATAGGGTAAGATAAAGCTAAAACAAAGTACATAAAATGAATTTCCTGAATTTTCTCTTGCTCCTTCTGAATTTAAGTTTCAATACTAGAATTCATATTGATGTTATATACTTTTCTTAAGAGAAAAAACTAAGGAACATTTTACTTACTTTTATTTGGGCTTATTATTGATAGTATTATTGGGAGTTTTGGTACAATAAGTAATTTGAACCACATGGACATTTGTTCCCATGGCTATCTCATCCCCTATTTGCCCCTTCCATACATTTTCCTTGCATACATGGTTTAAAAGATGCTTCTTGTACTCTTTTTCTTGAGCAACATGGTTAACCCTTGAACCTCATGAGGAGAGATAAATTTATGGGAAAATTAGGTAAGGTTGCAGTTTCTTAAGGATAAAATGAAATTTAAGAAATGGTTTATAAATTTTTGAAAGTGTCTTATTTATTTGTTATGAATATTAAATAGTAAGTATTTTATTCTTACATAATATCTTATGAAAGTAGAAAAATAAAGTCACTGCAGTCTTTGCCCTGAGTCCTGACAACATATCTTAAAGGAATAACAGTTATGTAACCTATATAACCTTGAGGAAACTCATGAAATTGTGTGTATAAATTATGGGAATGTATTAGTTTCATCCTTTCATCTGACTGCTTATTTTGCCTTCAAGGGAGGGATAACAGGCAGACCATTTGACTTAACACAGTTCCTCCCAAGATGATATGCAATTGTTTACTTTTTGTCTCTTTACTTTCTTCTCTCAAATACCTTTGGACTTAATACAGTTCTTCTCAAGACAATATGCCATTGTTTTCTCTTTGTATCTTTACTTTCTCATCTCAGACACTTGGTGCTTGTTGTGATTGCCATGGTATAATTCACATATCACCTCTATCTGTGTGTGTGTGTGTGTGTGTGTGCGCGCGTGTGTGTGTGTGTGTGTGTGTTTTTCGGAGTTTCGCTCTTATTGCCCAGGCTGGAGTGCAATGGTGTGATCTCGGCTCACTGCAACCTCTGCCTCCCAGGTTCAAGCGATTCTCCTGTCTCAGCCTCCCAAGTAGCTGGGATTACAGGCGCCTGCCACCATGCCAGGCTAATTTTTTGTATTTTTAGTAGAGACGGGGTTTCGCTATATTGGCCAGGCTGGTCTCGAACTTCTGACCTCAGCCTCACAAAGTGCTGGGATTATAAGCGTGGGCAACCACGCCCAGCCTCCATCTGTTTTATGTAATGCTGTTCTATATATAATGCTATAGTTTTAGTTAACCAGCAACTAAAAAAATGCCTTGGATGAAATAAGAAGTGAAAAGATCAATTACAGTGTTTATATAAGCTTTGAAAATTTTAATTTCCTAAATTTATCAGTGGCTCTTATTTCTGTCTTTCAACATTTAATTCAGATAATATTCTATACAATAAGTAATTATGTTAGCATATTTTGTATTAAAATATTTGTCACTTATACTACCAAATATTTTAGGAGAAAAATTTAAATGATCTTATTTTTAAAATTCCAGTTGGTGGTGACCTCTCTTTTCTCTAATTAGAATGTAAAAATATATCTTTATTACTTAGCTCATAATTGTTCTCTTTAACCTATTTCTACTTTTAAAAATTAGGCATTTAAAACTTCAACAGATATTATTTCCTTATAGAAATTCATATATTGCATTGACTAAGAAGTATGACTTTTTGCAAGATAATCTACTTATTAAAGTGATATATTAAATAATATTTTAGCTCTTGGCCTCTAAGTCCTATTATATATATTTTATATACGCCAGGTAGTATTAAATAATTTCACTGGTGGTCAAATATGCAAATGAAGTCATAAATGAAATACCTAGCAGTACAGCTCCATTTATGGCCCAAAATCTCAAAAATGATTAAATGTGATATTTTATAGCACATAGTAAATGCTGAAAGAGGTTTTTTTTGTTTCAGTAATTCTCTTTATATAAGCATATTGTCATTAATCTTGGAAATGTACTGCAAGATGGTGAACAATGCTTCAAGACAGGAACTAGCTAATTCTTCAGTTTTACTGAATAAAATAGTAAAGAGCTGAAAGAAGCCCTTTTAGTGCCTTGTTATTCTTAGAATTGCATACCACTAAGCGTTTTCCATGTCCAAGGGGCAAATAAATGATTTCACTTGAAAATTTCATCATGACTCTATTTTATAGTATGTTTTTGATTTTTTTTTAAAAAAGAAACTTTATGTACTGAAGTTTTTTCATGTGTCTTCACATAATGTATACTTGCAATATTTATTTTACCTGTTTACCTTGAGGTAAAATTTAAAGGCTTAAGAGAATAATCCAGAACAATTGTTAGCATTGTCAAAACATGACAGCTTTTCAGTAGGAGGCAAAAGGACCCCCCTACGAGCTATTTACACAGTAAATAGGAGAGGATGCCTGTCTGAATATAATTTAGAGTTTCCATGAACTGAGATGGAAACTAATTAAATCTTTATTTTCACTAATACCTGGAATAAATCTTAGCATTTTCTTTCATTTAGTATATAGACAATAGATGTCAGTAGTATTCGCAATACCTGTGAATTTGTCCCCAATAGAAAGAGTAGATATTTTCATGAAGTTATTGTAGATTCCTTGCAATAACTATAATTAAAATTCATAATTTGATTAAGGCAGTTTTCAAACATGACTTCAACATTGACATAGTTTTAGCTCTGTTACTGGCTCTTGTTGATCTGTCATAAAGATGCACAGATATCACTACATCGAAGAGTTAGTTTTGTAACTATTTGGATGCCTCTATTTGAACATACTTGGTTTCGCTCCTAAGCCTATGCATTTTCTTTTACTTAAAATCATTTTCTAAGTAAGAATTCACAGACTTTACTGAATTGCCAAAAGTGTTCGTAGGATATTCTCTTTTGCCATTATTTTCACTCTGAATACGTTGACTATTTTTAGGGTTTTCCTTCTTAATATTTAGTCCTCTTCCTACCTCACTAAAAAAATATTTCTAAGGTGTTTCTATGAATATTTTTTCCTGACTTTTTTTATTTGAACCAGAAAACATATCCACAAGGGTAGCTCCTTTAAAAAGTTGCATAAAGTTTTAAATTAACAGAGCACTTTCATATTTATTTTCTCACTTGACTTTCACAGTTCTGTGACAGTGGGTATAATTATCATCTCCCTTTCACATTATGAAGAAACTTAGGGTCAGAGAGTATAAGGATCTCCTGTCAAAAGCATCTCCTGCTGCCTCCTTATCCTGCAGACTTTTTTTAAGCTATGAAAAAAAAATAATTTAGATATGCATTTTAAAAGTATTTTATTGTATTCTGTGAAGTACTTAAATGAAATTCCTTTAAAATAGGCTTTAATTTTTCCTTCTGTTAAGTCAGTGTTAGACTTCTTTCTCTTCATTTATGAATTTTTAAATTCAGTTTTGCTCAATATACCAAACATTTATTGACAACCCACTTTGATCCAAGACCTTAGAGAAACTAACATGCTGGTTGGGGAGACCAGAGAGTCAAACAAATAATTACAGTATGACATGAACATGTCTCAAGCAAAATGCTAGTGGAAAACAGGTAAGAGATTAATTAATTTAATATTTTATAGGTCATGGAAGAGTACAGAGAAGAGATGACATTTGAAACAGACCTTGAAAGATGAATATGAACTTATAGAAATGACATTTTCTCTCTTTTTTCTTTTAAATAGAACCCAAATAAGTTTAGAAAAGCTATGTTCATGCTAGTTAAAATATTTGTAATCCTTTAAGATTTGTATCATTCCACAACTTTTCTCGAATTTTAAATATTTCATTTTGTTTTTATTATTATGTTTATTAACTGGACCAAAGTTCTCAAGCTCAACAGAAAAATGTTTTTTTATTCAATAATTTTTTTCAAGTTTTCTATAATAATATTAATTTAAACAAAATGTGCTGAGCTCATACTACAATGTACTATGCCAGCCATGGAGGTTATGAATAAATTCAAGCCACGGACTTTGTTTTCAAGGAATATTCACTTTAGTTGGATGGGTGACATTATTGAAACTTTCATAATATGAAAAAATAGCATACATATTTTAATAGATCTATATATATAATGTATAACAAAAAGTGGTAAAATTATAAGTGCACTTCAAAATGCACATCTGTAGAAAGCTGATAGTAAAGTTCAATAAGAATAAGGTTTCACCCTGGTATATCCCTTGATCTCTGACCAAAAAAAAGAGAGAGAGAAGATTTTGAGGTCATTACAGGAAAAATACTCCCTACTCCATGAATGGGAGAAGAAAAAGAGGCAGCTGGGTATTGCTTTTGTGTCTTTAATTTAACTCTTTGCCCCACCTGGCTAAAGTCTGTCTCACTTTATACAAAACTGTTTTCTAAATTGTATAAGCCGAGTTTTAATGGAGGAATAGGTATCTCTTATCTAAACTCCTCTATTCCCAGCTGTGATATTGATTGATGTTTTTAAAGTCCTGAGGAGCTACCCTTGTGGATATGTTTTCTAGTCCAAAGAAAAACAAGTCAGGAAAAAGGGAATCATAGGAACACCTTAGAAATATGTTTAATGACCTAGGAAGAGAACTAAACGTTAAGAAAAGAAACTCTAAAAATAGTCAATGTATTCAGAGTGAAAATAATGGCAAAAGAGAATTTGCTAGGCTCATGTAGTTACATGATTCAGATTAGCATTTGTAGCTGTGTGAAGATTTCATAGATTTAAAGTTCTTCACGTGACGTTTCCATTGGCTTTGGCTGAAGTCACTATTTGGCAGAACAGAATCAAGATTCTGATGCCAGATATGTCACCGATGATCAGTTCCATCTCACCTCGCAGTTCTCAGAGTTCAAATCAATTCAGCAAATATTTATTGAGTGCTTATGGCTGCTGACTTTTCTAAGTCAGAGAAAAGTAATGAGATGTTAGTAAAATGTGACATGTCTCGGGTTAGACAGCCACAGATATAGAAAGCCACTATCATCATTGCTATTTTAAACCAAAAGTTTAATTAGATTGCATTAATAACACCAATAGTGTACATTGCTTCGAGTTACCATAATTTCCACACTGGATTCTTATTTTTAGCTACAGAAATCACTGGATATGAACTGAAGTCCCCAAGGCTTGACTTATAGGTAAAAGAACACCATCCCTCATCTAGCATCAGTTATGTATATTTCTAACAGCTCAGCTGAGGGACAGCATTAAGCCATTATATAAACTAATTGGGTTAATTCTGCTCTGGAATTTAGGCAAATAATGTAACTGAGATAAACAAAAGGTCACTTATGCATCTACTTGTACACATTTATCTACACTTCTTATTTATACTACTAAATGCTTAAAACAACACTAGGCTATAAATTTGCCTTTTCTTTCTGATTCTCTTGGCAGGGTTTCTTACATGCTTGACTTTTAAAGAGTGGAGATCGGTCTCCTCTCAAATAAATAAGAAAGCAGTGGAAGGAAACAACTGCAGCTACAAAGTAGTTCTAACCCATTAAACGCAGATGGCCCACAGGGGGTTTAATCATCAGGAGCGAACACACATCACACTGAAATATAGAGCTGTTTTCTATCACTTGTTACCATTTGAATGTCTGTCTCAAGAAAGTGAATTCCATATATCTTCCTGGCCATCAGTTGCCCTTTGAATACTCCTCTCTCTGATGTAGCTAGATTTCTCTTCAGAACTTACTGAGATGAATGAGCTCTTGCCACACGTAGAAGTGAAAGAAAACATTTCTTTCTTTGCCAGAACAGATGAGATTCGTCATTAGGAGAATGGATTTGACCTTGTAAAGTGGACCAAAGCAATTAACAAACAAATCCCTTTGGGGCAGATTGAGTTTATTCTAGTCCTTTAACAGAAGCTTTTTTTTTTTTTTTAGTACTCCACAGCAATCTTGTAAATTCATGGAATCTGAGCACAACAAAATCGAAAACACGGAATTGAAAAAATCATCTTCTATTTAAGCCTTTCCATGTAAGAGAATTTAAAGGACACTTAAAAAAAGGCACATAGGTTTATCCTCAGATACCATATCAACAAGTCAAATTAGTCAAGAAATCAAGAAAGAAAATAGATAAAACCAATTTGATAGCATCATATAAAAGAAAAACTAGAGATCAGCATTAAGGTCTATTGCAAAATGAGGAAAAACCCAATTTTAGGGCAATTTACCGTACCTAAGGGAAAGATTAATTGTACTTTGCGTCTCATACTCATTGTATGAGCTTCTTTAATATATTTATCTCTTATTGATGATGTCCCTTCTGTAGTGTCTTTCCCAGGCTTTTTATCTATGTCTTGTTCTTTTTAACTTTATTTTCCGCTTTCCTGGAGCCTATACCTAGCTAAAGTCCATTCTTCAAGTTTAAAGTCTTATGTGACATTCATGGAAAGAGCAGCTACCAATTCGTTGGACAGCACAGTAAGTAAGCAGCTTTCTTACTTTCCCTAGAGTACGTATTTAGCTAATGCTATTAAAGTGAATGACACAATCTTGAGTAAACCCAGCTGATAAACCCCATGGAAGCTGCTCATCTACCATGGGCCTGCAACACTTTGGCCTTGCTCTTTTATTTGTCTTTCTGAGTTTGTAAACCATTCAGCAATTTTGACACTTAGATGCAAATTGAAAGTTATTATTTTAACCCCTAAATAACCTAGTCAGTTCAAAGCATTAATAAAAAAGCATTTCTTCTTTTAAAATTTTGTACTTGTATTAATTTTTTTGTTTTGCAAAGTCTGCTTTTTCAAAATCCAAAAATAGGTCAAAGGAAAGATATCAGACTAGCAAAAGATCTGAGGTCTCAATATATTTGCAAACTTTTGGGTGCTTTAAAAATTTTATTATTAATGAGGAAAATATTAAATCCACTTATTTTTAATTTTTATTTCTTTTTACCAGTAGGTGGCACTGCACAGATGTAAGAGATATTTACATTTAATGTGATTTAGGGGACAAGAGAATCATCAGCAATGCTAGCTGGTGTGAAATTCCCTCCAATAGAGTTAGCTCTTAAAGTATTGTATCTGGGAGTCCCAACAGTTGTATAAGGGAAGAACATAAATTTATTAACACTAATTTTATTGATCAAACACTATAACAGTGCTCACTATGTGACAGATGAGTAGGTTCTCTTATTCTCCTATTCAGGTAAGAAAACTGAAGCACAGAGAGGTTAAGATTTCCGGATGTCAAACTTCTAGTGAGATATAGGACAGAGATTGGAGCTAGGCATTTGAGCCAGTCTGCGCTCTCTGCTTTGTTCCCTCTTACCTCACTAACATGAATCACTCATCCATCTATTCAGTGATTTCTAAGGAGCTAACTCGAAGACATAGAGTATTAAAACTAATACACAGTCCAATTAGAAAACCAGAGAAGTACTAGGAGCATGGGGGTAATCTTGAGGAAAGCGAAGGAGTCCTTAAGAGGAAGGGAACGTGTGGGTCTCCCTTCTAAAGAGCAGAGCTATATATCTGATCACCTACTTGTGCTCACAGGCACACCAGATATTAGGAGGCTGAAAATGGAACAAAAAATCCCAACCTACCCCTGCTTTTGTACAACATATACATACAGTTAATAGACTATATTTTCAAGAACAGTCTCAGGTTTACAGAACAGTTCAGTAGAAAGCAGAGAGAGTTTTGTTTACCTCTTTCTATTATTAATATTTGTATTAGTGCTCTACATTTTTACAACTGATATGACTTTATGAATACATTATTGTTAAATAAAGTCTACAGTTGACAACAGGTTTCATTCTTGGTGCTGTACATTCTATGGGCTTTGACAAATATATAATGACGTGTATTCACCATTATGGTAGCATTCAGAATAGATTTACTGGCCTAAGGATCCCCTTTGTTCCACCTTCTTTCCTTCTTCCAAACCTTTGACAACCACTTATCTTTTTACTGTCTCTATAGTTTTGCCTATTCCAGAACGTCATACAGTTGTAATCACACAGTATATAGTCTTTCTAGATTGGTTTCTTTCACTTCATTTCATCTGAGTTTTCTCCAAATATTTTCATGACTTGGCTCATTTTTCATCACTGAAAAACACATTATCATATGAATGGATGTAACACAGTTTATCCATTCATATTGAAGGACATCTTGGTTGCTGTAAGGGTTGGCAATTATGAATAAAGCTATTATAAGCAATCATGTGCAGATTATTGTGTGGACATAAGATTTCAACTTATTTGGGTAAATTACGGGGAGTATGATTCCTGGATCATATGGTAAGAGTTTGCTTAGTTTTATAAGAAACTGCCAAAATGTCTTCCAAAACGGTTCAATGATTTGGTATCCGCCCCAGTAATGAATGAGACTTCCTCGTGCTCCACATCCTCTCTAACATTTAGTGTTGTCCGTGTTTTGGATTTTAGTAATTATAAAAGATGCACAGTGGTATTTCATTGCTTTAATTTGCAATTCACTGATAACATGATATTAAGCATCTTTTTATATACTTGTTTTATATCTGTATATCTTCTTTGGTGAGGTGCCCAGATCTTTTACCCATTTTTAATTTTTGTTGTTGTTGTTGTCTTTTTGGGTTTTAAGAGTTCTTTGATATTTTAAATACAAGTTCTTTGTCAGATATACGTTTTGCATTTTTTCCTTATTCTATGGATTTTTATTTCTTTTTTTTTTATTATACTTTAAGTTTTAGGGTACATGTGCACATTGTGAAGGTTAGTTACATATGTATACATGTGCCATGCTGGTGCGCTGCACCCACTAACTCGTTATCTAGCATTAGGTATATCTCCCATTGCTATCCCTCCCCGCTCCCCCCACCCCACAACAGTCCCCAGAGTGTGATATTCCCCTTCCTGTGTCCATGTGATCTCATTGTTCAATTCCCACCTATGAGTGAGAATATGTGGTGTTTGGTTTTTTGTTCTTGCGATAGTTTACTGAGAATGATGATTTCCAATTTCATCCATGTCCCTACAAAGGACATGAACTCATTGTTTATGGCTGCATAGCATTCCATGGTGTATATGCGCCACATTTTCTTAATCCAGTCTATCATTGTTGGACATTTGGGTTGGTTCCAAGTCTTTGCTATTGTGAATAATGCCGCAATAAACATACGTGTGCATGTGTCTTTATAGCAGCATGATTTATAGTCCTTTGGGTATATACCCAGTAATGGGATGGCTGGGTCAAATGGTATTTCTAGTTCTAGATCCCTGAGGAATTGCCACACTGACTTCCACAATGGTTGAACTAGTTTACAGTCCCACCAACAGTGTAAAAGTGTTCCTATTTCTCCACATCCTCTCCAGCACCTGTTGTTTCCTGACTTTTTAATGATCACCACCATTCTAACTGGTGTGAGATGGTATCTCACTGTGGTTTTGATTTGCATTTCTCTGATGGCCAGTGATGGTGAGCATTTTTTCATGTGTTTTTCGGCTGCATAAATGTCTTCTTTTGAGAAGTGTCTGTTCATGTCCTTCGCCCACTTTTTGATGGGGTTGTTTGTTTTTTTCTTGTAAATTTGTTTGAGTTCATTGTAGATTCTGGATATTAGCCCTTTGTCAGATGAGTAGGTTGCGAAAATTTTCTCCCATTTTGTAGGTTGCCTGTTCACTCTGATGGTAGTTTCTTTTGCTGTGCAGAAGCTCTTTAGTTTAATTAGATCTCATTTGTCAATTTTGTCTTTTGTTGCCATTG
This sequence comes from Homo sapiens, assembly GCF_000001405.40. Taxonomy (NCBI): domain Eukaryota; kingdom Metazoa; phylum Chordata; class Mammalia; order Primates; family Hominidae; genus Homo; species Homo sapiens. The sequence continues at coordinate 85,313,465 of NC_000012.12, forward strand.
CTTTTGGTGTTTTAGACATGAAGTCCTTGCCCATGCCTATGTCCTGAATGGTAATGCCTAGGTTTTCTTCTAGGGTTTTTATGGTTTTAGGTCTAACATGTAAGTCTTTAATCCATCTTGAATTGATTTTTGTATAAGGTGTAAGGAAGGGATCCAGTTTCAGCTTTCTACATATGGTTAGCCAGTTTTCCCAGCACCATTTATAAAATAGGGAATCCTTTCCCCATTGCTTGTTTTTCTCAGGTTTGTCAAAGATCAGATAGTTGTAGATATGCGGCATTATTTCTGAGGGCTCTGTTCTGTTCCATTGATCTATATCTCTGTTTTGGTACCAGTTGTTTTGGTACCATGCTGTTTTGGTTACTGTAGCCTTGTAGTATAGTTTGAAGTCAGGTAGTGTGATGGCTCCAGCTTTGTTGTTTTGGCTTAGGATTGACTTGGTGATGCGGGCTCTTTTTTGGTTGCATATGAATTTTAAAGTAGTTTTTTCCAATTCTGTGAAGAAAGTCATTGGTAGCTTGATGGGGATGGCATTGAATCTATAAATTACCTTGGGCAGTATGGCCATTTTCATGATATTGATTCTTCCTACCCATGAGCATGGAATGTTCTTCCATTTGTTTGTATCCTCTTTTATTTCCTTGAGCAGTGGTTTGTAGTTCTCCTTGAAGAGGTCCTTCACATCCCTTGTAAGTTGGATTCCTAGGTATTTTATTCTCTTTGAAGCAATTGCGAATGGGAGTTCACTCATGATTTGGCTCTCTGTTTGTCTGTTGTTGGTGTATAAGAACGCTTGTGATTTTTGTACATTGATTTTGTATCCTGAGACTTTGCTGAAGTTGCTTATCAGCTTAAGGAGATTCTGGGCTGAGACAATGGGGTTTTCTAGATATACAATCATGTCGTCTGCAAACAGGGACAATTTGACTTCCTCTTTTCCTAATTGAATACTCTTTATTTCCTTCTCCTGCCTAATTGCCCTGGCCAGAACTTCCAACACTATGTTGAATAGGAGTGGTGAGAGAGGGCATCCCTGTCTTGTGCCAGTTTTCAAAGGGAATGTTTCCAGTTTTTGCCCATTCCGTATGATATTGGCTGTGGGTTTGTCATAGATAGCTCTTATTATTTTGAAATACATCCCATCAATACCTAATTTATTGAGAGTTTTTATCATGAAGCGTTATTGAATTTTGTCAAAGGCTTTTTCTGCATCTATTGAGATAATCTTGTGGTTTTTGTATTTGGCTCTGTTTATATGCTGGATTATATTTATTGATTTGCATATACTGAACCAGCCTTGCATCCCAGGGATGAAGCCCACTTGATCATGGTGGATAAGCTTTTTGATGTGCTGCTGGATTCGGTTTGCCAGTATTTTATTGAGGATTTTTGCATCAATGTTCATCAAGGATATTGGTCTAAAATTCTGTTTTTTGGTTGTGTCTCTGCTGGGCTTTGGTATCAGAATGATGCTGGCCTCATAAAATGAGTTAGGGAGGATTCCCTCTTTTTCTATTGATTGGAATAGTTTCAGAAGGAATGGTACCAGTTCCTCCTTGTACCTCTGGTAGAATTCGGCTGTGAATCCATCTGGTCCTGGACTCTTTTTGGTTGGTAAGCTATTGATTATTGCCACAATTTCAGATCCTGTTATTGGTCTATTCAGAGATTCAACTTCTTCCTGGTTTAGTCTTGGGAGAGTGTATGTGTCGAGGAATTTATCCATTTCTTCTAGATTTTCTAGTTTATTTGTGTAGACGTGTTTGTAATATTCTCTGATGGTAGTTTGTATTTCTGTGGGATCGGTGGTGATATCCCCTTTATCATTTTTTATTGCGTCTATTTGATTCTTCTCTCTTTTTTTCTTTATTAGTCTTGCTAGCAGTCTATCAATTTTGTTGATCCTTTCAAAAAACCAGCTCCTGGATTCATTAGTTTTTTGAAGGGTTTTTTGTGTCTCTATTTCCTTCAGTTCTGCTCTGATTTTAGTTATTTCTTGCCTTCTGCTAGCTTTTGAATGTGTTTGCTCTTGCTTTTCTAGTTCTTTTAATTGTGATGTTAGGGTGTCAATTTTGGATCTTTCCTGCTTTCTCTTGTGGGCATTTAGTGCTATAAATTTCCCTCTACACACTGCTTTGAATGCATCCCAGAGATTCTGGTATGTTGTGTCTTTGTTCTCGTTGGTTTCAAAGAACATCTTTATTTCTGCCTTCATTTCGTTATGTACCCAGTAGTCATTCAGGAGCAGGTTGTTCAGTTTCCATGTAGTTGAGCGGTTTTGAGTGAGATTCTTAATCCTGAGTTCTAGTTTGATTGCACTGTGGTCTGAGAGATAGTTTGTTATAATTTCTGTTCTTTTACATTTGCTGAGGAGAGCTTTACTTCCAAGTATGTGGTCAATTTTGGAATAGGTGTGGTGTGGTGCTGAAAAAAATGTATATTCTGTTGATTTGGGGTGGAGAGTTCTGTAGATGTCTATTAGGTCCGCTTGGTGCAGAGCTGAGTTCAATTCCTGGGTATCCTTGTTGACTTTCTGTCTCGTTGATCTGTCTAATGTTGACAGTGGGGTGTTAAAGTCTCCCATTATTAATGTGTGGGAGTCTAAGTCTCTTTGTAGGTCACTCAGGACTTGCTTTATGAATCTGGGTGCTCCTGTATTGGGTGCATATATATTTAGGCTAGTTAGCTCTTCTTGTTGAATTGATCCCTTTACCATTATGTAATGGCCTTCTTTGTCTCTTTTGATCTTTGTTGGTTTAAAGTCTGTTTTATCAGAGACTAGGATTGCAACCCCTGCCTTTTTTTGTTTTCCATTTGCTTGGTAGATCTTTCTCCATCCTTTTATTTTGAGCCTATGTGTGTCTCTGCACGTGAGATGGGTTTCCTGAATACAGCACAGTGATGTGGCTTGACTCTTTATCCAATTGGCCAGCCTGTGTCTTTTAATTGGAGCATTTAGTCCATTTACATTTAAAGTTAATATTGTTATGTGTGAATTTGATCCTGTCATTATGATGTTAGCTGGTTATTTTGCTCGTTAGTTGATGCAGTTTCTTCCTAGTCTCGATGGTCTTTACATTTTGGCATGATTTTGCAGCGGCTGGTACTGGTTGTTCCTTTCCATGTTTAGCGCTTCCTTCAGGAGCTCTTTTAGGGCAGGCCTGGTGGTGACAAAATCTCTCAGCATTTGCTTGTCTGTAAAGTATTTTATTTCTCCTTCACTTATGAAGCTTAGTTTGGCTGGATACGAAATTCTGGGTTGAAAATTCTTTTCTTTAAGAATGTTGAATATTGGCCCCCACTCTCTTCTGGCTTGTAGGGTTTCTGCCGAGAGATCCACTGTTAGTCTGATGGGCTTCCCTTTGAGGGTAACCCGACCTTTCTCTCTGGCTGCCCTTAACATTTTTTCCTTCATTTCAACTTTGGTGAATCTGACAATTATGTGTCTTGGAGTTGCTCTTCTCGAGGAGTATCTTTGTGGCATTCTCTGTATTTCCTGAATCTGAACATTGGCCTGCCTTGCTACACTGGGGAAATTCTCTTGGATAATATCCTGTAGAGTGTTTTCCAACTTGGTTCCATTCTCCCCATCACTTTCAGGTACACCAATCAGATGTAGATTTGGTCTTTTCACATAGTCCCATATTTCTTGGAGGCTTTGCTCATTTCTTTTTATTCTTTTTTCTCTAAACTTCCCTTCTCGCTTCATTTCATTCATTTCATCTTCCATTGCTGATACCCTTTCTTCCAGTTGATCGCATCGGCTCCTGAGGCTTCTGCATTCTTCACATAGTTCTCGAGCCTTGGTTTTCAGCTCCATCAGCTCCTTTAAGCACTTCTCTGTATTGGTTATTCTAGTTATACATTCTTCTAAATTTTTTTCAAAGTTTTCAACTTCTTTGCCTTTGGTTTGAATGTCCTCCCATAGCTCAGAGTAATTTGATCGTCTGAAGCCTTCTTCTCTCAGCTCGTCAAAGTCATTCTCCATCCAGCTTTGTTCCGTTGCTGGTGAGGAACTGCATTCCTTTGGAGGAGGAGAGGCGCTCTGCGTTTTAGAGTTTCCAGTTTTTCTGTTCTGTTTTTTCCCCATCTTTGTGGTTTTATCTACTTTTGGTCTTTGATGATGGTGATGTACAGATGGGTTTTTGGTGTGGATGTCCTTTCTGTTTGTTAGTTTTCCTTCTAACAGACAGGACCGTCAGCTGCAGGTCTGTTGTAATACCCTGCCGTGTGAGGTGTCAGTGTGCCCCTGCTGGGGGGTGCCTCCCAATTAGGCTGCTCGGGGGTCAGGGGTCAGGGACCCACTTGAGGAGGCAGTCTGCCCATTCTCAGATCTCCAGCTGCGTGCTGGGAGAACCACTGCTCTCTTCAAAGCTGTCAGACAGGGACATTTAAGTCTGCAGAGGTTACTGTTGTCTTTTTGTTTGTCTATGCCCTGCCCCCAGAGGTGGAGCCTACAGAGGCAGGCAGTCCTCCTTGAGCTGTGGTGGGCTCCACCCAGTTCGAGCTTCCCGGCTGCTTTGTTTACCTAATCAAGCCTGGGCAATGGCGGGCGCCCCTCCCCCAGCCTGTCTTCCGCCTTGCAGTTTGATCTCAGACTGCTGTGCTAGCAATCAGCGAGACTCCGTGGGCGTAGGACCCTCCGAGCCAGGTGCGTGATATAATCTCGTGGTGCGCCGTTTTTTAAGCCCTTCGGAAAAGCGCAGTATTCGGGTGGGAGTGACCCGATTTTCCAGGTGCCGTCCGTCACCCCTTTCTTTGACTTGGAAAGGGAACTCCCTGACCCCTTGCGCTTCCCAAGTGAGGCAATGCCTCGCCCTGCTTCGGCTCGCTCAGGGTGCGCGCACCCACTGACCTGCGCCCACTGTCTGGCACTCCCTAGTGAGATGAACCCGGTACCTCAGATGGAAATGCAGAAATCACCCGTCTTATGCGTCCCTCACGCTGGGAGCTGTAGACAGGAGCTGTTCCTATTCGGCCATCTTGGCTCCTCTCTTCGCTTTTTATTTCTTTCTCTTGACAAAGTTTCTCACAGAACAGAAGTTTTTAATTTTAATGAAGTCTAACTCACTAATTTTTTGTTTTATGGATCGGGCTTTTGGTATTGTATCTAAAAAGTTGTTGCCAAACATAAGGTCACCTAGATTTTCTCCTATATTATTTCTTAAGAGTTTTATAGTTTTATGATTTACACTTAAGTCTTTAATACCTTTTGAGCTAATTTTTGTGAAAAGTATAAGGACTATGCCTAGATTCATTTTTTTTCTTTTGTATGTGGATGTCCAGTTGTTGAAAAAAAAGTATTTTATTGAAAAAGTATCATTTCTCCCTTGAATCATCTTAGCTCCTTTGTCAAAGATCAGTTGACTATATTTGTGTGAGTCCATTCTTGGGCTACTGCTTTTCATTTCTCTGTTATTCCTCTATTATTTCTTCTGTAATACAAACTTGAGTGTCATTTTTTTTAAAATTCCTGTCTCTTCTCCCTCATAGGCATCAGCTATCAAAACTTATGGTAAGTATTTTTAACGTATTATTTATTTTATTACTACAACAATCCTCTGTATTATTAGGCCCATATTAAGTGAGAAACGGCTCAGAGAGGGAGTCTGCTTATATAGACTGAAACAACTGTATTCTTCACTTATTTGGGAAATTACCACACACATCTCATAAGTGGCAGAGCAGTTTGACTTCGGGATCTGAACTTCCAAGCATTACTGTAATTTCTAAATCTATTTTGTCATTAATTCGCTTCACCTGTATTGCCATCATATTAATTCAAGCCACTATCATCCCACAGTAAATTTACTAACAACACTCAGTGTCTTCCTTCTTTCCTTCCTTCTTTTCCTTCCTTCCTTCTTTCTTTTCTTTCTTTCTTTTCCTTCCCTCCTTCCTTCCTTCCTTCCCTCCTTACTTATTTTCTTTCTTTCTCCTTTCTTCTTTCCTCCCCCTTCTTCTCCTCTTCCTCCTCCTCCTCCTTCCCTCTTCCTTCTTCCTTCTTTCCCCTTCCCCCTCTCCTCCCTTCCTCTCCCCCCTACATTCCCCTCCCCTCCCCCTCCTCTTTGTCCTCCTCCTCCTCCTCTTTCTTATTCCTCTTCTTCCTCTCCCTCTCCCTCTCCTTCTTCTTTTTCTTCTCCTTTTTCTCAGAGGTGAAGTTTTGCTATATTGCCCAGAGTGATCTTGAACTCTCAGGCTCAAGTGATCCTCCTGCCTCAGCCTCCCAAAGTGTTGAGATTACAGGCACAAGTCACTGCACCTGGCCCACTCAGGATGATTCTTGAGTCTGGTCCCACTCCAGATGGTTTTCTTCTAAATCACAAATCTGATAGCACTAAACACAAAACTACCTAATGGCTCTCCAACATCTCTAAAGAAAGCAGACAATCCAAAATATGATTACATACCTTCTCCTCATCCAAATCTCTAATCCTACTACACTGACCTACATGTACTTCTCTTCAGGCACTGTGTCTGTGCTTAAATATTCACCTTGTACAGGTGAGTCCATTTGCCTCTATTGGTCTTTTCTGTCTTTTCATTTGGCTAATGCTTTGTTTTCCTTCAGATTGAAACTTAAAGGTTGTATTCAAGTAGTGTTGTCAAATTTAGCAAATGGAAATACAAGACACCTAGCAACAGATATTGCATGGGACATAATTATATTAAGAAATTACTCATTGTTTATATGAAAATCAAATGTTATTGGACATTCTCTATTTTCTCTGGCAATGCTATGTCCTAGGGATATCTTCCCTGAAACCATACCCTATGATTTGGCTAAACACTCCTCTGATTTGCTCCTGTAGCATCCTATGTTTACTCTATCACAACACTCATTTCTTATCTATTATTTGTATAATACATCCATCTCTGTCATCATCCTTAAGGACAAAGAATCTATCTTTTTCAGCAGCATGTTTCCAGCATCTAAATATCCAATGCTTGGTGCCCAATAAATATTTATTTGGTATTTTTAAATGAATGAATGAATTAAACAACTTTAATTCAAATCCTTAAGCCATTTTAGGATGTATTATGAATATCAAGATGTAGTTTACACCTATTTTGATGTGTTTAAAATTAAATTAGAAATTTTAGTTTAGAATTTTTGAAATGATATCAATCATTTTCAAGTAATTCCTGGCAAGCCTTATGTCTTAGGTCATTAAGGCTGTAACAAAATACCATGAACCAGGTGGCTTACAAACAACAGAAATTTATTTTTACAGTCTGGAGGCTGGGAAGTCCAAGATCAAGGCACTAGCAAGATAGATTTGGTCACTGATAGATGATGCCTTCTCACTGTGTCCTCGTATGGGTAAAGGAAAAAACTCTGGTCTCACAGGTTCATTATAGGCCACTAATCTCATTCATGAGGGCTTCACCCTAATGACCTAAACACCTTCAAAGGTCCCTCCTCTTAATATCTTCAAAATGGGTATTAAGTTTCAACATATGATTTTTGAGGGGACACAAACATTCAGACTATAGCAATTTAGCTTCCCTAAGCACAAAGGCATACGAAGTTGAACCCTAGGCTGCTAAATTTGTAACTTACTGAAATTGCAGCCAAAGATTGGGTTCCCTCTGCCTTCCAGAGGTTGGAAATAACAGATGACATGCTAAATATTGCCCACTTACCCAATCCATAGGGAGAAAATATTGATTTTTCTATATTTGTCATCTAGATCAATATTTTCCTCCACAACATGTGTCAAAGATGTTTCATTGTTCAGGTTGATAACAGGTGTTCTTCAAAAGCAAAAATATTATAAGTTTTTTTACCTGCTGGGTAAAACAAGCCTAAACCAATTTCCATCCTCTAGGAATTTTCAGAACCATTAACATATCAATTTATGTAGTGAATTTCCAAAAGGTGTTGTATAAAATAGGTGATTTTTCTAATCTAAACAGAACAGAGTAGTTTTGTTAGGTAATAACCAATTTGGGAAATAATTATATAGATTTCGTTGTAGGGTAAATGTGTATGTCTACTTGATTTTTGTTGTTAAAAACAAGTTTTTGGAATGCCTGATTCAGATATGGGATTGCATAATTTGTGTAATACACCTAGCTTTCTGGGGTCACGTTCATCTGTTTTGAAGTAGAGCACCGAAAATTTTCCAAAATAAATGTTCTTGGGATTTAGTATATGTAAAAGAAAGTTTGTATTTCATACAGAAATCTGTAAGCCCATAAAGAGATATGTAAAGTTCTTGAGTAGTTATATATAATTTGGATTGCTGAGCATTAAGTATGTTGGATTTTAAAACAAGAACTTCAAAGGTAAAATATAATTCTCACTAATGAAAAGCACATGTGGTATGGCTAAATCCCCCAGCCCCCACCCCCATAAGCAACAGTCAGGGCAGGCCTGATGTATGATCAGAGTACACGGCCACCTGTGAACTGAAGTTTGAAGGACCTGATCTACCTAGCTGCCTTCCAAATCATGCTTACTTCCATCAGTGGAATAAGGTTGAGTGTCACCAGAAGAGTTAATATGTATAGTGTTGCCTGTGAAAGATGGCACATCAAGTTATTACTGCCTATTAACCTAGAAGTTAGTATAGGTTTATTATCATTATTGTTACATGCCACGGCACTAATATTTAATAATAATAGGTACCATTTCACTCAACCACATAAGCCAGTTGTTTTATATGGTAGTGACAGTAGGTAACATTTTTGACCACTTAGTGTGCTACACATAATGCTAAGTTTTTTACTTACATTATTACATTTAATTATTTCAATACCTTCTTGAAGTCAATTTCACTTTTATATCCATTTTATAGATGATGATGCTTAAGGCTTTGAAAACTTAAGTGTTTTACTCAAGAGGTATAGTAAGTGGCTGAGATGGTCTTTAAAATGATCTTTATATGATCTGTGAGCCTGCATTCTTGAAGCTCTATGCTTTAAGAATAATTATAATTCCCCAATTTGGATAGATGCTGAAGTATTCGTATGGACCTTAATCATGGAAACAACTGATGCTCATAAAAGTCTACATACTTTGTCCAGGGTCTTGAGGGAACAGATACATAGTTTCACTGCAAGAAAATAAAAATAAATTATGTAAAACTACCTATGCCAGCAGTAGCACCAAATATGAGATTCAGGGCAAGAAGAACATATAGTTTGGCAATACGGAGATGAGGTGAAGGGAGAGAACAAAAAATAAAGTAGGATAAACCCCAAAGACCAAATTGGCCTTTGCAACAATTCCATTTCAGACTTTAAGGAAACACTCTGGCTATTAAATCTTACTTAATGTTCTCTATGTAATTTATAAACTGTCTAAAAAATAAAATAGGTTTGAATAAAAAATAATGTTTTCATTCCTAAAAGCATTAGGAAATAGACCACTTGAGGTCAGGGTAACACCAAAAAGAATTTCCCAGCACTAAAACAAACCACATTGCAAACTCTTCCTAAGTGCTTAGCAACGTTCTGAAATGGCTCCATTTATGTGAGGCTTGAGAAAGGAAAGAGGCCTCTTGTGAACTTTTCAACCACAGAGAGGAGTGTTCTCTAAAAAGATATATTCAGAGTGCTATAACAAGTGCTACATATAAGTTGGTGAATCGCCTTATTTAAAAACAAGTGCCAATAAAAGATATTCTTCCTGTTGACAATAAAAATAATTCAATTTTCAGAAATTAAGTTTCTGCAAGTCATAATAACTGTTTTGTGTTTAATGTTCTTTATGTTCTGTAGCTATTTTTGATTTCTTATATCTGTTTTTAATTACTATCTCATTGAATATCTCATGATTGTTTTTGCAACATCTTTTTGAATGACTGAGTAATGTAGATAGATATTAATAAAAAATTGACATTGAGTGATATCTGACACACTGCTGCTAAGAGGATCTGGAATATAGAAAATAAGAATTTGTCATGGTGGTTGTTTGATTTCAAATATTTCCTTTCTAGCAAACTTCCCCAGGAGAAAATATTAATTCCCACTTTCACAGCCCAAATAGAGGTGAGATTACAAATAATCCTTGATGTATTACAACTACAAAAGTTAATATACCATTTTTTTTATCCTGCTAAGTACTAATCACTTTAGAAAGCACTCTGTGAGACACCTATTATTATTATCCCATTGATAGATAAGGAAACTAAATTTTAGAGAGGTTAAGTAATTCATCCAAAGTCACACAGTTAGTCAGTGGTAGAGCCAGGATTTAAATTCTGGCAATTTAACTTCAATTCCAACAGTTAACAGTTGTAATGTTATGGTCTAGATGGTCTCCTGTGGAAAGAGCATTGTTGGAAACCCAGTTCTGACACTGCCATGACCTTCGTTTCTCTGTGTCTTGGATTCCCCATCTGAATAACGAGGAAATCTCTAACTGAGCCCTGAGATCTATCAGATGCCTAACGTTCTATGACTGTCTCTAATTGTTACAGCAAAACCTTAGAGAAATGACTACTTGTGCAGTATCCAAAATGGATTATATTATAAATGGAAAAACTAGAGAAAAAGAATGATTATTTATAAAAGGGGAAATTAAAATCATACGTATTAATAACTCATGAAATACAGTGAATTCATTTAGTGTTCTGGTGCATATGAAAAAATCGCTTTTACAGATGCCTTTGGCGATTGCATTCCTAGACCTTGGACCTTAAACCTGGAAAATATTTTTTGTTTGTTTGTATGTTTTATGTATTTGAATTTAAACAGCTGGTATAGAGTGCTCTTTTTCTTATATTCCTAAGTATGGTAAGTTAGAAAAATTTTGCCAAGGACCCTTCAATTCCCTTTGTCTAAAATATGCTTGTCTGACTTTCTTGGGTGTGACCAAAGGTCTTTAGTCTTATTTTCAAGTGAAGTTGAAGGTCCTATTTTCAAGTGAACTTTTCCCTTTGTAACTCCATCTTCCATTTTTATTAACCAGTCAAGCATGTTTTACTTTACACTGTGATAAGAGGATCAGAAACAGCTTCCCCACATCTAAGGCGATCTTAATCAATTGCAAGGAATACATGAGTGGCATAGTGTGGAAGCTTCCTGCCTAGAGGAAGAAGAGAGCTCCTCTGGATTATTACTTTTGATTCCACTGATAAAGGAAGAAAATTAGGTAACCTTGAAAATGAGTACTTTTGCCTGTGAACCATTTTGAAGGGACATGAGGTAAATTGTTACCCCCCTGTCGACCCTCAACTAACCTTTCACTTTTAACATATGTTTTTTGAAGTGCCGGCCCTGTTGATTTGCATGGCTGTTTGGGTACAAGTTTCAGAGAAACCTGCTGCCCCCAAGTCTTTCATCACTTTTTTGAACTTTGAGTATAAACATTAAAATGCCCTTATGGCTCACAGAAGACTGGGTGACTGGCATTGACTAAGAGATATTCTCTAGTAACACACCCTTAGTAACCCCAAGGTGTGTTACTTAGCCCCTCACTCAGCAACCTAACTATGAGGTCTAGTTACCCAGGATGGAAAATAACTACTATAAGCTCATTGTGCTTGCAGGGATGAAGTGGTGATTGTATCATAGAATCTCTGGAATATCCTGAATTTTTCTTTGTGGCCCACTGGGTTCTGAGGCATTTTCCAGGTTATTTCAGTGTGAATCAAGCTACTGTATCCTAATACTTCTGTCTCTCAATGTCAAAGGATGTGATCAATAAAAGAAGAAATATATAGTTAATGTGATAAGATACTGACAAAGCAAAAAAAGAAAGCAAAGAAAGTATCAAGTGTTTGCTTTTTTGGCAAAGGCTGTTTCACTGTAGTGTAATCTAAAGGAATAAATATGCAAAAGGCTGTTTCGCTATAATGTAATCTAAAAGAATAAATATGCAGTTAATCATAAGTACACATAATATGGTCCTCAAAGGAAGAGAAATGCAAGGGTTAAACACATTAAATTATCTTTCTTTCTCCTTTGGTGCCTGTTAAATAACTTTAACTCTTTCTTTTATTGTCCTTAATACCAATGCTCCCACCTCTGAAAAACCCACCACTTTTTTTTTCTTTCTTTCTTTCTTTTTTTTTTTTCCTAGAAGGAATAAGGTCAAATTAATGGAATGAAAATATGAAAATCAGTTCTCACTAATGTCCAGGGTAGAGGCTGGCAACGTTCCAGAAATGCTTTTCCAAAATACTGGTTTCAAGTTTTCATTGTGGCGGAGGGAGGGAGAGAGGGGATTTTGGAACACTGAGAACCCCTGGGGATTATTGCTGGCTCAGACACCTCATTACAGAGCTTTAGAGGCAAAGTGACAGGAGAGCCTTGGAGGCCAGGGAGATCCTGGAGAAAGACTTCATGAAAGTAGGAGTGTAGAAAAATAAATAAATAAATAAAGTAGAAAAATAATGTCTTTCATTTGTGATATTAGTAGTGATAATCCTATTAATTAAATATGCTGATAGGTTTAACAAACTCAGTGCTGTGTGAAATGTATATATTTTTTGCTCCTCTCTGAATTTCTAATGGGTAGCCATACATTACCCAATAAATTGCATATAGCAAATACTCAATAAAAATCTGCTGAATTAATTTAAGTTAAACGTCATCTATAGGCAACGTTGTTATTTATCAAATCCGAATATCTACTTTGTGTCGAGCCCTGTGCTAAGTATTGCAAAGGATAATGGAATACATTTTTGAGACATAGATCCTGCCATCAAGGGGTTTATAGTTTAACTATGATCATAACAAAAGTTTGAAAGCCAGTCTGATGTGATGTCAGTTGCCGTAAGTTGACCTTGAGTGCATGAAAAAAATAAATCGTGCCACGTCCAAAGCATTTTATATTGAACTGTCTTTCTTTCTTTTCTATTTTTCTTTTTCGTTTTCTTTTTTTTTTTTTTTTTTTTTTTTTTTTTGAGACGGAGTTTCGCTCTTGTCACCCAGGCTGGAGTGCAATGGCTTGATCTTCGCCCACTGCAACCTCAGCCTCCTGGGTTCAAGTGATTCTCCTGCCACAGCCTCCCGAGTAGCTGGAATTGCAGGCGCCTGCCACCACACCCAGTTAATTTTTGTATTTTTAGTAGAGACGGGGTTTTGCCATGTTGGCAAGGCTTTTCTCAAACTCCTGGCCTCAAGTTATATTGAACTTTCAATTGGGAGGATAGATAACCTTCAGCCTTTTAAAAAACTCATGTAGCTACAAAGAAATTGAAGTTTCACTATTTTATGAATATATGTATATCAATACCTTTTATAATAATTCTCTCAAGACCCTAATTATTTTACTATACAATAGCAGCTATTTAAAAATATTTCTCAATGTAACATGTATGTACACATATATATGTGTACGTATATTTGTGTGTGATTGTATGTGTGCAAGTTAAACACATGTGGAGGGAAGGAGAGTAAGAGTGAACTTGTACCGAACATATGTTTCATGAGTTAATGAATAACATTAGTTTGAGGAAAAAGCTGTTTCTAAATATTTCATGGAAACCAACATAAATAGGAAAATTTCTCCGCATTGGAATAAAAATGTCATCTATTCACCATGTCTGCATGGATTACTGCAACTCTGCCTTTATCTATCATGATCCATAACCTATCTCCAAAAAGAGTGTAAAGCTGACGTCGGATTGAGTCACTTCTCTGCTTAAATCTCTTCAGTGTCTTCAGTTGCTTTAGATCAAAGTCAAAACCCAGTATCATGGTTAACAATGCCTACCGTAATCTGGCATTTGCTAACCTCTCCAGCCTTTCTTGCTGGATGCTCCAGTCCAGTGGCTGAATGTTGTTCCATTCCTGGATGCCCTATACCCTTTGTTTGATCTTTTAAGTTTTCCTATCTCTTACCTTTGCCAAGAAAAAATCTTCTCTCGCTCTTTCTAATGGTCTTCCTTTCCTTTGGTTCTAACTTAAAAGTCACTTATTTCTGACACTTTGCTGACATTGACTTAGTTGGTCTGCTCAGTGCTTTCTTAGTACCTTCTTTTTCCTGGGTTACAACAATTGTCATACTTTATTATGATTGTTACTGTAAGTATGTCTCCTCACTACACTGGCATCCTCCATGAACATAGGGATAATGTCTATTTTGTTCACAGCATGTGAAACATAGAATAAATGCAATATTTATAGAATTCATTCATTCATTCAAGAAGTATATATTCATTGATGCTAGGCAGTGTTCTAGGTACTTGGAATATAGCAGTGAACAATACAGACAAAATTATCTGGTCCCATGGGTTTATATTCTAAAGAAATAAGGGGAATCATAGTTTGTTAGAAATGATAAATGCTAAATCAAAAAAACAAAAAGGGAGGGGCAGGTAAGAAATTGCTGTGGTGAAAGGGGGTTATACTTATAATTGAGATGGATTAAGAAGGGCCTTATTGAAAAGGTGACTTGAAGGAGCTGCAATAGAGTCAAGGGGATATGGGGCAGAAGAGCCCTGCAGGCAGAGATACAGAGGTAAGGCCCTGAGGCAGGATTGTCCCTATTGTGTGAAAGGGAAAATGTTAAGAGATCAGACAGGTAATGGGAACCAGATCACTAAGATACTTGCCAGCTATTCAATTATCCTATTTCTTCTTAAAGTTTCATCTGCTAATTTTAGTATTTATTCATGGCTCTTGCCTACACTAATAATTACTATAGTGTGTTCTAATGGTGATTTTCCATTTCCTTTATTTTTTCTATATTATTTGAAATTCTCCTGTAAAGAAGATTTTCCTTTTCTCCCATTTATTTATTTGTCCATTCAACCATTTATTTATACCCATGTGTCCTCATAGATATTTGTTTTTATTATTTGGGTTATAATTCAATGCCCTAATTATTTATTGCATTTGTCAAATTGTTTCAGATTTTGCTATTGGGAAATTCTTTCTGATTGGCTCCTGCCTCCTTTTGATACACTCTGGTCTTGTTTTTATTGAGCCCTTCCTTACTCTCAGGCACTGCAAGATGCTCCAGGATCATCTTGTATGTTCCCCGCCCCAGTCATGTATATTAACCTATGTATACACACATATCTATATCCAATTATGTCTGTCTGTTTGTATGTCTGTCTGTATATAAATACATACATTCAGGTAATATCTGTGATTCTAGTCCAGCACCACAGAGTTTAATTCTAGTTTTCTGTCTTGCTTATTTATGACTTCTTTCTCTTACAGCAAGAAACCTAGCTCCCATTATCTATAATTTATTGACTCATTTGTTCAACCTAGTATGCAGGCAAAGTAGTTTAAGGATTGTTGATCTGTACCCAGGATCTTGGCTTTAATGTAAGAAGAAGGATTATTTCTGTTTTATGATCATCTTTAGAATTATTCTCTGGTACATGCTGGACATTAGTCTATTGTTGATAATACTAATAAATAATGGAATCAGTCAATACAACTCACATTTTATCATGTTGTGCAATAGTTAGATATCAGGAAGCTCTGACTGGTGTCCTTCATGTCAGTTTAATAGCAAAGAATGTGAGCCTTGAGTCAAAGAAATGGCTTGAAAATGTTGCCATGTAAACGTAAGAAATGAGTATCTTACAGCATACATGTTGGTACTCGAGTGGAGACATCTCTGCCTAATTTCATATCACTAGAGTGGCTGAACCATAGATGTATTGACTGTTGTGCTAATTTACCTTATGATTAAGTGTTTGTCACTGCTCCATTATTTTGCATGCATTGATACAGATTCTTTTCAGATATTTTGCAAAATGAAGAAAACCTGAAGTTAAGGTAGTTAATTTAAGACATTTAAATTAAGACAGTTTAAACAATTAACTTTTAATAGTAATTCTCTCTCTGTCTCTCTTCCTCTTTGACACATAGTTTCGCTCTGTTGCCCAGTCCGGGCTGGAATGCAGTAGCACAATTACAGCTCACTGCAGCCTTGAACCCCTGGGCTCGAGACATCCTTTCACCTCAGTCTCCTGAGTAGCTGGGACTACAGGCACACACCACCATGCACAGCTACTGTTTAAATTGTTTGAAGAGATGGGGTCTCCCTGTATTGCTCAGGCTGGTCTTGAATTCCTGGGCTCAAGTGATCCTCATATCTCAAACTCCCAAAGTGCAGGGATTACAGGTGTGAGCCACAGTGCCCAACCCCATTTCGTCTTTTTAAGGTAAATGAGTTCTGCACATTTTAAGAGATGTGAAAGATAACAAAGCAGTTAGTATTCCATACCTGAACTGCTCAGTTGAAATTTAGGTGTGCTAACATGAACTCTACCAGTTCAAAAGCAAGAAGAGCTGAGCTGTTTGTAAATTAGTCTGTATCTTTTCAGTGCTGTCTAAAGCTACATAAATATTGTCCTTTGAAAAGTGTTTCAAACGATGTAAAACTTGATATTTTACCTGGTTATGCAATAGATTAGCTCATAAAATAGAAAATAGTATTTGAAAATAATGACATATTATAATTTAATGACATGTCAAGTGAATCATTTCATCAAAATAATAAAGAGAAAGGTAAAAAAATCCTTCTGAAAATCAGTTATGAACACAGTAGAATGCTTTAGGGTACTGTGCTGAACAAATAGAAGTAATACAGAAGCGATTCAACAGGAGTGAAATGGCTTGGTAAATACTATTCACTAGCTGGTTCAAATGACAGTTATCGTTCATTGTTTGTCATTGTAAACTGAAAGAAAGCAGGAACAAGATAAAATAGCTGACCTCAGTTTATTTTAATTAACATTTTTGTATGGTTCATTTTTGTCCAAGACATACATGTGCATTTTCAGTGCACAAATGCAACAACAATTTTAAAATGCTTAATATGTAGAATCTGTATCACCAGAGACTTAACTAAACAGACATAAATAAGCTGAAATTTTTCCTACAATCAAAGAGAGCATTTTAGTGTATGAGTTATGTTGCCTGTAAGCCTAAGTTTGCTTGTTCTTTCTCCCTTGCCACAAACAGGACTTACAGAAGTCTCACCTTCCTCTTTCCTCAGTAGCTCCTATTTTCCTCCAGGGACCCATACTCACATTCTTCCTTCCTCCCTCCCTTTCTCCACCCCCTCTCTCTCTTCCTTTCCTCCATTTTATCAAATCTTGCCTTTCTTTTAGACTTTGGCTTTTTCTGCCACTGACTTGTCATCATTCCTTCTGTATTTACTTAACACTAATAATTCCATTAAAACTCATTATCCTATTTCTCCCTTTGCCTTCCTCTCCTCTTTTTCAGAGTTATTGCAGGGTAAAGAGAACAGTCTGATCATAAAGTGTGTTAACACAGTTACTTCTGTCACTTAATGTTTGTCACTGTGTCCTCTCTTCTCTTGTGTGAAGGGTACACACAGGCACACTGGTTCTTTACACACACAAACAAGTGTGATTGTTTTGTCTATGCCAGTCAAGTCAATCACAGGGTGAGCCCTTCTTTTTTCCTTCTGACTTGACTGATTGAGTCAGTCAAAGCATCAAACTGGTTTATGTGACTAGACAGCATCACTCTGTGTCTTGTTTGTTATGACATGCCATGGTTCCCTGACTTTTTTGTAAATTTTAAGTTACGACATTTTCTTTGAAATCTGCTGCTACTGTTTCTGGAGAAACATATCTGTGAAGTCTCCAGCTTTTCAACTCCCTCGTTGGAAGTCATCACTCTCTTGAATGCTTCCCCTACACTTTGATCATACCCCCATTACTTCATGCATTTTACTTAGCTGAACATGCAAATGTTCCCTCTTCTAGATTATACGTTCTTCAAAGAGTAATTTTTTGTATCTTCAGTATTTTCTAAATTTTCTTTTATTTAATGGGTGTCCAGGTACATATTCTATAAATCAGTGAATGATTGCACTGTAATTTTTAAAAGTAAAATTTTGAGTTAATTCTAAGCAAAGAGATTATAAATCTCATGATGGCAAAAAATATGAAACCTGATTTCAAAGGAAAATCACTACTACACTGTTAGTTCTTCTACTATATCAATATTATACTTAACAAAAATTGGGAAATAGTTCATCTTTGTCTATTCTCCTCCCTAACTTTATAGATTCATAGGGAAAAAATGGAAGAATTCTTGTGCTAATTTATGGAAAGGTTTTTTTAAACATTAAATTAAAGGCAATATATGTTTTCCATAGGCAAGTATGCTTTGAAGCTTTTACTTAGATTTAAGTTTATGTAACTTTTAATTGGTAACATGTGCTCTGGGGATGTCTATGTGTATGAATGTATACACAGTATACCTACAGAAGTAGATATAAAAATGATTCGAATCCCCCTTATCTGTTTATAGGTTTCCACTTTACAGCTTCTAAAATTTACTAAATTCATCTAAGTACTATACCTTTCTGACAAATAAAAACCATCTACAAAATAATGTATTTATGCATCTGTCTCTCAATATCACATCTACACATTTACAGGCAGAGGAAAGAAGAGAACAAGAAAAAAGAAGAGAATAAGGGGAGAGAAATATGTATGTGAGTAAATTCATTTCTAGAGTAGCATGTTTGTGTTTGTGCCTCTGGCAGTGGATCCATGAACACTGGAATATATGAGTAACCGCATCTATATCTTTATAACTCATTCTCTATGTATTCATATCATCTGTTGATTAAAAAATATTTTTACTTATATATGTTCTAATTTTACAAATTATCATTTTTAAAATGTTACCAAAAATAACACCTATTTAAAATTAGAATGCTAGTAATAATGATACAAATTACATAGATAATACAAGGTTTGAATTTTAGAGTTACAAATGTGGGTGTACTAACCAAAATGTAAATATGAGGAACTTTTTTCATTGCTAGTGCATTATAAAAGTTATTATTCATGGCTGTCTAAAACAGAGAATGAGGTATCAAATTGGGATGAGTATTTGATTATTTGACCAACCTAAGTTTTTATTCTTAGAACAGATTGGTCAATTTGCTTCCATAACTTAAACTGCCTAATTTTTTTAAATTTTCTTGCATAAAACATTTATTTAGTGTAATTATGTTTTTTAGTAACCTGGTTTTATATGTGAAAACAATAACCTTAAACCTGATTTGAAAAGCATAAAGAAACAAACATTTTTCCCAAACAAGATATCTGAAAGTTCAAAATAATTCAGATTTTTAAGAAAACTGGCTTGTTCAAGGGGTGATCTTCATGTCTCCTTTTAATTTTTAATTCTTATTAAGCTTTTTTCTTTTGTTAGTAGCTCTAAGCTATACTTGCTTATAAAGAACATCACCTAAAACTTTAGTGTCATCTGGCTAGATTTTAAAAAGTTGTGATTCCTAAATATATATAATCAAACAGCAAAATATTTGTTTCTGTGCTATGGTCAGTTGATTTATTGACCATATAAATATGTACATTTCAGTTTCAATAAATTAACTAGAAACTGTCAACATTGAGTATAGCATGTGGAAAGGTTTTGTTGTAAAGCACATAGAAGAAAGAATGTCTATTTAAACTGAAATATTTAGCCATTAGCCTGAAACATATTCATTGCCATAATTTTTATTCTGATAGCTTTTAAAATGCGAAATAGTAGATAGCATAAAAGTAAATCATCTTATATTTGTTTTCTGGGATTTTTTTAAGGCCAGAGAAGGCAATCTTAGTCTTAGGTTCATATTGGTGAATAACTTTTTAGCCATTTTTTTAAAAAACAAAAACCATTTCTAAAAACTTCAGGCAAATAAGTAACTCTTTGATAATAATTGGCCAATAAATTGGGTTAATTAACAGTTTTTTAAATTGAATTTGATAGTCTTCAAGCTTGTTTGTCAAAATAAAGATGGATTTAATTATAAGAAATTGTCCACAGACTGTGTCCTGTAATATTTATGAACTAACCATATATCAGCTTTTCTGAGTCTAATTTTCTCAGTCTAATTGTTGACTGTACACTCATTGTTTCTTCTGCGCCATTTACATATATAAATAGACACACTTACAGGGGCAGAAGAGAAAATATTAAATTTTTATTTCAACTTTTTAGTATTACTGGTGTGAAAAGGACACCGAAGAAAAGAATGAAACTGCATTCATTAAAAATGGGGATTAGGAATTTAAAAAATTATCTTCTTTAAAAATTAATCAGATAATGCACACTGTTCAAATTTAGCATTAAGGCCATGATGAACACATAGACATATGCAGTTTTTATTTGCATGAATGCTGTACGTGTAGCATTCTAATGCTTAATCACTCTGCTTCTCAGAAGTGACTTCTCTTACTACCTTGTGGTTTCCATTGAATTTTTCCCCTCTATATTCTCTCTTTCTCTCTTCCTGCATCCCCTTTCTTCTTCTTTCAAGGAGGGGGATTGGATAACAATGTTTTAGATAAAATGAGTGAGGTACATAATATAGAAGGAAAAAGTGAAAAGGTGAAGGGACGATAGGAGAGACAATTGCCTTAGGACACTGAAGGATAAGGCAAGTCTGCAGTGCATGATGTGCTATACATTTCTGTTTCATTTCCTCTGTCATTTTTTCCTTTCTTTAAGATCACTTGATTATATGTAGGTATGAAGTATAGGAGGACTCAGATTATTTCAAAGTACACACTTAGTTCAGAAATTTATCCATGAGTAGAGAATTTAGTATTTGGAAGATTAAAAGAAAGTCCAACTTGAAGAACATGACAGTGCTAATTAATATATGATCATCTAATCAATTATTATATCCAGCTGATTTGTCTACTTTCCTCCTTTTACAGGTCTCACTTATGAATATAGTGTAATCTGTTTCAATTCTTGTGTTTGGTATATTAATGGTGTGGGTATTTAGTTCAAGGCTTTCCACTACATAAACACTCTACAACCTGTAAAGGCATTTTTGTTCTAAAAATATGTTTGTAATTTAGTTGTTTGGAACTTAATAGACCTTGTTTCTCCAAGAGTTCACAATGTTAATAATGGTAGCTAAGATCTCAGTATAATTCCACAAAGGTGTGTTTAGCCTAACTCTGTATACTGGTTTGTCCCTTAGCACATATAAGAGACATTCCCCAAGAAAGAAATATATGCTTAACTTCGCAATCCCCGCCCCCCTCACCCCCAGCATAGGTGAAGCAGTTTTATTCCACTGTGTTCTGTAAGATGTATCCTTTCTCTCTTTTTCTCTCTGCTTACTTTCATCTTTATCTCTCCTCTTCCTCCAAAGATCACAGTTAGGTAACACCGACCAGCACTGGCCAGCACGTGAAAAGAACCTTCTCAATAATACAGAGTGATACCGTTTTATATCTGCCCGATTTCATTAGGCAGAGAGTGTCTGTCTAAAGTACCAAGGTGGAAAGGCACTAAGGCTGCTTCATTCTGCAAGTGACAGATTTTATTTCATGATGGAGATTCTAATTTTTCCTTGGGTTTTTTCAGGCAGCTAGTTGTTGTCTGTGTTACATCAAATAAGAAGGTATTTAGATTGTACCTGGCTATACAGAAAGACATTTTATTATATGTTGACAACAAACTTCAATATGCTGCTAAACTCTTGAGGAAATGTATACTGAGTCTACTCATAGGTTTATATATTAATGAAGGATTGGATTATAAATGACTATTCTTAGATTTTTTTTAAGTCAACATTCTAGAACTAAAAACATTTTCATCCTTTCCTGATGAATTTTATAATACTTGCAGAGGAATGATTCTCTGCTTCACGTCTCTGAGTTTCACTCAATTGTTTCCTCAATTTAGGTTTGGATATAATCCGTGTGCATTTAATATCACATCTCTAGATCTGGTCAAGGTTTCCCCTTAAATCTAAAGGAAATAGTTGAAAGGAAAAAGGCAGAATAAAATATCTTAGGAAGACTTAGACTTGGTCTGGCTATGTTTAGATTTCTTCCAAATTTTGGCTCAGTTTTAAGCTTTATTGGCAGTCTCATTCAGAACTGTGGCTTTATCCTCTTTTTTTCATTTGGCTAATATGATTTGTTAAAACATTCTCTGTTTATTTCTTCTTGCTTAACATTTTTCCACACGGCAGGCATAATGAATTTTTGTTTATGATGGGCCGTGCTGCCTGAATTATGGTATGGAATCTGGGTTTGGTTTCTTTGGAAAGATATTTTATTGCAATTTCAGGGGATTTATGTAGCTTCTGGTGTTCAATCTTAGACATGAGTTTCTCTGAAACTCGTTGCTTTAGGAGGAGTTATTTCTAAGGAAAACTAGGCAGCATCTGGTAATAAAAAACCACCACAATTTATTATAAATAGATTTACCAGATTTCTTGGTATAAGCATTATCATGTTCCCTACCAAATTATCTTTGTATCTGAATTATGCACAATTAAAGAGTGAAATGCATCTTTTTAACTCAAGATCCTCAAAGCTCATTAAAGTGCCACATGCACTGGGGTTTGTTGATGCTGATCAGCCACAGACAACACATGTTAAAATATACTCTTCCCCAAAAGAGCTAAGGAGATCATGTTTCCTTGTACAAGGAATACTGATACGGGCTGCATTCTGAATTGAAAGTACCTGGTTTGTAGCTAAGGAAATAATTCTACCCCTTGATCCTTTTTGTCAATTCAAATTGCATAAATTTCTAAAGAAACCAAACGGCAATTTCTAGGTTAATGTGAAAAGTTACCACCATATCATATAAACTGACTTGACTTAGAGCATTCTGAGAGAAGAATATTCATGAAATTAATCCACATACTCATTTATTTTTGAAATGCATACTGTATTTTAATGAACATATTTTTAATGTACTTTATGCATCAATTATTGTAGCACTTTTCTTGAGATTAAAAAACGGAGACAAACCCCCCAAAGCCTTTGTGTGAAATTATTTTTAGTTCATTTACTTGTGAGATGACCATCCAAATACCAGATTTCCCACAGATTAAAGAGCACAGAATTTGAAGCTAGGCTGATCCTATTTGGAATCCCAGTTCTATCTCTAAGTTACCTAACCTATGTTAAGGCTCAGTCTCCTCGTCTATAAAATAAATGAATGCAAAACTTGAAAAGTTGTTATGCTGTTATACAGAGTAAGTGATGTAGTAAATGCAAAATGTCTTATATTATCTGTGGCAGATATTATATGTTCAATAAGTGATAGCTGGTGTTACTTGTATTGTTATGCATTCAGTGGTAATGGATATTTCCAGAGAGACATTTTGAAGTAAAAAATTGTCATCTGTGATGCTATTGAAAATATATTTAATGACTGGCAGTCAACATATGGATCAGCAGCATAGAAATGACATTTTTAAATAGAATTGGATCCTTTTTTAAATTTTGGAATAAACAACTCAGGATCAAAGAACTTGAGAAGAATTTCAGTGGGGAAATGAAAAGTGGCCAAAGCTTTGAAAAATAAGCTCCGGCCGGGCACGGTGGCTCACGCCTGTAATCCCAGGACTTTGGGAGGCCGAGGCGGGTGGATCACGAGGTCAGGAGATCGAGACCAACCTGGCTAACACAGTGAAACCCCGTCTGTACTAAAAATACAAAAAATTAGCTGGGCGTGGTGGTGGGCGCCTGTAGTCCCAGTTGCTCGGGAGGCTGAGGCAGGAGAATGGCATGAACCCGTGAGGCGGAGGTTGCAGTGAGCCGAGATCGCGCCACTGCACTCCAGCCTGGGTGACAGAGCAAGACTCCGTCTCAAAAAAAAAAAAAAAAAAAAAGAAAGAAAGAAAGAAAGAAAAATAAGCTCCATGATAAACAGAATGAAAGTAATGTTACTAGGTATTTTTTGTTTCCTTAAGTCTAGAGTTTCTGCATAGTTCCCATAATATAGTTATTAAGGGCACAGGTTCTGGGGTCAGCATACCTGGATATGACCCACTTACTATTTCTATGATGTTAGATGTTACTCTCCTCTTTGCTTCCATTCCCTTACCCAATATTATAAAACTAGCTTAATAATACTCCACAGAGTAAATTTTTATGCTTTCCTACTACGTTAATACATATAAAGTGTTTAAAATAGTACCTACACAGAATAGGTAGTCAATAAATTTAGCTAATAGAATTATTTAGACAGAACAAGGATTTATATTCTTATCTTACTTGTAAGTACAGAATTCAAAATAGGGCTGTAAGAAATTTTCCTCATATAACTTACATTTCTGTATCTTATATAAATCTGTTTTGTCTTTGCATTTTACACGTCGATCAGCATAAAAACCAAACTAGAGATTAATATAGTAGATCTACAGTATTTAATTTCTTATAATTTACATATTACATTTTAATAATAAAAGCAAATAAATATCAAAACATTAATGTTCTTATGATCAAGGACATTCCACTCTACCTTTAAAAAAATTTAATACCTGCTGTTTCCTGCTACATTGTATGCTATAAGTTTGACGGGTATTGACTCAAAGCATCTTTTTCATAATTCCCAAAACCAAAAACTTAGACAATGAGTTTTTTTTTGTAATCTACTTGATAGAAAAACTCAATATGATAAAAAACAATTTGATTATAAAACATGCTCCGAAATAACATGATAATTATAGTCTTTTTTGTTAACTCAGTATAAATGCTTACATGTGTATGTCAGAATGAGCTAGGTTATGCTGTAGTAACAAACAACCCTCAAATCTAGGGGCTTAGAACAACGTGTCCACTATGGTTTGACATAGTCACCTAAGAAGCTAGGTTGATAGACTGCCCGTCACAAATGCTGCTGGCTGTCATGTCAGAGGAGTAGAGAAAGCTCTGGATGATTTTTCATTAATAATTGATACTTGAACTTAGAAATGACACCATGATTCCACTGACAACCAGAACTAGTTACATGGCTCCTCCCCAACACAAGAAGTATAATCCTACTGGGTGTCTAGTAGGGAAGAGAAATATAAATATTTGGTAAATAGCGCTAATGATTAGTATATTATATTTCACTGCAGAAATATTACTATGGTGATTTTATATTTAAGACCCAGAAAACTGTTGTCATCTTGTATATTATATATCATAAATTCCATACAATTTTTATAAAATCTGAAATGTTTTCATTCCAACAAGACAATCTTTTCAGATATGAAATTAAGAATTAATTCTATGTTGAGTTCTAGGGACCCAAGGAAAAATTAGACATGGTCTCTACTTGGTAGAACTCAGAGTCCAGTGAGAGAGTAAGGCATGTAGCCAAAACTTTCAAAGGAATGCATAATGTATTACATTAGAGGTCTGATGGGAGTGTGATTGCAGTACAGAGGAGGGAGTGAAGAGATAGGCCTGATCTAAATAGAATGACTTCATAGGTATTGCATTTAAGCTAGGATTTGATGCATGGTAAGCATTGAGGGTATAATTAGCATTTCTGATATATTTTAATTAACTTTTTATTGGCAGACTCTATGTTTTGTTTATACAATATGTACATATTTTTTATTGTATATGCAATGTTTGGGGTGCAATAAATATGATGGTGGTTCCATGATAGAGAAAGATAAGTTTGGGAAAAGCGTTACGCCCCATCATGAGGGAATTGGGCATGCTGTAGGAAAGGAGTTTTAGACCAGGCACGGTGGCTCATGCCTGTAGTCCCAGCACTTTGGGAGGCTGAGGCGGGCGGATCACCTGAGGTCCAGAGTTCGAGACCAGCCTGACCAACATGGAGAAACCTCGTCTGTACTAAAAATACAAAATTAGCCAGGTGTAGTGGTGCATGCCTGTAATCCCAGCTACTCGGGAGACTGAGGCAGGAGAATCGCTTGAACCAGGGAGGTGGAGGTTGCGGTGAGCCGCGATCATGCCATTGCACTCCAGCCTGGGAAACAAGAGCAAAACTCCATCTAAAACAAACAAACAAACAAACAAACAAAATTAATGTTATTCTGAGGGTAAAGATAATCAACTAAGTTTTTAAAGAAGGAACATAAAATGTTCTGTGCTTTCTGAAGGTCCTTTTGTGCCAGAGGATCAATGTAGGAATGTCAAACTCATTAGAAAAAGTGATTTATGAAAAGAGAAGTAAATTATACTGTTTTTATATTTCAGTTGTTTTAGTAATGTCTTTTCAATATAGTGTGTATATTCAATATTAAACCTAGCTGAGAACTCAAATCTTAAACATCGATGTGCTTGTCTGAACAGAAGGTTATACAGAGGAATTCCTCATGTTGATGTTTAGGTAGGTTGACTACAACTTTTCCTTATGCATGTTGCATTCCTGGAGTCCTATCGAGTGTCAAATACATTTTGCCACTGTCATTCTTCTGTATTTTAATTCTTGAAATATGTGAATAGCATATGATGGATAAATTTTGTACAATAAGTCATGTATACACCTCCTTAAAAACCACAGCTGTACTTGCATCAATACTTGAAGTGAAATTGCAGGAAAATCTCTGAAATGAGGAAAACATAAAAAATTGAACAGTTTACATTTATAGAAAAAATACTTCATTTAGAAAAATATATGAACTACTTAAGAAATATTGAAGTCAAAATTTGTATTATATTTTGCACATTGTATATAGTTATAGCATTTATAAAATGTATGATTCAATAAGATGATATGTTACTAACATATTGAGATTATTTTAAAGTATATACCAGCCTATATATTTTTTAATAATACATAATGTATAAAACACTTTTCTATACATTCAGGTCAGTTACTAAGCATAAAATCATTGAGGTAGTAAAAGGGTAAATTATGTTGCATCTTTATCACACAGACATCAGTTGAACAGTTTATTGCAGTTAACCAATGAAATAAAACTAACCAATATAAAAATACTATGATATGACTTTTTATTGCAGAAAACATTATAGAAGACCTTACTTTAATGAAAAAAAGTGACTTTTTGGGGAAAGTGGTAGTTTACTATCTATGAAATAGAATTTCCTTTCTACTTGTTTCATTCTATAGGCCAACATGAAATGGAATAATGAGATGAATTAGAATTTGTATTGAAATGCATATGAATTGAATGCCTGGTTTTGCTACTTATTAACTATAGCCTTGAGTGAGTTGGTTAAACTCCCAAGTCTCTGTTTATGCATGTGTAAATTGAGAATTATGACAGCTAGTATAAGGAGTTGTGTATATGAAGAAAATGATGCAAAGTCAATGCAATGAATAGGAGCCATTGATAGATGAAGAGAACTGTAATACCATCATGATTCCGCTGTTAATGGCCTGCCACCCTCTCTCACAGAGATCCCATCTTCTTTATATTTATCATCCTTTAGGTAGAACAAAATCTCACTTTCACAAAAACTTAAAACAAAAACACTTCAATGAGGGGCATCACATTGCGTTTATTTTAATAAAAATCAGCTGATACATCAATGGAACAAGTTGTACTACAAAGACAAATCTGGGATATCAATTGGAAACAAAATTCCATGGAGATGATGTAGTACAAAAAAATAGCAGTCTGAACTTGTTATCAAAGCTTCACCTCAGATTGGCCTCATAACTTCATAGGTGCTTCAAATACTTATACTCAAATACTTATACTCAAAGGTGATATGTTCTCTTTCTCCTCCAATATCTCCTCCAGCCTCACATCTTTCACTGTCCCATCCAAGAAGTTTACATCCATTAAATTATAAAGACCATTGTCCTGTATTTGAACTTGCTGATCACTTTTTTTCTGCTTTTGTTTATAACTTTGGGTTCTATGATGCCATATTCTCCTGGTTCTACTGACACTGCTCTGATCATCTATTTTTTATTCCTATTCTAAGCATTGTTTCTCTGGTTATCCTTTAAATTTTTGTGATTCCCAGGATATTATATCTTATATTTGCCTTATAATTTTTGGGTTACTGTATCTAAGTTTTATGATTTCAACCATCATCTACATGTTCATTCCTGGAAATATTTGCACCTTTATTAGTTTCCTATTGCTGTTGTATCAGCTACAAATGTAATAGCTTAAATAACACAAATTTATTATCTTACAGTTCTTCAGGTAAGAATTCCAAAATCAGTTTCATGAGGCTATAGTCAAGGTACTGGCAAGGCTGCTTCCTTCTGTAGGTTAGAAGGGAAAATTAATTTCCTGGCCTTTCCCCATTTTTACCTCCCAAGCCTACATTCCTTAACTCATGGTCCCTTCCTCCTTCTTCAAAGGCAGCAGCATAGAATTTTCTCTCTTTTCAGGTCATTGGTTCCATTCTGATCCTCCTGCAACCTTCTTGTAAGGATCTTTGCAATTACATTGAGGCCAACTGGATAATACAAGATAGGCTTCCCATCTCAATATCCTCAATCACATCTGCAAAGTCCCTTTTACTATATAAGGTTCCAAGGACTAGGTTGTGGACATATTTAGGAGGCCATATTTCAGCCTACCGTACTTCCCAGGAGTCTGATGAACATCTACAGCTAGATGTTTTCCTGTCATTTCAAATTCAACTTCTCAAAAACTGAATTCACCATACTATCCTGTCTCATAGACCCAGTTCTCCCTTTGTATTCCATGTCTCAGTTGATGGGAAAGCCATCACCTCATTCACCCAAATGAGAAATCTAGGAGTCATCTTTGACTTTTCCTCTTTTTTCTCTACATATAGAACATTATGGCTTCCAACTTTAAATTTTAAATTTCCATCCCACTAATACTGCCCTATTTTAAGTCAGAAATGTTCGCTTACTGGCCTATAGTCTTTCACTTCCAAATTTATCTCATTTGCCATCATCTGAATAATATATATGAAAGCAAATCAGATCATTCTATCCCCTCACTTTTATGCCCCTCTCTCCTGCCATGTCTATTACCTACAAGCTAAAAATTAAACTTTTAAAATCAATCTATTTTCAATGTGTGCTACTAAAATATAATCACTTGAAGACAAAGCTTGGGATTTATGTTTTGCCCTTAGCACATGACAATACCTGTCTTTGCTCAAGAAATGTTTCTTGATTTGAACTGAAGCTCTTTATCATGAAATAAAAAGGTTCTCTATGGTGGGATTGTACCTTTCTCTCTAATCTCTCCTTATTTGCACTGCAATAACATAATTTATACACAAAAGCAAATATCACTATTTATTCATGAAAACAACCTCCTCCCTTTCTGAGCCAAAAGATAGAATACATTTCCTAGCCTCCCTTGCAGATTGATATGACTGTGTTACTGTTTTTTAGGGAAATGGAATTGAAGACAACTACTTCTAGAATTGGTGCATGGAAGCTTCTCATAGGTGATTAGCCACACTCTTCTTCTGTCAACCTGGTGCAGAAAAGCTTGAAGACCTTGGAAATCACATATTGATGATGGAGGAGATACAAGAATGAAGGACCCTGGGTTCCTGAATCAACACTCTAAGAAGAGACTCCTTGAAATCAAGAGCACTCATTTTGACATTGCAAACGGAAAAATTCACTTCTATCAGGTTTGAACCAATATATAGTTTAGGGTTTTTAAAAAATAACTGTTAGCATGACTTTAACTAATACACATGCCATACAGGATCAGACCTCTGTGACTTTGCTTTTACAGTCTGCTCTGTCTGGAGGGGAGTTTCATCTTTGCCATCCTTAATGATATAGCATAGACGCTATGTCCTCCAGAAACTTCCTTGGCACCCACATTTTTGGATGGAAGCTTCTTGTCATTTCCATGGAAAGTAAGCTTAATCTTGTCAATGTGGTTCAACATCAAATTTGAATTATGTTCACCTATCTTGTTTCCAACCTTCCCAACTAAAATTTAAATTTCATAAAGGACTGAAAGCAATCATTTTGTATCTCCAGCCAGGAACACAATGCCAAGCTTGGCTCCTCCAAACTTGGCATTGTGTTCCTGGCTGGAGATACAAAATGATTGCAATAAGATTGCAATAAATGCTTATTGGACGGACCTCAACACAATTTCCTTACCTATAAAAATAACATAATAATTCAGACCCCATGTGGTTACTGTGATGATTAAGTGAGGCAATATATGCAAAGCACCTGGCACATAGCAGGTACTTAATAAATGTTCGTGTTCATCCCTTCACAGAGCCTTCCTTAACTACATTGGTTCAGGCTTTCATCTTTTATCTTAATTGTCTCCAGTCAGGATTACATTTTGGTTCTCAGTTCTTTGATAATTTTATGTATGCATTAATTTTCCCTCCCTATCCAAACTGTAAACTCCTTCTGGAAACAGCTGCTTCTTATCCTTCTTTCTAGCCTTATTGCACCTTGGACAGAGGAGGTGTTCAATATACACTTTTTTAAGTTGACTGAGTACTCTCTGTATGTGTTCTATTATGTTACATTAAAAACAGCTCTAAAGCCAGGTCTCTATGACAGCAAACAAATCTCTGGCCAAGAAATAAGCCAGTGCATAAAACATGCTGTCAACTTGGCTTTCATACTAACCTATGCAGGTGTGTCTCTGTTTAGGGTGTAGAATATTATGAAATATCAGTGCCAATTTAGTGTGGGGAGTGAAGAGAGGATTGTGTACGTACGTAACAGATAATCTGTAAAAATGCTGGATTCACTGGCTGTACTTAAGCAGCATATGTACATATGCACTGACTCTAGAACCGTATGTTTTGCCATCACTTCACATGGTGTCACTCTATTTGACATATCCTAAACTCCTCCAGGAATATGTCCTCTTTTAAACTGATCCTTCTGTGACAATAATATTCTTCATTCATTAGCACAATTTACCTGTGAGGTGCCAGAGTTGCAATATCAAAGATATTCTGGGAGGTGGTTCAGTTTACTGAGTGTGTTGGAAATAAACGGGTATTCAGGGTTTAGATGGGGATGAGCTAAAGGTCATCTCAATAATATATTATAAAGAATGAGAGCGTGAGAGCACAGACTCTTGAACCAGACTACCTGAGTTTTATTTCTGGTATTGTCCCTTGCTGTGGGATGCAAATTTGTTCAGGTTATTCAAGCATTCAAGAAGTATTTATTCAGTGCCTAATATTTTTCAGTCCAAGAAAGAG
Organism: Homo sapiens; assembly: GCF_000001405.40. Classification (NCBI taxonomy): domain Eukaryota; kingdom Metazoa; phylum Chordata; class Mammalia; order Primates; family Hominidae; genus Homo; species Homo sapiens. The sequence goes on from NC_000012.12 coordinate 85,344,283, forward strand.
CAGTAAACAACACAAACAAAGTTTCTTTCAGTCATGGAGCTTACATTCCAATGGAAGAAGGCAAACAATAGACAACAACAACAAAAGTATGTAGAGTGTTATATGATGAAATATTCTGAGAAAAAACGGAAGAGAAACAAGGAAGATGGATAAAGACTGCAAAGTAAATAGGTTTGAATTTTAACAGGGGTACCAGGGAAGTCCTTATTGAAATGACGGAATGTGAAAAATGACCTTAAGGGAGAGAGGGAGAACATTCTGCAGGCATTGGGTAGAGAGGTTGCTAAGAAAGGAATAGCAGTTGGAAAACTGAGCAACCTAAAAGAAGAGGAAGATGGAGCATTTATAGGCACTTTAGGCCATTTCCAGGACTTCGGTTTTATTCTGAGTGATTTGGAAAGCTATGAAAATGTTTTGACAGAGGAGTGGCTTGTGTGCTAACAGTAGAATGAAGTGGCAAGAAGGCAGAGAAGCAGGAGACCAGTTAGAAGCCTACTGCAAAAATTCAACCAAGAGTTTAAAATGGGGCTTTGACTAGAAGGTAGTAATGGTGATAATAATAAGAGGTTAGATTTGAGGATATATGTTTGAAAATAGAGCTAATAGGGTTTGCAGATGAATAGCTTGTAGAGAATGAGAGAACACAGTCAAGGATAACTCAAAGATTTGGGGCCTGATTAAATAGGAAGATAGAATCACCATTAAGTGACAGAAGGCTATGGAGCATAGAAGCTATCTCAGTTTTTGGTGTTTGGAAAGCCTGTGAGACAGTGAGATATATGAATCCAAGACACTGAGATATATGAATCTTAAGATCAGAGCAAAAAGTCCAAATCAGCCATATGAGTAATTAAATCAGTTAAGCAAAAATTTAGTACTGTATTTAAAGCCTTAATATTAGATGAGATTAGCAAGTGGATATGAGTACCCACAAAAGTTAAGAGTCTGCAAGGTGTACTGTGATAAGAGCTAAGTCAGTGGTCCATTGTGATGATTTAATAAGTTATATATGTAAAATTCTTAAGGCATTATCTGATACATAGCAATTCTTCCATAACTATCAGATGTGCTAGTTTTCCTTTAAACACAATAGAATGAAAGAGTCTTGTTTAGATATTATGTATCATAAATTATATTATTAAATGAAGACTCAATATTATCTGACACAAACTCACTTCTCACTTATCTTCTTCTCTAAAGCATATTTTTCTATAGTAGTCTCATATAATAAATTAAAATGTTGAGTAGTATTGGAATTAGAGTTGAGCACTGATTTCACGTGTTCTAACCTTTCTTCCCGTATGCACTATAATAGCATTTGTTTAGTGTTTTATTCTTCTATGTTGCATGACTCTCTCATTTCACTATCTCCATATGTTATAATTTGTTTGTGTGTTTTACCCACTATACTATGAAATCCTTATTTTTTTTTGTAGTCCCAGTGCATAATACCAGCCTGGAACCCAAACACTACTCAATAAATATTTGGTGAATGTAGAATGAATAGGTAGATATTATGTGCTAGACATTGCACTAGGGCTCTTTGATAGTTTTCTTTTAAACTTATTTAATACCTGCAAGAGTCTACCAAGACTAGTATTAGTAATCCCATTTAAAAGATTTAACAATGTCTTCACAGACACTAATGAATATGCTTACAGTAACAACCTAGTTAGTTGCAGTGCTTCTATTATACCACAGGGATACCCTATGGCCCAAGTGTTCCCTGCTGTTTCCAAAAGTTGCTTTCCAATGCAAAAGTTACTTTTGTAATATTTATGAAAGATAATAATTGATCTTTCACTGAAAAAGGTAAAAAAAAAAGGAAGGATCACCAATTATAAAAAAACCTGTGCTATCATTATTACAACCTTGATTGTTAGCATCCCTTTGATATATTGAGCCAAAAGAAGATAAATTGTAATAATATGTAAATAGATACTTCATATATATGAATATATATTATATGTAACAGTATATATGATTTTTGGACAATCGTAAACCTACTGGAAAGTTAAAGGCACACAGCACACAGAATACTTTTTCCTGAACTTACAAACACTTCAATGTGCATTTCTTACATTCTCCTACATAACCAAAATATTAGCATAGCAATCAGGAAATTAGCATAGGCACATTATTACCATTTCATTCTCAGTCATTCAGATTTCACCAGTTGTCTCAACAATGTCCAAAACAGACAAAAAATCCAGTTCAGAATCATGTGCTGCATTTACTTTTCATATCACTTTAGTCTTTTTAAACATGGAACAATTCCTCAGTTGCTCTTTGACTTTCATGATGATGAGACTTGAAGATTTCAAGCCATTTTCTGTGTTGAATATCTCTCAAAATTGGTTTGTCTAATATTTCCCATTATTAGATTCAGGTTGTACTTCACTGAAATGCCACTACATTCTTCTCATTGCATTCTACTAGGTGACAGGCAATTTCAGTCTCATGCTAATGATTTTTATTAGTTGATTAAGGTAGGCTTCTCCACTGGAAAGTTAATTAATATATATGTTAATAGTAAATACTTACAGCAATAGTAAGTATTTTGTGCTTATTACGTATATTAGTCCATTCTCACACTGCTATAAAGATACTACCTGGGACTGGGTAACTTATAAACAAAAAAGGTTTAATTCACTCACCATTCTGCATGGCTGGGGAGGCCTCAAGAATCTTATAATCATGGTGGAAGGTGAAAGGGAAGCAAGGCACATCTTACATGGCCTCAGGAGAGAGAGAGCAAAAGAGAAGTGCCACATTTTAAAACCATCAGATATCATGAGAACTGATTCACTATAAAGAGAGCAGCATGGGAGAAACTGCCCCCATAATCAGATCACCTCCCACCAGGTCTCTCCCTCAAAACATGGAGATTACAATTCAGGATGATATTTGGGTGGGGACACAGAGCCAAATTATATCATATGTCAATACCCCATTCCTCAACAAACTTTCAATTAATTTATCTCATTATACCAATTTGGTCTCAGGGCTTTTTTTTATTATTTCCAATTGGTTATAATATTTTATTCATTATTTTTTATGCCCAAATTGTTATAGATTTGACACTGGGAGCCCCTTTCAAATAGACTTCTGTATCTGTTTGACATGTTCTCATCATTCATGAGCACCTCCTGCTTTCTGCTAGATGAAAATGTTTTCGGCTCATTTTGTGTTTTTCCTACCATGGCCTGGAAAAACAAAGAGAAGAGAAGTGAACAAGCAAGTAACATTTTTAAAGGTCAAAATGTACCTGCTTTTTTTCAAGCTTATTTTTAAAACACCCCTTATAAAATGTTTTTCTTTATTCTTGTTATGTACTTGAAATTTAATTGCAAAAATGTATAAGTCACTGCCTTTGATAAATTCAAACTTCCAGCGGTGATAGGCACAGAACAAGTCCACAGAGATTTTTTTTGTTCATCACAATTGCTACTTTGTGTATATAATTGCATTGTTTATCTAAACAAAAAGCAAAGAATTTTAGGTTTCAAAAGGTCCTATATGATTCAAGCCCTCTCCCATTACAGACATCGCTCTGTGAATTCTTGACTAAGTGTGACCCAAAGTTTCCTTGAACCATCACAGAGACAACTTCACTACTTTTTGAGATCCCCTTATCCATGTTAGATAATTCAGATTTTCTAGAATTGAATCAAATGTATATTTGCCAGGCTTCTACCCATTAGTAGTAGTTTTACATGTTGGTGCAAGACAAAAAAAAAATCACCTTTTCTGCATAGTAGCCATTCAAATCTTAGAGAAAGCTTTGATTCCTGCCTTACTAGCCTTCAAGTGATCCTTGCTAATGGTGAAACATATCAAATTTCCTCATTCTTCACAGTACATGTTTCCTTGGTCCTTTATTTCATTATATCATAGAAGTATGTTAGTCTACTAAAAGGATAGAACATACTTTTAAGACTATAAACTACTTGAATTTAATAATATAAAATGGTTCTCTTATATGTAGGATAACTAAGAAACTGTCTGCTTTATTTCAATGAAAATTAATCTCAAGGAAAATTGGGACCCATCTTGCTACAAATTCAGAAATTTCTTGGGCTGCACCTGACATGCACTGGAAAGTCTACAGTCTACTATCACTATATGGATACATTGCAACAATAATTTTTTAGTATTTTAATAATGCATTGCATTTCCAATAGGTTATTTGTTTTATATATGAACATATTATTTTTTAAATATTATGTTGAATGTTAAAAGTTCATCTTGAATGAAATTTTTAATTTTAAGTAAATTCCCAGACATAGGTGAAGAAGGAAAACTGAGAACATTTCTTAGCACTAGAAGAACTTTAATTAAAGTCCAGACCCATGAGCCCTCTGTTGAGAAGAGCTTACTCCTGATCCCTAATTTGAAGCCTTGGGATTTTAGAAAAAAATGTTATTCAATTCCACTGTCATGGAGGTCCAGAGGGTGACTGCAAATTATGGTGAGAAAAACATTGGGAGAACATATCAAAATGTCACAAAACAATTCTCAGTGTGAGCAAGTACCTACCAGATATCTAAATGGTTTTTAAAAGAAAATGCCTCTAGGAAAACTCAATGACATCAGTTTATGACTTTCTCTAAACCAGAAAGAGCCTCAAGTAATTATGAGAAAACAGTAGATTGTACTCTAAGCTCTGATTTGAGTAATGACTTTTTAAACTGTGATTGAGAAATGATTGCACCCTTCTGGGTTACTTTGACTAGAATGTAATGAATATTGGTGAGATTATGCCACAGTTTTTACGAATGTAACATAGTAAGTTGTGTTCATGATGTGTAGTTTTATGTTTATGAGTTTTTAAATTGGCTCCTGACATCTGGGTTAGAAAATATAGAGAGAAGTGGGAGGAGAAAAAAATAGTGGCATTTCTATGAGAAGAATACAAAACAAAGATAAAAAAATTAAAACCTATTAGTGACATTGCTGCTCTAAACAATTCATGTTTGTTATTCCATCTCAAAAACAAAGCCGGAAAAAGATGCATCATTCTAGTTTCCTATAAAGATAACTTCTAAAGACAGATGTGGAGTATATAACTCAGTTATTTTTTTCAAGAAAAAAATGAAGAACCTAGTCTTTTCAGGTGAGCAAGCAAAACACTAGCATTTATGTATATACCTTCTTCAGATTTTTCAACACATTTTAATATATTTTGTATTTTTTTCATTTTTAAATGACACTTTTACATAAAGAAGATTGTCTCCTAAATTAAAGAAAGTCTTCTCAAAATGATAGCATGTTTGGTAGTGAATATGGTAGTCAGACACTGGTTATATCATTTTACCATTATTAACTATGTAATTTCATTTTGTACTTTTGATAGGTGTGATTAAAAGTTTTTTTAATAATTAATCCTTAGGCAGGAATAAAGCTTCTCTTAGTTTATTTCATATAAAATAATATCATAGACTAATATATATCCCTACTTTCTGTTAAGGTTATTTAAATTTGGCAAAGGAAATAATAATATATATTTTAGCATATTTTATAATGAACATTAATATCTTTCTGACTAAAGAATAATATTCCAAAATTGTTCTTATAAAGCTAAAACACAAAAACAGAAATGTCAGTATCATGACCAAGAATAAAAACAGAATAGGTATGTAGTAGCTTGCTTCAAAAGCTACTCTTAAATAGTCTACTGCAAAATAATGGGAAAATTTTTATCTAATTATTGAGCCAACCAAATGCTCCTATAGTGAAGGTTTATATAGATAAATATTAGAAATTTACATTTTTCCAAATTTCTATATTTGTAAATTTCCACCTTCATTGAAAGTAGATGAATTTTCAATATAAAGAATTTCAAAGATTTAAAATAAATGTATTATACTAATGATCAGAGAAAAGTAAAAATTCTAAACAAAAATTAATTTAAAGGAACAATTGTGAAAAAGGAGCAGGTTCTTTGGAATAACTATTTTCCTTATTAGCCATTTATCTATCATTGTTAGTAGCTTGAATTTAATTCCAGAATGTATCATATATTTAAAAAATCCAAAGTAATTATAGAAACTTGATATAGTAACTTTTGTTCTGAGTGATTAGAACTATACTGAAAGGAACTTTTAAGATTTCATGGATTTACAGTTTAGTGCTATTTGTTTTAAGTGCCCAGTTCTGCTGTATGTCTCCTGCCATTTGTGTGCTGGAGACATTCTGCTTTTCTCCCCTAATGAAGTGCATTAGTCAAGAGCTCAGTGACCTCTGACAAGGCTCAGTATGGGATTATAGCCTGACAGGAGGCAGCTGGAAGAAATAGTTGACAATTCACACTTAAAGTAATCCCTGAAAATTGCATGGCAGTTATGAGGAAGTAACAGTTTGGCTCCCTTGTGAAAAAAAAAAAAAAAGGTAATAAAAGATATTTCAAGTAGAGTTTTTGGACCCTAACTATAGTTTCTGAATTAAGGCTTAATTTTCAAGTTCTGTAAGCACCAGTTAATAGGAAGAACATTTTCATGAATAGATTCAATCTACAATACTATTTCAAGCAGCTACCACTTTTAGTCCGTTGATAGAAAACTCATTTAGCCAATGGATTATCTATAATTGACTAACTTCTTTAATAGAGTTTTAACACACCTCACATGTAAAAACATTATCGGGGAGGCTCACAGAGAATAGTAGTTGTAAGCAGAAATATAAAATGATCATTTTCTGTAAAAATTATAGCAAGAAATCAATAATACAGATTTTTATATGTTGACTTGTATTTTTCTAACATGCTATTTTATTTAAAATGTGTTTTCTTTTCAAACAATAACTGCTCCACTATAATTTTGCTTGAAATCCCATTAATTTGTACGCTTAATGGCAAAAATATTTTGCAAAATAACTTTCAAAGATTACATATATATCATAGTAAATATGTTGTTATATAGAATTATTATATCTTACATTATAATCTATTACACAATACATAATTGAATAGCACACCTATATTTTAAAAATACAGATACTTTTTTAGTAACTTTTTTTCTGTCTATGTCCCAATATCAGATGTTTCTTTTTGATCTCTGTTTTATTTTCTTGCAGTTGTGATTACAATAATTTCCATAGAGAAATGAAAACATCAGAATGGTCTTTCTTTGGAAAACACACTGCTTGTTCTCTAACTTCAGATTTTCACTATGCACAATATGTGATGATTGACTTACACCCAGCAGGCACCCAATAAATGTGTGATGGGTTAAATTGAAAAAACATAGTATTACTCTCATAATTGTTCAACATTTCTATAAAATATAGTTTCCCTAGGCCATTCAACAAATATTGTCTGATATCCATTACGTGACAACCCTGCTGCTGAATGTAAAATTCAATTTTTTGGTCCATAAAACTGTTTTCACTTTCTGCTCAACTCATAGTTTAACCTCTAAATTCATTCATTTATAAGTCTACAGCACATTTTAAGAAAAATTAGGTTAATAAGTCTATACTTACTTAAATTAATCCCTACCTGTTTGTACCATTTATTGTGTAGAGATAGAGTGACCTACCTTCCAAACAAGCAAACACATGATGTTTCTAATTCTGTTTTTTTCTACCTGTAAACCTAGTGTCTAATTTATGCATCTTCTTTTAACATTTACACTTTCAGAATTTATTAGAGAACATTTTTTATTATGATCCTTATGAATGCCTATCATAATTTAGGCTAAATGTCCACAAGCTGGTTTGCATATTTTTATGTTGTGAAGGTGACAAAAAGGTAGGAGGTAGAGTATCTGCTCAAACATCAAAAAAGAATGCCTAAATTCTTTCTCAGATGCTTAACTTTGGGATGTGATAACTGCTTGAGTGTAGAGACAATTTAGGTCCCAGCAATAATAGAATGGCAGGACTGACTGTGCAGCAGCTGTGGAATAGCACAGCAGGTTCAATGGTCTCATGGGTCTCCTAAGGCATGTGTATTAAGAGTTTCTGATTTAGACCATGTGTCTCTTAGTTAAGAGAACTACTTGTTAGATGATCAAATTCAGAGTAGTAATCTTGGTTCAATATTACTCAAGGGGATGACAAAATCTTGCTGAATTTAGCTTTTCACTTCCTTGTTCTTAATTGATATTCTATTGAACAACATTAGCTAGAGGAATATCTGTTCTTTATTTATTGATTTGCATTTATTGAACTCTATTGAGAACAATATTATACCTATACTTGAGAAATTAGTCCTTGAAGTTTTATGGCTGCACACACACCAACTCACACCCATTTACAGTATTTCCTCTGCAGTGGTAGGTGTGGCTCCAAACTAGTTGTTAGTTGTGACATTTAGGCAATAAAAAAAAATACAAAAAGAGACTTTCAGACATATTGAGTTGTATTACATAAAAATTAAATTCACATCCAAATGCTGCTCAAAATGCCACATAAGCTTTTTAGCTACTGTTTTATAGTCTTTTTATTCCTTTTCTTACTTTACTTTAAAAATGTGTATGTACCTTTGATTGCTTTGCTCTATCATGCAAAGTATCAATAAACTTGTAAAATCTAGCTTTAAAACTATAAATTTCAAATTTTAGTTTCAGTGGACACATTTTTCCTCTTAGCTGTGGTACAATGTCCAGTAGTTTAATCACTCAGAGGTGAGTACATGTCTTCCAAAATGTACTCAGCACCTAAAGGCTTAGGATATGTTCTTCAAACTACTGCCATAGAACATCTCAGAAAACAGGACTGCCTGGGCAGCTCAGACTGACACACTTGCTTTCATCTGAAACCAGCTAATATTTCATTTTGCTTGCTCAATTATTCTGCTTTTATAGAACTCATGACACTCAGTGCAGTAAAATCATAATTAGAAGCTCTTATGTATAACATTGATTATTTCATGCCATGTCTTTATTGAAACAATAACATTTATTTGTTGTTTGTTATCAGGTGTCATTAGTTCCTTGCTAGAATTTCTTTGGTGTCCTTTCTGCATTTCAAACTCACAAAGGTAATCAGAATTGATATTGATGTTTAAGCTCACAGTATATACAGCACCAGTTTGCCTTTTTAAACTCATGTTCAGCATGTGATAAATAAGTCAATTACTATGTATCTCATGGGGAACTAGAAATAAAGAATGCTGCAATCTTCCAGATAACGAAGCCTCAAGATTAAAGACTTTTTAAATTCCGTGTAGCCTAGTGTCTAGTACAATGCAAACACAGAGTCATGCTTAATAAATGTTTATAGAATGGTTAATTGTTGAAGAAGAGGCTAGATAGTTGTCGAGAAATTATCACTTATAAGAAATGTGTCATCTTAAATCCACTAGCTTTCCATAATCTCAGGTGTTATTGCTATTCTCAGGTATTTACCTTCTGAAACTTATACTATTCCTACTCCCTACTGCACCCTACAATATGAATTTAGGGAATGCTTGTATTATTTAATTAATAGAAAGCCCCATTGTTCTATATGTTTCAGACTGAGTATAGACTATATTATCTAATTTGAAGCCTGACCAACCTGATAAAATCGCCAATTTATTCAAAATTACCCATAAGCCATTTTGCTTGAGCTCCTAATATAGGCAATAGATAGCATATGAAGATTTTTCTTTCTCAGATGGAAGAAAAATGAGTGCCTCGCATTTACATAGTATTTTGACATTCAACTCTGCAAAATGAACAAGGCAGATAAAATTCCATGAAATTGTATGAAAAATTGTTTTTGCAGGCGTGACTTTATCTGATAAGAGGTTCAATATCTTTTGATCAGATTCTCAAATGTTTTTCTGATACCTCCCTTTTCACCATATAAGATCTTTGATGTTGTAATTTTCTGAAGAAGCAGAGAAGCATAAGCACTTTTAGCGTAAGGTGCAAAGTGAGGACAGCTCCCATATTTAAGTGAGGGTAGCATGTGTTTTTAAAACGTGACATGATTTGGGATGTTTGGAGCACAGGGTACAACAGAGAATATCTGGAGATGAGGCTTCGAGGAAGCTGGGGAGATATTGTGAAAGGCCATGTGGTTTAGGCTGATGAATTTAAACTGTATCCTGTGACCAATAAGGGGACATTACAAATTTAAAAGCAAAGACTAACTGTGGGTTTATTTTTAAATGAAGATGAGAGTGGGAGGTGCCTTGGCATGGGCATGCTGGAAGCAGGGAACAATCAGTAAGACGGAGCTGTAATAGTTTAAGAGATGATGAGCAGGATGATGAGCAGTTTAACTAAAGGAGACTCATCTTATGTAAGAATAGCCAATAAAGTAAAAGGGAGAGTCCAGGGCTGATAATAATCCTTGGTAAGAACAAGAAAGCAAGCTGGCTCAGGAAAGACAGGAAGAAAACTTAGAGAAGTAGGGGAACTAGGTGAAAGAAATGTGATGAAATCTAAGGGAAGCGTTTTCACATTTTCTGACACACAGAAAACAATAAATGTTAAACAAATTACTGAATGTTCGCCTTAGGAGTATCAAATGTCTTAGAGAGGTCAGCTTGGTTAAGGAGTTACAATAACTAAAGGCAATTACAAGGTCACTGGTGACTTCTCTGAAAGCAAATACAACAGATTTGTGGGGGCAGAAGTCATATTTTAGAATAATGAAGAGTGAATTTGAGCTGAGGAAGCTTTTATGATGATTATGAACATCTCTTTTAAGAAGTTTGGCCAGAAAGAAAATAGTTTAATTCAGTATATATTTATTGATCATTCATTTTGTGGCAGGTTCTGTGAAAAGCAATATGTTCCCCAGTGGAGCTTAAAGTCTGGTGCAGAAAGCAGACATTTAACAGGTAAGCTGAGTGTTCAGAAAGGCTAAGCACAAGATGATATAGGCAATAAAGCTGACCTACTATAGATTAAGGCAGACCTTTCTAAAGCAGAGACAACTAAGGAATGTGGGAATTTGCCAGGCAAAGATTGGGAGGCGGGGGACATCAGAAAAATGAAAGAATATTACTGGCTACATAATTGAAACTTTATAACAGTCGAATTGGTCATAAAGTTGATAACACTGTATTGTGCACTTAAAATTTTGTTAAGACAGCAGATCTCACGTTAAGTCTTCTTACCAAGATAATAATAATAATAAAAGAATAAGAGCATTACTTGTTGAAGAATATGTAAAGAGATAGAAACATAAGACATTTCTCTAAAAATAACATTATAAGTCATTGGCTATGGAGATGTTTGGCATTGTTGCATAATGTCGAATTGTTTCTGAAGACCTTAGAGTTTTTGAAGATCTCAAAGAGTCAGGATTGTTGAAACATACAGAGAAACAGGATGATGGGTTATAAGAAGATATCAAAGAAAAAAGTGTTAGTTTGCATGTGTGTTTGTTAATTTGTGTGTTTTCAGCATAGGGAACATATTTCAGCATAGGGAACACATTTATGAAAGCACATGGAAGGAAACCAGTGGATGGAGAGATTTTGAAGATAAAAGTGAGAGACAGCATAATTAATGGCACAAGTTTCCAAAGGAGTGGGGAAAATGAGTTCAAGTTCATAACGGAGAGGGGAAAGAACTGAGAATAAAAACAGGGTCTTCTAGTTACACTGCCCAGTGTTTCTTCACACTTGCTAAAGCTGGTTAAGAAACAATAGCAGCACAATGTAAAAGTAAATGCATTATTCTTTTATGATTTGAAACAAATTATGTTTCTAATATAGTAGAAGGATGAGTGTTTTATTTTATTTTTTCATGTACCAATTCAAGTTAATGGAGAAAAGAGTCTGAAGACCATGAGCACAATGTAAACTCTCCTCTTGGAGCTATCCATTGAAAAATTCCTCTAAAAAATTCTTCTAGTCACCATTTTCCACAGGCATTAAGACGATTCAAGTGACTTTTATTAGTAAAAAACTATATTCTTCAAAAGAATATGTGTCTGGTTGAATATTTTTTCGTATATTATTGCTTTTATTATAACAATGGTTAAGGTGTCTTGATCATTACACTGAGTGTTGCCAGTACACAAGGACCAAGCTGGTAAATGTTAAACATTTAACATCCGAGATGTGTCCAGGAATAGCTATTCAACTCTGCTAGAATGACTGTGTCAATTAATCGACCACTCATGAGGAAGTGTGCATGATGGATTTTCAAATTTTTTTGGCAAAAAACTGTGTGTGTGTGTGTGTGTGTGTGTGTATACACATGCAAATATTTGTATTTGAAAGATAATATTTGTATTATCTTTCAAAACTATTTTTAAATTGTTTAAATGCTTAGACCCTTTGGAAAAGCTACCGTTACTGAAGCTAGAATATGAGTTTCAGGATTCTACCTTTTGCTCCAAGAGATAGCTTTAGAAGGGTCATTTAAAAAATGTGCTGATAGGTAAAAATCAGTCAAAGGAAGGATAAACGTTTCCAGGCTTTCTCTACTGTTTGTATCTAGGCTAGACAAGTCTATCTCGGCTTATTGTTATTCCAGTCTGACTAATTTTCTTTGTATTTAATGACTCTGTTAAATGTGTCTGCTTTATGTTTCACAAATACTTAATCATCTGCTTATTTCATCATAAAGGAACTTTTTGTTTACAGATTAAGTTTAATATATATGAGTTGCTTCTTTACTATTTAATATCCCTGGAGGATAATCTCATTGGAAAATACTTCCTGTTTTCCTTCCCCCACAGTCCATATTCATGCCTCATTTTTGTTGCTATCTGAGGTCAAAGCAGCCCAAATCCTGCCTTCACATTGGCTTTAGCTTTAGTTAAAAGCAGGCAGCTATATGTTTGGGAAGCCCTGTGTAATTTATATGGTGTGGGTAATATCTTGAACACTGCAGGAAAAAGGAAGTTTTCATGTAAAGGCTTGCTGGTCTTCCACTATAATATAACACCTTTATATCTCTTATGAGGTCATCAGAATCATATGTGCACTTATTCCTTTGGAAAAATGCAACCATGTGAGTAGCATATAAAACTCGACATGATTTTTCCATTGCTGCCAGCTCTAAGGTCACAAACAACTCTAACCTCAGCTGGAAAGATAATACTTTGTTTCTTATGGTCTTTTAAGAGTAAGAGTTTCCATTTTCTTTATAACTCAGTCCACATCAAAAAAGATTTGTGATTGCTATTTGTAAGAGAGTATTTTAGCTTCTGGCCAAAACTCCTGGTTTTTATACAGGTTAGGTTTCAGCATCTATTCTGCCATTTGCTCCCAGTGGGATACAAATAACCACAATACATATGAAATGGCATTTCTAAAGCTCAATTCTCCACTCCATATATATTCTTGAAAATAGTTATAGGAGAAAAATTGAAGTTATACAAAATACATCTGTCTGGATTTATAGTGGAATTTTGCAAAAAATCATCTTGTAAACTGAAAAGTTAAAACTGGCCTCCCCACACTAGCTGCTAATAACCTGCTTCATCTGTCTTATGTCTGAGAACTAAGCTTAACTCAGAGGTGGGGCAACCTTTCCAACTCAGAAGTCAACATGAGAAGAAACAGTGACAGTTGTAGGTAAGAGATGATTTATATACCTTTTGACTCCCTTTACCTTCCTCAGACACCATTGAAAATATTCCAATGACCTTTGTGCCTTATTTACGCACAGAGTAGTTTGACCACTTTTGCTTGCAGTACATTAGTAACTATATTGATTCTAGGAGCTCATTTAACAAGCTTTTTAATAGTAATGTGTATAAATAATTTCCAAAGTATGTTCTCAGTCATTGTCTCATTTAGCTACATCACATAACTGTAAATTAAACAGATTACATATGATTAACCCATTCTCTGGTTGAATAAACTGAGGCTGGAAGTATTTAAAATAACCTTCTTAAAGATGATTAATAAGTAGTAGAGTGAAATTCTAGACTTCTAACTCTTTACTAAGAACTCTTTTTACTATGTATCCTATATTTTGTTGAGAATGAAGCAATTGTTTCAATTCACATTAGAAATTTTACTCCGACGTTTAGTGTTTAATGTCTTTCCTTGTTAGAATCATACTTAGACAAATTCACTTTAACTTGTTCTCAACTACACAAAAGTTTCTTTATCTGTGTTAGTATAAATAAATTAACCTTCTTTACTTTATGCTGAAAGTTTAAAACTTCAAATGAATTATTCATTAAGTTTGTCTGTGTAGCCAGTGTACTAACAACAATAAAAATAAGCATCTGAATGAAATATTATTTTCAATCCAATTTTCTTATGTATGCCTTGAAGAAAGATCATCAGGAGCTGGCCCTGATGTTTTATATACTGGCAACATTTTGGTGATAGAAAAACTGTTACTGGTAACTCTTTTGCAAGAACTGTCAGCACTGCAGATAGTTTTTAACTAGTCTCCTTCCAACAGTAAGGGGCAAAAATTTCAGCATTCTGTGTGCCAAGCAAGTGAATATTCAGACTGAAGTTCTCACAAGTATACAATGGTAAAAATGAGCCAGAGATGTAATTTATATAGGACTTAGCAAATGTTTTATCAAGCTCCACTGATTTTTTTTTGTATGAGGTAAGGTAAAAACTATTTAATTTATTTCATTGAACAAAAGAGGCCACATAAAGCTGTTTGAAGCACAATTAAAATCAAAGAATAAGGAAGTCAGGCACACTGCAAATAAGTTTGCTGGGGTTCTGAAGTTTTCTTCCTTCGTTTCCTTTCCCCTCCCTCTTTCCCTCTCTTCCCTCCCTTCCTTCCTTCTGTCTTTCTCCTTTCCTTTCTTCTCTTCTTCCTTATTTTCTTTCCTCCTTCCCCCTCCCCTTCCCTTCTCTCCCTTTCTCTATCCCTCCCTGTCTCCCTCCCTCCCTCCCTCCCTCCCTCCCTCCCTCCCTTCCTTCCTTCCTTCCTTCCTTCCTTCCTTCCTTCCTTCCTTCCTTCCTTTCTTCCTTCTTTCCAAGCATGTTATATAAATAAGCAATTGCTCATATGCTTGAATGGCACCACAATAAGAAATCCTTTTTGGAAGTGTCTAAATGCTTACCCTTAATTTCTGACCTGTTCTCTTCAAAGATTTGTAACATGCAAATCATTGACCAGCACTGACCAAGACCCACTGTCAGTTCTTGTCTGGCCGTTACCAGTAGGTAACTTTTTTTTTTTTTAATCAGGCTTGCTGTCTGTTACGGCTCTCCTTTAGTAAAGTTTCCCAACAGCATATAAATGATATTTTTAAAAGATAATACCAAGAAATCCCTGGCTTAAAATCCTTCATGGGCTTCCCATCACACTTAATGGTAGTTCCACCTGGCTGACGTGGGGACCCTGTATAAACTGGCCCTGATAACCTCTCCTACTGAATTTCTTTGTTTCCCACATAATCACTGTCATTCTGTTTTTGGCTTTGCTTTATTTTAGAACTTCTTGTGTACTCTTTTCTCTTCCTAGAATGTATTTCCCCTGGCTCTCTACCTGAGACTCAGTTTTGTTCATCTTTAGACCAAGGATGGGCAAAGTTCATAAAAAGCATGACAGTAAATATTTTTACGCTTTTGGGTCATGCAGTCTTTGTCACAACTAGTCACCCAGCCATAGACAATACATAATGAATAAGCATGGCTGTTTTTCCACCAATCTTTATTTATGGACATTGAAGTTTGAATTTATATAATTTTCATGTATAAAAATATTCTTCTCCTCTTTAAACAATTAGATATAAAAAGACATTTTAGCTCAAGGGTGTATTTTGGAGATCTATTTGTCTAAATTTAGCTTAAAAGTCATTTCATACGGGATTTTTCTGACTTTATTATCTAATAAGTATATTTTGTATCTCAGCACTGTTATTTTATGTTACATTACCTTTTTGTTCTTTTGAGACTTGTTTGTTTTCGAATTGTTTGTTCATTTCATATTTTCATTCAATTACAACTTTTCTGATCTTAACTATTCCACTTATCTCTGTATATTCACCCTTAGGACAATGACTGGTACATAGTTGGTGTTCAGGATGTATTTGTTGACTAAATTAATTAATTTGGTGAACTTATTTTCCTACAACTCAAAGTGCTTTAAAAATGAGCTATGTCACCTAGAAAAACAACTTCAGTAAAGTTTCAGGATACAAATCAACATAAAAAAAGTAGCATTTATATACACTAATAACATTCAAGCTGTGAGCCAAATTGAGAATGCAATCCCATTTACAACACACACACACACACACACACACCCCTAGGAATACATCTAACCAAGAAGGTGAACGATCTCTACAAGGAGAACTACAAAACATTGAAGAAATAAATTATAGATGACACAAACAAATGGAAAAACATTTCATGCTCAGGGGCTGGAAGAATCAATATCATTAAAATGACCATACTGCTCAATGCAATCTACAGATTCAAGACTATTTCTATCATACTACCAATGTCATTTTTCACAGAATTAGAAATTCTATTCTCAAATTCATATGGAACGAAAATGAATCCAAATAGCCAAAGCAATCCAAACAAAAAGAACAAAGCTGGAGGCATCACATTACATGACTTCAAACTATACTACAAAGCTACAGTACCAGCATGGTACTGGTTCAAAAACAGACACATAGACCCATGGAACAGAATAGAGAAGCTAGAAATAAAGCTACACACCTATGACTGTCTGATCTTTGACACAGGCTTTAAAAAAATAAAGAAAGAAATAAGGAAATGACTCCCTATTCAATAAATGGTGCTGTGAAAACTGGCTAGCCATATGCAGAAAATGAAACTGGACCCCTACCTCTCACCATATTAAAAAATTAACTCAAGTAAGACCTCAAACTATAAACATTCTAGAAGAAAACCTAAAAAATATCCTTCTTGACTTCACTGTTGGTAAAAAGTTTATGACTAAGTCCTCAAAAGCAATTGCAACAAAAGTGAAAATTAACAGTGGGACCTAGTTAAACTAAAGAGCTTCTGCACAGTAAAAGAAACTATCAACAGAGCAAACAGCCTACAGAACGGGAGAAAATATTCACAAACTATGCAGCTGACAAAGGTCTAAAATCCAGACTCTATAAAGAACTTACAAAAATCAACAAGCAAAAAACCAAATAACCCCATTAGGAAGTGGGCAAAGAACATGAAAAGACACTTCTCAAAATAAGACATATAAGCGGCCAAAAAAATGAATGAAAACATGCTCATATCATTAATCAGAAAGAAATGCAAATCAAAATTGTGATATACCATCTCACACTAGTCAGAATGGCTTTTGTTAAAAAGTGAAAATTTAACAGGTGTTGGAGAGGCTGCAGAGACAAAGGAACACTTATACACTATTGGTGGGAATGTAAATTAGTTCAGCCAATGTGGAAAGCAGTTTGGAGATTTCTCAAAGAACTAAAAATAGAACTACTAGTTTACCCAGCAATCTAATTACTGGGTCTATACCTAAAGAAAAAAATTATGTTACCAAAAAGATATATATACCTGTATGTTTGTTGTAGCACTATTCATAATAGCAAAGACATGGACTCAACCTAGGTATCTGTCAATAGTGGCTTGTATAAAGAAAATGTGGTACGTATACACCATGGGATACTATGCAGTCATAAAAAAGAACAAAATCATTTCCTCTGCAGCAACATGGATGCAGTTGGAGGTCATTATCCTAATGGAATTAACACAGAAACAGAAAACCAAATATTGTATGTTTTCACTTATAAATGGGAGCTAAACATTGGGCACATATAGACATAAAGATGAAAACGATAGACACTGGGGACTACAAGAGGGAGGAGGAGAGAGTAGGACAAGGGTTGAACTACCCAGTGGGTACTATGCTCATTACCTGGGTGATGGGTTCAATTGTACCCTAAATCTCAGCATCATGCAATACAATCATGTAACAAACTTGCACGTGTTACACCTTGAATCTAAAATAATTTTAAAAAGACAGGAAAAATATTTGGAAAAATGCACGCCCAACTGCTTTACATGGTGGGCAGAATGAAAGCCATTTCACTTTCATGTAGAAATTTCAGAAGTGGTTAAACTAGTATAAACAGAACATATTAATTTTGTAATTTGGAAATTTTTCCATGGTAAACACTGTATTTTTTCTCTTAAAAAAAAAGAAAAAGCTATGTCAAACAGCTTGTTTTAGGAGGTTTAATACATTGTGAGAATACAACTTAACATAAGCATTCTATTATTTTTCTCATTGTGGTTTGTATTCAAACTAAATCTGAGAGAATATTTGCTCTCCTCATTCAATCTTCAACAGCCATAAACAGTGCAAACAAAAAAAATCTACACATTCACACTGTGTATCGCATTGTGTTTATAAAAAGATCATAAAAAGGCACAATGTGGCTGGGTACCGTGGCTCACGCCTGTAATCCCAGATCTTTGGGAAGCCCAGGCAGGCAGATCCCTTGAGGTCAGGAGTTCAAGACCAGCCTGGCCAACATGGTGAAACCACATCTCTACTAAAATTACAAAAACTAGTCAGGCATGGTGGCACATGTTTGTAATCCCAGCTACTTGGGAGGCTGAGGCAGGAGAATCAGTTGAACCTGGGAGGCGGAGGTTTCAGTGAGCTGACATCATACCACTGCACTCCAGCCTAGGCAACAGAGTGAGACTCAGTCAAAAAAATAAAATAAAATAAAGAAAGAAAGAAAAAGAGAGAGAGAGAGACAATGTAGTATTATCATAGTCTTAAGACTTTTACTTGACGTTGAAATTACAGTCATTTACACAAAAATGAATTCCTTTGGTATAATTTGTGAGTCTCATGAAATGTCTTTGTTGCATAAAGAATTGAAAGTAGCCATAAAGCTGTGCCAGTCATTGTTGGTGTCCATCAGTTCCCTCACTCTCCCCTTGCCTGTCTCAGTGGCAGAGCCCTGGTGTGATTATGTGCCTACGGAAGCTGACCCCACCTTGGCCCAGAGTGAATGTTGATTTGTTTTAGCCAATTGTGACAATTCCATCCCCCCATCTAAAGGAATCACCAGGTAGGAACCAATGACACCAAAAGTGGGTTGTTAGGGACTTTGGTGAAGGATCTTCTACTCTGTCAAAACAGACACAATAAGAAGTATGGCTCTTCCTCTTCCAGTCTTTGAACAAGGCCATGTGAAAACATAATGTAATATATCAGAGCAAAGATAAAAGAATAAAGATAGTGAATAATAAAACATGTATCTCTAAAAACTAAGAATTTAAACCCCAGCTTTCTGATTTAGGCCTTTCATTTCAATATAATACAGGAATTGCCTGTCTGAAACAATGCAAAGGTTATAGGGACAGTTGTGAAAGAAGCATAGACAGTGAACAAAATTGCATCAGTACAAAAATTTACCTGAAAAAAAACATAAATGATGTCATGAAAATGACAACTGATTCTCATGGTAAACACAAGATGGCCTCTTCTGTGATTGCTTATACTTCCAGGAAACGGCTATTCTTTTGTATATCCTCTGATTATTGCTGCCATCCCAATATCATGTAACTAATATACTAAAAATACATTTTGAATAATGAAAGAAACTCTTGCAAGTAACCTATTGTATGACACTTTTTTATATCAAAATATCAAAATAAAAGCTAATGCTAAAAATCAAAAGCTCCTTCTTTTCTGAGAATGAGTAACTAGCTAGATTAGCAGCCAACCCAGATGCAAGGCCAATTGATGGGTCAGGAAGCAAGTTCAACAATCCAGGAACATGATGTTGATTTTGGCCATTCGCTAAAGAATGTTTTTCTGAATATTCAGGGTGGTGCTGACTTCAGTTTTTCTTTCTGCTAGAATGATGCGTAAAATGAAATCTTCTACAAATCTCCTTCCTACAAGTGTTTATTCTCTGATTAAATTTTAAAAGGAAGTTTTTTTTGTTTTTTTTTTAAGTCACGAATTTTCCTAGATACTTAATCTGATCCATTTCTTTAAAAACCCGTGGTCTGTTCTCAAAGAGATAAGGAAACAGGATGGTTGTCTAGGCCCCAACTTTTTAGGCAAATTATTACTAAGGGCAGGTTTTTTGTTTCCCTGGTCCTATAGAATCAATGTCAGTTCACTCTTCTCTGAATTTTAGATCCGCATCAAATCTCTAACTATATGCTAATGCTGAGTGCCATAGTTTTATAAACAGTGATATTTCTTACTGTTTGATGTCAGTTGATTTCTATGCTTTTTTTTATTTCTATGCTCTTTACTTTTGTGTTCCACAATTTGTTTTTGTGGTTTATATGTAGTTTATGCTGTATACTTTAAATATTCAATTAGATATAAGTTGAATCATTGTAGATTAAAACTATATGTCAACCTAGGAATGTCACTTAATTCTTTAATAATTTTGATTATGCACACACAAGAATGTTTAATAAAATTTCCAAGGAAAAGTCTATATCATCACAAATGCATATTTATGCTACCAACATACTTGATTACATCCTAAAATGATTGATAAACAGGTGAAAATACGTATTTAAAATTAAAACCTGTATACATTATATGAAACTGGTGTGCTGATTGAGACTCAGCCACAAGTGCAGGCAAACATTTCCAAACCAAGCTATACATGTTGGACCACAATGAATAATCTCATGCTGGGCTAATTTCATTTTTTCCTCATAGAAGTTAAAGAAAAAAAAAACATCAGTGTGGCTAACAATGAAATAAGATTAGAGCTATGGAAATGCTAGAATCAAATATACTAATAACCCAATTAAATATAAAGATACTATTTAATTTCACAACTTTTAAAAAATCTCTTATATACTTACAACTTTAGGCTTTATTTCTCTGAAAAATATTTAATTTCTATAATAAAGATAAATTATTTTTCAATATAGCTAAATGATAAAGTTATGCCAACATAACATTGCATGTTTAGAAAATATAGAAAGATTGTTATAGATATGTTTAGCAAAAATTCTTCTTTCCAGTAACCTCAGATGAATTTTTACTTGCAGTTAGAGTCTTTGTTTTCTTCTTATAGTTAAAGAAAAAGTTAACAAATCAATAGATCTTTAAATTTAAAACGATGTCATGAATCATTGTTAAACCCTAGGTTACTATGGCTATTGCAGAAAGGTAAAATTATATGATGCTGTTTTATTTTTAAAAAAAAATCAATAAAAGCAATTTTACTTGAGCTGTGATTTCAAAATTATAACCTACTGGTTTAAATTCACTGTATAACTGATTAAGTGGTAAGCAGAATATGATCATTAGGATAGCTTTAACAGAACAAGCTGTTAAAGGAAAGGGAATTTATGTATCAGACATAGTCTCTGTATATTTGGTTTTCTGTATTCAAAAAGCATATGTAGTAATATTTTTAAAAACTGTACCACAGTCCACTTTGTGTAATATTATTTTCTAGGATAACAGACTATAATACTCTGTGTGTGTAGAATTGGTCCTGATAGTAATGGCTATCACATACTGAGTAATCACTATGGGCCCGATACAGTGCCCAGCTGAAATGGTTTGGCTCTGTGTCTCCACTCGTCTCACTTTGAATTGTAATAATCTCCACCTGTTAAGGGCAGGGCCAGGTGGAGGTAATTGAATCATTGGGTCAGTTTCCCCCATAGCGTTCTCATGGTAGTGAGTAAGTCTCGCGAGATCTGATGGTTTGATAAGGGGAAACCAGTTTCACCTGTCTTTCATTCTCTCTTTTCCTGCCGCCATTGTTGTGAGATGTGACTTGCTCCTTCTTGCTTTCCACCGTGATTCTGAGGCCTCCCCAGTCATGTGGAACTGTGAGTCCAATTAAACCTCTTTCTTTTGTAAATTGCCGAGTCTCGGTTATGTCTTTATAAGCAGCGTGAAAGCAGACTAATACCCCAACACTTAATACAGATCTCTCATTTCATCATGCAACAATCCCTTAAAGGTAGATACTTTTTTCTCCCTATTTTAAAGATGTGGAAACTGAGGCTTAGAGTGATTAAGCAGCTTGGTCAGGGCCCAATCGTTTACCAGTATTTGTAACCCGACTTGAATTTAAGAAATCCAACCCCAGAGTGTAGTTTTGCGTTTGTTTTATAAAAAGGAAGCTTGACTCAGTTTTGAAGCCTTGACTACTAGAGGCTGGTCAGTTCCCCTTCGTTTTTTTTTTTTTTTTTTTTTTTTGAGATGGAGTTTCACTCTTGTCGCCCAGGCTGGAGTGCAATGGCCTATCTCCGTTCACTGCGACCTCTACCTCCTGGGTTCAAGCGATTGCCTCAGCCTCCCGAGTAGCTGGGATTACAGGCGCCCACCACCACATCCAGCTAATTTTTGTATTTTTAGTAGAGACAGGGTTTCACCATGTTGGCCAGGCTGCTCTCGAATTCCTGACTTCAGGTGATCTGCCCGCCTCGGCCTCCCAAAGTGCTGGTATTACAGGCGTGAGCCACTGTGCCCAGCCACTTTCCCTTCTTGAAAAGCTAGTTAAGTCCATACTCCATCCATTTTCCTTTTTGAATCTTATACTCTGATCCTCTATGTACCAGCCTTTATCATCCCAAGACCATATATCAGACAACTAGGGATAATCCTTTTTCCCCGAAGCACAGGATACTATTCAAATTACCCAATCCAGAGAAATTTAGGAAACCTAGCTATCCCCCGCTACTTGCCATACATTAGTTTCTCCCTACAGCTTCAACTTGCTGTTACCCTTTCCCAGGGTGCAACAACTGTTGGCCCTGCCTAGCAGTTTGGAGCTGTTAAGTAACTAGTTTGGAGCTGTTAAGTAACAAAGATTTCTGTCCTTCATCTATCCTAGTGTCATTGTGTTATATCTCATCATCAAAATAATCTTTAAATCTTATAAAACACAGAATCCATGCCCTCAATCCCAGCATTTCCTCCCACTTATAGTGAAGGTGTTTTGTTTTGTTTTGTTTGTTTTTTTGAGACAGAGTCTCGCTCTGTTGCCCAGGCTGGAGTGCAGTGGTGCAGTCTCGGCTCACTGCAACCTCCACCTCCCAGGTTCAAGAGATTATCTCGCTCAGCCTCCTAAATATCTGTGATTACAGGTGCCCACCACCATGCCCAGCTAATTTTTGTATTTTTAGTAGAGACATGTTTCACCATGTTGGTTAGGCTGGTCTTGAACTCCTGACTTTAAGTGATCCGAACACATCTGCCTCCAAAAGTGCTGGGATTACAGGCGTTAGCCACTGCACCCAGCCAAAGATGATAAATTATAGACCACTTAACTCTCTTTACCATGTACATTTAATTGGTCTGAAGTCATATTAACTGGAATTGGTTACAAGAACTTAAGCATTTCTTTCCACATGTTATGATAAAGGTCATATTTAAGGTAAAATTGAATTGAATAGGGCAAAGGAGATTATACAGTTTTTAAAAATAGGCTTTAAAATTATGCTTTCTGGTTGGTTTATAAATAAATAGTCAAGAAAATTTATCAGAAAGGAAAAGAATTATTGTGTTAGTCAATACAATGAAAATATAGAATAACTCAAATGAATAATAACTTTAAATAAGGCCCCTTGTACTTGAATACTTCAAAGATGAAAGCATTAGTGAAAAAGCC
This sequence comes from Homo sapiens, assembly GCF_000001405.40. Classification (NCBI taxonomy): domain Eukaryota; kingdom Metazoa; phylum Chordata; class Mammalia; order Primates; family Hominidae; genus Homo; species Homo sapiens. The sequence continues at coordinate 85,367,731 of NC_000012.12, forward strand.
CCCCCCGCCCCCCACCACCCCGCTGATGTCAGAAAGAAGTCATTGCAATGTGTAAACTGCTATGAATTACTTTAATAGTGTAATGCAGGGTTTGGAAAACTTGTAGAGAGTCAAATAGTAAATACTTTAAGGCTGTGGAGACCATAAGGTCTCTATCTTAACTACTCAGCTCTGCCTTTGTAATGTGAAAACAGCCATGGGCAGTGGTTAAGTGAATGGGTGTGTCTGTTTGCAAATAAAGCTTTATTTATATAAACAGGCAGCAGGTTGGATTTGGCCCCACGGGTCATAGTTTGCTGACCCCTGTTCTAATAGTCTAAATTATAGTTATGGCTTCCTTCTCATCCATGAGTGACACACTTTTATAGAAGGGACTTCCCTTTTTAGGAAATATGAGAGTCGCATTCCAGGGATAAAGTAACTCTAGAGTGATCCAGCCAAAGGCATTTTGTTTGAAACAATGTTATGATCATAATTCAACTGACCTTTTTAGGACAGTTGGGATAGGTCACATAAATAAAGACTGCTTTGTTGTGATACTACCAGTTTCAGCTTCACAAAACTCCTGATTTTTATAAGGTTTATCATCTGCTGCTCTGCATTTTGTATTTGTTAATTTCCAAAAAAAACTTGTACCTAGTAAACTATTCATCTCTCATATGAAGTGATTTATCAGTTGAGACTAGAAATGAATAACACCCTTTTATGACATATAAATAATAATCATAGTACAGGTTGAATATCCCTTATCTGAAATACTTGGGACCAGAAGTGTTTCAGATTTCAGATTTTTTTTTTCTTGGACTTTTGAATATTTGCAAAGAGATATCCTAGGGAATAGACCCAAGTATAAACATGAAATTTATTTATGATCCATATATACCTTATACAAATAGCCTGAAGGTAATTTAATACAATATTTTAAATATTTTAGTGCATGAAACAAAGTTTTTGTTAAGTACTTACATGTGGAATTTTCCACTTAGGGCATCATGACAGTGCTCAAAAGGGATTTCAGGCCAGGCGCTGTGGCTCACGCCTGTAATGCCAGCACTTTGGGAGGCCGAGGCGGGTGGATCACAAGGTCAGAAGTTTGATACCAGCCTGACCAATATGGTGAAACCCCGTCTCTGCTAAAAATATGAAAATTAGCTGGACATGGTGGTGGGCAACTGTAGTCTCAGCTACTTGGGAGGCTGAGGCTGGGAATCGCTTGAACCTGGGAGGCGGAGGTTACAGTGAGCTGAGATTGCGCCACTGCACTCCAGCCTAGGTGATACAGCAAGACTCCATCTCAAAAAAAAAAAAAAAAAAAGGATTTCAGATTTTCAAATTAGAGGTGATCAAGCTGTAATAATAACTACAATAAGAGATGCTAGATATTGAATATTTACTGTGCGAAATCCTGCTTTCTCTTCAAGACCCATTTTGTCTAGGAAGCCTTCTCTGACTCCATGGACTAAGTGTTGCATCCTTTTATTCCCCACCCCTTATAGCTCTCTGGTTTTCTTTGTATCACAGCACTTGTCACACTCCAAGAGTCTTACTATCATTTCCCTCCTCAACTGGTAATAAGTGCCTGGGGGGGTCAGGAATGATGATTTATTTATCCTTGCATCCCTAGGGAATAGCACAGTGCCTGGCTCCTAACAGGCTATCATGCTATAAATGCTTACAAAAGAAATGAATGAACGATACCTGGAGCCATAGTGGAGCTGGCTAGCCTCCTGAGGCCTATAGGAACTGAAAGGAAAAGCTGAGTCCTGGCATAATATCAAGGTTTGGATGAAAGGCCCATCACTCTGAATCATTCTAGCACAAATTATAGGCTTTAAAAATGGTTTGTGAATGTTAACGGTTTTGAGTTTACTGCACTGTAAGATATCTTAAATTTCGCTCCCTTCCCTGGGCCCCTACTCTTTCTGATTGTATGTTGGTTTGTTCACTCAAGTGAGGAAGAAAGGCAGTTTGAAAATAAACCACAAATACAGATTGTTTTCCTTGTCTGATTCCCCCTTTGTTTTTGTTTATCACAGAACCAGAACTAAGATGCCTTTAGAGATGTGTGCAGATAAGCTACCAGAAATGAAATTTCAGTTCAAGTTTGGCACTAAGTAAGCCACTCTCCCAAAAGTTTTTTACAATGTGCTGACTGTAATACTTTGACCATAAACCACTGGTAATAACAAGAAGTTAGGCCCTGGTTACAAACATATTACTGCATTGCCAAGCCCTTCAGTGGAATTCAACTACTACATATTTTTAGGTTAAAGAGAACTATATCTTCTGTGTTTCAGCCAAATTTGACTTTGGTTTCAAATTACCTCTGAGGAGAATTTTTAGCTGATAATTTATCGTATATGATTTGTCTCACATAGAGATATATTTATAGCACATTTGGTAAATAAATATCTTTTCTATTAAAAAGGCCAAAGCACATCCAGTGATAACTTCTTAACTTAAGCACATCCAGTGATACTTCTTAACTAAAGGTTGCCTGTGGAAAATATTGGTTCTTCTGGGGACTAAAAAGGGAAGTAGATAGAAATTCTGATATCTTAGGTCATTGGAAATAGGGAAGTGGGAGTGAGTAAATGTAGGGATTTCAGAAAAAAGAAAAAAAAAGACTATATATGTATATCTCTCTCTCTCTCTCTCACAGTACCTGGCTCCTAACAGGCTCTCATGCTATATATATATATATATATTTACATATATATATATATTTACATATATATACACACACACACACACATACACACACGTTTTACATATATACATATATATTATGTATATGCATATATATTATGTATATGTGTATATATATTACATATATACATGTATATATATTTGACATATATACATGTATATATTTGACATATATATATATACATGTATATATATTTGACATATATATATATGTAAAAAAAAAAAAAAAGGGACTCTGAGGTCTCCAGAGAAATATCTGGAAAAGTCTGAGGCTTCATTCTAGGGAGTATTCCTGCTAGGTCGGCACGAAAGCCTCTAATTCTGACTGGGCTTACTTGGTTATATTTACAGATATCACACATATGTGTCTTCAACACTTGTCATTTTTCATTTCCCCTTGGTTGATCTTTCCTCATTCCTTTTCTCTTGAAAGATAAAGTAGTGAAAACATTTGGATGAAAAGGGAAATCCCAGAATTTTTCTTCTAAACTCAATTGGATAAGATAACGTAAAGTAAATCTACATTTCTCTACTAACTTGCAATCTACAGCGCTGGTTAATAGAGCATACAGGGACTATCAATACCTTAAGAAACACTAAAATAAGAAACAAAAAAATGTTTAGGAAAGCAGTTTGTGCAAGGAGAGACTTCTCTAATTATTTACTTATTCCACAAATATTTACTGATTGCTGGCTATATGAATGAACATAGGTGAAAAGTAATTTTAAGAAGTTATTGTAATTCATATTTCCTTTGCTAGAGCAGCTTAATCTGTAGTAAAAATTTTCAATTTGACATTTTAAAATTATGGGTTCTCTGAGAAATTTTAACTCTCAAATTCCAACATAGGTCTTATTTGTGATAAACCTGAGCACTGACCTTTGTAAGTTTTACTTACTTGGTTATTATTGTAATTGATCTTAAGGCAGTTTTTCATATTCTTTGAGCTCTCTTCCAAATCATTCCTGACACATAATTCTACCAACTGCTAAACCTAATCTTCCATAATAATTTGTGTTTACATGTTCTAATCTTACTGTCAATTTAAGAGGTATTAATGAGTAATACTGAATATATTCTCAGAAAAAAATGGTTGTTTTATTTACCTAAATAAAACACTTAGGTTTTAATAAGACTGTTAGAATGCTTATGCATAGTTCTATGATATATGAAGTTGAAGATTTTTCCTTTTAATTTAAAAAAGTTCTCTTGCATTTAAGGAATGAAAGCCATTCTAACTTGAGTTCATGGTTTATTATATTAAGGAGGCTTAAGCTACAGACTTTGGTGTCATACCAATTGTAATGGTTACTGCTTATTCCTGTTTTTAACAGGAAGCTTTTAATGGAAACAGAACACACAAACAAGTGCACAGAACAAAAATATCTGCTTCTTTTCACTAATTAGCATAGTCATATACAGTCATGGACTACATTTATAAATGTAAGGTGAAATCACCTTTTCAAAAACCTGAAAGTTTTAAGTTTTGGATTCATTCATCTGGTTGTCTTTCTTTGGGAGCAAAGCTAGGAAAAAAAAATACGAGTTTCTCTAAGTTTAAGTCAATTTTTCTGGAGCATTTAATAGCACACTTGCACTACGCATTATGAAGAAACATAAGCTCTACACATTGACATATTTACATTTAACCTTGCTTAACCTTATCCTTGTAGTTTTTTTTAAGGAAAATAATACCAGTCTCTCTGAGCATTGTTCTTCCTTAAGCTTTTGTCAGATCTTCGTAGAGGATAATCACTGTGGCAAAAAATTCAAGAAACTAAAGGTAATGGGTAATGTTGATTCAACATTTTACACAGTTCTTGGAAATAGACATGCCATTTGAAAGCAATCTTTTCATTAGCAAGTCATTTTTGCCTACTATATACAAGGATAATAATGAAAGAATTGCAACATATTCAGTAATATATTCAGTCATACACAGTCAGATATGCCAATTCATTTATAAATCTATACATGAATATTTAATGTAGTTGACTCAGGTATATAGAGTTTTTAGATGCAAGTTTAAATTATTTAGACTACAAAATTTAGAAGGATACAGTGTAGTGTAGTCAAAAGAACACTGAACTTTGAATCAAGATGTGTTCTGTTTTATTTTTCACGGGGGTTTGGTGTACAGATTATTTGATCACCCAGGTAATAAGCATATTATCTGATAGGTAGTTTCTCAATACGCATCCTCCCCTTACCCTCCACCCTCAAGTAAGTCCTGGTGTCTATTGTTCCTTTCTTTGTGTCCATGTCTACTCAATATTTAGTTCCCACTTATAAGTAAGAACTTGTGGTATTTGATTTCCTGCTTCTGCATTAGTTTGCTCAGAATAAGGGCCTCCAGCTCCTTCCATGTTGCTGCAAAGGACATGATCTCATTCTTTTTTATGGCTATGTAGTATTCTACGGTGTATATGTACACATTTTCTTCATCCAGTCTACTGTCAATGGGCATTTATGTTGATTCCAAGGAAGACGTGTTGTGATTTATATTCTAAGACTACTAGCAGCATGATTTTAGGCTATTTTAGTGCCAAAGGCCTTGATTTCCTTATCTGTTAAATTTCCACACATTTTTAACATTCAGTGATTCCTTATGGCTGAGAGGCTAAATAGATACTAATAATTTGATTTGAATGAATTCAGTGTTTTTAATGGTTACCTAACTGGCTTGCTTAAACTTATCCTCGTATTTTTTTTTTTGAGTTCAACTTTTGGTTTTGTTTTGTTTGTTTCATTTTTCATAGTATCATCTCTTCCGATTGTTAGTGGTTTTCTATAATTTGATATAGATTCTTGATTACGTAACATTTTGATTTAGGAGAGGTATAAAGTACTGATAGATGTAGCAAAGATGATCATAAAAACAAATATTCTATGATCATCTTTGTGTACTTACGGTAGTGATTAAAAAGGTAGTTTAACTTGCAGCATCTATTTTATAAATAGATTTTATTTTTTAGAGAGGTGTTAGGGTCATAGCAAAATTGAGGGGAAAGTGAAATAAAATTGAGAAGAAGGTACAGAGACTTTTCATATATCTCATTTTTATATCCATATTATATGTAAAATAATTAGCTTGAAATCTGTGCCATTTTAAGCATCACTTGTTGATTCAGATAATTATGACTACTATTCATACAATTAAAATCTGAATTTTCTCCGCATCTTTTTCCGAAACTGTACTTATTAAGCTTGTGAAATATTACATTGAGTCATCACTTGTTATCCCTTATTTTCCTTGACCTTTGCTTAATATTTACACTCTCCTAAACACCCCTCCCCATGAACATTTGAAATCTTCTTTCCTCTGGCCATTTGGATTCATAATTCTTTGTTGGCTCACTGCCTACATACTCAATATTGACATACTCCATAGTTCCATTCTAGGATCTCTTCTGACTCCACTCATTGCTAGGTGAGTTTATGACTTCAATAAAATGCCCTCCAAATGTATACCTCTAATTTTCAACTCTATCCCAGATCCAGATTCATGTTTCTAATAGCAGCCCATTCCATTTAGATCTCCTGCAAGACCCTCAAAATCAACACTAACAGAAGTAATATTTAGTAATCTCTCTCTTCAATAATGTTTCTTCTCCTCTAATGTTTATTCTTAGTACTGGCAAGTCATCTATGCAGTGATCTAAGAGAGAAATCTGAGACTCATAAAATTCTTTATTTCTCATGGCTTCCTAGTTATAGAAACAGGCTCTAGCATCCATGTTTGAGTGTGAATTTCAGCTCTATGGGTCTTGTACTTCCTACTGTTGTGACCTTGGAAAATATGGTTGACTGCCCATTGCCTTAGTATCCTTATCTGTAACATGGCGATAATAGTAGAATGAACCACTTGGGGTTATTCTGAGAATTACATTTATTAAATAAGCATGAAGTTTTTAGAATGTTATCTAGCAAAGAGTGAGCACTCAGTAAGTGTTAGCTATTATTGTTATCATCATCATCATAATTATAATTTTCAAGTGATGCTTTTGACTCACTGTTATTGCCTTTTTCTGGGACTTTGTGGTCTCAGTCTTAGACTGTTGAGTTCTAGATTCTTCAAAATTATCTTGCCTTCAGTCATTCCCCTTCTTAATTTATGCTTTTCTCTGTTAATTGAGTGATCCTACACACTTTTAATAAAATTTGCCATATAATCTGCTTATATTATTTGCATATTCCTCTACTTGACTGATATTTATAAGAAGGATAATGTCTTATATATCTTTTTATTGCTAACCCTTGGCATAGAGCTAAAACTTAAGTTTTTGTTAAACAACATAATAAATGAAAGTTTATTTAGAACTAAGTTGTAATTCAAGGCTTAAGATTTTTATGGTTATCAAATTATATTTACTAAATAGAGTGCTGAACAGACCAAAAATGTAAATGGTACTAATATTTGGTATGCATTTAAAACATATAATTTATAATACATTCATGAGTGGAGGTGAGCTGTAATTTCCAAAATAATGTCTGTTAAGTTTGAACTCCATAGTCCATTTAGAGGAATCTTACACAGATTGTTGCAGGAAGTTTTTAGGCCTAATCAAACACTTTCTGTCTAAATACACCCCCTCTGGTTAATCTTTAACCATTGCACGAAAGCAATTAGAAGCCACTTTTTAATGTTTTCTTAAAGAATTAAGAATCCATGATAGGCCCTCTCTAACTAATCCTGCTAGGAAATCTAAGAACTTTAGTGATTGTTGAGCCCAGCATTAGGAGACAAGTATTTGACACCTTCCTTTTCTCCAGAGTACCCAGGACAACACAGCAGGCTCTCCTGTTAGATAAGGTGTATGTTAAAACTGCCAATTCATGTTTTATTCTGGCTGGTTGGCTTATAATGGGTAATCTTTTGAGAAAACAAAAATGGTAGAATATTTGGAGCCATGAAAAGACAAAATAATTTCTTCTGAGTTTCTTCTTTGAATATGTTTTGGCTGTGCCAAAGGATTCATTAATTCAGTCAGTATAAGCATCAACTCCAAATCATTCTGGGAAAAAGTTGTCTGTTTATTCAATCATAATTTACTTCACTTCAAATTTGGACATGACCACAGAATTATACTCAGAGCAACAATCCAGGACGTTGATTAAATGATGGGTTTTATTGAGTTTGAAAATTAATTAGAACTTTCCAAACATAGAATTATACTTTTCTTCTGTGGTGAATTATTGCCATAGATTGAAACATCAATTATACATGGATTTAGATGCCAAGAACATTTACTTCCAAATGAATAAGGATTTATGCATAGCGATCATAACTGTAAATATGAATTTGAGATTATCATAATATTCATTCTGTATATTACTTAAATGAGAAATAATTATTGTCTTCTGAAATCATTTAAATTTTGTTATTCATTTTCTATATTAGAATTTTAGTTTGATCCTGTTTATACTTTGGTTTTTACTAAATTATACGCTGCTTCTTTGAGAAACTGTCTGTGATATTGTCTTTGTATTATCTTTCCGTGATGCTTTTAACATACTAGATATTTAAAAAATAACCCAAACTTCCATTTAGGTATATAAATAGTAAATTTATAAATTTATATTACTATTTATATATCTAAATTTACTCTTTATATACCTTTAATCCTTAAAGCAACCTTATAAGTATTTTAATGTATATTTTATAAATAAAAAAGCAGAGGGTCAGAAAATTTGAAGAGCTCCTCATCCAGTTTCACCAGGATAGGAAATGAAGAGGTTATGTTTACACCCAGATCTTTTTTCACTATGTCACACTGCATTACATATTGATTATTAGTAAAGGTAGACATTTAAAAAATACTATATAGGTTCTAGGAAAATCTTTGGTTAAAATATATTCAACCAAATAATTGAGAAAAAAAATTCCCTGGGTGCTATGACTTAAGTTTTCTCTACTATAAGGTTACCTGTCACCTCAGTGGATGAGTGTAAGGGATGATTCTGTCCTAAACATGGCTGAGCTCAGAAACTAATGTAGGCCAGATATTCCAATTAATGTTGAAGTGCTCATGAAACCGTTAGGTCTGATTTGGTGAATTCAACTAAGAGTTCTAGTCTTGTACATGGTGAAAAAAACAGTAGGAGATGTGTCAGTAGAAGTATTCTTTCAGGCAGGCTGCTGCTCGTAGTTCCTTGTGGGTTAATAAGGATCATACTCAGCATCTGGGATTCAGGGACAGTATCTGTCTCCCAAATCTCCAAAGCTCACCTCAATGAGAAGAATGCAGATAGGGCTAGGTAAGGGTAAGGAACTAGCCAACTTGGTTTAGGTTCATGTTAGGGCCCCATTCCAGTGGAGACAGTGAACTGCAAATCAGTACATCCCACTTAGGAACTTTCACAGCACACAGTCACATACACTAAGATCTGTGCACGAATAACCAAGCTGCTTATTGTGATTAGTTCAAAGATGTGCCCATATATCAAGCCAGAATACTGAGAATCCCTTCTAGGATTCTTTCTTTAAATCATAGAAAGAGAAATTATGCAGTTGTTAGCTACAGTAATGTACACTAAAGTTTCTGTGGGTTACTATGTCAACTACTCTGAGAATATAACTAACACAGAGAAAGATGATTGATGAGCGAGAACAAAAAAGACAAAAAGGGAGAAGATAAGGGAAAGAGGAGGAGGACAGAGAAAGAGAAAAAAAGAGCCTAGTTTTCTTATATTGTTTGAGCACCTAGTTCCAGACATTCCTGATCTATTTGCGGAATTTTACACTTCAAATACTATTATTATTATTATTTTTTACTTAAGGTAATTTGATTTTACAATGTGAACTCCTCATATTAATGAATAACAACCTTGGAAAAGTCACTTCATGGACTTTATCATGAAATGGGGATATTAAATAAACATAATAATACTAACAATAATAATAAATGATGTCAGTCTTGCATGACTGTTATAAATAGTGAATGATATAATACATGTGAAAGGCAGAAATAATTACTAATTATTATTCTTTAAAGAGTTACCTGGGTACTTTGTATTTTGTTGACAAACATAAAAATATATGTCTAGCATTGAAAAGGGATATGATCGTCATTATTATAGATAACAGGATCTTTTATTTAGAAAGTCCCCCAAATACAGAAAAAGATTTAGGGAGTAATGTAAGATTTTTGTCTTTTTTTTTAAAGCTGGATATAGAATTAATGAATAAACATTTTTTGTGCTTTCAGTTTATATACCAGCAAAAATAACTGGAAATTGCAATTAAGTAGAAGATAATACTGCTTGCAGTATTCTCAGAGAATATCAAGTACATAGATAAAGCTAACATACAGTGTGAAGGACCTCTGCAAAGAAAATTTTAAAACTTTATTAGTAGATATGAAAGAACACAAATAATGTGAAGATTACGTTCAATTTTCCCCAAATAAGTTATTAATTAAAAGCAATTTTAATCAAAATCTCAGAGTTTTCCATGAAATTTGATAAAATGTATGTGTTAGAGTAAATGTTCAAGATCAGCTATTAGATATCTTAGGAGGAATATGAAATGGGAATTGCCATATCCACTGTCAGAACTTAGTATGAATCTACAGTAAATTAGACAAGGTGGCACTAGTTCAAAGAAAGAAAAAAAAATGACCAATGGAATTCTAAAGAGGGAGCCCAGAAGAGTGGCTGTGTGGCTGTGTCACTTTATCTAAGTTGGAACAGTGATTCCCAGAATTGTCATAATTTTGCGTTGGATGACATTTCCAAAACCTTCATTCATTTTAGTAGTTCAAGGGCTGATTCACATTGTTTTCAGTGAATTTTTCCTGGTTACCTTAGCCACAAGTAGACCATACCTGTACCTCTTGCATATTTTAGGAAACAGACCTTCTTTGGAAAGGTTAGCATGGTGCCTTAGTTGTAGGAAGTAAAAACAGGTTGCCAAGGGGGAGAATTCAAACACAACGTAGAAAGCAAGCTTATTCCTAGTCTAGGGGCTTTAAAAATGATCTGTTGTTATTGTTGGCAGATTATAAAGTTCTACTAAGGACACATTGAAGGAATACCACAATATTTTATCTTCAATTTAAGTAAATAACCACAAAATGTATCATTCCAAGGTTGCTGCTGGCTGAACATTTTATCAACATGACATTTTAATATAGAGAATAGAAATTCTCAAACTTTGCTCCTTAAGATATTAATAGACACTTCTATCAAGAAAGAAAAAAAAGGAAGAAAAGAAAAAAGTAAATTTGGATATATTTGGCAAATGCTGTCAAATATTAACTACCCATGGCTAATTAACAATGTCAACTAGCATACAAAATTATATGGAAAAGCTGGCAGGAAAAGTGTAGACTGTTTCCTCCCTTTAAATCTGGATCAGACTTTTAACTACTTCAACCAGAAGAGTAAGGCAGAAGTGATATTGTATGACTTCGAATAGTAGGTCATAAAAAAGACGTAGCTTCCACTTGACCCATACTGTTTGGAATGCTAGCTCTGGGTAAGCCAGCCACCATGCTGTAAACTCAAACTGGGTTTGGATCGTAATCTGAAAGACAAAAACCTGAATGCCATAATCCTGAATGTTAAAATCCCCAAAGATCAAAATTCCTTATGTCTAAAATCCCAAAACATCAGACCTTGAAAATATAATTTTGGAGACGAAAATATCAAAGACATTATTTACATTTTAAAAATGGGGTTTAGGGCTGGGTGCGGTGGCTCAGGCCTGTAATCCCAGCACTTTGGGAGGCTGAGGCGGGTGGATCACGAGACCAGGAGATCGAGACCATCCTGGCTAACACGGTGAAACCCTGTCTCTACTAAAAATACAAAAAATTAGCTGGGCGTGGTGGCGTGCACCTGTAGTCCCAGCTACTCGGGAGGCTGAGGCAGGAGAATGGCGTGAACCCAGGAGGTGGAACTTGCAGTGAGCGGAGATAGTGCCACTGCAGTCCGGCCTGGGCAAAAGAGCGAGACTCCGTCTCAAAAAAAAAAAAGGGGGGGGGGTTTATTTGAAAACATATAAGAACATGAGAGGATACTTCATCAGCTACTTTACACAATAAGACATACAATAACAGGACACATATTTTTGCAAGCATAAACACTAATATATACTAACAAGTCACACAAATATAACAGTTATAAATCAACCATATTTATAAAGAAATAGGTCGAAAAGCAAAATGCATAAACATATATCACTATGGTTGGCAATTGTGTGCACCCAACTTTTTAACTGTGGTCATGTAAAATACTATGATGGACACACTGAGTCTTTTGACAAGATCTATCAAATACTGCAATGGGTCCCAACAAAGTATGCAGTTGCCCAAAGAGCTGAGATCTTGAAAAAATTTTTTCTTTCACAAATGCAGATATACAAAGTAAGATATATCTTCATGTATTGAGGATCAGAGTTTTTATATTCACTCACAATGCTTACACATGAAGTGAACATTGTGATAATGCATTTTTGTGGAGTCAAATTTGAAGAAGAAAATATAAAAGTTTTTAAACAATGATGTAATGATTAAATATATAACAGCAAACTGGCATTACGGTACAGAAGTACACTATCAAATTACTTGGTAGAGGAGATTTCAAGCATTTTTCACCTGTGTTTTCACCTCTATGATCTTCAAAATACTCTGCACTTGTGTTTGGAGAGTGGTTGTGGTCCATACATTCCATAAGTGTATGCTGTGCATTTGAAAATCTGGTTATTGCTCAGATATCACAAGCAATTTTCTGCTTTCACATGCAGTACCTATAATAGTTAGCTTTTAAACTTTTATCATTACGCCATTATCACAGCCTTTTTGTGAGGGAATAATTTCACAGATCTCTTTCATTGTGTTGTATACAGTAAAAGGAGTAACACTTAGCTTCCCTAATACCACATCTGTGTTAGTCAGAGTTCTTCACAGAGACAGAAGCATTAGGATATGTATATAAATATATGAGAAGGGATTTATTATGATAATTTGTTCACACAATTATGGGGCTGAGAGTCCCATGACAAGCTGTCTGCCAGCTGGAGACCTGGGAATGCCAGCAGCATGGCTCAGTCCAAGTCTGAAGGCCTGAGAACCAGGGAAGCTGATGGTATAGCCAAAAGCTTTGGGACCTGGGGAGCCACTGGTGTAAGTCTCGGAGTCCAAAGGCCGGTGAGTCTGGAGTTCTCATGTCCAAGGCTGCAGAAAAAAAGTCTGTCCCAGCTCTCAGAGATAGGGACCAATTTGTCTTCTGAATTTGTTCTCAGGGCCCATGGCCTATTAGATGGTGCCCATCAACACTGAGGGCAGATCTTCTCCACCTAATTTACTTACACTCAGATGCTAATCTCTTCTGGAAACATCCTCACAGACACACCCAAAATAATACATTACCAGATTTCTAGATATTCCTTAATCCAGTCAAGTTAACACCAAAAATTAAGTCCATGCAACTGTCTTTCACACAACTGAAAAATGCACTAATTTCTTCCCCAGAATTCAGCTTTCAGGATTTTAACACTTAGGGTTTTAATGTTTCAGTATTGTCTGGATTTTAGACATCAGGGATTTTAGATTTTAGGGATTTTGACTTTGGGGATTTCAACATTTTGGATTATGGAGTTTGGATTATGATCAGCACAAAGTTGTCTCAACACTATGAATTAAAAAGTTTGTGTTTGCCCAGGATTGAAGATGCAGTCTTCACTTTAAAACAAATGTGATAAGTGTAATAGAATCACTTTTAACTCTCAATTCTGTCCTTTCCATCTTATTTTACATGCACTGTTTTAATTATCTAAGCTTTTTTTTTTTTTTTTTTGAGATGGAGTCTTGCTTTGTCGCCCAGGCTGGGCACGATATCAGCTCACTGCAACCTCTGCCTCCCAGGTTCAAGCAATTCTCCTGTCTTAGCCTCCTGAGTAGCTGGGATTACAGGCATGTGCTACCACACGCAGCTAATTTTTGTATTTTTAGTAGAGATGGGGTTTCGCCGTGTTGGCCAGGCTGGTCTCAAATTCCTGACCTCAGGTGATCCACCTGCCTTGGCCTCCCAAAGTGCTGAGATTACAGGCATGAGCCATCTCGCCCAGCCAATTATTGAAGCTTTTTATTGTGTGCTATTTTACTATCTGATAGGGCTGGTCTCCTTACATTGTTTTCTTACTTAGAGTTTCAGTGGCTTTTATTGTTCATTTATTTTTCTTGCTGTAAATTCGAATCAGCACATCCATTTCTTCCAGGGTTGAAAATAAATAAAACCTGTAGAAACCTTTTCATTGTTATTGTATTGAATTTCTTAATTTTATTGTTCCTGTTGATATGGTACACAAGACTTTCTCTTCCATTATATTTTTACCTAGATCTTGTCATTTATGATGACAGTATATCTCTGTATTATTTTTAAATCACTATGTTACTGAATTATCTTTTTGTTTGGATAGACGTTTGTTTGGATAGCTAGAGAATAATTGCATCTACAAATAATAAAAACTTTACCTTCCCATTTATATACATCTCTTTATTTTCCTAATATATTTTCACTGGAGAATACCTACCAAAAATGTACAATATATAGTTGTGACAGCAACAGCCTTTTATTATTACTAGCTTTAATGAAACTGTCCCCAGTATTATTTTTCCATTTAATCTGATGCTGGCTTTCAGACTGATATGAATATAAATGTTCAATCAATATCTGTCTATTTTTCTATCTATCCATATCTTCCCTTCTCTAAATTTTGTTTGTTATGCAATCTCTATAGTGTCCAAAAATATAACCTTCAATTTCACTCTTTTACTCTAATCACCCTCCCCACCTTTTATTTTTGGATCTGCAGTTAAATGTAGTCAGTGCTAGTAGGTCATCTTTTTACTGCTATTTGAATGGAATTCATTATCAGGCAGTCTCTTCAAGGACTATGTGAATGCTCTTCCCTGAGTACCTTCAAGTTAAAAACCATTTGTTGGGCAAGGGGAGGAGAGCATTAGGGCAAATATCTAATGCATGCGGGGCTTAAAACCTAGATGATGGGTTGATAGGTGCAGCAAACCACCATGGCACATGTATACCTATGTAACGAACCTGCATGTTCTCCGTATGTATCCCAGAACTTTAAGTAAAATAAATAAATAAACAATGATAGAGATGCAACTTCATCTAATTATAAAGATGTTTATTGCGGTGTTGTTTATCATAAAAAGTTGAAACTTCCTAAGTACCTAACAACACAAGGTTAAGAAAACATTGGTAAATCCATATATTAAAAAATAGAATTGATGTGGAAAGATGTTCAAGATAATGGTGAAATAAAAAAGTAGATTGCAAAACAGTAGGCACAGTAGGATCCTATTTTGGTAAAAAAGACATATGTCTGTGTTAGCTGTGTACACATAAGAAATGACTAGAAGGTATGTAGAGTGGGTCCCTGTGGGTGATGAGATTACAAGTAATTTGGAAATTCTTCTTTTTGGTTCTCTATATGCTCTGCAAATAACTAGAGGTAGTTATCACTGGTACCTGTTAAGTGCTGATTATGTCTCCCCAAATTCAAATGCTGGAGTTCAGGATATGACTATTTGGATACAGGATTTTTAAAGAGGTAATTGAGTTAAAATAAGGTCATATGAGTGGGCCCTAATCTGATATGACTGGTGTCCTTATAAAAGGAGGAAACTTGGACACAGACATATATAAAGGGAAGTCCATGTGAAGACATAGATAGAAGACAGCCATCTACAAGCCAATAAGAGAGGCCTTAGAAGAAAGCAACTCTGCTGACACCTTGATATTAAACTTTTAGCCTGTGAAACTGTGAGAAAATACATTTTTGTTGTTTAAAAAAATTTTTTTAAATGTCTTTACCCTACATACCTGAAGGAGAGCTTATAGGAATGTGAAGAAGATTCATATGGAATGTTGTGTGCAAGTCTGATACCAGCTTCATTGTTTTCTCATATATGTGACACAATATTTTTTGCCTGGATTCTTTAATTTGAAAGTCAAATAAATTTACAAAGAAATGTAACATTGTCCTGAGTGAATTTTTCTTGGTACACAATATGGTCTTTCAATATATGAAATGATATAGTTCTGTTTCAGAATGTTTTCTTTAATTACATATTTAACTTTTTGTCTTGTCTCATTGTTTAGTTTCCTTCAGGAATTTCAGTGATATGTACAGTGGAATCACCTTTTCCTTTTATGTTTATCATTTTTCTTTTAGTGGCTACTGTCCTTTTCTGTAATTTAAGCCATTATTTCTCAAGTATTTTGGCTATTTTCCTTCTATTTACTTCCTGAGAGCTACAGTTTTCCCTTTCTCTTTCTTCTGTGGTATGCTTCCTACCTATTCCAGCCTATACTGCTGTTCTCAGCATTCTTGTATTCCTGATCTTCTCTTAAATCAACAATTGCTACATTGTTGTTGTTTTTATGGTGGTTTTCATGTAGTAATGTTGAATTGTAATTATTGAAGACATTGTGAGATTTTTTTCCTTGTGAATTTTTTTCTAGTGAGTTTTTCTCACATGTATAAAAGATTCATAACTTTAACTTTTGTTGTAACAGTATGCAGTGTTTTAAAATTTTCTTTAAATATTTATATGTAAGACAGATAAATTTTCCTGGATGAGCTGATAGCAGATAAATACTATTATATGTATATGGCAAGTGGAATGGAGGGAGGCAAGGAGAGGGACAGGGTAGCTTCGAAATATACAATCCTTGCTCCTTGTCCCTCTAGGTATGTGGGATTCTGTAACTTATTCAGATGATCTGGACTTTGTGTAATTTTGCTTACTTCATTGGTCTGATGTGAAGAAGTCAAGCACAGTGCTGGTTATATAATGAATATGCAGTGGGTGAAAATTCTCATTCTACCTTCTGTCTAACCTGATTTGTCTAAGCTGTAGAAATTATAAAATGGTTGGCTTCTATTGTAGCATACATTAAAACACAAAAACCAAGTAAGTGTTCAAATATAAAAACTGGTCTCTGTTCTCTGCCCAGAACAATGAGGTTAATGCAAATAAATAAATAAATAAAGAACAAAGAATTACTGCAGATTTTCTGCGTACCTTATTTATTTATTTACATCAACTACATTGTCTTGGTCAGAAAGCAGATACCAATTTTGATCTGTTCCATAGGGAAACTTTTTGATACTTGTTAATCATTTGAGTGAATGGAAACTTAGAGGTGCTAAAAGGGAGGATGAATGAATATCATTTCAAAAGTAACAATTCTCATCAACAAAAAGAAGACTCTTGGCTTTGAGTAGCAAAAGATTCTTTTGTCAGGGCACATTTATTCATCATGTGTACGAAAGCTCAGTGGAAAATATTAGTATAGTTATGAGATTAAGAAGTTTTTGACATAAGTATGAAATCATTAATTATTCAAATGTATCACTTCAATTAAAAATATTTGTAAACATTTAATAAATAGGGCATCTTTAATATTTGATGTTAGAATGGCTTAGTCATACCATCAAAATTAAAGAAAATATAAATTAAAACTATCTAAATTTTTAATAATATATTCAAAAATAAAGTCAATATGCACACAACAGTATAAAAAGTTATGTATTTTTTATTTGAAAAAGTAGATTTCTAAGTTAAGTATCTAAGTTTGTTCTGGATCATATATATAAAACTATGAAATTATTTTGTGTAACTGTGTACTTCTTCATGAAGAATTAGGTCATCTTGATACATTAAGAGACAGGGCATTTATTGATAAGCTTTAATAGTAAGGTACACATACTGAAGCCTATTTTAGAAAATATCTTCCAGTGGATACTTTAGAAAACTTGGGTAATTTATGAAATTGAACTTGGCAGCTTAAGAGAAAGACATAGTTTATATGCTATGGCTACTGTATTTCAGCAACTTGTTTGTTTAAGAGCAGCTTTTTCATTTAAATAATTTTTTAGAAGAAAAACATCAGAGAAACTTCAAACTTTTTTTTATTTGTTAGAAATTAAAATATTCATAAGTGTTTATCCAACATAAATGAAATTATTTCTCCTCTTTTGAAACTTTAGGTAAAAGCTTAGTGAAAATGAACTTCCTCTTTAAAGATTTACAATTCTTCATATTTCTTTTCATGGGAACAGAAAGGCTGAAATATCATTTTCCCTTTAAGAGTACAGTATTTTTGTTTCAGAGCCAAACTAAACTAAAGCCATCTGGGAAACTGCCCTTCCTCACCTTTCAATTTATTTACCTAGTGGAGATGATGACCCACAACTCTTACTGTTTTCATATTTCAGTTCACCTAACAACTTTGAATAAATACCATCCATTTGCCTATATGATTTTTATTTGTTTTTATTATTTTTAATTTGTTCTCTATATGTCTATCTCTTTATCCAAAAATAAAGTTCTTAACAATATATAATTATCTCTTTCTCTCTCTTTTCCTCGTTTCTCTTGCTTTATCTCAATTTCCAGTATGATGAAAGTCACAAAACATATATTATTAGTTACTCCCTTAATTTAACAGAAAGTGATGACCTATGAGACTTGGAAGATTTTAGCTTCTAAAACTAATATAGTTTCTAAATCTAGTAAAGAGCATTTAAAAACATTCTCTTTTATTTTCAAATTCCTATTGTATATATTTCAAATCACACTATGCATTATTGCAAAGATCTCCTGTGTTCTCCTTATGGTACGTATTTTCTCCTCTTGGTGCTTAGTCTAGCCCTAGATACCCAAGAGACAATGATCAGTGAGAAAGATGTTGGATCTTCCTTCATGGAGGTCCAGCCACTTAGAAATGATAGACTAAAAAACAGTCAAATATGTAGAAGAGTTAACAATTGTGGTAACTGCTATTAACAAATAAATTAGGTACTGAGGTAGAAAGTGATAGGAAGACCTACTTTCGATTAGATAGTCAGGGAATTGTTTCCTGGGGACGCCAACTTAAGGTGAGACATGAAGGATGAGGAGATAACCATGCAAATAGCTTGACTCAGCCTGACATTACTGTCAATATTAAGATTTCCATGTGACATATTATATATCTTTCTTCTACTTCTCTGTTGTGTGTGTGTTTGTGTTTGTGTGGGTGTGGGTGTGGGTGTGGTTTTTGAAGTATCTTTCCTTTACCTTTTTCATTACTGTTAGCTTTTGTTAAAAAACCTTATTAACCCCATTAACAGACTCTTTTTCCACTTTGACTTCCCTTTCAAACTATTCTCTCAGCAACTTGTACATATCTATTAACTTTCTACCCGGCCCCCAAATTCTTAGTTTTTAATAGTCTTAATTGGAGGCTTGGAGATCAAGCCTCCAATTCTTTTAAAGAACAAATGAAACATTAACACAAATTGGTCAAATTCTATGTCACAAATTAACATTAAATACCAAAATTTATCATACAGACTATGTTGTCTGATCATAAAGCAGTGAAATGGATAGCTTTAAAAAATCTCATGTATCTGGAATCTCCAAAGCATTCCATTAAAAAACAAAGAACAACAGCAACAGTGTAATCTTAGAACTGAACCATGGTAAAAATAAATAAGAAAACAAAATCTGTGAAACACTGCTAAGAAAAGTAATAGTTAAAAATACAAAATAAACAAGAGCAAGAAATATTTTAAAATAAATGAATTGAGTTTAACTGGAAAAGCTGAAATGAAAGCCACAAACTAAAGAAATAAGAGAAAAGTAAATTATAAAGACAGAGGAAGGAAAGAATACTATAGAGAACAACGATACAAAAATAAGAGTAAGAAAATCACAAACTGTTTTCTTCAAAAGATTAACAAAATAATCAGTTTTCAATAGTTATCCTGAAAAAGGTATAAGCAATTAATAAAAATGAACAAATAACTACAGATAGCAGATATTTACAAGTAATGAATGACAAGTTTAAAATGATGGTTTTGAAAAACATGCACTAGAAATTAAACATAAACAACATTCTGAAGAATATAATTTTGCTACAATGAGCCATTAGCCATGAAGGAAGACCCCAGGAACAAATGGTTTCATAGGTATATTGCATCAAATTCCATGAATCAGGAAATTCCTTTCTTATACCATTTTTTCCAAATAGGAACATTCAAAAAGTGCTTTCATTTTGTGATGCTAGTGTCATTTTGATGTCAAAACAGATATTGACAGCACACACACATAAAGGGAAAATTACTTAGTATGAGCCTAGCTTAATCATGAATACAGATTCAACAATTGTAAATAAAAGCTCAATTCAACAGTGAATAAAATTATATACAAAAATAAAAAAGTTTGTTGTAGAAAGGCAAGAGTGGTTTGACATTAGAAACATCTGTATAGCTGATGTAAGGATTTTGGGTTTTATCTGTCTGGTCTCAGATAAATGTTAAATCCTTTGTAGGTTTAAGCATGGGAGTAAATGTCAAATTTACCTTATGGAAAGACCATTCAATTTTCAATGTACATTTTTAATTGAAGTGAAAAAGGACTGGAGGATTGGAGATCATTTAGGATATTATCACACAAATCCATGAAGAGGTGACTAGGATTTTAACTTTAGTAGTGTCATTGGCTGTTGAAAGGATAAAAAGGAAAATGAGTAGGATATATTTTGTCATCAAGCTGCAACTTCTTTGAGCACGAAAGAGTGTAACCCATATTTAAACTAGAACAACAGGTAAAGTCTAGAACTTCCC
Organism: Homo sapiens; assembly: GCF_000001405.40. Taxonomy (NCBI): domain Eukaryota; kingdom Metazoa; phylum Chordata; class Mammalia; order Primates; family Hominidae; genus Homo; species Homo sapiens. The sequence goes on from NC_000012.12 coordinate 85,388,088, forward strand.
AGGGCTAGCAAGGATCTGTTGTCACCATTCATACAAGGAACTATCAGAGAACAAAATATGCAGAATTTGGCAGTAATTAAATGTGTGAAGTGAGGGAAAGAATGGAACAAATAATGACTCCCAGATTTCTGGCTTGGATCACTAGTAAATAATGGAGGAGAAGATTGGGGGTATGAGAGTGGAGTGGGAATATGATGAAATTATTCTCAGAGATGTTGAGTTAAATTTGCGTGTAAAATATCAAAAGGGAGAAGGCACTTGAGTGAATTTTTCTGACAGTGGTCAGAAGAGAAGTCTGGATAGAAGGTATGGACCTGTATGACTCAAGACAGAGATGGGAGTTCAGTCCCTGAGAGTGAATTCACCTTTCCAAAAAGCAAATATTGTTTTGTGCAGAAAACATATAGCCTTCCTTCAGTAGAAAGCAACTCATTAGATCATTTGGGAAAGATCCCAAATCCCCAATTCCTGGGCCTATATTTAATCAAAAATTACACACTTATTTTTAAGTACCGTTTTTTCCTTTATCCTAAAGATTTTTGTCAAATTCAAAATATTATCAGTATAGAATATTTCTTGATACTTCGAGTTTAAAATAGCGCATGCTTACGTGGGTAGAATAGAGATAAATTATAAGTCACAAATATTTGAAAGAAGGTATAGTTTGAATAGTCTATTCGCATTACTACTAATAAAATAATATTAATTTCTAACACTTATTCACCACTTACTTTGTGCCAAGCACTGTTGTAAGGGCATTATTTGAAATGCCTCACTTGAAATTCGCAACCTGTTGGGGATATTAGTGGGATACTACCGTATTCTTTAATTACAAGTTAAGAAAATTATGGCCCAGAAAGGTTAAGTGACTTGTTCAAATGATCACAGCTAATAAGTGATAGATTCATGACTCAGATTCTTCACTCTTAGTCACTCTTCCATTCCAATGGAATGAACCTCACGTAAAATGCAACTCAATTTTAATTTTCACTAATGCTGCAATTAATACGGACATATGCATAGATTTTGTCCCTTATTCATCATCATAGTTCAAGTAAGAGCAACCTAAAAGTGTTTTAATTTTCATTCATATGTTAGAATGTTTTCATATAAAATAGTTTTAACTAAAAAGTGAAACATTTCACTATTAATTTATCCTTTTATTTATGATAACAGGCAGTTTCCTTGAATATTTAATCTTGGGTCTCCACTGTGCACACTGATCCATATAAATACCACACTTTGCGATGGGGCATCAATAATCAAAACTTTTTGATTATCAAATATTCCAGAAAATAGTGTATTTTCTTTCCTGTATATCAAATTATTTTTACTTTTAAAAATATGATAGTGATCTTAATAAAGTGTTTGAAAACATTTTTTAAATCCTATTTTTGTCAATGAAATCAGCATACTTACCATCACATATGATTTTTAAAAATCCTTAGAATTAAAATAATCTTTAACTGTACTGACTGCACATTCTCCAGATCCAATCAATAGCCAAGATGTACTGGTTATACTTCCCTGTAGTCTCATACATCTTATCCTCTTCCTTTCTATTCTTACTGTCACTACTATAGTTTCATTTCTTGTCATATCTGCTTAAAACACTGTAAGAACTTCATAACCTGTGTCCTGTTCTTTAATTTCCCTCCAGTTTAGTTTATCCTTCACATTGCTTTCAGATACATCTTCATTAAAGCACAATCATAATCATGTAACTTGCATTTTCAAAATGATTCTAATACTCTATTTGGCCTAGCAAATTACATCACTATCTCTTGAGTTTGACATTAGTGTGCTGGAGAAAGCTCATATCACTTTCCGAGACTGAATGTTAAATTTTGAGAAATTTTGTGACCCAATTGTTAAATACAAGTATTAGGAAAGATTAAATTATATAAACAGAATTAAACATTTTTGTTAAAAACAAAGGTAATAAAACTTCAAAATTCATTACTTTAAAATTATTTTGCCATTTTACCATTATGCTCTTGAGGTTATTAACATATGTTGCATCTGTATGGTGGAAATACTCTTTATGGTGTGATACTATGCATCTTTTCCTAACTGCGTACAGTAATGTGTTGTTAGTAAATTGAAATCACCATTATGGGAAAATTTACACCACAGAAATGGGAAAATATTGCATATTGGGAATAAAAATGAATTGTTTTCTTGAGTGTGTACAAAGTTGGCAAATGATAGCCAGTGGACCAGCTGCTGGTTTTTGTATTAAAATTCAGCCATGTTCATTTTTTAGGTATTGCCTATGACTGTTTTTACACTGCAGTGGCAGACTAGAGTAGTTTTGGCAGAGACAATTGGCTCCCAACCCTGAAATATTTATTCTCTGGCCCTTTAAGAAACAGTTTGCTTATGATTGCAAGGGGAAAGCAGCCAAAACTAACAGGGAAACAAATGGTAGTTCCTGTGTTTTAATAAAACGTTATTTGCAAAAACAGATGGTGGGCCAAACATGGCCCATAGACTGTGTATAATTTGCTAACCCTTGGTCTTGACTTACAAAAGTAATAGAAAAAAATGTTAATAATGCACATCAAACTTAAAAATGTGTTCTGTGTAGCCCTCAAATTATGACTATTATAACAAATTGAAGAAATATTCTTTCAGTTTTCAAAAACTATTATGTGTATGATTTAAAAGTTGTGCATGTCATTGAAAAAAAATGAATAAATGTCCAACATTCATCTTTATTGTTTTACTCTCATCTTACTCATTAATGTAAGCCAAACTATCAACCAATATTCATGTTGGAACTATAATGAGTTGTTAATTGCAACTATAGTTTGGCTTTGGATACAAGAGTGCATCAATATCAATGAAAGTACTCTGTGAGAATTATTTGACTACGTGGAAATTATAATAAAAAGTACTGTATTTTATCATCATTTATAAAATTGTGAGTTACACATCCTTTACACCAATAACATAAATTAATGTACATGAATCTGTGTGTATATATACATTTTATGAGAGCTGGTGTTAAGTACATATCAGCAGACCATGGGAAATAGCTCTATTTTCAGCTTCTTTCCCTCATTTACAGGCGTTCAAATGAAAGTGAATATGTGCTCTTCCATGAGCACACCTTTCATTTTCCCAACTCCCTGTGCCTGGGTTGCTCCTTCCACATGGAATGACTTCGCAAACTAATTCTGTTATTATTGCTTTATACACATTTCAAGACTTAGTTCATATGGCGCCTTCATTAAGAGTACCATTACCTCTCAGGTTACATATGACTTATTTCTGCAGTAAGTACCAAGAGTGCTTTTTATATTTCTTTGCAACACATCAGAGTTTTTTGTATACTTTTTAGGTATTGCCTGTGACTGCCTTTGCACTGCAGTGGCAGAATAGAGTAGTTTTGGCAGAGATAGTTGAAAAAAAAGTTCCTTCTTGATTAAAACTTCCTTGAGAGCACATGTTTTATCTCTTCAATTTTTCACTCTTTATGGAATCTAGTTGTGTCTACTCATAGCGTTTAATGCACTTTATTGAATTGAACTGAATAATAAAATTGCTGAGATATTTTTGTTAGCATTATTTCCTCCACATAATCTCCCTTTAGTATGACTCACTTTCTCCTAAAACACATCTTTTACATGAATGCCCTTTCTTAGAGTTATTCTCTAAGAAATAACTTCTTCATCTATTTCTCTTCTCATCTGAATCCTACCTACTCGTTAAGACCCACGTTGTTTCCCTTCTCAAGCAAGTAATATTCCCTGAAATTAAGAGCCAAAGGATAGATTCCTCAGTGTGCTTCACTTGTCTAGTACTTTTCTTAAATGTTATATATTTTTAAAATTGCCTTCTGTCTTAATTCAGGCTGCTATAACAAAGCACCACAGACTGGGTGGCTTATAAATAACAGAAACTTATTTATCGTAGCTCTAGAAGTCCAAAATCAGGGTGCCAGCATGGTCAGGTTCTGATGAGGACCCTTCTGTAGGTTGCACATTGTGGTCTTCTTGTCGTATCCTCCCATGGCTAGAGAGCTCCCTGGGGTATAAGGACACTAATTTCATTCCTGAGGGCTCCACTCTCATGACCTAATTGCTCCCCAAAGGTCCCACCTCCTAATACCATCACATTGGGGGTTAGAATTTCAGCATATGAATTTGGGGGTGGGGGACAAAACGTTAAGTCTATAACATCTCCATAGCTGGCTATAAGATTCTTGAAGAAAAGAATATCTTTCTCATCTTTAAAAGGCAGAGTACTTCTAAAGTACTCAGCACAGAATGTCACACTCAAATGCTCAATAAAAAGTTTCTTGAATAAATTTTTCATGTCTCTGTATTGTCAATGGTGGTAAATGGTGCTGAACACATTGTAGTCATTCAATAAAAAGGTGCTGATTGATAGATATGTTAGTGAAACATAAAAACTGAAAGTAGTTGAAAATTAGACTCATATTTTATTGAAATGCAATAAAACTATCTTCGGTTTCTAAGTATTTTAATGCTTTCAACTTTTGTTTCATCTTTCCATCACAGCTAAATTTTTATGCAATGTCATGAGGCTGTTGTCTGCTCAAATTTATAAGACTCTTAAAAATGCTCAAGCCCCATAGCAGTGCCAGGATCTAGGAAATCTGCAGTCATTTATGATTAATGATGCTCTGTGTTTTGTGAGGCATTATTAAAAACAGAAGCCTATGACTTCACTGTTTCTGACAATAACTTTGAACACAAGGTCAGTCCTTCAATTTTAACATTTCTTTGTAAGATTAAAAGAAAGTAAAAACAATCACATTGGGAGCTTCACCCAGATGTCAGAAAATAAGAGACACAAGTTTTCAATCTGTTTCTTCCAATGAAACATCATCTCATTCATGGGATATTGATGATGAGCAAATGTTACTGAAGGGCAAATCTAGTCATCAGAAAAACATAGAGTTCAGGACTCTATCAGGCATCACATAGTCAATTCATAGAAGATGTTAACCAAAAGACTTAAGAGCAGCTTAGCAAATGCAGTTTAATATTTGCGTTTCTCTCCAGATGAATAATTGGAAAAAGAGTTATCAACCTTTACAAAATCAAAGTATTCAAGGTTCTGTTAAAAATGTAAGCAACTCCTAGATGTTTCCTGAAAACAAAAAGTTATGTTAGAGCCATTTTTATTCAATTACTTAAAAATCATAATGTGCTACAGCAAATTAAAAAGTAAAAATAACATGATACTTTGTTTTTAAATAGAAATTTCAGATTCAAGAACACACATAGTTCTCCCTTTATATAAGAAGATAAATATATATAAATAAATGTTTTATCTATAATAGATTATTTGAAATTATTGTCATTTCTAAAGGGAATGCATGCTTTTACAAAAAAAATTAATTCAAACATATTAACTCTGCTTACTGACAAAAGTTTACAATCCATAGGAAATAAAAGCTAATTTCTTATAAGAATTAGTACAGCCTTCAAAATATACCATTGCATTGAATTCCATTTCTGCTACCAACTGAAAAGCCGGCTTTTAATTGTCAGGTAATACAGTGATCATATTCAAAATAGCCACATAATTGTGTGACTTTTTCCATGTTAGAAGTACCTCACTGGTTGCTAGGCCATAGGCTGACCTTAAATTTGTATGAAAAATTAAGTGGAAGGCCAACAGTTGAGTTGTGGTTTCTCTCAGTTTCATATGATTGCCCTGGAGTCTGGCAAGGAAAGAAAAAAAACAGCTGCCTGATGGGAATTGTCACTTTCTAATCCTTCAATGAAACAGTACTAGAGAGGATTTAGTTGGAGCCAGCTTCCAGCCAATCCTTCTTTCTGAAAATGTGATGATGTGAGGATAGACAAGCCAAAAGGAAGATATAATCCAAAAAATGTCTTCCTCACTTTATTACTGAAAGTTAACTTCTTTAAAAAATTTTTTAAAAAGTCCACTTGCCTTTTTGCTTCAAAGCAGTAAAATGATGTGTCAAAGCTATGTAGTTAAATTAACAGTCTTGGGCTGTAAGAACAAAGATCCTAACATGTCGTGTGTTCAGTTGTTAGAGTAACCCCAATTTATCGTAATCAAACAAGAGATATCTGAGAAAGAGAACCCATTCACAACTTTGCAGTTTAAAACCTTCTTTTCAATGTAACTGAACAGGATTTGTGAATTAGGGGGTGTTTGTACACGTGTGCTGAAATAAGCTCTTTGCAGTGAATGTCACAAAGGAAGTGAATTATAGGCTTTGTAATAAGACACCTTTTTCTTTAAGTAATAAGAGTATGGTGTTGCTTTCTACCAATGAAAATGTCATCCTCTGTGTATGGAACTTTTGCTGGTTGTTTAATTATTTGATATACCTTTGCTTCCATACATTCAGTATTTGCTCAATCACTTTCAAAGTACTATACTTTGTAAATAGATCCAAATGTTCTGAATGTGGATTTCTAAAAGTGTTGGTTAAGTTCCAAGAAATGGAAAATACAAATAACTGGCTCAAAAAATTGTTGTTCGTATTTCTCCTTTACATTCTGTGGGTTAAGCAAACTAAAAGCAAAGGAGTAGAAATATAAAATACTTTGATGAGATTTTAAAATCCTCCTAGACACACGAAGTGAATCAGCAACATAGGAATCTCTTCCCTGTGAAGGAATTGTTGTGTTTTTTTGTTTGTTTTTGTTTTTTATTTTTATCCCCATGTACTCATGGCTTTCATTCATTCACTCTTTCCTATAACAAATATTTATTGGGCACCAACCATGATAAATCTTCATTCCAGGCTCTGAGGATGTAGCAAAAAGAGAAGGTAGGCCTGGTCTCATTCTCATACACATAGAGCCTCGCGATGGGAATAGCATGATAACCAAGCAAATTAACAAGAATAAGACAAATAGCAAATGTTAAGGCCTCCTTGTGGAGATGACTTGAATAGCTGAGATCTGAATGATAAGATGGCATAAATTATATGAATATCTGTACAGAAATTCAAGGCAAAGGATGCAAGGGCCCTGAAGGAATAAGCTGGGTGTGTTGGAAGAACTGAAATAAAGGTATGCATTGCTGGAGTGCCAGTGTGAGCGAAGTGGGTAAAAGAGGGGTGAGAGGAGATCAGAGGAATGTGAGGCCAGATCACAGACTACTGCACAGGCTAGGGCAATAAGTTAGAATTTCCTCTGGCTGTGATGGAAAGCCATTAAAAGATACTAAGAAGGGGAGTATTATGAATTATGTTTTTAAAAACATCCTTCTGTCCATTATATATAGAATAGATTATAGACAAGCAGTAGTTGAAATAAGTTTCTTTATTTTAACTTTTATTTCAGATTCAGGAGTACATGTGCAAGTTTGTTAATACAGGTAAACTTGTCTCATTGGGGTTTGGTGTACAGACCATTTTATCACCCAGCTACTAAGCATAGTACTCAATAGTTACTTTTCCTGATCCTTTCTGTCTTCTCACCATCCTCCCTCAAGTAGACCTTAATGTCTGTTATTCTCCTCTCTGTGTCCATTGGTTCTGATTATTTAACTCCAACTTATAAGTGAGAATATGTGGTATTTGATTTTCTGTTCCTGCGTTAGTTTGCTAAGGATAATGGCCTTTAGCTCCACCCATGTTCTTGCAAAGAACACGATCTCATTCTTTTATATAGCTATATAGTATTTCATGGTGTATATGTACCACATTTTCTTTATCCAGTCTTTTGTTGATGGACATGTAGGTTGATTCCTTGTCTTTGCTATTGTGAAGAGTGCGGCAATGAACATACGTGTGCATGTGTCTTTATCGTAGAATGAATAATTTATATATCCAAATAGGAAGAAAGGAAATAAAGGTACCCCTATTTGCAGACAAAATTATTCTCTATCTAGAAAACCCCACAGTCTCTGCCCAAAAGCTCCTTGAGCTGATAAACAACTTCAGCAAAGTCTCAGCATACAAAATCAATATATTTCACAAAAAATCAGTAGCATTCCTATACACTGGCAACATCCAAGCCAAGAGCCACATTAAAAACACAATCCCATTCACAATTACCACAAAAAGAATAAAATACCTAGGAATACAGCTGACTGGGGAAATGAGGGAGGTTTGTAGTCACTTTGTTATTGCTGTGGGCTGGATTATGTGACACAACATTGAATGGGAGAGGGGTTTGTGTATAATACAATTCTGATAAATTCCTTATGTTTTTTATGTTTATCTTTCACATGTGCTATAAACATTGCCTTGCCTATGATTCCAGAAATGTTCATTTTCCATCTACTTTCCAGTCCCCCAAATCCATATACCCTACCTCCTTCATGAAATCTTCCTTGATTAATTTTAATTTCCATAAATTTATCTTCAACAATAAATTATAATTTATAATATATTATCTATAATAATAATTTGGAGTCTGGGAAACATGGTGAAATCATGTCTATACAAAAAATACAAAAATTAGCTGGGCCTGGTGGTGCACACCTGTAGTGCCAGCTATTCTGGAGGCTGAGATGGGAAGATTGATTGAGCCTGGGAGGTCGAGGCTGCATTGAGTCAAGATCACACCACTGCACTCTGACCTGGGTGACAAAGCGAGACCCTGTCTCAAAAAGAAAAAAAAATTGGGTATAATATAACTTATTTTAATAACTGAAGCCAAAGTTTATCACTTACAAATAATAAAGACTCAAGAAAAGGCAATAAATTGTTCAGCTGTTTAGTGGCAGAACCAGGATTTGAAGCATGAGTTTTCTCACAAATAAAGCTCTTGTTTTTTTCACCCTGGCTACCTATCCTTTTAGTTGAGAATGTATTCCTTTTTGTCAATTATCGGGACCTTAACAGACATAAAGCGTCACAAAGAAGAACGTTCCTGTATATGATTATGGGTGTAAAAAGGAGTATCAATAGGTAAAAGTTATTGCTTTTAACCAGTTCCAATATCTTCATTCTTAGAAAATGAACAATAGAATGTAGCTAGGAAATGTCTGAACCTTGTCTCAAGGGACTAGGAAAGAAGGAAATATAGAATGATGATTGATAACATGTAGTTGTATTCCTGTTCATATGTACATTGGATACTACATGCTTAATAACATGTAGCTATGTTAGCACCTTTTAAAACATTAAAAATCTACAGATTGTGGCTTTACATCTAGTTTCAGAATATAGCATGGTGTCATAAAGCTGCCTTGGTCATTGTTATCTACTTAGTTTAGAGTAAATGACAGCCACAGAGTTATACAATTCAGCAAAGCAGAATGGATCAGACGACAAACTGACCCTATTTTCAAATTTCTCCCTTTTATCACCACACTTCTCCATGGCAACATAAGATAAAATGAGCATAAGAAAAAAATATAACACATAAGTTATCTATGAAGACTGATTTTGACACATTTCCTAAGTAAGAATTCTTGAAAAACTACTGTGGGTTTCCCTTGTTACAGTATAGCAGGAACCTTAGGCCAAGGGAGATTATGGTACCTTATTTTCTTGTTGACTGAATTCTGATTGTAATCTTAGCCCATTGAAGTAAATAAAGAATGCTTCTGAATCAATAAGTTGACATTGATTTTCTTAGGAAAGCCTAGAAGGAAGTTTATCAGTCAGTCCATTTATAAAATTAAATTGACTATGAAGGGGTTAACCTTGATTTTGTATTAGCACGTAATGATGATGGAAGAATTAATTTAAATAATGCTTGATTTCAAAATAGATCTCGTATTTTAACAGACAATTTGAAGATATAGCCACTTCGTATAGCTAAAAGTAAAATTAAAATACTACTTTGCCTACATAACAAAAGCAGGTCTATGCTATTGTTAACTTCTAAAAGGATAAAAAAGAATGGAAGAAAAATTATACCCTATTTCAAATTGCAGAATGTGATCAACATTTTCTTAACATTCCTCTTTTATTAACTTCCCACTTTTACTACCAGAAAGTTATTTAACTTAGATTCAGTTGAATAACTCAGAGTCAGTTTTCAGAGACGCTTACCTGATATATGGAAAACTTTATGAATATTATGAAACATGTTATGCAAAATTCAAAAGCTGTGTTTTTTCACAAGTATAAAGCTGAATTCAATACTTGGAAAAATGAGTTGGTCATTCAATTAAAATCAACAGGTCTTTGTTATATATGATTACCCATGATCTGTCCTGACTGATTCAGTTAAATTTAATATAATAATTTAATGTTGCAGTGTAGGCATTTTGCATCACATAACTGTTTATGTTTGTTGAATATACATTTTGTTTTACAATTGTTCAGCTACTCTGAGATTTTAGAAGAGAAATGAAATAAATGCTGTATCCTTTAAAACAATAATTATAAAGAAATGAATTTCAAAAGAAAAACTTGCCTTCATTTCCACATGAACAAAGGCACATTCAGTTAGTCACCTGATTGTTTGGCTACATAACATCAAATATCAAGATGTTAAGGAACATTGACATTTTAGGCAATAGCAATGTAATGAACTTTTTATTTTACTTTTTACTTAGATTTTGGGCATCATTTAGAAATAGTTTTGGATTAAAATTTACTTAAGTTTTTAAAACAACATTATTTAGAGTGGAAAGCACAACTCTGTCTTCTTATTTGAGGACAGAAATGATTCTCAATGGGGGTTGATTTTGTCCCCCAGGATATATTTTTTAATATCTGGACACATTTTTGTTTGACACAACTGGGGGAGGGGCACTAGCAGGATCTAGTTGGTAGAGGCCAGGGATGCTGCTAAATATCCTTCACTGCACAGGACAATACTCTACAGAAATAATTATTCTGTCCCAAACATCAATAGTGCCGAGTTTGGAAAACCCTGAAGTAGAGAGGTATTAAAGAACCATAATGGTACAAAGTGCATTAAAAATGATATACTAAGAATGTAAGCATTATGAAGTCAGGGACAGATTCTACTTGGCTAATCTGTGTGTATTGCACATGACAGAAACTCAGTAAATATTCACTGAATGAATGCAAACAGGCAAAATACAGTTGTTCACTGCAGACTTGCTCAGTATTTGCAAGTAAAAGAAGACGGGTAGATACTCTTTTCAATACAAAAACAAGTTAATAACCATTGCTGTAGGGCAACATATCCTATTTTATGTATGAGAAGCATTTTTAGGATTATGTTTATGCCATACTTCAGAATGCATGTAAATGAAGGATACAAATATGTTTCAACTCCTTTTTGTATATGGGACATATTAAGATGGATTTGGTAATACTTACATGTAGCCATTTTATTATACTATAAAATTACTTCTCATTCTTATAGAACAATAAAACTTGTGAAAAGGGCCTTTTTACAATTTTTAGCCACAAATGATAGAATTTTTATATGCCCCAGGCAGTAATATTGCTTATAAATTTATACCATACGCCACTTTAACTTAAACTTTTTTTTTTTTTTATTAAGGGGACTGATCGGAGTCAAACCATATGCTGTGGCTTTTGCTCCATGGAAATCTCAACTATACTGCAAGAATAATTATTCCTACTTAATGAAGTTACAGAAGAGAATGTGGTGCTGGACGGTAAGATGTATATAACCTAATGAATACCCTCTGTAAACTCTCTAAAGACTTGTGCTAGGAGTTTTTCAGTTTTGTGGGGGTTTTTTCTTATTAAGAGACTAAATAGCTGTTGAAATCTCTAAAAGAATAAATGGATGCTAAAAATTCAAAAACTTTCCTACTCAGGGGATTCCATCATAAGTGTATAATAAAGAGTTTTGGTCCTTTGGGAAATCAGTGCCTTTATTACGGGAGGGGGGAATTTAAAATTATATATGGCTCAAAAAAACACATCATGTATAGTTTTTCTCTATTTGGAAACTAAAGCATACATTAAAGCCTCATCATTTTCTTTTGATTAGACCATTGCCTTAGCCTGCTAAGTGTCTTTCTGCTCACATTCTTTTTTAAATTTAGCCATTCTTCAGAGCTTTCTCTGTTTTTTGTTTTGCTTTGTTTTGTTTTGTTTTGTTTTTAAAAGCACAGATCTGGAAATGTCTGTCCTCAGCCTCAAAAATACTCAACCTCCATAGCAGGGTAGGTAAATTATTTTGAAATCTACTCTCTACCATTCTGACCAACTATATCCTCACTACTAATGGACTATCCACATACGTCTTTCCCCTTCTCTAAAAATGCCATCATCTTTTATGCGTTTGCATCTTTACTTTTTCATATCTAGCTGAGTCAAGGTATCTTTCTAATTCTAAATCTTTAAAAGTTTTCCATAATCTTTCTTTGACTTCACTTCCCTATGTTTCTAAAAGAATTTCTCTGTACCTGTATTGAAGGGTTTACCACATTGTACTTGAAGTTATGAGTTTGATTATTATTTTCTCATTGACTGTCACATCTGTGAAAGAAGGGACATATTATTAAGCATTATATTCCCACTGCCAATGCCTGGCACATAGTCGGTGTTTTAAAAATTAAAAGGTGAACTAGTGTACACTTCATGATGGCTAAAATTCAAAAGACTAATTAAATTAAGTAAGTTGAGTCAAGGCTGTGGAAGATCTCAAACTCCCATACACTGCTGGAAATAGTGGGAAAATAGTAAAACCACTTTGGAAAATACTTGGGGCAATTTTTTAAATAGCTACACGTACAGATATATGATCTGCCTATTACACTACTAGGTAGCTACCCACATGAAAGTAAGCATATGTGCATATAAAAACTTGTACATTAATGTTCTTAGATGCTCTATTTTAATAACCAAAAACTGAAAACAACTCAAATTTCCATCGACAGGTGCATGGAGAAACAAACTGTGGTATACCCATACAACGTAATACTATTTACGGCAATACAAAAGAATGAACTTTTGAGAAATGCAATGAAATGAATGAATTTCAAAATAATTATGCTGAGTAAAAGAGGTCAGAAAACACAAGTATAGGGTATATAGACCAATTTTATAAAACATCAAAACAATGAAAACTCTTCTATGGTGACAGAAAGCAGAATAGTGGTTGCTGGGGTTTGCGTGAGGCAAATACTGGAAGGCTGAGGATGGAAGGATTAAAAAGAGGCATGAGAAAACTACTGAGGGTGATGGATATATTCACAATCTTGGTTGTGGTTAGGCTTTTATGGGTGTAAATATATATCAAAACCTATCAAATTGTGTAAATATGTGCATTTTTCTATGTCATTTACACTTCAATAAAGCTTTTGTTAAAAAAGTTAGAAAGTGAAATGATAAAACTATATTTTGCAAGTAATTTTACAAAATAGATGCTACTGGTTTTCTTAGGGTACAACTGGGTAGGTATATATATTTATCAACATAATTTGGTAATGCATACCTTTTTCAAGAACTGACAGCATTGTTGATTTGGGATACTATAAAGTCAGACACTATTCTTTACCATTTAAAATATTTATATTCTTCTCTGTTAATCAAATATGTGATTATTTATTATCTGTATTTACTGTGGTAGAATGGGAAGAAAAAGTGAACTGACCTTATACCAAGGTCAGTATGTGGCCCCTGAGCGGGTAGTTTAAGCTTGCTAGGCATCGGTGCTTCATTTTGTAAAGTAAGGCAGTTAATATACAGTGAATACGGTTCAACAAGTAAAGTTTGTAAAAATTGAGACAGAATTTTGACAAAAATACTTAGGAAAGGTGTTAGAGTTGGTAGATAGTATTCATGGCCTCTGGAGCAGTTTAAAATCTAGAAGGTATATGAGGCCATGCCTAAGTAATTTTAAAGAAGATATGGGTTCAAACTGGATATGTCGTAAGCCAGGAAGGAGGCAAATGCTCTGAGAAGACAGTGAGATCCCTTCTGAATGGAGTCTGCAGAAAGCTTGTGAATAACACTTCACTGGAGTCAGCTCTAAAAGAATGAGTAAAATCCCAAGAAAATGGAATTGTGATATTGTGACAACACAAAGTCTTAAATATTATTTAACCAAACAGAGATGGAAAGAAAGATAATCTAAACAGAGATAACTTGGCAGCAGTGTACACAGTAGACTTGACAAGAGGGAATTACTAATGTTGGCTGGAGCAGGCTATTCTTTATATATATATATATATATATTTATTATACTTTAAGTTCTAGGGTACGTGTGTACAACGTGCAGGTTAGTTACATATGTATACATGTGCCATGTTGGTGTGCTGCACCCATTAACTCGTCATTTACATTAGTTATATCTCCTAATGCTATCCCTCCCCCCTCCCCCCACCCCACAACAGGCCCTGGCGTATGATGTTCCCCTTCCTGTGTCCAAGTATTCTCATTGTTCAATTCCCACCTATGAGTGAGAACATGTGGTGTTTGGTTTTTTGTCCTTGCGATAGTTTGCTGAGAATGATGGTTTCCAGCTTCATCCATGTCCCTACAAAGGACAAAAACTCATCATTTTTATGACTGCATTGTATTCCATGGTGTGTATGTGCCACATTTTCTTAATCCAGTCTATCATTGTTGGACATTTGGGTTGGTTCCAAGTCTTTGCTATTGTAAATAGTGCCGCAATAAACATACATGTGCATGTGTCTTTATAGCAGCATGATTTATATTCCTTTGGGTATATACCCAGTAATGGGATGGCTGGGTCGAATGGTATTTCCAGTTCTAGATCCCTGAGGAATCGCCACACCGACTTCCACAATGGTTGAACTAGTTTACAGTCCCACCAACAGTGTAAAAGTGTTCCTATTTCTCCACATCCTCACCAGCACCTGTTGTTTCCTGACATTTTAATGATCGCCATTCTAACTGGTGTGAGATGATATCTCATTGTGGTTTTGATTTTCATTTTTCTGATGGCCAGTGATGATGAGCATTTTTTCATGTGTCTGTTGGCTGCATAAATGTCTTCTTTTGAGAAGTGTCTGTTCATATCCTTCGCCCACTTTTTCAAATGGGATCTAATTAAACTAAAGAGCTTCTGCACAGCAAAAGAAACTACCATCAGAGTGAACAGGCAACCTACAGAATGGGAGAAAATTTTTGCAATCTACTCATCTGACAAAGGGCTAATATCCAGAATCTACAAAGAACTGAAACAAATTTACAAGAAAAAAGCAAACAACCCCATCTAAAAGTGGAGCAGGCTATTCTTAAAAGCAAGTAGGAATGTGAAGTGAGCTTGGAAAAGGTTTGGTGCAAATCGCTGAGGACCTTGAATGCACGGTTAAGAAATCCAGAAGTTTGGACTCATGCTTCAGAAAGTGTGTTCATGAGAACTTTCATTTAAGCGAAACTACCGTGTAAACATGAAAAATTCTTTTTGGAAATTAAATTTACTTTACCCTGTCTGGAGAGCATTGATGCTCAAAACCAAGACAGTGCACACAATTGAAGCATCTGGTTTACAGGGAAAGTGAGTAAGCTCAATTTTAAACATTGAGTTTGAGGTATTAGTGGAACAATTAGATAGCAAGGGCCCATGGGCAATTGATGTTAAAATTTTAGACTTAGCCTAGAGAAGTTATTATGAGTGCAGCTTATTCATAAGCTTTTCAATAAGTAACTTTTACTTATTGAGGATTCACAATACGCAAGGCATTTCTTTTTAAAATGTTACAATTTTATATACCTATTAGTTCGTGTCACCATCTATTAATGAGTCACTTTTCAGTCCCTTTCCTGATTTTACCTTATATCTCTGACTAGTAAATGTAAGAATGCTTCAAAGTGCAGTGATTGACCCTCTTTTCTTTTTCTCTTTCTCTAACTATGCTCATTCCCTAAGTAATTTCACATCCAGTCCTATGACTTGAAGCACAATTGTTATGTTGTTAAAGACACCTACATAAATGTACTTGGCTAGACTCTCCTGGGACTTAGCATATCTAATAGATATCTTAAACTTAAGATGTTCAAAGACAAAGTTTTTATTTCAGTTTCTCCACCCACAAGCCTTTTGGCAGTCTTTCCGCATCTTAGAAAATGGTAACTCCATTTTTCCAGTTATTGAGGTGGCAAAAAAAAAAAAAAGGGTTGCTCTATACTTATTTTCCTCACTCATGCTTTACATTCAATCGATAAGGAAATCCAGTAACTCTACCTTCAAGATATATCCAGAATTCATTTATCATATTCACTACTATATCCTGATATAAACCAGCATCCTGTCCCATCTAGATTAATACAATTTTTTTCCCTAAATGGTCTCTCTGTTTCACTTTTGCCCGCTTTCAATTTATGATCCACACAACAGGCAGAGTTATTTATTTAAAACATATGATAGATTATAGCACTCCTCTGCTAACAACCCTCAGAATAAAAAAGTCGAAGTCCTTAGCAAAAAGCCTGGTTACTCCTCTGGTATCCTCTAACTTCTGTACCCCTTTTAATTACCAGGATGTACTTCTTGCTATTCCTGGAACTCTGAGAAGGCTTCACCATTATGGTCCTATTACTTGGTCTTTCTTCTGCCTGGAATGTTCTTCCGTCTTACATTTCCAAGGTTCACCCTTTTTCTAGCTCCAGGTCTCTGCTTAAAGGCACCTAATCAAAAAGGCTTTGCTTAACTATCTTATTCAAATAACAAGCCTCTTCACAGCATTACTGGATCATAGTGGGTGCTCCAAAATATTTGAATGAATAGTCAATATTTCAAGGAATAGTCTCCATCTTGGAAATGAGTACCTTGTGGCTTAAATTGTAGGAGCTAAAGCGTTAGGAACTAAAGAAGATTTTCAAGTTAATATTGGGATTTATATCCCCATAAGATAACTAAGGTTTTGAAGTAAAAAAGAATTGGATTAAAGTTTCTGCTCTAGAATTTAAAAATATAAAAACAGAACATTTATTTAAGGCACAAGTGGGAGATAAGTGATGAGAACACATTGACACATAGAAGGCAACAACACACGCTGAGGCCTTTCAGAGGTTGGAAGGTGGGAGGAAGGAGAGGATCAGGAAAAATAACTAATGGATACTAGGCTTCATACCTGGGTGATGAAATAATCTATACAACAAACCCTCAACACAAGTTTACCTGTGTAACAAACCTCCACTTGTACCCCTGCACTCAAAAGAAAAAAATTTAAAAAAGAAAATCTTATTTAAAAAGAAATATTTGAAACTGTGGTAGGAGATGGGATTATATTGTGGCTAGATCTTATAGATGGATTAAGATAGACATTATAGTTAAGGTCATAGATTCCTTTGAAAATCTAATATAACTCCCCCCAAACACATGTGATCATGTACCACAGTCTTGCACCGTATTACATGTAATTTACAGACTCTACATTATGCTCTAGATGAAAAGGACAAAAAATGCAGACAGAGGTGAACTTGAAGATTTTTTGTGCAGACTCATCTTTTGGGCAGTTTGCATGTAAATGTAAAGGGAAGGCCAGTGAGTCTTCCAGATCTACAGGCGTGGATGCCACCGTTTGTGCATAAATAATTCAAATATTGTGGTCTCATCGAGTTGAGATAGAAGGAATAGACGAGATCATCTAACATCTTCATTTTTCACATGACAAAGTGGTGTCCCAGAGGCTTGCCCATGTTTCCTCAACTGGCTAGTGGCAGAGCAGGGACTAGATTCCAGGTGTCATAACTCAAGGTCCATGCTCCTTTGACATACCCTGATGCCTCCTTGGAAAAAGTAGTTGTCCTTCTGTGCTTCTGAGCTGTGTTCAGACGCTTCAGCGTAAAAGATATTGGTGTTTTTCTCCATTGAAACATAGTTGAATAAAGATGATGAACCGTGCTTTGCACTGGAATTATTCTTTTTTATTGCCCAAACATGCCAAAAAGTCATTTAGTAACTAATTTGTGGATTTGAGAAATTTACTGGTTAGTTATAACTGATGAAAAAAAATTTTTGTGGTTAAGTGAGTGCTTAAAATCTAGACAAGGCTTAAAGTACTAGTGCAAGAATTTCATTCCATTATGCAAGTAATTTTAACCTACAATTTGGTTTTCATTGTGGAGACAGCTGAAATAGTGCAAGATTGTGACATTGTGGTCAATTGCAAAATTACAAGGAATGTTATGCATTCCAGATCTTCATAGACACAGTACAAAATGCTGGTGTATTTTCATTCACTTGGAGAAGCTTAAATAATATTTTAAATCTCCAAATCCGATAGTAATACTAAGGGGAGTTTAAATTGAATGTCTAGCCCCTTTATTTCTCTATTTGTCTATCAATTTATCTATTCATCCATTGACTTAAAAAAATAGCATTGCTAATAAAGTGGAAATCCTCATGCATTATGTATGGACTCTGCCTGAGTGACTGACAGGACTACCCAGAGTGTCAATGTATTCTCCGCTCCAGCTTATCAGTTAACTAGTGAAATTTAACACGGATGGTGTCGGCTTTTTATTTAGAGTGTTACTGTATAAACAGAAGAGGCCACTGGGAGAATCTTGTTTTGGAGTTTTCACCTCATTTAAATTCTTAATTGTTCCCCTCAGTTTAGAAAAGGCTATTGCAGTGTGGTCCTGCTTCCAATTAATGAGCTTCAGAAAAGGATTAGGTTTGCCTCACTCAGTCTTTCCAAAATAGGCTAACCTTGAATCACACAAATTCCAAGAAAAGGTAAATATTCTTTTCTGATTCAAATTAACTTAGACAGGGAAGACAACCTTAGGTTGTTTATTTTATTATAAGCCAAGCTAAGAGTCCCGAAAGTTAAAGTTAATGAAAGAGATAGGCATTTTGTTGAAAGATAAGAAAAAAAAGAGAAATATTAGTTTAGTACACTTGTTAATTTTTTTCACTTATCTAATATTTTCCATTTCTATTCTTTCAATAAAATAGCAGCAGTAATAAATAGCTTGTATCATTGTGAAGAAGTTTAAAATATTTGCATGATTTTGTTTTTTGGAACTAAATTCTGAAGAGCTGGTTAAAAAACAAATAAAATATTAAATACCTTAAGCATATTGTGGGATTATAAAGGGAATATAGCGTGTCCATGTCTGTAGGTTCACTTTAAGTTTGTGCATTTGCCTGTAATAACTTTTTGGGGGTCTCATAGAAATCAAGACATCTAGAAGTGTCACAGTCTAGCTTCTTTTTGCATGAAGGTAGTCAGCCATTGCCCCTTCAAATCCATCCCACACTCATACCCAGGAATAAAGATTACATGTTGAGGGATCTATGATGGCGTTTTTTAAAAATCTTAATTCATTTTTGGTAGTTTCTTTTATGTGTTCTACCTGAGTAATTTAGAGTGTTAATTCCTGAATTCTTTGAACTTAAAAATGTGCCAGTCATGCCCACAACCACATATACATGATACCCCCTTCTAAAGGTGAATTGAACTCCTAATTTATTTCCATAAAAAATAAATGTAATAAATATACTGGATGCTTATGTATTAAAGGTAAGCTATTTTCAGTAGCAAAGACAGCAATAAGAAATTAATCAATTTAGGTCAAATTACTTTTGTAGTTAAAAACATTAGTTTTAAATAAGTTACTCAGCCAAGGGTCAAAGCAATCAGCACAGTTGTAAATGAAAATATGTTTGAATTAAAACAATTAGGCTTGATTTTCTTGTCTTACATCTCACAGCAGGTATTTGAGCACAGCCAAAATTTGGATGTGCTGACACCTGTAATCAACACAATAGGTATCTTTTAAACTAACAAATCATCTTTCCCAGTGGAAGTATAAACAAAACTCTAATTGGAGGCTTTGCTAACTATTCTTCCCTGCTGTGAACACTAGTTAGTGTTTTGTGTAAAGCAGTAACATTAGCTACAATTTATAATTGGCAAAGGATAAGAGCTAATTCTCCAGATTCAGTCAGTTAGTAGGTATACTTAAATTGAGCATACCTCATTCAATGATTTCTTACTTAACAGTTAGTATCAAGCATCTTGAAACTATGTTTTAATTGCAAGGAGACAAATAATAACTAACACATACAATGCTGATGAAGTGCCAAACTACATCCTAAGCACTTTTAAACATATTAGCTTATTTAGACTTCACAAAGTACCTTTGAGATAGACACTATTATTCCCAATTGACAGATGAAAAAATTGAGACTACATAATAGTTTGTTCTAAGCATCACAACTACTAAATAGTGGAAGTGAGTTTTGTTTTTTTTTAAATAATGAATCATAAATTTTATTTCAAAATGTAAACATCACTAAACATGCATACACATTAAAACAATAAAATTTACAATTTCATTAATTTTTCTTTTTGCATAGGACATCATTACAATATAGAATCTATGCCATACAAAATACATACAAAGTTTTATCTGAGCAAGCCAAGGCCAGACTGGGAACTGTACAACTGTAATACGTCACTGTAGTGATCCAGGAAAGATGAAACATGGCCTTCGGGAAGTGAGTTTTGAAACCAAGCAGTATAAGCCCAGAGTCTGTGCCTTGCCATCTCCATTAAAAATAAAGATTTAAATAAATAAATGTAGCTAGTATCTCATTTTAGACAACTAAATTTAACACATGTGCTGACAAGATCCTTCATGCCTGCTTCCTAGTTTTTACATCTTACTTATGGATTCTGAGGTCTACAGTTTGCAAGAAAAGGCATAACCTCGATTAAAATAACTGATTGGAGAAAATAAATCTCAGTGCACAATGAATGAACACAAATAAGAAGTAAAAGTGATGTTAATTCGGTAATAAATATGTGCTTTTTCATCGTAGAACGTATTTTGTCTTAACTATGCAGGAATGTAACTTTCTCCCCACCTATTGCTCAATGTGGTTATCAGCAGGCTTTAAAGGTAGATTTTCCTGTTCCCTAAAGTAGGTACTGCTAAGACCCAACACTAGAATTATGTATAATTCATCGAAAATGATGAAAATGTAATAAAAGTAAAATAAGGATTAAAAATGAGAATGGTGCCAGGTGGAATTCAGAACATAAAACATGTGCCACAAAATCCTGCACACGTTAGAAACAAGCCCTGATTTTAGCTCTCAGCTTCCTAGAAGCCAAAGTAGAGACCATCAACTACTCGATTTAGTCCAAATTGAAAATTAAATTCTTGCACATGAGCAGTTCAGTTATGCCTGGAATTGGAGGGATTTTTTTTATGACTCCTAGTAAAAAGGACACATTATGATGTAATAAAAAAAATCCTCAACCCACTCCTTAAAATAAACATGGCGATAGTTTTATATAATTATTTTGTGTCATTCACCTTTTAAGCAATAAACATAAATATTTTAGTAAATGTAATACAACAAAGATAAAAAAGGCTACAAGAGAAAATCTTGGAATAGAGATATAAATACAAACATATACACCCATATAGGCGTATGAACAGAACAAACTGAGATGCAGATATGGCAAGATTACACCAAAGCTCCAATTTAGTACACATCAATTTCACTGTCTTTATATTTTACTGTCTTTGTATGTATGGAGCTATATACTTCTGAACAACAAAATGGATGGATAATTAAACAAAAACATTAGTGCCATGATTTCCTTAATATATGCCCCTTTCCCTGACATGTAATTTGTTTCCAATTTTTACAGGAACTAATCTTATAACTGAAAGATATTTTTGTGCACATCTTTATGTTTCTATGTGTTTTAGCATAATTTGCTTTGAATGGATTACCATAATTGAAATTGAGGTTAAAGGGGTTAAGCATTTTAACTTTTTAATAAAAATAGTATACTTTTAAATATCGCAAAGTGCCTACTGGATACAAAAATGTTATAATCAACCTGAAGATCCTCAGCATATTCTGACTTTTATATACTTAGCTATGAATATGCTTGTTATGCAAATGTTTGATGTTTGTAATCTTTCCACATAGGAATAAATAGGCTATATTAATACTGTCACTAGGAAAACCATTCAGAACAGATACCTTACCAATGCCAGTCCAACATAGTTAATTCTCTATCTAAAGTAAACTGTATTTTCCTTTAACACACACTGAAAGAACACTTATGGCACACCCTATTTTACCCAGTAAAGATTAAATGTGTAGCTTTATTTTATGTTTTTGACTGTGTTAATAAATATTTAGAGAGAAGCAATACTAAACTGCAAAATTTCAGAAGCTTTTTTTTTTTGAGATGAAGTCTCACTCTTGTCCTCTAGGTTGGAGTGCAATGGCGTGATCTCGGCTCACTGCAACCTCTGCCTCCTGGGTTCAAACGATTCTCCTGCCTCAGCCTCCTGAGTAGCTGTGATTACAGGTGCCTGCCACCACGTCCAGCTAATTTTTGTTTTTTTCAGTAGAGACGGGGTTTCACCATTTTGACCAGGCTGGTCTCGAACTCCTGGCCTCAGGTGATGTGCCCACCTCGGCCTCCCAAAGTGCTGGGATTACAGGTGTCAGCCACCGTGCCCTGCCCAGAAGCTTAACATAATACAGATTTATGTTTCACTCACCTAGAAATTCCATGTAGGTATTTCTGGTTGGAGTTGAGAAGGACTTCTGTTCCATGCAGTCGTTCATGGAGTCATTGATAGAGGCACTTTCATCTATGACAGTGGCTTTCGAAGTCACCCTGGGTGTCAAAAAACAACTGGTAAGCTGATGAGAGAGACTGTGGGAAGACACAGTCTGTTTTGTCTTCTCCACAAAATGACAAATTACTTTTACCGTCGTTCAATTAGCAAGAATTAGTCTTACGGCCTCATTTAAGCCCTATTTGCACATCCTTGGGGAAACTGCTTAACCTTTATAAATTTCAGTTTTCCTATTGGTAAAATGGGGATAACAAAGTAATGAGCTCACATGGTAATTTTGAAGATTAAATACTGTATATAAAACAGTTAGTATTTGACTTATACTAAGGATTTAATCAACAATCTCTCATCATGATCATTTTTAATATTAGAAAAGACATTCAACTAGACATATATTAGAAAACTATTTTAATTACATGTAATTACATTTAATAATTTTTAAAATAATCCCTATAAACAGGAAAAAACATACCTACCAAAAAAAATAAGTCTAGTTTCTGACCTCTCTATAGTACAAAGTATCAGAAAAAAAATGAAGATTAAAAAAATATTATGGCCAACAATGTGATCACTAGACTAATGTATAAGACAATAAGAATACATATTTACATGTATAGATACATGGAAAATATAGTACTTATGCTTCATTTAGAAAAACAAAAAGATACATTCTAAAAAGCTGAACTCAAGAACGAAGAAGACGTTGGCTAAAAGGGATGGTGATGACTTCTAACTTTCTGAGTTAAGTTAAAAAATTATTATAAATATCAGTAAAAATAATTTAAGATGTTAAGAATAATTATTGAAAGGTAATATGTGTGTTGTGAAATTAATGAAATTACATGTGAAGCATGAGATTATCTAAATAAAGGAGAAATCTGAAGAAAGATAAAATGAACACTGGAGTGGCAAGCAGGGACAAGAACAGAATATTGAGTTTTTTAAGTCTGCATATGGTAGAAAGTAGGGTGGCATGATGAGAGTCAAGCTTTCAAAAACAAACAACAAACAAATAAACAAAAAAACACTCCGGAGGCATTTGGTGAATGGACTCAGGAAATTTAAGAATGGATCTGGGATCTGGGGAGTCCAGGTGGTTTGCTTACGGTGTTTGACATTATAGCGGAAAGAAGTGGACACATTAGAGAATATTTAGGCTTTGGGAATGGTAGAGCTCTGTAATGCATTGGGCAAGTGGATGGGGAAGAAAGACGGGAAGGGTGGCATAGTGTCTGGCTGTGGTACTAGGTAGTGGGTAGTGATGCTATTCAATAATACTGAGGTAGAAGACTTATAGAACAAAATTTAAGATTAGTTTGTGACAAGTTGAGTTTGAACAACTTTGTGACACGCGAGTGGAGATATTATATAGAGAACTGAATACAAGGACCAAAGATTCAAAGGAGCTATTTGCAGTAAAAATTTTAATGCATAGTCATATAGGTGGTATAATTGAAGCTCAAGACAAAGTTTCTCAACCTTGGAACACTGACATTGTGGCCGAATAATTTTTTATTGTACAGGGTGATACTGTGTATTGCAGAATGTTTAGAGCATCCCTAGCCTCTGCTCACAGATGTCAGTAGCAACCCCTGAGTCATGATAACCAAAAATGTCTGCAGCTTTACCAAATATTCCACAGGGGTGCAAAACCACACCTTTTTGAGAAACACTCGTTAAATGATAGTAAGTAGGAAGAGAATGCAGAGTAATAAGAAAACCATATAACCCTACTGAGACAAGAAACCTTAAATTTAATTTGGCTCCAATATATATGGCTCAAATAATTTTCTTTAATTGGAATAATTGTCATGGATATAAAAGTGGGTAACAAGAACAGGAACGCAACATTATTTTTCAGTACTATTTTGAGACTTTCAGTTAAAGTAGGATCCAGGGTAGACAGAGAAGTAAAGCCAAAAGAGTTAGAGATTTCCAAGTGGTTTAAGATTAAGTTTACTGGAAACAAAAGAATTTTAAAAGGTATGAAGTATTTGTAAATTCCAATTTGAAAGGGGTGGGGTGTATCTACTTATACAGGTGGTTAATCTGGCATATCCTTGAATAAGCTTAACTGAGAGACCATGTTCTTGCTGATTACATTTTCGGAAAAAGCAGAGCTGGTCTGTATCTCTACTATACATGTGGACATTAATCAGGCCAGAATCTTTTTCACTGGAATTTTTGCTCCTGTTACTGGCAATGAACTCTAGTGGCTTCATGGCAAGTCTTAGTATCTTTGAAGAGTGATAGACTATTAGGACTTTGTTGAACCCTGTAAGGTAACATTACTAGTTACATGCAACTATAAACATTATTAGTTACATGCTACTGTTAACAGTATTTTAAATACCTAATTTTTATTCATTGATTTGTATAAATTTAGATTACATATATTAGAAATATAATTTGCACTGTTGGTCTGATTATTTTGTTGGTAAGCAAATAATTGCTTTATTTTGTTGATAAGCAAAATAATTTATTCCCTGAAAGATACATAAATATATAATCATTTTACAAAATGAAACCTGTGGAACCTGAGGTAAAGTTAAATCACACATCATTTGCTTCCTCTTTTATTAAAGTTATTTACTTAATTTGCAAAATTTCAATTGAATGTTGTTTTCTAAAGTACTTACATTTAAGTTTCACTTGAATATTTTGAATCTACATTGCTTTGATATTACAGTTTCTTTTATTTGCAATACTGAGTATAGCAAGTTGTGCTTTGCCTATAACTGCCAGCTCCTTTGAAAGTGAGAGTGAAAAAAATAGAAATCTCTTTTAAAACAATTTAAAGATGCCTTTTTTTTTCTTAATGACCAGAAATGTCTAAAATTCTGGTTTCTAAAATTGTGCCATTTTGAAATTTCCCTGGCGGATAGCACTGCTCTGCTGTATTACATGTGGTTAATGTTAGTCACATCCTTGATGTAACATAACACAAGCTGGCTAAGGTAATCCAGTGTGACATATGACAGCATTGTGAGCCAGTCTGGGATATTTGAAAATATGCCATCTTTCAAAGACCATGGACAGCATGGTTAGTCAAGATTATGAACACTGTTGCATTCATTTCAAACAACATAGTCAAGGCTCTGTAATAATTAGAGGGTAATTTCCAACATGGTCGAGTCTGACAAATGCTAAAATGCTAACAAGAGTACTTTTTCCTTTTTTCTTGCTGCTGAGTTTATATTTGAAGCCACTAGGTTAAATTGTAAGAAAAACAACTACTAAGATGTAATTATACGTTGTTTTAGGTATGAGAATGAGTGAAAATTTATAAGACAATGCAGGGATGAGTGAACAATGTCTAGTAATTTATAAAGAGGCAACAGGTAGGCATTTGGTACCCAGTTATTTCCATTTGCCAAAAGCACTCAGGTTGAATCAAGTATGTTAGCATTAGATGAATACAATCTAGAAACATGAGCACCCAGGCGAAAATCTATATTTTCTACATGTGTTGTTGAGTTTCCCTGTAAAAGTCTTTCTGTCTTCAACCTAATTTATTGTGCAGGCTGTGGAAAATCTGAAAACCATGTTTTCTTCTAGGATTACTTCATGATCAGCTTCTTTGGTTTTAAATTTGTTGCACATTTGCTTAAGCAGAAAATACTACCACTAATAATTCCTGATGAATAGTGATGAGTTACAGAAATGAAAATAACCTGGACACTAAATTCAATAGAGGATGGAAGAGGAAATTGAACATAATATGAACATCTTAAAATGAAAAGGTAAAACTGAACTACAAGGTAAAGAGTCAGTGGAGCTGTCTTTTTGTGAGATTTACAACTGCAAGTCATAATATGCTGTTGCCTTATTATGTTTTAAAACACCCTAATTTTATAAAAAAAACTTTTTTCTCTCTCCCTGTAAGTCAGAATCATTAAGTAATACCTGTGCTAATCTATTAATAAAATGATTTAAATAAATATGGAAAATAATTTATTTTCTTGCAAATTAAAAAGTATATACCTCATGCACATATAAAAGGATAGGTAAATATATTTTAATATTGGTTTTCATATAAAATTTGTTTAAAATATTACATTGAAGTTTACTGAACTGCTGAGATGACAAAGAATATAGGAAGAAAATGCTGGCATTTTTAATTTTAGGTACAATAAAAACATTCGTAACACTGTAATATTAATCTTCTAGTTTAGAGTAATATTTTTCTATTGTTTTCTCATTTGAACCTCAAAAGTACATTGCATATTACGAAGATAGATTGTTTTATCTACTTAATGGAAATAAAAATTAATGTAATCCAACCTTGATCCAGTCTTTGAACTTCAAGTCTACTACCTTTCTTTCTGTGATTTTCATAAAATTAGAAGTTTGTTGAAGTGACTCAAGACATAATGAGCGACGCCAAAATTTAATGTAAAGACAAATAACTTAATGTCAAATGAAGAATGGATCTGCCATCCTGGTGTTATGCTTTAACATGCAAAAAGTGCACACAGATATTACCGCTCAATTCTGGTTGATAATTAGATTAAAACACGGTTATAGCTAAAACTTTGTAATATTTTATAGTTAATGCTATAGGGTGTGTTAGAGTAGAAACATAATAATACAAGAGAAATCCGTATAGAAGACCTGATACTTTTGATTGAGCAGATACAAGAAAAGTAAATATTCCCAAAGGGCCAGGCGTGGTGACTCATGCCTGTAAGCCCAGCACTTTGGGAGGTCGAGGCAGGCAGATCACTCGAGGTCAGGAGTTCGAGACCATTCCGGCCAATATGGTGAAACCCTGTCTGTACTAAAAAAATAAAATACATAAATAAATAAAATCAGCCAGGCGTGGTGGCACAGGCCTGTAGTCCCACCTACTCAGGAGGCTGAGGCAGGAGAATCACTTGACTCGAAAGGCGGAAGTTGCAGTGAGCTGAGATTGTACCACTGCACTCCAGCCTGGGTGACAGAACAAGACTCCATCTCAAAAACAAATATATACCTATAGCCAAAGTTACTGATTTTATAAAACAATATACAAAGTCCTTTAGAAAAACAAAGCAAAAGAAAACAAGCTTGCCTCTTTTGAAGAAACTCAAGGTAAAATTATATAAACTGAGGCCAGGTTCAGTGGCTCAGCACTTTGGGAGGCCGAGGCAGGCAGATCACTTGAGCCTCGGGATTTGAGACCAGCCTGAGCACCATGGTGAAAACCGGTCTCTACAAAAAATACAAAAATTAGCTGGGTGTGGTGGTGTTCACCTGTAGTCCCAGCTACTCAGGAGGTTGAAGTGGGAAGATCACTTAAGCCCAGGAGGTCGAGGAGAAGTGAGCTGAGGTGATGCCACTGCACTCCAGCCTGGGTGACAGAGTGACACCCTGTCCCAAAAACAAAAAAGAACAAAACAATATATTAATATATAAACTGAGGAAAATCAAGGTGGAAGGTGAAGCATATTTTTTTTTCTCTGTGTTGGTTTCAAGAGTGTTGTTTGAATATTTTGTGGAACTAGTTATCCATGACTCTGCAATTTCTTCTAGAGATGTTACCTCACTTAACAGAAGGGATAGGATACTAGGAAAAAAAAGTTAATCTTTGTTAGATGCCTGCTATGACAACAGTTTTTCATGCATTATTGATTATCAAATAAAGCCTGTGAATGGATATTATTATCCCATTATATATGCCAAGAACTGAGGCTTACAGAGGTTGTGACTTGTTCATGGTAATATAGCAAATAAGTGGCAGAGCAGGGATTTGTACCCAAGTATGGAGTTAAGGTTTGAATATTAAAAATAATGAAAATATGTATATTAACCTTGGAAGAAATATAAACAGATAATAAGTAAATAACAGAGAATAGAATAGAATAGAATAGAAAAGATAAAAGAACAAAGAAGTTTTTCTGGTCTAGCATTTGTACAGGCCTACTGAGGAAAAATTGTGTGAATCAGTGGAATAATCGATAATTCTGTTTGGTATTTAGTTGAATTATACAACTAAGGAATCTTTCAGATAATGAGTTGGCATGCATTTTGACCTCCTGAAATACTGTAAGGTAGAACATGGCAGATGGAGCCAGACACCTGCATTCGTTTCCTTGCTGTCTAGTTTACTAACTGTGCTACTTTGTGCAACTTACTTTGTTCCTCCAATCCTTAATGCACTCCTCTACTAAATGAGTATTAATGTTACTTACCTGTGTTCTGTTAAGGTGTTTGTGGTCAAAAACATTGCCAAAATCTGAGAGGCTTACAACATCAAAGGTCCATTTATTGCTTGGATTGCAGACCCTTTTCAGGTCAGCTAAAGTTCTGCTCCCTGTTTTCTTCCTTCTGGCAGAAGAAGCCACCCCTTCTGGGATGTGTTGGTCTTATGGCAGAGGGAGAAGAGAGATGCAGGAACCGATTATACGGTAGCTCTGAAAGGGTTTGCTTAAACGGGCCATGCATCACTCTCACTCACCTTTAAATAGGCAGGAGGAAGTCACATACCCAAGCCTCACATGGAGGAAGGTATCATCACCTCATAGGAAAAGGCAGAGGATAACTGGAAAAATACTATCACTTACCACAACATCCACAGGATTATCGTATGATTAAATGAGATGAAAAAGTAAAGCTCCCAGCAGGGTTTTAGGCACATAATATGTTCTCTAGAAATGGTATTTCACTTTCATTCTATGGGATCCAGAGTTAAGCTAAACAAAGACCAAGCTCATGAGGAATTACAGCCACATATAACAATTTTCCAGTGTCTGTTTTGTTTGTAACCTTTATTATAATAATTGATAGTTAAAAGAATGAAAGTCATATTTCAAAAATCACAGTAACAGAAAGATTTTAATCCTCCAATGCAATTGTCAATAAAGAATTGACAAATTAAGACCTGATTTTTAAAAATGCATTCTTAATTTTTTAGGTGTTCTTAATTTCTTAGAAACTTTAATTGATATATATATCTCTCAATTAAATGGGCATCATTAACAAAATAATAAAGCAAAGCTTCCATTGGAAGGTAGCATGTGGGATACCCAATGAAAATAAATTTTGGTTAAGATTGAATTCCAGTAAGAAATTTATCAGGGATTTTGCAAACTTTAGGACTAGAGGAAAAATTCCCTATTGAATGTTTCTGAAAAGGTCTCTTTTCTGTGTCATGTGGTCAAAGAATTTTGTATGAGTAATGAATTTGGTCTTGTAGATTTTTGGATAAATCCTTAAGAAAAAAGCCAACAAGTCTTGCCCTCCCTCTGTGAGATCAAAGACACCACTGTGTTTTTGGTATGAAAAAGGTTTCCCCATGGTTGCCAAAAATATGCTGTTTCCCCATCAGCTGTGTAGCGGCCATGAAATGATTGACGGCCCTTGCAGTTTCTCCAGGGTGGTTCAATTTCAAGTTGAAGGTAGTGCTGAATTTGAAAAGTATTTTGAGTCCCTTTTGAATAAAAATTACAACAGGACAAAAATACTTCTTCCTTTCAGCTGACAGTCAATGACATCCACTTAGTAAGGTGTTACTGTAGTACGAAGTGGCCCTTTGTGAATACGTGGGATAAATTTCCATCTATGCAAGGCCAAAGTACTCAGTTGTGATGATTTACCTTTTTTTCCATAATAAAATTTAATAGAGAAAAAATAATTTGAGATGAAGACTGAATTCTTTAAATGCTTTCACAGAAACAAATTTTTGAAAAATTTCTTGTGAGAAAAAATATAACAATGTTATTGATACATAATTATCTTATTGTAAACTCTTTAAATAATAAAAATCTGTTATCACATGATTTTAGAGGTACTAAAGTTTGAAACATATACTCTCTAAATATAATAAATTATCAGAGAACTCTGGCATAAAATGAATAATGACAAAAGGGTGTTAGTCATATCCTATCAAGGAATCTCACAATATATAAACCCCACTTTGATACCACATATGTGAGAAAAATTTTGAGAATCCATGTGCTTGTAGTTTAGCATACTTTTTAAAAACTTCAATGTATCCACTACGTTACAAAATTGAAAACTTAAAAATAAATTGGTAAAAAATAAATGTTAACAAAAATTGATTAAAATTCCTCTCAGTTATTTGTGGGAGAAAGGAAGGATGTACAAATCATTAAGTCTTTCTGAAAAGAGCATGCCCTTTGAGCTGCTTAATGTATACGAGAATGGAGAGTCCAGTTGCCTTAAAAAAAATTCCAGAAAACATCCTCTTTTAGGAACTACCTGGTTTTTACACGAGTGTTTACAACCTTGAGATTTGTAGTATTCCTTAGCTTTCCCTTGAATCTCAGGTCCAAATCAATGAAACAATGTGAAATAAAACACTTAGGCACTTTATGATCCAAATCATAAAACTAAGGATATGAGATGTTGAATAATTAGAACTAATTGGTGACTGCAAACAGAGATCAAATTCACCAGAAAGCTGCATGACTTTTTCTTTAGTTCATAGGCACTGTTTAAGATCAGAGGTTTAAAAAAAAAGGTTGCATGTTGTGTTAATTGATTCAGGAATATGTTTTCTGCTCACTTTTGATGCTATAAAATGAAATGGAACAGTCTGGAATGCATACTGAAACAAGGGGTTACATGGGTGTGGCAGCTTCACAGCCTACACTCGTTTGTTGTTTGCCGGTAAGCATTCATTTGTTCAACTTCTGATATTTGGGCCTTGTTCCAAGAGTATTTTTGAGAAAACGTAAAAGTTCTGTGTGAAGTGGATGAAGTACTCTTTTAACTTTTGAGTATTCATTGTCTCAAATATTTATATATTCCATTAATTCTATTTCACCCATTTTTTTCCAAGTTACTCTTTAATGTCTCCACTTCAATTTGAATGTATCTAGTTCTAAATATTCTGCAGCTTACAGGGGACACTTATGTCTATATTCTGCAATGTCTTGTTACTTTTTAAAGTCTATTATATACAGATAATTCATTTTAATTATTTTATTAAACAAAATAGCAAATTTTTTAAGTGAAATTTTTGAAGACATTAAAAAACCCACAGTAAATCTCAAAGTCCATTTAAGTAATTATAATGTGATTGACAAATGATGCTGCCTATAGTAATAATGTAGGTATATATGTACACATGCATCTTTTTCAAAAGTGAAAATTTGATAGACATCTTCTTTCTTCTAATTCCTGCTTTGCAAATATCCCGGATCTGAAAACAAGCTTATACTTTATACCAGAATGATCTGAAACAGAGAAAAAAGCCATGCTCTTGGCAGAAATATGTGAAGTGAACTTAAATTGTTAGATTTTTAAAATATTTGAATGATGGTTATCTATGGTGGGTCTCTTCTGATATTTGAGCTTTTCTTATTACTGCTTGAATCATTATCAAGAAATTCATTTTTTCAAGATTTCTCTAAATTAGGAAGCTTTATTCCCTATTTATGCACCTATTATGCACCTATTATGAAATTAAATTATTCCATTGACAACAACCAAAATTAATAAACTAGAGGCTTTTACTGTTAACTGTGTATTTATCTTTAGACTAATGCTATTATTTGAGAGTTAGATGTTAATAAAATCTATGTAGTATTAGTGAAATAACTTATTAACAAGTTTAGAATATGCTAAGTGAAACTCAACCCGTTTTATGTTTACATTCCTAAAGCTTTGATTAAATCCTAATACATATCATCCAGCTGCACTGAATTCATCTGATGCAAACACTTGATAATTGTTCACCTTATACCCTTATCATCTATACACATTCTCTAGCACTCTCTCTTTGAAAAAATAAACTCAAATACCAAAGTAAAAAAAAAAAATTACACAGCAGTCTGAACTCTGAATACAAAAATAGCAATCTTTGAAAATAAAAACAGAAACCTCTAAAATAATGTTTTATTTATCACATACAAACATGTTTTCCTAAGAATTACTTCCAGTATGGGCCACCATATGGAAGTAGAAAGCCATTATAGGAATGAACTAAGATGGTTTGTATCACCTGCATAACTTGTTTTGTTCTATGCCTTCAGGGTTCAAAACCCGCTTCCCATATTTTTTTCCTTTCTTTAAAAATAATGTACATCAGTTTAATTTATCCCAGGTCCTGACAGAAGGATCGGATTTTAAGCATTTAATGCTGTGGTTTCAAATCCAATTTCTCAGTGTTCATCGTTTCAAAAGTGGCAGAATTCAGTTTTTGAAAAAGTTCAAGAACATGGGGAGGACTGGCATACTTTCTAAAGTTCCACATTGATATTAAAGGAAGCTCTGTATGGGAGAGAGCAGTTTGGTCTGAATTTTTCTATAGTGCTCCAGGAGATATTAAACCCTCCACCTTCTTCAACAAGAGCCTCTTCTTATTGGTATCAACCTAGGAATACTTTTTAAACTCATAAAGCATATTGAATACATAATCTATTACAGGTTTTCTGAACTAGGGCCCTGACTGGTTGATATCTTTTCCTAAATGGAGGGCATCGATATATCTGCTTAAGGCTTGATTCCACTGAATGTGTTTGGAAACAACTTTCCCTGAAACTAAGGGGATTTTTATCCATTCAGAAACTAAAGCAGTAGACCCTTGCACAGTAAATTCATTGTAGGCTTTCTTTATGGGTGGTGGGGGAATCTCTAAAGGTCAGGAGTCCAGATTGCTTCAAATAAACATCCAGAATCTCAGATGCTTTTTTGAAACAAGCCCAAGTTTATCTGAACCTCTTTCTCTGGTTTGGAAATCAGGCTGAAAATGTCACAGAAACAGATTTTCTTGTGAGATCTCAGAATGTTGTGGTTTAAGTAAAGTAATAAACAAAGTTGAAAAATGAAAGGCAAAATTGGCTCAAACTCACCTGGTTTCATTCTGTTAGATGCCTAAAACTGAGTGGCACTGTGCAATCTTTAAAACAGAAAAAATAAAAACAAAACAAAAACAGAGTTTGGCTGTGGGTTAGCCTAAAATCATCAAACATTTCTCCTGAGGAGGTTTAAGAGAAACTTTTGCCACTCCATCATGCGCTGTCCTTATGTTGCAATGTTTCATTTATCCCCCTCTCCATCTTCAATTTGAGAGATTTCAGAACTGGTCTTCCGTTTTTAAACTGTCAATAAGGAATAACTCTTTGACCTTTTGAAGTGGAATACGTTCCTTTTTATTTATGGGTGTGATTGCCTTGAAATGCATATTTTAGTATTTATGTGGTATATATATAAAACAATAAAAAATAAAGTAGAATTTTTTCGAATAGCTATTATTGAATACCAGGGATGAGTTAAAACTTCTCCACATATCATATTATTTAATCCTCACAGCAAAACCATTAAGCAGGTATTTTTTATCTCCATTTAATAAATGATATAAAAACAGTTTATGAAGATACAGTAACATTCTTAATTGTACAGCTGTGATACTTATAGCAAGTAAGTAGAGGCAGGATTGAAGCTGAGGATGGCTGACTTCAAAGACCGTACATTTTACTACTAATTTATGTAGTTTCCCAAGAGCTGTTTTTAAAATCCATTTAATATGTCTAATAGCTTTAGCCCTACCTATTACAAATAATGGGTTACATATCTAACACACTAGCTGAAAAGTTCGTTTCTGAAAAAGTCTCTTTTCTGTGTCATGTGGTCAAAGAGTTTTATATGAGTAATGGATATGGTCTTGTAGACTTTTGGATAAATCCTTAAGGAAAAAGCCAACTGTGTATTTTCAATACACTGAAAAGCAGTGTATTAGATATATAGCTGAAATTATTATAATGATAATGCCTTAGATTTATAAGCACTCTACAGAATCCAAATCCTTTTGTATTTGTTTTCTCATTCTAATCCTTCCAACAAACTAGAAAGTAGGCAAATAAGGCATCTGGATCCACGACTGGGGAAAACTGAGGCTTCATGAAATTAAGAGATTTTTCCAAAGTCATGAAACGAAAATAAATCCAGAAGAAACGGCAAATGGAATGTTTTACCTATGTAAATTGCTCTTTGCAAATCAACACTTCAAAATTCCACTCTGCGGTCACCTTTTAATATCTTATGTTATTTTCTCAGTCGCTTCTTTTCAATTACGCTCACTTTTCTCCACAGTACTTTTGCATATTTCAGCTTTTTATATATACTGTGCTCCTGTTAGAAAGTGTTCTGCACTAACTGATAAAATCCAAACTACTTTTGCAAAGCCTGAAAAGGTCTAGACACATGATACCAATGCTATTCTTGGGCTACCCATTTAAGTTATGTATCAAGTCTAAATTTAATCAAGGCCACATTTTATTTATACATTTCATGCATTAAACTCATTTAAACTTTTAGTCAGATTTCATTAGAAGAAATACTACCGTGTACATCATGCAGTAGTAAAGCTAATGTGCTTCAAGAATTTGAAAGGAGTTGGAGATCGGGGGTCTGATTTCAAAATTTCTTTTTCTTTCTCTCCTTAGTGCTTGCAGCAGGTCTGTGAGCAGCACACAGTTTGTTTCCTAGGACACTAATACAGTCAGCATGCTCTGTACAAATGTGTAAACACAGACATTCCCTGTAATCAGGGAGGTTGGTGTCTTAAGGCAAGATTATGTTTTTTTAGGAAATGCAATTTATGTTCAGGATTAAATTTCTCTTGCAGACTGATAACGTCTGAGGTTCAGGGAGATGATAATAAGTGTTGTGTCCTAAACTGCCTGCCCTGAATCTGAAGCCTTGAATTAGTCTTCCTGTATAGCCCTCATTCTTATGACCCCAAATTAGGTAGTTCTTCATGTCTTAGAAAGATGAGAGAAGTAAATAATATAAAAAGACAAAATACACTTTAAAAAATGTAAAGCATCTATAAACCTCATGGTGGTTACAAGGAAATACAGAGACATAAGGAAAAAATACAGATGACACCATGGCTAATATCCTTCTTCACAATTCAGGAAATTTAAATTTGTGTCTGGTACTTTGGTATTCGTGAAATTGAGATGGAGATGGGCAGAAAGTTAGACAATATTCTTATAATCGCTTTAGTCTTCTCATGGAATGATCCTAACACTATAAAACAACTTAAACACATAACAAATATTCTCTTTCTAAACAGTAGTTGAAATAAATCCAACCAGAATACCAAGAAAACCTTCTCTATAAATCCTTTCATCACAAAACTGCTCTATTTCTTTTCCAAACCAGAAAAAAAAGTTTTCAGAAGTTAAAAGGGCAGTTTTTATGCCAAAACCACAATTTTTTTGACCTAATATTAAATTCTTAAGATTTTTTCCTTTCTTTCTTTCTTTCTTTTTCTCTTTCTTTCTTTTTCTTTCTTCTTTTCTTTTCTTTCTTTCCTTCTTTCCTTCTTTCTTTTTCTTTATTTTTTTCTTTTTTCTCTTTTTCTTGCTTTCTTTCTTCTCTCATCTTCCTCCTCTTCCTGTCATTGTCTTCCTTCTCCTTCTTTTCTTTATTTTTCTTTTTCTTTTAACCTTCAGAGGCAGAGATCTGTGGTTACTACCAACTCCTTTTTACACAGGGAGTGCAGATCATACAAAAGAAAAACATAGCCTTGATCAGACAGCTGAGTTTTTTTTAATCTTAAAAAAAATCTATTTTATCCAAATGAATTGAGTACTCAGAACTGGAACTTTTCAGACCACAAGGAAGACTGACATGCTTTTTTATCATGGTAACAGGTACTGACTGCATGGGGAGAGGCCATACCACAGAAACCTCAATCTGCCTGAGCCGTGACTCTGAGAGCTGGAGTACCACTGGACAAGGTGAGGGGAGCTTTTGCTTGTTTACTCAGAAATATTTTCTAAATTACCTGTTTGTGTTATTTAGGAGGGCAGGATTGGGGAATGCCACTTTGACCTGATTTTTACAGAATAAACTCCTTGCGTAGCGTTATAATAATCAGAATAACTAGATAGGCTCTTTTAGGCAAGGTTGGGCAAACTTTCTATATTCTGACTCCTCTTGTTGTTTTCTTCCCAAACATTTGAAAGAAAACACATTACAGTTTACAAAAAAATCCCTCATTCTGCCTTGTGTTGGTTCCACCTCCCCTAAAAATAGAATTTTATGATGCTCAATCTAATTTCTTTTCAAGACCATTTATTTAATAAGAAGAATGTTCTCCTGGCCTGAGATGCAATATAAGTGAGTATGTATTTTTTTTCATAGAGTTAATGTTTACGGCAGAGGGCTAAAGCATTGAAAATAAGGAACTGAAATGGAAACTCTGACATCACTTTAACGGCAGTCCTGCTGCCTTACTGGGGAGAAAAATATTAGCTCTTGTCTAACTTACCTTTTCCATAAGGTGTAAAAAGCACCCTATACAGAGGGAGTATATGAAACCCATAGCTAGTCTGATTGCTTGCATGCTATTCATATACACGCCCGTTGTAAGCTGGCACTGGGTGAACCCGCTGATTCTAACCATATGGCTGCCTGCAGAAGTGCACTGAGGAGTTTCCTCCAGGGTGCCCGAACGGTGTCCTACTGGCTTCCTAGGCT
This sequence comes from Homo sapiens, assembly GCF_000001405.40. Lineage (NCBI taxonomy): Eukaryota > Metazoa > Chordata > Mammalia > Primates > Hominidae > Homo > Homo sapiens. The sequence goes on from NC_000012.12 coordinate 85,424,947, forward strand.
GCAGGAAAAAATGAAAAAAAAATGTAATTTTCCCATTATGAGATTTCATCCAGATGCTCATGAGGTCATACATTAAATAATGAGACTTTAAAGAACATTACTATTTTGAAGAATTGCAAACTGTATGCATTTCTCCACTGGGTGGCGGTCGAAGTCCATAATCATGAAGACAACTAAAAGACCCGGAAACTGAAAATCTAATTTAAAAAATATCACTTAAGGGTTAATTAATTCAGAACTACTATTCTTCTAATCAGATTACCAGTTTATAGTGCTGTGTGTCAGTCAGACTGTGCTGGTTCTGCCTGTTGGTAGACAATTTTGCATTACAGAGAGCTGTAGAAACTTTTGAGCTATTGAAAGATTTTATCTACACTGGTAAACTTATATTTTTTTGGAATAATTATCAGGAATAAAATATTTTCTACCACTATGTATTCAATCGTCCACTGACCACAACAATTTCTCTACAATCAGGTTTTTTTTTTTTTTTTTTTTTTTTTTTTTGCATAACTTTACACAGCTTTTGAAGAAGGTATTTCTTGTCCCAAATCTTTCAAAATTCCAGAAAGGTATCATTTTGCTTAATAGTATTCCTTGGTTATGGCCTGTTATTAACAACCCCTATAAACTATTCTGATTATTTCTGGAACTGGAGTCTATACAGCTATATAGGACATTCATTTCAGTTTAATAATGCTCAGCTCTTGTGTGCTAAGCTATCAACTGTAAATAGAAAATCTCATGTAAGGATTTAGATTCCAGTGAGATGAAGTCAAGGTTCATATTAGATAAATGCCTTTACTTTTAGCTTGTTGAGTTGGTTTTCCTTCTTCTTTCTTCTAGCTTTAATTTCTGTGTCTTTCTCCATATCTGCATGTACAAATCCCATTTCAGGTAGGTCTTGGCTAAAAGAAAGAAGTGCACAAGTAGTATAAATAGAGCACACATTAGGGTCAAACTCTTCTGCAGGATGTAGTTATGTGCCCCATACCCCACCACCCACCTTGTATGACCAACCAGAACCAGATATAAGTCAAATTGTGCAGTAGGTGAATTGGTTTTGCTTCATAATCATCTCCTCTTTCCCTGACCTTATCTCCATATTACATGTAGTAATGGGCAAACCCTGGTGCTTTCCTTTACCTCTCATGTTCTCAAGGGCTTTCCAGGTATAGCCGACAGTTGCCACATCACACAGACCTTGAGTTTCTGATAGGACTGTTGGTCAGTGTCAGACCCTGCTCGTGAAGGCTGTGAGGCAGCTGGCATTTGCTAAAGGCAGTTGATCTATAAAGTTGTTCTGCTGGCCAAAAAATAAACGATTTTGAGCACTACAATGGAGGAGATCCAGTCACCCGGCTGCAGAGTTCAGACCTCACTAAGGACTTGCTTTTCTTCTGATTTTACTTAAAGATTAATGTAGGGTGATGGACTTTGGATGGAGAATGCCTGGCTGTCCTGTCTTCAGCTCTATCTTGCACTGTGGTCATCAACTTTTCTCAGATCAAAAATAGGCAGGTACGGGTAGTGGGCTTACAACGTTTGACCGCAACTGGTTTTTCTAAGTATTCTGTACATTTTTCAGCAGCAAAACCAAACTGGGTCTTCAGCTTTATCCCCATTTCTTGCAAAGGAAGAGCCTTTATATGATTGGGCACATTTTGGTTTTTCCTTACTGAGAATTTTAGTCTTCTTTTGTATTGTTTCTATAATAATTTGTAAACATATTTATTTGTACCTACTTTTTAAAACTTTTCTGGTGAAATTCATTGTACTGCATTTTATTTGTCAAAATAAACATTCTCATAATGCTGGTTAAAAAAAAAATGCAGCTTAAAATGAGGCGTGCTCAGCAAACATCAGTGAATTACAACAGTTCCAAAGAAAACTAGTTCACTAGTTGACAAAACAAAAGCACAGGTTTTAAACAGGCTTGGGTTAGAATCTTGATACCATTATTTACAGATTACATAATTTAGGTTAATTTACTTAATATCTCTGCATTACTATTACCTAATTTGGAAAATGGGAAGAATAGTTCCTATAACTAACAGTGGTTTTGGTTATTAGATTAGATAAAACATATGAAACACTTAATCATCTAACCTATGGTAACTTCTCAATAAATGGTAGCAATTTTCATCAAGAGTAAACACTTAAAAAACCTAACTCTGTGTGGCACTGTGATAGACTGAGATTAAAAGATCATAAGGCACACTCTCTGCCCTAAAATATATACAGTCCTCTTGAGATAATTATTTCTTCACCAACAAATATTTACTGAACACCTAGTACATAACAGAAATTGGTTTTGATGATGATATTGATGATATTACAGGCTAAATAACCCTTTTACATATCTCCTGGGACCAGAAGTCTTTTGAATTCTTTTTTGATTTGGGAATATCCCCATATACATAATGAGATTGGGACCCAAGTCTAAACACAAAATTCATTTATGTGTCTGTACATCTTAAACACATTGTACTTTTATACAATATTTTTCATAATATATGCAACCTGTCACATGAGATCAGGTGTAGAATTTTCTATTACGGTGACATGTCAGTGCTCAGAAAGTTTCAGATTTGGGAACATATTGGATTGCAGATTTTCAGATTGGGGACTCTCAACTTGTATAACAATGAATGAAAGAAACATGAACCTTGCACTTAGGAAGATTACAGTTCTGTGGGAGAAACAAAGTTTAAGCAAAAACACATTATTCAAATATTTTAAAAATCATAATCTGTAAGTACCATGATGTCAAAGTACAGCATAGTTAAAGCCTAGATGTCAGCTGGGAGTCACCCTCTACATGGAATTAAAAATAAATATTAATCTTCTATCATGTTCTCTGAGAAAATGGATATTCTCCTCATAGCCATGCAGATTCCTCCAGACTTATTTTCTGAGAGTCATCTCTTTCCCTAATTCCATATTCCTACTAAAATCTCTATTTCTCTGCAAATTTAACTCCTACATTCTTTTCCTTCTGTCTGCCTTTCGTAGACCAAGACAGATTATATAGCCTTTTCCCCTGGTGTTCCCCCACCCACCGCAAACATCACTCACATGTATAATGGGGTCAACACCGCAGCACCACTCAGGGATCAATTTCAAGTTGAATCTTAGATGTTCTTTTCTTAACAGACATTTGCCCATTCTAACCAAACAGAATGTCTAACTTGTCAAAAAAGAGAGAAAGCTAAGCAATTCTGAGTCAGCCAGATGATCTTCACAGGAGTATTGGTTTGAAAAAGGCATTTTGTTTCAATGATGACAGTTTTTGTTGATATTTTGTTATGCCTTTATAGACTGTTTTGTAGACCTAAGCTAGATTGAAAGATGAAGTAAAACTTTCCTGAGGAAGTGATATTTAAGCATAGAATTGAAGGGTGTGTCATGAGTTGCAGAAAAGGATTCAAAACAGATAACGGCATATGTATAAAGGCTGGAAGATTTTTAATACGCTTGACTTGATCTGACTGTAGTCACATTCATAAAACTTAAGTAGAAATACTCAGTAGCTCAAGTTCACTTTCAAGTTGCTATCCTAGGGAAAATTCCAGAAGTTCAGGGAAGGGAGAGTTGAGTGAAGGGTGGAAATCCAAGGTGAGTCTTGTTTAAAGAGGTGTGATTTGTGGAGCTTGAAGAAAGAATGGAACTTAGACAGTGAGAGATTGAAAAGGACAGGAGGAGCAATGGGATGGAATGAAGGCTGGGTGCTTGCTGTTGTGCTCATGGAGAAGGAGTCAAATTTGGTGAAGGAAAAGGAAGTCAATGATTCTTCTTGAAAAGTCATCAAAAATCTGACTGAGGAGTCCTTGAATATCTTTGAGAGATAGGGAGATAACTTTTGAGTAAAACAGTATCATAGAAAGCTGGGAAGTCTTAATTCCTCAGGAACATTGGTGGATGATGCTAGTTTAGACTTTAGTTGAGGCTGTTGGCTTAAACACCTGCAATATGGGCTCTCCAAGTGGTATGGGCTTTCTCACAACATAGTGGCTGGATTTTTTTTTTTTTTTTTTGACAGAGTCTGACTTTGTTGTCCAGGCTGGAGTGCAGTGTCATGATTTCGCCTCACTGCAACCTCCATCTCTTGGGTTCAAGCGATTCTCCTACCTCAGCCTCCGGAGTAGCTGGGATTACAGGTATACACCACCATGCCCAGCTAATTTTTTGTATTAGTAGAGATGGGGTTTCATCATGTTGGCCAGGCTGGTCTCGAACTCCTGACCTCAGATGATCCACCCACCTCGGCCTCCCAAAGTGCTGGGATTATAGGCATAAACCACCGTGCCCTACCTAGTGGCTGAGTTCTAATAGTGAATATTCCAAGAGAAAGCCAGGTAGCCGCTGTATGTGCTTTCATAACCTAGCCTCAGAGATCAATGGCACTTATGCATATTCTATTTATCAGGATGGTCAAAACCTTACCAGGTTCAAAGAGAATGGAAAGAAATTTAATTTCTGGATGAGGAATGTCAAGATTGTGAAAGAATGTTAGGGACTAGAAATATTGCTTCAGCCATATATGGAAAATACAATGTGCCGATTTTCTTTGTGTCTCAGCTTGGAAGTAGGAATACGGATTTGCGTTTCAAGGCAGTAGACTATGTGGATTATTTTGTCTTTAGGAAAATTAACATCTTCATTAATGTGATTTACTTGACACTGGCAATGAGAAATTTTGTTCATCCTAAGAAGTTGTTTTGAGTGTGTGCGAGCACAAGCATTTCAAACAGTAGTTATCCGTCGACAAGTTTGATGAGTGAGGAAGCTTCGACCTTGGAATGCTGATGTCCATTTCAACATAGTCTTTTGAAGCTCCTGGCTTCTATAGCATTGCATAGCTCTGAGTCAGATAAATGCACAATTGTGGCATTTTGTTCAATAAACTTATAGTGTTAAGAAAGATGGGCTGGGTGCAGTGGCTCATGCCCGTAATCTCAACACTTTGGAGGCTGAGGTGAGCTGATCACCTAAGGTCAGGAGTTAGAGACCAGCCTGGCCAACATGGTAAAACCCCCATCTTTACTAAAAATAAAAAATAAAAATAAAAATTAGCTGGATGTGGGGGCAGGTGCCCTGTAATCCCATCTGCTAGGGAGGCTGAGGCAGGAGAATTGCTTGAACCTGGGAGGCGGAGGTTGCAGTGACCAAGATCGCGCCACTACACTCCAGCTTGGGTGACAGAGAAGGACTCCATCTCAAAAGAAAAGGAAGAAAGAAAGGAAGAGATAGACTCAGGCTTAGGAGATTGAGTTTTTCTAAAAGTGACTGTGAGGTTAGAACTGTGAATGAAGAAAAAGGGACTTTCAAGAGCAAGCTAGGAAAGGGTCTTATAAAGGATTTGCCTTTTGTAGTTTTCTATTTATTTTATTTTATTTTTTTAGATAGAGTCTCACCCTGTTGCCCAGGCTGGTGCACAGTGGCGCAATTTAGGCTCACTGCAACCTCTGCCTCCCGGGTTCAAGCAATTCTCCTGCCTCAGCCTCCCAAGTAGCTGGGATTACAGGCACCTGCCACCACTCCCACGGCACAAAGTATTTTATATAAAAATACAAAAATAATTTTTTGTATTTTTAGTAGAGATGGGATTTCACCACATTGGCCAGGCTGGTCTCGAACTCCTGACCTCAGGTGATCCGCCCACCTTGGCCTCCCAAAGTGCTGGGATTACAGTTGTGAGCCACCATGCCTGGCCTGTAGTTATTTTCTTTAGCACCGTGAGAACAGTCATACTTAGCATAGTGTGTTAGGGATTTTTTTTGTTGTTTTTTTCTATGTTGTAACTTGATTCTCTTCAGTAATGCCTCAACTTTTCAATCAATTCTGTCATATATATAAAAGTCTTAGTAGTCGTCCATGTGAAATTAAGGGATTGGGTAGAATGGCATCCAATAGATGCCAGTTTCTAGGTAGTGACCAGTAAGAGCCTAATGCAGAACTCAAATATGACAGAGAAACAACTTTCAGGTAGATGATTCATATAGGAAAGAGATACTTGAAGCTAGCATTTGGATTAAACATGTAATGTGTCCAGTATAATGACTATCATATAGTAAGCATTGACTTATAGAAGCTATTATTGCTGTCGATAGTAAAGACAGAACTCTTTATGCTAATCATAATTTGATTTTAAAATCAGAGTTCTAATGCTGAAATTGATTAATCTGATTGCTATTTATTAATGGCACTGATGATGCAAATAGATGTTTATGGTAAAGACCAAAGACCAATGATAATGATCCTAACCCAGTGGAAAGAGATTTTATGACTAAATTATCTTCTAGCACCTCTCAAATCACACCAAATAAGGATTTTTTTTTCTTTCTTCCTTTTTTTCTTTCTTTTTTTTTCTTTTTTAAACCAAGCTTATTTGCAAAGCAGCTTCCAATAATTTGGACAAAGTTTTAAAATGTAATTAAAAAGACAACTTTTAGCTAATTAAAAAAAAATCCTGCAAAATTTGACTTTGAGTTTAATTTGTTTGTCATCACTATTTCATGATGCTTCTCCAAGGAAGTAAAATGTATAAATTTGATAAAATTTGATTTAAAAATTGATGAAAATGATTATTTCAGCTATTTCAATAGCTATTACATATGACAATTGGATGAGTAAAATTAACTAGTGGGAATAGAGCTTAAAGAATAAAATGAACACAAACTTATTTCTAATATTGTATATGTCTTCGTTGTGAAGGTCAAAACTGGCTAGAAATGTATACTTGTTATGATATCATAGGGGAGTTCATCTGGAGTTAGGAGGCTTGGGTTCTAATAAGCAAGTATACGTAAGTCTCTAAAACCCAGTTGTAATGCACTGTCTAATATAGTAGCCACTGGCAATATTTTTAAAAAGTTAAATAAATTTTCATTTAAAATTAAATAAAATTTTAAATTTGACTCCTCAGTCTTACTAGTCCCATGTCAAGTAATCAATATTTATGCACAATTAGTGGCTACCATAGTGGACAGCTAGCTCAGTTACAGACATTGCAGAAAGTTCTTTTGTATAGTGCTATTCTAGAATGTCTATCCTCAGCTACAAGCATATTATTATACTCTGTGCCTTGCCTTTTCCCTTATCATTTTTAATGCTCTATTTTGGGGAAAAGAAATTTTTAATTCTAGTGTGTTTTTAATCATCCATTTTTTTCTTATAACTCTTTCTGTGTCCATTTAACAAAATTTTGCCAATTTCAAGATCATGAAGATATTATTCTGCCTTTTTCTGAAAGAATAAGATATTTCACCTTCTATCATATTGTGAATCAGCACTTACCTAGATAGGAATGAAATGAATGCTAATGATAATGGTGGTGATATGACTGCCAATTTATAGTCTCAATACATAAAATACTAAAAGAAAAGTTATATTATGAAAAATAGTCTTTTTTATAGAGAGAAGTGTAGGGATATGGAAAGTATTCTAAAATATTTTCTGGCAATTAATCTTTAATTTTTGTATTGTTTTAACTAAGTATCAGTAAGACATATTTCAATTGATATCATGTCAACAAGTAAATAGTTTGTTTTGTGAAGCAATCTATGTATTTAGTTGTGAAAGAATGTGTTTTATAGGCTTGGGTTATAGCTTTCAACTTTCTTTCTTTTTTTAAAATTATACTTTAAGTTTTAGGGTACATGTGCACAATGTGCAGGTTAGTTACATATGTATACATGTGCCATGTTGGTGTGCTGCACCCAGTAACTGGTCATTTAACATTAGATATATCTCCTAATGCTATCCCTCTCCTCTCCCCCAACCCCACAACAGGCCCCGGTGTGTGATGTTCCCCACCCTGTGTCCATGTGTTCTCATTGTTCAATTCCCACCTATGAGTGAGAACATGCGGTGTTTGGTTTTTTGTCCTTGCAATAGTTTGCTGAGAATGATGGTTTCCAGCTTCATCCATGTCCCTACAAAGGACATGAACTCATCATTTTTTATGGCTGCATAGTATTCCATGGTGTATATGTGCCACATTTTCTTAATCCAGTCTATCATTGTTGGACATTTGGCTTGGTTCCAAGTCTTTGCTATTGTGAATAGTGCCGCAATAAACATACATGTGCATGTGTCTTTATAGCAGCATGATTTATAGTCCTTTGGGTATATACCCAGTAATGGGATGGCTGGGTCAAATGATATTTCTAGTTCTAGATCCTTGAAGAATCGCCACACTGTCTTCCACAATGGTTGAACTAGTTTACAGTCCCACCAACAGTGTAAAAGTGTTCCTATTTCTCCACATCCTCTCCAGCACCTGTTGTTTCCTGACTTTTTAATGATTGCCATTCTAACTGGTGTGAGATGGTATCTCATTGTGATTTTGATTTGCATTTCTCTGATGGACAGTGATGATGGGCATTTTTTCATGTGTCTGTTGGCTGCATAAATGTCTTCTTTTGAGAAGTGTCTGTTCATACCCTTTGCCCACTTGTTGATGGGGTTGTTTGTTTTTTTCTTGTGAGTTTGTTGGAGTTCATTGTAGATTCTGGATATTAGCCCTTTGTCAGATGGGTAGATTGCAAAAATTTTCTCACATTCTGTAGGTTGCCTGTTCACTCTGATGGTAGTTTCTTTTGCTGCACAGAAACTCTTTAGTTTAATTAGATCCCATTTGCAATTTTGTCTTTTGTTGCCATTGCTTTTGGTGTTTTAGACATGAAGTCCTTGCCCATGCCTATGTCCTGAATGGTATTGCCTAGGTTTTCTTCTAGGGTTTTTATGGTTTTAGGTCTAACATGTAAGTCTTTAATCCATCTTGAATTACTTTTTGTATAAGGTGTAAGGAAGGGATCCAGTTTCAGCTTTCTACATATGGCTAGCCAGTTTTCTCAGCACCATTCACAATTGCATCAAAGAGAATAAAATACCTAGGAATCCAACTTACAAGGGATGTGAAGGACCTCTTCAAGGAGAACTACAAACCACTGCTCAATGAAAGAAAAGAGGATACAAACAAATGGAAGAACATTCCATGCTCATGGGTAGGAAGAATGAATATCATGAAAATGGCCATACTGCCCAAGGTAATTTATAGATTCAATGCCATCCCCATCAAGCTACCAATGGCTTTCTTCACAGAATTGGAAAAAACTGCTTTAAAGTTCATATGGAACCAAAGAAGAGCCCGCATTGCCAAGTCAATCCTAAGCCAAAAGAACAAAGCTGGAGGCATCACACTACCTGACTTCAGACTATACTACAAGGCTGCAGTAACCAAAACAGCATGGTACTGATACCAAAACAGAGATATAGACCAATGGAACAGAACAGAGCCCTCAGAAATAATGCCGCATATCTACAACCATCTGATCTTTGACAAACCTGACAAAAACAAGAAATGGGGAAATGATTCTCTATTTAATAGCTTTCAACTTTCTATCTCTACTTATTTGAAAATGTTTGCTGTGTGGATCAAAAACCCTTAACCTATGGTTGCCAGACCAGGTACCTTCTTTTCTATTCTGCCTGCTCCGGATGCACTTTCAACCTTAGCAATCCTCTTTTGGTAAGGCAAAATGCTGCACTTGATGAAAATGTTTAGACCGATAAACTTTATGCTTTATAATTTAGGGCTTGTGTAAATGCTTGGGGCTTTTGAGTTGTATTTTATTTAAAGATTTTCATATTTCTGCTCAACTGTTAAATTGTGACAATTTTTTCTGAACTGATTTGATCTATAATAAAGCTTCAATTTGTATTCTAACTCTGAGGTTTTGAGTTCATTTGAATGTCATTTAAATTGTCTCTGTAGTCTCCACTTTGCATGAACCCTCCTTCTAATGACAGGCAAAATAGGAAAATGCAATATACATAGGTAATAGTTTTCCAAACATTTGGGGGAAAAGGTGTGTTATCAGTGACAACATGACTTTTTAGTAGTTTGCCCTCAGTCCTCCAATCTCATAACTTTTCTTTACCTCAAATAATATGTGTATTAGTCAGGGTTCTTCAGAGAGACAGAATCCATAGGGGATGGATGGATGGATGGATGGATGGATGGATGGATGGATGGATGGATAGATAGATAGATGAAACAGGATTTATTAGAGAATTGCCTCACATGATTATGGAGCATGATAAGTCCCACAATAAGCTGTCTGCAAGCTGGAGAACCAGGGAAGACAGTGGCATAGCTAACGCAAGTCTGAGAGCCTGACCACCAGGGAAACCGATAGTGTTACTCTTAGACAAAGACTGAAGGCCTGAGAACATGGAGGGCCACTGGTGCAAATCTTAGAGTCCAAAGTTCAGAGAACCTGGAGTTCTGATGTCCAAAGGTAGGAGAAGAGGTTTCCCAGCTCCAGAAGAGAAAGAAGAGAGAGCGAGAGCGAGACAGAGAGAGAGAAATTCTCCTTTCCTTTGCCTTTTGTTCTATCTGGGCCCTAATTCAATTGGATAGTTCCTGTCCACATTGTCCACATGGGGTGAGGGTAGATCTTATTTACTTAGTCCACCGATTCAAATGCTAATCTCTACTGGAAACACCCTCATAGACCCAGAAATGATGTTTTATCAGCTACCTAGGTATGGCTTAATCCAGTCAAGTTGACATCTAAAATTAACCATCACAATACAGTTTATCCAGAAGAAAATCATCATAGTGATTATATTGTTTCCTTACAAGCAAAGTTTATTATAAATAGAGGTCAGGCCATGCATGGTGGCTCACGCCTGTAATTCCAGCACTTTGGAGGCTGAGGCAGGTGGATTACACCACTGCACTCCAGCCTGGGCAACAGAGCTACTGCGCCCGGCCAGGAGAATCTCTTGAACCCAGGAGGCAGAGGTTGGCCACTGCACTCCAGCCTGGGTGACAGAGCAACACTGTCTTACACAAAAAATAAATTAAATAAATAAATAAATTGATCAAAGAGATATACTTTACATAGGAAATTGCTGATCATCAAAACATTTCTTTAAAGGAAGCTCACCAAGCACTCTGCTCAATCCCTACCTTTATTACCACATTAGTATATTTCATCTTAACAGCATCTCCAAAATCTTGCCAATATTCTCCCACTAAGCTCATTCTCCATCACGAACTCTGTTTTATTCTCTTTTCAGCGCTTAACAACTGTCTGACATTTTATGTAGTCATTTGCTTACTTTTTACTGTTTGTCTACATCTACTTCATTCTAGCTGTTTTCCTAATGACAGTTCACTATGTTTTTCTATTTTCTTTATCAAATTTTTCCTGTTATAAGAAGAAATACAAATTATCCTCAAAGACAGTTTAAGGTGGAATACAAATTAAGAAATTACCTATAAGCAAATTTTAAAATTGAATAAATTATAATCACATTATAATAGTCCCTATACCATTTTGCTATCTTGTTTACAGCTCTATTCCTAGGGTAAAGAATAGTGACTGTCACATGGTAAGACATTCAATGAATATTTCTGGAATGAGTGAGTGAATTTATTAGATAAGCAAAAAAAGATGACTCTGCTGTCTAGAGACAGGTCTGTGATGGAAATAAAAATTTCCTGAGTTTTCAAACTCATATACTTTCCTTATGTCAATCTGCCACTGAACTTAATTTTGAATAAGAAAGAACTGATTGGTGAGGTAGAATTTAGCGAATTTTCAGGGAAAATTACAGTGTCATATAAGTTGACATTAACCAAAGAATTCCTAATCAGCAATAAATATCTATTTTTAGAAAATAGGATTTCCAGAATGTTCAGATAAATTTGAACAGGGCTTGAGGCTCTAAAAAAGAAGATGTTTGAAAAGAGATGAGAAGACCTCAAAAATGCAATTATTGTATTTATGTTCTCAAATTAGTACTACGTTATACACTTATTTCTCTCGGTTATATATTAAATTTGATTACTTCTTTGTTCTCATTATATTTTAACCTGATTTGATCTTTCTATGTTCCCCACAGCAAGTATTCCATTGTATACAATAAGCATTAAATAGTCACTGAATAGAATCAGATGATTTAAATCAGAAGAAAAATAGATACATTTAAGCAAACAAATATTTCTCTACAATTAGATTATAATTCATTTGGATTTTCAAAGGGCTTATCTAGGAGATACAATGAAGTGGATACATACTTAAAATGTGTATATAATGAATAATGAAGAATTAGAATAATTAGTTCATATTTTTCTTACCTATCCCATTGAGCATTACTCCTGTCTTCTTGAAATAGTAAAAAGTAGGGAAAATGTAAATTTAAAATTTTTAAATATAATTGATGAAGAATTTGTTGGAAAAACATTAGAGGGCACCATTACAAAAATTCAAGTCTCCTAGAACAGATGTGTCATATTCTGAAATGTGATTCAGGTATTTGCAAATTATTAATGAGACATCATGGAAAGTTAGAGCTATCTTGAAAGAAAGCTAGGGACAGAAAAATGTCCAAATTAACAAAAGGGAGAAGAGTTTATGTCAGTGACATTTAGTGTTACATATCTGATGTCAATTCTTTTTTTGGGGGGGTAGGGGGCCGACTCCAGAGTACATGTTAAAATAACCATGTTTATTCGATGCAAAAATTTGGTAATGGTGAAGTATTCTAGTTCTTTTCTGATTATCCCAATTCCCATAGTTTTTTCTTCACAGAAGCTTTATTTGTAGCAGCCAAACACTAGAAATTCTCCAAATATCCATCCACAGGAGAGTAGATAAATTGTGGTGTGTTCATACAATGAAAAACTACTCGGCAATAAAAGAACAAACTAATGATGCCCACAACAACTTATACAGTCTCATAAGTGTTGTGTAAAGTGAAAGATGCATTAAGAGTACATAAGATATTATTCCATTTCTGTGAATTTCAAAAACAGGCAGCTCTAATCTATGTGAATAGAAATGAAAATAGTGGTTGCCTCTCGGCAGGGGAACTAACTGGAAGAGGCATGAGGACACTTCTTGTGGTGATGGAGATGTTTTATACATACATATATATATATATATATATATATATATATATATATATAGTTTAATTTTAGTTTTAGGGATACACGTGTATGTTGGCTGTACAGATAAATTGTATGTTGTTAGGGTTTGTATCCATATTATTTTGTCACCCATGTGATAAGCAAAGTACCCAACAGGTGTTTTTTTGATCTTCCCACCCTTCACCCTCAAGTAGGCCTTTGTGTCTATTTTTCTCTTATTTGTGTCCATGTGTACTAAAAGTTTAGCTCCCATTATAAGGAAGAATATGTGACATCTGGTTTTCTGTTCCTGTTTTAGTTTGCTTAGGATAATGGCCTCCAACTCCATCCATGTTGCTGGATAGGACATAACCTTGTTCTTTTTTATGGCTGCATAGTGTTCTATGGGATATACATACAACATATTCTTTATTAAGTCTAGCATTGATGGGCATTTAGGTGGATTCCATGTCTTTAGTATTGTGAATAGTGCTGTGATGAACATACATATGTAAGTGTCTTTATAGTAGAATGATTAACAGTCCTTTGTGTATATACTCAATAATGGGATTGGTGAGTTGAATGGTAGTTCTGTTTAAAGTTCTTTGAGAAATTGCCAAACTGCTTTCCACAGTGGCTGAACTAATTCACATTCCCACCAGCAATATATAAGTGTTCCCTTTTCTCTGCAGCCTCACTAGCGTCTATTACTTTTTGACTTTTTAATAATAGACAATTCTGACTGGAATAAAATGGTATCAGTATCTCATTGTGGTTTTGATTTGGATTTCTCAAATAATTAGAGAATGTTTGTCAGGGCCTATGTCTAGAAAGGTATTTCCTAGGTTTTCTTCAAGGGTTCTACAGTTTACATTTTACATTTAAGTCTTTAATTTATAGTGGGTTGATTTTTATATATGGCTTAGGGAATGGGGTCCAGTTTCTGTGTATGTCTTCTGTGTATGTCCACTCAGGTATCTTAGGACCATTTGTTGAATAAGGAATCATTTTCCCATTGCTTGTTACTTTTTCAGAGATCAGATTGTTGCAGGTGTGCAGCTTTATTTCTGTACTCTCTATTCTGTTCCATTGGTCTATGTGTCTATTTTTGTACCAGTACCATGCTGTTTTGGTTACTGTAGCATTGTAGTTTAGTTTGAATTTGCATAATGTGATGCCCCTGACTTTGTTCTTTTTGCTTAGGATGGCTTTTGCTATTTGGGCTCTTTTTTTGTGTTCCATGTGAATTTTAGAATAGTTAGTTTTTTTTCCCAATTCTGTGAAGAATGTGATTGATAGTTTAATAGGAGTAGCATTTAGTCTTGAAATTGCTTTGGGTAGTATGTCATTTTAACAAAGTTGATTCTTCCTATCCATGAGCATGGAATATTTTTCCATTTGTTTGTGTCATCTCTGATTTATTTGAGCAGTGCTTTCTAATTCTCATTGTAGAAAACTTTCATCTCCCTGGTTAGCTGTATTCCTAGGTATTTTATCTTTTCTGTAGATATTGTGGGGGTTTTTCTTGATTTGGCACTCATGTTGGACTTTACTGGTGTGTAGAAATGCTACTGACTTTTGTACATTAGTGTTGGATCCGGAAACTTTGCAGAAGTTGTTTATCAGATCTAGGAGCTTTTAGTCAGAGACTAAAAGTTTTCTAGGTATAAAATCCTATCATCTGCAGATAGAGATAGTTTGATTTCCTCTTCCTATTTTGACCCATTTATTTTTTTCTCTTGCCTGATTGCTCTGACTAGGACTTTTCAGTACTATGTTGCATAGGAGTGGTGAGTGGTGAGAGTGGGCATCCTTGTCTTGTCAGTCTGGAGTCAGTCTGGAGGCTCTAGTAAGAGTCATGGGGGATCTCCTGAGCCCAGGATTGCAAAGGTCCACAGCACAAGTGGTTCCTGGAGGCTCTCACTCACTCACTACTTCACTATGGTGGGGAGCCTACCCTGACTCCACACCAATCCTGGGTGGGTGGCTGTCCTGTCTTGCTTTTGTCTGTTCTCCATGGGCCACCTTGCTTCCTTGATGAATCCCAACATGCCCAGCTGGATGACCTACTTGAGACACTAGTATTTACTCACCACTCTTTCTTTTCTTCATGAAGCAATGCACATTAGCTACTTCTAGTTAATTATCTTGGCTCCAACACCCTGACATTAATTGATGAATTTCTAAAATTGTAATCATTTATAATCATTGATCACTAGAAAATATTATAAAATCACCTGGAATAAAGTTTGTCTAGAGTTGCAATGGATCTGAAATATTGCCCTACTTGCAAGCTAGCAAGTGAGCCTGCCACAACTTCATAGATGTTGGCAGAAGATATGAGACTCCTAGGTTAGAGATCAAGAAAAATATTTCTCATGGCAGAGCAAGCAATTTGAACATCAACATATTTTCATAAATTTATTTTGCCTCAATACTCCTGAGGTGATTTGACAAGCCCAAATGATACCTGAAAATACAATGGCTTACATATAAAAGAGAAATTACTACCTTAGAGAACTACAATCTTTTACTCAGGGCGGTAAACAAACTTGCCCTTTGCTCTGAAGAGAGAAAAGTACTGTTATCTTTCAAGACTGTTTGCTATACAAATACTCTTGATAAGATTGCCAGAAACAAGAGGCAGTGAATGCCTCTCTCCTAGGAGGTGCAGAAATGCAAGAAGCCTGGAGAATCATTTCACAACCAAAGTATGTCAAACTAAGATAATTTTCTTTTTCTGATGTTCACTGTATTTCAGAATTCTTATAAGAATATACTAATTTTATCATGTGATAACATTTCTTCTGGTACACTTGCACATAAGAAAGCTGTATAGATGAAAAGATGTTGCAATTGGATGAATCTGTTGCACACAGGGTCCAGATAGTTTAATTTATGAAAACCTTAAGGGAAGTCTTAGGCAATACTCTTGAACAAGTTATCACCAATAATTGCCGTCCTTCTTGATATGTTAATTTCAAGTACTTTTTTCTCTGACCTATGTCCTACTCTTTTATAAAATATATTTTAGCACCCCCCTCCAAAAATTGTATAAGTTCGTTTGAGGTTTACAATCTACTTATCCCATTACTTTTTCAATATGTTTCAACCCATCATGCCTTTATCATCTATGGGCACGATTTATATTCTATGATCAATAATTAGGATAATTCTCTACAACTAGTGGCTGATTGAATTGCTGCTGTAGTCTTAATGTGTGTCTCCCCAAAATTCATAAGTTGGAACTTAATCTGCAGTGCAACAGTATTAAAACGTGGTGACTTTGGGAAGTGATTATGATATAAGAACTCTGCCCTCATAAATGGGATGAGTGCCCTTATAAAAGAGACGCCAGGGAGCTTTTTTGCCTGTTCCGCCATGCAAGGAAACACAGAAGGCACTGTCTATAAGAAACAGGCCCTCACCAGACACCAAATCTGCTGGCACCTTGATCTTGGATTTCCCATCTTCTAGAACTGTGAGCAATAAATTTCTGTAGTTATAAATTACACAGGGTAAGGTATTTTGTTATAGCAGTCTGAATAAACCAAGAAAATTTCATGTAACCATTGTGGGATCAGAGAAAAAGCAACCATAATCCAAGGGCTTCTATTTTAAATTCATGGCCAAAAACCACAAATGTTCAAATAATATTTAGAAAATGTTTAGTATCATGGCCCATCATAATAAAGCGACTATCCAACGAGCTGCATATTTTACAACTATACCTATGCAGATGAATGGGACTGAAACACACACCCACATTCACACAAACACACATTCATGAGATACATGTACTCAGACACACCAGGGCTGACTTTTTGCCTTTCCTTTACTGTAAATCTCAAATGTGTACTAAAACTGACAAATCATTCCATTATATTTTCTCGGAATATTTTCTTTCCCACTCATTCTCTCAGAGCATTATGACACACATTTTTCCCTCTGTACAAACCTCCAACAATCTCCTAATTTCCAGGTGATTATATTAACTCATATTTAACTGGAAAATAAAACAAGATTAATCTGACTCTAGGAGGACAAGACAACTATCCAGAGATTTGCAGTGCCACCTAATGGATAGTCCAGAGGGCTGATCTAGAGTTAAGGGAGAGAAGTTAGAGGAAAAAAAAGTTATTCCCAGATGATTTTGAGCTACTTAGTGAAATACTGGGAGGGTGAAGCTGGGCAACTATGTTTACATGCTCTTATAGATAAAAAACAACCAGATTTGAGTCACTGTTGGGTTTGAAGCTGTATATGACACTTGTAATAGTGTTAAATTCTCAATGTGACATGAGAAGAGTTTTTAATAAATCTAAATAGGTGGGCATATGTAGAGATAAAATAGACTTACCAGGCCAGGCACAGTGACTCACGCCTGTAATCCCAGCACTTTGTGAGGCCGAGGCGGGCAGATCACGAGGTCAGGAGATCGAGACCATCCTAGCAAACACGGTGGAACCCCGTCTCTACTAAAAATACAAAAACAAAATTAGCCGGGTGTGGTGGCGGCCGCCTGTAGTCCCAACTACTAGGGAGGCTGAGGCAGCAGAATGGTGCAGAATGGTGTGAACCTGGGAGGCGGAGCTTGCAGTGAGCTGAGATCGCACCTATGCCCTCCAGCCTGGCAGCCTCGGTGACAGAGCGAGCCTCCATCTCAAAAACAAAAACAAAAACAAAACAATAACAACAACAAAAAGCAGACTTACCAAAAGTTAATAAAAGAAAAACAGTTAATTTAATTAATGCGACCTTCCAGCCAAACTTACCTGAAGGGATAGAAAGTGAACATCCCTAGGCAGGGGAATGTTAAGTATTCTGGATCTCATTATTCCAGGAAGGGTGGAGCATAATTTACTAGTAGATGGGGGAGGAGATTGAGGTTGTTGTCCCAGAAACCATGATTTACCTGAGAATTTCCGATTCAGCTCTTGAGGTCCACTATTCTACCAATAGCTTTCAGGCAATAATATACACTACAGTACATATTCTGAGACCTGTTTGATCCAAAGTAAACCCTGGGAATCTTCCTGCATGAGACGGACCAGCATTCAGCCCATGGGTTGTTGATGCACAGGTCTTTAGCATTTTATTGCTGAAAGCCAATCATATTTTCATTCATTCATTCATTCAACACCTTTATTGAGTATTACTACTTTAAACGCAGGGAATATTTTAAGTGCAGTAAAAATTAGATATAACCACCTTCTCTCTTGAAACTGGTATTCTGATGGGAGAAGGCAAAAATTAGATTGAGTAAGTAAAATATAAATGTAATAGACCGGGCGCGGTGGCTCACGCCTGTAATCCCAGCACTTTGGGAGGCCGAGGCGGGCAGATCACGAGGACAGGAGATCGAGACCATGCTGGCTAACACGGTGAAACCCCATCTCTACTAAAAGTACAAACAATTAGCTGGGCGTGGTGGCAGGCACCTGTAGTCCCAGCTACTCGGGAGGCTGAGACAGGAGAATGGTGTGAACCCAGGAGGCGGAGCTTGCAGTGAGCCGAGATCGCGCTACTGCACTCCAGCCTGGGCGACAGTGCGAGACTCCGTCTCAAAAAAAAAAAAAAAAAAGTAATAGATAGCAATATATGCTATGAACAAAAATATAGAGGATAGGGGTTAGGTGTGCATGAATAGAGATTATAAATTTAAATAAGGTGGGTAGAAAGGCCTGAGATGTGGTATTTAATGAAAGAACTGAAGTTTGGGAAGTATAATGGAAGAAAAAAAAAGAGTAATGACTAGTTTAGCACACAGGTATCTAGGAGGTACCTAGGGAAAGTGTTCAGGCAGAAAGCACAAAACAGTTCAATACTTTAAGCAGGTTGGTTTCCTAAGTGTGCACCCTGTGCTGATGCACAAGATCTTGCACAAGACCCTTGCCATCTTGAAATTTTTTTAAATTTTTGAACAGTAAAACTTGCATTTTGCTTTTTGTACTGGGCCCCACGAATAATATATCCAATCTGGGCCTTAAGGCACATCAGGGGAATGGCAATGAAGTCCCCATGATTAGAGGGAAGTGAGATAGACAGAGTAGTAGATGTCAGGGATGGAGAGAGGTGACATATCTTGTTTGACCTTGAATTACCTGAATAAAGCTTTAACAGAATCCGTACAACTGCTACGTTGAAAATAGAATGAAAGGATCAAGAGTAGAAACAGAGTGATCAGTTTTAAGAGAACTATTTCAGTGAAATCTTAGCAAGACTTGCTGGTAGAAATAATATCTGGACCTAAATGTAAAATACTGTTGTATCGTCCTGTTTTTATTTAAAGGCTTATAGGTTTCAATGCATTTAGATGACTGTTTAGGGACAAAAGGGAGAAAGCCTTATTATAAAGTGCCATTTGTTGCTGAAAGGCAAGCTGTGATAGAAGATTGTCTCCTGTCAATGTACCATTTATGATCTGTGATCTAAATGTCCCAAGCATATTTTAAAATATGCCTTATAAACTGTATGAAGTTATTATGATCATTACTACAATTGGGAAATTTGAACTATCTCATCTGTGATGGTTCTTTCCATTTCTTATTTTTTGATTTGTACATTGTCTTTTGCCATTTAATAGTATCTTAAATCTGATTTTATTTTACTTACTCTGGCTTCAGAGAGACTAAGTTTATTTTCAATTCACATTTAATTTTGAGGGTGGTAGAGTTGTCGTAAGTATTGTATTTTTAAATATGATTATGTACATTTCACCATTTAGGATCAAATGACATAATGTATATGAAAATGCTTTCAAAAGCCTAAATCACTCTATATATGCAAAAGATTAAATCATGTATTAGGAACATTGTAGTTTAAATCTGTTTGAAATAATTTGTTTGAAATTCACATCATCCAGCAATTTGAGAGAACTACATACTCTTTTACTATAGCTAAAACATAGAACTTGCTTTCATTTTACAAAATAAAATTTTTGGAGAAGGATTAACTAACAATTTTCTACATAGTGTAAGATTGTTCTGATATTGGCACCTGAAGGCTGTTTAGAATTTTCCTGCCAAATGTGCAGTTTCTTGGATTTTTTTTATGTCATGGGAGAGAATTAATTTTCTGTGTTCATGCTTGTTTCCAACTTTAGACTTCAATTTATAAGAAAAAAAAAAAGCTTTCTTCCCCCTACCTAAAATGTTAAATTGAAATACTCATTCCCTGGATCAAGTTGTTGGTAACTATAATGTTGGCTACAAATGTATCTGTTTTGTTATGATCCAGACAGTGATGTGATTGTAGATATATTTCTTTATGAAGATGGTGATTAAGGTAGCAAAGGTTAAATGTTCTATCATGACTCTTCATCCCAGCCTCAAACATCAAGTATCAGCTTTTACCCAGCTCCCTCTTTCCAGCCCTCCCTGTGTTCCCAGATACGGTCACACCCATCACTGCCTTCCACTCTCTTCCTCCAGGGAATTTGTCCTGATTGGATTGATATGCTTTTTCTCTATTAGCTCTCTCCCCCACAGATTCTAAACCTGGTTGGAGTAGGACCCGATGCCTGTTTGTTCTCCCAATCCTATCCTGTTACTTGGCAAATAGAAGCTGCTGTGAAATTATTCCTTACGTAGTTAACATCAGGGTGCCTGCTTCAAGTGGGATTATTGTACTAAAATGTTTAGAATATGCGAAATATATTAGTAGCCACAGGATAAACAGTGATCAAGTAGCAAATTTTACCTTGAGTTTTTAAAAAATGAAACACAACTTTACAATTATTTACTTTACTGGTTTAATTAGTCAGGATATGCTAGACTATGCTGCATTAAACATTAACCTCCCACATGTTAGCAGTTGTCTTGTGAGCTCAGTGGAAATCACTGCTCTGGGAGATTACTCAGGGACCCCAGCTGACTGACGTTCCTCAATACTGGGACACACCACCTCAAAGCACGGCTTCCAGGGCAGCTGCAAGAAGGAAAGAGACAAGGCCAGGGAACTCACACTCATTCTCCAATGCTGTGGATTGGACATGACAAGTGCCACTCTGTGCACAGCCATTTGGCCAATACTTGTCATATGGCCCTGCATAATGCAGGAGTCTTGAAAGCCTTCTATTATACAAAGAAAAGTGAAACAAAGCAGATGTAGTGAGACCTAAAACAATTTATCACTAAGTAAAATTTTTATACTAGGGAACATTTCAGGATTTTTTGTTTTGTTTTGTTTTTTTAGACGGAGTCTCACTCTGTTGCCTAGGCTGGAGTGAAGTGGCACGATCTTGGCTCATTGCAACCTCTGCCCCTCAGGTTCAAGTGATTCTCCTGGCTCAGCCTCCCTAGTGCCTTGGCCCCCCAAAGTGCCGAGATTACAGGAGTGTGCCACCATGCTCAGCGTTTATCTCAGGATTTTGAATGAGAAATTATAAATGTGACAATAAACAAGTAGAAAGTTTATTCTGAAAAAGCAAAAGGGCTTGATCAGAGAATATTATCTAAAAGGCAGAATGCCTTGAATTAACTTTATTATGTGAGTTCTGAACACCATCTGATGGTAATATATCTAAATTATATAAAATCTAGCCTCCCTCCCTCCCTTCCTTCTTTCTTTCTTCTTTCCTTCCTTCTCCCCGCTCCCCCAATGAATTTGAAATGTGAAGCATAAACTGTCAGCCTAAGTCATTAGAAAACATAAATTAAGCAATTTTTAAAAAGGATTTTGTACTTCTTTATATAACTTTTACAGTTAAAAACTTGACAAATGCATAAAATATGAACTACAAATACTTGATAAAATTATTCAGTCATTCTGCTTTTGAAAAATTGTTTGAAATAAAGCATGATAATAATAAAGCTGTGACCATGATTATGGCAATGAAGGGACAGGGTTGCAATCAAAGTTCCTCTGTATGGGAGCCTAAGAGACTATTCTTAGAAATGGGAACATGGGTTTTTATAAATTTCATTGAGTCTACATAACCAGCTTTGACAGTTTAACTAATTTTAGAGCTTACTAAATACTTATTTTTCAATTTAGTCAAATAACTGGCGAAAAACAAGTGTGTTTAGCTAAAGTAGTGAGTAAAACTAAGAAAAATCATCGAATTGGTAGAACATATAGTTTTAGCCTCAAATTATATCCAAAAGACTATGACAGAATTGAATGTGACCAAAAGTTGTTTTGGTTTGGAAATCCCTGACCCCAATTCAATGTAATTGTTAAAAACTACTTACCTTGGATTGACTTCTCACAGGGATGTCTTACTGAATCAGAGAAATGGACACTTAGCGACATCTGATTCCACCACAGTTACACATATACAGACTAGGCATGAAAGCCATATTAAAACATAATCACATCAAACCAAAAGCTAAAGTGAAATATAAAAATGTCTATGCCTTTATGCAACAAATGCATTTGTGTTATGGAAATACATACTCTAGGAAACCCAGTCTGGCTCACTGCATCGTCCTAATTTAGCTCCTATTATCTTTTCCAGAAGGAGGGGTTATATCAACTTATAGCATGTAATGCCAAGTGAGCTTTGGCAAACTTTAGAGATATTTATTTTGCTTATTGGTAGCCATTTATTGAAAATATGTTTTATATTATGGGTTGTAAATAAATATCTTTTGAATTAAAATTGATACCATGTATGTAATATAATTGATATCTTCTTTAGTTTTCTTTTTCATATTTCTATAAGGAAAAACTTCTCATCTCTTTTGACTGAACACTATTAATGCTTAGAGTATAACTTATTCATTCAATAAGTATTTATTGAGCATCTACTAGTTTATTATTTCAGAACTTTGGTTGAAATCAAATAAACAAACAGAACCTCTTCTCTCATGGAGTGAGGAAGGCAGGCATTAACAATTATAAGTAAGTAATCTGTACAGGGTGCTAGGAAAGAGGTAGCATGGAGATGATGAAGATGTAGGTGGGGCAGGCTAGGTAGGACTCATTGAGAAGGCACCATTTGAGGAAAGACTTGAAGATGGTGTGGCAGCAGCCAAGTAGTACTCTGGGGAACAGCATTCCAAGTAAAACAAAGTAAAGAACTAGAGCAGAGTTGTGTATCTGCTTTGTCTGCAGAAAAGACTTGGGGTGTGGTTTGGGGTGAATAAGAGAAGTGGGGAATGGTAGGAGTTGAGGCCAGAAGGGTAGTAGGGAACCAGAACTTAGACATTCACTCTGAGTGAAACAGGAACATTTTCATGTTTTGAGCAGGTCAGGGACATGATCTGAGTGGTGATTTAAAAAGACCCACTACTTACTAGGTTAAGAATACACTGCAGGAAAACAGGGGCTGAAATGAAGAGGTCAGTAGGGAGGTAATGGTGGCTAAAAAGAAGATAACAGCAGTAGGGGTGAGAAGAAGTGGTTAGATTCTGGGAATACTTTGAAGATAGAGTCAACATGACTTTCCGACATATTGGATATGGAGAGAGAGGCAGACAGAGATAGCAAGAGAAATGTGAGAACAACAACAAAAAAAGAACAAATTGATAAAACAGAGAAGTGAATGATGACTCCAGCACTTTTGGGCCCAAGTAGTGGGAAAGATGCAGTTTTTATCCAATGAGACATGAAAACTGTTGATGAAATAGATTTGGGTGAGAGTGATGAAGAAGATCAGAAGCTTAATCTTGGATGTGTTGAATCTGAGAAAACTGTTAGGCATTTATGTGGAGACATTGAGCCCTTAGTTGGTTGTGAAACTGAAGTATTAGGAAATAGATTTACATTCTAAAAAAAGTTTACGGAGGAAGACAGACATTTAGAACAGTAATAGAAAAAAATTGTGTTTCCAGTTCAAATAGGAAAATATTTTCCCTCAGTCATATGTACTGAATTTTATAGCTGTACATATAAACCACACGACTATTTTTGGTCTCGCTGCTGGGAAAATAGCACCATCTTGTGGGTAATAATATACAGGTATATTTTTAAAAATTGTAAAAAATGGTAGTATAGTACATTTCCCTGTATCCTAAAGAAATTTAATTCTTTTTTAAAAAATAAATATATTTATTTACTTTTACATTTTTTGTTTTAATATTTCTGAATACATAATATTTGTACATAGGCATGAAGCACATGTGATATATTGATGTAAGCACACACTGTAATGATCAGGTCAGCAATTGGGATATCCATCATCTTAGCATTTGTCATTTCTTTGTATTGAAGACAACTACATCCGCTTCTTTAGTTATTTTGAAATATACAATAAATTCTTGTTAACTATAGTTGCCCTATTGTGCTACTGAACACTACATCTTATTCTTTCTATCTAATTGTATTTTTCTAACCATTAACTATTCCCAAATTCCCCACTCCTCCCCACTCTCCTTCCCAGTCTCTGGTAACCATCATTCACTCTCTACCTCCATGAGATCAATGTTTTTTAGCTACCACATATGAATGAGCACATGAAATACATGTCTCTTTGTGCCTGGCTTATTTCGCTTAACATAACGTCCTACAGTTCTATCCATGCTGGAAATAAGAAGATTTCATTCTTTTTTTAAATGACTGAATATCCCATAGTATATACGTACTACATTTTCTCTATGTATCTTGTCTATTGTGAATAGTGCTGTGATAAACGTGGGAGTGCAAACACCTCTTCAAAATACCAATTTCCTTTCTTTAGGACATTTGCTTGGACATGAGATTTCTGGATCTTATGGTAGCTCTAGTTTTAGCTTTCAACGTAACCTGCATACTGTTTCCCATAGTGGCAGTACT
Source organism: Homo sapiens (assembly GCF_000001405.40). Lineage (NCBI taxonomy): Eukaryota > Metazoa > Chordata > Mammalia > Primates > Hominidae > Homo > Homo sapiens. Next base: position 85,449,593 of record NC_000012.12, read on the forward strand.
AATTTACATTTCCACCAATAGTGTATTAGCATTTACCTTTCTCTGCATCCTCATTAACATTTTTTTTTTTTTTTTTTTTGTGTGTGTGTCTTTTTGATGAAAGCCATTTTGACTGAGGTGAGATGATATCTCACTGCGGTTTTCCTTTGCATTTCTCTGATGATTAGTGATGTTGAGTATTTTCTCACATACCTGTTGGTCATTTGTAGACCTTCTTTTGTGAAATGCCTATTCAGATTTTTTGCCCATTTTAAAAATATAATTATTTATTTTGCTGTTATCAAGTTGTTTGAGTTCCTTATATATTCTGTTTTTTTAAAAAATACATTTATTTATTTATTTAGAGATAAGGTCATTGTCTCCCAGGCCGGAATGCAGTGGCATGATCATAGCTCACTGCTGCCTTGGACTCCTGGGCTCAAGAAATCCTCCCACCTCAGCCACCAGAGTAGCTGGAACTACAGGAGTGAGCCACCTCACTTGACTCTATAGACTGTTTATTAACCCCTTGTCAATTGAATAGTTGGCTTATATTTTCTCCTATTCTATAGGTTGTCTCTTCACGTTGTTGTTTCCTTTGCTGTTCTAAAGATTTTTAGCTTGATGTGATCTCATTTGTTCATTTTTTCCTTTGGTTGCCTGTGCTTTTGAGGTTGCACTCAAGAAATTTTTCCCAGACCAATGTCCTGAAGCATTTCCCCAATGTTATCTTCTACTACTTTCATTGTTTCAGATCTTATATTGAAGACCTGAAATCTGACCATGTTGATTTGATTTTTGTATGTGGTGAGAGATAGGAGTCTAGTTTCACTCTTCTGCATATGTCCCTCTACTTTTCCAAGCACCATTTATTGAAGAAATTATCCTTTCCCCAATGTGTGTTCTTGGCACCTTTGTAAAAAAAAATCAATTGACTGTAAATTCTTGGATGTATTTCTGGGTTTTCTGTTCCATTCCATTGGCCTATGTGTCTGTTTTTATGATAGTACCATGCTGTTTGATTACTGTAGTTTTGCAGTATAATTTGAACTCAGGTAATCTGATGCCTTCTGCTTTATTCTTTTTATTCAGTATTGTTTGGCTATTCTGCTTCTTTTTTTTAATTGATGAATAATAATTGTGTATATTTATAGAATACAATGTAATGTTTTAATCTATGTATACTTTGCAGAAAGACTATATCAAGTTAATTAATACATCCATCATATCACCAACTTATTATTATTTTCTTTGCTGAAAATATTAAAAACCTATGTTTTCACTTATATGCAGAATCTAAAAAAAGTCTTAGAAACACAGAGTAGAAAGGTGGTTACCAGGGAATAGAGGTGCAGGGAGGTGGGCAGCTGGAATTCATTAATTTACTCATTCATTCTTCAAAAATTTTGAAATACATTATCTATATATGCATAATGATATCAGGCCCAGTGGGAAACCAAATAAATTATATAAATCAATATCACTGTCCTGAGGAAACGTATTGCCCCATTAAACTTACATCCTATTAATATTTAAGGAATAATAAAACTGGAAATTATAGCAATAAAAAATAAGTATGCAGTAGCTGTTTATAATCCAGATTATTATTTTTGTTTTGTTTATAATTTAAGAGGTATAATTTTCTTCAAGAAAACAGTTTATCTTTTTTAAAAATGTACACATTATAATTGCACATCTTTATGAGGTATAGTTTGATGTTTCAACACACATATATGTTGTATAATGATAAAATCAAGTTATCCAGCATAACCCTCATTTCATGCATTTATCATTTCTCTGTGGTGAGAACATTCGAAAGCCTATTTTCCAGCTATTTTGTAATGTATAATACCTTACTCTTAACTATCCTGACCCTACTGTGCAATAGAACAGTGGTCTCTAACCCCTGGGTCCTGGACCCCTATGGGTCTGTGGCCTGTTAGGAACTGGAACAGTAGGAGGGGAGGTGAGCCACCAGTGAGCATTACTGCCTGAGCTCCACCTTCTGTCAGATCAGCAGCGGCTTTAGGTTCTCATAGGAGAGAGAACCCTATCGTGAACTGCGTATGCGAGGGATCTAGGTTCTGCACCCCTTATTATTCTTATTAGAATCTAATTAATGCCTGATGATATAAGTTGGAACAGTGTCATCCCAAAACCACCATGACCCACACCACTGGTCCATGGAAAAATTGTCTTCCATGAAACCTGTCTCTGGTGCCAAAAAGGCTGGCACAGGTCTGATGCAGTAGAATGCCAGAATTTATTCCTCTTTTCTGATTGTATCTTTGTAGCCATTGACCAACCTGTCCCCATCTTCCCTACCTCCTTCACCTCTTCAGTCTCTAGTAACCACTGTTCTACTCTGTGAGGAAGTCAAATTACTAGTTTAGACTATTGTTTTTTAAATCGGGTTCACTGAATTTGCGTTAGGAGTTCCACAGCATTTTACCAAAAGGTAAGAGAATGGCTGTGTAAGAAAGTTTGCTTTGATTTTGTAAATGACCATAAAAAACACATTTAAAATATTCTATTTGAATACCAAGTTCATAGTTTTTCTCATTTTTTTCACTTTTATTGTTATGTTCTAACCAAGTCAGACACAAAGTGTATTTAGTTCCTTACATATATCTAGTATAACTTTGATAATGAGCTGGATATCTTTTAGAAATTAAAACAAATAATCAAACAAATAAATGTATAAATTACTAAGCATCATCATTTTGTAACCAAAATTGTAATAACTGATTCAGACAAAGATTATCAGTGCATACTAAAACCATTGAGTAAAAAGTTGTCTGGGAACTTAATGCTCAACTGATCACAAGTATCACTATAGATTACATATGAATTTAAAACGGGAAGAGGTATGTACCTCTACAGTGGAGAAATCTAGTGAACATCATCTTTGCCAAGTGTTTAAGATTAGCATAATCAGTAATGGCATAAGCTTAAATTATATTTCCCCTGATATGATACCATGGGAAGGATACAACATTATCTAAAATATAGTATTGTTGACATAAATATTTAATCTGAATCTAATCATGAAAATACAAACAAATCTACAAGGTAGTCTATAATGCAACTGGCCTAGAGTCTACAGTGTGAATGTCATAAAATATAAAGTAAGAGCTGTTTTAGATTAAAGGAACTAAAGAAACAAGACAATTAGATATAATATTTAATTTTTTGATCATCATTTAGAGGGAAAAAAGCAGCTATAATCTAAATTGTTGAGATACTTGGGAAGATTTCTTATATAAGATGATTATTATTGCATTAATATTATATTTCTTCAGTGTGATAATGTTATTGTGATTATGTAGGAGAATATTGTGTCATTATGAGACAATATAGAAAGTATTATGATGCTTAAGTAATAAGGAGTATAGTATCATCGTATCTGCAATTTACTCTCAATATTTTTCTGGAAAAGAAGACAAATCTGTATCTATATTTATGCCTACCTCTATTTCTATGACTATATCTATGTGAATACTCAATATCTATAGTTATATCTCATATGCAACTATATTTATCAATGAAGCAAATGATTAACAACTGATGAATCTAAATTAAAGCCATGTAGGAGTTCTTTCAAATTTCTTATAGGTCTGATAATTTTCAAACAAAAGAAATTAGGGTAAAAATGGTCTCATTTACTACATAACGTATTTTTTTCTTAATTTTCCCCATATTTTTGACATATAACAAGCTATAGAAAATATGCTGATAATTAAGACCAACATTCAAAATACTACTTACCCAAACTCACAAAGTTAAAATCTGATAGGGCTGAGATACACATCCAGGCTGGACTGGAAGTTCTTGTCCTTGTCACATTGTTACCTATTGCTTTCACGGTACACCTAATTACAATCTTCAGACTGGTTCGTGATTACTAACTCAATTTTTTTAATCTCCCAATCACAACTTTCTTCTGACTTTATGTTCTGACTTTAACTGATTTTTGAATTTGACTACCAATTCTTAGAACACTTTTCGTCTATAAAATAAAAGGTTTAGACTAGATGGAAGTTCAGGCTCCCACTAATTCTAAGATTTTAGGCTTTTGTGTATTTCACATATTTTTCATCTCAAGTAAATATGATCTGATGTTATGTGTAAGAAAGTTTGCTTTGATTTTGTAAATGACCAATAATCTACAAAATGGAAATAATCTACAAAATGGAAAGACCATAAAATCCTTTTATCTAACAATAATGTACACATTCAAGTTAAGTTTTAATAGTAAATATGATGCAATATTCCGATTATTTGAATATTATAATTTATATATATTCTATTATTTAATATATCTAAATCTCTACTCATTCCAGACATTTTAGCTTTTGCTGTATTTTCCAAATTGGGATTTCAGAAATGAGCAATTTCTACCATTAGAATTATAAATAGGTTTAAAACAAATTTATTTAAATAATTTAATACTTTAAAAATTATTTCCAAGCAATTTATCTATGAATGTATTCCTCTCTTTCTTCATGCTTCCTAGCTTCTACCTACGTCCATGAAAGTCTCATTCACTAGTGAAGGGAATTCTGGAAGCTTTTACTTTGTTTCTCTTGCTAGGATAGCCATTTCCTTTGCATTAATTAAATTCAGTTAACTTGTTTTACATTCCACTTGGCTTTAACAGTGAAAGCATTGAGGAATGATATAAGGAAAGGAAGGGTAGATATAAACAAGAAAAACACTCGACAAATGTAATAAAGAATGGACACAATGTTTTGCTGTAATAAATTAAGAGCACTTTAATTTGGGTAGGGAAATTTTGTGGACTCTGTAAGGCACTATGATTTATGGGACTAGGCTGAATGCAAAAATTTATCAGTATCCAAATATCTGGTCAGATTAAAATTGAGAGAGCAGAGATTCAGAAAATAAGAAAGTTGTTGGTTTCTATCCTCACCCTTCTACCTATCACCAAGAGTTCTATCTCTTAAACCTGCTTGAAAATCACTGACTGTCAAAGAAACCCCTTACCCTCATGTTGGAGCAAAAATAAATAGAGACATATTGGTTATTATGCTTCCTCTTCCAACAGAGGGCTGTTATTTTCCAGCATTTCATGAGAATTCATAATTATGTGTATTTTTATAATACATTTAGAGAGAAATGCATTTCAGCCTTTTCTTGACAGCAACTGTACAACTCTCAGATGTCACCTTCTATCTCAATTCGAATATGGAACATGTGAAATTAAACAGTATTGCTGCTAATAGTGCAGTGCTACTTACTGGTAGCCTACTTACTGTTTCTTTTCCTAAGGAAGTCAAATTATTTTTTTAAAGATTAGCAAATGAATAGCAATATAATATAAGAAACTGGCAGAAACCTCAACATGGGGGAAGCTTTTAGAAAAAAAAATTGAATTAGTAGATTTTTAACAATCCTAGTGCCACAGTTACTGCCTTGAATACTGTGATAATGCAAGTATATTGAGCAATTTCAGGCAAAGGGGTTTGATTACAATTCATTTATGGAAAGAAGAGAAGACAGTTACCTCTTGTTTTTCATTTCACAAATGATTTTCATGCTATTTTAAAATGTATAATAGCTTTATAAAATGATTCTCTTTTATTTTTCTGACCCCTTTGTGGCATTCCAGTCTAATAGATTAAGGTGAAACTCAGATAAGTGTCTTCAACGGCCTGCAAAGTAAATGTCACCAAAGATCTAAAATCAAAATGCTATCACTGTAAGTTATAATTTGTGTTTACTTAGTTTCTAAGAATTGATTTTAAAAGGGAGGTTAAGGCATTAATTGCATGTTTCATACTAAACAAGTCAAAGAAAACATAATCTCATAATCTGAAATACTCATGAATGGTACAAGATAAACCTAAAAACAGTATTTTAATTATAGTGCATTTGTCTTCTGTTTCCTCCAAAGATATTGTCTCTGTGCAATCTTCTGATACAACTTTTCTTTCTCAGAGAGGCAATAGCTTTAAATTATAAGCATTTATATTATTTATCTCCTCTGCTGTCTGTGGAGGGTGGGTCTGATGGAAGAATCTCTTCCTTTGCTATATTGAGTGGTGGATAGAAATAATAGAACCCTGGGGAATGGCTTGATAGGTCTACATCAACATGTGAATCATACAGGGGGAAAATTCCAGTGAGAGGAGAGGTAAAATGTAGATTCAGTGTGACCTAAGAATGTGTGCTGAGATAGGGTAGATTTGAGAGTACATGAAGAGTATAAAACTTTTGGAAAGGAAGTAATAACTTAAAGAGTAGTTTTTGACATGTACTATGTGATTTAATTTCATTTTGTGTCTTCTGCAAGAAATAATCAGTAAAAGATTGCATTATTTTTAAGATGTCTTGGAAATGGATGTCTAGAACTTTTAGATGAGATGGTGGGCTGAGATGGGTCTTAATGCAGGAGAATGTCAGCATTTTGTTGTGCTTACACAGCTTTCCATAACTCATTTATAAACCTGACTCCTTTCTGGTCTGCCTCTTACAACTTTGTATGCCTTCCACCTTCCCAATTTATCTCTTTGACTCTCAGGTGCCTTCCCCTCTTACCTCAAGTATCCAGGGAAAAGATTAAATGAAAATCACACCACCAACTTTCAGCCATTCTTACCTCCTAAATATTTCTGTTTCTGAAATATGTGGTTTCAACACATGCAACCTGTTTTCTTTTACTCTTGTGTTTATATTAACTCTATAAGTCCTAAAGACCAATTTTAATTATTAGTATTTTGTAGCATTTGATACCATCTACTTTCTCATGTTCTTGAAATTCATCCAGCATTTGGCACTGATACGGGAGGCGGGCAGGGAAGTGCTGGGTAGAGAAGGGTGGGGTACCTGGTGAGGGCTCCACCCTCAGGCCTGTGTCCATGGATTTAAATGAGGACAGGAATTTCTGTTTTCGTGCCCCAAAAGTTGTCTTTTGGCCCACCACCCCCCACCCCCCAACCTTGTGCTCATAAAAACCTGGGGCACAGACCCAAGTGGCTGGATATCAGTAGAAGCAGAAGAAGACACTGACAGACACCAGCAGACAGTGGCAGGCCAGAGATGGTGGAGTGACGTGGATGCCAAGGAAACTTTGGCCAGGGGCAGTTGGAGGGGAGTCTGGCTGCTGGGCAGCCCAACTCCAGGGAAGACCACCTTCCCTTTCCATCCCCTTTCTGGCTCCCCATCCATCTTGCTAAGAGCTACCTCCACCATTCCATAAAACTTTGCGCTCATCCTCCAAACCCACGTCTGATCCGATGCTTCTGGTACACTAGGGCAAGAACCCAGGATACAGAAAGCCCTCTGTCCTTGTGATAAGGCAGAGGGTCTATCTGAGCTGATTAACACAAGCCACCTGCAGATGGCAAAACTGAAAGAGCACACTGTAACACACACCCACTAGGGCTTCAGGAGCTATAAACACTCAACCCTAGATGCTGCCATGGGGTGGGAGTCCAGAAATGCTCCCCAGGACCTGCCCGTCTGCATGCTTCCTTTATGGGTTTGAGCAGTGGGGCACTGAAGAAGCAAACCACACCCATGTTGCATGCCCTGAGAAGGGGATAATGGGAACTCTCCCATTTCAGCATTTTGTGGTAAGATAATGGAGAATTTCTTCTTTTGTTTTTGCTTATCTAACAGATGTCAGGTTTCATATCAAGCCTTTACATGCACAACAATCCTGCAGATACCTCATTTCAGTGATGTTATAGAGAGAAAATGTTGGCATACAAGTGAGGTAAATTTGTCCAAGATTGCATGGTGCCTTTTGAAGTTTAATGTAGGCATTCTGTCTCTAGAGTATGCTCACTTAGGTACTCCACTGAATATTTTATAACCAATGAGATTGATTATATTGCCACTAGTTTTCTTTGTACGACAAAGATCATATTCCTTTCATAAGTAAAATTAGGACATGATACACAACTTATCTGAAATGTACTTTACTATCCTTACCTCCAGCCTACCTTAACCACTCTGCAGCCAAAACTAAACTTAGACATTGTTTTCGTTATTTTGTACTACCTGTTCCTCAAAGATGTCCACAAAGACCTCAGGGTCTTTGTTCTTACCCTTCTCTTTCTTGAATGCACTTCCCACATATACTATCTTCACATGAGTTGATCTCACTTTCTTTAGGCATCTTCTCAAAGGCCAGTTTGAAAGGCTTTCCTTGACCTCTCTGCCTAAATAGCAATCCTACCTATGATATGCTCTATCCTGTTACCTGTTTGATTTTATTTCGTGTCATTTTGTGGCACTTTTCACTACCTAACACATTCCCTATTTATTTCTTTGTTCCTTGTTTTTCACCAACAGAATATAACTTATTTAAAATTGGAACTCTATTTTGTTCATAGTTTTATCTCCATGCCAAGAACAATGCTTGCCTGAAGGAAATAAATCAATAAGTGTTTTGGCATGAACCCAAGAATTAAACTAGCTTTATTGCATTAAATATGTTTCTCCCGCCTTTTAATAAAAATTTTAAATTGTGGGCCACATGTGCAGGATGCACAGGTTTGTTACACAGGTAAACGTGTGCCACGGTGGTTTGCTGCACCTGTTAACCCATCACCTGGGTATTATGTCCAGAATGCATTAGCTGTTTTTCCTGATGCTCTCCCCCACCCCTCCTCCCCTGCCAACAGGCCCCAGTGTGTGTTGTTCCCCTCCCTGTATCCATGTGTTCTCATTGTTCGCCTTCTACTTGTAAGTGGGAATGACTAGTTTTTAAAACCAGATCAAGATCAAATGAATCTTTTCTAAGACACCATTTCTTCCACTAGGAAGACTTAATTGCTCCATCTTTACAGTTAATATTACACTTCGTAGTTAAGTGTATTTCAGCATATTGCTTAAAAAGTGTTTTTATTTTGCATTGTGTTTATGTTTTTTTCCATCCTTGACTAGAATATAAAATATTAAAGTCATGAATTTTGAGTAGCTAAAAAAATACTTGAATGGTTGAAACAATTATTCAATGAAGTACAAATTAAAAACAAGTACTAGATAAAAAGAAAGAGAAAAATAGTTTTTTTCTCATTGAAAATATTCAAGGTACTTTCCCTCTGGGTAGTCAGTTACATTTATAACACATATTCTTACACTGTTACATCTTTAAATACAGAAATACAAAGAGGCTCTGGGGTTTGAGCTTGGCCCTAACTTGACAAGTGTCAGGTCAATTCATTTTAGAATATAGGGAGATCACGGTACAGAATACACCTTCCTTAAAATATCTCTATTGAAAATAGAAAAGAATAAGACTATCCTTCCAGATCTGATTGGAATATTTTAGAACTTTAACAATTTAATCTGGAGTTTGAAATTAGATTTTTTTCCTAAATCGTTAAATTGTTCAGGAAAGCACCTTCTGAAAGATTTTAAATAACATAATTGCCTGACAATTACTTTGAACACACTGAACAATCTTCTTTCACTAAGAAGAAACTGAGCTCTTAAAAAAAAACAAACAAAAAAAACAGTCACTTAGCTGTAGCACACTGGAATAACAGTCCAAAAACTTAATAGCTGGAGTTTCTTTCTGTCTCGCCAAATGAAAGTAATTTAATGACTCACTTTGCCACAGTTTTTCTCTGGCTAAAATCATAGAAAATTCTTTTTCATTTGTGTATATTTGTGTGTGTGTTTCTATAGGTCACAAAAAAAGGAATCCTAAAAAAGCAATGGAGTCATACATAAATGACAAGTCTTCTTTACTTATTTTTCTTTCTTTCTTTCTTTGTTTTTTTTTTTTTTCCCAAGATGGAGTCTCGCTGTGTTGCCCAGGCTGCCAGGCTGGAGTTCAATGGCGCGATCTAGGCTCACTGCAAGCTCCACCTCCCAGATTCACACCATTCTCCTGCCTCAGCCTCCCGAGTAGCTGGGACTACAGGCGCCTGCCACCATGCCCGGCTAATTTTTTTATATTTTTAGTAGAGACGGGGTTTCACCGTGTTAGCCAGGATGGTCTCGATCTCCTGACCTCATGATCCACCCGCCTCAGCCTCCCAAAGTGCTGGGATTACAGGCATGAGCTACCGCGCCTGGCCTTACTTCTTTCTATTCTATAACTCTTAAATTATTTCTAAACTCACATAGATGTCTCCCTAAACCCCTGCCCCTAACATTTCCGTTGGATAGTTTTAGAGCTCTATCTATGGTCCCTGGGTCCCTGCTGGCACCTTAATATTACTCAGATTTTCACTTATTTTTCTAAAATGGCAAGTCCAGCTCAGCCCATGGGCTGTCATTGCTATGACAATTAGTGTTTTTCATTGTCTTCTCTTTGTAGCAATTGGTATTTATTCTCTGACTTGGGTGTAGAAATCAGTATCAGTGCTTTATACATCTGTCACAGTGTTTGGAGCAATTGCCTTCATAAACACTGTATTTTGCACTAAACACTAAATTTTAATTTTTAGAGACAACCACCTTTTAATCTTTATCTGTCATATGGAAATTGAATTTGACTTCTACTATCATTGAAAATTGTACTTTTGTGGCTCAAGTTCTTTCCCGCTGTCAGACTAAAAAGAAACATTGTCAGAATTAGTTCTTGCTGGTCTTTCATTTTGTAAGCTTCCAGTAAGTAAATGGGGTCATACTTAAAACTAGGTCACTTATTTTCAACTTTAGAATTTTGTTATCTAATTTATATGATGATTCAAATTTAAAATAATCTATAGAATTACAAAAACATAATAAATTAGTTGTATTCTTTGCAGCTGTTGTCATTTAATTGAATGAACTTTTCACTTAAAAAAAGTATTTTTCTGATGTCATGATATTAGAAGTATAAACAACAATAATAATTGATAACATTTGTCCATAATCTTATGCTTTACATGCATTATCTTAATTTTTTAACAACTACTATAACATAGGCTCTATTGTCCATATTTTATAGAAAATACATCTTTAGATTTATGGAGATTATATAATTTGCTCATGCTCATACATTTAGTAAGTGTTAGATTATAACTGAGAATTCATTCTATATTAGGCTTTGTTATATTTACTAATAAATTGTAACTTCAAATGATATGCTAAATTATAATTTCAGGTGTATTTGAAACAATTACACTATAATAAATGATTATAAACAGATACAGAAGAATTTGACAGGCCTATCTCAAAGAGAGAATTGAGATTATTTAATCATTTAATCTACCAAAATCATAAAATTTCATTGAAGACTTAAAAAATTGAGACTATATTGAAAGTGTGAACCTTTCTTATAAACTTACATTAAAAATTATACATATTATGTATATTTTCTAAGACAATATTATTTTTTAATTATAAAGAGTTTTATGAAATGACTCTTCTAATTTCAGTCATTGATAATATTTAAATACAGGTAGTTGACAGAGTAACCTGTGTCCATCTTCATATTAAATAATCTTAATTATTTTAACTCAACAGCTCTTGAATATCCTGTTTAAGGATCAATGCCAGTACTATAAGTTTAATTTTACCATGTACAGGAAAACAATATATATGGGAACCAACTTGAATATATTCTGAGAAATGAATAAATGATTTGGGTAAAATATTTTATTAGTATTTAAATGTATATTCAATACTAAAGAGCATAAGACTATAATACATAAATAATTAAACTTGGAGGTTCTTTTAGGATATTTCAGCATACAAAAATATAAAAGAGGCATACTTACTGTATAACAGGTAAGAGGAGTTTATTTTACAGGTTCGTCAGTAAGGAAAAGGAACATGTCTCAGCAGGTTTTGGGGAGAACTTCAATATGAGTCACGGTTCAGGATAGTTCTAGAGACTTGATTCCCTTTGGACGACCCATTTTCTTCTAAAAAGTAGGCTTCCGTTGTTCCATACAAGACCTCTGCCACTGTGGACAGTCAGCTAAGCTTCTGTCTGTTTTGGCTTTTACTGTTAGTGCTCTACAGGCTAAATGTCCCTACTCTCTTTTGTTGTGTCCATGGCTTTGGCTGACTCATGGCTTCTCCTCATTCAGGACCTGCTCAACGGTGCTACCGTTGGCATTTGGGGCCAAATAACTCTTTTTTGTAGGGGGCTGTCCTGTGCATTGCAGGATGTTTAGCAAGATCCTTACTTCTGGCACTTGATGGCAGAAATGTCCCCAAGTTGTCACAACCAAACATGTCTCCAGACATTGCTCAATGTTCCCTGGGTCGGGGAGGGTGGGTAGGCAAAATTTTAAGTGATTTAAATCATTGACTTACACTTAAATTTCTCCCTATGAATTAGATCCCCACCTCACAGTTACTCACCTGAGATGTACTGTCCCCATCTCACAGTTAAACTCACCTTTACAGAGAGCTTCCCAGAAGGTAGCAGTATGCCCAGCCAATATCTTACATGGCCTTTCCATTAGAGTTAAGTAATATCTTCGCCTTTAAGCCCTTAAGGGTTGCTAAATAAACCAAATTAGAAACACAATTTCCTTTTTATTTTGTTATTGTTTATAAGAATTTATTCTGTAATCTCTATACCATTTCTGTAAGTATATACCTACAGACATTATATTTGCTTATTTATATTCCAGAATGCCTGGGTTCAAGTTCAGATTGGTACTTACTAGTTTTGTGACTTTAAGCAGTTTACTTAACCCAACTAGGCTTTAGTTTTCTTAAGTGGGGATAAAATAACACCACACTTGTAGGATTTTTAGAATGGTTAATTAACGTTTATTAAAAATATGTTTAATGTCTGTTAAATACATAATCAAAATAATGATATCTATTACCCCCAAAACTTTTCTCATATATCAATATATTGACTGTGGTGATGGTTTCATGGGTTTACACGTCTCAAATTTACCACATTGTACATTTTAAATATGTGCAGTTTGTTGTATGTCGATTATACCTCACTAGGAGTAAAAAAATTGTATCTATTATGTCAATAATATATATATATATTTGTAATGATATTTACCTAATGATAAAAATAGTTATTTCTGGATTGTGGTAGTTTGTGTCATTTGTTTGTGGCTTAACTAAGTTTTGTTGTGTTTAATTTAAAAACTGTTATTCTTTACTGCATTGTTTAAAATTTTTATAATGAATAGATAAAATAAACATGAACCATTTATCTTAATTTCTTAGGGGGAAGTATTTTGAATATAATAATGTATTTAATATTAATTTCTAATTCTTTATACTTTGTCACTCTTCCTTATGCAGGCTTCTCATTTAATATTTCTCATCCAAATCTCTAAGTGCTTTTCTTCTAATGTTTTACATTTGACAGATTCACATCTCAGAAAGGCGACTTACTTCTTACTTTTCCATTTCTTAGTATGGCTATGAAAACTCATTCCATAATTTTCTCATGTTTTGTATTTCTTTCCTGTATTTGGAAATAATTTGCATAGTAAATGAACACTTCCTTATATTTAACTTAATAGCAAGCTACAATTTAAGTTAATTCTTGCTTCCTGTCTACAGAAAACAACGGCTGCTAACCAATTTTGGCTTAGCAGTTTTTCACATACAGGAAGTGTTAAATTCTCTTTGCTCCTCTGCATCAGATTAATTTTGTTTCTTTTATAGCATAGTGGCTTTTATTTTTGTTTCCACAAACTATAAGTAATCATGATGTTCTTCGCTTAACTGCCTCTGAGTAGGCCAAATTTTGTTAATTTCTGCAGTGTAACGGCAAGAACCTCCCTCTCTTTCTTCCGCTGATACACACAAAGTCCTCCTTTCATGCCTGAAGCTATGGGAAATTTAAAGATTTAAAAAATCAGATTATTGACTATAGCACAAAACTTCTCACCCATAATGATATGGCTAGCATTGCCTTATACACATCATTATTTTAATCAGTGCCTATGTTAAACACTCCCTTTTTAAAATTAATTTTTGTTATAAAAATATATTCAGTTTTGAATACATAAATTGCAAACATTTAGAAACTACATGTAATTATTATTTTATTTTATTTTATGTTTCTCCCTTCTATTGGCAATAACAGTGGTTGTGCCAATGACTGCTTTTATATGGACACGGGATGGAGGAAGCAAAGGTGCTACTGATTACAATAGTCTTCTCTTTGTTTATGAAGTAAGCAAGCACAGCACCGCTTTAAATTTCCATTTTCTTTTGACTTGGGAATAGCTTGGAACCAGTATGTCTCTATCTCATTTGACACATTTATATTTTTATTCAAAAACCTACTATTTGATTGGCTATTCTTTTCAACACTATCCCCAGACCATTGTGGTATCATTTTGGTTCTCTATTAATTCTGTTTCATTTCATTACCTCAACTTCTTCCTCAACATTTGGTTCTTTCTCTGTCATTTTCCAGCTGTGTTCCTCCTATCACCTTTTAAATGTGATGGTCAAATTCTCACCCTGGTTTTCAAAACATGCCAAGATCTAATATGTGGCGACTGCCTCTGACATGGATTATGTGTTCCACTCAGATGACTTGTCATGGAAAAGTGGACATGCCACATCATTCATCATATCAGATATATATTTTGTGGTTTTTTTTTTTTTTTCATTTCATGTTTGGATGCCTACCTTGTCCTTGAACACTTTGTGAAACCTATTTTTTCTTTGAGGCTCATTTCATGTCCTATTCCCTCTGAGGACACATTTGTTCACTTCCTAGTCTGATTATCTTTAAAATTAAAGTCTTAGAATTTCCAGGCGTAAGGAATTTCAGAGATCATGTAGTCCAATACCTTAGATAATCTAAGGAAATTCGGAATTTTGGAGATCATGTAGTTTAATACCTTAGAAAATTTAAGGAAATTTATCAGTGTCAAAGAACTAGGTACTGCAGAGCTGACTAACAGCTTCAAATTTTATATAATAGGAAGTGCTCTTTTATTTTTCCCCCAATAACATGTTGTTTTGTTTTGCCATTAAATCACATCTTATTTTCTTGTATTACTTTATTGTTTCATTGCATGAGTCTTGTTTCCCAATTTGGTAGAGGGTTCTTAAAATTTAGGTTCATACTTTGCATATCCTCCAAGTGCCTAGACCATCCAAGCCACAGACTGTTGTATGTGTGTGCGCTCTCCCTCTGCTCTCTTTCTATCTCCCTCTCTCTCTCTCTACACACACACACACACACACACACACACACACACACACACACACACACACTTACCAGTCATAGATTTACCAGATGTCTGTTTTTAAGAGCTTTAATCATCAAGTCTTTGTATGTCCAATATAGACTCCGTTAAGGCATCTTGTGATCCTGTACGTGTATTTAGTTTTGTCCAATATTAGATTATAAAAATGCACTGGATGAATCTCTGACTCCCTTCTACGTCTGCCACCCTAAATTATTATTAATCAGGTTCATCAGCTTCTTTTCTTTTTCTTTCCTTTGTGGTAGGAAAAAGCTGATACCTGTATGTGACAAGTACTCTCACAACTCCTCCACTGAAACAAATTTCCTTAAGAGGCAAAAAAAGGCCGGAGCTCAGTGTAAACGAAGCTTTGTACATGTGTTTTAGGAATTGCCTCTTTTTTCCTCTGGTCATTGCATGTGTCTTGTTTGTTTAGGCTTATTCATTTTGTGAAATTATGAAAAAGTAATTACTATTTTCATTAGAAGACGTATATCTTTGTAGATTCATGTAGCATTTTGCCTCTATTCTAATAGTTTCACCACAAGTAAAGAACTAAATCTGTAAGACAAAAACGTGTGTGTGTGTGTGTGTGTGTGTGTGTGTGTGTGTGGTGGGGGGAGGTTGGGAAGCAGCTGCTATTAGGATAGTTGTATGTGGAAACCACAAAACTGAGTCATAAAATACACTGCATGAAGAGAGAACAGGTTTGAACATAAGGAAGTCTTACAGTGAATTACCCTTTCACAAGGAAGCAGTCCCTCTGGAACATCAAGTTAGTAATCTAAACTATATTTTACTATTAAAACTACTCATGCTTGCAATAAGTTGTCCTAGTCCTTAATTAAATCATAAAATCACTGAAAAAACTAACTGACATCTTTATAAAATGGGGATTTAATTATAACTTTAATCTTGGCAATGCTGCTTGAAGCGAAACTTAAAACTATGACCATAAATGTGTATACTCAATAAAACGTAACCTTTCCACTTATTAGCAACATTTCCTTCACTTAAAAGTTTTCCTTTTCTTAGGCTGTTGGCACATTTGACCGCTCTCCACTTTATGAGTCCTTGGAGAAATACATAGTTCTTCAAATATGGAGACAAATTTGGAGACAACATTCAGAAGCGTCTCAAATGACTTATAACTTAAAACTTAGGCTTAATCATAATTTCCATTTGGGGAAATCAAAGAAATGTTAAGTAGCAGCATGATGCATTCCTTTTCACCTATAATTCAATTTATTTATATTTTTTAAAATGAGACCTTAATGTTTATTACCTTTAGCAGAAATAAAAAGAAATCTTGCTTGTCTACTGCAATATCTTTTCACACTTAAGAAAACTCTCTGCTGGAAATAGACTGCCTTAGAGAAAGTATGTCTGTCTTGTGCATTGACATGGCACATAGCAAAAGGCATCACCTGCCCTCACGAATGCTCATTACCTGGATATCATCTTTTACAGCAAGCCCTAGAAACAGTGCCTTCATAATGCAGCCTATCTTCGGCTTTTGTTCAAATTGGTGAAAGTAGGCTAACTTCTCTAGCAATACTCCTGAAACCATATCAGCTCTTGCTGAATATATTTTTCCCCACATAAACCAGTCAAGTGATCAACTGGACAGGCGACCTTCTTAACAGTCATTCGGGCTCCCAGGTGAATGCAGGTTCTCTCATCTTCAGCAGATTTCGATACCCTGTAAGCCACCATCTTGGTAGACTTGAAGTGAAGCATACATTGAGGAGAATGTGTAGTAGGTTTTCATAGTCCAATCTTGGTAGTAGCACATATCATTTCTGCTTCCTTTCTTTTGGCTAGAATTTAGTACATGGCCACACATAAGTAAAAGGGAGGCAAGAAAACATGATTTGGCTTGACCTTGTATCCAGAAAGAAGAGAGGCTCATGCATTTGGGTGATCAAGTGGTCATTTATGCAACACCTGTTCAGGCTCATTCAGTCTTTACTGGTGCAAGAAAGGAATATCTTACTTTTGGATAGCTCATTTCAAGAAACCTTGTGTCTTCTAAAAGGAAATCCAGCTGGGCCATTTCCAGTTTTCAATTCCAGAAAGATGATCAGATTTCTCCTAATGAAATCGGGACCACTGATATCAAGCACAGTATCTCCAAGTAGATACAACTTAGAGATTTTATAACATTGGTAACCTTATTTTCTGTGTCTGGAAAAAGTCAACCATGTTTGTTTCTGTGTAAGCCTGTATTCTATCCAATCCATTACTGACAATTTTAGTGCTAGGTTGAAAAATTCAAGGTCTATAGAACTGGCTTGAGCTTTTGGGTTTCAAAATTTATCAGGTTTCCTAATAGAATATTTTTATTTACTTTTATTTTGGAAGAGTTAAAGTGAAAAACTACCAACTGTGTGACTCAGATGCAAAGGAATGACATTGGTGAAATTGGAGGCTTTGGATGATGTCACACAAATTCACACAAATTCAGTTTCCCATTATTCAAAATGAACATTGCTTTTCTAGTAATGAGTTATGCCAAATTCATTTTCTTCCTATTTCTTTTTTGTCCATTGATTTACTCATTTTGGAAATAAAAGACTGCTAAAGTTAAAAAAAATAAAAGTTGCTTCTAGCAGGAGAAACCATCTAATCTAATATAATAATGTAATATAATATAATCTTGTGATGACTCCAATCAGTAAGAATTCTGAATTCTGCCTCTTCGCTATTGTTAGCAAAGGTAGCTTCTCCTGTTGGATTTTTGATGCCTCCTCTTGATGTAATGCCTAATAATGATTCCCCAGCAGCTGGTATTCTCAATCTGGATCATTTTAGAAGGACTTTGAATCTTTGCTGAGCTTTCTTCTGGTAGCTACAACTGTGCAAACTCTTTTTTAAGGAAGTTTCTTCAGTAGGTGACCAACTGTCCTAGTTTGCTTGGGGCTCAAGGGTCTTCCAGGATACAGGAATTTCAGTGATAAACCAGGAAAATCCCAGGCAAACCAAGATGAGTTGGTTATAATCTTATGGTTCTTTGGAGCAGCCAGGTAACAACAGCAGCACAAGATCCCATACTTCCTTGCTTTCCTCTCAACATCATTTTTACTTTCTGTGAAGTAGCAATTGGCAGTGCCAATTTACCTTTGGCTTAGTAGAAAGCATTTCTCCAATTGTGGTTACATGCAACCTGAAGCAAAGAGTGCTTTTTTAAATTCAAATCCTTGAGTTCTACCTCAGATCAACCCTCAAATCTCACAGATGGAACCTGCAAAACCACATTTCTAATAAGTATTTTATAGGGATATCTGTATGCATTAAAGTTTGGGCTGTATTTCTTTATGAAGTCTATTTATAAAGTAGCAAGAGAGAACTTCTGTTTTTAGCTATCTGGATCAAGTTTAGGTAATGACAGAGTTGACAAAAGCCTCATACTTATTTTTTGATGTATTGAACTTATTTAAGTAATACAGGCACTTATGTAAATAAGGCCTCAAGTTGTGGTTACATGCATACTTTGGGGTATACATACCTGGGGTTTACCAAAATCCTGCCCCATGCAGGAGTGCTTGGTGTATAAATGGGATTCTAAACATTGTTTCAGAATCTTCCCTCCAACTCTTGCCCCAGGGCAATTATTAGATGTTTAATCTCCAATCAGGCCCTCCTTTCTCTTGTATATTCCATAGCTGCCATTTCAAAATTATCATTATTGCAGTCATATCTATATCACTATCAAATTCTTTAAGGGAAAGCTGCACTCCTCCCAACCCCCCTCAACTCCTACTTCTTTCTTTGTCCCATCTTCCCCTTCACAGGAGTCATCACCATGAGAGGACCCTCCTACCCTGGAATGTGAGCACAGTGGGAAGGTCCTTCTCACCCTGTGTCAGCACAGTATTTACAGCTCTTCTGAGACACACCGCTGGCCGCCTCCACTCCCTTCTCTGCCTGTGGGCTGGGTAGTGAGTTTTTCTGTGGGGGAGAAAGGAGACAATGATTAGCATTCCCTCCCATCTTTACTTCTAGGCTTAAACTTCTTTCTTTAATTGCCAAGTATTAGCTAGAGCATCCCATTTCTGCATGGCTGACTCCCTCCAATTTATTTTCATCATTTTAAGAAAAATCCAGGGAGAGCGAACAACCTGTTGTGGTCATGCTGGATCATTCCACTAGATGGCACGCTTAGGTTAGCTTTGCTTCCAGTTTCCATAAATGCAGGATTTTTACAGTGAAGCAAAAGCTGAGTCATAATTTATGTTTCATTATTTACTTGGCTGGTTAGTGAAGGGGTGGGTTGCCCCTCCACACCTGTGGGCGTTTCTCATCAGGTGGAACGAGAGACTTGGAAAAGAAAGAGACACAGAGACAAAGTATAGAGAAAGAAAAATGGGCCCAGGGGACCGGCGTTCGCATACGGAGGTCCCGCGCCGGCACTGGCCTCTGAGTTCCCTTAGTATTTATTGATCATTATCGGGTGTTTCTCGGAGAGGGGATGTGGCAGGACAATAGGGTAATAGTGGAGAGAAGGTCAGCAGGAAAACATGTGAACAAATGTCTCTGCATCATAAACAAGATAAAAAGTGCTGTGCTTTTGATGTGCATATACATAAACATCTCAATGCCTTAAACAGCAGTATTGCTGCCAGCATTTCCCACCTCCACCCCTAAGGCAGTTTTCCCCTATCTCAGTAGATGGAATATACAATCGGGCTTTACAGGGAGACATTCCATTGCCCAGGGAGGAGCAGGAGACAGATGCCTTCCTCTTATCTCAACTGCAAAGAGGCCTTCCTTCCTCTTTTACTAATCCTCCTCAGCAGGGACCCTTTATGGGGGTCGGGCTGGAGGATGGTCAGGTCTTTCCCTTCCCACGAGGCCATATTTCAGACTATCACATGGGAGAAACCTTGGACAGTACCTGGCTTTCCTAGGCAGAGGTCCCTGCGGCCTTCTCCAGTGTATTGTGCTCTGGGTACTTGAGATTAGGGAGTGGTGATACTCTTAACAAGTATGCTGCCTTCAAGCATTTGTTTAACAAACCACATCCTGCACAGCCCTTAATCCATTTAACCCTGAGTTGACACAGCACATGTTTCAGGGAGCACAGGGTTGGGGGTAGGGTTACAGATTAACAGCATCTCAAGGCAGAAGAATTTTTCTTAGTACAGAACAAAATGGAGTCTCTTACGTCTACTTCTTTCTACACAGACACAGTAACAGTCTGATCTCTCTTTCTTTCCCACACAGTTAGAAGTACTACAGAGTTTTACACTGTTTCAGAAATTAAGATATGTACTTTACTGTTGAATCTGACTTAATTATATTGTAATACATTGGGGGTTACCTTATAATGTAGGCAAACAGTAGTAAGCAGGTGAATGCCTTTATTGGGTCCTCCTACTATTTGTTGTGGTAAATTAAACAGCCCAGAAGGAGCAAAGTACCTCTTTCCCAGAGACAGAGCTTGGGTCTTACTATAGCTCTCACTGAGACAACTCTATTTTCACCAGTAGCCTCTCTTCTCTTCCAACTCTTAAACAGCACAGCCCGCTGTGCTACCCATTTTCATTGGTCATCTTCCTTGACTCTCTCTACTATACAAACTAAGTTTTAATAATAATTTTGGTTATGTTTCATATTCGCTATTACATCTTATGACTTTAATTAAAAGACATATTTTCAGAAGAAGTGATTAGGGGTTTGGAATAAGATAGTTTTATATTTTTAAAAAATATTGTATTTTATTTTTGTATTACGTCAGATTCAGGGATGCATGTTCAGATTTGTTAAACGGATATATTACATAATGCTGGGGTCTGGTCTTCTATTGACCTCACCACACAAATACGAAACATCATACCCAACTGGTAGTTTTTTCAAACCTTGCCCTCCTGTCTTCCTCCCCGCTTTTGGAGTCCCCAGTGCTGATGTTTCCGTCTTTATATCCACGTGTACCCGTTGTTTAGTTCCCACTTACAAGTGAGGACACGCGGTATTTGATATTCTGTTTCTGCAAAAATTAACTTAGGATAATGGCCTCCCCTGCATCCATGTTGCTGCAAGTAACATGATTTTGTTCTTTTTTATAGTTATGCTGTATTCCAGAGTGTGTATGTACCACATTTTCTTTATTCAGTCCACTTTTGATGGACACTTATGTTGATTCCATGACTTTGCTATTGCAAAGAGTGCTGCAATATCATGAGAGTGCAAGTGTCTTTTTGGTGAAATGATTCATTTTTCCTCCAGGTAGATACCTAGTAGTAGAATTGCTGGGTCAAATAGTAGCTTTTTTGTTTGTTTGTTTGTTTGTTTTAGTTATTTGAGAAATACTATACTACTTGCTGTAAACGCTGAACTAGTTTACATTTCTACCAAATGTTCTTTTTTGCTCCATCCTCAGCAACATCTGTTTTTTTTTTTTTTTGACTTTTTAATAGTAGCCATTGTGAATGGTGTGAGATGGTATCGCTTTGTGGTTTTAATTTGCATTTCTCTGATGATTAGTGATGATGAGCATCTTTTCATCTATTTGTTGACTGCTTGTATGTCTTATTTTGAGAAATGCCTATTCATGTTTTTTGCTCACTTTTTAATGGGGTTATCTTTTTTCTTTCTGCTTTAAGTTACATATAGATTCTGGATATTAGTCCTTTGTCAGATACATAGACTGCAAATGTTTTCTCCCATTCTGTAGGCTGTTTGTTTACTCTGTTGATCATTTCTTTTGCTGTGCCGAAGCACTTTGGTCCCATTTGTCAATGTTTTTGTGTTTGTTGTAATGGCTTTTGAGGTCTTAGTCATAAATTATTTGCCTTGGCCAATGTCAAAAAGAGTTTTTCCTAGGTTTCCTTCTGGGATTTTTATTGTTTGAGGTTTTACATTTAAGTCTTTAATACATTTTGAGTTTGTTTATAATTTCTATATATGGTGAGAGGAAGGGGTCCAGTTTCATTTTCCAGCAAATTGCTAGCCAGTTTTCACATCATCATTTACTGAATAGTATGCCTTTTCCCCATTGCTCATTTTTGTCAGCTTTATTGAAAATCAGTTGGTTGTAGATGTGTGGCTATTTCTGGGTTCTCTATTCTGTGCCATTGATGTATGTGTCTATTTTTGTAACAGTACCCTGCTGTTTGGGTTACTGTAGCCTTGTATATCGCTATAGGTAATATATAGTCAGCAGATATACCTAATAGTATAGTCAGGTAATGTGATACCACTGCCACTGGTTTTGTTGTTTTTGTTTGTTAGTTAGTTTGTTTTTAAAGCTATTTGGGTTCCTTTTCAGTTCCATGTGAATTTTAGAATTTTTTTTCTAATTCTGTGAATAGTGACATTTTTAATTTGATAGAAATTGCATTGAATCTGTAGATTACTTTGGGCAATATCATCATTTTAATATTTATTCCTCCGATCTATAGCATGGGCTGTTTTTCCGTTTGTTTGTTTCATTTATAATTTCTTTCATCAGTGTTTTGTAGTTGTCCTTGTAGAGATCTTGCACCTCCTTGGTTAAATATACTCTTAGATATTTTATTTGTATGTGTGTGGCTACTGTAAATGGGATTGAGTTCTTGATTCGATTCTCAGTTTGAAGGTTACTTGTGTATAGAAAGCTGTTGATTTTTGTACATTGATTTGTGTCTTGAAACATTGCAGTTGGTTTTCAGCTGTAGGAGGCTTTTAGAGGACTCTTTAGGGTTTTCTAGTTATCTTAGGATTTCTAGGATGATGTCATCAGCCAACAGAGATAATTTGACTTTCTCTTTTCCTATTTGGATGGCTTTTGTTTCTTTCTTTTGCCTAGTTGCTCTGCATAAGACCTCCAATAGTATGTTCAGTAGGCGCAGCTGAGTGGATGTCCTTATCTTCTTCCAGTTCTTAGGGAGAATGCTGTTGTTAATTTGAGATCTTCCTATCGATTTGATATAGGCATTTAGTGCTATAAACTTTCCTTTTAACACTGTTTTTGCTCCATCCCAGAGGTTGTGGTATGTTGTGTCTTTTTATTTGTTTCATTTTTTTAAAAAAAGTCTGCCTTAATTTTGCTGTTTACCCCTATAGTCAAATTATGAGAATAATGATGAAACATTTCATATCTAGAAAGAGGGGAAAAATAATGAGATTATTTAACCTAAAGCAGTGCTATCTATGGCATTATTTAGGTAATGGTACATCCTGAAAGGCAGGAGCCCTGTCTTGGGTTTCACTCATTTCTTCCTCTGGATAGTGCTGTAAACATTCTCTAGTACAGTCTACTTGTATATCTTGAGCAAATTATTAAAACTCTATAAGCCTCATTTTTCTCAACTGTAAAATTGTGATGATAATATTCAGTCTTACAAAGTGCTGGCGAGGTTTCAATTATACAATGTTTGTAAAGCATATTAAGCATTCAGTAGGGTATCAGAACAGAGTGTCTTGAATAGTACAGTAGGGTCTCTAGGTGGAAGGCATTCGTATTTTCCAATTAACCCTCTTTATGTAGTTTTTAGTAAATGCACATATGCTGGGTCACTTTGCTTTTATACTTTAAGAGTCTTAGCAAGAAAACTCTAATTTTCTGCACATAATTTAATTGAGAAAGAACTCTCTTATTTGTATATTTGTAGGGAAGAGATATCAGAGCTGGAATGGTTGCAGGACTGGAACATTAAGTGAGATTTTAATACCTCAGAATGATAAGGAGTGATTAAAAAAAGAGGATTCAGAAAACACAGTTGAATTAATGGGTATTAGTGACCTTCAGCCTGTGGAAAAATAAATTGAGAAAATAATTTGATATATTAATAAAGTATGGGCTTCCTCTTCAATCCACCTAATTTTTTTCATGTAATAATTTGTAATAAGCTCATTTAAACTTTGACAATGGAAATCAAACATATACAATAAAAATGTATAAATTATATCGATCATGATAAATTTTCAAGTTGTTAAGTAAATGTCTTGACTCAGTTTCATGCTGATGATATGTTTGAATACCAATCCTCAGTCTTAAAGGTATTGAAATGAAACATTTTTCTTTCAGTTTTTTAAATTGAAAATGTTTCCACTTTATTTCAGTCTTTTTGAATGTACAGGCATACTCTAAAGTGGCTTCATGGGTTTATGTAATTAATAAGAAGTCATATCATGAGAGAATAAAAATAAATCAGTTTTCTTAATCACACTCTACAGTATACTATTTTTATTTTCATTTTAAAGCATTAAGAACTATCAAATGTATTTGGAAAAATCAGCTTACTGAATTTTTTTTCTTTTTTCTTTTTGTCAGAGTGAAACATTGGTTGGGTTGAAATGTAGATTTATGTTATCACATTAAAAAAAAACCCTGCTTGGAGTGTCCTAAATAACAAATTAAATTAGTACTATGAAGTGTGGGCACCTGAATAGACAAATAGTGCAATAATGTTAACTTATTTCCCTTTCTTTATTTCTGACCACTTCTCTGTTTTACAATGGCATTCTGAATTTCTATCACCCTTAAAATAGGTAAGTTGATACTGGTCGTAACTTTAATAAGAATGCTTTGTACTCAATAATTCATATCAGAAAAAAATAACTGTCTAAAATACCAGACCCAGCCTCACTTCCCTGAACATGTTCTCTAAGTTGATGATGGCCTACTAATTACAATTTATGGAAATGAAAAAGTTTTACTCAATTTACTAATATGCTAAGTAAGATTTTAGAAAATCATTTACTGGAGTCAAGATAAAAGAGGTCTGACACTTGGTATATCCAGAATTCTAATATTTACAAAATGTTTGGAGGCCAGACCAACAAAATTGGAGAAAGCACAGAACAAAACTCTAAACTTTAATTGTTTGAAATGGGGTTTGGCAAAAATATAAGAAATGTTAGAATTGTTTGACTGGTTTGGCCTAAGGGAACACTTCCCAATTTTTTTTTATATTTCAAATTTGAGGCAAATAAAAGATATTTATATATATTTTTTTCTTGAGACAGTCTTGCTCTGTTGCCCAGGCCGGAGCGCAGTGGCAACGATCTCGGTTCACTGCAACCTCGCCTCCTAAGTTCCAGCGATTCTCCTGCCTCAGCCTCTCGAGTAGCTGGGACTACAGGCTCATGCCACCACGCCCAGCTAACTTTTGTATTATACCACCATGTTGGTCAGGCTGGTCTTGAGCTCCTGTCCCTGTGATTCGCCCACCTTGGCCTCCCAAAGTGCTGGCATTACAGGCATGAGCCAGTGTGCCCTGCCCAAAGAGAATATTTTTAAAAGCCAGAAAAAAAGCCTTAGTAGTTTATTAATCCAAGAAATGGTTGTAATTTTTACTGAATGCAAAATTAGTATCAGTATTTCTTTTGTCCTGCAAACTTTGTGCAAACTGGCACATTCTCTATGGCCCTGACCTTAAAGGCTGGACTACTTACAGGAATGATTGAGTGTAAAATCTAGATTTATTTATTTACATAAATCTAGATTTATGTAAAATCTAAAGATAATTTAGATTTTACATAAAAACTAATCTATGCATAATAATGAGCACTACATTTCAATGTAAGCCTCAATTTAAAGATTTTCAAGAACTGTAAACAATAAAATACATTTGATATCTTTCTTCATATTCTTCACTTTACCAGTGTCTGCTGATATACCTCTAGTTTTCATTTCAAGCCTTATTTAAAATGCTAAATTCAACCAAGTTTGTTACTATATTTTGAATCTAAATATTTTTATAGATTTATACCGAGGTCTGGATTGATCTTTTTAGACTGTTAGACTTTAGGATATTTGTAGCATTTATTTTATTACTATTATTTTATTTTATTATTTTATTATTATTATATTTTATTATTATTATTATTATTATTATTATTATTATTATTATTTTGAGATGGTGTCTCACTCTGTTGCCCAGGCTGGAGTGCAGTGGTGTGATCTTGGCTCACTGCAACCTCCACCTCCCAAGTAGCTGGGACTACAGGTGTGCACTACCATGCCAGGCTAATTTTTGTATTTTTAGTAGAGATAAGGTTTCACCATGTTACCCAGGCTGGTCTAGAACTCCCTGCCAGCCCAGGTCTCCCAAAATGCTGAAATTACAAGTATGAGCCACCATACCTAGCTTATAGTATTTATTCTGTTATTGATTTACCCTAGCCATCTGCTTGGAATTAGAGAAATACAAAAGAAAGAAAGAAGGGTAAACAGAGAGAGCGAGAAAAAAAAAAGAAAGAAAAAAACAGAAAGAGGGAGAGAACAGGAAGATCACATTGACCTGTGCTGTTTTTATTTTCTCTATTCTCACTTCTTGGTACAGGAGAGTAGAAATATAGCCTTGATGATGACTGGACACATCAATTAACACTCTTCTTACTTCTCTGACACAGTAGCGAGCTCCGCAACATTAGGAGTGTTTATGTGAGATGATTGGCAAATGTGTTTTGTAGATTAATTAGAAATGCAATTAAGCCATAAATAAGTAGATGCTGCTGATTTGTGTAAATCTTCTAGTGAGATCTTTTTCTTTAGTCTACATTGACTAGTCAGTGAAGAAGCTTCATACCTAGGGAATATGTCCTCCAGCTGTTTTCTGAGCAATGGCCGCTTTCACAGTCATCTATATCCTTCAGATGAGGGTAGAAATACATTTTAAAAAACAGATAAATTATATAAATTATTATGGAAGGAGGATTTATTATGAGTCATATGGCAAATGCTTTTGTACAAAAAGGTTGATTTGTAGGAGCATTATGCCCTCCTACAGTCCTAGAAACATTGTAAAAGAAATAGCTATCTAGGACAATTGTAGATACTCCTGAGTTCCTGAGTAGCGACAAGTTAAATTGTTGGCCATCTTCTAAATATCTGTCTCTTCAGCTCAGGCTTTCAGAAGAAAAGTTTCCACATTAAAGAGAGCATGAGCTAGCAGAAATTTTCATTCCTCTCAGATCCAATTCCTTGTCATAACAAATATCCTAAATGAATATTCATAAGTAATATAGCTCATCTACAAATATAATTTATAAATCCAGATAATGTCCCATCTGGACATTATCTAGTGTATTTGTTCCCAAGTATTTACATGTTGAAATGTAGAACTTTTTTATCATCTAGTACATTTCTTTTTGTCAATATGCCTCTCTGAAGTTCTGTGTTATGAACTTGAATTCTGGTTTACAGGAACAGAAAGGCAAGGAAGAAACAATGGCTTCAACATTTAGCATATTTTTCTGCATCTAATCTAGATGGTGAAAAGCCATTGTCAAGTATTTTCTCAAATTACACAACTTAAAAAGAAAATGTGATGTCAAGTATTTTCTCAACTGACCCAACTTGAAAATGTGAAAAGTTCATCAATTTTACTTCCTTATTTTTGATATTGATGTGTATGCTATATACAGGGTGGCTGGTCATGAATAAGCTAGATATCAGTTAAGTTAGTGAATAAAATGTCTCAGATTTAGTAAATAATGTTTAAATTTTTGGTACAACCATTTTTACAAAATTTAGCATAAATATTGTTATCATATGGAAGGTTGAATTTTACTTCCTAACTAGATACTTTCCTGAATACACACACACACACACACACACACACACACACACACATGTTTAAACATTAGGTTGGTGCAAAGGTAATGGCAGTTACTGCCATTACTTTTAATACATAACACAGAAAACGAATTTGTAGCAATGTTTTCTTATAGAACTATGTCTTTAATATATTTCTAATTGTACCACTAGATGGAGATATTTATTAGAAAGTTGTCTGCCTCTTAACCCAAAGAACTGCTTGGGTGGGGGGGAAATATTTTTTCCATTATATATTCTTTTGGAAATATGAAAAATAATTAAAATATAAATAAAATATCTAATAAAGTTTTCTGAGTTGATCAACTCATCTAAGAGTGAGAAGACATATGAATATTTAAGCACTATCAAATTTCAGAAATTTTTTTCTATTGCTCTTGAATAAAAAATCTGAAACAATCCTCAGAAATACAATCTGAAAAGTTTTGGTTCCCTGGAACACATGTCTCTTACCAGTGCACAGATAATAGTGTCATGGGTGTCCAGAGTGTATACATTCTATTCTTGAAAAAATACATTCTAAAAAATTACAAAGCCAAATGACAGACTTTAGGAAGATAGATAAGAATGTTTTGTGGAACTTTTGTTAAAAGCATAAGCAGATAATCAGCACAGTTACGAGCAACCTGGCACCATGCTCTTAATGAATGAATGTCTCTGCTAGAGGCACACACTTTGATCTTTTTTCTCAGTCATTTGCATATAATTGCTGCATTTATCATGTGGCCAATAGATATTAAAAACATAATAGAAGGAGATAATGAATGAAATTGGACTGAAATTGCACTTTGTGGTCAAAAGGCCAGTGCTGAGCAAACCTACTTTAATCTAGAAAATGCCTACTGGTCAGAGTTAACTTCATTTGCTCAGTGAAGGACTGATTCTAAACCCATAATGAGTTTACACCCAGTTGAAAAAGAAGATCCTTGCCAAGTTGTATTAGTTCGTTTTCACACTGCTGATAAAGGCATACACAAGACTGGGCAATTTACAAAAGAAAGAGGTTTAATTGGACATACAGTTCCACATGGCTGGGGAAGCCTCACAATCATGGTGGAAGGCAAGGAGGAGCAAGTCCCGTCTTACATGGATGGCAGCAGGCAAAGAGAGAGTGAGGAAGAGGCAAAAGCGGAAACCCCTGGAAAAACCATCAGATCTCGTGACACTCACTCATTACCATGAGAACATTATGGGGTAAACCTCCCCCATGATTCAATTATCTCCTACCAGATCCCTCCCATATCATGTGGGAATTATGGGAGTACATTTCAAGATGAGACTTGAGTGGAGACACAGAGCCAAACCATATCATTCCATCCCTG
This sequence comes from Homo sapiens, assembly GCF_000001405.40. Lineage (NCBI taxonomy): Eukaryota > Metazoa > Chordata > Mammalia > Primates > Hominidae > Homo > Homo sapiens. The sequence goes on from NC_000012.12 coordinate 85,478,545, forward strand.
GCCCCTGCCAAATCTCATGTCCTCACATTTCAAAACCAATCATGCCTTCCCCACAGTCCCCCAAAGTCTTAACTAATTTCAGCATTAACTCAAAAGTCTGCAGTCCAAAGTCTCATCTGAGACAAGGCAAGTCCCTTTCACCTATGAGCCTGTAAAATCAAAAGCAAGCTAGTTATTTCCTAGACACAATGGGGGTACAGGCATTGGGTAAATACAACCGTTCCAGATGGGAGACATTGGCCAAAACAAAGGGGCTACAAGGTCCATGCAAGTCCGAAATCCAGTGGGGCAGTCAAATCTTAAAGCTCCAAAATGACCTCCTTTGACTTCATGTCTCACATCCAGGTCACACTGATGCAAGAGGTGGGTTCCCATGGTCTTGGGCGCCTCTGCCCCTGTGTCTTTGCAGGCTAGAGCCTCTCTCCTGGCTGCTTTCACAGGCTGACATTAAGTGTCTGTGGCTTTTCTAGGTGCATGGTGCAAGCTGTCAGTGGATCTACCATTCTGGGGTCTGGTGAATGGTGGCCCTCTTCTCACAGCTCCACCAGGCAGTGCCCCAGTAGGGACTCTGTGTGGGGGCTTCAACCCCACATTTCCCTTCCACACTGCCCTAGCAGAGGTTCTCCATGAGAGCCCCACTCTTGCAGCAAACTTCTGCCTGGGCATCCAGGCATTTCCATACATCTTCTAAAATCTAGACGGGGGTTCAGAAACCTCAATTATTGACTTCTGGGTACCCACAGGCTCAACACCACGTGAATGCTGCCAAGACTTGGGGCTTGTACCACCTGAAGCCAAGAACCAAGCTCTACATTGGCCCCTTATGGCCATGGCTGGAGCCTCTGGGGCACATGGCATCAAGTCCCTAGGCTCCACATAGCTCAGGGACCCTGGGCCCAGCCTTCAAAACCACTTTTTTTTCCCTAGGCCTCTGGACCTGTGATGGGAGGGGATGCCGTGAAGACTGCTGACATGCCCTGGAGACAGTTTCACAATTGTCGTAGGGATTCACTTTTGGCTGCTTGTTACTTATGCAAATTTCTGCAGCCAGCTTGAATTTCTCCTCAGAAAATGGGATTTTCTTTTCTAACGCATTGTCAGGCTGCAAATTTTTCAAACTTTTATGCTCTGTTTTCCTTTTAAAACTGAATGCTTTTAACAGCACCCAAGTCACCTCGTGAATGCTTTGTTGCTTAGAAATTTATTCCACCAGATACCCTAAATCATCTCTCTCAAGGTCAAAGTTCCACAAATTTCTAGTGCAGGGGCAAAATGCCACCCATCTCTTTGCTAAAACATAGCAAGAGTCATCTTTGCTCCAGTTACCAAAAAGTTCCTCATCTCCCTCTGAGACCATCTCAGCCTCGACCTTATTGCCCATATCACTACCAGCATTTTGGGCAAAGCCATTCAACAAGTCTCTAGGAAGTTCCAAACTTTCCCACATTTTTCTGTCTTCTTCTGAGCCCTCCAAGCTGTTCCAACCTCTGCCTCTTACCCAGTTCCAAAGTTTCTTACACATTTTTGGGTATATTTTCAGCAACACCCCACTCTACTGGTAACAATTTACTGTATTAGTCTGTTTTCACAGTGTTGATAAAGACATACCCAAGACTGGGTGATTTACAAAAGAAAGAGGTTTAATTGGACTTACAGTTCCATGTGGCTGGGAAGCCTTACAATCATGGCAGAAGGCAAGGAGGAGCAAGTCCCGTCATACATGGATGGCAGCAGGCAAAGAGAGAATGAGAAAGATGCAAAAGCAGAAACCCCTGATAAAACCATCAGATCTCGTGAGACTTATTCATTACCATGAGAACAGTATGGGGGAAACCACCTCCATGATTCAATTATCTCCCATCAGGTCTCTCCCACAACATGTGGGAATTATGGGAGTACAATTCAAGATGAGATTTGTGAGAGGACACAGAACCAAACCATATCACCAGCTAACCATTTATTCATCTATTCCTGTAATCACATAAAGCATACTCTTTGAGGGACTACTATGTGAAAGGCAGTCATGTAAGCTGATAAATCCTATTCATTACAAATTCAACACTGGAAGTATGAATAGAGTCTGATGGAAAACAGAGGAGGAATAGACAAAGAATGCTGCGATTGGTAGTATAATGCCACATTGAGAGGGTGATAGTCGAGCAGGCTCTAGAAGCATACTTAGGGGTGTTAGAGATAAAGGATGTGTTAAAGACAATAGAAAATAAACTTTCACTGTATTAAATTGGGTGTGGATATAAAGGTAAGCAAAATTTAATAAAGTAAGATTTGAAAATAAAATGTATGACTTGGTCACCATGGTCTCTACTGAGATCCCAGGATGGGCAAATCTAATGGTGGGAGACTCAATAGTGAGAGTTCTATAATGGGAACTTTACTTATTATCTCTTGTTAACTTGGAATATGGTTTTTATAAGTGCCAGAACCTATAACCTATAAACCTGAGATGCTTTCTCACAAGGCCAAAACTGCCAAAATGTTTTATTCTTACAATCTCCTGTGATATTTTCAATGAGATGGAAAAAAATGAGAAATAAATAGATTTTATGAAAATACTGGGGACACTTGATGTCCAGATACGCCCACATGAGAAGAGTCCACATAGAAAGAATCTCCACCTGGAAAGAATGGAAAGGATTGGATGAGTGAATATACTCAGTAAGAAAGCTGAAACAAGGAAATTTTTTTGGCTCTGGAAACACAGAGCAGAGAGCAACTGGATCAAGAACAGTTCTGCTAGTCTCTTATCATATAGAACTTTGTGATAATTTACTTTTAAAAGGTGAATTTAACTCACCCAGTTAGAAATACTTATGATTTTGTCTACTGGTGGTAGGAAACGTATTTGCAGGAGAGGCTGTCATGGCAGTGCTGAGCTGAGCCCGTAGCCTCAAGTATACTAAAAAAACACCATTTTTCCCTCTCTTTAGGTTAGGGAGGCTCTTGAAACAGAGAGACTGAGTTTCTTAATTCTTGTATGATGAAGGAAAGTCTACATAAGAGGTGACTGGGGAGAGGGAAGCAGAGAGGTGCATTAGGATGGGAAATGAGAGTCAAACAAAAGCTTACAAACCTCAATTTTGTCTGTCTTAACGCTCTGCTTAGAGCCCAATACTGAAGTGTAAGAAAATATTTGGTCTGTCTGTCTCCAAAAGTAATGCTCTTTTCATTACTAAACTCGATGGAAGAAGGAAGTAATTACAACTAAAGGAGGAGAAGGAGAATAAAATATATGTTTTACATTGGCAGAAAAACTGGTTATGTTAGCACTTTAGATTGGAACAAAAATGATTCAGAATGAAACTCTCTTTTTTTTCCATCCATAGATATTTACCCTATAAATGTTTTTTAAGTTATCCTAAGTTCTAGGTCCTAAACTTTATTAATCTATTATCCAAAATTCATTGAGGTACTGTAATAGACTTCTTAAGGAATCTATGCTGTCCATACATCCCTTGCCTTGAAGTATTCATAATATTTAGTCATCTATTTGCTTTCCTAAGAGGACAAAACATTAACTCTTCCATTATTCCTTTGCCTTGTGTTAATCCTTCAAACACAAGTATTCTCAAGTGGAAGTCTCATTCATTTCTGCCATCTTAATAGCCATCTGTGTAGCTACACTTTTAACGACAATACTTACAAGAAAGGAAATGCTATTGGATTGAATATCTTAGAAAAGCATATAAAAATTTATATTTTCAACTGCTTTACTTCTAACCGTCATTTTTTTAATAGAGAAGAAAAAATATCACTTGAAATAATGGTTGTTCATTTACATCGATCACACTTTCCATCCTCTTCCCAAACTCTCTTGATAATACAATGTAAATATGGGAAATGACATGAGATTTAGTTCCTGTACTGTGAGATAAGACCCTTAATAGAAGAACCAAACTGTCATTCTTGCAAGAACCTGAAGAGTCTAGAACCTCCAATGTGTAAAGTTAAGAATAATAATAAGAAAGAAAAAAAAGGATGAGGTGGAGCTACTCAGTGGGATTTATAGGTCACACATTAAAACTAAAAATCTTGATCTGCTGGTTTGGGATCTTACAAATGTTTATCTCTCTAGACAGAAAGTTAACAAATGACCTTCTATAGTGCTGATATAATTATTTTTCTAAGATAATGAACTTGCTGTTTGACACCACTGCCAATTTTAAAAATAATCTGCTTGTCTGAAATATCAGAATAATGATTAAGCACAACATGTTCAGAGATCTAAGATAATTTGATATTGACAAGCATTTGTTAATGGTACAAAGTATAATGAGTCTGTATTTGATGGTAGAAAATCTGCCATTAGTAGTTAAGCCATCATCATAACAGCTGTTTGACAACAGAAAGAGCTTGTTAGTATTTATTCTGTTTGGCTAAAGTATCAATTAATACTGAACCAATCAGCCAGCCAGCTAAAAAGAAACATAAAAAATGCAAAGTTCTTTTCTTGCCTTTTCAATATAATTTGAAGCCATCAAAATTAAATTGAATGTTATAATTAAAACACATTACACAAGTGTGTTTAATAAAGACTAAAATTCTCTATTAAAAGTGAACAGGAACCAGAGAAACATTTATAATGCAAAATAACTCTAAACTGACAACAGTAAACTGCTGTTGCATAGAAATTGGAAAGTGATATTGTTTAATGTCAACAAAGGAGATGCCGAATACCTTCTTTAAAGAGGCTTGAAAGAAATAATTTACCATGGAAACTCTGCCCAATTCCAGAGACTGCATGTGCTTTCATACAGTGAGAAAATCTGTGAGATTCCAACTCTTTGTAGAATGTGAGAGGAGTAAAATGGCTGTCCTCATTCCCCACTTTAATTTGAGCAATCCAGAATTTACTATGGAGTGTTCCACTGAACAAGTAGCTACACAAAACTTGAATAGGGGTATCTAAGAAACAACAGCTACATAGACAACCAAAGAACGCTTGCTCAAAGAAGTCTGGGAAATGATGAAGTGAACAACACTAAACCTCACCGCAGGATCTCATAGAGCCTTTAACATTTGAGATGTCCTGAGAAGCTCCAAAAGGTGAATGGAGTTCCTACCAGTTCCCAAAATTTGCTTGACAAAAGTAAACCCTCTTTTTTTGCATAGGGTATATTATGGCATTAGGACTCACTGGAAAATATTAATACAATCAGAATTTAACTAAAAACAAGAAATTTCAAATTTATATAAATTGCTTCTTTGAATTTTAGGTTTCTAAGAAATATAGCAAAGGTAAAAACTATGTAATATGTAATATGCGTAAACTCTTTTCCTTGTTTGTGCACTTATACCAAATTTAACTCAAGTTTCCTACCTCATTGATAGGGGATAGGCAACAAGGAAATCCCAAATTCCTGGAAAATTGCTTGATTATATAGCAATAATTTATTAATTGTCTTTTAACATAGGGGTATTATCCTTCCAGTAGCATAATGTCCAAGAATGCTACAGTGGGATCCAGTCTGGGTTTGCATCTTGGCTCAGCTACCTACTAGTTGTAACCCCTTAAAAAACTTATTTAATGTCTTTATACTTCTTTTTCTTCACCTGTGAAATGAGAATAATAATAATGTACCTATATCATAGGTTATTAAGCAGACATCAAATACATGTTATAAGTATTGCTTATATATAAGTGTGTATAAGTATAACTAAAGGTATGACTTACAGTTTTTTTAAAAGAATAAGTAGCACTAACTCCTCAATCAACCCCACAATTTTTTTATCATCTTACATCAAAAGTTCACACAAGAGTCAGACCTGAAGAGCTGTGTTTATCCTTTGAACCTTACCTTGGCACCTCCTAACTTTTAAAGAGCATCTTCAAATAAGATACTCCCAAGTACTACTTGAAGAGTAAGAGTAAATAAAGTAAGAGAGACTGTAGAGGGCCTATGAGTCTGAAACCCCCTGCAAAAACTTCAAGATAATGTAACTCTATACAAGCTTTTTCAGAATGATCTGTTCACTCCCACTGATGCAGCAAAGGACCTTGTTCGTGCTAGGACCAAGAATAGCTATACAGTTGCACATCCTCTAGTTGTTTCAGGTCTGTGATACTCTCTGATGTGTACCCTTCATGCCACTCAAGTTATTTCCTCCCTGAGAAAATGAAAATTAGAAGAAAAAGGGTGTGTGTGATCAAAATGTTCCATCATCTTCCTTCCTTGGGAGCCATCATTTTAGGACAAGGAGACTTCTCTTTTGTCTTTCCATTTCTCACCTAAAGTTTCCATGGTTGTTGGCCTAAAATAATTCTAAAAGTCCTAAAAGATATGCATGTTTCTTTTATTGTGACCTTAAGGGAATTCTTAGAGACAGTTAGTTGTACTACTCCTTTTCTCTCTGAAACTCTCAATTCTTCTCCTTTCAACTTGTGTGTGCTGTGCATAAAATCTGTGAAGGATAAGAATAGTGGTTTAAAAATATTTCAGCTGTTCCTAATATGTAAAATAGTCTAAAATACCCCTCCTTTACCTCTTTATTTTTCCTTCTCCTTTGAGGAGTAGATTTTTGGTAAATTTCATTTTGGGACACTTCAGGCATTTTTTTCACAAAACTTAATTATAAATCTAGTGATATTACTTTTGAAAGGCAATGAAAAATAGAAATTTAAATTTCTAGAAAACATTGCATTTTTACTGACTCTTCCAAATGTTATGCTATACTTTTGAGAAAGTTTTTTTTTCAATCAGGTTATTGAGATTCTCAGTGTTGGAAAATTATTAAAGAAGAAACAGTATAAGCAATTGACATTTCCTTTTGGGGATTTTGCCCAGGATTTAGGAAAATGAATGAGGCATGTGAGAAACATTAACAAGGCAGTGTTAGCACATTATAGAAACATAACTATGCATTATTTCCTAAAACTAGTACAAATTTTAAACAGTAGATATTTTAAGAGATAAAGATATAAGCTTACTGCAGCATAAAAGACGGTAAAAACCTGTTATCGAACTCCAAATATACTAAGAAACAGCAGTGGAATGAGTAATTCTTTCATGAGGAAAAAGTGAGCCATTATTACTGATCAGTTCTGCTTCTGTGTGCCTGTTTAACCTTCTACTTCCTCTCCTCTTTCCACAGTGGGAACTGGAAGGGAATTGAAGTATCTGGGGCACCTGTTTCTCTGGTAATGTAACAGCCTATAATTTCCACTGGGGCGAGATCCTCATCAAACCTCAGGGCAAAGCTATTTTGCCTGCAGTTTCTGAGCCATCGATCATGTCCTTAAATATGACTTGCTTCTATGAGATTGCTTTTGAGGATGATGAAAGGAGAGTTTATTTAGAGGCACCTGTGCCTGCTAGGTGATACTACCTAATTTTGAGCTAAACAAACAAACAAACAAAATACTCTGTAGATAAAATATACAGCATCTTTTTTTCTTGTTGGATTCTTGAAAAGCCAGTATTCCACATTTGAGAGGTTTAAAATCAGAGCTGACAAATGCAGGATTTTAATTGAAGTATTTTATGTAAATAGTAGTATACACTTGTCCAGATATGGAATGAGGTTCTGTTAGGATAATTTCAGTTCTTTAGGAACTGTTCATCTTACATCATCATTTTAGTTAGAATAAAGACATCCTTTATGTGGTATTCATTGTAAGTAAATTAGTAATTTTTCTTTCATAGTTTATATGTACTGTTGGTTGTATTATTCTGAAAAGCCTGTACTAAAATTCAAGCTGCCATTATGTATATATTTTTAAATGAGAACTCTTGCATTTCTTACTTGTGTATAACGAAATACCAATGCCTGAAAAATCTGCTGAAAATCTCTGTTAATACAGTACAATTAAATATGGTTATCAAGGAAATAGGTGAACATAAATTTTAAAAAGTGCTTATGCCCAGAGAAACATGTTTCTTTTTTTCTACAAAAGTCTTTAAAGTAGCCCTGAGGAGACAAATGACTGGACATCAGTCTATTATCATTTGGAGAATGTGACATAAGCTCCAGTTTTATTTCCTTTAGAGTTGAAAAATGATCTGTATTTTCCCTGATCTCCTTCACAGTTTATTCTCGTGTAAGTATAAAGTATATATTTTAAAAATATTGTTTAGCTTGCATATCTGGCCACTTGATGACATGAATTATAAATCACAGTATAAAATAGTGTTTTTCCTGGCCAATCAGAGAAAAAAAGAGACAATGAATGCCTTTATTTCATTTCATTGGGGGCTGGTGAAAATTAAATGTAATAAAGGCTACAGCTCTAAATGGACATGATCAGATACAATTGCATTGGAAAGTCAGAGGACAATATTAACAAAAAGCACTTTTTTATTAGGGGATTCCATTCTTAAATGCTAACACATTTAAAAATAATAAACTGTGTTAATACATAAATATATACTACCTATATCTTTTTAAAAATGTTTTTAAATTGTCATGGCTTATTGGGCACAGAGGGACACCTCTTGTGACAATTATAAAATCTCCCAGTTGAATATGAATTATGTGTAAAGAGAAAGTATGTTTTGCCTCTGTATTTTATACACAATGGCAAAAAAATAAGAACCCATTAATTTAGAAAATAGACAATGAGATACTCTCTAATTAAATAGAAAGTTTCAGGAACTGGACCTTTGCTTCTCTCTTGCCCATCCCAAACATGTGGATGAATAAGCTCAGTGCATTAGGGATTGGAATTTAGTCTAGGGTAATTTAGATCATAGAAAGTAGGAATAAGCAGTGGTACCTGAAACATATAACTCTAGGGAAAAAATATATATAGTGTAAAAAGTAGTCTCCATTTGGAGAGATTATGACTTGATTTATGTATTTTGCTAGGATTGAATTTTACTAAATTACAGTTTTCAATTTTTCTGTATTAATAGAGATACCTCATTAGGCAATTTGGTGTGCCTAACATGTACTATGACTAATACTGTTAATGCTTTCAAAATTGGACATAAACACTAGGAGATAGTCATCTAAATTGACTTAATCATAATTTAATTACTGTATACTAAGGCACACCCATTACAAAATTCAGACCCATACTGGCCAAATAATGGATTACAAATAACAGTGTGATCATGCAAGACTGAATAATAAACTCACTTATAGATGACTGAGAAAAGATTTTAGGAAAAATTCATAGGATAGTTGTAATGAAGAAGAAAACTCCACTTTTTAAATTTAGAATCTCAATTTTCCAGTCTCCTATTTTTCTAGTTTGATGATTGATGAGGAACCAATTACACTTTTGGCTTCCAGAATATAAATAGAAACTTATGACAACATATCCTAACTCTTGCAGCTTCAACAATTGGATACTCAATTTCTTTTTTCTATGATAATAAAATTAACAGAAAGAGACCAAAACATTTTTAACCATTAATACTTTATTGCAATAAGCACAATTTCTGACGGGAGGTGCTCATATGCCATGGAGAAAATTCATTCCCAGTTTTTCCAGATCACAATCAATCTTTCTTGTGACAGTAAAAGGTTTGACCTTCTTAGAAAGTTGTGGGATAAGAGGAGTCTATTGTTAGGACACAGGTTTAAATATATTCAAGTCCGGACTGTTCTACCAAAAATATTTTTTATGTGAGTGCAGTAAGAAACTGTTTCAGATTAAGCTCACACTTTCAATTTGGCTCCATAAATGTGTATAGAGCATATAGTGTTTCTAAAGCACAATACTGGGGATTAAAGTCAGTTCCAGGCATCAGCCGATACGACGCTTGAACCAACCATGATCCTTCAGAGTCCTCTTTAAAACAAAGCTTACTGTATGAAGATTATAATCCATGGATGCTTAAGCAAAAAGGGGATGAAAAAAAGCAAGTAAAGTCAAGGACATTGCTCCAATGCTTCACATTGCTCTCTGCACACAATCTAAATTTTTTACCTTGAAGTACAACTTACTCCAGGGCTTGGTTCCCCAACTTACTCCAGAGCTTGGTTCCCCATGTGGGGCCAACCCACATGTCTGCCCTCCTGTTTATTATTTTTCCTTACTATTGCCTTTCCTAAAACCTCTAGATTAATCATATTCTTTCATTACGTGGTTCATTCAATATCACTCTTTCGCTGTAAAAACCTTCCTTCATTTTAAGATCTGGATGAGGTAATAAGTCCTTGGAAACCTCTTGTTTCCTCAGGGAAAGTTGCCCCATTCTCTGCATTTCTAGAGTTTATTGCTTATAGCACTGTAACTGTGTTTATCATATTATGTTGTAACTTAAAATATGCAAGTTTGTCTCTTGAGAGCAAGAACCTTGTATTATTAATCTTCACATATTCAGTATTAAGAATATCAAGCATATACTATTCAAAAAATGTTAAATGTTCATGGAGGATAAGATTTTTTTTTCTGGAGGGAATCTCATGAGCTAGTAAAAAAAACAAGCATAAAAGAAATAAACAGAAAAGACTACAACACAAGAGTAAGAGCTAACTTTCATTATGTCCTTACTCTATGCTAATTACTGTACTAAAATATGTTCATGAATTATATTGAAACTTCATGCCGATTTTAGAAAGTAGGTATTATCACTATATCCATTTTATATATTGCACTGTGCTTTCACATGACATTGACATTTCTTTGTTGTTTCTCTAATCCACGTTAGACTGTAAAGTCTTTGACTACATGGACTGTATCTGGCACTGCTTCATCCTCAGAATCTTATATGGTGCCTAACACCTAATCAATAATCAAAATACTGGTTGATAACATTTGTTAAGGCATTCATGCATGAATCAAAGGATTCCTTTTACCCAGTGTTTTAAAGATTATGACAGCACATGCTTATGTAATGCTTATGTTGTGCCAGATGCTGTTCTAAGTGCTTTACAAATATTAGCTTACCAAACCCTCACCACACCTTGGGAGCCAGCTTTTGTCCCGGTAAACTGAGTAATATTTTACAGATGAACAAACTGAAGCACATATAGGTAAAGCAATTTGGCTAAGGCCATATAGCTAATTATGTATTGTGGATAAGGCTCTTAAAGTTGAACTGAGATAAAACCTAGACAATGAAATCAGCCATGCAAAATCTACTAAAATGACAATTTAGAGATTGTAAATAGTTTTAAGTGGTTTAATGATCATTTTTCATCTTTCTTATCTGGTGAACCCTTAGCTTATTTTGACAAATTTTCTTTATTTTCTCTTATCGCTAACCTGTGCTGTAAGCTTAGCTCTCCATTGTTGATACAAAGAACATGCTCTCTACATATTGCCCGGGATTTATCTCTGAAATTTCTCCTTAAGAAATAGAATTTTTGTTACAATAACCTAGAATGTACTGTCTGTCTGTCAATTGCCTTTCTAATTTCTGTTCCTAATTAGCATTGAATAAGTTTGTGTGTACTGGAAATAGCCAGAAATAAGATCTTTCAAATGTAGATATGGCTCCTATGATAATTGGGCTATTGAATTTTGCATATCTCTTCACTTCTAAGTAGGCAGAAAAATCTTTCATGCATATTTACCACATTGTTCAAAATTTCTTTCTCCAACAACTTCTTTTTCTTAATTTGTTCCAAAAGTGTCTCTTGTTTTTCAAATAAATTTATTTAATATAGATAAAATTGTATGTATTTATTATGTAAAAAATGATGCCTTATGGGACATATACATTGTAGAATGATAAAATCTAGATAATTAACATATACATCAGCTCACATAATTATTATTTTTCTTGTGAGAACAGTTAACGTTTGCATTCTTCAGTGTATCTTCATATACTATAGTCATTATGCTGTATAACAGACCTCTTGAATTTCTTTCTCCTATCTACCTGCAATTTTGTATCCTTTTACCAAATTCTCCCCCTGGGCCCTGTCCAGTACAACTTCCACAGCCTCTAGTAAACACCATTCTACTATCTGTTTCTATGAGATCAACTTTTTTAGATTCTACACATAAGTGAGCTCATGTGATATTTGTGTTTCTGTGCCTGGCTTATTTCACTTGTCTTTCAGGTTCATCCATATTGTTACAAATGACTGAATTGCCTTCTTTTAATGGCTGAATTTTATTCCATGTGTTACCACATTTTCTTTTTCCACTCATCTGTTGATGGACACATAAATTGACTCCAAATCTTGGCTATTGTAAATAGTGCTGAAATAAACACTGGAGTGTAGATGTCTCTTTACATACTGATTTTATATCCTTTGGATTTATACCCTATAGTGGTATTGCTAGATCATATTGTAGTTCTAGTTTTAATTTTTTGAGGAACTTCTATACTGCTTTCCATAGTGGCTGTACTAATTTACATTTCCACAAACAGTGTGCAAATGTCTCTTTTCTCCATATCCTTTCCTAATACTCATTTTTTAAGTTTTTAGTAATAATCCTTCTAACAATAATGAGGTGATACCTCATCATGGTTTTGATTTGCATTTTCTTGATGTTTAGGCATGTTGAGCATTTCTCATATATGTGTTGGCCATTTGTGTAGCTTTGCTTTAGAAATGTCCATTCAGGTCTTTTGTCCACTTTTAATTATTTGTTTTCCTGGTATTGGGTCACCAACTTTATAATATATTTAGGATATTCCCCTTATATGATATATAGTTTGCAGATATTTTCTCCCATTCTGTAGATACTCTATCCACTCTATTGATTGTTTTCCTTCCTGTGCTAAATAAACATTTTTGTTTGATATAATTTCATTTTTCTATTTTTGCTTTTGTTTTCTCCGCTTTTAAGGTCAGATCCAAAAAATTATTGCCCATACCAATGTCATGAAGCATTCCACCTATCATTTCTTCTAGTAGTTTCATAGATTCAGGTCTTATATTTAAATTTTAAATTCATTTTGAGTTGATTTTGTATATGGTGTCAGATAAGGGTCTAACTTGATTCTTCTGCATGTGGAGATCCAATTTTCCTGGAGCCATTTATTGAAGAGACTATTCTTTCCTCATTGAGTGTTCTTGGCAACTTTTTGAGAAAATAATCGGCTGTGTAAACATGAATTTATTTATAAGATTTCTATTCTGTTTCATTGGTCTATGTGTCTTTTTATATCACTACCATGCTGTTTTGAGCCATCCTTGCAGCCCTGGGATGAATCTCACTAGATCATGGTGAATAATATTTTTTAATGTTCTGTTGAATTTAATGTACTGTTGAATGTACTATAACTTTATAGTATGTTTTGAAGTCAAGTAATGTGGTGCTGCTAGCTTTGTTCTTTTTTCTCAAGATTGCTTTGGCGATTCAGAGTCTTTTGTGGTTCCATATAAGTTTTAGGATTTTTTTTACTATTTTTGTGAAAAATGCCTCTGCTATTTTGATGGAAATTGCACTGAATCTGTAGATTGCTTTGGGCAATATAGACATTTTAACAATATTAGTTCTACTCCATTAACATGGATGACTATTTCATTTATTTGTGTCATTTTCAATTTCTTTCATAAATGCTGTATAGTTTTCAATGTAGATATTTTTCACCTGCTTGGTTAACTTTATTACTAAGTTTTTGTGTTTTTTTGTAGCTACTGATAGTTTGCTGTTAATACACAGAAACACTATAGATTTTTGAATGTTAATTTTGTATTTTACATCTTTATTGAATTTATTAGTTCTAACAATTTTGTTTTCAGTGGAGTTTTATATTTAAGGTGGTATAAATGTAAGACAGTGTCATTTGCCAATAGGAATAATTTAGCTTCTTCCTTTCCATTTTGGATGCCTTTTATTTCTTTCTCTTGCCTAAATGCTCTGGCGAAGACTTCCAAAACTATGTTGAATAGAAATGGTAAGAGTGAGCATCCTTGTCTTGTTCCAGATTTTAGATGAGATCTTTCCATTTTTTTCCAATTGACTATGAATGTTAGCTGTGGTTTTGCCATACATGGTCTTTATTATGTTGAGATACATTACTTCAAAACATAATTTGTTGAGTTTTTATCATGAAAGGATGTTGAATTTTGTCAAATGCTTCTGTGTATCTGTTGAACTGATCATATGGTGGTTTTTGCCCTTCATTCTCTTAATATGATGTATCATGATTTTTGATTTGGGTATGTTGAGCCTTCCTTGGATCCCTGGGATGAATCTCACTTGATCTTGGTGAATAATCTTTTTTAATGTGCTATCGAATTCAGTTTTTTAGCATTTCTTTGAGGATTTTTGCATTTATATTCAGCAAGGATAGTGAATTATCATTTTATTTTTGCTATATCTTTGTCTGATTTTGATATTATGGTAATTATGGCCTTATAAAGTAGGTTTTCAAGTATTCCTTTCTCTTCAGTTTTTTGGAAGAGTTAAGTCATCAGTTTCTGTAGGCAGCACATAGTTGGTTTTGATTGTCTATCCATTCAGCCATTATATATCTTTTGATAGGAGAATTTACATCATTTAAATTCAAGGTTATGACTGATAGGTTAGGACTTCTGACTGTAATTTTGTTAATTGTTTTCTATTTGCTTTGTAGATCTGTTGTTTTTTTCTTTTTTTCTTTCTGTTTGTCTCTATTTGTGGTTAAATGATTTTTCTTTTGTGGTATGTTTTAATTTCTTGTGTTTCATTTATTTTTTAAATCTACCATAGATTTTGCTTTGTAGTTACTATGATGCTTACAATAAACATCTTATAGTTAAAATAGATTATTTTAAGCTGATAATAACTTAACTTTGATTGCCAACAAACACCCACAATGAAAATCTCTATGCATTTCCTCAGCTGTCCACCTAACATTTAAAATTTTTAATGTTACCATTGTAATCTTTCTATATTGTATATCTCTTAACAAATTACTGTAGTTATTATTTTTAGTTTTGTCTTTTAATATCATTTATGTTAAAGTTATAAGTGATTTACACACTACCATTTACAGTATTAGAGTATTCTAAATTGGACTATGTACTTACTTTTACTAATTAGTTTTATACTTTCAGATATTTTTGTCTTACTCATTAGTAAGTAAGCTATTTCTTCAGCTTGAAGAACTTTGTTTGGCATTTATTATAGGACAAGTCTGGTGGTGATAAAATCCCTCAGCTTTTGTTTATCTGATTTATCTCTTCTTCATTTCTTTTTTTCCCTTTCTTTTTTTTTTTTTCTTTTTTTTTGAGACAGAGTGGCTCTGTTGCTCAGGCTGGAGTCCTGTGATGATGTCATGGCTCATTGCAGCCTCTGCCTTCTGGGCTTAAGCAATCCTCCCATCTCGGTCTCCCAAATAGCTGGGACTACAGACATATACCACCATGCCTGGCTAATCTTTTATTTTACTTTATTTTTTATAGAGATGAGGTTTCTCCATGTCATCCAGGCTTGTCTCAAACTCTTGGACTCAGGTAATCTATCTCAGCCTCTGAAATTGCTGGGATTAAAGGCATGAGCCACCATGCCCTGCCTCTTCTTCATTTCTCAAGCACAGTTTTGCTGGGTACGATATGCTTGGTTGGTAGTTCTCTTCTTTTTTTTTTAACTTTTAAGTTCAGGGGTACAAGTGCAGGTTTGTTACATAGATAAACTCATGCCATGGGGATTTGTTGTACAGATTATTTCATCACCCAGGTATTAAGCCTAGTGCCCATTAGTTATTTTTCCTGATATTCTACCTCCTCCCATCCGCCACCCTCCAAAAGGCCCCAGTGTGTGTTGTTCCCCTCTATGTGTCCATGTATTCTCATCACTTAGCTTCCACTTATAGGTGAGAATATGCAGTATTTGGTTTTCTGTTCCTGTGTTCATTTGCTAAGGATAATGGCTTCAGCTTCATCCATGTCCCTGCAAAGGACATGTTCTCATTCTTTGAGCACTTTTAATATTTTATCCCACTCTTTTCTGGCCTGTAATGTTTCTTCTGAGAGTCTGATGCTAGGTGTATTAAAACTCTCTTATATGTTATTTGCTTCTTTTCTTGGGCTCCCTTCAGAATTTCCTTTTTGTTTTTTAGTTTTGATAATTTGATTATAATATGGCTTAGGCTAGTATTATTTGAATTTAGCCTGATTGAAGACCTTTGACCTTCCTTGATCTGGACATTTATATTTTTCTGCATATTTGAAAGGTTGTCAAATATTATTTCAATTCCAGAATTTGTTTAATTTTTTTTAAAAAATTACTATTACTATTTCAGTCTCTCTGTTAAATTTCTAATTCTGGTCATTTACTTTTCTTGTTCCACATTGCTTTGAATTATTTCTCTGTATTTACTTGAAATATATTGAATGTCCTTTAAACAGTTATTTTGACCTCTTTGTCATACCATTCATACATCTCCATCTCTTTAGAGTCAGCCCCTAGCACTTTATTGTATCTGCCTGGTTATATCATGTCTCCCCAATTGTTTCTGATCCTTATAAACATTTTTTGATGTCTACTGATTTGAAGAAGTATGTATTTCTTCCAGTCTTGAAGTCTGGCTTTGTCTGAGAATGCCCTTCAACAGTAAACATGTTCAGAGATTCTGAGCAGATCATCTGGTGTGATCCCTATACCAAGGACCACTGTGGCTATTTCAATGCTATGGAGTGCCCTAAGCTGAGACCCACCATGACTAGCATGGGGCAGAGCTGGAATCTTATGGCCACTGAGACTGACTCAGTACTAAGGTGTTCTTGAAGCCTACAGCTGCTGCGTCCTGCATATTGCTATGGTTTTACAGGTACCCAAGTCTCTCATAGTTGGCTGTGGTGATGAAAACTGCAGATAGAGCCCATTTTGCAGGAACTATGGGTTCCTGTATGGCACTGGAACAGATCTGGCTCAGTCCACTGGTATCAACCTGGAGTCAGAGGTCATGGAGATCCACCTGATGCTGGGTTTTACTGTGGCAGGCCCAATGTTAGATTCCAAGGAAAAATCCTATGCTTACTTTTCTCTTTCCCTTAAGCAGATGGTATTTCTCTCCACACTGTGCTGCTTGAAAGTGGGGTAATGGGTAATGTGGGTAATGTAAAACTGGTCTTTCTACTCTCTTCAATGCATTTAAAAAAAATTATTGTGCTATATTCAGGTACTTTCATCTCTCAGCTGGTCTCCTTAGCCCTTGTGAAGATAGATTTGTGCATGAATAATTGTTCAAATTGATGTTTCTGTCAGGGGATGATTGCTGGGGAGTACCATTTTGCCATCTTGCTCCACCTTCTTCTAAAGTGCTCTCATTTCAATTAAACTATCTTCCCTTTGTATTCAGCCCATTGGGTTGAACAGTGCTTTTTTCTGCTTATATTACATGTTCATTAGCATTGCATGCATGTTAACACTCTTTTACTCTATAAATTCTATTTTATGGTCACATATTTTCTATGCACATGGTCTCACTTATTAAATAGTAGTGATAATTGGCTTATTACAAACAAAGTAAATTATAAATGGTTATGGGTAATTTAGAGAGTTGTTCCTTGGAGAGTTGTACATTATTCAGTTTTTCTATACCTACAAACATATAATCTGATCATTTAATAACTCTTAAAAGTTTGTTATTATAGAATAATATAATACTTCAAATAATTTTTAAAAAACATTAACCACAAATATTAAAATATATAAGACATATAAAAATGTTAGCTGCTTTTATAACTTTGGAATGAATTTTAAATCTATAGAAGCCTGAATAAAGGACTCCTTTATAGTCCATATGCTTGTTTTCTATTGCTGAATTCCATGTCCCACAAATTTATCAACTGGAAACAATACTCACATATTAATTACTGCCTTTTTATGCCAAAAGTTCACCAAGATGTGTCTAGGTTTGTGCTGCTCAGGATATCATAAGACTGAACTCAAGGTGTCAATCAGGCCTGAGCTTTCCTCTGAAGGTGCTGGGAAAGAATCTGCTTCTAAGCTCATTTGGGTAGTTGGCAGAATCCCATTCCTTGCAGTTATAATGAGATACCTAGAGTTTTGCTTCTAGAGCGTTCCTAAAGGTCACTCTCAGGTTTTTTTCCATATAGCTTTGTTCAACTTCAAACCAGACATGGCATATCAAATTTGTTTCCTCTTTCAAATCTCTCTTTGACATTTGTGCAACCAGTGCCATATAACTTAGTCATGGGAGTAAAATCCACCATGTTCACTGTCTTGAGGATTATGCAAAGCTTTTACACAGAAGTGTTTGGGGGGTTGGTGAAAATTTAGAATTCTGATTACCACAGTCCCCAATTGGAAAAGGTTACCTCTAAATTTCAAAGCATACCTTTTTTTTTTCTCCGTAACTAAAAATATTCTTGTATATCTTTTCATATGATATGTAGTCATATTCTGCCAATTTTTGCAGAGTTAACATTTTCAGACTGGCTAAAGATGAATGATGTTTCTACCATTTCAGTGTATATTTGTGACTTTTTAAAATATGTGCACATAAGCATCTGAAGCACTTTTAATAAATCTTAATAATTAAAATTTGCTGATATCTTGGCTACATAAACTGAATATTTAGAGAATCAAGAAAAAGACTACATATATATTGATGAAATCTATCACTGCTGGGTTTTCACATAAAATATTTTAAGATCAAGTATTAGTCTGCTCAGGCTGCCGTAACAAAGAACTACAGACTAGGTAGCTTAAACAATGAAAATTTATTTCCTCACAGTTCCAGAGGCTGAAAGTCCAAGATCAAGGTGCCAACAGGGTTGATTTATTTCGAAGCCTCCCTCCCTGACATAAAGATAGCCACTCTCCTGCTGCCTCTGTACCTTTGCTTATAAGAAAATGAGTCATATTGGATTAGGGTACATCCTCATGGCCTAATTTTAATTTAATCATCTCTCTTCTTAATTACCTTTTAGACCCTATCTCCAAATATAGTCACATTCTAAGGTACTGGATATTAGAGCTTTAACATATGAATTTGGGGGGATGCAATTCAGTCTATAATAGATTCTGAATAAAACTTATCATAAGAACCTTTATTTTTTATAAACATAGTGCTGTGAGGCCCACAATTATCAAACTAGTGAGAAGACCCATCATGTGTGATGAATTTTCTTTCTGTATATACCTATAGATGACTATCAAGATAATAAAGTGATATCTGGGATGGATGTTTTCCCCAGAATATTTTATTTAGATTTAGTCATTCTTATGTTCTTATTAAAAAATCACTCACATGCAAATTGTTCCAGTTTTCAGAAAATATAAAATACATATTTTCTAAAATATGAACTAAAGTCATCACTATAAGAAAATGATTTTTATAGATAGAAAAGTCCTGTGTTGATCTGTGCCTCCATGTAAAATAGGAAAGAAAAGTAAACATTAAAGAACGAGCAATGGCTGGGTGCGGTGGCTCATGCCTGTAATTCCAGCATTTTGGGAGGCCGAGCGGGCAGATCACGAGGTCAGGAGATTGAGACTATCCTGGCTAACACGGTGAAACACCGTCTCTACTAACAGATACAAAAATTTAGTCAGGTGTGGTGGTGGGCGCCTGTAGTCCCAGCTGCTCGGGAGGCTGAGGCAGGAGAATGGCGTGAACCCAGGAGGCAGAGCTTGCAGTGAGCCGAGATCGCACCACTGCACTCCCGCCTGGGTGACAGAGCGAGACTCCGTCTCAAAAAATAAAATAAAATAAAATAAATAATAAAATAAAATAAAATAAATGAGGAATGGACTGCAAGAATAGTAAAATGTAGACTATTATCCTCCTTTTTTATATACATAATATTAAGCACTGGCTTTTTGTAATAAACACATCATAAACTGAGGTTATTGACAAAATAAATATAATCAGGACAATTGGGAAATAGTTTAAGAAAAATATCCTTTTTAATATGAAGTATATTATTATGCCTTTTAACTAAGTAGGCCATATTCCTTTTATTTCAAATTAAATAGGTAGATGGTGAAGAATTTATTGTTATTTCCAGAGTCATGGAAGAGTAGTTACCAAAAGTCCCTCTTGTGGACAAAAGCCCAAAGACTGAATTAGTAACCATTAAATGGCTATGATATACCCAGTTGCATCTGTTTGCTGTTGCCACTGTAACAAATTACCACAAATTTAAAGGCTTACAATAGCACAAATTTATTATCTTTCAGTTCTGGAGCCTAGAAATTTAAAATAAAATGTATGGGCTTAGAACAAGGCTGTTTTTTCCGAGACTCCAAGGGAGAATCTGCTTCTTGACTCTTCTACTTTTAGGGGATTCTATCCTTCCTTGACTCCTGGCTACATCACTCCATTCTCTGTTTCTGTGGTCACATTGGTTTCTCTACTGTTGTCAAATCTACCTACCTCTTATAATATTTTCTCTTTGTGATTATACTTATGGCCCATGCAAACAATCCAGAATAATCTTTTCATCTCAAAATCTTTAACTTAATCACATCTGCAATGTTATTTTTGTTACATAGGGTAACAGTCACATATTCTTGAGTTTAAAGTGTAGACATCTTAGGGAGCCATTATTCAGCCTATCATACCACTGCTGTTCTGTAGTACTGCTCGAGATGTCAAAAAGAAAGAGATAAGTCCTCCATGGGTTTATAATATAACTGGAAAGACAAAAGAAGTCTTCCTTATCGAATAAAGAATACTTTATGCAGGATGAGGCCAGCAATAAGAAAAAAATATTTCATAGTTTAAAGAATGAAGAAATCAGTTGGAAGAGACTTGGAAAAATACATGAGCAAAGACAGGAGAGGTAGAGTAGGCATGTCTTAGAAGACAGTTTCATAGAACTGGATTTCTAAGGTAGAGCAAACACTTGTAGGATGGAAACATGTAGTGCCTTCTACATTGTCAAGTACACGGGTAGGCAATACGCAAATATCTATATGAAAAATAATAGATGATTGGTTAAAATTGGAATGAATGAATATATGAATAAATGGATAATTAAATTGATTATATACAGATTATGAAAAATTATGTGAATTAATCTTCATAAAGTTCTGTTATCATTATGTAATTTGTTAGAATAAGTTGTATCCGTAACTTAAGGGGCAACGGTGAAACCAACAGAAAATCCTAGAAGACGCATCCTAACATCTTGATACAATGATACAGCCTTGGGTGCCTAAAAGGTATTTGCTACATGTAAAGTTTAGCACTGAGAATTTCTTAAATATGCTTTCCTTTTAAATATCTTGATCACCAAGGATGATATCTCTTGAAAGCTGCTGTTCAGCTCAGTGTGTATACATCTCATATAAAAGGGTCAGTTTAAGAAATGTGAAGGTCAGAAAAACACAGAATGGAAATGAGAAACAGAAAGGTATAATATTTCATTAAAAATATATCAATGCCTCTGAAAAGTAAGAACAGGAGAAAAAGTTTCAAATTGATTAGGAGCAGCTCAAGAAAGTTACTGCTGTCAACTCTTTTTAGAAGGCAATGTTGGGCAACAGATGAGATGGCATATAAGTTTATATATGTGTGTCTGTGTGTGTGTATATATATATGTATACAATTTATATTAAATTTTAGAGTACTGCCAAATGATAATTAGAACTATATACAGAGCTGTCTAAAATCTTGTTTGTGTTTCTCTCAGTGCGCTGTGTTTTCAGTGTTTGTTCATGGAAATAGTATGTTTTGTGAAAACAATACATGAATATAGTGGCCATGATTTAAAGTTAAATTTCTTTTTGCATTTTTCTTTGACATATAACTGAAATTAAAATGATTTTATATGTTTTAGAGATAATGAAAAACTAATCTGTTTCCTCTGAGAATACAATACCCTTGCAATGAATGGTCACTGTGTTGGAAATCAGATCTGGATTGTGAGTTGCTGGCATCTTCATTGGTTTTATTGAGTGATATTTCATCCCTCATTTATAAATGTAAATCAGTTACAGTGTTTGGGGGTGACTGGGCGCGATGGCTCGCCTGTAATCCCAGCACTTTGGGAGGCTGAGGTGGGCAGATCACGAGGTCAGGAGATCGAGACCATCCTGGCTAACACGGTGAAACCCCGTCTCTACTAAAAATACAAAAAAATTAGCCGGGCGTGGTGGCAGGTGCCTGTAGTCCCAGCTACTCAGGAGGCTGAGGCAGGAGAATGGCATGAACCCGGGAGGCAGAGCTTGCAGTGGGCCGAGATTGCGCCACTGCACTCCAGCCTGGGCGACGAGCGAGACTCGGTCTCAAAAAAAAAAAAAAAAAAGTTTGGGGGTAAATTACTATTATGTTGCTTTATACAATAATATCATTAAATTTACTAGAAGGAAAAGCCACTGTCTGTAATCATTACAGTTGTTCAATGAATATTTATTTTGAAGTTTTCTTCTGAAGAAAACTTAAACCATAAGCAAGTTTTACAGTTCGTTTTAAAAATATAGATTATGGTTTATTAACTTACATTACATTTTTCCCACCCCATATTGGCTTGTAATATTTTTCCCCAAAGAAGTGGAATTGAAACTTGACTCAGTTTGGAGGTGTTCACTAATGATCTCTTGAATCATTTCCTTCTCCACAGTTTTTATTCCTCTATATTAGAAAGCATACAGCATATTGCCAATTTTTCACTAATGATGCATGAAACGTAATGAGTTGAATGGGCCTCCAAAGTATTACATGAATGGCCTTCAGTATGTTGTTTCACTGTGGTCTCCAAACTCATATTCCATAATTGCAAGGAAATAATTTTTAACTTTGCAATCACTCAACCGAATAGCATACTACAATTGTACTACCTGCTATTCCAATTTGGCTATCAAATTTTTATCAACATGTAAGCACAACTATCTTATTCAGCTTTGTATCATACAAGTATTAGGTTAAATGAAATTAACATGTACTAATTATTCTGAAAAATAATTAATTAAAATAGACTACAACAAAGCAAACATATATTTTTGCCCTTTCGGTTCATTTTATGATATGTATTTTTCTAATTTCTACTTTATATCACTTATTATATCTGAAATTATCTTGTTTGTTTATGAACTGATTGTCTGTATTCTTCTCTAGAATGTAATCTCCATGATCAAAGGGTGCTTCTCTGTTTTGTTTAGTGTTATATCTTCAATGTTTCGATTTTTCTGGTTTTGTAGTTGAGTTTTAAATGCAGAAAGTGTGAGTCCAAATTATAGGCTTTTAATAGTCATTTGGTATCTTCTACCATAGAATGTTAGATTTTAAATCAGTGTTTAATCACAAATTTAATAGTTCTAAAAATTATGGGACTATTTTACTAATAGTAGTAAACAATAAATATACTTACTAAGATATGAATAGTCACTAAGATACAGTAAGTCACATTTTTATCAACTTATGGGTATCCTGTGTCCATTGTAATCATTTTCTGAGTCAAATGAAGATTTAGTCATTTAATTTTAAAAATTTATCAAAATTACGCAAGACAATGTGTTCTGTCTGCATGGGCTTAGGGTAAGACACCAACCTTGCTTTAAGAATGTACTCTAGAGAGGAAGGTAAGATAAAAGCACAACTAGTTATAAATGTAAGAAATTTGCAGGTAGTTAGAAAAAAGTGAAACACATATTCAAATTATAAAACTATCACTTGCCTTTGGGAGAAAGGCATCTTGAAGGAAGTCACAGTGATTTTAAGGTATCTTGGGATGTGCAAGTGATCTATAAGTAAAGATGGGGAAGTGAAACATGGAGAAAGGAAAGAGATATTGGAAGATATTGAATGTATTACAGAATAAGCTATGTTGGAGCCACGTGTCAGATAAGGTTAGGAGAAAGGTTTGGATATTATTGTAACAAATTCTACAATTCCACACAAACAAATTTTATTTAATTTGTTATGAAATAGAGAATCATTGAAAGTTTATGATCATGAAGGAAATTGTAAGAATTCTGCTTTTGAATGATTAGTATTACCATGATTAGCAGTTTTGACAGAACTGAAATATAACTTGAGGTAGAAGAACAGGTAGTTGGTGGCTGAAATTGTTTGGGTGAAGTATGATGCATTGTTGAAATAAAAACAATAGCTCTGAAAATGGAAAGAAAGGTATATTTAGTAAATATAAAATTAGGTATCCCTCGAGTTGAGGTATGGATAAGGTCTTTTTGTTATTATTGTTGTTGTAGTGGTGGTGGTAAGAGCACTTAACATGAGATCTACCAGCTTAACAAATTTTTATAGGTATAATACCACATTGTATATGAGGACAATGTTGTACAGAAGATTTCTAGGACTAATTATTGTGTATAAATGAAATTTTATCCCTATTGAACAGGGATAAAGTCTTGAACTAATTCTCAACTAGGAACCCACTTCTGACATTGGCCAATGGAAAAAAAAATTTTCTATAGTGGAATTCTTTAGCGAAACTGTCTCATTTAGTGTATCATTTTGTGAAGCTTCTAAATAAAGGTAGTGGTATATAGATATTCATTTTTGTGCCTATTATTGCTGCTGCAAAGGATACAAATTAATATTTTTATAAAAATTCTCATTTTGGCCGGGCGCGGTGACTCAAATCTGTAATCCCAGCACTTTGGGAGGCCAAGGCAGGTGGATCACCTAAGGTTAGGAGTTCGAGACCAGACTGGCCAACATGGCGAAACCCTGTCTCTACTGAAAATACAAAAATTAGCAGGGCATGGTGGCATGCGTCTGTAATCCCAGCTACTCGGGAGGCTGAGGCAGAAGAATCGCTTGAACCCAGGAGGCGGAGGTTGCAGTGAACCGGGATCACACCATTGCACTCCAGACTGGGAGACAAGAGCGAGACTCCATCTCAAAAAAAAAAAAAAATTCTCATTTTATTTCGTATGTGTATTAAATCTAGGGATACAAACAGTCACGAATCTGTTGCCATATTACATCATATTTTGTCTGTATTCAACATTTATTGTTGACCTAGTAGGAATTTTAATGATCATGAAAAATGTGTTTGTTAGCATTAATTGAGTGGTATGGTATAACATTGGCAGACCCCTCTCTTTTCCTGAAACCTCGAATTTCTAATTTGTCAAGTTATTAGTAGTATTATAAATTTTATTATTTATATTGGTTAAACTTAAGGTAAGTCTTTCCAGGAACCTTACCTCCCAGGACAACATGTCTCCTCCTTCTGATACAGAAGCCCATGAGGTGATAACTTAAAGCTCTAGCTCCTCCCCTTCCATACTTTTCACATTGCTTAGTCTTCTTCATCATAAGTTTTGACCATAATATCTCAGTCACTCTAAACTTCCAGATATAGAAGAAACACTAGAAGGTTTTGCTTAAGAGCTAAGAATATACTTTTCTTTTTCTTGAAATGTCCATTTGCCCAATCT
Source organism: Homo sapiens (assembly GCF_000001405.40). NCBI lineage: Eukaryota > Metazoa > Chordata > Mammalia > Primates > Hominidae > Homo > Homo sapiens. The sequence continues at coordinate 85,503,722 of NC_000012.12, forward strand.
TTTCAAATCTTTTCATTCCATCATTTTTTTTAAATGAGAGTAGTTTTCTGATTTCTTTATAAAACCATAATTTCAGAACAATTGGCAGACTCCACCCCCAGGGCACTCCATGAAGGTATTGAAATGCCCTGGGCTTGTTAGATCATATCAATTTACACTGGCTCCCGGGTTATTGGGAACTAAGCACTTATGTCTTTGACATGAGAACACTTTATTTCCCTGAGGCTCAATCTTACCACTTTCAATCCATGGTCAGATAATCTTGGTCTTTTATAATTAGCCCATGCCTTAGTTGGTTACTTTAAGTTCTAAAACTGAATAAAGTTATCCAGATGAATTTATTAAATCATAGAATATGAATAAAGCTTTTCCTCATAGTGTATGGTGAGATAGTTTAGCAAAAAGATGCAATACGCTTAAATAAAAGACTCATTTAAATAAAATGATTATATTTAATGAATAACCAAAGAAGGAGTAACAGTACCATCTAGCATGTAATGAATAATAAGTATTCGTATTACCCAGTTAACTAGAAAACCTAAGAAACAAAATTTGTGTCTTTTTTCCTGTGGACAACAAAATCAATAGGGCAATAATTCTAGCCAAAATAAACAAAACATTATGAAACAACTGACTTAGAGAGTTATCGACTATGGACATGTCTTCAAAACAAAACTAACAGATAAAAACACTGTACTATTTCTCATATACAGCTATAGAGGCAAAGTTTTCATGACAAATCACAGCAAAAGCACAAATTGGCAAATGGGTTCTAACTAATTTTAAGAGCTTCTGCACAGCAAAATAAACTAGCAACAGAGTAAACAGGCATCCTACAGAATGGGAGAAAAGTTTTGCAAACTATGCATCTGACAAAGGTCTAATATCTAGCATCTGTAAGAAACTTAAATTTACAAGAAAAAATGCATTAAAAAGCGGGCAAAATACATGAACAGACACTTCTTGAAAGAAGACATACATGTTGCCGACAAGCATATGAAAAAAAGCTCAATATCAATATCGTTCTGGGACAACAAAAACTTTATTGATCATATATCTAATATCGGAAATTTAATTTGCATATTTATGCTATTTTGATGACTCTGCAATCAGTATCTTCCATATACAAACTTTTGCTATTTTTAAATTTTTCCTTAATATGAAGTGTGAAATAACTGAATCAAGACATAAGAACTGTGTATCCTTTAAAATATTTGGTCATATACCTATGCATAATTTATAATGCCCATAGCAGCCTGAGAATTTATAGTTTTTGTGCAATTTCACAAGAATTTTAAGGTTGTTAACATACTAGGTTTAAATGGTACTTCAAATTTTGATTAATTTGTTGCCGGGCACAGTGGCTAACACCTGTAATCCCAGCACTTTGGGAGCCCGAGGCAGGTGGATCACTTGAGGTCAGGAGTTTGAGACCTGTCTGACCAAAATGGTGAAACCCCGTCTCTACTAAAAATAAAGAAATTAGTTGAGTGTGGTGGCGCATCCCTGTAAATCCCAGCTACTCTGGAGGCTGAGGTAGAAGAATCACTTGAAGCCAGGAGATGAAGGTTGCAATGAGCTGAGATCACGCCATTGCACTCCTGCACTTCAGCCTGGGCGACAGAGCAAGATTCTGTCTCAAAAAAAAAAAAAAAAAAAAAAAAGGCCGGGCGCGATCCTCACGCCTGTAATCCCAGCACTTTGGGAGGCCGAGGTGGGCAGATGAGGAGGTCAGGAGATCGAGACCACCCTGGCTAACACAGTGAAACTCCGTTTCTACTAAAAATACAAAAAAATTAGCCAGATGTGGTGGCGGGCGCCTGTAGTCGCAGCTACTTGGGAGGCTGAGGCAGGAGAATGGTGTGAACCCAGGAGGCGGAGCTTGCAGTGAGCCGAGATCACGCCACTGCACTCCAGCCTGGGCTACAGAGCGAGACTCTGTCTCAAAAAAAAAAAAAAAAAAAGCAAAATTTTGATTAACTTGTGATTATTTCATTTCTAAGATGATTAAACAAGTTTCCTTATGTTTACCATTTTTATACTTTGAATGTGGAGATGGGGTGAAGATGTGAAGATGTGTGGAAAAGATAATACAACAGTTTGAAATTAAAAACAGATACATGATTCCTTTTAACACAACCTTATCATAAGACTAATTCCAAACTGAATGTTATCCATTCAATCCAATGATTAAATAGAGAAAATAGCAAATATAGTTAACATTATTTTGTAGGTTTATTGGCAAAATAGTTGATCCCTGTGTCAAGTTCTGTAAAATTAATTAGTAGTCAATGATAAAGGTATTCAAACAGAATACTCATTTAATCATTAGTAAATCAAAGTACTATTTACTATACTCATTCTCCAAATTCTGATTTCTTTATTAATGCTTTATTAATATGGAAATTGGAAACAAAATCACTCAAGTATAGTTATATATTAGGTGATACAATTATATTATGTTTTGCTTTATTTGAGACATTCTGTTTTCATTAATTACTAGGCATATAGGGCCTAATATTTTAAAAATTTCCATTATTCAAGTTATTATTCTATCAGATTACTTTTTTCATTTTGTCTATATTTTCCAGAGTTATTATATTTGTATGTTTGTAAGCAAGATAAACAAAATTAATCATATATGCTTCTTTGAATTTTTAGGTAGATATTAAGAATAAGGGAAAAATGTATGCATGACTTTGATTAACAGGAAGCTCTGTACCTCAGCCAGAGACAAAACAACATGTATTAAATTATATACAAAAAAAAATTACTTTAAGTAGAAATGTATTGCTGCTGGAAATATCATTTAAAAACTTTGGGCTGGGCGCAGTGGCTTATGCCTGTAATCCCAGCACTTTGGGTGGCCGAGACGGGCAGATCACAAGGTTAGGAGATCAAGACCATCCTGGCTAACACAGTGAAACCCTGTCTCTACTAAAAAAAAAAAAAAAATTCAAAAAATTAGCTGGGCGTGGTGGTGGGCACCTGTAGTCCCAGCTACTTGGGAGGCTGAGGCAGGAGAATGGCGTGAACCCAGGAGGCAGAGTTTGCAGTGAGCCGAGATCGTGCCACTGCACTCCAGCCTGGGCGACAGAGGGAGACTCTGTCAAAAAATAAATAAATAAATAAAAGAATTTGAACGATATGATTCAGTCACATAATTTCCTGTTTCTATTACATTTAATCAACCATTTTGTCAAAAACTGTTAATGTTGCCCAAATCTTTTAAATTAATATAAGTGGTCATTTGGATAATGATTATACCTGAGAGAATAATAAATTTTTATTTTTTTCTTGTGGTTCAGCAGTGGATCAAGAACAAGTTGTGATAATTGCTCAATCAGTTATGACTAAAAACTTTTTCAGGGAATAAAAACCTTTTCACTTTTTTCTTACTATTGTTCATTTGGCATGGAACAAACAAGAGATCTGGCTGACAACATATTTGCTGAGTAATAAATCTTAGTATTACTGATGATAATGTTTCCAGGCATTATATGCTTCTTATTATGGTACAAAATAAGGTATACAACACCACCTAGTTAGACTATTCTTGCCAAAAATATTTAATTTGAGTCCAGTCAAGCCTTTAGGTCTTATTTTTAGTTTATAAGAAAATTACAGAACAAATTAGAAAATTCCTGTGTTAGGTATTGACTATTATTTTGGATAACAAAGTGTAGATCATTGCATTTGTTTTGCAGTTGTTATCGTTTTGCCCTCTTCTCATTCATTGCCAAGCATAACACCTTATAAAAAATCATTGTTTAATAAATTAAGATTTGGATTATTATGGAATTTAAGGCTTATATATATTATCTAATTTGAAACACACCACAACTTTTGGAAGCAGTTATAGTTGTACCCCTTCCAACATGAACCTAGAAGTCTGGGAGAAAAACAGTGCTCTATCTTCCAAAACATACTGAACTTATTAAATTAGACATTTCTGATAAACTACTCAGTTGGTTGAGATGGAGTAAGGTTGAAGTGTTAATGAGCTCAGTGTGCTGGAGGATACATCTGTAAAACTAGTTATTTGGCATCAGCTATATGAAATGTCACAGCAATTTTTGAACCATTTAGTTAGTTTGAACATCATCTTTAAGACATTCTTTCAAAATAGGAATTTCAACTATGTACAAGACAATTTTTTAAGGTGTAGAAGAACCAAGAGTGAATAAAATGGCCCTACCCTCATACAGCTTACATTCTCATGTGGAGAAAACAAATCTTAAACTATTTTTTAAAGTACATGTAGAATTTGTCATATGGTGATACGTTTTATAGAAAAAAGTTAACTGGACAACTAAATGAAGGGATAAGTGATGGAGAAGGCAGAACAGAACTATATGACTCAGGTGATTAGAGAAGGCTTCTCTTTTAAGAGATCTGAAGTGTGACTGAAATACATCAGGAATTGAACCATGAAAATGACTTAAAACAAAACAAAACAAAAACAAAAACAAAACAAAACACGCTTCCCAGGCAGAGGAAACCGTAATTGCAGAGACTCATGGCAACATGGGCTTACCATGCTGGGAAAATGAACAAGAAAAACACGTTGTTGAAGTGGAGTGAACCAGGGAAAAAACAGTAAGACAGAATCAGAGAGGCAACTGCGGGCCAGATCATCAAGAACTTTGGAGGGCATTTTAAATACTTCAAATCTGAGTGAAATGGGAAGCCATTGGAGGGTTTTGTGGTAAGTTATGAAATCTGTTTTTTGTTTAGTACTTTAAAAAAACATTTATTCCTAATTATCTGGTGGTGGTGGTGGTAGTGGAAAGACCTGAAGCAGTAAGATCCTCCATGAAAGAGGCTCTCATGGATTGGACCAGGTGGTTAGTGGTGGAGGTATTGAAAAATAGATTCTGGATATATTTTGAATGTAAGCTCTAAGGGAACTTACCAAATGATCAAATATGTGGGAGGACATATGAGTGAAATTAAGCCAAACTTCTAATATTTGGAATTTAGGTTCCTAGAAGGATGAACCTGGCTTTCACTGGATGTCCTCATTGTGAAAAACCCGATTGTGAATAATCGGGTTTTGGCAGGGAAGAATCAGGATTTCAGCTATGAGCATGGTACACTTGATTTGCTTTTTAAGCATACCAGAGGCAACATCAAGTAGGTAATTAGATATTATGAGTCTAGATTTCAAAAGAGCAGACTAAATATAAACTTTGGAGTTATTAACATGTAGTTGGTACTTAAATCCGTGAGACCTGATAAGATGAGCCAGGGGTGGGAATAGAAAGAGGGGAGTTCTGAAGATGAAGCCGGAGACATTCGATTTGAGAGACAGAAAAGATGAGGGGAAAACCAGCAAAAGAGATTGAAAGGAGCATCAGAAAATTCAGGGAGCCAAAGGCCTGTGGGATCGTGACCAACTCAGCATTCCACTGGAGGCTATATGATCAAACAGCAAACTGTTGATCATGAATGCAGGATGTGAGCAAATCACACTGCGCCTGCCACCAAAAGGTTTGCTGAGGGCCTCACACTCCCTGGCACCGGGCTCCTTGAAGTTATCTACTGAGAAATCCAGCACTTATTGCAGTCTTGCAAGCCTGCTGTGAACCAAACAGCCGGCTGACAATTACCTGACAATCACCCCCGCTTTCTTGCTATCTCTTTTGTGTAATAAATATGGAGGTCTGTGTAAAGCTCAGGGCCCTTGTCCACTAGAGGCAACGTGCCCCCTGACCCCATCTTCCAAATATACTCTCTTGTCTTTGAATTTTATTCCCGCTTTCGCCACCCTTTGTTCAGTCCACCAAGGATCCTGGCAGGTTACAAGAAAAGTAGGAGAAAAATCTGGAGGAAGGATGTGGAGTCTCAGAAACCAAGTTAAGAGTGTGGTGGAGCCAGAAAAAGGCCAGTTGAGATAAGAGGAATCTGAAAGAATGGTGTACCACAGAGGCTAACTGGAGACCAAGGAAGTGGTCAACATGGTAAGATAATGCTGATGGTCTGGATAAATAGGATCAAATATTGTCCATCAAATTTATCAATATGGAGATCACTGATGACCTGCTTTGTTGGAATGGTGGTGCTAAATACTATTTGGAATGAGTCAGTGGAGAATGGGATGTGTATTAATGTTCTAGTACTGTGAAATAAACTACCATAAACTTAGTGGTTAAAAAACAACACCTATTTATTAGCTCAGAGTCTGGGTCAGAATTGTGGCACAGCAGGACTGTCAGCCACTCTGTGTTCTCATGTGGAGCTTGTGGTCTTCTTTTAAGCTTGCATGGTTGTGGCAAGATTCACTTCCTCGTGGTGGTTATGGGCGGTCCCTGTTTCCTTGCTGGCTGTCAGGTGGGAAATACTCTCACCTTCTGGAGGCAACCCACATTCCCTAGCATGTGGTTTTGTCCATTTGCAAAGCCAGCAATGGAAAATCTCCCTCATGTAAAATCTCTCATACTTGAATTTCTGACTTCCTCTTTTATGAAAAGCTGGGAAAAAACTGCATTTACCTGGATGTTCTATTTTAAGATTAACGGTGCCACATAACAAAACCTAATCACAGAAATAAATTCACCCTATTTGTGGTCCCAGGGATTATAGAGGTTTTGTACATCAAGAGGACGGGGAAAACTTTTGGGGGTTTTCTTAGAATTATGCCTACCACAGTAAAACTGAAGATGGGTAGTATAGACTGCTTTTTGAGTGACTTGTTTTGCCAATAAGACAGCAGAACAATAGGGCAATAACTCAAAGGAAAATGGGATCAAAAAAGGATAGTTTTAATATGTAAGACATTTTAAAAATATCTGTATGCTGATAAGAATAATTCTCCCCCAGACAGAACATCTGATATGTCTTGAGAGGAGTGAGCTGCTTGAATAATATCTATTTTTGAGTAGGTCAGGATGAATGGGATCTCTGGCACATGTGTAGATGTCGATCTTAATCAGGAGAGTAGAAAAAACAGATTCTTTGCAGTAAAGAAAGAATTCAGTAGTTATTTTGCTCAAAGCTACCAGAAAATTTCTTCTGTTGCTTCTTTTGTTCTCCTGCGTCAGTGAAATAAAAAGATTTATGAGTGAACTGTAAGGATGGGAGAAATGGTGACAGAGATTTGAGGACAATGTATAAGGACTTGGAATGGAATATATACAAGCCAACATATAATCACGAAGAAAATTTTACAAAGGATTTTTTTTTCACAAAGAGATCAAATTATTTGTGCTGTAGAAATAAGTTTTATAGTTTTAAGAAAAGAATAATGGAAGAGGAAAAAGAGAGGAAGGAATGCAGGGACGCCTATGCATTTACTTGAGTGAGTGTTATTTTTCAATCACATTATTAGTGCTATGAGAATAAATAAAATACAGTCCTAGCATTAAAGGTTAAGAAGGGTCTTGTAAATTTTTATGAAAATACATATTTATGTGGATAAAATAACAAGAAGAGATATGAAGGATGACAAAAGGGCTTAACCTGCCTAGAAGACATCATAGAAAAGTAACATTTGAGATACATAGTTCTTAAGAGAAAAACAGAGAATGTTTTTCTAACAAAATAGATAGTATTACATATAGTTCTCCTTAATTCTGATGAAAAAATAATCTTTGGGGGGAGATAATACAATAGAGAAATAGTGTAGAGTAAAATAGTATGAATCAGGATAAAATCCAAGACCTGTAGGTGCAATGATGGCTTCAGTTGTAGGCCAACCAGTGAATGATATTCCTCATTTAAAATGTCCATTCTGGTCTCAAATAGAATATTCCTAAAGTGTGCCCTTCAAAAGAACTTACCTAATTGTTTTTATATTAACCTAATTATCATCATCATCAGGATAATAATAATTTAATTAACTAACTACAACTATTAATATTTCATGATTGTTTTAGTAAGACTCAGACTTTTTTAATAAGATTCAGGCATTTCAGATCATGTAAAATAAGCAAAAAATATTCTGTAGCAAAGTATTTGTAGCTAAAAGGCCAATGAACACATTTGCTCTTGCTCCAAAATGTTGTAACCTATCTGCTTGATGCTTTACATTTTAAAATATTAACAATTTATATAGGTTGTTTTTCTTGTGAACTAAGGTAACTGACATGCCAACAGAAAATGGTAATTTCTTTCATATCACTTGTACCTGTAAGCTTATTGTCTATTTGATAGTATTTATTTTAAAAATCTTAGTTGATGTTTACAATTAGACAATAGATTTTTGTTAAACACTTTATAGACACTATATAACCTATTTATATTCTTGAATTTTATTAGAAAAGGTAATACTAAAAATAACCACAATTTATATAAACCACCAATAACTTTATTATTTCTCCTATTCATTGAGCTCTTAAATAAAAACAACATTCAGAGTAATTTCAGCACCCTTGAATTTTCTATCTTTGAACCAGAAAAAGATATCCAGGTTTGATTTCTGACTTTTAGTTCTAGATAATAGTATAATATTGAAAAAAAAAAGTCAAATAATTATCACTGCAAAATTAGGCTTGTAATTCTAATAGTTCAGAAAATAAGACTATCATGATTACTTTTCTCTATTGTAATGGCTGACTTGTGAGACAAAACAGGTATAAAAAAAGCTGTAAATCCCGTTCTCACGTATTCTTTTTTCCCACAAAATTTCATTTTCAAATAAGAATATATAAGTGTATAACATATACATACCATTTTTATTTAAAGAAAAAATTAGTAGCCTGATTTTTTTTTCTAGAATGAGATTCATGCAAAGGGCATCAGCAAAATTTGTGAATAACTAATTAGAGATTTTAGTCATTTCTTTGAAAAGAAAATGATTAAACTAATTAACAGCTATAACTAAGACCACCATTTACTAGAAATAATAAAATTTTTAAACATTTTAACATTTTATATAAAATAATTATAAAATTTAGTCTAAGTAAAATGTAGTACATGTGATTTCTATAATAGTTCAGGAAATAATACCTGAAAATAGCTCATGCCAAATTAAAATAGATATACATGTATGTATGTATGTGATAAATGTCTATGTGTGTGCATGTGCATGCATGTATAATCAAAACTATAAATTAAAAATAGCATAACATGATGTAAAAGCCAATCAACTGAGAAATTATATACCAGATACTTGACAGTGATTTAGCAAAATTAATGTGTAATGATCTCTTATTAATTCACATACACACACAAAATATAAGCATCTAAAAACAGTGGGACACAGAACCCAAACAAACAAGCAAATCACATATGTCAAATAAACATATAAGAATATGATAAATGTCATTAATAAAGAAATATAAAGTAAATAACAATGTATTTTTTAATGTTTCAAATTATCAAAGATTATTTAAAGTTATCAAACCCAGTATTTGAGGAAGATATCCTCAAAAGAAACTATTACTCAAAAGTGAGAAAAACTCAGAAAATTAATTTGGAGTCTGAATAATGTTTATATACTTAAAAAAGATTTGTAGGTACATAGCAGGTGTATATATTTATGGGGTACATAAAATATTTTGATACAAGCATACAATGCATAATAATTACATCAGGGTAAATGGGGTATTGTTCACCTCAAGCATTTGGCCTGTGTGTTACAAACAATTCAATTATATTATTTTACCTGGTGTTCTTAATTAAAAGAATTTATCTTAAGAAAATAATCAATGATGTGAAATATACATAAATATTTATGTGTAATAATACTTGTGTATTTCATAATTGCAAAAAGTAGGAAGTAACTTCATTATCAAAAGTAAAGGGATGATTAATTAAAATATATATCCACTTAATATAGCATATATATAATCCTTCCCAGTCCTTCATAAATAGTTGAAACAGCCAGTTGTAAATACACTAAAATTTTAAAAAATATTTAAATAACAATTGATGACCAAAATGGAAAAATAATACATGAATCAATAGATCACAACAATTTTTACCAGCCCTTCCAGATTCTAGAGACAAGGCTCTAACCCTATTTCATCTGCCTAAGCATCTAGCGAAGCTCCCCTAAGCTTTGAAAGATCTAGCCACCAATCACATACCTAACAATGGACTCCCAGGATCAATTATTTGGAAAGCTTGCAGCCAGGTAACTCTAGAATACCTGTTTTCCTTAGTTATTGACCCTGATGTAGATATATCTTGTCATGCCCTCTTTCCTATGTAATAATACCCATGCTGCTTTGTGTTTTTTTCAACCCAAACTCATTCTCCCACAGCTGCTTTCTTTCCAAATCTTCCTACTTTCTTCTCTGAAATCCCTGTTTCAGAGTAAGCAAGCTCGCTTTTATCATAATCCGTTTCCTGAATGCTGTTTCCACTTTTGGGAAACTTGAGTCTCCACTAAAGACATTACTTTCCAGTGGATCTATTTCAAAGTAACAAGGGAGGATTTATCCTTACTTTCTCCCACTGCTGCTCCTCAACTATTACTTCTTTATCCTCATGTAAAACTCCTTGTTCTCTGCAGGCTTATGAAATTGGGCTGAAGTCTCTGCTCACAAGAATTGCTTTTATCTACTCAAACTCCCAGCCACTCTCATTTACAAGGAATTTCTAGATCATACTAGATGACTGTAATCTAGTATCAGTACTCTGTTGAACAATCTAGCTCATCAGATTCCTGACCTTGCTAACTCCAGGAACCTTTATACCCACCTATTTTAGTTTTCCACTTCTGCTAAAGCTATACTTTAAAACTTGTCATCTCAGAAGTCCGTTTCCATAATAGTAAGTTCAGAGATTCTTCTTTCTGGCTGCAACCTCCTATTTTCCTGGTTGCCTCCGTTACTTCTATCATACATTTTCTTTGATCCATTGGAGACCATGAGTCTCTTAACCACTCTATTTTTTCCCAGTAGTTACACCCTATCTTCATTTTCTTTCCTAATCAGCTTAATTGCATGTGCCACCACATGGCAGTATTATCATGCCTTTCATCTGTCTGTGCTGTCATTGTCTTTAGATAGCAAAATTCTTAACCAGGGTTACTCCAGCTAGCAATAATGTCCATAGAACTCTGAGGGAAGGTAAGCACTGCTGGAGATACTTGCATTTACCTGGACTGCTACAAATTCATGATATCCTACCTTATTTGGGTAGCTCAATATTCCAGGAAAACTCCTATAATTTTCCAGTCAACTGGATTCCACTTTATATAGCCCTGATTTATCTTTTGAATCTTTCTCTTTTTTACTGTCTGCTAGATGCCTACTCTTAAGCTACACTAAACTAATTGTACTTCCTCATCTAAGTTTGGATAAGCTGCTAGTAGTATATATTCTATGGAGAGTCACACTTCCTTTATTGTAGTACATTTTCCTATAATGATGCTGCCTGTTTACTTGGTTACATTTGTTATTAGCATGACAATATGCCAACAGAAACAGACAAAGCCATGTGAAATAAAAATAATTTAGTCTGATGTCATTTTAATAACTATATGAGTTTTGGCCCTATCAAATAGGGAAAATGTGGTAAAAAAAAAAAAAAAGGAAATCAGCAAAAACAGTAAACAAACACAAATATTGCAGAATTGTGTACATTTAAATGAGGGGGATGGAGATCAACAGATTATATAATAATGATATGAAGGACTCTGTCAAACAGCATTAATGAATCTATACAGACATGGAAAGACACAAATGTATTAAGAGAACTAAAGAAATGCAAATAAAGCAGTAAAGGGAGGTAGCAAAAATTCTAGTGGGAGCTCAGACTTTTTGAGTAAAGACTGGAAAAATTAGGTAGTAATATGGCTTATCCTAGGACACGAACTTTTTTTTCAGTTTTAGAGACTTAGTTTGTATAACAGAAATTGATTGGGTGTGCACCCATAGAGTTACAGACAAAATAAAAAAAATCCTGTGATGTGATTAGAATTTTTAATGATTTAAATAAAATCCCAATGCATTGGCATAGAAAATTCTCATTTCCATAGATTGGGATGAGAATTATTTGCATTGTAGGATACGTATTCTAAATCAATATTTATAATAAATATAGAAATTATAAATTAAATAATAACCTTAGAACTAATGTGTTTTACATTACTTATAGGAGTAATCTGTGTTTTACATTTTAAGTAGAATTAATGTTTAAGAGAATTTTGCACATTAGAGTAGCTAACAGATTTATTCTGAATTTCCAATTTAAAGTTTGTAACTTAATGAATAATTCTGTATTCTAATTTTAAGTTTAAAGGCATACGTTTTTATGAGGTCTATAAACAATACAGTATTTGTTAGACAATTGAAATGCTGAAACACTAAATATTTGTATTAAATCTGTAAATCATTTATTTGAATACTGTATTAACCAAAAGAGTAGTTCCTGAATTTTACACCAAAGCTGCTCAAAGGATACCAGAAATATTAATTATTCACTCTTTGAAATTAAGGACATGCCATTTTTATTACAATTAATCTTGCACTATTGGAGATATAGTGAAGGTCTATGAAATATTTCTAAAATGAAAGATGAATGCATGAAACTGTTAGAATCATCTTTAGTAATAATGCTTAATGAAATTAATGCTGATGCAGCAAAAGAGAATAAGAAAAGAATACATATCTTTAAATTAAAAAGAGTACATACCTTAATTCTATAAAGATTGCATATATATATTTTGAAATATATATTATGTATAAGTCTGCTTTTAATGGAAACTAACTCTATTCATTTATATTAACTCTGAAGAGTACAATCAGTAAATGCTCTCATTTCTAGAATATAAATTTTCTCTCTCCCAAGAAGTAAAAGTATGAATTACCTTTAGAAGAGACTTTTATATGGGGAAAAAAATCACTGTAAAATGTTCTATTTATTTTCAGAAATGTAAAGCAAGTCCTATCCTTTATTCATGTGGAAAATGGCAAAATCCCCATTTTTGTGTCCCTTTGATGATATAAATCATGTGTGGTTGAGTCTGGGATGAATCTCTCAGACTGTTGCTTTTTATAAAATGAGAAAAAATTTTTATTTTGATGAGTTAACATGACATTCTGCCTATAAAATATAGTTTGTTTTTATTTGTTCAGAGTGATGGAGATTATCCAAAGAAGGCTAAGTATGGAATGCACAAGTAGCACTGTTTTGGGGAAAGACCTAGTAACACGTGGCCTGGCTTTCTATGCAGCTCAACCTGGAACTGAGTCTCCCTGACTAAGTGTTAAGGTTAAGCAAGTCTGAAAATCCTGAATGTACCAGGTCGTGTCTTGTGTTCTGATATAATTGTTGTGATGGGTTCACAGTCCTGAGATTTCCCCTGAAGGGAATGAAAATGTTCATTTTCAGTCATCCTGGAAAAGACAAACCCTCAAAAAAGAAACCAGAATTACAGGGGTCACACCTTAAACTAGATGGCAGGTGGTGAGGCTCAGGAAAACAAACTACTTCTTAATGTGAATCATGCTTGGATCACCTCCAGTAGCCATGATGGAGGGAAGGGGGAGTGGAGGGACACCTTCAATGTTCTGATTCAGAAGTACGCCTTGGGTGGAGCCCAGGTATCTATGTTTGCATCAAGCCTTGCTCTCTTTTGCCCACTACCCTGTGATTCTAATGAAAGTAGCCTGCATACTGTAAGATATATTAGACTTAAAGAGTAGCAACTTTTGCATATAAAATCAAACACAAAACTGGACAATAGAAATAGTGTTTAAAAATGCATCATTTTGCTACCTTTGACATCTATCTTTTTTCTTATGCCAAAAATAAGTTAAAATCTGCTAGAGAGCTATATCATTAAAAAAATCATAAGACCACTCTTCAGTATAAAATAGCTGCCATGCCATTACTAAGGTGTGGCTAATGTGGTTATCTCCTCGTTCAAATTCATTTTGGGTCTTAATTATTATTCTGGCTTTGGGAGAATCAGAATATGCTGGAGTTTCACTCATTGCCTTTGGCTTGTGTTTTAAGTATGACATCAGAGACAGTTCTTTTTACTGTCAATCAAGGAGTGAACAAGCCATGTCAGTGGTACACAGGAGGAAAACAAAATTGTCCACAGACTTCTTGTTTTTCACATTCATAGTTTATACTTCATCACATTGGTTCGTGAATAGGATTTAATGGTCCTACTACATAGTAAACAGAGACAGTTTTCAATTTGATTAGCAGTTAGTTTTGTAGGTAGCTTTTTCATGATTAAAAAATCTAGTAATTACTTATTGTTTTGTGTTAACAACCGCATACAAGCAATTTTGATAAATATCACCTGTCATGATATTTATCATTGTTAGATAATACTAACAGAGAAACAATTATTTCTTATCTTTTTTTGCACATATTTAGCCTTATTATTTAACCATATATCATAGAATTTAAAATATTTCTATAGTAAGAGGTCATTTTTGATTTATATAATACTTCTACTTATCCCTGACCAGGAATGATCAATCATGATACAACTGTCTATTAAAGAATGAAGAATATATTGCATTTTCCCCTTGTGAAATTCAACAGAAAAATTAGACTATGCTATATTTTATTGCTTGTGGACTCTAAAATTGGAACTTAATGTAGAGTAAGACCTGCATTTAAAGCTGTGGCAAACCCAATTTAGTGGCGTATTAGAGGTTCTTTATGCTGGTTCAAAAGAGCTGATTGTTAAATGTTCACAAATTTAACAAGCTGGTTGTTAAACCCAGGCATTATCAAAAATTTGAACATATAAACTTACATATAAATATATAGGGACAATGTATACTCAAAACATATTTTCCAATTATTTTACTATTATTCCTCCTCTTAGGTTATTTATGCATATTATATCTAAATGGTAGGAATTCTATATTTATTGGTGTGCTTCTGGTGTGTAATGTAATGTAACTGTATATTTCTGGGCATCTTGTCCCACTTTATGTTCAAGTTCGTAGTTTAAAAACAGCCATGGTGGGAATATTTACACCACAGAAATAGAAAAATGCTACAAATCAGAGGTTTTAGCATACTATTGTCTGGGTTCCTGCTTTTCAATTCCCAGAGCCAGGTCTCATCCATAATTCCTGACATTATTTCATATATATAGCATTTTCCATCAATTACTTGAAATAGCATCTCTTTTATTTGTTAACTCTTTGGATTCTTATTCCTTGCAACTAAAAGCGCTTGAATAAAACAAATGCAATTGTAAAAAATGCACATTCTTCAAGTGTTTGCACTTTCCCTAGGTTTCTTTTATAATGAATATTTTTCATGTTTACATTTGTGTGACTTCAGAAAGGTGAATATCCTACGAAATTAGTAAGGCAGGATTATATTTGCTTTGTCCACTCACTGTAAGCTCCTCTGACCCACACATTGGCTTCTTTAACAGCCTAGAGGCTCTCATTCATGCAGGTGAGGACAACAAAGCAGACTTTTCAAATTCAGGGCTGAAAAAGTAGCAGATATTCTTTTAGTAGAATGGGTACCAGAGATAACAGTGGTAAAAAGCTTATTATTGTTCCATTTTTAGATAACCTATCCTAAACCTCAATTGCCATGAAAGTCTCTTATTTTTATCTTCTCTTTTTTTTTTTTCCACACTTAGGGTTGATTATCCACCTTTTACTGCTTCTCATTAGTAGAACTGGATGTGACTTAAAAATGTCTAACGACCCCTGCTACAGGGAGCATGTAAGAGATGAGGTCACCTGCGTGACACAGACAAAGCAATTTAAAGGATCAAGGGTTTGTGGATTAAGAGGGAGATAGAAAGAGGAGTTGTTTGGTTAGGGAAAGAAAGGAAGAACAGTTATTGGGAGGTAGTCAGAAACCGTGCTTCTCAAAGTGACTGGTTCAGTTTGCAATGAGCTAAGTACAAGAATTGAGATTATAGCATCACCAGTTTTCAGAGAAATGCAAATAAAAATCATAATGAACTATCATCTCACTCCACTTGAAATGGCTTTTATCAAAAAAACAAAAAGTAACAGATGCTGATAAAGATGCGGAGAAAGGGAAATGTTCGTACATGGTTTAGTTCATGCAAATGTAAATTAATAGAACCAGTATGGAAAGCAGTGTGGAGTTTCTGCAAAAAACTTAAAAACAGAACTACCATGTGATTCAGGAATCTCACTATTGGGCATATATCTAAAAGAAAGGAAATTAGTATATCAAAGATGTGTCTGCACTCTCATGTTCATCATAATAGCCAAGGTATGGAATCAAGTTAAGTGAACATCAATGGATAAATGGATAAAGAAAATGTGGTGCACATACAGAATGTAATTGTATTTAGACATAAAATAATGAAATACTGTCATTTGCAACAACATGGATGAAACTGGAGGAGTGAAATAAGCCAGGCACAGAAAAACAAACATTACGTGTTTTTACTTATATATGGGAGCTACAAATTGATCTCATGAAGTTATAGATTAAAATGAAGGTTAACAGAGGGTGGGAAGGATAGTGAGGGAGTGGAGGGTTAAAAAGATATTAGCTAATGGGTTCAAAAATACAGTTAGATAGAAGGAATAAGATCCAATATTCAGTAGCACAATAGGGTGACAATAGTTAACGATAAAATTTTGTATATTTCAAAATAGCTAGAAAAGAAAATTTGGAATGTTCTTTTTTATTATTATTTATTTTATTTTATCTTGAGATGGGTCTCGCTCTGTTGCCAACGTGGAGTGCAGTGGCACGATCTCGGATTACTGCAACCTCTGCCTCCAGGTTCAAAAGATTCTCCTACCAGCCTCCTGAGTAGCTGGGACTACAGGCACGTGCCACCACATCCAGCTAATTTTTGTATTTTTTGTAGAAACGGGGTTTCACCATGTTGGCCAGGATGGTCTCGAACTCCTGACCTCATGATCTGCCCACCTCTGCCTCCCAAAGTGCTGGCATTACAGGCGTGAGCCACTGCACCCAGCCTCGGAATGTTCTTAACACAAGTGATAAATGTTTGAGGTAATTGATATCCCAGTTACTCTGATTTGATCATTACACATTGTATGCTCATAGCAAAATATAACATGTATATAATAAATATATACAACGATTACATATCCATAAAAATAAAAAATAAGCGGAGCTTAGTCCTTTAAACACTTCTAGAATGTTTACATAGCAATTTTATATCTATTGACTCTAATAGCAAAATAAAGGGGCTTGAATTTTTCATTCTCCAAAATTGTATATTGTCAGTAATTAGGATTAAAAAAAATTTACAAAAGTATTGGTCCGCAATGGACTTGAAATTAAGGAAAAAATATCTTTTACCAGAGATAGTTTAAAACACTGCTAAACATAGGTGATTGAAATAATTTTTAAAATAATAAAATTTATATTAATTACCTCACAGATTGTATAAACAAATGCACACCTACACATATAAATAGACGCCAGTTTGCAAACCACAACTTCAAAAACTTTTTAAATTGTCAAGGAAAAGCTACATATATTCAATATTTTGATGTTTTCCAAGAGTAAACTGTATTTCGATATATATATATATTTTTTTCTTTCGAGACAGTCTCCCCTCTGTTGCCTTTGCCTAGGCTGTAGTACAGTGGTACGATAACAGTTCACTGCAGCCTTGACATCCTGGGCTCAAGTGATTCTTCCACCTCAGCATCCTGAATAGTTGGGGCTACAGGTGGGCACATGATGCCTGGCTAATATTTGTATGTTTTGTAGGGTCGGGGTTTTGCCATGTTGCCCAGACTGGTCTCGAACTCCTAAGCTCAAGGGATCCTCCTACCTCAGCTTTCCAAAGTGCTGGATCTACAGGTGTAAACCACCATGCCTGGCCCCAAAACATTATATATTATTTTTCAATAATTTGATTTTTTATTGATTGTTAAATGTAGCCTTCCAGATAAGAACATTTGATCCTCACCCCCAGCCCACCTGTTTCTCCCTCAGCCTCCCCAGCTCTAGTCACCATCCAACCACCTGCTGAATCCAGATCCTCCTTTTCCCCAGCCTCCCATATTTACTCCTCTGGGTTTTCTATCCAAAGTGTTTCCTCAATTCTCAACCTGCCTTCATTCCCACCTCCACTACCTTATTACAGAGCATCATCATTTTTCAACGGCAGAAGCTGCGATAATCTTGTAAGTGGTCTTCCTCCTTCTACACCTGATTCTAGAGTTGTCTTCACGGATATGTGACCTGTGCAGTCATGGAGGGCCTCATACATAAGGGTCTCACAGTTGGTTTAATATTGTACTGTCAGCATCTTGAAATTCTTAATAGTTTTTGAACAAGAATTTCACCTCTCAAATTCCATAGCTGGTTCTGACTCTTCCCTTAATATTTCTCTCCACCAAGCAGCCAGAGTAATTTTTAAACTACAAATCAAATTTTGCATTTCCCTACTTAACACCCTCTATTCTATGCCCCCTGCCCATAACTTGTAGAAAAAAATCCACGTTCTTAACTTTTGCCTTAGAAACCCTATTTGTGTGGATCCTGCCTAACTGGCCTACTGTCTTGCCGTTTGTTTGCTCACTCCTGCCACGTTGGCCTTTTTTTAATGCTCTTCCCACAGCTGAACTCCTTCCTAGGTGCTGCGGACTGAATTGTGTCCTTCCAATTTCATATGCTGAAGCCCTAGCCCCCAACATGATAGGGCTTTTAGAAGGTAATTAGGATTGGATGATAGGTCATAAGGATTGGATGGTCATAGGATTGGATGATAGGTTATGACAGGTCACAAGGATGAGGTCCTGATCCAATAAGATTGGTGACCTTATAAGAAGAGGAAGAGAGAGAGGGAAGGCCATGTGATACCCAGCAGGAAGGCAGCCATCTGCAAGCCAGAATGAGAGCTGTCACCAGACCCTGAGCTCGCTAGCACCCTGATCTTACACTTCCACCCTTCAAAACTGTGAGGAAATAAATTCTGTTGTTTATATCACCCAGTTTATAATATTTTGTTATGGCAGCCCAAGCTAAGACAAAAGGTCACTGTGCTTTATAATCCTCAGCTTGGAAAGCCTTTGCTTCAGCTCTCTTCTTAACTGACTTCTTAAAATACTTCAGGTCTTACTTTCAATACCATCTTTTCAGTGAGGCATCCTGTAAACAGCACCACTTACTCACTTCCTACTGTATTTCTTTAATTAAGTACACTTATTATTTTATTTGTTTGTTTGTTTTTGGTTTGTCTTCTCAGCCAACCCTTCCCATCTCTATGCCACTCAATGTAATCTCCTTGAGGACAATGATGTAGTTTGCAGTTTTAGCATCTGTACCTAGAATAGTACATGGAATATGGTAATTACCCAGTAGTTATTTCTTGAACAAGTGAATGAAAGTATTCAGGCATGTTACATTAGAAGTCCTAGAGATAGAGAATTTGACTCAGTCCAGTGCCCAATGTGTTTGTGAATATTTGCCCAATAAAAGTGCCATGAAATAATTCATTTGGCATATTCATTATTCCAAAATGTTAAAAAAAAGAAACTATAAAACAGTATAGATACTAACCATTCTCTCTGATCCAGAGATAATGTTTATCAGTATATAATGTATTCAATAAATTGTAATTCTGATGTCATTCATTTATGCAAGATTATCAGAGAAGTTTTATTTAGTTTATTATAAACAAAGTTATTGTTTCCTGCCTTTGCCTTTTACTATGTGTGAACATCTGGGAGCAATATAAATCAGAGATAGTACACAAGTGTTTATAGTTCGCATATTTCTCATAACGAGTAATCTATTGTTACTTTTATGTACACACTTATGCAATGACAAAATGTAACTACAAATACAGTGATGTTCCAAGAATATGTCATTAATAACATATTCTCTCATGTCATCAGCACATTTTTACTGAGCCAGCCACACCTCAAAAAGGGTGTATGCTAAAATGTGTCCTAATACTCTATATTCAGAGTATTTTCTGTGAAACACATTAAACAGGTGTATTCCAACTGGTGTATTAAAAACTCAAGCAGACTGTCTAGACAGGCGTATCTGCTCTGACTGAATGCCAGCTCATGCTTCTCTTCTCTAGGAGGCTGTAATTAATATTGAGGTCTAGGAGAGGTTGATGAAAAGCTAATATTAAATAATTGCTAACATATAGGAGTGTTTATTATGTATTTTATATGCATCCAATCTCATAACAACCCTATGGGATAAGTCCTCTATCTTCATTATATAGAATGCAATGTGCTCGCAGTTCAAAATACATTATATTATGTAAATCATCACAACTCTATGAAAGAGTTAATGTCATTCTTACTTTATAGATAAGAAAAATGATGTTCAAGCATGGTAAAGAAGTTTTCCAAATATGCATATCTTATTTGTGGAAAAATAAGAATTGTTATTCAAATCTGTCT
This sequence comes from Homo sapiens, assembly GCF_000001405.40. Classification (NCBI taxonomy): domain Eukaryota; kingdom Metazoa; phylum Chordata; class Mammalia; order Primates; family Hominidae; genus Homo; species Homo sapiens. The sequence continues at coordinate 85,524,007 of NC_000012.12, forward strand.
GGCTCCAAATCCTGAGTTCTGCTACGCCCTGATGCCTCTCAGGAAGGAGTTTAGGAAAAAGTTTAAAATTTCCACTCCAGGGGGTTGTTTCTGTTAGTTTTTCCAATACTGTCTATATTGCATGCTCTTTAATTTCCTTTTTTTTTTTTTTTTTTTTTTTTGGAGACAGAGACTCACTCTATACCCCAGCCTGGAGTGCAGTGGCACAATCTTGGCTCACTGCAACCTCTGCCTCCCAGGTTCAAGCAATTACCATGCCTCAGCCTCCCCAGTAGCTGGGATTACAGGAGCCCGCTTTCATGCCCGGCGACTTTTTGTATTTTTAGTAGAGATGGGGTTTCGCCATGTTGGCCTGTCTGGTGTCGAACTTCTGACCTCAGGTGGTCCACCCCCCTGGGCCTCCCAAAGTGCTGGGATTACAGGCATGAGCCACCACTTCTGGCTGCATGTTCTTTATGAATCTCAACTCCTAATTTCTCTTTATGAACAATTGGTCATCTAAGTCAAGACATTTTCTTACTGTTACCTCCCTCTTTATCATTATTACTAAGACAAATTAGTTCCTCCCTTTCTCAGGCCAAGTAGCCTATCACTGTCCATGTCTCTGTTAACTATGATGCGTATATTTAAGTGTTTCCATTATTTCATCTTGCTGGCTGAAAATCTAGTTTTTTTTTGTTTTTTTGTTTGTTTGTTTGTTTTTCACTAACTCATTAGGGCTGCTGCAACAAATTATTACAGAATGTTTTAAATGAACAGAACTTAATTCTTTTGCAGATTAGGAGGGCAAAATTCTGAAATCATGATTCCAACAGGATTGGTCCCTTCTGGATCCTCTGCAGGAGACTTTTCCTATTCCAAGCTTCTGGTGGTTGCCGACAATTCTGGCCATTCTTTGGCTGGTAGATACATCATTTAAATATCTGCCTCCATCTTCATTCACATGATGTTCTCTTCTCTGTGTCTCTGTGCATTATTCAGCCTACTACATTGCCTGGCTAGCCTAGCAGCCCTCATGGATCCTCCAAATTTCTCATTCTTTCTGTCAATGGGGCAAAAATGAGAGGGGCAAATATCTCTTTGATTCAAACTATTGAATCAAATCATCAACATTTTAAAATATTAAGCCAATGGCTTTTCTTTTGATTCCTCTGTCTTGTACTTCTGGTACAATCTTTCACACTGGGGCCATCTACTAACATCCAAGACACTCATCTTTGTCAAGGGCTTGTACACATTATTTTAAATATTCTTCATCCTCATTTTTCTGTCAGTAATTTCCATCTCCTCTATATCTCAGTGACTTTATCTGCAGGCTCTGCTTTATCCCCGAAGTGGAGAATCTGCCAGGATGTTAAACTCAAAAGTCTCACTTGAATCTTCAATCTGGTTATCTTTCATGTCTCTTTCGTCCTATACTGTGGTTTTTATTCTTAGTCTGGCCTCTAGTTTCTCATTTTTTCCTCCAGTATATCCAGCCCTTTTATTCATTTAGTTTTTGACATATTTACCTCTTTCCTGCTCTGGGATCTTTCCGGAAACTTTTGTTTTTCCTATATATAATAGCTTGTTTAAGCACTTAACATAGTAAAGATACCATGGAGGTATAAGAATCAAATCATGAAATAAACAAAAGTTCAAACTTAATTAAATGTCAACTTCTATCTATGTTGTCCCTCTGTAATCCTTATAATCTTCTGGTTAATCTTTCTAATTCTTCTGAAAAAAAAAAGAAATTAGTTTTACACAGCTTTTGTATTTCCAAAATAAATTTGTTTCTGAAATTATTTCTTCTTCTAGGAAGTAGGAAACTGCTTTGTAGAAATGAAAACAGAACCTTAAAAAAACTACTAGGCCAGGTGCTGTGGCTCACGCCTGTAATCCCAGCACTTTGGGAGGCCAAGATGGGTGGATCACAAAGTCAGGAGATTGAGACCATCCTGGCTAACACGATGAAACCCTGTCTCTACTAAAAATACAAAAACAAAATTAGCCAGGCATGGTGGTGGGCACCTGTAGTCCCAGCTACTTGGGAGGCTGAGGCAGGAGAATGGCGTGAACCTGTGAGGCGGAGCTTGCAGTGAGCCGAGATCGTGCCACTGAACTCCATCCTGGGGCAAAGAGTGAGACTCCATCTCAAAAACAAAAACAAAAAAACAAACAAACAAAAACTACTAGTGCCACCAAAGCTTTAAAAGTGTGTGTGTTTTTGTGTGTATATAATCAGGAGATTTATAAGATAGTGATCAATAATATGCATCAATTCTGAGTTTCTCATGAGTTCAGCCAACATGCTTAATTCTCTCAAGTTCTAATTATGCCTAAAATATGTAGCTGAGTGAGATAGTTTTTATATTTGTCCCACTCAAATCTGATGTTGAACTGTAATCTCCAATGTTGGATGTGGGGCCTGGTGGAAGGTGACTGGATCATGGGGGTGGATTTCTCATGAATGGTTTATCACCATCTCCTTGGTGCTGTTCTGGTGATAGTGAGTAAGTTCTCATGAGATCTGGTTGTTTAAAAGTATGTGGTACTTCCCCTCCAAACTCTTTCTGTCTTGCTCCTGCTTCTGTCATGTGAGATGTCTTCTTGCTCTTCGCCTTCTACCATGATTGTAAGCTTCCTGAGGCCTCCTCGGAAGCAGATGATGCCTAGGTTATGCTTCTTGTACAGTCTGCAGAACAATAAGCTCATTAAACCTCTTTTCTTTATACATTTTTCAGTCTCAAATATTTCTTTATAGGAATGCAAGAATGGCCTAATACAGAAAATTGGTACCAAAGGATGGGACATTGCTATAAACATACCTGCTATACACATACTGTGGAAGTGACTTTGGAACTGGGTAATATGCAGAGGTTGGAAGAGTTTGGAGGGCTCAAAAAAGACAGGAAGATGAGGGAAAGTTTGAAGCTTCTTAAAGACTGGTTAAATGGTTGTGACCAAAATGCTGATAGTGATATGGGCAGTAAAGTCTAGGCTGACAAGGTCTCAGATGGAAACAAGAAACTTATTGAGAACTAGAGCAAAGATTACATTTGTTATACCTTAGTAAAAAAAAGTGGCTGCATTTTGTTTATGCCCCAGGAATCTGTGGAAAGTTGAACTTGAGAGTGATAATTTAGAGTATCTGGTAGAAGAAATTACTAAGCATCAAAGCCTTCAAGATGTCACCTGGCTGCTTCTAAGAATCTATGCTCAGATATGGGAGCAAATAAATGATAAAATTGCAATTTATATTTTTTACAGGAAGCAGAGCATAAAAATTTGGATAATGTGCAGACTGTTTGTGTGACAGAGAAAGTAAAAGCATTTTTTAGAGAGAAATTAAAGCAGGCTGTGGAGTAACCACTTCCTAGAGACATTTGCATAACTGAAAAAGAGCTATGTACTAACAGCAAAGACAATGAGAAAAGGGCCTTGAAGGCATTTCTGAAATCTTCCAGGCTGCCTCTCTCGTCACAGGCCCTGAGACCTAGGAGGGAAGAATGGTTTGGCCGGCCAGGCCCAGGGTCCCATTGCCCTGCCAGCCTCTGGACACTGCTTCCCACATCCCAGCTGCTCCAGCTCCAGTCAGAGCTCAAAGGGGTCCAGTTACAGCTCAAATTGCCACTTTGGAGAATGCAAACCATAAGCCTTGGTGGCTTCCATATGGTTTTAAGCCTGAGTGAGTTGAGGCTTAGGACCCTCCACTTAAATTTCAGTGAATGTATGGAAGAATCTGAGGGTCCAGGCAGAAGCCTGCTGCAGGGACAGAGTCCTCACAGAGAACCTTTAGTAGGGCAATGCCAAGGGGAAATGTGGGGTTAGAGCCCCCACACAGAGCCCTCACTGGAGCATTGTCTAGTGGAGCTGTGAGAAAGGGGCCACCACCCTCCAGATGTGAGAATGGTAGATCCACTGGAAGCTTGCCCTCTGCACTTGGAAAAGCCACAGGCACTCAACAACCAGTGAAAGCAGGGACTGCACTTTTCAAAGCCATAGGTGCAGATCTTTCAGGTATGAACTAGTTTTTTTTTCTTATATATATCATTAAGTCTGCACAAAAATTCCCACTGTGGAATGACTAGTAATCCCCCAATTATACAAATGGGGAAAAACATACAAGGAAGTTAACTGCTCAAGATCACTAAAAAGTTAAGAGCTGAGATTTGAACCCTGGTTTGCCTGATTGCAAAGCCTGTGAGATCTCTTAATCATGATACTTCACTACAAACTATATCTGTATTAATTTTAATTCATAAGAATGAGTTAAAATAAGCTTCATGTCATTTCTCTATTAGTAAGTCATAACTCAATGTGGAAGTGTGATCTCCTAATAGACTCTGAGAGAACCAAACCCATTCTTTCTTAAAGCAGTCTGCATTGAAAAGCATTCTTACACATGGTCCTGTGAAGATCTTTTTGCCACACGTATGTACAAAACAGCAAACTCATTCCTTTAGCATTTATCAGACTGTTGTAACAATAAAGATCTGTGGTTATCTTATTCACATGTTTCTTCTTTTTTAAGTTAAATTTAAGCCAGGTGTAGTATTTTGAATTGCTGCCCATCACAAAGCCTGACCCTTGGAAGTTTCTGTACCTAGTCCCTTAAGGGGCGCAGGCATAGGCTCTGCCTCTGACTCCAGGTTTACAGGAATTTGATCACATACTGCTTCAAATGAAAACAAGCACAGCAGAGCTGCATGATTGGGGTGAGATCTACCTTGGTTCAAGTCAGATCTTTTCTGTGAAAAATCACTGTGATTTTAAGCAAATTTCTTCATCTCTCTAAGATCATCATCTTTCTCATTTATATAAACAAAATCTAATATATACCTTGCAGGGTTTTTGTGCAATTAACAGTAACAGAGATAATACACCTAGCATTCTCCTTTGAATATATTATAGAATCATATTTATCTTCCCTACCCCTATTTTAGTGATAACAGAGAAAAGGGCTTTTTTTCTTTAAAACATTTTCCCCCATACACACTGCAAACCACTGAGGCTTCTGTCTTCTTGTCTCTTAAACCTTAAGTTGGAGCACAAAATAAATATCGCTGTTAGGTAGAAATGAATTTGTGGGAAAGAGGCAAAATGATATAAAAATCTGATTGCTAAGAGTGGACTACATAAATTGCACAATTATTTGTTGTTTGATTAATGCCAGTCATTTATTGCCCCATTAAACTCTAGACCTCCAAGCAAAATCTGGAGAAGAGAAATCAGTTAATTGAGTAGATATTTATTTTAAAAAAAAGGTTTAGGAGGAAACACAATTAAAGAAGAAAACAATGAGTTGTAAACTCTGTGACAATAGGATTTCCATCATACTCCTTATGAACAAGACTTGGCTTGAAAAATGTGTCCGTTTTTTTTTCCCCAATCCTGTCAATCTCAAGATGATTTGCCTTAAAATGTTGTATTTCCCTTTAGCTACAAAAAGTTTCTTTTTATTTTTTTTGAGACAGGTTTTCGCTTGTCACCCTTTCACCCGTGCCAGAGTACAGTGGCACAGTCACATCATCTGACTACAGTCTCGACCTCCTGGCCTCAGTGCCATCCTCCCATCTCAACACTTCACCTCCCCCACCAGTCCCAAGTAGCTGGCACTACAGGCACACTCCACCACACTCAGCTAATTTTTTATTTTATTTTTATTTTTAGATACAGGGTCTCACTATGTTACCCAGACTGGTCTTAAATTCACGAGCTCAAGCAATGCTCCCACCTCGGCCTCCCAAAGTGTTGGGATTAAGGTGTGAGTCACTGTGACTGGTCTAAGTTATTCTTTGTAAGATTTTTCTTTCATGAAATTTAAATATGAGAATATATCACACTTTTAAAAGATTTTTAATAAAATATTTCTTTTGTAAGAAGTAATTTCATGTATAATTTAACACCCACTTACCTCTCAAAAAAGAATCAAAGGCATTTAGGATCATCATGAACCTGCTCATCTTAAAATATGACTAATTAGTTTAACATTATGCTTCAGGTTTTTCTTTAAATGACTCTGGAAAAGACCTTAACTGTGTATTTTCCATCCAAGTGAACTTTGAAAACAATGTAAATTGCAGTGGGTATAATAAAAGCATTTTGTTGATAATTTGACCTCACTACTGAAAAGAATGAGGAAGTTACTTTTCTTTTTATTCCTGTCACCAGGACTACAATTATATTTTTAAAAATAATTTCTTTAAAAAGGTACAAAGCTTTTATTGCTTAACATTTTGAAAGATAATTTAATTGTGGACTTAGATCTTGAGAAATTGTCAGACGCCAACTACCAAGTTTTTCAGTGAGGAGTGAAACCACGGGTGATATAACCACTTTTCTCCATTTCCAGATGGAGGGGTGGGTGTTAGGAGCTTTATTCTAGAGGGACCCTGACTGAGAGTAGGTCCAGGTTCCCAGAATACCTGATCTCTTGTCAAATTGTAGCCTGGTGATTATCTATTGTTCCCTTCACAGATACTCCTAAAAGAGTCTGTCTGTTGAGAGCAACCTTTCAGATTGAGGGATGTTCCATTGTTTCATAAATTGTAACCTTTGACTAGATGGTTATTCTACTTTCAGAGTAACTAGTAGAATTGTACCTTCAAACTCATAGCTCTTTCTTCCCTGGCCACAGGGCCACCTCCCCTTAAATAAAGGTAGGGGCAAGTTCAGAGTCCTTCTCAGCCTACTCACAGTGCCTGCTAACTCGCTTGTTGCCGTCTGGGGCCCCAGGGGCTCCGAGTGGCATAGTGTGGAAGTCACTAAGCATGTTCTTCGGCCTTTTTCTATTTATTTTATTGTATCCTTTTTGAAATTTATTTCAGACCCATCCATGAAAGTCAGTCTCCTTCTTCAGGGAATGTCCTTTCAAAAGGCAAAGTTGGCCTCTACATAAAAAATAATAAATTCTAATATTAAAGACATTTAATGGAAATATTAGATGATATTTCCCTTAATGTTTCTTTATCATGATTGGTATGATTAATTCATGGTTTCTATTAATTTTGATTAGATATGTAACACTGGACTTAGTTCTTTATTCTTGCTATATGTTTTGAGTGAATAAAAATTCTTAGTGGCATGTAAGATGTCATACTTCATGTGCATATGATCATATAATGTAGAAACATATATGTATAAGCACAGTTAACTGTGAGCTCTATAGGGCAATAAGTATTTAAGAAAGCATTCTTTCTTAAATACTGTAGATAGATTTTCTGTGTTGAAATGTTGGAGAAAAGTTTTTCACCTCTCTGTGCTTACTTTCCTCATCTACAAAATAGAGACAACAGTACATACTTAAGAGAATTAATAGGCAGGTACAAATGAAATATCACATGTAACTCAGCACTTCACTGGAACAGAGTAAGGGTTCTATAAACGCTTGTTAGTAGTATTACAAACATAAAAAATATTATGTGTAATGAAGGCTACAGGATGAGAGGTCTTGTTTAAGAAAAGTTTCTGAAGAGGCAAACAGCTGAAACTGAAAACTGATGAATGATTATCTAATATGCAATAAGCTCTGAACTGTCTTTGACTGCCTGGCTGTTTTCACTTTCTATTCATGCTTAGACACACAGAGGTAATATTCTATCCTGGGTTGCACACAATAGAGAAGGGAAAGCAATGTAATACTGTTAAACTCTGAAGGCTGAGATTAAACAGGAGCATATTTTACTTCCTGGGAATAAGAAAAAGAAATTGTATTTTCTTTCACATTTCATATGGGAAATTGATTGCTTAAGTTTGACATTTCCTTTAATTGAAACACTTTGTTGAATTACTTCTAAGTCTCCATTAAAAGTGGTGTAAGTAGTATGAAATCACTCACTCTCTAGTATATCAGTGTTTGATATTTCATTACACCTAGTATTACCCTCATATTATCTTATTCTTCTTTCTCACGTCATTACCTTTGAAGAAAGATCAATTGACAATATATTGCTTTAAAATTATGTCATAGGCATATTGAGTCTAATGCTTAACACCCATGTCTAATATTTTGTTCAGTTGTTAAAAAAGTTGATCCCTTTATTTAATTGTCCATAAAGAAGATGGGAAGAGTTTGCTGTTCTCTGTGAAACAACAAATACCCTCTACCCATTCCGAGTGCCCCATACACACTTTATTTATAGTAACCAATGTGGTTGTTATTCAAGGCTTATTCCAATGCGTATGGGGATCTATACTCCTCTTTATGCCTAACTCTACCAAAGTTACCTGCAGTAACACTGGTAGTGAAAAACTCAGGAGCCTCCAAAAACACAACTGCATTTGGTAAGAGACCAGAGTAGCAACTTCCTAGGCCTGTCCACCCATCTCATAGCCTGCTGGAGAATGGTCTGGTGCTGTTGCCTCCGGACATTCACTCAACTCTTCTAGCCCTTCTCCTTCCTAGCTTGCCAGCCCAGCTACCACTTATTAGAAGGAAATAAGAGGATTTGGTGAACAAATAGTCAATAAAAATTGACTATTTCTGCAGATAGCAATGGGATCTGGGTTAGTGGATTAAGGGTATTTAATGGAATAACTTAATCTTTTTAATGTTCAAAATCCAGTTCTTACTGTTCTCTAACAACAACTGTGTTCAGTATTTTGGCTTTATATTTTGACTCAAGGCTTGCTTATAAAATATATATTACAAAATACATATATAAAGCAACACTGATAATACCCATTTTTTCAATAAATTATTGAATTTTTTAAATAGATACATTTTTTCATAGATAAATTGTGTCTCAAAATATATTAAGCCAGATCTTGTATCTTTGTTTAAAATGTTTCAATGCTTTATCTTCTCGGTCATAGTTAAAGCTAAAGCTGGTATGCCCACTATGCCCACTGCCCAATGTTGCTGTTTAACAAATAATCCCAAAGTTTAGTGGTCTAAAACAAAACAACTTCATATTCTTTGATATAGAAATCCAATCAGGGCACAGTAGGGATAATTTATTTCTGTTTCTCAATGTTTGGAGCCTTAGCTGGGAATACTTATATAGTTGTTGTCATCATGGATGTATGAAATTATTTAGAAAGATTTTAATCCACATTTCTAGTATCTGGGTTAGGTTGGGCTCAGCTTGCATTGTTGACCAGAGCCCCTACATATGGCCTGACCATGTAGCTTGTGCTCCCTGGAAACATGGTAACGAGTTTGTAAGAGGAAGTGTATCTAAAGGAATCATCTGGAAGTGAGCATACCAAAAAATCCAGGGACAAGCTGCATTTCTTTTATGACTTAGCTTTGGAAGAAATAGTGCATCATTTTCTTCACACTCTATTGGTCAAAGCAGACACATGCCAGCATCTATTCAAGAGGAAGGGACAGAGACAGCACTTCTCCATGGGAAGAATGTCAACTTTTTTTTTTTTTTTTTTTTTGACACCAAACCTCACTCTGTTGCCCAGGCTGGAGTGCAATGGCGTGATCTTCTCTCACTGCAACCTCCACCTCCTGGGTTCAAGCGATTCTCCTCTCTCAGACTCCCAAGTAGCTGGGACTACAGGCACATGCCACCACACCAGGCTAACTTTTGTATTATTAGTAAAGATGGGGTTTCGCCATGTTGACCAGGCTGGTCTCGAACTCCTGACCTCAGTTGATCTGCTTGCCTTGGCCTCCCAAAGTGCTGGTATTACAGGCGTGAGCCACCACACCCAGCCTCAACAAATTTTTGGACTTTTTTTTTTTCCCATTGCATAATCTGTGCTCTGGCTACAAAGTATTTATGTTTTCCTTACATGAAAAATAAATTCAAAATGTTCAAAGACCTACCAAAAGCTTTATTCCACTTTGGCATCATGCTCAGGCTTAAGGTCTAGACTCTCATAATTTAAATCAGATCAGGAAGCACAGGAATTACCTCAGGGTCAATTCCTTGGGTAAATATTTTGCCAATCTGAAATCCTTTTAGCCCACCCTACAGTTACCCAGTAAATGTGGGTGAACAGGCATAGTATAGTGCAACAGAAACTTCCATTCAAAAAGAAAAGGTAAGGGAGGCACTTAGCAAACACGGACCCACAGCATTTTTGAAATTCAGTTAGGTACATGCCATTTCCTTGATTATGGGCCCAGTAAAATTCCCTAGGACTGATTCTCCCCAGATCTTGACTAGATCCCCTGAGATCCTCTCTGTTCTAAGTCATTCTTGCTTAGTCCTTTTTTTAGCTACGTAGTTTTCTTAATTATCTTCTACTTGTAGAAATTTGAGAGTCCAAGGTCCTCTTTTGATTTTGTACTGCCTGTCCTTTTCAGCCCAAGGTGGCATATTGTGTTTTTTTCTGTGGGCTTCAGTACTTAACTGAGTTGTAATCCATTGTATTAGACAAAAATCAATCCCACAAATCCTTTTGAAATGAGTTATTCTCAACTTTAAGTTTCTTATGGAGTTGCAGTAGGATAACATTCTTTATAATTTTTAGAAGCTTCATTGTTTCATGGCGAGGATACGTGAGGCATATCCTTAAAATCTTTAAAAGGCCTTTGACTGCCTGAGCTGAGTGGATCTGTGAGGCTCCACGTGAAACCATCCTGACATTTTAACAAAGGCCTTATAGTTGTATTCTTAGCTTTATCTTTAGTCTCAGACCAAGATAACCCTTTCTTACATTATGAGAAATAGTTTTATTTTAAATCCAGCAACACTTGGCCTTTTTACATTCCTTTTAAATTTTGCTTGAAAATTGAATAATTCATTCTTCAGCTAATGCTTTATATTCACAGTTATGGACTGAATGTTTGCGTTCCTACAAAATTCATATGTTGAATTTCTATCCCCCAATGTGATGGTATTAGGAGGTGAAGGATGTGGAGGTGATTTTGTCTTGTATGCTGTGAGGGTAAAGCCCTCATGATTAGTGTTCTCATAAGAGGCATGTGAGCTTGCTTGCTCTATCTGCTCTCTACCATGGAGGGATACAATGAAAAGATGACATTCTGCAAACCAGGAAGCAGTTTCTCTCCAGACACTGGATCTGCTGGCTCCTTGGTCTTGGACTTCCCAGCCTCCAGAATTGTAAGAAATAAATTTCTGTTTTTTAAGTCACTCTCTCTATGGTGATTTTGTTATACCAGCCCAAACTGACTATGACACACATCTTATAAAATAAAGTTCCAAGAAGCCACTTGACACTGTCTATAATCTGCCAAAAATCTCTTTAGCCAGATCTGTTGCATTAAGATCTGTTTTCTTAGGTACATTTTCTATTTTCCATGACACCAAAGATGGCAGTTTTCCTAAACTTTTACTACTATATAACAACGTCAACTTTTCTTTAGCATCGAATAACACTTTCTTTACTTTAAGTTATTGAAACATCTTTCTCAAGGCCTGTCAGGCTTCCATATACTGTCCCCTTAAGACTATTTCAACTCCAAAATTTGCAGTTTTACCTCTTAGCCAAAGCCACATATTTTAGGTTTTTTGTTATGGCAGCATTCCAATGTGAGTACTGAATTCTGTTTCCTCACGGAGACCACTCCAAAACCTAGCAGTGTAAAAAAGTGGCCATTTTGTTTTGCTTAAGGTTTCTGTAATTCAGGAATTTGGAGAGGGCACAGAGGGAATGGCTATTTCTGTTATATGATGTCTGAAACCTTATCTGGGGAGACCCAAATGACTCAGGGTGACATAAATGGTTGAAACCTCAATTAATTTGGACATTTCTTCACTTACGTATCTGGCACCTAGGCTGAGAAAACTAAAAGCCTAGGTTTTGCTAGGATTGTCAGAGCCTCTTCATGTGGCCTCTCCATGTGGTTTGGGTTTCTTATAGCAAAGTGGTTGGGATACACAAAGGAGAAACACCCAGAGAATGAATATTTCAAGAGAAGCAGGAAGCTTCATAACTTTTTATGGCTTACTCTAACGAGTAATTTACTGTGATTTTCACTGTAGTTTATTAGCCAAAAGAGTTACAAGCCCACTTATATTCATAAAAGAAAACATTAGATGCCAACTGTAAATGGAGGAGTGTCAAATGATTTGAAAACGTTTTAAAAAGCAGCTATAACCCACATGATCTGTCTTCCTTTTCCTCAGCCAGTTACCTCTGACATAATCTGCTGTTCTCCTTGTTCTCCTTTTGATCATTCTATTACTGAAATGACTTCACTCTTCATCAGAAGCAGCAAGCAGGTTTCTGTCTTAAGGGCTCTGTATTTTCCATTTCTTTTGACTGGAGTGCTCTTCATTAAGATATCAGCATGTCTCATCTACTCGTTTGCTTCAGGTCTTTAGTCATATTTTCTTATTTTATTTTTTAATTTTAATTTTAATTTTAAGTCCTAGGGTACATGTGCAGGATGCGCAGGTTTGTTACCTAGGTAAACTTGAGCCCTTGTGGTTTGCTGCACTTATCAACCCATCACCTAGGTATTAAGCCCAGCATGCATTAACTATTTTACCTAATGCTCTTGCTCTCCCACCCCACCCCACGACAGGTCCCAGTGTGTGTTTTTCCCCTCCCTGTGTCCATGCGTTCTCATTGTTCAGCTCCCACTTAGAAGTGAAAACATGGGATGTTTAGTTTTCTGTTCCTGCATTAGTTTGCTGAGGATAATTCAGGGATGGAGCTGGAAGCCATATGTTATTTTTATTGGAATGTAAGCTCCAGAATAATTTTAGATGTTGTTGTTCATGTTTGATTGGTTGCATTTAGAGCAATAACACACAGTAGGTGGTAAATATATGTATAATGCATTGAATAAATTAATCTTTAATTCCCACATTGATTATTTCTTTTTCTTATTTTCTCTACTTTTATTAAGAGATTGAACATGGTAGAATGGGAAATTAAGAATGGGGAATAAAGGATACAAACTAAAACAAACAAAGGTGGGGGTTGAGATGGGACATTTTTACTGCTGATATTGAATCTTAGGTTCTCACCAAATGTAGAGGAATTTTATTAAATTAAAATTTCCTTCTCCAAATCAATTTCTACCTCTGGTTTATACACCTAGCTCATAAATATGAGGTGAACGATTATGTGAACTTCTTCACATAATAGTCTTAAAACTATGAGGCTGACTTATGTTAAAATTGATTAAATATTTTAAAAAGATGGTTTTAAAAATTTAAAAAGTAATTTTAAAAGATTGATATTAAAGTGTAAAATCTAATAAAATTAAAACATCTGCTTTTTGGAGTTTTGAGCTATAATGATATATCCTCCATAACATTTTATGTTAATTAAGGTTGAATCAAATTTACAAATCAAGCTAAACAAATCCTCACTTTGGTTGATAAAAAATAAGAAAGAATACAGTTTACATTTTCTTATTTCTCCTTTCACTCTTCAGTCCCAACATTACTGCCATATACAAAATATACATATACAACTTCTACAAAAGTTCACTTCTCGGTTTTACTTGTAGGCACTCTAGTTTTGAGGATGATAAAATTCTACCCTCTGCTGTACTTGATATTGAAGTATTTTATGATTCAGTTCCAGATAAAATAAATTTACGATTTACAGAGTGTGGAGACCATTACTATAGATAAAGGGGCTTTATCACTCTAGTAATTTTGCACTCAAACTTTATTTTTATTGGAATTCCATAAATGCTATCTTGAAGGCAATACACAATAGAACGTTCTAACAGACCATGTAGTTTTAAAAGTCCCATGTCTAGTTTCAGACTTTTTTCTTGTTGTATTTTGAAGGTAACAAATTCCATGTAACTGGAAAAGAAATATGAATCTTATTTTGACTAATCATATAAATTGCTCCAAAAATTGCTAACATTGTCTAGTAAATGATTGAGTATAATAGCTTATAACTGAGTCCAAATTATACTCTCTGTTTGTAGATTAAGCCTGGTAGGATTTTGTGTTTTATCACATGGAAATTATCCTCAATTATCTTTCATTATTTATTCAAAATTTGTAAAAGTGCCTAATGGCCAAAAGTTGCTGTATCAGTGATTAATGTCTTGAATCACAGTCATCAGTCACAATCATCCCAAAGGTCTCAGGTTAAGCTTTTGTTTGTGAGTTTACCTGAGGTAATTTCAGGTTTCTGGAGACTAGGTGATACTTTTTAATTGTTCATATTCTCCTCAGTAGGTGGATGAAGCCATGTTGTTGGTCACATATTTCATTTACAATTTTTATACTCAAATGTACACTTTTATCTTTTCTAACATTTATTTCCAGATTTTTATATTTTCAATGATTTTACAATAACTGACATGCTTAGTCAGAAATATAATGTTTCCTATTTTCCATTGAAATAAACACTTGAAATGCTTTGTTCTGAGAGTCTGAGTGCTGATTCAGCCACTCATCCTAAATGATGTGAGTTGCTAGGTCCTAAGGCAGAAAAGCGACTGTTGTAAAGGATGTTCCCTCATTCTCTGAACTCTTCTTTCTGACTTTTGAAATTCCTACCACACATTTTATCAATGCAGTATTATCTAGTTCATTCATGTGAGTATCTTCCTCCTTATGATATTTTAGCTTCCTGAAGACAAAGGTCATTTCTTATTCATCTTACAGCCATTTTTATGTACATATAATCTGTCTGTCTGTTTCTCTGTCTCTGAATTTACAATAAAATGGCAAAGCTTTTTAATGTTTATGTAACATGTCCATATTATCATTATTATTTATTCTGATTACATGCATATTGGACTTATATATTTATGTATTAAACTTACAGCAATGGGTCGTCTTCTGACAAAATGATAAAGAATACCATCAGATAGAGAAATGGGTCCATAAATCATCAGAGCAGATAAAATTCCATAATTATTTGAACATGATTTCTGTTATATGTAAAAAGTAGTACATATTGAACATTTTTCAGTTTCATCAAATAGCATGTACCTGTTTTATTCCTATTTTAAATGCCAAAATAGCTGAAAAATAAACTTCATAAAATCATAATGCTAAAAGACACCTCAAAAACTTTACATTTTCCTTCACATTGAAATGGGTTTTATCAAAACCATCCCAAATATGTGAATATACATTGAGATATTATATGTAAAAACGTTTATGTGCATATACTTGTATCAGTATATACACCATATTTTAAAAACAATATCATATTTTTTAATTCTTTAGAACTCTACTAAAATTAATTAAAATTTAAGCTTATTCCTTTGGAAATTCTTACACATTGCTCACAGGAGCATCATACCCAGTCCCATAATTCTATTTTTCTATATTCTTTTACTTAAAAATATTTTTATTGCCATTTATATAATATATAAATATATTATTCATATATATCCTTTATATATATATTTGTGTGTGTGTTAGTTAAAAACCTTCAAATCTTACTGACTTAAAAATAAAAACGAGGCTTTATTTCTCCCACTCTCTACATGTTCACTGCTGTTTGGTCGGGGGCTATTTTCACATTGTCTTGCCACTTAGATCCAAGCTAACAGATCAAACACTGTCTAGAACACCTGCTATCATCATGGTAGATGAAAAGAGAGTGTGGTTTTCACACACAGGCTCTTCACGCTTTCAAACAGAAGTGTCACACAGCACTTGTACTTATCTCTTATTGACCAAAGGAAAACACAATCACAGCTAGCTTTAAGGGAACTTGGAAGTACAATCCTACCAAGAGCCATGGAAGAGAATTGTAATTATTTGGTGGCCATCATTACAAAAACATTCTGCAAGTTGGATCTTTGTCGTTCTTGTTTTACAGATTGAAAGCTAATGCTTGAGAATTTGATAACTTATTCAGGGTCACACAACAGTCATAAAGTAACAAACTATGCTACAACATGAGCCTTAAAAAATAGCTGCCTAATAGTAATATGACATGGATAAAACTCAGCTTTTAATCAAAGATATGATGAAACCATTATTATTGTTCTGTTGCCTGTATTTTAGAAGGATTTTTTTTGCAATGAGTAACTATATGTTAACCCTGGAGCTATATAATTCATCATTCTTACCATCATATCCACAGATCTTAACCATTAAACTTAATCCCAGCACTTTGGGAGGTAGAGGTGGGACAATCTCTTGAGGCCAACCAAGAGTTCAAGACCAGCCTGGGCAACAGAGTGAGACCTTGTCTCTACAAAAAATTTTTAAAAATTAAAAATAAAATAGAATTATAGAAAAGGTAATATGTATATTTCTTTATTTTCAATAGTCCATTAAAACCTAAAACTGTAACTCTAGCCTCTAGAATAGTCTCTGGTTCATAAAAATTTGTTGAATGAATGAATAAATTTGACTCTTCACACCACGATGTTATTATTTTAGCATTATTTTCAAATTAACATGCCCATTTTTGTTGTTGGAATTCTGTTTTGTTTTATTTTACTCTGTAACAGGGCTATATCTTTCATCGATGTTGAAAATATATTTTCTTAATATCTAACAAGTATCTAAAAATAATTTAAAAATGAAAAGAAAATGTATCTTCCTTGATTGTGCATACTCCTCATGTAATTCTCTAACTAAAACATCATATCCCAAGCTTCTTGCTAATAAAAACTGCAAATGCATTTGTAGCCTGTTTATTCAGATGATATACTTCCATTTTACCTAAAATGGTTATTTTCAAATAAATACTGCAGCAGGCAATAAGAAGAATCTTTGAGGAAAAACTAAGCACATAAAATATAATTAGTTATAATAAATACAGCTCAGCAACTAATTTGGACAGAGGTATAAATGCAAATAACTAAAATAAATGGCAAAAATTATATTTAATCAACCACATGCCTTTAGTAAGAGTTTAGGAAGGTAAAAACTATAAATAGTAACATTGAGATGAGAGTTACTCTTTTATCAGTTGTAAGTAAATATTAACTGAAGCTAATAAATCAAGAGAGAGAAATCTGAGCTCATTTTTAAAGTTATGGGTTAAGCACTAGAATTAATGAAATAAAAACACAAAACCCAGAAATGTTTAGAAGAGATTACTTGGGAGAGGCAAATAAGAGAATTGGAAACAATTGCTTATGCTCTTCTGTATGATTTGATTCAATAACGTGCAAATATTGTTTTGATTGAAGTGCCTGTTTGATGTCTCCATTTGGATCCTCAAATGAACCTTAAATTTAAAAAAAAATTAACAAAATTCACAGACAGTTTTTCCCCACTGTCTCCTATATAAATTAATGACACAGATCCATATTACCAGTCATTCTAGACACTTCTCTCTGCCTCATGCCTCGTGGCCTATTTCTCACTAAGCCCTCAGTTTCTCTCTTGTAAGTATCCCTTGAATATATATGCTTCTCTTATTCTCAGTGATTGCCTTTATGATATGCTTTATGGGACTGAATTTCATTTTTTATAGTATTTCCTAAATCCATTCTGAGCCCTCTCATTAGAGTTTGAGTTACATTTTCAAATTGTCAATGTGATCATGTATACTATTCCTACTTTAAACACAGGAATGGTTTCCAATTGCTCTTAGAATACAGAGTAGATCTTTCTGAAATGGGACTAGGAATCCACTTCAGGGTGATGCCACAGAACCATCTTATATCATTGTCTACCTCACTCTCTGTGTGGGGGATCATTTTAACTAGAAGTCACATAGTCCATCTATTCATGAGAACTTTGCATGACCTTCCTCTGCCTCTTGTAAATAGCTTTACTCATAACCCACTATCACACTATTCAATCTTAATCATTCCTTAAATCTCAGCTAAGTGGAAGCTGCCGCACCATTTTTAATCATATTCCTTGGAATATGTTCATAAACAAACACATGCATTTGAATTAAAATATTTCTTGCACACTATCTGTCTCTCTCTCTTTTTTTGCTATTTCCCCAATTCAATATTTAGTTGAATGAGAAAGTGATAGCGTAGTTTTTGCTCACCATTACAAGCCCAGCAATTAAGATAGTTCCTGACAAATTGTACAAACTATGAAGTATTTTTATGAATAATTCATGACCCATTGGTCACTTATTCAAGCAACAATGCAAACATTCTCATTCTTCCTATCGACATCCCTCCAAGTTAAATTTCTCTGGTAAAAACTTTTGGATACTCTATATCTTGCTCTACTTCTGTTTTTAGGCCTAATTGCTTCTTACAGTTCCATACAAGGCTAAGAAAGTATATACTTTTCATTGTAAATATGCTGTACCCTGGAATGCCTTTGGCTGCTTGAGATTTGCTAGACTGCTATGTATCTCAAAAGTGGAAATAAGTTTTTCCACATTTAGTGCTGTCTGATTATAATTATTCCTTTTTTTCTCAAATGTTCTTATTTTTGGTCATTCTCTGTGTTATATATTCACTGGAAAATAAATAGTTACTTATCTCTTGTAGATATGTTTGGCAAATTGAACGTTGTCAATATTTACATTTTTCAAATAATTCTATGTAGACTCCTATGTTTCCATGGGGAGAAACTTTCACGTTCATCTGTAAACTGTATGGTGTGTCACTATCAAAAGCAGAGTATTATGTTCTATGAACTAAGAACCTACTGATGTTTAAATTCTGAAATAAATAAACATAAGGCTATAGTCACAGTAGATGACTGAGGATTATTTGCTTGATGAAAGAAAACTATATCTTATTTGAAGAGGAGAACCAGATATATGCCAATGTTAGTGATGCTTGTGGATTTGTGGTTTTAGTTGTTTTGGAATTGCTATTAGGATGCAGGACACTCTTAGCATCCTAAATGAGAGGTGGAGGGAGGATTTTTGAGTTTATATGATTTGCCTCATTATGGTCAGATGGAAAAAAAAAGTACTGCATTATAAAGAGATTTTTAATTTCTCAAGATAGCAGTGTAAGTTTTAAGTATTTTTATTTGAAAATATATTCTTCCTGATTGCTTCATATCACTGCCCTACATCCAGATTAATTCAGGAAAAAAGCAGTCTCAATATTTTCTTATTTATTTATTTATTGGGACATGATCTAGCTCTGTTGCCCAGGTTGGAATGCAGTGGTGCAATCTCTGCTCACTGCAATCTCCGTCTCCCAGGTTCAAGAGATTGTGTTGTGGCCACGATGCCCAGCTAATTTTAGTATTTTTAGTAGAGACTGGGTTTTGCCATGTTGGCCAGGCTGGTCTCGAATTCCTGACTTCAAGTGATTTGCCCGCCTCACCCTCTCAAAATTCTGGGATTATAGACATGAACCACAGCACCCGGGTGGTAATATTTTCTATGTGTTATCAAGTAGCAATCAATCTAATTGAATTTATGGATTAATTTTGATTAGGTAAAATTGTTCTCAGGAGAACTGCAGAAATAAAAATAAATTATGTTATGTCAAGATTTTCTCCTAAATTTCAAAATAAATGAATTACAAAAGGAATGATAACAGTTTCGTAGTTTGATAGATAGGGTATTTTGACATGAATAGATTTAAAAGATCAAAGAGATGGAGATAAATTTCCATTTTCTCTTGACTTCTTCATCAAAGTGCAGTAGCATTTGACAAAGCTCTTTTGTTTCACTAACTCCCACATTTCATAAATTTGAGCTGAGAATTCTCAATAAATGTCAAAGAAGATGCAACTTGCTTCCTACATTTTCTTACGTGAATGACCCAATGAGATACTTTCCAAACTAAAGGAAAATGCTATAATAGAGTTATAAATGAAGAGACATATGGAGACAAGTTCCAATATGACTGCTAAAACCTGTTATATGTGTTTAATTCTCAAGAGATCTCAATACTTACAGATTGATTTTATTCTTTGAAATACCATTCAAAGTTACATTTTTTCAATGACAAATGCCCAATAGTGTTCATCTATATGATGTTTATTTATTGCTTCTTTTTATAAAAGATGCTAAAATATAAAAAAAACCTAAAGATGAAATACAGAAATATTTTAAAAGTGTATTGTTTTTAGCTATAGGGCCAATATTACAAGTGAGACAAAGATAGATGAACAGTAAGATGCCTATTTTTATTATTTTCTTTTTGGAAGTTGGATTATGGAAGAACAGTTTCATTCCTCTTGAAGCACCACAATCCATGTAACCAAAAACAGATGAGGTCTTCCTCCCTAGAAAATTTGAACTGATCCTTCATGGCATGTACCTCTACTTCACAGAGAGCTATAAAATTTATTCTGGCGGATACAAAGAATTTTAGTTATTTAATTATTGTAAACATTTATTAAGCATCTACTATATCGTAGATATTGTGGTAGGCATTGATATTCAAAAGGAAATTAAGCATTGTCTCTGACGTTGAAGAGTTCATTTCAAAAGAAAGATATATACAGATATACAGATGGGCCCCACTTAGGATGGTTCAACTTACAATTTTTCAACTTTATGATAGGTTTAACAGTTTATAACCCCGTTATAGCTTGAGGAGTATTTCTAATACATATTTACCTTATGATATGGTTTCGCTGTGTCCCCACCCAAATCTCATCTTGAATTGTAGCTCCCATAATCCCATGTGTCATGGGAGGGACTTGGTAGGAGGTAATTTAATCATAGGGGTGGTTACCCTCATGCTGTTCTCATGATAGTGAGTGAGTTCTCATGAAATCTGATGGTTTTATATGAGGCTTTTCCCTTTTGCTTGGCACTTCTCCTTGATGCTGCTATATGAAGAATGCTGTGTTTGCTTTCCCTTCCCTCATGATTGAAGGTTTCCTGAAGCTTCCTCAGCCATGCTGAATTGTGAGCCAATAAAATCTTTTCATTTACAAATTACCCAGTCTCGGGTATGTCTTTATTAGCAGCATGAGAACAGACTAGTACGCCACACAATGTAATAAGTGCTTAAACAGTGGCATATGTGAAAATAATTCTGTTGGACTATAAAGAAGAATAATATTCTGCCTGGTGGTCATGTGAGAGATATCATATGGAAACAGAGATCAAATAATGTCATTGCTGGAAGCGTGCTCTGAGCCAAGGAATGTGGGCAACTTCTAAAGCCTGGCAAGGGCAGGGAATTAATACTCTCTTAGAGCTTCCAGAAGGAACCAGACCTGCCAACAGCCTGACTTTAACCCAATAAGAGAGAGAATAAATTTGTGTTGTTTGAAACCACTGCATTTGTAGTGATTTGTTGCAGCAATAGGAAATGAATACAATGACCATAGGTGGTGGAATAGCTTTACCGAGTTGTGTTTATGCATCTCCTGGGATGTGAGCCACATGTAGTTTAAAAATGTATTCAAGTCATTGTCATATTCTCTCTTAAAAATGCCCCCTGCTACCTTCTCCTCCTCCTTCAATTCTTATGGGAATCATTGAGGTAAATCATTCTGAGTAAAAACAAGATTACCTTGAAACAGAAATATAGAGTATGAGCCCCAAGCATAATAATTTACTTATTCTTTGGTTGCCTTAGGTTTTGAGTAAGATAAGCTTAGGAGCATTTTTCTCGGAACTACTAGGGCTTGAAACTACCTTTGTCCCCACCCTAGCAAATACCATTCTATAACAGGATTTCCTTTGACCATTAGAGAAAATAATCTAAATTAGTTGAAACTTATAGACTTTGAACCTAAAGCTGGATGATGTAGTAGGGTTTAGTTTTTTTGGTATCCATGCTATATTTGAAATGTAGACGTATGATTTGTGGATTATTTTGTGCATGGGAACCCCAACACCTGAATTCGGGATCACTCTGAGGAGAGCTGCAACTGTAAATATATAGGCTCTCATGGTCATCTCTCCAGGACAGTCAGAGGCATTAGAAGTGTATTCTATCTCTTTATTGGGCCAAGACAATCTTTTTTAAAATCCAAAACTCTTTTCCAGCTCCACCTCTCAAACAACAACAAAATAATTCCCTTAATCACATAAATTTAGAATCCAGAATGATTTGTTTTTGAAGCCATAACTATCTAAATCTTGGCAAACCATATGTTGCAGTATAGTTACCTGCCTTGATGAGTTTATTTGAAACTTCGAGCTCCAAAAATACTTATATATGCACCCTGAAGACAAATTATTTAACTAAATATTTGGTCTGTTATTATTGTTAAAAGAGGGACAAGGCCAGGCTCATGAAATTCCATCAATCTGTGAAGGAAAAACAACCTTCCAAAAAGTTCAATTCCATAAGTAGAAGAACTATTCTTGCTATTAATAAATTCTCAGAGTGATAAAAAAATTTTATCCAGTTTTAAAAAAATTTCCAGTTTTAAAACTGGAAAAAATAAAGACCTAGACATTTTTCATTTAAAACAAATAGCTATAAAACCTTTATAAACAGAAAGAAACCAAAGATGCAAATAATAATGATTTCAAAAAAGTCAATGATAACAGCAGGAGAGAAAAAGTAACTTTATTTTTACAGGATTTTTCACCAACCAAACTCAGCATGAAGAAAGATTGTCAGCATGGCAAAACCCATTAATGTATAAAATCAAAAAATAATAAAAAAGAATGATAAAACCAAATAGTTTGAGAAGATACTAAAGAATTTAAAGAAGAATGGAATCAAAAGACAGACTGGGGTTCAATAAGCTTAGACTGTAACCCTGGGGATTGGACTGAATGTAAAAGAATCAGAAGTTGTGCTTGAATGAAGAAGTTTTAGCACTACATGGAAGCAACTGTAAGTTTGCTCAGTTCAAAATAATAACTAGAGACTTTCTGTTGTTCAAAGGAAATTGATAATAAGCTCTGCTTCCATGGATTCTACCAGATCAGACAGGAAACATGTCTCTCAATATCAATTTTGAAAACATATATCTGAGGGTAATCTTCTGCTCCTACCGACCGAAAGATAAGGGAATATTTCTTCTTCAGTAACTGTAAACTCAGGAATCCTGGGGATATTCTTTAATAATCATTGTTCAGGAAGATATTGATAATGAAACACTGTTTGATCCTTTTTTGGAACCAGAGATATCCACTGTACGACAATACATGCTAGCAGGCATTTCAAACACACACACACACACACGCACACACACATTTTAAAGTAAATATTGGGACCCAAATTATATTGTGTACTAAATAGAATGTGTATGAGGCATAGCACTCAAACTGTACCCCGTTAGCATAAATATGCTCACGCTTTTCCAGGTTACTCTTAACTTTTCAGAAAAAATAAAGATCTTCTCATAATATAGTTTAAGCCACTAGCCTTTGTAATTTTTCCTACTTTCCAAAACATGTTTAATGCTGATTTTTTTTTCTTTTACTTCTCTTTGTTACTCCAGTAATAGGGTTATTTTATCTTTAAGCCTTGGAATTTATTCCTGGATTTTACTTACTATAGATCATCTTAAAGTGACACAAATCCAGTTTAAATTTATGCCCCTGGCCTCTAATCACGTACATGTTTTGAGTAGGGTACATTTTTATCCTGGGGTTATAATGTTCTGTTTAATTATCCTGAATGACTTCCTATTTGGTATCTTCTTCATCTCCTTCCCTCTTATGTAATTTGTGCTGTGGCTTAATTATCTCTGTAAAATTTGATTTCTCATCTTCATCATGCTTTCTTCAACGTATCAGGGGTTATCAATCAACCTTGCTGGATGTACATCTTCAACTTTCACCATCTCATCATCAAAGTGGCAGGGATGGATATTTGAAAGGGGATATCAGAAATTCTTCTTTTTTCCTAGGGGAAGTTTGTTTTTAAGTGTATTTTCAGGAAACTTCTTTTTCAAACAGAAACATGGCATGAAAAGAGACCAAAGGATTTCTGATAGAATGTAATTTAAGAAAAGGAAAAAGCTATGATAAGACCTATGAAAGATGAAGCTGTCATTGTAATGTGGATTCTGAGCACTAGGCTTTATGTGTCAGTGGGTGAGTGAAGTCTATACCAAGCATCATGCTCATTACATGTACTATT
The DNA here is from genome assembly GCF_000001405.40 of Homo sapiens. NCBI lineage: Eukaryota > Metazoa > Chordata > Mammalia > Primates > Hominidae > Homo > Homo sapiens. The sequence continues at coordinate 85,547,759 of NC_000012.12, forward strand.
CTTCAAAAATCCTGTGTTATTAAAATAGCACTCCAAATATATTGGGAGAGCTACCTGAAACAGAGTCTAACTGGTACTGTGATCATTATAACTAGTACTCTCCTGGTGTTCATTCTTAAGTACTAGTGTTAATTCAGATGTTAATATTGGATATTGTATATTCAGTGCCCTGTTAGAGAATTTTTTGCTGGTACTGAAGAAACGCTATTTTTTCTACTTGTATTCTTTATTTATTTTATTAACGTAACATTTAATATATATAAAATAGTATTTAGTACAGTGGTAGGGTATATGCATAACAGTATGATAGAATCATAAAAGACACCTGCCTAATGCAGGTACTGAAATATTTTCAGTAATAAGAATCTACCAATGTGCCCCTCTTTTATTCTATTTCCCTATCTTCCTGTTTGGTAAAAATAATATTATACTGACATAGTCTTTGGGTACTTTTTAAAAAATATGGGTCTAAAATTCATCTATACTTTTTTGTATTGCTCTACTTCATTCATTTAGTTGTTTTTTGATATGTCGTGGTTTCTCTGTGCTTTACTTAATAGTTTTATTGTCAATGGACATTCCCAAACTCTAGTTTCCTTGGGCACGGTGTTGTATAAATGGGGCTAGTCATAGGGAAAAGGTAACTAAGATAAAACCTACTGTTTAATATCATCTTGCTGCAGCGTGTTTGATCATGGTTAATAATCCCAGGAAATGTGAATTATTCTAATGGTTCTTGGGCTCATATGACATGTATTTTGAGTACCATACTCTCTCAGATTATAGTAAGTCTATAAATATAATAGATGTAATACATTATACATTATGGCACTTTCTATCCACAGCAGGTAAAAAATCTAGCCCTTGAGAGATTAGCAACATTTACCAAATAAGATAAAATAGCATTTATTTAACACTAAGTGTACAGGATGTTAAAGTTACTCTTGCTATAGATAAATGATGAAAAACTCTTTATGGATACAGAATACATGTTAATATTTAAACAATTGAGGAAGCTGTTTTCAGCTTGTACTCCAAGAAGGAAAAGTAGTTTTTTTCCACAAAAACAGCTTGAAAATATCCCTAGTCGTTGCGAAACTGCCTACAAATACAATGGAAAGGAAAATATAGACCCTTTACAAGGAAGCCCAAGCTTAGTTTAAAAAGAGAGACAGTAAGCCATCAGCAAATTTAGCCATTTTTGTTAATCAGCAAATCAGCAAATCAGCAAAACTGAGGCCTGATATTTTGCAGAGCCTGCTGGAGGAAGTCAACAACTCCCACAGAAATCAACTAATAAAAATTCAAAAACAAAGACTGCATGAGGTGAGCATTAAAACTTCCCATGTTTAGCAAAAAGAGTTCTGAAATAACAAATAGCATCCCAACCAGGTAGTTTAGAGCAAGGTAATGTGGTACTTTCTAAAGACAATCCATTTAATAAGAAAAATGCAAAGTGTACAAAAAGAATTACAACAGTTTTTCCTCTGATAGAAATGAGGTTGGCATTATAATCCCTCCATATATTATTGTACTTTATAGTCTGTCATATATATATGCTTTAATTTCAAAGTCAATTTTATTCACTTTCAAGAAACACTTTAGTCACCTTCATAAACCCCCACGTTTAAAAAAAAATTTAAAAAAAAGGCTCTAGATGTCAAAAACATACAGGCGCGTGGATGGATTGAATGACCACAGCCAAATTCTAAGATTTGAAGTTCCATTACTTGGAGTGGGTGTAGTTAGGCAAGCATCCCTTTCTTAGACAGTACCATGTCTCTGCCACTTAATTCTCTCCCATATGCTTACAAAAAACATTGTTACATAGTCAGGAGGAGAAGCTATAGAGCTTGGAACCATTAGTTTAGTTCTCTTTCTTCCACCATTGCTGCCTAAGTGCCTGTTCCAATTGTTAACAATATTTGTGAAAAATAAAATGTTGACATCCTTTGCCCCTAAAGCTATATGTCTATTTAACTAAGGTAGCTTTGTACTTTAACCCCAACTAGCTATCTTTAAACATTACATCATTAGTTACAACATAGGTTGAGTGAGAAATCATGAATGGACGTGAGCCATTCATGATCATTAAAGGAAAATCAACTCCAATACAGTCTATATTGCTCTTAGGCAATCTGTATCATGTTTGCGCCCAGAGTTGTGCATTACATTATATGATATCCTTTGCCAAGGACAATTGAAAGTCTTAAACATATAAAGGGTTATTGTACAAAGGATGCTGTTAAGCAGTCAGCCATCTGTATATGAGCTTAAATTTTAGCTGCTGGGATTTAGGATGCTCACGATCATTGCTGTTATTGACAGAACATTCCTGGAGTATGGATCAGCAGACAGGAGATGTTTGAGAACATACTAATGTGGGATTAGGAGCACTGGCACTGAAACAGGTTTCCAAGGGAAACTTGTAGATCTCCTTTCCTGGAACCTTTTGATCGACGCCTTACCATCTGGCATAGCTAAAATCTGTCCTGCCTGAAGCAGAACTGATGATCTAATGTCTAGAGGTCGCTTCCAAGCCTATGACAGAGAACTAAATTCAAGACAATACAAAGAACAAAGCATGGTGTCAAATAAATTGTTCATATTCTTCTTAAGTTCTCAATTCCCTGCAGCAACAGATGAATCTGAACAATAGTTATAGAAATAAAATAAATAATCTCACAATTAACTAGGGTGTACATTGCATTGTGACTATTATGTTTATCATTTAATCATAATTTAAGCTAGATATCACAAAAGGAGAAACAGACCTGGTAGTGAAAACCTTATTATACTGATTAGAATGTCTTTCTATGAGGTATTGTGGAATGATGGTGATGATTTTACAAGCTAAATTACTAGGTTTGAGGAGTTCCAGGCACGTGTAAGAGTAAGTGCACTAGACTTCCCTAATAAAGCTTTCTTTTTCTTGTATTTTAACACAAGGGTCTGGTTCTGCACTATCTTGGCCTCACGTTTCACACACTATAGAAACTTTTCACAGCAGCCCTATTAAAGAAGTGCTTAAACCCCAAGCTTTGTTTTCCCACTGCTTTTACCTTAAATTAGATCTTTCATTGTTTTCTTTCCTTTTGAATACATTCATCCAGTGATTATTTGATCACCTTGGAAGAACATTATACTGTCTGAAAGATATGTACCATGCTGACTTCACTTACGCCATATTGCACTCACTCTGCAAGCTCTTCAACAAGACATGCTATGAAATCACCTACTCTCTCTCACTGTTTCAAACAGACCTTTGCCACTGCAGATCAAGACTTTTAAAGTTCACTTCCTGACTTGCAGCAGCTCTTTGAATGTTTTCCAAGCTTGCAAGCATGCTGTTGTAAAGTAAAAGTGAAGCTTTTAAAGTTTGCACAGCAGCAGGGATTCACTCCTTTAATGGAGAAAATTCAAATTTGCAATCCCAAACTGGCAACTTGGGGTGTCACATTTCCCACAATCTGTTGTGAGGCCTGCAGGTGTGACAACTTTGCCACATGTTTAAATGAGCACTACTGCTCCTCCTATATGCTGCAGAATTGGCGATTTATCTCCTTCTGTTCAATTTGCTTTCTGCAGATCATTTTCAGAAACCAATTTAGAGGAATGCACTCTAATCCAAGGACATTTCTGCTTTATTTTCCTTTCATTGTGAATCTCTTGATAACCCCGACCATTTACAGGTAAACCAAGTATTATTCCCATGCATTTAATAAAACCGCATCACATCAAACACAGACTGGAAATCAAATCTCAGATTTCAAAATAATAGTACAGATAGGGTTTCTTTTGATTCACTATTATCTTACTTCTATCTCTCACCTAAGCTTAATATAGGAGATAGTAAGGAAGCAGTAGTACAAATAGAATATTTAGAATCACAGAACCAAGAACTTGGTCAGCTGCTGTGTGATTTTGTCTAAGCTGCCTAACTTCTCAAAGCCCTATGCTCCTATCTTCAAAATAAGAGAGAAATAGGGTTCATGTGAGAAACAAATGAGATTACATAATCTATTTAGCCAATGAACCATTCAGCAAACATTTATCAAGGACCAATTTGCTCTATGGATCAGATTAAGGGGGAATACAATACAAAAGACAAAATATTGATCCAAAGTGAAAACACCATGTTAATCTTAAAACACTATACTTTTATCAGATGTTGCTGTTACAATCTAAATTGGAAGCCCCAAACTAGCTAAGGAGTCAATAAACTGTATTGATAATCTTACCATTTTAAATCACAGTAAATATACAGTGATGCAGGTAGTAAAAATATGAAATTTGGGAGGTAATTTTATGTTTTGTATTAGAAATTCTGGAAAAAACTGATGAGAAAAAAATATTTTTCTTGTTCCAATCCTGAAAACATACAAGCAATTTTGTGTCAAATTATTGTTATAATGGCAGATAATAGCTCCAAAGTTTTATTGTTGTTTATTTCCAATGCTGTTGAGTAAATGTACGCCTGGATTTAGCAAATACATGAAATACAATATGCCCTCAATGTTCAATTGTATCAAAAGAAAATGTAATGCAATTCCATTTTTTTTTCTCTTCACAATGAAGAGAAAATCAAGACAACATTATTAGACACAGTTTGGCCCAGCCCTGTGCTAGGCTAACATAAAAACACAAATTTTATGATTAGATACTTTACAATTGATTCTAGAGAAATAGGCTTGACATATATGAAACAACTAATATACAGTGTCACATGTTAGGGATAGTACACAAACTTCACGAAGATTGCAAACTCAGAAATATTTTACTAGTAGACAATGATTACTGTAAGGATTTTCAATGAAGATTTCACTAGAGGATAAATCCCACTCTTCAGGATTAATTGGGTTTCTCCGCTAGCTCCCCTGCAAGTTTCTGATTCAGTAGATCTGGAATGTGATTCCATAATTTGCATTTCCAAGAAGTTACCAGGCAATGTTGATGCTGATCTGGGAACCATTCATCCTAGGATGAATCCTATAAGCAATTAACAAACAGGACAAATGTTTTAGTCTCTTTGTATCTCTGGAATGAAATTGACGGCAAGAATATATAGTGGCTTACATTTTGTCAATCATCTTTTCTTAAGATAGGCGATAGATACATGGGAGTTTCATATACTGTCATCTATATTTGTGTGCAAAAGTTAGTTTATAATTTCAAAAATGGGAATGCCATAAAGAAAATTATGCTTAATAATACAGTGTTATATAGAAATATAATAAGTTGTATTGTGCAGAATGGATTTAGTGGGAGTGACAGGAGAAAGGTAATAAAGATGCCTGTTGAGAGGTTATCATTCATATTTGCTTCATAGCTACTGGATTTCTTGTTATTTCTATGACCTTTCTAAACAATGTTAGCATAGCACTCCACTTGGAGTTAATCGTCAGGAGAGTGTTTTTCAGTGGCTTATATAACGTTAAAATTCACTGACTTTATTATTATAATTAGCTAATCAATTGAAGTTGAGTTTGCTTACCTGATAAAATTGGCATTGCTTAATACCTTAATATCTTGAGGTGAGGGATGGGGTAGGTAAGGAAGAAACTCAATAACACTTGATTTTATAGCATTACATGCAAATAATTAAATATTAAATTTAAAAATTCAATAATTTTCCTCTCTATAGATATACCTGGCTAATATTGTCAAAAATAGCTTTACTTGCAAAATTAATTATATTTTAATTTGTGGGTTATATTATTAATATTCTGATACTGTCATGGATGCAATAAGCTAAACATGTAAGAATCTTTAAAAAGAAATAAGAAAAATTTCACTAAATGAGTTATGTATAATTTTTAAGGTGTTTTTGCTATTATGACTTCCTGTTAGTCTCATTATTCACATTTCTCAATTGCTTTTGTGTACTACTAGTTATAGGGAGATAGGTTCTTGGCTGTGAGTCTATATATATATATACATTTATATATATATATAATATTGGTAAATGTTAGATGATCAGTTATCAAAATTCAGTAATTTAAGCTTTGCTAGCATCTAGTGAATAATGAATTCAAACAAAGAGATAATTCTTTAGTAACTGGTTTAAACTCTGGATCAATCTAATTGAGGCTTTCTTATCAATATCAACTTTCATTGTTAAGCCAACTTGCACATTAGGGAAAATAATTTTCTCTTTCTATTAGCTATTACTGAGCTACTACTGAGGTGAATGGTGGTGTGATTTTTATTTTCAGCCTAGCAAATAGAGCACTTGAGAAAGCAAATTTTGTGTTACATAATCACATAATGCATTTCAGTGTCTAACATAAGTTTCCTTTGAACTCTCAGCTCTTTTGGGATAATGGCTTAGCTGCTTTCTGATTTTAATTTCGTCTATGATTTTAGAAAGAGTCCAAAGTGGTGATGATAAAGGTCAAAGTAATTTCCATGGCGCCTGATAGCCAGTGAATGTTTGCAAGCTCTTATTTAAATGTGACCAATTGAAACACACTTACTAAGATATTATGAAAAATGATGACGATGATGGTGATGATGATGATTTGAATGCTGAAGCTATAACTGATACTTAGATATGTAGGCCAAATTGAAGATATGTTGAATTAGAGACTTTAACCTAACCAGTCTTTTAACTATCTTTATGGAAAAAAAAGTTAAATAATTATAGATAAATAATGAAAAGGAAATCTTCACATACGGTAGTACATTGTGGAGATAAAGAGCATGAAAACAGGGACCAAACTCTTGGAGATCAAACCCTCGCTCTGCCTCTTACTGGCTGCATGATCCTAGGCATGTTACACATCCTTCTCATCCCTCAGTTTTCTAATATATAAAAGAAGGATAATGATAGCACATGTCACATAGAGTTGATTTGAGAATTAAATGAATCAGTTTCTAAAGCACTTAAAGCAGTGCCTGGAAGACAGTAAGAACCAATTGAATGTTTGTTAAGCAAAACACTTTGAGTAATAAAAACAACCTAGTATGGATAAACCTGACGTAGAGATTATGAGTCTTGGTTTTAAACAGGTTATCAAATTCTTCCAAGTTCTATTTAATAATTTACTCTCATGACTTCCCTCTATTTCCTGCTTGTTCTCCAAATTTGGATGTAAACTCTATAGATTTATAATAGAGGTATTTACATGGTAAATAATTACTTTATAGTTAAAATATTTATTGCCTGATAGTTATTCCAACATTGTTTTATAAAAATGTAATAAACTATTCTCTCTGTCATAAAATATGTAATCAACAATTGGCGTATATGTATCTCTTATCAAGTAGGAATGCCAAACTAGCTCACCTATTTAATTTGTTTTAAATAAGGGGATTATTAACATTGTATTGTCTTAAATTTCAGTTACACAGGAGAAATAAGTTTACTCTTAAACTATATTGTACATTATATATTGTACAACATAGTGACTACACAATGTATTGTATTCTCAAAAAATGCTACGAATGGATGTAAAGTGTTTTCATCACAAAAATAAGTGTGTGAGGCAATACATATGTTAATTAGCTAGATTTCATCATTCCACACTGTATATATACTTCAAGACATCATGTCGTACATGACAAATATCCATAAATTTTATCTGTCAATTTAAAAATAAAAAAAAAAACACTCAGGTTGCAATCTATCTGCTGGAATTAAATGCAAGGTCAGGAATTAGCAACCTACTATTTTCATGGAGGATCATGATTAGATATTTGTGTATAACCTTAGTGATAACTACAGTCCATAAAATATAAAATTGTAAGATGATAAAAAGTTATATTGCCCTTAATATTTTTATTTCTATACGCAAGAGTTTATCAAGTTGTAAAGAGTTACATACCCCTTTTTATCTTTGGAATAAAAAAAGAATTGTAAAATTGTAAAATTTATCAGGTGGAAGAGACTCTATGTTACGTAGTTTGTGTTCAGAAACTGGCCTCATGGACATATAATGGCCTCATGGACACTTAATTGCAAACCAGGTCTTGAATTGTAGGATTTGCAGAAATCGCATCTGATAGTTTTTCCTTCGTCTTCTTCAACTTCCACATGCACACATAGTGTAAGAATTAGTACTTCTTCAGTCATTATTATGTGCAGCATACTGTTTAACATATTTTCCGTATTATTAGGTTGGTGCAAAAGTAATTGCAGGTTCTGCAATTGAAACTATTGCAAAAACCGCAAATACGTTTGCACCAACCTAATAACTCATGTTATCTTCACAAACACCTTATGAAATTGTCATTGTTATTATCCTGATTTTACTGATGAGAAAACTATAAAAAAGAGCAAACTAACTAACTTGATCCAAAATATAGAGAAAGTGGCAGATTTGGTAGTTTGACTTAGGCAGTTCAACTTCAGAAGCCAAGCTTTTAATCACCAACATACACTATCTCTTCCACATGTTATCCATTGGATCAAAGATGAAATCCATGACAACCAGTTTAAGATGCAACTAAGAGTAGTCAGTTTCTGAAGCGGTTGCACCCATACTCCTCTTTGGGAGCTTAGGTGGAAGAACTTGATTGAATTATCACCATTCTTAACCTTGACAGAGAAGTTCAACCTTGTAGTCAATGTATCTTAATTTCTAATACAAAACAGTAAATTAGGCTTGAAAAAAATGTAAGATGCTTACATGATATTACTTTCTTTCAATATCTTTTAAGTCTCATGTTATTGATGCCTAAGATATTAGGCCCTATTTTAGCAACCTAATTTTATTACTTTAAAGACTTGATATATACTTTATTTCATTATCAGTCAATATTAAAAGCTATAAAAGTGTGAGTTTTTAAAAAATAAGCAGTCAAGGACTTATAATTTAAATATTTGAGAAAATGTGGTTCATAAGCTTCTAATAGCAATTGGTTGTACTTCTATGTCTCTCCTGTCTTTTTTTAAAAAAATTTTTAGGCTTTACCATTTCTTTTGTCTTGGTCTATGTTTAGGCATAACATGGCAGAATAATTACAATTTTTATAATAGCTTATCCTTATTCTTTCAAAGAAACTTGTTATATGAAATGGTGTGTTTTCATTTTTAAATGCTCCAAATATATTGCATACTAAAAACTCTTAAGAAACATTGTCATTTTCTCTTTTCATATTTTGTAAAACTAATATGAATTTTACATATTCATATTATGAATGTAAAAACTTCATAATTTTAGAACTGAAAGTGACTGCAGTTAACTAGTCCTAAGCCCTGATTTTTTTCAAATTGGAAAACTAAATTCCAAATAGATTAGATTACATTCCCAAATAAATCATCCTGGTTTGTGATACATATAAGATACTTGACTGAAAGATGTCTTGCATACTTGGTTGAATTTCTACTCTCATATTTGAGAAGAAAACGTGAATACCTTTTTTTCAAGATGCAGAGTATATGAATGTATAATTTTAACTGAATCTTAATTTTAATTGTATAATCTAAGAGTTAAAATAAAAGCATGGTTCAGAATAAGATGAAAACCACTTAGATTAGCGGAAATTTTCCCAATAGGCTTTGAACAGCTCAGAGAAGTTAATCTTAAAATATCTCAAGGCAGGTACTACTGTGTTTCAGCAGACACTGTTCTTGTATCCCACAAAACAGTAACTGTTATACCATGTTTTTCATATGAAATATACAGCCAGAAAAAAAATTCACATGTTACTAAGCACAAACAAATGTATTATTCCGTATGTTGGAGACATTGTGGTTTCTTTTAATTTTTAAAAAATCCTTTTTGTTTTTGAAAATAAAATACTAATTAAAAAACTTTTGTAAGAATACATTTTTAATGTGTGTTCTAGCATTTAATAAATTTAAACCACTATTTTAAAATTACATTAAAAAGGTTTTATAACAATATATCTTCTTCCTGTACTCAAGCATTCTGGAAAGCATTTAAACAAAGATCATAATGCCAGTTTTCTTCACTTTTAAATTTGTGGGGTATATAACTTACACTGGAGTCATATCAAAATATCAAGAAAGATTCATAACAAATCAGAAGTAACTGTGAAAATGTCACCTGATGCAGAAAGTCAGGTTGTTGTAAAGAGAGTACCTTATTATAATATTCAGGAAAAAATTCTCATCAAAATGAGAAGTTGCTGTATCATAAAATTTAAATCAACCAAAATTATTGAGTAAAACTATAATTATACTTAAGTCAAAGGAAAAAAAAACAGTCTCCTAGAGTGATGTTTGTAATTGGGCCGAAAATGTTTCTCTGAATAAAAATCTAAAAGTAGAACTGAATTGTATTATAACTGTTTTATGACAGATGCTAATAAAAATATATGGCCAGAAAAGTCAACATAGGCATCAAAAACATTAGGAAACACAGCAGAAATTTTATAGTGTGGTCTAAATATAATCTACATAGAAGTTTTATGATTAAATTTTTTCTGGTAAATATGTAATTTTGTTTTCTGTTCAACAATTGTTCAGTGACTTGTCCAATCTAAACTACAAATTAATTGAAAGAAAGCTTAACTGTATAAGCTGAAGAAGCAGACAATAAATTTATTATGTAGAAAGTAGACACAGTAAAAATAAAATAACATGTGTTTTATCTTTTATCAGCTAAGTAGTAATCATATCTACAGTATACATGTAGTATTATGTATCATAAAATCAATTTAGTTTGTTTTACTAAGGAAGTTAAGTGGATATGTAAAGTTAAGCTGGATTTCTTTCATTCTCAGGGGCTGAACATCATTAGATATGACTTTTTTTAAGCAGATGTGGTTTAGTGACTAAAAAGACTTCAAAATGCTGGTTTTTATGTAAGCATTTTAAGCAGCTGGCTCTTTTTCTTAATAAGAGAAAGTTTTTCACAAGAGACATTCATTTGAAGTCATTGTGAGAAAGGAGTAAAAAATTTAGGGCTACTTATCTGGGAAATAACAACAAAAATAAAAAGAACTCCAGTTGGAGCTGCATATGAATCCTTCAGAAATTTTTCAAAGTGGACACTTCAAGAACTTGACACATATGAATTAAAAATATAAGAGCTGATTCAAATATGTGGTACCCAACTGGAAGGAGGGTGGTATAATTGTGGTGACAGCTTAAATGATCTCTGAAAGCTGTCAGTATGGCCTCATTCAGGGAGGAATAAAGGTTTTTCAGAGAGTTCAAGCTTAACAGTTGAGGGAACAGTTATAATATGAGATGTGTCAGACTAGCTGGGAGGACAGTCAGTACTCAGTAAAAGAATGAAAAGAAAAATACTAGAGGATAAATAATATTGGGATTATTAGTGCCCATCACTTTGTAAATGTTTTTCTGTGTTTCTGAGACTATTAGAGACATTTCCTTTATCATGACATTACTAATATGCCATAGTCATCTCTTTATCACAAAAATGTTTGGGATGTGGATAATTTCATATTTACAGCCTAACCAGTGTATTCATCATCGTATACTAAGTTGTGATCCAGTCCTTCTCTCTTTTTTAAGTTATTATAAAACCACTAATGAACAAAATAATGGTTTTTATCTTCTCCAATTAAATTGGCAGGTAGGCATATTTTTACTATCAGAAGGAGAGTACGCTCAGTGTACTCTATGAATAGTTTCATTTATAGTTTCACTTTTAACAATAATGTTAAAACTAAGCTAGTTAATTCATGAGAATGAGTAAGACAATTGTGAATATATTGTTATTCAATTTGGTAGAAGGAAGATGTCCCAGAACAGGCAGCTATAGTCTAATTTCCAGATATTTCCATTTAAAATAATTTTGACTCCCATTTTTTCTATTGTAGGGTACATCTTGTCATTTTGTTGTCTAGCTAGCATCAATACCACTCCTTATTTTGGTACTAGAACCCTGATTTTATTTTATAAGTAGTATTGTTGGGATTGTCTACTTCAAGCTTATATAATATCTAAATTGAACTGCTAATGAAAGTGATTGTTTTCCCTAGTCAAAGGGTAGTCAGATTATCTCTCCTGGAAATATGAACTTTGAGCCAAATGTAGATTCAAAGTTAATCACTGTATTTGAATGAGATCATCCAATGGTTCCTGTTACTAAGATCTCATGAGCCATGCTAGTTCTTATCCTCACCAAGGCCTCATTCTTCAATATTTTCTTTTATTTTGTGACCTAACCTACTTGCTTTCAGTTGTCACTTTTTTCCTAGGTTGAGCCAGCCTGATTTACTTTACTTTCCACTGAATAAATTGAACTGATTCATCTTCATTACATTCATTCACTCCTATTAGTTCACTTATTCATCTAACAAGTATACAGTGAACAGCAGATGACTAAGATGTAATTGTGAAAATATAATTTCCCCCTTAAGAAATTTGACATCCGATATAATAGACCAGCAGTGGGCAAACATTTTTGTAAAGAGCTAGATAGTCAATATTTTAGGTTTTGTGACAATATGATCTCTATTGCAACTACTCCGCAGGTGTAGTGCAAAAGTACTTATAAGCATTGTATACATCAAAGAGAGTGGATGATTTACATTATTACTCTATTTAAAGATATTAAAATATGCATTTCATAAAATATTTATTTGTCCTGAAATATTATTCTTCTTTTGATTTTTGTCAACAATTTTAAAAAGTAAAAACCAAAAACCAACCAACCAAAAACATTCTTAGTTTGTGAGCCATACAAAAACAAGCAGTAGACTGGATCATGCTGATCTCTGAGATGGACCTAAAAGAGAACAGTTATTTGTGAGCCATAAAATGAAGTAGTAAAATTTGGATAAGGAGGATGTCTTAGCAGTAAATGGAAAGTAGCATGGGGTTTTAGAGGTAAGAACCTAACTCAGTATATGAGGAAATAATGGGTTGGGGGAGGCCTTTCTGAAGGAATTACATTTAGATGTACTTGAGAATAGAGTAGGAATAAGCTAACAAAAAAGAAAAAAATAAAGTATTCAAAGTAAATGGAACAGTGACTATTAATGCTTACAAGAAAGGCAGAGAATCACAACTTAAAATGGCTGGATGCTTGGACGATGTGAAAGAAATAGTTACAAGAGGGGTTGGAAAGTAAAGCTAGAGGCTTAAGAATGGCCTTGGCGCTCAGTTATCTTGAAGCCTATTCAACATGTGCTTAGGGGAACCAGCAAAGAGAGTCAATTCCAGAGTGGGAGGTGGCGATGGGAGTAAGGGAGAATGCCTCTGAAGGAGAGCCATTAAAGATTAGTTGCTCACTCCTGTAATCCTCGCACTTTGGAAGACCAAGGCGGGCAGATCACTTGAGATCAGGAGTTCAAGACCAGCCTGACCAACATGGTGAAACCCCGCCTCTACTAATAATACAAAAATTAGCCGGGGGTAGTGGCACCAACCTGTAGTTCCAGCTACTCAGGAGGCTGAGGCAGGAGAATCACTTGAACCCAGGAGGCGGAGGTTGCAGTGATCTGAGATTATACCACTGAACTCCAGCCTAAGTGACAGAGCCAGACTCTGTCTCAAAAAAAAAAAAAAAAAAAAAAAAAAAGATTTGTCATTATCATTGTGAGCAAAAATGAAAATTGTTATATTTCCTAATATTAATATTTTATATTGTCATTTTGTATGGTATTTAATTTAAATTACTTATGGAAAAGAATGCAAAAAAATTAAGGGCTTCTACAATTTTAATTTAGATAAACTTAAAACTTAGGTTAAGTGTTTTAGAATTCAATTTAAGAGCAATGGGGTAAGGGAGTCACTGCCTTTAAGTGGAGAAACTACATGATTTGATCTTTTTTGAAAAACCACTCTGGTTTTCATGCAGAAAAACAGATCAGTGGGAAAAAGAGAAGAGAGTCAAGGATATGACTGAAGGAACTTTTGCTATCATTTTCTGTTGGACACATGATGACTTAAAATAAAAGGCAAGGAGGTAGCAACACAGACAAGTGGCCCCATCTCTAGTACTATTAAACAGATAGATTAGAAGACCCTTACTGATTCACAAACATGAAGAATTATTGTGAAGATGGAGGCAAGGATAACTATTAGGTCTCTGATTGGAACAGTTCTATGGATGTCTCCACTACCTGGAAACAGGAGAAAGAAAAACACGTTTTGGAGGGAAAAGAGTTCAGATTTGACATATTTAATCTGGTGTGCATGTATTTTTAAACTTCAAGATAAAGATAGCAAGTAGGTCACTGGATATATCAGAAAAGTGATCTAGGCTACAGCAAAAACTTTGCTGTTTAACACAATATTTTGAAAATTCATTTAATTGAATTTGTCAAACACATTGTGTGTCCTGCATTTTACTAAACAAATTACATGCATTGAATTAATCTTCACAATAATACAGGGTGTAATTGTTTTTACTACTATTATGACTACTACATTATGAGTTATAAAGGTTAAGTTACTTGCCAAAATTATTAAAGCTAGTAGTAAATGGAAAAGATGTGATTCAAGCATCAGATTTGTTAGATTCCAAAAGAAACACTTTTAATCACCATGCTGAATCAAACAAGCATGATATGAGAAGCAGTTTCCTTCCAGGTTGAGGGAAATAATTCAAGGGAGAACAGTAAGGCAAGATCTTCTAACTTTTGGAAGGCATTTTTGTAATTGTTTTTCCAAGAATAATGCAGTTTGTCAGGTCTTGTAAAACAATTCTAATAAGTGAAGCAAACAATAGACTGCTTATAAATGGAATCCCTGTAAATCTACCTAAAGGTGATCAGTTTATGAAATGTTAGTGTAACCTTGGGTACTTTCATACATTGTCCATAAATTCACCCAAGTTAGCTAGTATACTTAATAGATTTTCCCAACCCAAATCATGACTGGTAATAATTATTTTGACCATTTTAAAACACACTTAATTCAAGGTCTATAATTAACAAAATAAGCATAGTAAGTACAATTGATATAACAATGATGAAGTATCTATAAGGGTTATATTTTGGGGGGGTTGGCAGGGTAAATCAGCTTAGATCAAGATTTTTCTACAGACACACAAAAATTGTGTAAACATAGTTCAAAGAAAAATGACTATCCCTTTTTTCATTAAAATTCAAACAATGTGTTAGATGCTAAATACTACATTAATGTATAAATTATGCAGCATACACTCATCTCCCCTGTCTTTCCACTAACATAGCTTACAATGCAGTAATAGTCATCATTTATCAGAAACATGATGCATGTAAATGCTTCCCATCCTCTTCTCTCTGTAGATAATTTAGATAGATTCCTGTCATTAGGTAATCGGAAGCTTTCTTGTTACATACATTTCATAAAGTGAATGACATGACTAAGCAGAGAAATGCACACCTCAATCTGGACTAATGTATAAGGGAGCTATTGGAACTAAAAATCGAATGTGTGATTCCTTTTCCATCAAGAAATAAATAGCAACTTGACAAACTGTAGGAATCATAAATTCTGTCTATATCAGGGTTTCTCAATTTTGACATTATTAATATTTTGAACTGGATAAGTATTTGTTGCAGTTTTCCCACAACAAATCCTATGCATATCCTATGCACTGTAGGATCTTTGACAACATCCCTGGACTCCATTCACTAGATGCTAGTGACACATTCTCAGCTGTGATGATCAAAAATGTCTCCAGACATTGTTAAATATCCCTTGGCAGGCAAAATTATCCCTGCTGAGTACCTCTTTTTAATATAAACTGTCCTAAATCACACTAGTGCCCATAATGTATTTACTTACATAGTTTTGCTTCACTTATTAGTTGACATCATTATCTAATCAGAAAAGAAGGATGCATCGAATATGTGTCATCTTTTGTAGCTAAATAGGATGAAATTGTTTAGTAAATATGAGATATAACAAACATAGCAGAATAATTTAAGATCCAGGAAATTCAGCCATATGAAATTTGGCATTATATTTGATTAATCATAATTACTGTCTATATTTTTTTCTGTATAAAAGTTAACGTTCAAGTGGGTAACATTAGAGGATATATGTACGATAAGGAACAATAAAAATATAAAGGGAACAAGTGTTTAATATAATTGCTGTGCAAAAGAAAAGGGGAAATGGAAGTTGGCGAAAACAATTCTCAAATGCTCTTCTTCCAAGAAACAATTTTATCAGAGCTCACTCCTGAGAAAATGTAAGTAATATATCGTGGAGTAGACTATTCTTTATAACACAGATAGATTATTACACTCTGGATCAGACAGGAAAATTATGCAATCTTGTTGAGCAGTTAGAAGCCTTGGAGTAAATGACAGTAAAGTTTTACTAAAATAAGATAAATTAGCTAACATAAGAGACAATTTTAATTCATTAATGCCAAAAACTCTCTGCAAAACGTATTTATCACTAAAATAAGCTTTCAGATTCTGCATGAATTGTTTTTTGAGATGAAAGAGAAAGAGTAGTAGGAATAAGGTAATCTTCTTCTTTTTTTTAGCAGACTGGAAGTAAAGCTGATCTCACAGATTTAAATTCTCAAATGAAAATCTAACCATTTCAATAAACTAAAATGCAGTGGATATAGGAGATAATTGTTTTTAATTACTTATTAAAGTCACATTAATTTCAAACATGCTTTTATCCATGCCCATAAGTTTCTCATGATGGTTTTGGAGCACTAAACAGAATTTTTACCTGAGGCTGATTTAATTTTCATTATTAAAGGCCAATTGCAGAAGCAGTTTTGTAGCCTGCAGTGTATTGCAGTTTTAGAATTGGAGACTGAAATTCTTGATCAAGTAATGAGAAGCCTGAAACACTGATTACTTCACTTGTGGTTTCATAAAATATTCTATTATTTTTATTTTTACATTATTGTATTTCTTTATTTAAAATATTGAGCATGAATATATGAAGAATCAAGTTAGAATTATTAAGTAGCAGCTTACCTTATTATTATATACTCAAATTATAATTACAACATTTAGAACATTTTTATATGCAACCTTATTTAATTCTCACAAGCTACCTTGCAAAACTAGCAGGAGACAAGTAGTTGCAATTCAGCAGATTCAAAACGTTAGGCTCAACTATATTTAGTGATCACTTAGAGTTAGTAATTAGAGGAGTTTGGGTCTACCATTTAAGGCAAATAAGCAACATCTTCAAAGTATACTGAAAAAAGCATAGGAAAAGTTATACAAATGTTAGTGGAACTTTACTTTGACCTCAACAAGCTTTATAAAGCCTGTTTCAGAAAAGATTCACCTATTCTATAAACCTGCCATGTTTAATCCTCTCTCTACGCTTTCCATCACGCTTTTGCTTTCAGATAAAATATCTTCCCCTTCCGCTATGACTGCACGCTCTCTGTTTGTGTATTACACTTCCAGACACATGTAGATTGCAAGATCTTCATGAATATTTTTTGAGTAATAGCTTTTTGTTCACTTCCTGCAGCTTTTAGAGTCATCACATTTGTTTTGCATCTAATTACATTACTGTTATTTGCTGTCACTTTAAGTGTGTTTTCCTCACCTCTTGAATTGCATTGTAATTTGTTTGAGAAAGGAATATGTTCATAGTTCTTCTATTTCCCAAAGAGTGAGTTGATGTTAATGTATATATTTTTAAATTATTAATATTATACTGGTTTTAAGTTTTACCTTACTGATATTTTGATGAGGTACCTTTTTCACCATATATTTATTGACATAAACTATCTTAAACCCGTTGGATTTGCCAACCCTTTAATCAACTCCTGTTAACCTCTCATTTTGTTGGCAGGTTTTATAGGCATATACACACAGAGACATAGGCACACTCACACATACACTTGCACATATACAGAAGTATCATGCCCCAAGCCTATGTTCTCAATAATTTGTTTTCTGCTGGTTGGCTGCCATGCCTTACTCTTAATTAATAGGTGGCTTTTCAACAGAAATATTATGCCTTGGGCATATTCATAAACAATGTGTCTTCTTATGAAGATTTAAAGGTTATAGTAATGAAAAGAATCTTGAATGTTAGAGAAGGCAGGGGCAGAAATTATTTTTTGTCAGGCAAATTCTTTGCTTACCACCAAGTTATACTACATTACTGTTTTAATTTATGCTTAGAATAAGCTTTCTAGGTTAAACTAGAAAACGAGTATATATATGTTTAAAGTCCAACTAAAATGAAAGTTTGGCACAATAATAATCATATGCTTGATCTACTTGTTTTTGAAGAAAATATACAATTATTTTTCCAACTTTTGAAACACAAGATTATACATGCTTATGAAGAATGCCCAAGTTCATTTCTAACTAGCTAGATGATGATATATTATATGAGACTTGGGGTTTAATTCAGAGGATTGCCTGTCATTTTTCCAGAAATGATTATCATTGTTATCACTAATGAATTATATATTCTTATTTATTGATTTATCTCAGGGAATATAGTATTTATAAGCAGAAACAAATGAAAAGTAAACTTAGTTCTACTTCATATTATAAATAGCTTTCATAATAAAATAATATGCACAAAATATTTAAAGGATTATAAATACATAAAGGATTCATTGTTTTAAAAAATTCTATTTTCTGTTGATTTTTAACATATATATTGCTTATTAAACATGGGTTGTTCTATTAATGGAAAATATGCATTTAAAAGTTTGTGTAAATTACTTTTTTGGATTGCTACTGTAATATATGTTCATGGTGGGGCAAAAAAGTGAAACTTAAATTTGAACACGAAGAGTGAATGCTACTTAATTGAGTCAGTGTCAAAGAAAAGTGTTGCAAACAGAGGGAACAACATGGGTGGAGACAGGAGGTGAGAGAGCATGAGGCTCCTGGGAGACTTTAAGAAATTCAATGCTGCTGGATGGTTGGAGAGGAAGTGGGAAGTGATACCAGGTGGCGATGATGAGACAGGTAGAAATAATTATTCTTGATTTCCTCAGTAACGTTATACCAGAGTTTACCATAATTTTGCATCATTATGGAAAATACATGGGAATAAGGCAGTTTTTGAGGCAGAATGACAAAATAAGCATCCACAGCAGCAAAATATAATAAAGAAAAATGTGTTGGTTTTTTGTTTGTTTGTTTTATATGTGGCCTAAGGGAACATGAAGAATCAGTGATGAAGCCCAGGCTTAGTTTTGTTTTATTTTGTTTTGTTTAGTTTTGTGGGGGCAGTTGTGTAGACTGCCCTGCCATGACATTTATTATGATAGAAGAGGAAAAAAATCTATTAACGGTGTTTCAGGGACAAAGAACTGGTTTGGGAGATTTTTGGTATAAATTATCTCTAAGAAAACAAATTAGCAATGTATAAAAGGCAATAGCTACCATTTTCCAATGAAATGAACCAGGGGTCCTTGGAGAAATGGCAGATTCTGGTACTAAGGCAATAAAATAAAATAAAAGAGCATCATACATATAGTGCCAGAAAGTAAGAAAAAACTCAAAACAAACAAACAAAAGAGAATGAGGTTATGTCAAAGTGACACAGGAACCAATTTAAAAGAGCTCTCAATGGCCAAAACTAGAATAACTTTAAAAATAAAATAAGCAAGGTAGTATTGAATTATAACTCAAAATATAAAATAAATATACAGAAATACATATTTATATGGCCAAATTATTGATTAAATGAATAAATGAAGGATAAGGTCAAGTCTTCCTCACAGAAGGGTCCCAAATGATATTTATAAGTACTCCCTTAATTAGAGCCCAGAAATAGGTCCATATAAATAGTCAATTGATCACTG
The DNA here is from genome assembly GCF_000001405.40 of Homo sapiens. Taxonomy (NCBI): domain Eukaryota; kingdom Metazoa; phylum Chordata; class Mammalia; order Primates; family Hominidae; genus Homo; species Homo sapiens. The sequence continues at coordinate 85,567,399 of NC_000012.12, forward strand.
ACATTGGAACAAAGACAATACAACAAAAAAAGATAAATCTTTTTAACAAAAGGTTCTGGAACAACTGGACTTCCACATAAAAAAAAAAAAAGAATCTAGATACAGACTTTACACTCTTTCCAAAATTAACTCAATATAGATCATAGACCTAAATGCAAAATGCAAATTTATAAAACTCCTAGAAGAGTTTTGAGGTAGAAGTGGCATCTTATCCCTGCCTGGCAATGGGAAGGCAACATTCCTTAAGCTCCAAGATGACTAGATCACCTTTGGAATATTGAAATTTTTATTAAGGGTGAAAGAAATCACATTTAGGCCCTATTTGACTTTAATCTAAAGTTAAATATATACACATAAGATTACTGGTGTCAAGATGTTAATTTCAAAACACTGTACAGTATTTTAATTACATGATGGAGCAGTTTCTTCCAGCATTGAAAGATTAAATGAGGGGTTGTGCACCCGAGTTGGTTGGTGCCATGCTGTCACATGATGCAGAGCAAGTTCTGTGGTACCTGTTCGAGGTGGAGGAGCTTGTTGAGGAGGTGCTGGTGGACAAACAGCAGATTGTGGATGTGGACACCGAAAGGAATAAAAACCCAGAGGGCCTGAGAGCCCTGCAGAATGGTCTCAGCCTCTCTGAAGATGTGGTTTGCCTCAGGAACATGTTTGTCAAGATGCCTCACCCTCAGGTGAAGGAAATGATTAAGAAAAATCAGGATCATCTGGATAAATAGAAATAATCCAAAAACAATGGGCCCAAGGCAAACCAGAGCCAAAGAGTTTTAACTTGAACCCCTTCAGTCAGGATGAACATAAAGCTCTCAAGTTCTTGAAAGGATGAGACACAAGAATAAGATGGGGTACCAGTGACCAGCTCCTCTACCTGGGGTCATGGAGGACCGAAGACCCTCCAACCTTGATGCCTGTAAGGACAGGCGCTCCTGTAAGGGATCAGGTGTAAAGAATCTGGCCATAGCTCCTGTACAAAGCCTCTTTGTCTGAAGTACTTGGGTGCTCTTTGACGGCAGGAGGGAACACAACCTGTCGGTGGCTGCTGGACCTCACCACGGGGGCTCAGTGGACATAAGATCTATTGACAGGCCCTGGCAGTCACCAGTGGGTGTGTGTGGCAGTGGCTGTGGGGTGTGAGAATGACTGCAACAGGCACTTCTCAACAATGACCTGCTGTTCACATGGGCCCTGAGCAGGGAGGAAGGGAGAGGGACAATGGAAGCTTTGTTCCAGCATTCCTCTTAGAAAGGGGAGAGACAATTTCAGGCAGGTGTAATGGAATTGGAATAAAGCAGGAGGCTCAAGGGTGGTTTCTGAGTAAAGGACAGAATCGTGGTGCTTTGTGGTTCACCACAGCCTTCCATGGGCAGACACACACATTTCTCCCTACTGCCTCCATTTTTGCCCCTTTTTTCCTACTTGCTTCCAAGAGTAGATGCTGCTTATCAGCCATCTGTGGCTGCTCTTTGGTCAGGAGGGTGTTGCAGAGTCCTGCACCAGGGATGAGTGAGTGGGTGTGCCCCTGAGCATATAACAGCATATAACGAGTGTCAAGAATGCTGCCCCACCACCTCTGAAAGCAGGGCCTGGCCAGCTCTGACTGCTCAGAGTACCTTCTGCCTTTAGTGGTCTGAGGTCCCAGTGTGAATGTGCTGTCAGGGCAAAAAAAAAAAAAAAATCAAATACGGATGGAAATACTTCTTCAACTTTGATTGTAAAAGTAATACAAATACATACCTAATGCTTCATGTCATATTTTATCTTTCTATTTAAAATCTACTATTAAACTAAGTTTGTTTGGTGATTTTTCTATGTCTTTGAATGATGATGGTCTTTCTACTCTGATAAATTATTCTCTATTAATGTAAATTACATGAAACTTTTCTTGGTTTTTATAGTTTTAATCTATTTAAACTTCAAAAATCTTCTGTCAACAGTTAACCTACTATTTATATAGAATTACAGAGTTATGTTTTATCTTGAAGTCATGCCATGTGACCTCAAGTAGAACAGGAAGCATACTGATAGTCATATTTTTAAAATGGGCAAGTGCCTACAAGTTGGGATACTTACAAAGGCTGGGATAAACCTTACCCGAAGCCAAGCTATGCTGGATTTAGTAATTTAACAACTGTTATTTAAATGCGATTAATTTTTCCCTTTAGAGTTTCTCAGGTATACATATGTATGTGTACCTGTATGTGTGTGTCTGCGTGTGTGTGTGATTATATTTGTGTAAGCAACTGAAAATAAATATTGAAACATTTAGACTGTAAGATCTATATAAAGGCTATGACCAATAACATTTTTCTGATGAGCTCTCTGCAGTTATGTTTTAGCACACTTCATGATTGTTACGTATGTTAGTTCTCTATTGCTGTATAAAATTTATCTCAAATAGTGGCTTAAAACAATATATATTTATTACCTTAAAGTTTGCATGGGTCAGGAATGTGGGCACAGCATAAGTGTGTCCTCATATTGATCTCAAAAGGCTGCAGTAAAGGTGACCAGGATTGTATTCTCATCTGGAGCTTGAGATCCTCTTCAAAATCATTCAAGTTTTTTGCAGAATTCAATTCCTTGTGTTTGTGAGATTGATGCTCACAGTTCCTAGAGGTAACCTTCTGCATAGGTAGTTCAGAAAATGGCTGTTTCTTCTTCAAGACCAGAAGGCAAGAATCCCTGCTGCTTCGAGTCTCTTCTTTCGGGGAATGCCTGGTTCTTCTTTTAAGAGGCTTTCTTGGTTATGTCAGGTCCTCCCAGGATGATCTTCCTTTTTATTAGAAACCTTATGTCTGCAAAATTCCTTTACTTTGCCATATTCATGGTTAAAAGCGAGGTAAAGTTTCTGTCTGCAAACAAAGAGAAAAGCTTATGCTTGGATACTTAGAATTGGATACTAGGGGTGGGGATCATGAAGACCATCTTAGAATTCTGCCTACCACAACTGTCATGCAAAACCAGTGTGCTCACTCTGCTGGTCTACTGTGTATGGTAGGGTAGAAAAAAATAACACTAGTTTCTCCTAAAATAAAATACAATTTGTAAATTCACAATATTTTTTCCTTTTTTAAATTTTCTATTCCCGTTATAGGATTCCTTGTAGCTTAGAAAAACACTTACTGAATTAAACTGCATAATTTATTGGTTTGGAGTTGTAGTTGTACTACTCTATACTGATAATTGAATAAATGCTCCAGATTCTCTTTTCATAATCTAAATGTTATTTGCCATTTTCTTCATACAATAAGCTGAGAAATATAAGAGGAAAAAATGCCTTATTTGAAAGTCTAAGAATTTTTACTAATATTTAAGGTTAGCGAATATTAACCTAGGTTTCTTAACAATGTTGGTCCTAATTAGATATGGCATTGAAAAACAAAATAAGTAATCTTTTAAACTTAACAGTATGAGGATACTGTGAAAGTCACTCTCTTTTTAAAAGTATAGACACTCTAAACCTTTGATTTCAAATATACAGAGCAGAAACAAAAGCCTCACCCAAGTAACTGTCCTCTGAAGCATTAGGAACATTTCCTACTTCAACACAAATCCTTAGCTTTAAGAGATTTTCTTCTATAGATTTACAACACTTCTCCCTCGAATGCGTATTTGGGAACATGGACTAACTCCATTTTTTTTTTGTTTTGTGTTCATGTGCAGATAAATAATTCATTGTAGCTACTACAATTCCTCTGAAAGTCCCTAGAAATTATATAACAGTGCAAGTATGATATAAAATATAAAAGACAGTAAGTGATGAGTATTGTTACTTTTACAACCTACTGGATCTCCTTATCTGTGTCTTAGTTTACACAGCTGAACACTATGATCTGTCTTCACGGTTTACAGCTCTAGAAAGTGGCTGCTTACTGAAGATATTCTGAAAAAAATGCTGTTTTTTCCTACTTTAAGAAAACTTTATATTTTTCTTTTTCTGATTTTTAAAATAATAAAATATAGCTGTTCTTGAATATTTATTGTTCCTCAATCTATCTTAGTTGCTGGCAATTTGTTTTCAGTGATAACATTTCTCTTACTATTCCATAATTTTCGAGAGAGAGAGAGACATATATATGTACATACAAAATGTACATATTCAGAAAAATATGCATATTTTACCCCCAATTTTTAGTGTTGCCTTTTTTTGTACCCAAGGCAATCTTCTGCAATGGAATTTAATTTTTAAATTATTTTTCTAGTGGAGGACATGCTATTGTTACAAAATACTGAATTTGATTAACATTAGTGGTATACTGAAAAATAGATTTAAATTGAACAGAATCAATGTCCTAAAGATTGAAATATGTCTTAACATCTAGGGACATTAAGAAACATATTCACCGTCACTCCATATAATTGAAGACATCAGTGTCTTTTTATTCAATGTAGAAATTATTATATTTTCCTTTGTAGTTCTTCATTTCATTTAGTCCTACTCTAAGCAAAAATAAAAGCACACTGTGAAAACACTTTAAAACATATAGCATTGTTATGGGTTGAACTGTGTCCGCCCAAATTCATATATTGAAGTCCTCACTCCTTTGTACCTCACAATGGTACTTAGAGTCTTTATAGAGGTTATCAAGTTAAAATAAGGTCATTAAGGTGTCCCCTAATACAATATGATTGATATCTATTTAAAAAGGGAAAATTTGGACACAGAGATGTATACAGAAAAAAAATGTGAAGACGCTGAGAGAAGACATCCATGTATAAGCCAAGAAAAGAGCAGTTTAACAGATACCTCCCTCACAGCCCTCAGAAGAAACTGACCCTGCCTTTACCTTTTCTCTGGCTCCTAATCTTCAGAACTATGAAAAAGTACATTTCTCTTGGTTAAGTCATCCAAGTTGTGGAACTTTGCTAAAGCAGCTCTAACAAACTAATGCAAGTTCTTTAAAATTGTATTATCTTGTGCTTATTAATATCATCTGGTTCTTCACGGTAACAGCAACTTTTGAAATCAACAGCTCCAGGAGACCATACCGGCATTGTCCAATGAGACATAGTCCTCCCTTCTACCTGGATTATTACTTATTGATCATGTCCTACACTCCGTTTGCCCTCATGGGCTTTGATTCCTTAATGTAGAAATTGTATACATAGCCTAGTGATTAAGAGATTTGGGGCCAGACTTTCTGAGTTGAAATACTGACTGCTTTATTTGCTAGCTATGAGTTTTTATGCAATTTACTTTGTCTATGTGCTTTACTAGCTGCAAAATTTGTGAGGCCTACTGCAATAGGATGATGTGGGTTACCTCATAAGAAATGCAGGAAAAAAGTGACATTAAATGTAACTAAAAATTAAACAGTTTTTAAAAATTTATTAATTATAAAATGTAATAGAGAACCATGATACATGAATAAAAACATAAATTTACAAACGAAAAACATTTTGGTGTCATAAATTTATGTAATATAACAAATAGTGAAAGATAAACAAAATATTGAAAAACAGATTTAAATTGAACAGAATCAAAGTTTTAAAGATTGAGATTTGTCTTTGTATCTAGGGATATCAGGGAACATATTCACTCACCAGGATTCTATATCATTGAAAATGTCAATATCTTTTAATACTTTATTAATGTGGTATCTTGATTAATCATAAGATTTTTCTGGATCACTTCTGCAAATTTGTTTATTAAGTCATCAAAACTTATACTTAAATTTTCTAAAAATATGTGTGAAAGTGACATCAATTGCTCTTGAGAAATGCAACGCCACAAATAATTTTCTATTTTGAGAAGAATATTTTTGGTAAACTACTAAAGCTATGTAGAGTATTTATGACTCAATACAAATCTATTTTATGTATTCTGAGTTTAGTTTTAAATTTAAACTTACACAATATTATTTTAACACTTCTTCAGAAATTCCCTGTAACTTGTAGAATCAATTTAAGAAACTAAAAATGGATTCATTATATATATATATATATATAAAGTTCAAAATGCCTGGTAATGCATTTTATCTTCGTATCTTCAATTAGGAGAGAAAATTTAATTTTAGAGTTGCTTTTCTTATTAATTTTAAAGTTATCTTTATTCCAAAAAGATAGTGGACATGCAAACTATTTTTCCTTTAGGAGAGTATGAGAGGAAAAAGCAGCTGACAAACATACTAAGAAGAAAACATCTGAAATTTTAATGAATTTTTAAAGATTAAATGTAAGTTATCCTGAGAATTTAGTTTATTTGAAGATTCATATGGAAATCATGTTCTTTTCTGTTCAATATGGTGATCTTTAAATTTAATTTTTATTTTTAAGACTGTTGATATCTGCTTTCCAATATTGCAGCAGTTTTCAAAACTGGATATTCCAAACACTTTGAAGAATTTTAGCCACTTCCTGGTACGTTTTATTACAACATTTATGTGTAAGTTTTATTTTTTAATTATTTGCTGACATAGTATATTGCCTGTGCATTAACAGTTCTTGTCCAGCCCTCGGTTTAGAGAGTTAATATTTGTGCACAAGCCACAAGGATGGGCTCTGGGGATGGACGATCCAGCCATACTCTCTCCATGGAGCCTAGTGCTGCTGATATATGGAGCCTCACTTCTCTCTTGTGGCTAGAACCACTACTGCCATCTCTACTGCATCTCACCATGGCTCCTAATCTGGACCCAGGTGCCACCTGGTTTTCTTGGGACCCCAGAATACCCCCTGAACTGGCTGAAGCCTATACCTGTGTGATGGGGCACCAGGCCAATTGCTTAAAGCCTAAGGCTCAAAATCCTGAGCCTGCACTTGCATGGACATCCTGAGGCCAATCTCCACCACTTACTGGCTTGCTCTATATCTCATAGACTTTACTTGTAATTCAAAAATAAAAGTATTAGGAATTTCTAGGTGGCAATAGCAGATTCTTTTTAAAAAATGTATTATTGATATTTCTTCTTTTAAAACTCATACTTTAAGTTCAAGGGTACAAGTGCAGTTTTGCTACATAGGTAAATTTGTGTTGTGGGAGTTTAAAACTAAGTGTGGGGCCCTTCTCAGAGTAATGCCCTATACTTTTTACTGTAGAGGTCACATGCCTATATACCTTGCCCTGCCCTGTCTGTGTTTGCTTACTGAACTTAAGGTTAGAATGATAATGCCTACGTTATAAAGTTGGTGATGATGCTAAATGAGATTGTAAATATGAAGCGTTTATAACAGAGTAGACCACATTTATAGCAAGCTCTCTGTAAATATAAGCTCTATTATTATTACAATAATGTGTGAGACACAGTCACTGCTTCAGACGTGTTTGTAATCTAGTTAGAGAGACAGACATGTGGACAATCCACTACAACAATATAATAAATAAATATCACTAGGCATTGGGAATATAAAAATGCCTTGTCTACAAGAGATCTATGGAAGTGAAACTGACATTTATATAATTATTGTTTAATATGATTAGTGTGAGCTCTACTTCCACTTAGGATGTAGAAAATCTCAAGACACAGGACAATGTCACTACTACTCTAATATCAAAAAAAGAAAATAGAAGAAAGGAAAAAGAGAAAGTATAATCTAAGAAATTATAACTTTTCTGAGCTCATCAGAGAATTGAGGTTGAAAGACAACTAGGTGAACTGAATTCCAAAAGGGTGACAGTCCCCTCCAAAAAGATGGTGTACATGCCAACTATTTTTCCTTTAGCAGAGTGTGAGAGGAAGAAGCAGCTGACATAAACATGCTAAGAGGGAAACGTCTAAAATGTTAATGAATTTTTGAAGATTAAATTTGGGAAATCATGAGAATTTAGAATTTCTCGAAACTTCAAACATGAGGTACCTCAGCACTTTCTTACCAGCCTTTTAACATGGGCCTCCACTGGGTGCATGTGAGAAAGACTGGGATCAGAGAAAAGAACCTGACAAGCTCCACCCCCTGTGTCAGTGGTGCAGGTATGCAAATGAGACTACAGTATTCAAATGGTGCTGCTGGAGAACAGACATGAAATCCAGACTCTAGGCAGAGGCAAGAATGCTCAGGGTTTTATATTTTTGCAGTAATACAAAGCAAAGCTACTGGGGACAGACAGGAAATGCACTCTTGGCCTAGACCCTCCTCATCCTTACAAGGCAGAGTTCTGGTCGGCAGGGGATTGGGAAGGGTGAGTTGCTGGGAGATATAAGGAATGCTCAGAAAGCCCCATCCTGGAAGGGTAAGTGTACAGGGCTTACCTAAGACTGAGGCTGGAATAAGAGAACTGAGAAATTTCCCGGCTCCTACCATAAGGCCTGCATGAAATAATAAGCAACAGCAGTAAACTGCTGAGATAACACTAGGAACATGGACAAAGACCCTTTCTGAGTCGTCCCTATGCAGGGCTGCTCAAAGCAACCATGCTGAGAAAAGCCTTCCAACACTCTAGATGTTATACAAAGCACAAGATAGCAGTAGTCCTCAACATAAGGACCCAGGATCATCTCCACTGATATTTAGGCCATAGCAGAAAAGTGCCACGAGATGGCACCAAACCTCAAACACTTCCTGAACAGGTCTGGATTACATAGCTGTACTCCTGGACCACCCATTTTTCTAGATGTATAGTCTAGTCCTAGTCATTGAATGTTTCTTGTCTGTCATTACAACCGTGCATTTAATATTAATGTTTTGCCTTTATTATTACTGGCCATTGTGACATAGAATATCTGTGTTTTTTTTTTAATTTGAGTTTTCTAAAACTATGTATTACAAAAGTGGTATGACTTGAGGAATGTTTTATATATGCAATTGGGTTGGAAGAAGTGATCAAACATGCACACAAACAGAGAGAGAAAGAGAGAAAGGGAGAACTCTAAGATGAAATGAAATAAATGTCCTAGTTGAATTTGTCAAATATATATATATATATATATATATATATATATATATATATATATGTGGCAAATACAGTGGCACACAGGAAATGAGATCATATGTCATGTTTTAGTGTAGTTTCTCATGATCCTCAAGAGTCCTCATGGGACATTAAGCTGTCACTAACATATTTGCAGGATCTGGAAAATGGAATTCTTGCTATATCATGGACATCAAGTAAGGATGGCTATTAACTCTCTAATGCAGAACTACATTTTTAAATTTGCATTTACTTTTAACATTTTTATGCATTAATGATCTTGCCTAAATCAATGATTACTTTGGAGATTATAAAATGGTGATTTGTTACTTCTAGGTTTACGCTGTTTCATTTTATCTCATTTTATTTTGATTCCAAGAGAGAAAAAAAATAATAAATGTGCATCATCAACCCACTGGTTTAGCCTGATAACATATCGGTTTAAAAGTCATTAAAAGGGGCCAGGTGCGGTGGCTCACACCTTTAATCCCAGCACTTTGGGAGGCCAATGTGGGCAGATCACTTGAGGTCAGGAGTTCGAGACCAGCCTGGCCAACATGGTATAACTCTGTCTCTACTAAAAATACAAAAAAATTAGCTGGATGGGGTGGCAGGTGCCTGTAAACTCAGCTACTCAGGAGGCTGAGGTGGGAGGTTCTCTTGAACCTGGGACTTGGAGGTTGCAGTGAGTCAAGATCACACCACTGAACTCTGGCCTGGGTGACAAACTGAGACTCCATCTCAAAAAAACAAAAGCAAAACAAACAAACAAAAAACTCAAAAGTCATTACAAGAAGAAATAAGAGATATTTTAGAAGAAAGATATAAAAAAGGCCTTTCCTAATATATATTTGATGATTTTCCAAGAGGCAAGAGTTCAGCTTACTTGTTCTCCTCATTATGTGGTTGGAGGTTGGGTGTATTAGATAAACCAAGGCAGGCATATTTTTAATTTATCACATTTCTTATCTTGGTCTCCGGGCTCTATATCACTTTATCCTCACTTGATCTCACAAAGTCTTCTATAATTCTCTCCTGTGATCCATACAGTACAGGTGCATTTGCCCCTTCTTATTCCTCAGACATATGCCACTTTGCCAGATTGTCATATAGCTTCCTTCTTCTTGTCTTTCATTTCTTGGATTCAGTGTCCTGTCCCTAGACTGTCCTTTTCAGACCATTCAATATAGAGTATCTGCTGCCTGCTCTGTGTTACAGGAGCCTCCTTAAAATCCATGCTAGCATTTGTGATATCTGTTTTTTGTTTTTTTCTTTTTTGGTCCTTTCCTGTCTTCCCCTACTAGAATGTCAGTTCCAGAATAGCAGGTGTCTTGGCAATCTATCCGTTTCTTACTATATCCCACCACCTAGAGTAGGATTGTAAACAGTGTTTTTTGTTTTTTTTTTAATATAAAAGCACCTTTGTTTATTCACTTCTTAAACTTTTACCTTTTCACTTTCTTATTATTAGGTATAAAATATGGATTTACATGTAAAAAAAATATTTAATGGCCCAGGAGTCCTGCTTCTTTTAGTGGCAATTGTAATTCGGTTCAACCCTCTCAGTAAGGTAGATTAAGAAAGTGTGTATCTGCGTATGTGTCTGTGCATGTGCACACATGTGCATTTGGAGTGCTAGGAAGACAATTATAGGACCAAATTCCAAAATAAAAGAAAATGAAACTTAGAGAAACATGAACCTGGTATTTAGCTCAATTTTTTCCTTTAGGAGTATCTGCCAATTCAGGAAGAAGTGGTTGGTGAGATCAAGAAGTTGTTGAGAGTTTTTGGAAAATTCATAGAAATGAAAATAAAAATTGGGTTCAAATTTTGCTAAGAGACATTGGTAATTCACCAACAGTTTTAATTAGGATTCTGATGATCTACACCCCTCAAATAAGGGGAAAATATATTTGCAACTTCTAATTTAAATTCTTGATAATATGAAGGTCACTCTGGTCTATTGATAGCCCTAGACACTTGCATAAAGAAAAATCAACCTACTCTAGAGGATAAGAAAATTATCCTGGACCTTAAATCCTTTTTGCATATTTTTATATTGAACCTTGCAAACAATGAAGAGCAACTGGGCAAATGAATAAACAGATGATGTAGCAGAAAAGAAGAGAACTAGAGAAATAATAAATAATAGTAAATAAGAATCAAGACAGGCCAGGCACTGTGGCTCATGCCTGTAATCCCAGCACTTTGGGAGGCTGAGGTGGGAGGATAACCTGAGATCAGGAGTTCGAGATCAGCCTGGCCAACATAGCAAAACCCCGTCTTTACTAGAAATACAAAAAAATTAACCAGGCATGGTGGTGTGTGCCTGTAATCCCAGCTACCTGGGAGGTGGAGGTTACAGTGAGCCGAGATCACGCCATTGCACTCCAGCCTGGGCAACAAGAGTGAAATTTCGTCCCCCCAAAATAAGTAAATGAATAAATAAAAAAGACCTACTGCAATGGTTTCTAGTAAGCAATGCAATGCATACATTGAAAGCTGAATAATCGCTTTCAGTGCATGCATTGATTTCCAAAAAGAGTAAGTCATAATTTCTTACTCTCCTCCCTCCCCCAGCCCATTTCACCTTTTCTCTATGAAAGGCAACCTCCTTGTTCCAGGGCTTATCCTAAGGTATCATTGTGCTCTTTGTCTCCTTTCTTTCTGTCATACTCTACACATGATTGGTTAGGAAATATTTACTTTTATTCCAAAATATAGACAAATACAGTTGCTAATAATTTCTCATCACATCCACAGCTACCACCTTGCTTCCCTATCTTACTGAATGCTTGTAGCCTCTGCTTACAGTCTTAACACAGCAGTCAGTATAGTCCTATTAAAGCATAAATAAAACCAGATTGCTGTTTGCTCAAAATTTTGCAATAGCCACCCTTACACTCAGACTAAAAGTAAAATCCATAAAATGGCTTACAATGCTCTAAGCCTTTCCAAATCCATGTCATGGCCTTAGAGACAGCTGTATGTCTGTATCATGTATTTATCTTACCCCAAATCTTCTATAATAGTGTGTATCATAGGATGTCAATTAACTACAACTCTGCATTTTCCTATAATATACATGTTTACAGTGAGCAGAGAAGTGTTTTGTTGACACTGAAAAAACTGCAATGAAAACTATATACTGGAAGGTTATATCAATCCTTTTTAAAAACCTTATGATTTTGGTAGCAGAATGATGTTTCAGTTGTCATCAATGAAGAAATTTTTCAGGGAATAGTGGGAAGGGGGGATGGTTACTAGGGGTAGTATGAGGAAGATCTTTGTAGTGCTAGAACAGTTTTTTTTTTTTTTTTTGGAGACGGAGTTTCGCTCTGTCGCCCAGGCTAGGGTGCAGTGGCACAATCTTGGCTCACTGCAAGCTCTGCCTCCCGGGTTCACGCCATTCTCTTGCCTTGGCCTCCCGAGTAGCTGGGACTACAGGTGCCCGCCACCACACCCGGCTAATTTTTTTTCTTTTTTTATATTTTTAGTAGAGACGGAGTTTCAGGGTTTCACCATCATGGTCTCGATCTCCCGACCTCTTGATCCGCCTGCCTCGGCCTTCCAAAGTGCTGGGATTACAGGCGTGAGCCACTGTGCCCAGCCGAACAGTTTTTAATTTTGATTATGTTATACAAATCTTCACATGTAATAGAATTGCAAGAACTAAATACACAATACACACACACATGAATAAGTGCATGTAAAACTAGTGAATCTGAAGAAACTGTGTATGTCTTACCTTGATTGATGGGCATCAATTTCTGTTTTAAACAACTAATAGTTTGCTTTCATCATTTTTGCTTTCATATAGTATTTTCTGATTATATAAATCTCCCTTTGAGCACCAGACAGCTATTTTATTAACCAATTTTAATCTCCTGATAGTCTAAAGATAAAAATAATTGTATATACACAGCTCTTAACTTTTTTTTTTTTTTTGCTTTTGAGTAATGTTTCATGATTAAAGCAATTCCTCATTGGACTCCAGAGAATTCTTTTATTGATCTATTTCAATCTAATGGTGGTTTAAAGATAAATAAGCTTGACTATAAAAAACTGTTTTGGAGCAGAGAAGCTAGAAACTAGAGCACAGCCCTGATTGTCATATAGTTCTAAAGACTTGTTTATCACACTATGTTTAGAGGTACATTTCAATTAAAGATTGTCAAATTTTGGAAGTTGAGCTTTTCCTAAAACATAGGTTCCCCAGAGCTTTCAGGGATCTATTTTGTTGTTGTTGTTGTTGTTTGTTTCTTTTCTTTTTCTACATAAATGCAAGGTATAACTACTTTTTAACTATAATTAATTTTCTTCAATCAAATTAGATTATGTAATTAAACTAAAATTAAAATAATGAAATAGAAGGTAAGACAATGCTATATGACTGTTTATTTTAAACCTTGTTTTAGCAAGATGAGTAATACATTAATAAATCCAACAACCTTGGTTGCTGTCACCGTGACCTGGACCCTCCTAGTCCACATCCTGAATCAGGATCTTGGACGTCACCCACAGTGGAAGCTGTGCCATGTGAGTGGAAAAAATGGAAACCACATTTTGATATTCAGTTCTGAGGAGGAAACTCTTTTGTCAAAAACAATTTGTTTCACAATTTTAATTTCAATTATCTACAGCCTGATAGCTAAAATGTGCTTTCCTTTTGTTTTGATTTGCTGAGGAAGCACAGATCAATCTACATGGCCACATGCACACAGCTGCCAAAACCGTTCCTTATAAAAAGGATAATTTCTACACAATGGGGAGAGCAAGTACATTTCCTGCCCCTCTCAAAATTATATCTGTCTACTTTGGCATAAGAAAATAATTCCCACCTTACTTTCCCAAATTAACATTAAATTTGTAATAGGTGAGCAAATTATATATTTAAATATCATGTATTATAAGACAAATAATTGAAATTTACCTTGATAGCAGTTTGGTTTTGCACAATTTTTTACACATAAATACATTTTATATATATATATCTTTTATATATATTATTGTTGTTTATAATAAACAATATTATAATAATAGAATATTGGTTGACTTCTTAAAACATTTAAGAAAAAAGAAAATCTTAAAAAATAATAAGCCAATTTTTATACAGCTTTTTATAGGTTTTTTGTTCGCAAAATAATGTGATAATATTTTATGTGGAAGACTTATATTCTTGCAATAACATTTACTAAAATTCTAAGTTCCATATACTTACAAAGCTTTTGACACTCAGGGAGATGTTATAAATAACATTAGACTAGATTCAAAATTCTAAAGTTTAGAAAACCATTGTCAATGGTATATTTAACTTGTAAATCTTTTTCTTCAGAAACAAGTTTTAAAAAGCAACCTGCAACTCTTTATATTCATATTTTGTTTAGTTTACTCAGTACATATTGATTGAGTGCTGAATTTTTTGTATGGACAAGTCTGTTCAGTACTACTGACACAGCAATAAACAAGAAAGAAACTTCCTGCCCTCAGGTATCTTAGGACAAGTGGATGTAATAAAATGAAAAATATTAATTGCTATAGAAATACATTGATGTTCCTTTGTGCATTAAACTTTTTATCAAAGTGATTACATGTCATGGTTATTCTTCCCCTTCCCCCTTTCACTTACACATTAAATTGATCTGTTAAAATTGACTGTAAAATCTGTTAAAACATAGGATTTTTTTAGATGATCCCTCTTTATAACACAGACAAAAGAAATAATATACAGAAGACAGTTCATAGAGTTCCTATTCTCTTCCCCATTCCTTTGTGACACAGTCTGTTTCGAATACTAAGTATATATGTGTATATATACACAAAATATATGTATATACATACACTAAGTATATATATGCTCTAAGCTGACTTATTTATACACTCCACTACAGGAATATTAATGGCTTTACAGGGTGCTGAGCCAGGCTCCACTAGGAATGTTCTGTAATATACAAAAGAGGCATCATATTGCCCTTTTTTTTTTTTTAATTTTGAGTTCCCTAGAACTTCTGGCTCCAGCAATTCTAAGTAAGGTTTTATAGATGTGTACTAAGATCACCGTGCCTGCAGCCAAGACAAACTGCAAGGATCCATGAAGAAGCCAGCTTGTCTCCCACCTTGTCCAACCTCCACCTTTCTTGTCCCATGACTCTGTCTCCCAACCTTTGTGAATAGTTGTGGCAAACCTGTGGGCAAGCCTAGAAGTCAGATATGTATAAAATAGTTTTTATTTCTATATTAACCTGTAATATTGATATAACCCTTCAAAGATAGTGCCAGATGAAACCTCTCATATCATCAAACTAACTTTGGTTTGCAGCCTATGCAGTTTACATGCTTACAGTGATTTGAATGGCTTGCTTGACAAGAATGGCAAAATCACATCCTTACCCTGTAACTCATTTTTACATTTCTTTTGATTAGAATTTTCCTGAGGGCAAAGACATGCCTTATTCATCACTTTAATATAAGAGAATACAAAAGAAGAAATTAGAGTAGTAGTTAAGCAATTCGTATGTGTTGAATTATTTGTTGTTGACTACGTAACTACATTTTGTGTACATGGAAACAGGATTGTGCCTTCAGGTGAACTCAGGGCAATTCTTTAATTAATGCATCAGAGTGAAGAGTTGCCAGGTTCACATATATGAAAGCAAGCTCACCCTTGAGATTCAGCTTAGGTATTAATTCCTCCAGAAATTATTCCCTGACCTTCCTTTCTCACTGGCCATACTGCTAACACCCTCTCTTGCCCTCAGAATTTAGTCCTTTTCTATTCTCCCATAGTACTCTGTCATTACATTTAACAAATAGTTTGTAATTGTGAGTTGCAGTTTCACAACAGAGGATAAGCTCTTTGAGGGCAAGAAGTGTCTTTTATTCTTCTTTGTGGACTCATTACCAAGAATTCTGTAGTTAATTAATGTATCTCTATGCTTTGGAATGTTGCTTGAATGAATTGAATGAATGGATAAGTGCATGAGATGGTCATTGATTTTGCCTGTACAGTCCTTTTAATCAAATAACACAACAAGCTCTACAGGATGGTTGTCATTCTACTGTCTCCAAGATGATTTGCTTTCTGGAATGATTGTTTAACAGATAAAATGAATGTAAAACACTAAAGTTAAGGTTATTAATATAAAAGATTAATCACCAGAGCTAAAGCTAAAATTTAAGATGGATTTAAAAAATGGGACAGGCAACACAGAAACATACTCAAAAAGACCTAAGTTGGAGTATGGGTCCTTCTATTGGTAAGACATCCTCAGGTAATATACATAATTTTTAAAGCCTCAGTTTTTTTTTAGTAATGACTATTTCATAATATTGCTGTGAAATTATACATGTAGGTAAAGAGTTCCTAGTCCAATGTTTAACATATATTAAATACAACTATCTTTGATGTACTGTAAATATGGGCATTATGATTTCTAAGCAACAGTAACAAAGTGGACTAAAAGGAATGTTGTAAGATAATAGAAACACAAAGACTAATGAAATTTCATATGATAGAGTATATCAAAAAATAAACATAATTCATGGAGGAGGTAGCCATAGATGAAAGAGCCTGGAAGGTAATTTTATGGTGATGTAAATATATTTACAAAACAGCTGTGGCTGTGATGACCAAATATCCATATATGCCTGGGACAGACTCACTCTACGCTTCTTGGCTTACTCTATTAATAGCTCTGTTTCACTCTCATAATTGTCAGGGTTTAGACAATAACTTGGATGGTTACTATATCATGGCTCATGTGCTAATCAGAAAAAGTTTTAAGAGGAACTTTTCCAAATACTTAATAAATACCACACAATGAAAATTTACAAAAGCATGTATAGGATGAGTTTTATGTTCAGTGTACAAAGACCCAAGTTAATTAATATTTACATTTTTATTCTATCCAAGTAATTGAGCTGATCTGAAAGTAAGTGTCCTTTTAGCAATTCAGAAAGAATGTAACTTGATGGCGATGGAATTGGCAAGTGACTTCTCAGGGTTGCCTTTTTTACTTACTTTTATTTTTTATTTTGCCAGCTTCTGATAATTGGCTTCATATACGGTAATTTAGAAAAGGCTATTTTATGCTTTACCCTTATGATCCTAGATGCAGAAAGATGAAGAGATAATGAGAGGTGTTCACTGCCTTTCTTTCCCCCCTTTTTATAAAGGATAATATCCTTTCCAACAATTATTTGATAAAGGAAAAAATACTGATAGGAAATTCTTCTTTGTTGTCATTTACCAATTTTTTTGTTACCAAAACAAAAACGGTAGTATTACTTCAAGTAATTTCTTTTTTAGCCAGCATCTAAAAAACAAACCAAAACAAACACAAAAAACTACGTTTTTATTTATAGATACAAAAACTTTGCTATTATGCCTGGTGTGATGGCATATGTCTGTCATCCCAGCTACTCAAGAGGCTGAGGCAGGGGGATTGCTTAAGCTCAGGAGTTGCAGACCAGCCTGGGCAAAATAGCCAGACTCCATCCCTGCAACCCTCCAAAAAAAAGTAAGCTGACAAATGACAAAAAAAAAAAAGGAACGCAAATCATCTCCCTGTTTCAAAGTATTGTATAAACTTTTCTCACTATAAATGGTGAACAAAAAAAAGTATAAATAGTGATGAAGAAAGCAACATCAGATTATGTTAATGTACAGAGGAATAGCCTTCTTAAACTATTATTTCTAGCAATAGAGATATGGATCACATTATCAGAAATTTGATGATTTTCAGATATTCTGAAATATCTGTTCTGATAATCACAAATTATCAAAAATTTGTGATTAAAAGAGTTGAGAAGAATTGCTTGGTGAGTTATAAGTCCAAATTTCTCATTATTATCCCAAGAAAATGTAAAAAATTGAATAGTATTTAAAAAGACACTTTAATCTGTGATGATGGCTTCTTGCAGAGGGAAACTAATTGTGCAATATTAATGTGGTAACTCATATCTGTAAGTAGAATTAAAATAATGCTAAAAGTTCAACATTGCCTTGTAGAAAATGTCCAGTAACTCATATCTGTAAGTAGAATTAAAA
This sequence comes from Homo sapiens, assembly GCF_000001405.40. Taxonomy (NCBI): domain Eukaryota; kingdom Metazoa; phylum Chordata; class Mammalia; order Primates; family Hominidae; genus Homo; species Homo sapiens. The sequence goes on from NC_000012.12 coordinate 85,585,314, forward strand.
TAATGCTAAAAGTTCAACATTGCCTTGTAGAAAATGTCCAGTAACCCATATCTGTAAGTAGAATTAAAATAATGCTAAAAGTTCAACATTGCCTTGTAGAAAATGTCCAGTCAGTTTAAGTATAAAACTCAGTAAGATTACTGGTAATAATTACAGTTTCATTATATTGTGTCTAGTGTTAATATTTTAGATATTCAGACCATGTGAGATTATATCATTTTCATAGAAAAATACATTAACTTTGTCCTGATGTTTAATAATGAATTTGTTGGAAAATATTTTACTTTAAGAGTTTTTAATCAGTTGTATTAAAAGAAAAGAGAAATTAAAAAACAATTAAAGGTATCAGGCTTAGTGTGGTGGCTCGTGCCTCTAATCCCAGTACTTTGAGAAGCTGAGGTAGGAGGATCACTTGAGGCCAGGAGTTCAAGACTAGCGAGACACCTGTTTCTAACATTTTTTTTTTTTTAACTAGCCAGGCATGGTAGCATGCGCCTGTTGTCCAGCTACTTGGGAGGCTGAAGTGGTGGGATTGCTTGAGCCCAGGAGTTCCAGGTTGTAGTGAGCTATGATTGTGCCACTGCACTCCAGCCTGGGGATCAGAATGAAACTCTGTCTCTATCAAAAATACAAAATAAGATAAAAATAAATAAATAAAAACTATCAGTCTTCTGGCTATCTGGCTTGGTCTTAAGTTTTAGATGTTTAACTTCTCTCATATGGCAGTTTAGATTTATGTTTATTGACCATTTTTAATCAAACTGCAACTCTGCTGATGGATAGGAAGAATCAATATCACGAAAATGGCCATATTGCCCAAAGCAATTTGCAAATTCAGTGTTATTCCTATCAAACTACCATTGACATTCTTCACAGAACTAGAAAAAAACAGGGTTATAATTCATATGGAATAAAAAAAGAGTCTGAATAGCCAAGGCAATCCAAAACAAAAGTAACGAAGCTGGAGGCATCATGCTACCCAACTTCAAACTATACTACAGGGCTACAGAAACAAAAACAGCATGACATGCGTGCAAAAACAAACACATAGACCAATGGAACAGATTAACCCAGAAATAAGGCCACACACCTAAAGCTGACAAAAACAAGCTTTCCATAAAGCTGACAAAAACAAGCAATGGAGAAAAGGCTCCCTGTTCAATAAATGATGCTGGGATAACTGGCTAGCCATATGCAGAAGATTGAAGCTGCACTCCTTCCTTACACCATATACAAAAATCAACCCAAGATGGATTAAAGACTTAAATGTAAAACCCAAAACTATAAAAAACCCAAGAAACCAACCTAAGCAATACCATCCTGGACATAGGAATGAGCAAAGATTTCATGACAAATCACAACAAATGCAATCACAACAAAACCCAAATTTGACAAATGAGATGTAATTAAACTTAAGCACTTCTGCACAACAAAAGAAACTAGCAACAGAATAAACAACCTACAGGATAAGATAAAATATTTGCAAACTATGCATCTAACAAAGGCCTGATATGTAGCATCTGTAGGAAAATTAAGCAAATTTACAAGAAAAAACAACTTCATTAAAAAGTGGGCAAAGGACATGAGCAGACACTTTTCAAAAGAAGACATACATGTGGCCAAGAAGCATATGAAAAAAAGCTCAATATCACTGATCATTAGAGAAAGGCAAATCAAAACCACAATAAGATACCATCTCACATCAGTCAGAATGGCTATTATTATGAAAGAATAAAAAAAAAACCAGATGCTGGAGAGATTATGGAGAAATGGGAACACTTACGAATTAGTTCAGCTACTGTGGAAAGCAGTGTGTTGATTCCTCAAAGGGATAAACAGAACTACCATTTGACCCAACAATCCCAGTACTGGGTGTACACCCAGAGACATAAATCATTTTACGATAGAGACACATGCATGCAAATGTTCATTGCAACACTATTCACAATAGCAAAAGACATGGCACAATATCAAAATCAACCTAGAGGCCCATCAATGACAGAATGGATAAAGAAAATGTGGTACATATTCACCATGGAATACTATGCAGCCATGAAAAAGAACGAGATCATGTCTTTTTCAATAACATGGATGAAGCTGGAGATTATTATCCTTAGCAAATTAACACAGAAACATAAAATCAAATACTGCATGTTCTCACTTACAAGCGTGAGCTAAATGGTGAGAACTCATGAAAACAAAGAAGGGAACAACAGACACTGGGGTCTACTTGAGAGTAGAGGGTGTGAGGAGGGAGAGGAGCAGAAAAAATAACTATTGGGTACCAGGCTTAATACATTGGTGATGAAATAATTTGAACAACAAACCCCTGTTACATGAATTTACCCGTATAACAAACCTGTGTATGTATTCCTGAACCTAAAATAAAAGTTAATAAAAAGATTTCATAGCACTGTGTACCTTTTGCAACATTTATCACAGTTGGAAGTTGCCATTTGTTTGTGTAATTATTTCATTAATGTGTGTTTTCCTCAGTAGAGAGGACTACAAAAAAGCATGGATAGTATCAGGTTTTGCAGCTAGTACAGCCTGACATATAGTGTGGACTCAATAAATATTTGTTGAATGAATAAATGAATAAACTCTCGTGTACATGTTTTGTACAGAAAGGAGAGTGTGGAATACAATACCTGCATGGTGAAACTAGGAAATTTTAATTACCTTTGAGTCCAGAGGTAAAGTGAAGGAGGAATAATGTACTGCTTCATATAAAATTCCAAAGTTGCCTGTGTAAGTAAGAATAGAAAAGTAACAAACACATAGAACAAAAAAATAACCTGTGACTTGAAGAGAATGATAGCCATTCAGAATAATTTCTGTTATGTTCTGGGATAGAATAAAATTTTTCCTTTACAATCTGCTTATTATAACAGGTTCATCATATCTTCCATAAATCCTTTACAAGCTGACTGAGTTGCGACATTATCCCCAAATCCACCCAAAACAAATTGGTTTTTATATAGCCAACAATCTTTGAGTACAGCACTTCTCTACAAAAGTGGCTGTGTCTGTTTGTGCGTTATGGTTACCATGGTTAGGAAATATTCCCTGAGAATGGTCTTTAAAAAAATTAGCTATCAAATTCAGGTAAACAACTGTTTTAGAGCTGATAAGGCTGAGAAAGCAGATAACAGGCAGACATGTTGCCAATGACTACAACAGTCTCAGGAGATCTTGAATTTAATATTTTCAGAAAAGTAATTAAAATACCAGGAAGATCAACCTGTATGATGCATGCTAGAAATCCTGTTACAAGAAGAAAAAGCAGACCCCTTCCCAAAAAAGAAAATAAATTCAAAATTATATTCAAATATAATAAAAATTGCTGGATATATCAAAAGGAAGTTGAAAAGGAAGCTCAATGAATAAAGCAGAGTGATAATAAAGGAAAATAAGAGACAGTGGAGAGGAGACAGAAATTAGCAGGAGATAAAAGAAAGGAAATATTCATGTCATCAAAAGATTTCATATTACATTTTTAAAATACGTGATCATTTCCCATTAGTGATAGAATACAATTACGTTGTCAAGTACTCTAATTATGCCTTGATTAAATCAGTTCTACCCTTGTCTCAAGTGCAAAATTAATGACAAAATTCCACTTGCTATAAAATGAATGGTAAAAGATTTGTAAGAATTTTACAAAATATATAACTCAATATATTTTGAATGTGTGACTTTAAAAAAATTATAACAGATGCATTCTCTTTATTTTTATTTTGAAATTTATAGTCTTAATTGAGATATATATTTATAAATCAATACTTTATGTAATATAACGTAATCCCATGTTTTCCTCTAAGTACAGTCATATTATTTACATACGCATGTATATATATATAATTTATTGTACATTGAATGTGTTTACAATTCCAAGGGTTTATTTTTTACCCTTAGATAGCTAATATGTAGGCATCACTTGAGTCTTTATAATAAAGTTATATATATTGTTATGAACTGAATTATGTTCACCCCAAATTCATGTGTTGAAGCCCTAACCCCAGATGTGCCTCTGTTAAGATCTAGAGCCTTTAAGGAGGTAATTAAGGTTAAAGGAGGTCATATAGGTGGGCCCCTAATCTGATAGAACAGAGATTCTTAGGAGAAGCAGAAGGAACACCAGAGATCTCTCTCTTCGGCACACACAAAGAGGAAAGGTAATGTGAAGGCACAGCAAGAAAGCTGCCACATAAAGGCCAGGAAGAGGGGGTCTTCCCAGAAACCAAATTTGTTGGCACCTTGATCTTGGACTTTTAGCCTTTAGAACTGTGAGAAAATAAATGTTTGTTTAAGCCACCTAGTCTAGAGCATTTTGTTATTGCAGCCCTAGCAGACTAATACACACATACCATTACATTTTATTTCACAAACACACTGGAAGTACAGCCCTTATTTTAAATTTACAAAATTTAGCATAGATATATATACTTAACTAAAACAAATAAGTACATAAAATAAGTTCATTATTTGCAAATTTTTAACATATTTTTAAGTTAAATGATTAGTTTCTTTGATGAATCTCTGGTTCTTGCTGCTATGGACATATTTTCTATTATATTATTTTAAAGTTTTATATATATATATATATAGCATACAAATATTTTCCCTCCTTTTGCCAATATCTTTGCAAAATTATTAAGGCAGAGCATCCAGGAGCAAGATAATTAAGGTTTATTAAGTATCTGCTATAACTGATAAATATTTTGCTTTAGAAATACAACAATTTATTACATACTAGGGAAATTATTACCTTTTACTCATTAGCAAAAAAATTTACGTATCTTTCTCATCTACCAATCAATCTAAAACTGACTCAGTATATGTCTGTGGATGATATATAATACAATTACCCATAGTAAGTGGGCCCTGATTCTACCTATTCCCTGTAGTGTTTACAATGGGCGTCTGAGTACATTGAATATACAACACATGATTTTCAAACTGAATTTAAAATCCTAATTAAGATAAATACTAATCAGGAGTAATTTCAACTTTGCATTATTTATCAGAATTGATAAGAAGAGACTCTTTGGGTAATGGTAATAATGATCCTCTCTCCAAAATAGGATTTTTAGTTACCAGGAAGATGGCTTTACAGATTGAAACAAATATTGCTATATCTGTTAATATTCTTTTTTTTTCAATCATTCAAAAAGTAGCTCTTTGAAAGTTGATGTCTGTTCATGTGTTTACATGTCTTATCTCAACTGTTATTTCCTTAGGGAAGCTTTTCCTAATTTATCACACTACATATATTTTCCTCTTTCATAGCCCAATACAATGTCATTTCTTTACAATACTCTGTGTGCTGATGCTTAATTTATTGTTTTAATTATTTGTTTACTTATAATCTCAATTGTGAAATACATGAGAGCTGGCACCATGTCTGTTCAGTGTGTATATATATACATATATATGTATATATATTGTATATATTGTTATACATATATACATGTATATATACAATGTATGTATATATTGATATACATATATATCAATATATCTAAATCTTATAGATCTACCTTCATCTATATCTATAGCTCTCTATGTGTATATACACACGTAATTTACTTCTAACTGTTATCCAAGGACTTTGACAAAGTGGAAAGCTTTGAATATTTGCATCTAGCCAAAAACATCCTTCAATAATGTAAACCACTAGTATCAGAACTGGTCAGAACCAGAACTTGAAAGGCTCTAAAACAGATAGCATTGAAAGACTAGATCCTAAGAGTCATCAGCATATATATAAATGGTAATTCAAATAATGCATGTATATGAGACCACCTAGGAAGAAAGAACAACGTAAAACAAAGCAACAGAGCATAGTTGTTAAAAACAAGGCCACTGCAATCAGAATATCTAGACTCAAATCCTGACTCTACCACCAACTAGTTATATAAAACTAGTGAAGTTGGGGTTAATTTGGGGCAAATGATTGTACATTGATCACAGAATACTTGCAAGGATTAAATGTAATAACTAAGAGTAAGCATTCTACATATATTGACTCTTATTAGACTGTAAGAAAAAACAAAAAACTAGCACTAATTCCTTAAGGACTCCAAAACTGAAAGACAGAGAAAAGTGGAGAAGTTTTTACCTCTTATACAGTGAGAGGTAAGAGGTAAAACTTGAATAAATGATGCTAAGGAAGACAAATAAGGAGAGTGAATCTAGAGGGTATGTCTCTTAGCTCTTTGATGTCTTTCCAAGATTTACCCTCCAACCTCGAACAACTAAATCCAGACAAACTATACAAAAACAAAAAAATGCCAGTTTTCAAGATACTGGAGATGAAACGAGAAAGGATAGTGATCCCTGTAAAGATGAAAAACAAATATAATAAGCCCTACCATGGTCCCCGCCTACTGTTTTCAAAAAGATTCCAGACCAGTGAAAGGATAGGGAAGTCAAATAGATACCTACAGATTCCCTGGGATGAGGAGACAGGGCAAGAGTCTGAGAAGATCAAGGTGGCTAGAATCACAGAACAGAGTAGCAAGGAAAAGAGAGCTGCACACAGAGAAAAGCCTAAAGATCTGCAGAGGCCTCCCTTGAATAGGGAGCAAAATATTCATCAGCATTTGCCAGTGAGAAAATTAGCAGAAGCTGGGGAATGATTCGCATCTTTTCTCATCAGCCAGACTGCGAAACCTCGTAAATCATGGAGCACTATAAAGAGTACTTAGAAATCTCTCTCCTGAATAATGTGACTATTTAGTTCAAAACTCTCATCCTGTCTCATCTTATCTGAAAAGCAAAAGAAAAAATAACCTCTTTCCAACTAATTCGACTTTATACCACAACAAAGCTCAAGAATTTTTATGGGACTACAAATGTGCTTAGCTTCCAACAAGTTAGAATTTACAATGTCTGGCATCCAATAAAAAATGACCATACATGCAAAGAAGCAGGAAAATTCAACCCATAGTAAGAAGAAAAATAAATCAATCAAATTGGGCACAGACGGACACAAATGTTATAATTGGCAGAGAAAAACATTAAAACATTATTATAACTATATTTCAAGGTTTAAAAAGCTACAGAAGAGATCAAAATGTTTAATAGAAACATAAAAAATATAAGAGACAGAAACCAAGCCTCTAGAGAGGAAAACTATAATGTCTGAGATGTGCTGGATGGGAATAACAGTGAATGAGATTTTGGGAGAGAAAAAAATAGTGAACTTGGACACTATCAATAGCAAATATCTAAAATACTTAAATATTCACAGAGAAAAAATACTTAAAACGATAAAAATATCATCAGGGAGCTGTGGGAGGCTTTAAAGTGTTCTAATATACACGTAACAGAAGAAGTAGAGCCAAGAAAAAAGTTTTAAAAATAATGGCCAAAATCTTTCCAAACTTTATGGACACTATAAGTACACATATCCAAGAAGCTCAATGAAATTTAAGCACAAGAAATATGATGAAAACTACACCAAGGCACATCATAATTAATTTGCTCAAAGCCAGTGATAAAGAGAAAATCTTAAAGACAGCCAGAGAAAAATAGGAATCATAAAAAGTTACGAAGGTAAGGAAACAATGAAAGCAAAACAGCACTGAAGCAACATCTTTAATGTACTGAAATTAAAAACAAAAATAAAAAAATTATCAATCAAAAATTCTACCAGGAAATAATATCTTCTAAGTATGAAGGCAAAATATCATTTTTTTTTTACTTTTATTTTAAGTTCAAAGGTACATGTGCAAGTTTGTTATATAAGTAAACCTGTGTCATGGGGGTTTGTTGTACAGATTATTTTGTCTCCCAGGTATTAAGCCTAGTACCCAATAGTTTTTTTTTTCTGATCTTCTCCCTCCACCCTCAAGTAGCCCCAGTGTCTGTTGTCCCTTTCCATGTGTCCATGTGTTCTCATCATTTATCTCCTGCTTACAGGTGAATAGCAGTATTTGGTTTTCTGTTCCTGCATTAGTTTGCTAAGAATAATAACCTCCAGCTCCATACATGTTCCTGCAAAGGCCAAGATCTCATTACATTTTATGGCAGCATAGTATTCCATGATGTATTTGTATCATATTTTCTTTATCCAGTCGGTCACTGATGGGCATTTAGATTTATTCCATGTCTTTGCTATTGTGAATAGTGCTGCAATGAACATATGTGTGCATGTGTCTTTATGATAGAATAATTTATATCCTTTTGGGTATATACCCAGTAATGGGATTGCTGGGTCAAATGGTAGTACTGTTTTTAGCTCTTTGAGGAATCACCACACTGCTTTCCACAATGGTTGAAGTAATTTACACTCCCACCAACAGTATGTAAGTGTTCTTTTTTCTCTGTAACCTCACCAGCATCTGTTATTTTTTGACTTTTTAATAATAGACATAGTGACTGGCATAAGATGGTATCTCATTGTGGTTTTGATTTGTATTTCTCTAATGATCAGTGATATTGAGCTTTTTTCCTATGTTTCTTGGCCACATTTATGTCTCCTTTGGAAAGTGTCTGTTCATGTTTTTTGCCCACTTTTTAATAGAGTGGGTTGTTTGTTTTTTCTTGAAAATTTATTTAAGTTCCTTATAGATGCTGAATAGTAGACCTTTGTCAGATGCATAGTTTACAAAAATTTTCTCTCATTCTATAGGTTGTCTGTTTATTCTGTTGATAGTTTCTTTTGTTGTGCAGAAGCTCTTTAGTTTGATTAGATTCCATTTGTCAATTTTTGCTTTTGTTGTAATTACTTTTAGTGTCTTCCTCATGAAATCTTTGTCCTTTCCTGTGTCTAGAATGGTATTGCCTACTTTATCTTCCAGGGTTTTTAGAGTTTTAGGTTTTACACTTAAGACTTTAATCTATCTTGAGTTGATCTTCATACATGGTGTAAAGAAGGGGTCCAGTTTCAATCCTCTGCATATGGCTAAGCAGTTAGTCTGGCACCATTTATTGAATAGGAAATCCTTTCCCCATTGCTTTAGTCAGGTTTATTAAAGATCAGATGGTTGTAGGTGTGCAGCCTTATTTCCGTATTTTCTATTCATTCCATTGTTCCATGTTTCTCTTTTTATACCAGCATCATGCTCTTTTGGTTATTGTATCCCTATAGTTTAGTTTGAAGTCAGGTAGTGTGATGCCTCCAACTTTGTTCTTTTTGCTTAGGATATGGACATTTTAAGACATAGAAAAGATGAAAGAATTTATCACCAGCAGACCTGAATAAGAAATGATAACAGAAGTGTTCAGAAAGAAGGCCAATGAGAACAGATGAAAATATGAATTCTTGCAAAGGTCTATGAGCAACTATAAATGGTAATTATGCTAGTATACATATAAGGCCTTTTTCTTACTATATAAATCTCTTTATGATGTAATGGATTATTTAAATAAAATAATAATGTAATGGAGATGTTAGTAGAAGTAAATTGTATGAAAACAAGGTCAAGAGAGAAGTCATGGAAAAACATTACTGTATGGCTTTTATAATAAATATGAAGTGATATAGTATCATTTGAATATAGACTGTGATTAAATTGAAGATATAGGCCTTAAGCCCTAAATCAATCACTAAAATAATGTAACAAAATGTTAAATGTAATATGCCAATAAATAAGATAATTTGAAATTATAAGAAATTATTAACTAAAATTAGAAATTTAAAAAGAGAAAAAGAAAACAAAGGACAGATGAAACAATGTCTACATATAAAAGATGATAGATTTAAATCTAATTATATCGATAATTGCATTAACTGTAAATTGTTTAAGCACTCTAATCAAAAGGCAGTGATTAACAGATTGGACTAAAAAAATCAAGACTCAAGTATATTTTGCCTCCAAAAATCCAGCTTTAAATGTAGATACAAAGATGTTAAAAGTAAAATGATGGAGAATGATACAGGATGCAAGCAGGAAACATAAGAAGTTGAATTGCCTATGTTAACATCAAACAAATTAGATTCCAAAGCCAAGAATAGTACTGCATAAAATGAGATATTTCATAATGATGAATGAGCCAATCTATCAAGAAAAACTCATTATCCTAAATATTTATTCATTCAGTTAAAGAGCTTCAAAACATATATACCAACAATTGTTAGAATTTCAGGGAGAAATTATATTCACAGATTTCAATACCTTCCCCTGTATAATTGATTAAACAAGTAAATAGAATATTAATAAAAATAAAGATAAAAAGACTGAATAACACTGTATTAGTCCGTTTTCACACTGCTGATAGACATACCCAAGACTGGGCAATTTACAAAGGAAAGGGGTTTATTGGACTGACAGTTCCACGTGGCTGAGGAGGCTTCACAATCATGGTGAAAGGTGAAAGGCAAGGAGGAGCAAGTCACGTCTTACATGGATGGTGGCAGGCAAAGAGAGTTTGTGCATGGAAACTGTCATTTTTAAAACCATCACATCTTGTGAGACTTATTCACTATCATGAGAACAGCGAAGAAAAGACCCGTTGCCATAATTCAATCACTTCCCACTGAGTTCCTCCCAGGACACATGGGATTTGTGGAAGTTACAATTCAAAATGAGATTTGGATGGGGACAGAGTCAAACCATATCATTCTGCCCCTGGCCCCTCACATATCTCATGTCCTCACATTTCAAAACCAATAATGCCTTCCCAACAGTCCCCCAAAGTCTTAACTCATTTCAGCATTTATTCAAAAGTCCACCATCCAACATCCTATCTGAGACAAGGCAAGTCCCTTCCACCCATAAGCCTGTAAAATCGAAAGCAAGTTAGTTACTTCCTAGATACAATAAGGGTACAGGCATTGGGTAAATACAGCCATTCCAAATGGGACAAATTTGCCAAAACAAAGAGACTACAGGCCCCATGCAAGTCTGAAATCCAGTAGAGCAGTCACATCTGAAAACTCCAAAATGATCTCCTTTGTCTCCATGTCTCACATCCAGGTAACGCTAATGCAAGCAGTGGGCTCCCACAGCCTTGGGCAGCTCTGCCCTGTGGCTTTGCAGGGTACAGCTCCATTCCTGGCTGCTTTCATGGGCTGGTGTTGGGTGTCTGCAGCTGTTCCAGGCACACAGTACAAGCTGTTGATGGTTCTACCATTCTGGGGTTTGGAGGATGGTGACCCTCTTCTCACAGCTCCACTAGGTGGTACCCCAGTAGGGGTACATTTCCCTTCTGCATTGCCCTAGCAGAGGTTCTCCATGAGGGTCCTGCCCCTTCAGCAAACTTCTACGTGGACATCCAGGCATTTCCATACATCCTCTGAATTTTAGGCAGAGATTCCCAAACCTCAATTCTTGACTTCTGTGCACCCGCAGGCTCAACACCATGTGGATCTGCCAAGGCTTGGGGCATGCACCCTTTGAAGCCATGACCTGAGCTGTACCTTGTCCCCATTTAGTCATGCCTGGAGAGGCTGGGACTGACAGCACCAAGTCCCTAGACTGCACACAGCACAGGGATGCTGGGCTTGGCCCATGAAACCATTTTTTTCCTCCTAGGCCTCCAAGCCTGTGATGGGTGAGGCTGTTGTGAAGACCTCTGACATGCCCTGGAGACATTTTCCCCATTGTCTTGGTGATCTACATTCAACTTCTTCTTACTTAGGTAAATTTCTGCAGCTGGCTTGAATTTCTCCTCAGAAAATGGGATTTTCTTTTCTACCACATTGTAAGGCTGCAAATTTTTCAAACTTGTATACTCTGTTTTCTTTATAAAGCTCAATGCCTTTAACACTACTCAAGTCACCTCTTGAATGCTTTGCTGTTTAGAAATGTCTTCTGCCAGATACTCTAAATTATCTCTGTCAAGTTAAAAGTTCCACAAATCTCTAGGGCAGGGGCAAAATACCACTAGTCTCTTTGCTAAAACATAACAAGAGTCATCTTTGCTTCAGTTCCCAACAAGTTCCTCATCTTTATCTGAGACCACCTTAGCCTAGACCTTATTGTACATATCACTATCAGCATTTTTGTCAAAGCCATTCAACAAGTCTCTAGGAAGTTCCAAACTTTCCCACATTTTCCTCTCTTCTGAGCCCTCTAAACTGTTCCAACCTCTGTCTGTTACCCAGTTCCCAAAGCCACTTCTGCATTTTTGGGTATCTTTTCAGCAACACCCCACTCTACTGGTACCAATTTACTGTACTAGTCTATTTTCATGTTCCTGATAAAGACATACATGAGACTGGGCAATTTACAAAAGAAAAAGGTTTATTGGACTTACAGTTCCACATGGCTGGGAGGCCTCACAATCATGACAGATGGTGAAAGGCAAGGGCAAGGAGGAGCAAGTCACGTCTTACATATATGATGGCAGGCAAAGGGAGAGTTTGTGCATGGAAACTCCTGTTTTTAAAACCATCAGATCTTGTGAGACTCATTCACTATCATGAGAACAGAGCAGGAAAGACCCGCCCCCATAATTCCATCACCTCGTATGGGGTTCTTCCCGCAACACGTGAGAATTGTGGGAGTTACAATTAAAGATGAGATTTGAGTGGGGACACAGCCAAACCACATCAAACACTATCAACCAACTTGATCTAATTGACATTTATAGAAATGTCACCAAGAGCAGAAGACACATTCTTTTCAAAAGCACACTATTAGAGTGACTAAAATTTAAAGACTGAGCATACCATGTGTCAACAAGGATATAGAAAACCAGAAATCTGATGATTGTATATTCCTATCATCAGATTCTAGTTTCCTAAAGTTACAACCACTTGGAAACAGTTGAGCAGTTTTTGTTTGTTTGTTTGTTTATTTGTTTGTTTGTTTTTAGATGGAGTTTTACTCTTGTTGCCCAGTCTGGAGTGCAGTGGCACAACCTCGGCTCACCACAACCTTCGCCTCCCAGGTTCAAGTGATTCTCCTGCCTCAGCCTCCCAAGTAGCTGGGATTGCAGGCATGCACCACCACGCCAGCTAATTTTGTATATTTAGTAGAAACGGGGTTTCTCCGCATTGGTCAGGCTGGTCTCAAACTCCCAACCTCAATGTGATCCACCCATTTTGGCCTCCCAAAATACTGGGATTACAGGTGTAAGCCACCATGCATGGCCCAGTTAAGCAGTTTTTATAAAGAATTAACCATACAACTATCATATAATCCAGCTATTCCAAAAAAACTTGAAAGAATAAACTGTGGTATATCCATTCAGTGGTATGTTACAATAAAAAGCAAGGAATTGTTGACATATGCTGCAACATGGATCAATCTCAAAGTAATTATGCTGAGTGAAAGAAGCTGAAAGAAGAAAAGAGTACGTGTTACATAATTCCATTAATATAGAATTCCACCAAATGCAAACTAATATATATTCACAAAAAGCAAATTAATCAGTGTCTGGGAATGGGGTTGGGGATGAAAGCTGAAAATGAAAATGAGGGAAGGGGGAATTTTTGTTCTTGGGCATACTTTTTTATTTATAAAACATCTAGGTCAGTGCCTGGTATGTAAAATCTCACAATGTATTTTTACTTTCCTTTATTAGCTTTGTGACTTTAGACAGGTCACTTAATCTGTCTCAGTTTTTCATCTATAAAACAGGATAAAACCCATTTCATAGATTTCTTGTGAAAATCCATTGAAATATGGATACAAAGTACTTTGATATATTTTAAAGCTTATAAATATTACTCATAATTCTACAACCACTGATACACAAATAAATATTAGAATTCACAGAGCATTTTCTCTTCCACAACTTGCAGTGCCTGGGTTGTATACTGTTGGGTATTTCCTAAATGAGTCCATGATATCATTTGATCCTTTTGTCAACATTTTGAGTTTAGCATGGTAGCTGTCACCTTTTAAATGATTTGCCTAATTTTATATGTCTAGTTGATCTTATGTCATTTATCTACTTCTACCACTTATAATGTCATAAAGTCTAAGTTTTATTCTCATTAAAAATAAAACAATATTGCAAGGCAGATAATTAAACAATTTATAATAATAATTACTGACGGAAGGCACCTTTTTTCGTTGGCATTGCCCTACCTATTATGTTTTTCATGTATTCGTAGAACAAATATTCATTGAGCATCCACCAGCATCTAGATATGGGAAACATGGCAATAAGCAAGACAGAAATAAATCCCTCCCCGTATAGAGTTTACATTGAAAGTATAAATAGTTTAATTGCAGAAATCTTAAAAAAAAATTCTCCTTTGGGAGGCCGAGGTGAGTGGATCCCCTGAGGTCAGGAATTCAAGACCAGCCTGAGCAACAAGGTGAAACCCCGTCTCTACTGAAAATACAAAAATTAGATGGGTGTGGTAGCAGACGCCTGTAGTCCCAGCTACTCGGGAGGCTGAGACAGGAGAATTGCTTGAACTCGGGAGGCTGAGACAGGAGAATTGCTTGAACCCGGGAGGCAGAGGATGCAGTGAGCCAAGACTGCACCACTGCACTCCAGCCTGGGTGAGGGAGGAAGACTCTTATCTCAAAAAAAAAAAAAAAAAACAAAAAAAAAACCTCAAAACTAAAGAGTAATAGAGTAATTAACAATGAGAAGAAGAAGAAAAAACTAATAACAAGTGATACAGTTGAAAACAGGAATTTAATTTTTTATTGTTAATAAAATATGTTTCCTATTTTTGTTATAGCCCTTAAAAATCACATTTTTGAATTTGTGTAGTGGATATCTAAATCATGAATGTTTGCTTCTCTCTATACAATGCAGGGGGATATCACCACTTCTACTCTGTGCCTGAAAACATTAATGAGTATTTAAGGAAATGGGTAGTGATTTGGTAGCTTTAATTCGTATTTATTCTTAGAATATTGTTTCTTCTGGCCTTAAAATATTGAATACACATTTTAATAGTCACTTCATACAGACGAACTGCCCGATATCAGCTGTCGTAGATTCTATTTTCCTTATTTATCCAGACACTTAATAGGAGGTGTGAATTTGATATTCCTTAGAAACAGTTGTTCATTTAACTTATTCACCCCTTCAGGGAAAGACATCAATTTTTATTGTCATATATAAATGCCATTCAGACATCAGTACATGTCTTCATTTTCAGAAACAGTAAACCATAAATAGAATAAGTGGTTCTGATATTTCCTGTATTGATGTTTTAAAATGCACAAGGGTAATCTTTCTAAAAGGTAAATTCAATCAGGTAAATCCCTGAAATCTGAATATCCAGGAAGCTCATTCACTCATTAAAACAAAAATGCGTTTATGATACAAGTCACTAACATAAAAGTCACAACCTTTGCTTATGCTATGACAAATACAAAGACAACAGACAGATAAGTGATATTCTTATCTTCAACAAACTCATAATCTACTAGGGTTTTCAAGATATCTCTGTTAAAAGTATTCTAAAAGGTCAGTAGGAAGGTAATAGCAATAAACAAGGTATGATCAAACGCTTTAATAATTTAGAAAAGCTAATGTGCACTAGTGGATTTAAAGATGATATGGTACTATATATAGGTGGCATTTGCATTGAACTATTATAGGTCAACCATGAACAGACAGAGATCATGAAGAACATTAAAGTTAAGGAGAAAGCAATCATATTTAGAGATGAACATTTGAGGAAGGGTAATTAGTTTCTCTATGTCTCGAATACAAAATGGTTTTAGACTTATCTACAATATCATGATTTATGACAAACCAGGAAACATTATCTTCAAAGTACCTGAGATGAAGTTACAAATAATCCTTTACCAAAAAATAGCTAACAATAGGTCATAAATCAGTTGGAAACCCCCTTAGATCATTTTACTGTTCTCAGGCATGATTTCCTCAGTCTAACCACATATAGTGATGGACTTTAAGACAGCAAGGACCAGTGTTAAAATACGAAAGAAATTGGAAGCTGGTTATTAAAATAAAGAACTAAACCCTTTTCTCCAAGATCTATTATTCCCTGAATAAATGACTTGAGAAATTTTCAATTAAATAAGACTTCTGTCTCTAAAAGTGCATTTCACAAGAAAATATTTTTTTCTAATCTCATATTTCCTAAAAGAAGGAACCATATGATCTCCTGCCAAGTCTCTAATGCAAGTCCATACCAATGGTCAGTTCCAAATGGGGTAATAAAACTTAAAAAGTTGAACATAGGAACATATCTTTTCACAATTGTCACATACATTTCCTTTCCCTTTAAATTTTATACCATTCTTCTTTCAGCCATTAATCTTTTCTTGTAAATATGAAACCACCTTTAATTGTAAAATATAAATCATCAAATAGGAGTTCCTTCATTTTTCATCAACAAATCTATAAACTTACCTGTATCTGAATCAGTCTTCTTGAAGTTTTTAATCTAATTGTCACTGACAGTAGCAAAGGCTAATACTGATTTGTGTCCTGTGTCCCATTGCCTCTCAATTTTTAAAGAACTTTATTCCAATTGTTATACCCTTTTTCTCTTGAGTCTGTAATCTATCCCTTTTTAATCTATTCCTGTCAACATTCACCCAATCTCTAATACCTTTAGAAAAAAAAAAAAAGTCTTCTCTTGATCTCACATCTCTCTCCAGTTGTTGTACTATTTCTCTGCTCCCTTGAATTTCCAAGCTTTTTTGGGGAAAAAGGTAGGGGTGTCTACATGTAGCTAATTTATTTCTTTATTTCTCGTTTACTCTTTGATATTCCCATCCAACCTCTGATATAATCTCCATTTGTCAAAGGCAATGAAAACTTTCCTCTCATCAGCAGTCATCCCAGTTGATCACTCTTTCCTTCAAACACATTCATTCCACTCTATTCCCAATACACACCCTGCTTCCTCCTCTGCCACCCCAAACCAATATTCTTTTTCCCCCACTCCCAGTTGTATTATCTTAGATTCCTTTCCTGTCTCGTTTTGTCATTATCTCTCTGCTAAAGGTCCAGGGACAGGTTGAAAATGCATGGTTTTCATAATTTCTCTTTTAATAAGATACTAAAATGCCTAAAATATTAATGAGGCTACATGATTGACTATACTCCACAATCTGGACAAGTCTATAGCTTGGGTTCATAATACTTCCTAAAAGCCAGATAAATTATTTAGTTACAGAATATATTTTCTCAAATTCAGGTAATATTCATTCAGTTTTTTATTCAATAAGTATTATTCATCACTTACCATGTGTCAAGCATTGTTACAGATCCTAGGGATAAAACAGTAA
Organism: Homo sapiens; assembly: GCF_000001405.40. NCBI lineage: Eukaryota > Metazoa > Chordata > Mammalia > Primates > Hominidae > Homo > Homo sapiens. Next base: position 85,602,449 of record NC_000012.12, read on the forward strand.
CCAAGATAGACAAGATACCTGCCTTCGTGGAGCATGAGAGTAAAGGCAGGAAGGGAGGATTGTGGATGTTATACAGAGTTAAGAGCATTATCACAATGGATTAAATGCTAGATTTTCATCAACTCATGTTATAGAGATTCTAAACTCCAGAATAACCTACCATTTTTTTTCCTAGAAATATATGCAAAGACAAGACCTACTTGACCTTGCTATGTCTCTGTACCTCAAGATATTCTTATAGTAAAAAAGCTGAGGGGAAATTCTGCACATTTTAAGATCTACCCTTTTAGACAGACTTGTGAAAAATAGGACCTCATGTTTGAGAATAAGCATCATAAATGGATAATTAATTACATTAAAATTAGCTGGCAGTTAAAGATGCAGTCCAACCGCCACGATCAGTCCCCCACCCCATTTTCTGCCAAAAATAAAGGTAAGTCATTCTGATAATGACAATTTTAGAAACAACTCATACAAAAATGTCTGTACCTCATTGCACAGTGTCTACAGAACCAGGTGCTATAAGAGTTTATTAGGAGGAGTGACAGCGCGTGTTTCTTCAGCACTTATGGAGGAGAGTCGCACACCTATGTTCAGAACTTGGGGCTTGTAGTGCATATATGAATGGCATGATATATTCCAAATCACAGAACATCGCTTATTTTAATAAGCTAAAATATCATTTAGTACAAAATTTAAGAAGCTCTTCTTCATGTGAATCTGGCTAGACCTCTTCATCTTTCTTTGCCTCTCTTTTCTCATTGATAAAATATGGCTAGTAATGTTCACTCTATCTAACTGATCAGATTGCATTGAGATAATTATGGGATAAGGGTTACGAGTTCATATTAAATTAAAAATACATTAAAATATGGTTTACAACTATGATCATTGCTATAATCACAAGTGTTAAAATAATAGTACATGCTTTCCAGATTAAATGATTTTTATTTCTTCAAAAATGTCTTTCATTTATACTTTCTTATTGTTTTTATACATGTGAAAACTGCCTCAAATCCTTTGTTATAAGGCATTTTAAATGTTGAAAATTCAAGTCTGAGCAGCTAATTTGAACATGAACATATGGTAGAAAGCAAAAGTTTATTCAATATACCTATTTGATTGAGTTTTTAACTAAAAACAGTCAAGATAGTGGAGTTACATAGCCCTAGTCTAAATGATATTAGATCTCTTTAAAAGATGTTTTTCGGTGAATTTGACAAATAGCAATTACTAAACACAACACCAACAGTGATAAATATTCCAATTTCAACCTGTCAAAAACGAACTGAAGACTAAAAGGAAACACATGATAGGAAACATCTGTTCCTTTCTCAGACCTGCTGAGAGATGATGAGGATACACCTTATGACAATATATAAATAATAAAATAAAATTTCAAAAGTCAGTTTATTTGTTTTTTCACATTACCTCTTTGAACTGAAGAGAGAATATGTACTGTAAAAAATGGAGAGATATGTGTCTTAGTGCTTAATACACACTAAAATAAACTTTGAATAATTTCATCTCCATATTTTAATAAGGAGCAGATTAATGAGAGCTTAAGTTAGAACTTTAAAGACAAAGGAATTGCCAAGGTATATCTATTATGAATAAGATTCTAACCCCCTTTCTGATGACTTGTTTATGTTTAATATTAGAAAACATTTCATTTATAAAGTAAACTTAAGAGTTAAAAAAATTTTTATTCAAAATTCAGTTATTTTTGGACTGTATTCAAATTAAGAAAGATTAGAATTATGAACTAGATGTTTTTCTGCCTCAACAGAGTAAAGGTGCTGAAGGTTTCTATTTCCACACTACCTCCTCTTTTTTTGTGCCATTATTGCTCTTCTGGGGATCCAGGTTCTCCTCTCTGTTTTGTGGGAGGTGGCGGGGATAAGGGAGGATTCAATATCACCCTGGGACACTGATAAAGGAGATTGATTACATCGGTGTTTCTACAGGGAAGGGTTAGACAGCATTCCTGCTTAGCTGTTCAGTAAAAGACACATAGCAATGAATGGAAGTATAGGAATTCTTAGTCTTTACCAGGGATGATGTGCTATGCTCACTGAAATGTTGATAGGGTAGTCTTCTGATGCAGATTCAGTTTATACAGGACACAGATTGAGGAACATACTAAGACTGGGAAAGGTTTATGGGAATGTTTGAGGATGTGCAAAGTGACAGCAGGCTGAGTCTAGAAAAGTAAATCAATTACCCATAGAACACTAATGGTATTTCACTCTGCAGTATATGGAGAGCTGGTGAAGAGCCTTGAATAAGTTAGACTAGCACTGTCCCATTGAAATATAACTCAAGCCAACTAAAAACATTTAAATATTTTAGTAGTTACTAATTTAAATATTTATTACTATATATGTTTAGTAGTCGGTAGTTTTAATGCTTGTTAAAAATAGTGAAAAGAAGCAAGGAAACTCAATGTTAATCATAATTAACTCAGTATATACAAAAATATTATTATTTGTACATGTAATCAACATAAAATTAATGAGATGTTTTATATTTTTGTACTAAGTTTTTAAACTCTGTTGTGTTTCTTATCTACAGCCATCTCAATTCCTACGCCAATTTTTTATAAAAAATATGCTTCATATTTAGATATCATAACATTTAAAGTTACAAAAGTAGATTTATATACCTAAGTTGTTCCAGATTCCCAACAACTAAGCTGATGTCAGTTTGTAAACTTACATTTAAACTGACTGAAATTTAAATTTCAGTTTCCAGTGATACTAGCTTCATTTCAAGGGATGAACAGCAACTTGTGACTGGTGGCTCTCATATTGGACAGTGCAGCTGTAAACTGAGAAATTTCAACTGGCCAAGACAGCCTTGGAAAAGAAAGCATTATGAAATGGCAGGCAGATAGAGAAAAGGTCATGATATATAAAGTTTATAAGCTAGATAATCAGATTATGAGTAATTCAGTGGTGACTGTCATAAAATTCACTTGCTCGATATTCAGTCCTTTCCATTTGTAGTGACACACAAATCCAGAGTGGAGTATAATTGAGGAAAATTTTCAAAGCTTTTAAAAAATTCTATTGTAAGAGTACAGAGATATCTTAGATAACTCTTAGATATCATCTAGTCCAATTCATTTTATATTTATGAAACATGTCTAGAAAATACTATTCACTTATCCAAAGTCTAAGTTAAGACAAAGGTTGCTGTTAGATCTAGATCCCGAAAATAGTGTTTTTTTCCTATAGTATCAAATAAGATTCGAATATAATATTAATATTAAATGAATAACCCACAAATATAATTTTCATTCATTTACCTGAGGCATTTCCCAGTTTTTCAAATTACTGTATTACATTATTACTCAATAGTAGCTTTGTTATGAAATATCACCTCTATTGGGTAAAAAGTTTAAAAACAAAATTTAAATTAAATGGAAAAAATAAATATAAATTCCTTTAATAACAATAAGAAGAACACAACTGAAGTTAAAACTTTAGGCTTGAACTTAAACTGAGCCTGATATCAAGTATATGTAAGAAAACTGTTAATTAAAACAATTTTGTCTGATAAACATGTGATTCACTGTCTGAACGAATCTAAGTGAGAAATACAAATTCATGTTTGCCTATTTGACTTTGCAGGTGAACTTAGTATCAGTAAGTTGAATGCGTACGTGACATACTTGTAATCATTCACCAGTTACTTCCATACCTTGTTTGTTGTAGAATAAAATACTGCAGCAATTTTTTTGTCTTTAGAAAAGAATTATAGATGTCTTCAATCTGTGCCAAAGTGAACATGTTCACACATCTCAATTATTGCTCATCGTGGAATATATCTTATGCTATCTACATTATCTCCACAGACAAATGAATAAGTTTAGAATTATATAAGTTTAGCATTCTATTTCCCTGTATTCCATTGTAAATAAGTTATTTAAGAGTTACATATGTTGAGTACTTAAGGTTGTATAGAGTCAGCTATTGAAAGTCAATCCTAGAAACAGACACTAGTTTTGAGTTGATACTTCATTTGGCTCTTTTACCCGAAAGATTTATATGAGGACAAGCAAAGCCTGTTTATTCAGAGCTTGCTCTAGCAAAGGAGGCAGCCACCATCATTTGTGTTTTGGCAGAGACTCAAAGACAAACAGGAGAGTGGAAAAGCTTTATAGAGAAAATAAATAAATAAATAAATAAATAAATAAATAAATAAATAAATAAATAAATAAAGGAAAGGGATGCCTTCAAGTATTCTCTGATTGGAGGCTCTTGGAATGGGGAAGCTGTAGCTCGGCTAATTAGAAGCAAGGCATCCTTTATGAGTGGTTATGGGTGTATATTTGGCTTTCCCTGTTGGTCTTAAGTTGGAAGTGGGGACAAAGATTAAGGAAGCTGTCAGTTATTAATCATGTCCAGGCCATTTTAGGACTGATTTTACAGGAACTATTGTTTCTCTTCCTAGATGGTTACTAGAGATAGTGGTCTAACTTCCTAAAAGTCTGAATTGTAGATAGCAGAGTGACTCCCTGGGCTGGTTATTGTAGAGAATAAGTTGGTTTGCTGGGCTTGTTGCTGCAGATTTTTGGTTAGAATTCTAATTTTATATATAGTTTGGCTGTTTTCCTTTGTATGTTCAGTCTTTTGGTATCCATAAACAATAATGACTCACTGGGATATTTTAAACAATTAATCAACAGACTTTTTTGATTAATGGTATTATTTCACTTCTTAAAGTAATTAGATTTGCATTTATCCTGTTTAACTTTGGAAACTTTACTCTCAGGATATATAAACTGCTCATTTTTCAGTCAGTATTCTTAGGGAGAAATAAGAAAAGAGGAATAAAATATTTACTTAAATGCAATTTTCTAAAATCATTAATCATAATTATATGCATCTTTGAGTTTTACAATGTTGTTTAAGACTGTGAAAATAATTCAAAATAAAGATAAATCACTTCAATAGAAGTGGTGCAATCAAAATTCTTTATTAAAAAAATCACTGAAAATATTTCCAAAATTCAGTTTCTTATTATCTTTTTGTCACAAATTAGGAAATACTGTGATCAAGTCAGACTTGTTTTCTTTTTTAAGATTTCAACAGTCTGATTCCTGAGGGTGGGAAAACTTGTAAGAAGTGTTTGAAATTTAAGTAAAACATAATTCTCCATTTTTGTTATCTGAACATGATTAGGCAAAGAGAGGAAATGACCTAGTGATGAAGTATATTCAATAATTATGTCAGTTGGATAAACATTTTGTATATTACTGAACTATTTCAATTAAGGATCAAAGGGTTCTAAGACCAGATATTTTATTTATTGATTGATGTTAATTGAATAGAGATTATATTTACTTATTTATGTTAATTGAAAATTTGAAGTTAATGAATACTGTTTCATAGTACGACAGTATAAAAGGGAATGTGGTTAGAACACTGATTAACCAACATCTTGTAATGCTCAAGAATAAGTTGATTGGGATGCCTCATCCCTCTTACATATAAAGCAAGACCAAGCCAACAGTTTTCCTTAGTTAAATATCTTTTTCATTTCTACAATAATTAATTTTATCATTTTTCTAGGGCTTGCTGCCATGTCAAAGAGCTATCAACCAGGTGCATTAAAACAACAGAAATGTATTCTTTCACAGTTCTGGTGGCTAGAAGTCTCAAATCACAGTGTTGTCAGGGCCATGCTCCCTCTGAAGACTCTAAAAAAGAAGACTTCCTTGTCTCTTTTAGCTTATTGTGGCTGCTGGTAATCTTTGGAATTCCTTGGTTTGTGGCAGCATCATTTCAATCTTTGCCTCTGTCTTTATGTGGTCTTCTTTCCTGTGTCTCTATGTCTAAATTTCTCTCTTATAAAAGCAACAGTCATCAAATTAGGACCCAACCTAGTCCAATATGAGCTCATTTTACCTTGCTTACATTTATGAAGACTCTATTTCCAGGTAATGTCAAATTTACAGGTACAGTAGTCAGGATTTCAACATATCTTTTTGCAGGACGCAATTAAAACCTACAACACTGCCCAACATCTTTGCATCGGCTAAAATTCTATTTCTTAGGTAGAGCTTTATTTTTTTAGCTTAAAGCTCTCAACCTGATCATTTTCCTGACAGAGATAAAATTTTCAGCCTGGAAGAGCCCTAAGAGATATATAGATACCCAAATAATTCATGATTACACTTAACAAATTCCAGGCAATGTTTTAAGTACATTACATATAATATTGTATTTAATCTTTACAAAGACTGTTTAGTACTGTTATTGTTTCCATCTTACATAGGAAATAACTGAGTGTTTTGAACAAAAATAAATTAACTTTGTTCTCCACAAGTATTCAATGTTTTAGATAACTCTAGTTAGGTATCACTGAGAATCAGCCTTGCTATAGGTGGCATGTATTATGATGAATCCAAGTCTCCACATGAATTATTGCCTCCTAGTTAACAATAAATGGATACAAAGACAGTCATACAACCTATTCTGTATATATGATTAAATCCCACCTCTCTATACTTCTAAATGCTCTGACAGCACATATCAAGAAATTTTCATTTGGGCCCAGGGCAGGGCTCACTCCTGTAATCCCAGCACTTTGGGAGGCAGAGGCAGGCCAATCACCTGAGGTCAGGAGTTCAAGATCCGCCTGGTCAACATGGTGAAACCCCATCTCTACTAAAAATACAAAAATTAGCCGGGCATGGTGGTACACACCTGTACTCCCAGCTACTCGGGAGGCTGAGGCAGAAGAATTGCTTGAACCCAGGAGGAAGAGGTTGCAGTGAGCCAAGATTGTGCCACTGCAGTCCATCCTGGGCAACAGAGCGAGACTCCATCTCAAAAAAAAAAAAATTATTTTCTCACAATTCGGAGGCCAGAAGTCAAAGATCAAGGAGTCCTCCTTGGTGTACAGATGGCTGCCTTCTTGCTGTGTGCTCACACGGTCATCCCTCTGTCTGCGTTGTCTGTATCTTAATCTTTTCTCAACAAGATATTAGTCATATTGGATTGGTCCGCACTGAGAATCCCATTTTAATTTAATTACCTCTTTAAAGGCCCTACTTCCAAACATAGTCATATTCTGAGGTATTGCATGTTAGGGCTTCAGCATGTTAGGGCTTCAACATATGAACTTTAATGGGACAAAATTTAGCCCAAAGCAGAGGTAATAATCTATTTTTTGTGCTCCTTTCTTATTCTCATGTCACAAAGTGAAAGCTCTGATAGAATGATCCTCAAACATCATCATATACACCATAAAATGAATATTTTTGAGCTTTTTATAATGTCAGGTACATTTGCTCTGGAATTAGATTACCAAGTTATCCTCGATAATCATATATCAAGTTGAAATGCCTGAATGAATATATCCTATAAATCACACTCCATTACACATATCAAAGTCACTTGATTGGACCAAGTTATAAATGTTTACCCTCATATTTTTCCCAGCATAATAAATTATCAACCTTATCAAACAAAATTGCTCTGCAGGGAATTGCCTCTTCGAATATGCCTCCTCACTCAAATGTTTAAGCTCATATCTGTATGTCTTCCCCACTACCTTGTGGTTTTCCCTTGTTCTACCTGATATGCAACCAGGATATTATTTCATCTGATATTTCATTTAGCATTTTATGACTTCTTCCTTTACAATATGCAACATGAAACTCTTGTTTTAGAGTTCTCTTTGCTGACAGTCTTCCTACTGCTCTCTGATATTCACTCCTCTTCTCAAGGGAAAAAAATAAAATGTCCTTGGCTCCTGCTTCTACTTGTAGAAGAGGGTAATCAGTAGAAAATCCCTTATTACGCTACTGTCATTTCCGCCAGTGACAAAATTTAGTAACTACTTTGGTACAATCACACAAAATCATGTGGATGCTCAGTCTCTCTCTGAAACTGTGCACTAAGATAAACGCTGTGATTTATTTCATTTTCAACAGCCTATCATTTGCCTACCTGACCTGTGTCAGGCTGTGCTGAGGCCATAATTCTCAGAGGCATTCACAGGACAATCTCAGCATGTATTAAAGGACTAAGAATCTTTTTAAAAAAAATATCCTGATACCTTAGAAAAAGAATATGAATAAAAGGTAAAGGATTAGTAGAGATAAAATAGCTCCCGTAGTTTTTTCTGGGATCAAGAGTGCAAATCTCAGCTGTTGTTAAATTTTTACTCTACCATTCACAGCCTGAACAAGTTCTATGCCTCAGTTTCCATTAAATAAAAAATAACATTCTTTAAGGTTTATATCATACTTAACCAACAATAGCAATTACCTTGAACATATGAAAGTTTGTTATTATACTCCAATATTCTGTAGGGCATTCTACACACTAATCAAAATAAGAATTACCTTCTCAATCAAGGCTCCCACCCTACAGAGTCTCCAAAAGAATTGTGGTTATTATAGCCAAAAACCACCAGAGCTAATTTCAGCCCAAGGAACAGTTAGTTATTTGAGCCTTGAGACAGGGGCTGAGCTGAAATGTGTTCTTTTGAATTGTCACATTCTTCATCTCTAAAATTTGATAACCACATCTATCTTCTTAGAGTTCCCCAGATTTTCTTGAAATAGTATTGAGCAGAAAAAAAATAATTTTTTTTTAGGTTCAGGGGTACACGTGTTGGTTTGTTATATAGGTAAATTAATTGCGTGTCACAGGGGTTTGTGTATAGATTATTTCCTCAATCAGGTAGTAAGCATACTACCTTATAGGTAGTTTTCCTATCCTCCCCCTCCTCCTGTAGTCCACCCTTAAGTAAGTCCCAGTGTCTGCTCTTCCCTTCTTTGTGTTCATGTGTACTCAATGTTTAGTTTCCACCTAAAAGTGAAAACATGTGGCGATTGGTTTTCTGTTCCTGTGTTGGTTCACTCAGGATAATGGCCTCCAACTCCATCTATGTTGCTGCAAAGGACAAGATCTCATTCCATTTGATGGCTGCATAGTATTCAATGGTGTATATATACCATATTTTCTTTATCCAGTCTACTTTTGGTGGATATTTAAGTTGATTCAATATCTTTGCTATTGTGAATAGCACTGCAATTAATATACGCATGCATGTGTCTTTATGATAGAATGATTTACATTCTTCTGGATATATACCCAATAATGGGATTGCTTGGTTGAATGGTAATTCTATTTTGAGTTCTTTGAGAAATTGCCACACTACTTTCAGAGCTGCTGAACTAATTTACATCAGTATATAAGGATTCTCTTTTCTCTGCAACCTCACCAGCATCTGTCGTTTTTGACTTTGTAATAATAGCCATTCTGACAGGTTTGAGATGGTATCTCATTGTGGTGTTGATTTGCATTTCTCTAATGATTAGTGATGTTGACCATTTTTTCATATGCTTATTAGTTGAATGTATGTCTTCTTTTTAAAAGTGTCTGTTTATATCCTTGGTCCATTTTTAATTCTTTTCTTTTTTTCTTTTTTTTTTTTTTTTTTTTTTTTTTTTTGCTTCTTAAAGTTCCTTACAGATTCTGGATGTTAGACCTTTGTTGGATGCATAGTTTGCCAATATTTTCTCCCATTTTGTAGGTTGTCTGCTAACTCTGTTGATATTTTCTTGTTCAGTGCAGAAGCTCTTTAGTTTAATTCGGTCCCATTTGTCAATTTTTGTTCTGTTGTAATTGCTTTTGGTATCTTTTTCATGAAATATTTGCTGGGGCCTGAGTCTAAAATGGTATTTCCCAGGTTGTCTTCCAGGGTTTTTATAGTTTTAGGCTTTACATTTAAGTCTTTAATCTATCTTGAGCTGATTTTTGTATGTGGTGTAAGGAAGGGATCTAGTTTCAATCCTCTGCATAACCAGTTAGCCCAGCACCATTTATTGACTAGGGAGTCCTTTCCCGATTGCTTATTTTTATGAGCTTTTTCAAAGATATAGCTTACAGCTGCACACACCTATAAGTGTGCAGCATTATTTCTGGATTTTCTATTCTGTACCATTGGTCTGTGTGTCTGTTTTGTACCAGTACCATGCTGTTTTGGTTACTGTAGCCTTGTAGTATAGTTTCAAGTCAGGTAACCTGATTCCTCCAGCTTCATTCATTTTGCTTAGAATTTTCTTTGCTATTTGGGCTCTTTTTAAAATTCTAAATAAATTTTAGAATTTCTTTTCTAAATCTGTGAAGAATGTCATTTGTAGTTTGATAGGAATAGCATTGAATCTGTAGACGGCTTTGGGAAGTATGGCCATTTAACAATATTGATTCTTCGTATTCCTGAGCATGAAATGTTTTTCCAGTTGTTTGTGTCATCTCTAATTTCTTTGAATAGTATTTTGTAATTCTCATCATAGAGATCTTTCACCTCCCTGGTTAGCTGTATTCCTATATATTTTATTCTTTTTGTGGCTATTGTATATGGGATTGTGTTCTTGACTGTTAATATTTTATGTATCAATACATAAGATAATTAGCTAGGAAGAAGTGTTCCTATCTAAATGACTTTTTAGCATATTCTTCACTTCTTTTCCTCTCAGGATTCTCAGCTGGTGAGGGGAGCAGATCAATAAGACCTTGAAGAAAATACCTTCAGAAAATTTAGTTTATTCACTCCTAGAAGTTCAAAATGCATAAACATCTAACGTTTTCAGATTTTATCTTTCTTGTTATGGTTGTTTGAACCTTATCTTTTATATTCCCCTCAGAATACTAAAAACAAAATATAGTCTCCTAAGGGTTGTAGGGGAGAAGAAATATATTTCCTTTCTGTCTTAGGTTCATGGCTGTGGCCCTGTAAGAAAAAACAGATTCACAAAAGAAATGTACACAAATATATTTAATATAAATTTTGCATAATATGGGAGACGTCAGAAAGGACCAAAGAAACAGGATATCTTGTGGAATTTTATGGACAGTCATGTGGAAGTATGATTGGAGGACAAAAGGTATGATCTAATGGTAATAAACTGGGGGGAAATTAGCAAGGTCTCTTTGTTCAGATTTCTCTTGGCATCACTGTGTTTTTGCAGATAAGGATGTTCTTTTCATCTGGGAATAGGGTGAGCATATCTGGAATGAAAGTCTTATGACCCACTTCAGAGAAAGGTCAGAAAATTATTGTATAGCCTGCTTCAGGGGAGAAGGGCGAGGGGAAGGTAAGAATGACCCTCCTGATTCTGCCATTTCCTCAAATGCCAATGTGCTATATTCCAGGGTATTATGTCCTGAACCCCAAAAGTGTCCAAGATTGCAAATCAATGACAAATTGGACTACCTTATTATATAAGAGGTGATGTAACTGAATTTAAGTGTGCATATTTTTTCATTGATGTCTATAACCTAAGTCAGGGTAAAGTCCTGGTTCTGAAAATGGCCACTCATATTCTAGGAAGAAACAGTAAATTTAAGTTTATATACCAACTCTGTTATATTTACAAAATATTAAATATGATTAATAAAGGCCATGGTGACACTGTTCCTCCATGAATAATAACTGGTAAACATAAGTAGTTATAAAAATAATATGACTTTTACTTACAGAGTAAATTTTTTTGCACTGTAATCCTAGTTTGAAGTACTAAATAAAACTAAGGGGGAGAGAAGATTAGAAAATAAGTTTTAAAGAAGGACTCAAGAATTTTGTTAATGCTACTTGGCACTTGGCAATTTTAGCATCTTTCCATGGTCCATTCAATTTCCCACTTCTCTCGACTGTTTCTTACCTTTTTGTCCATTCTTTAAAACTGAAACATTTCCTCTTGCTTCTTTTCCTGTGTTGATGATCTTGACTCCTTTTCCATTTAGAAAATAAAAAGAATTAAAACAGAGCTTTTTACACATCATTGCCAGCCAGCATCCACTTGTCTTCATCTATTCTTTATTTCCCTGTAACCAGCAGAAGGAGGGGACAGTGCTCTTACCTAAGCCTAGCCTCTCCTCTCTTTCATGTCCAGCACTTCTCATTCAATAGAAGATGTTATTCCAAACATTTCTCTCTCTCTTTCCTCTACCTTCAATCTTTCCCCTCTATTGGATTATTTCTGTAAAATGCAAACATAAACATTCTACAGTATATCCAGTCCTAAAAAAAAGACTATTTTAATAAAAATCCATTTCACCCTCCATTCCTCTTGTGCTCCTATCCCCTTTCTCTTATCCCTCTTACAGCAAAACTCCTCAACAGTGTTTCCCTCCTTTTTCTTTCTTGGCTCTCTTCTTTTTGTTCTTTTTTTAAACCACTGTAATTGGGTTTTCATCCCCATTATGCTGGTGTAACAGCCTTTTATACCACTCAATATATGTATTCATGGAATCGTTGATTCAAGAAAATGTTTTGAGCACCTACTATGTGCTCCCCACAAAGATAGTGAGTGGGAACCTCAGTACCCAAACACTTCTTTTTCCTTTTGTCCAGGAGTAAAATTTTAAACTCTTGAAGGGATCAAAGCTGAACAAATCTTGGTATATTTTTAGGAAAATTGTACAGATGGACAAATCTTGTACACTTCTACTTCCTGTTTCTCAAAGGGGATGGGACATACAAAATAGACCCAGGATGTCTTGAACAGTGACTACACTCAATTTTACGGTACTGCCCTCGGCCCAGGAAGTCATGTCTCCTCTCCTGGGACCCATACTTAAGAGAGTCGTACACATGAATCGCTTTAAATTACAGACTTCAAAGATACAAAGAATCTAAATGTGTAAATTTATTTTCATCAAATTTATCTTCATTACTGTCTCAGCCTCCAAGATAGCATATTTACATGCTAAATAGCTTCTGGACATTTAGGCTTTTACTCTCTCTCTCTCTCTCTCTCTCTCTCTCTCTCTCTCTCTCTCTCTCTATATATATATATATATATATATATATTCTTTCCATGTCCCCTTTTAAGCACCTTAACTATATAAACTTCAGAAGATTTCCTGATATTTTGGTTTTCCTTCTTTTAATGGTCTTCTATGACTTTTCTTGAAAATGCTTTTCTAAAACGTTTCAGCATCTAGTCCAGAGAAGTAAATTCAGTAGTTGACTTCGGGCACTGTGATGCTGCTTCAAGAAGATAGTAATTTTCTTTGTCAATGACTGACTTTGCTAGAGAATTTGTAAGGCGGAAGATAGAGGATTCCTTTTTTTCTCTTCTGCTCCTCAGAAGAATATCTTTCTTCTATATGTGTCAAATTTTTTTAAAGGAAAACACCTATCTAGTCATTGATAGATTTGAATTTTAAGTCTCAAAATAATCTCTAAACTACATTGATCACTTTTGTACTATATATCTGATTAATAACTGCTTTGAAGCTCTTATAATAGAGGTGTTATTAGATATGTTCAAGGTTCCTACGATAAACATTCTCTTCTAGTGTAGTCCAGTAGTCCAGTAAACATGGCAAGAGTAGCTTTTCCATTCAGATACCTCAAAGCTTTGACAGAAAAGCATCTTTTTAATTTTTTTTAAAGATTTCAAATTAAAACCACTAAATTAGGTCAACTCATTGTCTCTGGTTATTTAGAAATAAAATGGAAGATGCTATGGAGAAACCATAATGAACTTAACAAATAAAATACAATAAGATGTAGCATGAGCCAATCAAGAACTACTTTGCCTGGAAATGTGAACATAACAAAATAACAAACTTAAAATTGTGTAGCTCTTTCTCTGTGGAAACCTTATGCCAACAACAACAACAAATCTTCCAGTGAGGTGTTTTATCTCTAGGTAGAACTGCTTCAAGTACAGTTAAAGGATCAGCGTTTTTCAATCCTAGTCCCTTTTCTTCTTACTTTCTCAAGTGGAAATAAGTCAAGCATTTGACATAAAGCAAACTGAAGGAATACAGTATTTAAAATAGGTTGTCTCTTCCGTAAGGAAATAACAGATCTGAATCTTCTTAGCTTACCTCTAACAGTTTATACTGGCAACAATACAATTTAAAACAGCAGATGGTTACTTGCCTATCATAGATAAGCGGGAAAAAAGCTAGTGAGATACCAACTGGGATTGCAGCTGGGAAAACTTACAAATTTCAGCAAGGGCTACAGAGACTGAATGTTTATGAGCAATAAGGAATGGAAAAATGAACAGGAGGCAAAAACCTTAATACAAAAAGGAAAGGTTAATGTGGCAGGTGGTGTGGGCCTGTTACTCTTTCCCCTAGGAGAGAGCAAATGCATTTGATAATTTTCCTGTTGCATAATGTGTACACCATCAGAAGAGTGCAGCATGGACACAAAGGGCTATAATGAAGCAAGTAGACTCATCGTGTTCACCACTGAGCATACCTTCACACTGCATTCAGTAAATGGCTCTTTTCTGCATACACAATCAAGCCTGTACTCAGCCGAGCTTTCCTTTCTCCTCTGTTCATATTAGAGTGTTTCTTTTCCTGTCTCATCATGAACTTATATCAATTATGCAAACTTATTAATATATGGATCACCTCTGTAGCATGTGGCTATTGCTCTAATTTGCTCACAGCAAGCTGAGATTCCTAATATACCATTTGGAATAAATTATACAGGCTATAGAGTTTATTATATTTTAGTGCAGTCTGGAACAATTTTCTATATCTCATTTGATTCCTTTTGCCTATTTTGTTATTTAATCTCTATGTTTCTTCATCTGCAAATGGGGATAATAATAGTACCTACTTCATAGGTTTATTGTGAGGATTTAATGAGTATACGTAAAGCATTGAAACAGCAAAGCCCTGTGCTGGCTACTAAATGCTATTTTTAGTAGTATTAATGTGTGCAGACAACACTGCAGAGCAGTTTACTGCAGACCCTCTTCTTGCTTTAAAAGTTCCAGCTTCCCTCCTTCTACCCTACTAGTGCAGCAGATAACTTTTTAAAATTATAAATAAAAAATAGCTGACATTTAGTGTTCACCATGTGCCAGGCACTATTCTAAGTATTTCATATGTATCAACACATTTAATTTTTACAAGATCCTATCATGAAAGTGTTAATATTTCTATTTTACATGTGAGGAAATGAATGCACAGAGAAGTGAAAACTGTTTTCCTGTGTCAACGTAGTTAATAACTGATGGAACCCAGCTTCAGAACCAGGCTGTTTGGCTCCAGGGTCCACAACCATTTCCACTTCTGTACACAGCTGTCTCTGTTTGTTCTCACATTATCCTGTCTTTATGCCTCAGTTCTTTCATTCTAGTCCCAACTCAACTGAGTTTCTCACCTATTCTCTGATTGATTACTTCCCACTTGCCCTGTAATTCTTTCTTTCCAAGTATCTTTAATTTTTCCCATTTCGGCCACATTCCAAACAACCAGCTTTCCTTTTTGAAATTAATAAATGTAACCCTTTAATTAGTGTGATAGTGTCCTAGAAATATTCCATTTCCTCGCCTTTTCTTTACTCCATATTTAACTTCATGAGACAAAGCCTATCCCAGCTGTTGGCAACTGTTACCAAGTTCTTTCCTCACCTATTCCCACTACCCCATTGTAACTGCTCTCTGGAAGTTACTGTGACCCAGGCAAACCTAGAGACCTTTTCTGGCTCTCCTCTCATAGAAGGGCCTTTGGAGATAAAGCCCACAAAAACAGTTATTCCAGGAAATGAGTGAATTAGGATAACTGCTATGAGAGACAGTATAAAAGACTTCCTTTAAAAATTAGTGCTCCTTTTATTTATTATCACTTCAGGAGCTATTCTTGATTACTTAGGACTTAAATAATTCACTATGATGTAAATTTTACCGATATATTTGAAATAAGTATATAATTTTCTATATTCAAGGATTTCTTTTTTTCATTATTTTGACATTTTCTTAGCATTGTTCTTTTCCCTCAAACTTTAACAATGTTACAAATAAAAATCCTTACAAATGAAGATGATTAGCATAATAATGTCCATGACCCTTAATTTCTTAAAGCAACTGATATTTAAAAACTAGTTTGACAGTTTGTCATTAAACTGTAAGAATTATCTATGAACTTTTCAGATAATTGCTAATTTAAAAATATCCATGGTTTGTAACTGTGTATTGTTTAAAGGGAATCACACATACACACACTCTCTCTCTCTCTCTCTCTCTCTCTCTCTCTCTCTCTATATATATATATATATATATATATATATATATATATATACACATACATATATGTCCCAACTGACATAGGCCCTGAGTTAAATTCAGGATCTAGGAAAGGGTACTTCTTGATTCAACTGGCATTCATACAATGTCATTTCCTGACTGGGTATTAGGCTCAGCTTTTAAAGGGTATCTTTGTGTCTCTCACAACACACAGCACAGTGTATGAGGTAGAATAATTATTCTACTATTCCATTCTATTATTCAATAATTACTCATGGAATGAATGCACGACTCTATGATGGGTTGGAGAGAATGAGGAGAGTATTTTTATAGTCTCTCTTGCTTCTCACCTCATGTTTTACTTAAGAACTATGTGGTATTTTAGAAGCAGAATCTTGGAAGTTTAACTAAAAACAGGGGGAGGAGAGTGATAATATTCCCTCCTTCCATCCAGTTCTATGCTGGCATCTTGGCTTTTACTAGGTAACAGTAGTTACCTGGCTGAATATTATAATAGTCATAATAATGCAAAGGCTGAATATTGACTTAAATAAAATTGTGCTAGAACTATGTTGGATTCTGTATTAGTCAGGGTCCATCAGAGAAATATAAACATCACAAGATATGTATTAATATATACACATATACATATATATTCATATATATACACATTTTATATACTATATATGTATTTTGTGTATTTGTGTGTGTATATGTATATGTGTGAAAGAAAGAGATTTATTATAATAAATTAGCTCTCTGAAGCCGAGGTGACCATAAAATAATTAAAAATGGAAAAAAACAGGCTTACATGGTTTTGGAGGCTGACAAGTTGCAAGATCTGCAGGGTAAATTGGCGAGCTGGAAACTGAGGAGAGGCGATGGTGTGGTCCCAACCTGAAGTCTGGCAGACTTAAGACCCAGGAAGAGCCAATGTTGTAGTCTGAGTCTAGAGATAAGGTAAAACCAATATCTCAGTTTGAAAGCAGAGAGGCAGAAGGAATCCTCTCCTATTCAGGGGAAGCTCATCCCTTTTCGGATGAGGTGTACCTGCTTTGGGGAGGGTACTCTGCTTTCCTCAACCTGCTGACTTAAATGTTAGTCTCGGCCGGACGCGGAGGCTCACGCCTGTAATCCCAGCATTTTTGAGAGGCCGAGGCAGGTGGAACACTTGAGGTCAGCCTGGCCACCACGGTGAAATCCCCTCTCTACTAAAAATACAAAAAATTAGGCCAGGCGTGGTGGTGTGTGCCTATAGTCCCAGCTACTAGGGATGCTGAGGCACGAGAATCGCTTGAATCCAGAGGGCTGAGGCTGTGGTGAGCAGAGATCATACCACTGCACTCCAGCCTGAAGTTAATCCCATTTACAAACACCCTCACAGAAACAGCCAGCATAGTATTTGACCATATGTGGGTACCTCATGGCCCAGTCAAGCTGACACAAAATGAACCATCACAGATTTTATAAGAGTGTAATATATGGTGGGCCGGGGGGCTGGGGGTGGTGGTGCTAAGCATGGGGTGGGTGCAAAATAGCAATGATTATTAAAACAACTTTTTTGGAGATTTAAAACAAGCTAGTAATATAGGCATATTTAGAGGACTCCAAAAAAAAGACATTAACAAAATTACAGTTTTAAATAATATTTAACATTTATTATCATCAGTACTCAGTTGTTTGATTTGTTTTCAATATTTTTTTTCACGTAATTCTTATAGAAACTCTGTGGTAACTGTGATTGTTGTCACCATGTTACAGATTAGCAAAGTTTACCTGTGACACAGTGGTTAAGATCACACATGGACACTGGAGTCAGACTGCTGGGGCTCAAAGCCTGGTTCTGCTACTTACCAGATGACTGACGCTGAGCAATTTACTTAGCCTCTTTGTGCCTCAGTTTTCTTATCCATAAAGTGGGTGTAATAACAGTACAATATGTTCTGATGGCTGTGATTTAACTGACTTAAAATTTGTAATGTGTGTAAAACTCTTAAAGCAGTCCTGACACTGATGGAAACTAAGTGTGTTAATAATAACAGTAATAATTATTATTTTTGTATTATTTGCCACCAGAAAAAAAGTATTATTAGCCGCAACTAAGACCAATAGCAGCTACTAAATTTCCCAATGTCTGGCACTGTAACACGTTTTTTACAGATCAGTCTTATGCAGTTTTAGAGACAATATTAAGTGTTTTGATATGCATTTTCATCTTCACAAAAAGTCTAGCAGGTAGATTTGATTATTCTCATTTTTAAAGCAAGGAAATTGAGGTTTAGAGAATCAGCATGGCCATTTGATGGTATGGTATATCTCTTTTTCCTTCTCTAACTCAACTAAAATTAGAGGAATAAAACAAGAATAAATCCACAGAAAGAGTCCAAACAAATGGTAGATAACCCCACAGGAGGGCTGGCAACCTAATTTTGGAAGATGGAAAGTGAGCGAAGGTATGGTTACTGTATAGATCATTCATCTATGCTCTTAGCTCAAATCCATCCTTCTTTGTGATGTTGGACATGGGTCTCTGAACTCCATTTCTCAGAAATCCTTGCTGGCTGGCTTCTTGTCAGAGTCTCTCAATAGGGGGGACTAAAGGGAGATCAGACAACAAGAGTTTCTTTGTGTTCTGATAAAGATTCTTACCCTGACCAAACTTTAGTCAGACTCCTCTGAAGCTTCTTGCCAACTAGGCCACAACTTTTGGACTTCTGTGTCTGTCTTGTATCACTCAATTTTAGCAAGAATCCTGCTAAGCTGGTTTAGCGAGAATCCCTCACCTTCAATGACTGATCATCCTCAATATAATATCTGACAAATTTCCCCACCCCCTACCATCCCACAGGCGATGTCAGATCACCCTGGCTTGTCTTCATCAAGAGCTATGTCAGGTCCAAACAGCTAGAATCTCCTTTTACCCCTGCTGTTTCTTCTTAGTGATGTTCTATCCACTGCTCCTCACCCCATTTCTGTCTGTAAATTTCCACTTTATCTTGCTTGTTATATTCAGAATTGAGCCCAGTTCTACCTTGAGATTATTTTCCCTGTTGCAATGGTCCCAAATAAAATCTGTTTTTATCTATTTAGCTACTGATCAGCTCTTGTTTTCTTGGACAGTTCCCCTGCCCCACCTGGCCTTTTGGTTTGAAATGTTAGCTTCTTTCAGGACTCTCAGAGCTAGCTGCCTCATGTCCCTGCAGAGGTACCAGCAGCAACTACGCTTACATTGTGAACCCCAGTTCTGTGAGGACTCTCCTCTGTTCCTCTAGGCTCTGAAAACCCCATCACTTCTCTTTTGTTCCTTAAGCCCTAGAGGGGGTGGTAATTATATCCAACTTTGTAATCAATTATTTGAGTCTAATTTTCTTTGCTTGATATAACTTGTGTGGTTCATGTTTTTTTCCAGTTGGTCCCTGAGCGACCCATTAACTGACTTAATAACTTAATAGAGAAGAGAAAACTGAAGCCTGTTTAGATGAGGAAATAAACATGAAGTGAGAAGACTGAAGCCACAAAACATCAGAAAGTGTCAGAAACTGTAAACATGAGGAACCTGTGAAGATGAGGACAGGGGTGGGATGAATAGAGAAGGCCTGAGAGTGTGTCTTAGAAGCAGTTATATTCTACATATTCTTTTCCTTTTCCATACAGAAAGATGAACGTTTTTACATGGCTGTGGCAAGAAACAGAAGGTTCACTTTCACAATAACCGAAGCAGCACAGTCTAAAATTCATCCTAGAGCAGTCTCAGAATCTGGAACAACAAAAATGGTGAAAGCAGGGTAGAGCAGATTTAAGGAAATATAGCAAGAATGGGAAATGGGGATTAAGTGAAAATCATCTTATTGAAAACTGTCGTTGCCATCTCCTTTGAACTCTGAAACACTGACAGCTAGGTTCACATGGAAAGCAGAAATTGGATCATTATTCTCTTGATACGCTGAGAACCACAAGAGAAATAGCCATAGGTCCTGAAATTTGGTCTCCCAAATAGCTACAAAGACAGCTTGACCGATAGTCACTGGATAGTGAAACTCACTGGGTGAAATGCCCTGTTCCTACACACTGAAATTTCAGTTGCATGTTTGAGAGTTAAATATGAATGGCCAACCCATTGGCAGTTGAACAAAAGTGCTAATATAAGGGGCAAAATGACAACCAAAAAAAAAAAAAAAAGTAGAAAAAAGAGGCAAAGTAATAAGAGAGGAAAACATCACAAAATCTATTACTATATTTAGAGAAATAAAAGAATATAATTCTGCTTTTAAAAAAATAAAGATTATTTAGAGAACAAGAATATGTTCTTACAAAAATCAAGAATCTGGTAGCAAAATTAAATACACATATTTTTGGATATTTATATGCAATATACTTTTATATATACATATATGTATGCAGTAGAAAAAAAAAAGTTCGAGAAATTTCCCAGAAAGTAACACTAAAAGGAAAATTCATGGATATTAAGAGATAAGAAATGTTTAAGGACAATCATGAAAGTTAAATATCTGAATGCTAGGAAATCCAGAATAAGAAAACAGAGAAATTGAAGGGTCAGGCATGAAGAAGGAAAGATGCATTAATTATCAAGTAGGTAGTAAAAGAAAATTTCCCAGAACTGTGAAATATTAGTTTCTCAATTAAAAGACTCCATAGATAGCACATGAATTAAAACAACAACAACAACAACAACACACACACACACACAAATCATGGCACTTCATTATGTCATATTAGAAGACCAGAGATAAAGAGATGGTCTGAAAAACTTAACAAAAAGTTAAGAAGAGGGAAAAAAAGACACATGCAAAGTATCAGGAAATGGAATCGAAGGGGATGATGGCTTTTCTAAAATAATGTTAGCATTGCTTACATTTTAAACTGTAATCCTGATTGTCTTCAAATTAAATTTAAAGGTATGCATGGAATTTGCCAAATATCACAAAAGTAAATAATGACATGGTGGGATTCTGATCCAGATCTACTAACACCAATTTCCACCTTCTTCAATAGAGTTCAATATAGTTAGAGTTGGTGCAGAATAAACACAAATAAAGGAATGATTAAAGAAAAACTTTTTGAAAGTCAGTGTTGTGCTTGGTTTTCAAAATGATGAATCTGAATTGCTTGATAAAAGTAGAGAAAAACATTTACAGTTGATTAAATGATCACATGCTATTAAGCCTAGGAAAACTAGCTTTATTAAGGTGGAAAGAGTTTATTTGATAGGGTGTCTACAGTGTTTATAATACAGTTTACCAGGTACTTCATTCTCTTCTCTTTTCCTTTCATCTAGTAAAGACACCATTCTTCTTTCCACCCTGACTCCAAATGACCCAAGCTTGGCCAATTCTAATATCTTTCTCCCGTGGCTATAGTGATGATAGGCGCATGATACAAGGAAGACAAACCAGATCTTTACCCTGATATTTATAAAACTGGACATGTGACAGAGAAGGTCCTTTTTTCTAAAGTCATGAAACTGTTAGAATAAGAGCCCAGAGCTGCTAAGCACCATGTCTTTCACTATGTGAGGCAAAGTGGGAGAAAGGAAAAAAACAATGAGAGTAGAGTTTCAATAGCATTTTGAAAGCCACAATTCAACCTTGTATAATGCCAGCTTACTGATGTCTTTCCAGTGATTTGTTTGTATGAGACAATAAATTTAGCTTAAGTGAGTTGGGTTGACCTTCTATCACTGAACTTTAGAATCTTGGCTAAATCACAAGAAGTATTTGAAGGGTTATAGGGTACAAGGGAGAAAGTTAGTTGAGTAAATTTTGATGAAAAACTAAAGAGTGATTATTAGTTATAATAACTAATGGGGGGCAGTTCAGATTGTAGACTTGTTTAAAGTGATAAAACGGTTTTTAACAAAGTCACTTTTTCTATATCATTAAGAAGATGATATTGGGTGACAAAAAGGCTAGCAATAAAAAACAAGCCAAAATACAACTGTAAGAGTTCACTCATGATAAAGGATGAGTCTACCCTATAAAAATGGATGAATGTAAATTCTTTCTTATAGTTGTGCTTTTTGTTCATTTTAATTACTTGGATTTCTGCAAGCTGATAGTATTTAAAGGCCAAAATTTTTGATATTTATTTCACAGAATAGGTGAGAAAATAAAAACAATTTTTGAAAAGTTATAGCCAAAAAAAAACCAAACAAACTGTGTAGAGTTCATAAAGTGTTCTAAAACCTCTTTAATGCTAATTATGTTCCAGGCATTATATATAGCACTGCATCATCTATTTAACGCAACTCTAAAAGGTTCTTTTTATTGGGTCCATTTTTCAGATGAGGAAACCAAAATTCAGAGAGTTTAATGACTTGCCTGTGATTACACAGTCAGTAGGTAGAAACGGATTCCAACCAAAGCCTACGTAACTCCCAAATTCATCCTTTTCATAATGCTCCACTGCCAAATGGAAATGCATATCAAGTTTCATAGGTATAATTACCATGCTCTCACAAAAGAATATGTAAATTTACAATAGTAGAGTAGAATTTTCATAGATAAGAACTTTTATGTTCTGTTTCAATTTAGATACTGAATCTAAGGTTCTTTGAGAGCAGGACATGGCTTATACCTTTTGTCGTTATGTTGACTGCCCAAACAAAATTCACTCAATGCATTTTCTTTTTATTCTTAGAATCATATTAACATGATTCTTTATATATGAATTTCAATTTGCAACACTCTTAAACCTAATTTATTCTAACTGAATAAAAGTAATTTCTGATTAATAAATTTCATAGTTGATATATGTCATTGAGTTTTCCTTTCCAACTATATAGTTAAGTGTGACTTTCTGTTTTCTCAGTTTCAGCCAAGGCCCCAAGAGGCTAGACAAAACAATAGGTGTCAAGTTCCTACCATGATAAAGAAGGTTGAGAGGCCACCTAAAGAAGACTTAGAGGTCCTCTAGACCTGCACCGTGTAATACTGTAGTCACTGGTCACACGCATCCATTTAAGTTCAAATGTAAAAGCATTAAAATGAAGTAAAATTAAAAATTAAGTCCTCCAATTGTACTAGTCACATCTGAAGTGCACAATAGTCATGTTTGACTAATGTTTCTCATATTGAACAGTGTAATATAGAATATTTCCTTCATTGTAGAAAGTTCTGTTGGACAGCATTGATCTAAACAATGTGAAAAACACTTATAATGGAGTAGTTAAAAAACTGCCCCTTCAGCATTAACCTATAACTTATCCTTATTCCTATAAGAAATGCCCAAGAAAATGTGATTAGACATTGATATCTAACCCATTCCTCCAAAAAATATTTAAAGCCCTAATTTGTATCATTTTCTAATTTCCATGATATAAGTATTTCCAACGTATGGTTTCAAGCTACCGTGATAAAGCCACTGAATACAGCGTTGGGAATTGACTCTACCAGCTCTTCCGAGCCCTTCATATAAGCTTCATCTCCATAATAAACATTGCCTTTTACCAATTAAACCACAAAGCATGCTGGAAGAAAAAAAACCGGCATCCAACATGAAGGCCTGATACTAAGTTACAACTGAACCCGTCACATCTGGCCTTTTTGCCCCTGTACCACTTCTCTGCTCTCCTGTACTTGACACTGCAGAGATCAGAAATATGAGGTAAGAAATGTAAATACAGAGCAAAATATGAGGTAAGAACTGCCAGAGAATTAGATAAAAAGCATATCAAGTGAAAAAATATTGTCAACCCTGCATTTTCTCCCCCAGTATAGCATGTGACAGATGTAAACTGAAGTAGGAGAGAAGTTTTCCATTAGATAATGGTGTGTATTTTTATAGAGAATGACCTGGTTTTTTTGCTATTTGAAAATTTTCTAAAAGCTGTGGAATCTATCCAACTTCATTAGGAAAAAGAAAAAACATCTTCAGATAAAATTCAAAAAGTAGAGGTGAAAAAAAATACAGCTGCATTCTGCCTGTACCTAACCTAGTCTAACTAGTTCAATAAATTGGTTCTATAAGTAATATAGAAAGTCAAACAAGAATGAATGCCTAGAAGAAATTTAATCCTAAATATAATTTTAATAAAGTGAAGTTATTATCATGACTAATCCCAACCTTATCTGGGCTACCCTCTGCTGTTGCAATCACTTTGTCAGAATTAGTCACTTCCTCTCACCCCCAAGAAAAGTTATTTTTCCAATTAAGCTCTTAGTACAGTCTTCCTTGGGTTTCCTCTAGACTGCCTAATCTCCTCTACTGTTAATTGTTGGGGGTTGGAATCATGGGGTGTTTATTTTTGTATCCTTGCCATGCTTAAAATGAGATACAGTTTTTCACCTGTATATAGTTGTGTACTGCAGTGTCTGTGGGAAACATTTGATCCCTTTAGTAGTTTAAGAAGATTCTTTATACTAGGTATGAAATTGGTTTGCACAAGTTATTCATTTATTTGTTTTTTTGAGACAGTGTCTCACTCTGTTTCCCAGGCTGAGGGGCAATGGTGTGAACTTGGCTTACTGCAGCCTCGACCTCCCAGGCTCAAGCAATCCTCCCACCTCAGTCTTCTGAGTAGCTGGGACTACAGGCACATGATACCATGCCTGGCTAATTTTTATTTATTTATTTTTTTTTTTGGTAGAGATAGAGTTTTGCTATAATGCTAGGCCTGGTCTTGAAATCCTGGGCTGAAGCAATCCTCCCACCTTGGCCTCACAAAGTGCTGGGATTACAGATGTGAGCCATCACACCTGGCCTACACAAGTCATTTTATATTGGCATGTAAATGTCAGTTTAATTCCAATTTGGGTGAATAAAATAATAAATTCTACTCAATAAAAATAAAAATAAATTACATTTTATTATCCAGTGGGGAGGATTCATAGCCCACACAAATCTAGTAAGCCAACAGAAGTTGGAAAGAGCATAAATGTTAGGCACAATGAATCTTCCAACAGCACAAAATTATTTGTCAATTCTTGAGGAATGTTTTTCCTCAGAATTTTATACAATAAAAAGGATAACTTCTTAACTGCATGTGTGAAATTGTTTAGTAAAATACGTAGAGATTGTCAAATATCATAATTTATGTAAATTAACATAATATATGAAATTACTATTTTGTGGTAACAAAGAAGAACACCACTAATTTTCAATTCCACTAGAACAAAGTCTGTTAGCTCTTATTCACATTCATTCTACGGTTTCAAATCTATGAATCATTTTACTTGCCTAAAGGGGCTTATGTTTGATCGTATCTATTTTGAACTAATTTATGCTCTTGATTCACCTCCTTCTGAGACTTGCTACATGCACAGCTCTCCACATCTCAATTGGTAGTAACAGTATCAATTTACATAGTTGTTCTGGGCCAAAACCTTAACATCATCCACAACCCCACTCATTTTCTCATATTTCACATCCAGGAAGTCCTGCTGACTCAACCACCAAAAATATATATGGATTCTAACTTTTCTCCTTGGTCCAAATTAACATCTGAAATAGCTATAAAACTGGTATCCTTGTTTTTACCTTGCCCCTTTATTATTCTTGTCTTTTATAGTGAATACTACTTTCTTACATGAAATATTAAAGTATATTTATTTTTCAATGACTATCTCCTCTACTATAACATAAGCCCTGCTAGGGCAGAGATTTCTCATATATGTGTGTGTACATATATATTTGCATATAACATACAAAAATGAATTTGTTGAGCAAAAAAATGAACATTTGTTAGGACAAGCATTTATTCACTGCTTAAATATTTGTTGAAGATATCCATGTATATATCTATCTATAGATATATATAAAATATATTTTAAAATATATGTATGTATAGACATAAATATTTGTGCATATATGTCTGTATAATTATATATACACATACACTCAGCTACACATATAATGTATATGTGTATATTATTTGCATAGAAAGTTACTTTTGGTAGAATATTATAAATATATTTATTTTAGATTTTTTAATTTTTTTATTATGCTTTAGGTTCTGGGATACATGTGCAGAATGTGCAGGTTTGTTACATAGGTATACACCTGCCATGGCGGTTTGCTGCACCCATCAACCTGTTATCTACATTAGGTATCTCTCCCAGTGCTATCCTTCCCTTATCTCCCCACCCTCAGACAGGCCCTGATGTGTGATATTCCTCTCCCTGTGTCCATGTGTTCTCATTGTTCAACTCCCACTTATGGGTGAGAACATGCAGTGTTTGGTTTTCTGTTCTTCTGTTAGTGTGCTGAGAATGATGGTTTCTAGCTTAATCCATGTCCCTGCGAAGGACATGAACTCATCCTTTTTTATGGCTGCATAGTATTCCTTGGTGTATATGTGCCACATTTTCTTTATCCAGTCTATCATCGATGGGCATTTGGGTTGGTTCCAAATCTTTGCTATTGTGAACAGTGCCACAATAAACATACATGTGCATGTATCTTTATAGTAGAATGATTTACAATCCTTTGGGTATATACCCAGTAATGGATTGCTGGGTCAAATGGTATTTCCGGTTCTAGATCCTTGAGGAATTGCCACACTGTCTTCCACAATGGTTGAAAATATATTTATTTTAGATTTTATTAAATATAATATTTGATCCTTCAAAATTTCATCCTATAAAAAAATTATGACAACATGAATCTAGAAGTTTTACATCAATACTTTGAATGAAGACTGTAGAAAAGCAATACCTCAAAGGGACTATGGGAGTAATAGAGCTTGGCTTTTGTCATTTATGGATATATCCACTGAAAGCAGCATGTTGCTTATGTTATTTAACAGGAAAATGACTAAACTAATTCCTTCATTCAAAAACATATATTTAATATGTACTTTGTGTATGAAATTGTGCAGTTTTCATGCACCTTTGAGCCTTTGGGTGCACATGAAAATGAATGAGACACAGATTTTGTTGTTAATCTTGATGTAATGAATAGTAGAATTTTATTTAATATAAAAATAGTCATAATGTGATTATTACCATACCAGGAGCACACACATAGTATTACATACACTCGAAGAAAGAAGAGATAAATATGGAATGAAATTTGTGTTTTTATTTCTTTTTTAATGACATTGAAATGAAGGGAAGACATTTTTAAAATTGAAAAATTTCCCTTCCCTCTTTGAGATGAAATATCTATAAAACTTTACTAAAAGTTCACATAACAATTAAAGACATTTTGGATTTATTATTTTTTTAATTTCAGAACTTATTAGACTTTGAAATGGGTGATGGTTAATTTATAACATGAAAAATTACAAGAGCTATGCTTTTATAGAACATGTAATGTGGCAAATTTCAGCAAAAACATCCAAGCTGGGGGCTAATTAAGTAGATATCAAAAGAGCCACCCATATGAAAAGAATCTTAAATACCTCTGAAATTAAGGGAACTTATGTGTGTGATTAAATGGGGAAATAATTATCCCATTCCTAAATTATAGAATGAAGAATAAAAATTCATGTTACAGAAAGCAACAATCTCACGTAGCATTTACAACTAACTGTGAATGACACATTGAAAATGTATTTGCCTTTTTGAAAAGCAGTGTAATTTCTTAGGATCAAAATTTGTAGTTGATACATTTAGCAATTTCTGGATATAAAATTCATTCATTTGTTCCTTAGGATATCTATCTCTAATAGGAAAAGGAACAGACATTCTTAAGATACTATACTTTTCTTTCAACAATGAAAATATCTCACAAATGCCTTAATTAAAAATAATTTGGCCAGGCACAGTGGCTCACACCTGTAATCCTAGCATTTTGAGAGGCCAAGGTGGGCAGATCATTTGAGGTCAGGAATTTGAGAACAGCCTGACCAACATGGTGAAACCCTGTCTGTACTAAAAATACAAAAAAATTAGCTGGGCATGGTGACACACGCTCGTAATCCCAGCTACTGAGGAGGCTGAGACATGAGAATCGCTTGAACCTGGGAGGAGAAGGTTGCAGTCAGCAGAGATCACGCCACTTCACTCCAGCCTGGGCGACAGAGTGAGACTCCGTCTCAAAAAAAAAAAAAAAATTATCCTTAGTTTGTTTTGTTTTGTTTGTTTGTTTCTTTTCCTATTGTCATAGAATATAATCCACTCCCTGGTATTTATTCTTTTTTAAATTTTTGCCATTTTACCTCCAACCTCCTTCATAAACTTTCCTGACTTTACTAAACATATTACATCCCTCTTTTTAAAAATTCAGTTTAGGCTGGGAGCGGTGGCTCACGCCTGTAATCCTAGCACTTTGGGAGGCTGAGGTGGGCAGATCACGAGATCAGGAGATCGAGACCATCCTGGCTAACACGGTGAAACCCCATCTCTACTAAAAATAAAAATTCAGTTTGTATTCTGCTGCATATGTATACATTCACAGGCATTCAGATTTGGGAGAATGAAATCTCTTGCCATTGTACCTGTCATCTATAAAATCCAGTGGTGTGCTAGCAAATTGGCTCTCCCAATTAAAAAAAAAATCCTGATTTGGAGTATTTGCCGGCTTCTCTAGTGTGTATTCACCCACCCCTTGGTGATTTTAAGCAACCAAACCAACTGAAAAAATTCTTGATTATTTAATAATCAGCTTTCATAACCACTATAAACTGACTCAAACACATGTTGAGTCAGATATACTCATGATGAGTATCCAGATACATTTATCTAGAATATCTTTTGTGACTTACAATTATTTCATGAAGTGTCCATCTATTGATGGAGATCTCAAGCTGTAAAAAAGATTTCCCTGGCCGTGCATGGTGGATCATGCCTGTAATCCCAGCACTTTGGGAGACTGAGGTGGGCGGATCACCTGACTTCAGGAGTTCGAGAACAATGTGACCAACATGGAGAAACCCCATCTCTACTAAAAATACAAAATTAGCCGGGCATGGTGGCACATGCCTGTCATCCCAGCTACTCTGGAGGCTGAGGCAGGAGAATTGCTTGAATCCAGGAGGCAGAGGTTGTGGTGAGCTGAGATCATGCCATTGCACTCCAGCCTGGGTGACAAGAGAGAAACCCCATCTCAAAAAAAAAAAAAAAGAAAGAAAAAATTCCCTGATATCAACCCAACATCTTCCCTGCATTTTTCCTGAATTGGCATTAGTCAAAATTCAAAAGCTATACAATGTAAATAGAAATTATTTGCCAATGTCATTGAAAGACTTTAAGGTGGCTAGTATGCATGTCTTCTTTCCCAGATTAAGCACAATTTTTTCCAACTGCTCCTCATATCCCATGGTTTCCATAGTCCTTAGCAACTGATTCTATTCCTGGGTATGAAAATTAACAGTCATCAGGGTTCAGAAATTAACACCTGGTTCCAGATGTGGTCTGGGTAGAGCAAAGTGCCAGAGAATTAATGCTTTGCTTTCCCTGTCACTTTAATTTTGCTAATGCAATGTACGGATTCGTTAGAAATTTTGGCTGCCACATCACTCAGTTTACAGTGAAATTGTAAAGCCAACTTATCCACCCAGACCTCTTGGTTTTTTTCAAACCCAAAATGCAGTTCAGCCAGTTTTTCATCATCTTTTATTTGTCCAACTAATTTCTGAAGCTAGGTGTAGGAACTGTGTTTAATACCTCATGTATTTCATACCATTAGTTAGACTCTTCATTTCAAACAATATGAATGAATTCATAATCAATCAACCTCTCCCATCACTGTGGTATTATAGTATTCTCAGATACAAAATATGCCTTCTTCCTTTTTTATGCAAAGGAAAAATAACCTCAAATGATAAGGATAACAAGAAGAAACAAAGAGCCTATCGGTAGCAGCATATGGGAAAAACCTGTGCTTTAGATCTTTAGATCTCTTTTTTTTTTCATTGTGAGATGTTCTCTTTTTCTCCTCAGCCATCCATCATTCTGAAATGATGGGGTGTATCCCAGAAAACACATTTTTTTACACCATCTGCATTGACTCAATTCCAAATACTTCTTTGTCTCCAACGTAGATTTTTCAGTTAGATCAAGGGATGATAACTTCACCTGTACAATGCAACTTCCCTGCCCCAAATCCTTTTGCCTTCAACCTTAGATTTCAAAGTAACTAAAGATGTAATTCAAGTTCCTTCCTGAGCTATTGCTCATTTTCTCATGAATCAGCAAAAGAAGGAAGCAGCTTGAGCTTCTCGTAGGTTCTGGCAGATTCCTCTTTATCTCAGATAAGAATTTCTTGGAAGACAGTACTCTTCCCTATTAACTATGGGAAGTGTTTATATAACTAACTCTGTATACCTCAAGAGAAAATCACTAGTGCTTACTGTATGTCTTTTTTTCAGGGTATAATACTGATTTGTTTCCACCAGTTTGCACTTTCTACTTATTTTGCACATGGTAATGTAAATCAATACCTGTAACAGCTGACATTGTCATATACTTTGGTGTGTGGTAAGCTTTTCTCCTTTACTCCTTAAAATCAAGATCTGTTTTAAATATTTTATGTCTCTTACAGAACTGAATTTAACTAGTTTTTGTTAATATGCTTACATATATATCTTAAGTGAGAATTTTTTCAATGGGCTAACTAATAGAGTAACATGATAGAGTTACATCTCAAACCTGGGCTCCAAACAAACCTCTTCTAGGAAACCTCTCTTATTAACTATACCTGACCATAGTCAATCTTTTTGATGAGTTCTTGTAAGCACTAAGATGCTCGCTGTAAAGCACTCTGAATTAAACTTATTAATATGTTGCAGATATGTTAGTGCTTAATATTTTCCAATCTTTGTTTCTTACCTCCCCCACTACATGATAACTTCTCATTGGGCAGAGGCTTTGCCAATCTTTTAACTCTCTTCTCAGAGCCCTTCAGGTCCTGAAACTGTTTAAAACGGGTTGTGAAGCATCTGGCTGCCCTCCGTCTTTCCAGGTTCAACAACCGATATGCAGCTCTTCACACTCTAGGCTCCCGGGTTGCTCCATAGTTTCCAGAAGATATTCCACCCCTGGTATGCTTCTGTTCCTTCCTGGAATGACTGATATTTCTACCATTCTTGAGAAAATTTATTCCTTTTCTGTCAGGTTCAGCTCAAGGATTGCTTTCTAATGAAATCCATCCTGTGCCCATAACCTCTGTGTCTCTCTTTTCTACTGAACTATCTTTCCTGTATGGGTTTCTGTAAAGGGTAATTAATAGGACACACACTTTTGAGTCACAGAGACCTTGGCATGAATCCAATTCTACCACTTCTAAGATGTGTGATTTCTCTCAAATTATTTAACAATTCTAATCCCTTTTCTAGGGTAGTTTTGAGGTTTAAATGAGTGATTCATGTAAAGTGCTTAGCAATTAGGTTGGCACAGAGTAAGCCCTTAATAAGTGGCAGCTCTTTTGAACTGTAAGGTTCTGGAGACCAGGTCATCTTCGAAATCAAGAGTCTGCTTCTTCATAAGTGCTTGGTAAGTGTTTATAGAATTATTGCAATGAATACTTCTACTTCTACCACAGGGGAAGCATTGAACATTGAGACATGGATAGTCAGTCCTTGACATGCTGTAGGCCTGACTTCAAATAGGACCTTCAGATTTTTACTAGGCTTTCAGCACATTGACTAGAATTTACGTACTGAAGAGTGGAAAAGTTAATATTAAAAATGAAAATACTAATTAAGACTACTTAAAAGTCCTCCATAATTTTCAGTGAGACTTTTTTTTATTAAACCAGTTTTCAGACACTCACCCTACCATTCATTTTTAGATCTGTGAAATGATAGAAGAGAAGCATTAT
The DNA here is from genome assembly GCF_000001405.40 of Homo sapiens. Lineage (NCBI taxonomy): Eukaryota > Metazoa > Chordata > Mammalia > Primates > Hominidae > Homo > Homo sapiens. The sequence goes on from NC_000012.12 coordinate 85,634,199, forward strand.
TATGCTTGTATGACAAATCTCTTGATTAAAATACATGCAAGTGCAATTTCAAAATACCATAATAAAAATCAGCCCAGTTGTTTAGAACCAAACATGGCAAGTTCATTGTCATGTATTAAATTAAACCAGGCTCAAGTTAAAAATAATAATAAAAAATAGTACTTTACTTTGGGTAATGTCTATAAGTAAAAACTGACCAGTTATATGTCATTTTGAAGGACAGAAGTACTGGCATCTAGAAGGTCAGAAGCAAACCCATTTCATTTTTACAGAGACTCTTTTAGGGCCGATCTTTAGCTTTTACTTACACATTAAATAGGCTCCTAATATTTCTTCCTAGCTTCAGTCTTGACCCACCATAATGCTCCCTTTATGACTTGAGCCAATATAATCCACCTTAAAAAAACATGGCTCTGATCACATACTACCTCCATTCGATAAATGTAAAGTGTTCTCTTTAACACTCAGTAAAATTTCAAGTCTGTGTATGGCATTTGATATGGTTTCCAAGCTGACCCAAGCTCTATTTAGCTCTGCTTCCCTCAATATATCCTTCAGTGGAAAGAACAATAGCAATATCAAAAACTCTACACTTGGCTTTTCCTAACACAACCCATATTGTATGAGATCTACATTCCTCCTAGAATTCTTTTCACACTTATCTCTGTTCTTTTGTTTGAACAGCTTTATTGAAATATAATTGATATACAAAATCACTGCAAATGTTTAATGCATAAACTTTGATGAGTTTGAACATATGCATACCACAATTAAGATATTAAACGTATCCACTACCTCCGAAAGTTCCCTTGGGTGTGTTTGTTTGCTTGTTCTTTGTAGCAAGAACACTGAACATAAAATCTGCCCTTTTAACACATTTTAATTACATGATACCACATTTTTAACTTAGACGCTATGTTAAACAGCGGGTCTCTAGAACTTACTCATCTTGCGTAACTGAAATTTTATTCCCATTTCCCCATCCCACCAGCCCCACAAACCACCATTCTACCGTCTGCTTCTATGAGTTTTACTAATGTAGAGACCTCAAATAAGTGGAATCATGCAGTATTTGTCTTTCTGTGATGGTTGTACTTAATATAATGATTTACAGATTCATCAGTGTAGATGCAAATTATAAGACTTCCTTCTTAAGTTTCAATAATATCCCATAGCTTATATATACCAAGTTTTCTTGATCAATTTACCTGTCGATAGACATTTAGACATTTAGCCATGTACTGGCTATTGCAATTATACTGCAATAAATGTGGGAGTGGAGATATATCTTTGAAATCCTCGTTTCAGTTCTTTTGGATGTGGAACTGCTGGATCCACATTTTTTGAGAAACCTCCACACTGTTTTCCAGAGTGGCTGTACCATTTTACTATACATTCCCACCAACAGTGTCAAGAGCACCAACTTCTCCACACTCTTGCGAACACTTGCTATCTTTGTTTATTTTTTAAATGACAGCCATCCTAGCAGGTGTGAGATGATATCTCATTGTGGTTTTAATTTGCATTTTACTGATGAATAATGATGCCAAGCATCATTTTGTATACCTTGTGAACCTTTGTATGTCTTTTTGAGAAATATCTATTCATGTTCTTTGCCCTTTGTTTAATCAGTTCTATATTGTTTTATTGATATTTAGTTGTAGAATTTTTTTGTTTTATTCAATGTTAACCCCTTATCAGATAAATAATTTGCAAATATTTTCTCCCATTCTGTAAGTTGTCTCTTGACTTTGTTGATTGTATCTTTTATTGTTCAGAAGCCTTTTAGTTTGAAATGTCCCACTTTTTAATTTTTCTTTTGTTACCTATAATTTTGGTGTTAAATGCAAAAAAAAGTAACTGCTGAGACCAATATCTAGAAGCCTTTTCCCTGTATTTTGTTCTAGGTGTCTTGTAGTTTCATGTCTTAAATGTCAAGTCTTTAATCCATTTTGACTATTGTGTATGGTATAAGATAGGAGTCCACATTTCATTCTTTGTATGTGGATATCTAGTTTTCCTAACACTGTTTGTTAAAGACACTATCCTTTTTCCATTGTATATTCTTGCCACCTTTGTCAAAGATCTGTTGACTCTGAATGCATGGGTTTATTTCTGAACTCTTTATTCTGTATCATTGGTCTATATGTCTGCCCCTTGGATTTTAGGCAAGGATTTCTTTTGAAGCCATTTCAGGTGGAGTGGCTCTTTTTTTCCCATAATATTTATTTGTATATCTATTATGATCACCTCAGTGTTTACGTGAAAAACCTTTCTGAAAATTGTAAAATGATTCATAAAACTTTAAATCAAGTTAATTTTTTTTCTCAAAAGAAATAAACAGGGTAGGAAAATAAGAGAAAAAAATATATTTGTACTTTTTCCCCCCATATCACATTAATCTGAGTAACACATAAACTTTTATGGAGAAAAGTGAAACCTCAGATAACATTAATTTATAACCAGGATTTATTATCCTGCTTTTCCATTATAAAAATTTTTGTATCCAAGCCTCTGTCATTCTCAAGGATTTTTTGGATTCACTTATTTCTCAGATTATATCAGCATTGTCATGTAGTGCTCTGATTGTTTTCACTATGGTGAAGCAAGAAGTTGGTAGCAGCAATACATTCTTATTTGCTTTGTGTCCAGTGAACACCATTTTATCTTTGTAGCGATGGCCTTCTAACATTTGACATCAGAGGTTTTTGTTTGAAATTAATGAAATTATTATTAGTTTTAATTTCACTTCAGATAAAAATTGAAAATAATCACTTGGGGTAACAGTAAGTTCACAAACCACACTACCAAGCATCTTAATAAGATGATTCTGTGCCATCCAGGAAGATTGATGCCAGTCGGAAAATGACCTGTCATCTTGCTATGAGTAGTTATTGCATTTCCTTTATTCACTTGTGGATTCATGTAGGAATCTAGTACCTATACTGGATTCCTAAAATGTACTGACTTTAATACTCAAGGTGCTGGTGGGGCCTTTTATTTTCATTTTAATTTGAATGCACATTTTAAAGAAAGGAATAAATTCTATCACACCATTTCAAAAAGCATATCAATCATCCATAAATGAGAAGCAGATATATTAAGATTATTATATTCTAACTTACAGTCTACTTGTAGATATGTATTTCATTATTTTCAACTTGATTTGAAGCTTCTCTTGGTAAAACATCTACCTTATACATTCTTTTTCAGAATGTAAATGCCTTATACATTCTTTTTCAGCTTTGACAGAACCTAACAAATTGCCTTATTCATCAGAGTATTGCATGTTTGTTGAATCAAATTACATTTGATTAAATCTAATGACAGGATAGTTATTTTGAGGATGGGGAAGATATATTTATTTTTGTATTTATTTTGCGATTATACATTGTAACGTTCATTAACATGTACAAGCAATTTAAATTTAGAAACGTATACTCCAATCAATATTAATCTTCATTACAAAAATTCCTCTACTAAATACCACCTGCGTGGTCAAAAATGGCGAGTCTCATGGTTTTCAAGAAATATTCACATAGAAACCAAATGACAAGTAATAGCCAACACCTGCTGCCTTTAGGCAAACTGTAATTAAAGTCCCCTATGTTTAGAAACATAGAAGTGTTCTGCTATCTAGATAGTAGACATGCAAAATCATTTTATTTGGCAACATTTTTCTTCTTGATATATACATATCTGTGTGAAATAAGTCACATAGCCATTCATTGGCTATGTGACAAAACACATTTACCTTCTTAGTACAGGGTTCATTGATTTTATTGATTTGTTTTCCTAGGGCTTACTTCTGACTGTAAAGCTACTAAATTATAATTTTCAAAAAGGTAAAATCATAAATATTATATAAACAAGTATGGGCTAAATGTTTGTTTAACTCAATTAGTATGAGCAGCCATACGATGTTATAACCCATTCAAGAGATAATATGGCAACCAGCCCTTCAAAAATACTGAAATTAATTTGCCAATAGATCCAAAACTGCTTAATGTTTCATACAGCCATGATAAGTAATATTTGGGTTTCTTTTTTCTATAGAACAGAAACTAATTTTATCTTTTCTTTCTTTGTGCCACTCAGTTTTTTTTTTTATTATTTTCTTTTACAAAGATGTAAAAATGGCTGAATCAACAGAAAGCCAGTTACATTTGTATATCCTTTTGAATTAGATAAAACTCTGAGGGTGCAATAAAAGGGCATCCAGTACTCTTTTTTTGTCAATTCCAAATCTTGGACATTTTTTTTATTTTCATAAAAGGGCATCTAATGTGGGAATGTAATTTTGATATTTAATCTTCTCCAGGATTAACTAGAGCCTATCGCAATTTATTTTTTAAAAAAAGGCTATTCAATAGTGTGATTAATTTTTGATGGGTATAAACTTTTGATATGCAAGATGGTGGTTCATGTCATAGCTAGATACCAGAGTCATTCAAATTCAGAGGTAACTCTTAGAAGTTTCTAATTCTGTGGCTTTTCTGAGCTCAATTCTGTCAAATCAAAGCTATTTCTTCCTTTCTCTGCTTCTCTAGCCACTAAGGATTTATGATCTGGTTTAAATTACAGGCTCAACTTTTTAATTAAATGCAAAGCTATTTCCAGTTTCCAAGATCAGAAACTCATTAGATTTCCTCTTTAACTTCCACATCCAGAAGTCTTTTTAGTTCTGTTTATTGTGAGCCAGGTAAACTTTTTGCTGTTAAGTGTAGCCAAGAGTGACAGTGGGAGGGGAGTTCAAATATATTTTCTCTGACAGTATATGCTGATGGATCCCTTATTCCCTGATGAAAGTCAGGATTGGTTTCACTTTTTAGGGTGATGGCGGGGGCGGGGGTCATACTCCCTGAGAAGGACATGTTAGCCAAATAAAGAAAATAATAACATTAAAAAAAACATACACACACACACACAGTTTGGGAAGCACTCCTTCCCATTTCAAGTCAGTGAGAACATTTGCACAGAGCTAGATTTCCAAGGGATCATTGTGTAAGAGTGTAGCTATGGGCTTGATAAACTTACTATTTTATAGACGAATCCTTTGTTCTATATAGTGACCTGCAGAGTGACCTGCCATACTATTTACCACATATGGAAACATAGTTATGATAAGAGAAAAACTTCAGCCGAATTAAATTTAAAAGAGTTTAATTAAATGGTGAATGATCCACAAATCGGGCAGCCCCCAGAATCACAGCAGATTCACAGAGACTCCACTGCAGCCACGTGGTGGAAAAATATTTACAGACAAAAAAAAAAAAAAGGAAACGATGTACAGAAATTGAAAGTGAGGTATAGAATAAGTTGGCATTAGCCTCATTTGAACACAGTTTGAACACTCAGCAGTGTATGAATGGTTGAAGTATGATGGCTGAGATTGGCCAAGACTCAGCTATTGTTACAGATGCATACTCCTAAGTCAGGTTTTCAATCTTGTCTACCTATTAAGCTAGGTTGCAGTTTCTCCACAAGGACTCAAATATAGAAGTACAGAGTCCTTCTCGGGCCACATTTAGTTCATGTTAACAGTTAGTAGTTCCTTGAAGCTCTTTCCAAATGTAGTAAAATCACACTCTGTTTATATGAGTAAAACATGCTTTCACATTCTGTTATTTACCAATGATGTGAAAGCTAGATGAAAGGCAGGTAAGCCTAAAGTCAAAGATCCGAATTAAGTGACTATTTCAATAGTCTGAGTAAAGTATGGAACTAAGGAAGTCGTTGTGGGAAAAGAAAGATAGTTGAAAAGCATAATTTTTAGGATTTGATGAATTAGGTATGAGTAGACAGCAGGGCCTAAGCTGACTCAAAGATGTCAGGACTCAGTATCTCTGTAGACAGAGGGTTCATTAAGTGAGGTTTTTGTATATGAGTAGTAGGTAGATTATGTGAAATTTGTCACAATAGTAATAAGTAGGTTTTTAACTATTCTGAAGGTAAGTTCAGTATCTAATCTGGAGATGCACATTTGAGGCTATTGAGCCTATAGGGCATGGTTAAAATCAAGAGTGTTGATATTGCAAAAGAGGGTATGTGCATGGAAAGAAAAGACTGAGAATCCAGGGTCAGAAACCTGATGGCAGAGCCAAAAAAGTGACTAAAAAGAATGAATTAAGAGGTCAGCGAAAAACTCTGGAGAGATACATTGGTATCAATTGGGTCACTGGAAAGAGTGCTTAAGATTGTGTGCCTTGAGTATGCATATAGAGACAAAGACCCAATAGAGATTGCAGCAGTTAAATACATAAGAGAAAGTAGATAACCTTGATGGACAAATATGCTAGAAAAGACAGGAGATGATGGGTAGAGATAAGTTACTTGACATTTAAAGGAAGAATACAACCTCTTATTCTTATCTGAGAATAAAGAAAGAGCACATGCAGTTATAAATAATGTTGTATGAAGGGGAAAGGGAGTTGGAATAGTTCATGCCTGATGACCTCAATTTTATTTAAAGACTGAAAGTAAGTTTGTTATGTGTGAGGTTTAGCTTATTCAGAAAATCTAAATGGAAGGATGAGTACATGAAAGGTTCTTAACAGAAAGAAAAAGGTAACTGACCAAGGAAAACAAAAATTGTTGAATGTTTCTGGAGTTCAGATGAAATAAAATTCTATTAATATATAGTGACCCAAATATATGCAATTCTATGATTTTCTTCAGTAGTAGCAGATGTGTGTGTGAAGAGGGTGAAAACACTTGTTCAAATGAGTCCCAGTGACTAGCAAAGCAGCAATTTCGGTCAGAGAGGAAAGTTCAAGATGAGACTAATACACTGGAAAAAAATAACTCCAGATATCTCTATAAAATCAAAGAGTAGGCCATGAAAGTGAGGGTCTGAGGAACTACAATGTTAGGAGATAAACATTTTGAGGTTCCTGGTTTCTGCTGAGACATATTTTTTGTGATAAGAAGGTCCAAAGTGAATCCCTTAATATAAAGAAAGAAGTATAATCAAACAGAAGTTGATTGAATTTAAAGCAATTGTGAATTTATGAGATGAGATCTATAGTTATTTCCTTCTCTGGTCTTCGAAATTACTATGACTGATTATAGTACATGAGATAGAGAAAAACACTGATTCCGATGCCAAGAACTTTAATTGATATGAGAGAGTGATACAAAGATTTTTTGATTAAATTGTAAAGAGGAAAAATAAACAGCAATATGCTCAGAGCCTGTGAATTTCAAATGAAGAGAGAATTTTACAAGAGAGTAGAAAGTGAGAATTTTGAAATCAAGAATAATAATTGCACTTTTGGTTCTTATGGCTTATGTGTGAAGAAGTATCTTCTTAATGGGATGCTTTAATAGAAGAGTTTTCTTCTAGTAAGGGAGGTAGAAATCAAATGAAGCTGCCTTTGCAAAACTTATGACAGTGAGAGAAATCTGATATCACTTACTCCATCTTGCTTCTAACCTCACAAGCTAACTGCATTTGTTAACGTTAAAACAAAGATGATAACAGTCCTTTCCTCAAACTAATCACATCCTTGCTCAGGGACTGAAACTTGCCTTTGTAAGATGAATGGAAGTCCACGAGGTTAGGATTACAAGAGGGGTCAGAATTCTGCTAAAATGTAGATGTAGCTGAACGATAAGCAGACATTGTCTTCTAGCTTGCTTTTTTATGATTCCTTACTGCTCAGGGGTTAAGCAGCCAGAGGCCACAAGATTTGTAACTTCCTCAGTTGCTCCTATAGATTATATCTCTATTGTAAATCCTGAGATTAGCCTTTGAGATATTTTTTAGGCTTTTGCATTCTGGTTACCACCTGACTCTGTTTGGACTCACCCAGACCTGTGATTCACACTAAGAAACTGACTCAACTGGTCTTTAGGCCCCTATCCAGAAACTGACCCACGATGTAAAGTCCATTTTTGACCCTCTAGGATTTCATCCTCATCCAACCAATCAGCATTCTCAATTGCTAGCCCCCTGCCTGCCAAACTATCCTTGAAAAATCTTAGCCTCTGAATTCTCAGGAAGGTAGATTTGAGAAATGTCTCCTGTTCCCCTGCTTGGCTGTCCCTATGATAATTAAACTTTTCCTTTGCTGCAATACCTGCTGTTCTCAGTACATTGGCTTTTCTGCATGACTGAAAAGATGAACCTATTGGGCTGCTCCACAAGTATTAGGGACATTGTTAAGAAGAGCCAGCTTTTTGTATGATGGATATTTTTAAATGTTAGACTAGTAATTCGAAAAGTATATTTGAAAGGCGTGGGAAGTAGGGTAAGAGGAAGCACAGTTCCATGAGAGAGTAAGGTTCAGTAGATAATACAAAAACAGTGTCAAACTGAAAGAAAGAAGTTGAAGCAAAACTAATATAGGTAGAGAGTTTATTTGGGCCAAGCTTGAGGATTGCAACCCTGGAGCATAGATTCAAGTTGTCCTGAATATACACTCTGATTAGCAATAGCAATAAGTAGGTTTTTAAATTAAAATAAAAGGCAGTTCCTAAGTTGTTCTCCAATAATTTACATTAAAATATCAAAAGCTATTCATTGGCTATATGTTGTTTTTCGTGTCACAAATCCCCAAAACATGAAGATAATGGGTAAGGTCGCTAATCGGGAACAAAATGATTTTAAACAATCGCTCCCAGGCAACGGAAAGGAGACCAGATTATGCTCATGTCTTTTCTGACCTGGGTACCCTACAGAGTCAGACTGCTCTGAGTTATTTTTCTTTTCTCAACAGTGAGATGTTCACAGTGAAATCCTCTGTGATGAGCATGATGCAAAGACCAGGGTTGCAAAACACATTGCAATGCTCTGGCCATAAACTTTGAAACTCTAATGTCAACACGGGCATAGAGCCTCCTGGTGTCGCAGAGAGGGAAGCTCATGTGATGGCTTCTAAGGCTTTTGGAATCAGAGTGAAAGAATTGATTGATTCTAGGCCTATAAGATAGCATTTGCCTTTTCAAATAGATTTTACATTTTCTCTTTTTTGCTACTGATCACGCTCAGAGGACATGTTTTGTTGTTGTTGTTCTTAACCCCAGATCTTCTCTTTTGAGCAAGCTCTGTCATTTGCAATATTCTTTCTGGTGTGGCACCCAGACAGTAATAGCATACACAGTATCTTCTATCTTAAACATGGAAGACTAAAATGTCCCCACTGAAAATATGATGCAAGGGAATAATGTGTTAGTTCATTTAACATTATGCTATGACTTAAATTGAACTCATTAACTCCCAAATAGAGCCCAGTACTTATCTTTATATATGTATTTTAAAATAAAGCCCTTCTCTTTATAGTGTTATATTTGATCAGACTGTCAATATTATGAATCCATCATGAATACACTGTACTGATGTTCCTTCCCAATTTTGTGTTTTTTTAAATTTTGTTAAGTTGGAATCATCAACATTAATTACAAATGTGAAAGAAGACACAAAGATAGAGTCTATGGCATAAAATACATGACCTCTTTTAAAGCTGATGTCCATTATGTGTAGTGGTTAATCCACTTACAAACCATTTAACTCTATTATCTTTTCCAAGTTTATTTATTTATTTATTTTTATTTTTTCTTAGAGACAGGGTCTCACTGTGTTGTCCAGGCTGATCTTAAACTCCTGGACTCAAGTGATCTTCCTGCCTCAGTCTCCCAAAATGCTGGGTTTGCAAGCATGAGCCACCATGTCCAGCCTGTCTTTTACTCATTTCCATATTATCTATTAGGACACCATGAAGAATGTTGCAAGTAGCTCAATTAGTTTATGCATGCATGCATTCTCTTTACTTGAGTTCAATAATAATCTAACAAGTGAATCTGTACTTGTTAGAATTTTTATGGTATGATGAAAATACTTCTGCTAAATCCATGCTCTGAAGGCTGTTTCCATATTTCCCCAATCCTGTCTACATTTCTTACAACCTTCTTTGCTCAGGTAGTTTCCTTAGCATAAGTATCTTAACTAAAGATTTTAATATAAAATTTCTAGATTGTCTCTGAGCAGAGAGAATGTGAGAATATTTTGGAAAATAATATGCTGCCTAACTTATAAATGGCCTAAGATAATAAATATTTTTCTGCCCCTCAAAACTCTGTTAAGTCATTTATTTAGCAAACAATAAACTCACTATGTCCTATTTGTATTGAGGTCAATTTTTTTTTAAATACTGGATGTACCAGGCATTGGGCAGATGTTGAAAATACAAAAATCAATAAAAGTTAGTTCTTATCCCTGAGGAGCTTACAGTCTAATGACAGAAAAAGATATTTAAATAGGTAATACTATATGGTAAGAGGCATAAATAAAATAATGTGAGAATGTGGAATACTCGAAGCATGTGTCAGCTGGAATCTAAGTCTAAAGAAATTCGTAGTGTTCTCAAGTTAATATTATTCACATAGGGTTTTGTCTAAAACTTTTTTCACTGTAAAAATCATTCTGTTTTGTGATAATCACTTTAGTGAAACATTTCATCAGACCAATCTTGGCCCACTGACATGAAACTGCCACCCACACCTGTATTTACAAACTAATTCTTTTGTATTTTTTTGTGTGTATTTGTGCTCAATATAGTACATTCAGAACATTCCCAGGCATAGCTCAGAACGCTGATTAATAATCCAATTCAATTTCCATTTCTCATGAACCTGGGATCTATTTCCACACATGTATTGTTCAGCATGAAGGAAAAGCAAATAAATTCATTTCTTTGTGGATGAGAAAACAGGCCTAAGCTAGTTGGCATCTCTCTATGGCTCCTTCCAAGGGTTTATTTTCAAAAGCCAGATCTCCATCCTTTTGTTGAGCTGAAAAAAAAAAAATCCCAAGTAAAAAGCTATAGAAAACTTCCTTTGTGAAGGAAGAAGCCATGTATGAAAAGTTTTCATCCACCATGCACTGCCAATATTACTAAGTCTAACTCACTACCAAGGGCATTGCCTCATGACTGAATTTGCTTACGAGTGATTAAGGCCATAAAATTACACAAAGAAAATGAGCATACAGCTAAAATAATTGCTCTAACACTAATTCTACCCTGTTATATCTTGCTAAGAATCCTTTGCCATCCACACAGTCCCATCATGTTTATTGCAATTTTCAAGTCTGGCCTATTAAGATTATTTCTTGTACTGAAACTTACTCCATTATTACCTTTAAGGATCATGAGGATTAGATAATGAAAACCTTTAAATTACTCCCTTTTGCAACCCTGTTGCTTACAAGGTAGTCAAAAAGCTACCCAATTTGATTTGTATATTTTAAAAGCCCTATGAAAGAATTATGTTTATAAATATTTTTATGCTAGTAGTTCTATGTCAATATTCAAAGTTTCTATGCAAAGCCCTTTCATCCACAGAACTACAAAATTAAGAGAATTTCTGCAATGAAATAATTTCCTTTCATGTTTTAAGTACTAGATTGATTTACAACTCTCCACTAAGATGAAAGTATTCAAATTATCCCCCAACCCATCTTTCAAGTTTAAAATGAACTAAGTGATTTTGCCTTTGGTATTTTACAATGTCAGTGAGCTTTAAAGAGCTTTTAAACAAATAGGATTGCCTAGGCAGCCACCAAGAACCAGATCATCATCTTCTTTGGGTTTCTATGCAATTGAAATGGTTTCACTGATTCAGGCCGTGTCTCTCTAGGTACCCAGGGTACCTTGATACTTGGGTCATCACTGATACTGTTCCCAGGAGACTTACCCAACTAGAATTTCCTTGAAGATCATTTCTCTTCCACTCCTCCCAGTAAAGAAGAAGTACTACCAGGAGCGAGGATTACTACCATCTGGGTGATATGGCCCATCCTTCAATTTGAAACTTCCACCTTCTCAAATAAATCTCTTACTAAGTCTCCTGTTAAGTAAATACAGTTTTCACAAGAGCCTTTCTAAGTCTCACTCTTTTGCACTAGGACTCTTGCCCACCACCCATATCCCATTCAAATTAGAAACAGTCTACTTTTCCCTCTTTCCTCAGGCATCAACCGTAGGTTTAAAGACAACTGCTAGCTAAGTTTCTCTGCAGCTAAATTGCCTTTGATGACCAAAAGTTAAGCTAGCTCATGAAGTAAGACTTTCAAAGCTTGGGACTTAATTCACCAAACAGGGACAGAGCATAACTAATATAAAAATAATAGTTCTTTTCAATTCTGGGATATTATTAGCCGTCACAAACAAAACAGGCTTGGGCCTGTATCTTTCAGGAATGACAGACTTTGAAATAAACACATGCTGCTTCATGAATAAATTGAATCTAGAGAAGCATTTTTTCAAGAGAGGCATTATTTAGAAAGAACTAGATGGTAGTCTGTTGCATGGTTCAACTATTTGTAATCATGTTATGTTAAAAGTTTCTATTCATAATAAAGACTATAATAAGCATTTCTGAAAAGGTAGAAGCCTATCTAAACAATTACATTTAATACAGTTTATTTAAAGTAAAGTAGAATTTACTTTTCTGACACAGACTCAAATGCTACCACTCTGATTTCCCCCAACGTATTTAAATGCAGCTTTACTTGCTCTCCTATCATATCTTTTCTTTTTTTTGGTATTCTTTTTAGCATTTATTACACTGTTTGCCATTGTTTGTTTATATGTCTGTTTCTCCTATAGAATTCAACATTTAGATGCCAATAATCATTTGGTCAGATTTGTATCCTGGATCTTTGAGTAAATAACTGAATTGTATTTTATTATTTTTTAAAAATCTGTATTTAACAATTTGGTAAATTGTTTTAATATACCAACTAAATTATGGAAGCTTTAGAATGTTCTGATAATATGTTTTGAGTGGAATATAAGTAAAGATAGAATGTTTTTCTTATCTGTTTTTAAGGTATGTCTTGTGCGACATGTCATATTTTTACAAATAAAATATTTCTTCCTGAATCTATATATGTGCTGAACAAACACATAGATTGAAACCAAAATTGTTCCAACTAAATTTCTAAATTATAATTTTTAGGAATTGAGCTTTAAAATATATATATATATATATATATTTCAATTAGGTAAAGCTCATTACATATTCTTAAATGCATATGCTAATATACCGTCCATAGGCTGGTGCAAAAGTAATTGCAGCTTTTGCCATTAAAGTAATAGCAATTACTTTTGCACCAACTTAACAGATTTAAAAGGTATTTCCTACTACTACTGAGGCTTATAGACATGATGAAAATGGCCCAGACAAGTGAAATTTTAGTTTACCCCAAGTAGCTCTCATCATTCTTATATTTACTTTTTCTTCTTATTTTCAATTCACTGGATCTGCTGATGGCTTTTCAGTTCAGGCTGACTATATAAACATACTGTGAGATTACACTGGTGTTTACAGGAATTTTTATTCCAGGGCAGCCAATTAGCAAACTGAACTGGGTTAGGTATAGGTAATTACCACTAGGATGACAGGAGATGTTTGCTTCAAATTTGTTATCTTCCCTGTAATAGAGAACATATTTTTGTTTGAAAAATACCATTAATCCATGAAAATATGTATTCAGCTGAATGATGGTTCTTCTCGTGTTACAATATGCAATTTATGTGTTCCTAAACGGAGAACAGGGATATTGCCATAGTGAAAGCTAACAGGGATACACCATTTATGGAATTAAAAAAAAAAGAAAAGAATTCAATTGAGTTAGAAACGTACATAAGTATAATTAAGAAGAATGTCAAAAATTCTGAATAAAAATGTATGATTTTAGTCACTATAGTCCTCTTTGTATATAGTGTGGCATTATTAATTCTGTACAAATGTGCCTGTCTTTATACAAAGCATAGTTGAAAAGACTAAATATGTATTTGTGGAATTTTATATAAAGGGTACATGGAGCTGTAGCAATGATTTATTTAATCTGACCCATGGAAAATTCAATATGGAAAAATTCAGAAGAAAAAAATGTAGGTTTTATTAATTTTTAAACATTTGTATTTAAATTGATAAAAATATGTATATTTCTGAATATTTAATTTTATTTTGCATAGAGGCAGGGTATAGTAAAATTAGTAAGTTCTATCTATTTTATCATTTGCTTAGTTTTCAGTCAGTTATCAAATATGTTAGGCCTAGATCTGGTCATCAGCTCACTTTGTATGTGCCTGATTTATTCTAAATAATAATATGAAAGTTCCCCAATATATTTTCTTATATGATTAAGTGTGTGTGTGTGTGTGTGTGTGTGTGTGTGTGTGACTTTTTAATATTAATAATAATGGTTCTTACTGGTGTGAGATGGTATCCCATTGTGGTTTTGATTTGTATTTCTCTTATAATCGGTGATATTGAGCTTTTTTTTTTCACATGTTTTTTGGCCGCATGTATGTCTTCTTTTGAAAGTGTCTGTTCATATCCTTTGCCCACTTTTTAATGAGGTTGTTTTTCTCTTATAAGTTCCTTTATAGTTGTGAGATACTCTTTGTCAGATGTATAGTTTACACCTTTTTCTCCCATTCTATAGGTTGACTATTCTTTTAATAGTTTATTTGGCTGTGCAGAAGCTCTTTAGTTTCATTTTAGATCCCATTTGTCAATTTTTGCTTTTGTTGCAATTGCTTTTGGTGTCTTCTTTGCCTATTCTTATGTCAGGATGGTATTCCCTAGGTGGGTCTTCCAGGGTTTTTATAGTATTAGGTTTTACTTTCAAGTCTTTAATCCATCTTGAGTTGTTTTTTATGTTGTGTAAGAAAGGAGTCCAGCTTCAATCTTCTGAGTTTGGCCAGCCAGTTATCCCAGCACAATTTATTAAACAGGGAGCCTCTTTCCTATTGGTTGTTTTGTCAGCTGTGTCAAAGATCAGATAGTCTGATCTTGGCTCTCTATCCTTTCCATTGATCTATGCGTTTGTTTTTGTACCAGTACCATGCTCTTTTGGTTACTGTAACCCTGTAGTATAAAGCTGGATAGTGTGATGACTCCAGCTTTGTTCCTTTTGCTTAGAATTGCCTTATTATTGCCCATTAGGGCTCTTTTTTTTGGTTCCATGTGAATTTTACAATAGGTTTTTCTAGTTCTGTCAAGAATGTCATTGATGGGAATAGCATTTCATCTCTAGATTGCTTTGGGCAGTAAGGCCATTTTAATGATATTGATACTTCCTATCCATAAACATGTGATGTTTTTGCATTTCTTTGTGTCTTTGTTTCAGCAGTGTTTTGTAATTCTCATTGTAGAGATCTTTCACCCGCCCCCGCCCTCCGCCCGGGTTAGCTGTATTCCTAGGTATTTTATTCTTTTTGTGGCGTTTGTGAATGGGACTTCCTTCCTAATTTTGCTCTTGGATTGGCTGTTGGTGGTGTACAGAAATGCTAGTGATTTTTGTACATTAATTTTGTATCCTGTATCTTTGCTGAAATTTTTTAGCTGAAGGAGCTTTTGGGCCAAGACTACTGAGTTTTCCAGATATAAAATTATGTCATTTGCAAACAGGGATAATTTTTGACTTCCTCTTTTCCTATTTGGTTGCCTTTTATTTCTTTCTCTTGCCTGATTTCTCTGGCTAGGACTTCCAATACTATGTTGAATAGGAGTGGTGACAAGAGGGCATCCTTGTCTTGTGCTGGTTTTTAAGAGGAATGCTTCCAGCTTTTGCCCATTAAGTAGGATGTTGGCTGTGGGTTTGTCATAGATTGCTCTTATTATTCAGCGGTATGTTCCTTTAGTACATAGTTTATTGAGAGTTTTTAATATGAAGGGATATTGAATTTTATCACAAGCCTTTTCTGCATCTATTTAGATAATCATGCAGTTTTTGTCTTTAGTTCTGTTTATGTTATGAGCCACATTTATTGATTTGTGTAAGTTGAGCCAACCTGGCTTCCCAGGGATGAAGTCTACTTAATCATGGTAGATTAGCTTTTTGATGTGCTGCTGGATTTGGTTTGCCAGTATTTTGTTGAAGATTTTTGCATCAATGTTCATTAAAGATATTTGCTTGAAGTTTTCTTTTTTTTGTTATTGTGTCTCTGTCAGCCTTTGGTATCAAGATGATACTGGCCTCATAGAATGAGCTGGGGAGGACTCCCTTCTCAATTTTTTGGATAGTTTCAGTAGGAATGTACCACCTCTTTGTATATCTGGTAGAGTTCGGCTGTGAATCCATCAGGTCCTGGGCTTTTTTTGGTTCATAGGATATTTATTACCGATTCAGTTTCAGAACTCATCATTGATCTGTTAAGGGAATCAATTTCTTCCTGGTTCAGCCTTGGGAGGGTGTATGTGTCCAGAAATTTATCCATTACTTCTAGTTTTCTAGTTTGTGTGCATAGAGGTGTTCATAGTAGTTTCTGATAGCTATTTTTATTTCTTTGGGTCACTGGTAACATTCCCTTTATCATTTCCAATTGTGGTCATTTGGATCTCCTCTTTTTTCTTCTTTATTAGTCTAGCTAGCAGCCTATCTATTTGTTAATGTTTTCAAAAACCAATTCCTGGATTCATTGATCTTTTGAATGTTGTTTTGTGTGTGTGTGTGTGTGTGTGTGTGTGTGTGTGTGTCTCGATTTCCTTCAGTTCAGATCTAATTTTGGTTATTTCTTGTCTCCTGCTAGCTTTGGGGTTGATTGGCTCTTGCTTCTCTAATTCTTTCAGTTGCGATGTTAGGCTGTTAATTTGAGATATTTCTAACTTTCTGATAGGCATTTAATACTATAATTTTCCCTCTTAACACTGCTTTAGCTGTGTTTCAGATACTCTGATATGTTGTATCTTTGTTCTCATTGGTTTCAAAGAATTTCTCGATTTCTGCCTTAATTTCATTATTTACCCAAAATTCATTCAGGAGCATGTTGTTTAATTTCCATTTAATTGCATAGTGTTGAGCAATGTTCTTAGTCTCAATTTCTACTTTTATTGTGCTGTGGCTTGTGGGTGCATTTGGTATGATTTTGGTTCCTTTGCATTTGCTGAGGATTGTTTTATGTCCAAGTACATGGTCAGTTTTAGAGTATGTGCCATATTATGATTAGAAGAATGTTTATCCTATTGTTTTAGGGTGGAGAGTTCTGTAGAGATCTGTCTATCAGATCCATTTGTTCCAATGTTGAATTCAGGTCCAAAGTATCTTTGTTAATTTTTTGCCTTGATGATCTGTCTAATACTGTTAGTGGAGTGTTGAAGTTTCCCACTATTATTATGTGGGAGTCTATGTTTCTTTGTGGATCTCTAAGAGCTTGCTTTACAAATCTGGGTACTCCTGTGTTAGGTGCATATATATTTGATAGTTAGGTCTTCTTGATGAATTGAACACTTTACCATTATATAATGCCCTTCTGCCTCTTTTTTTTTATCTTTGTTGGCTTAAAGTTTGTTTTGTCTAAAATTAGGCTTGCAACCCCTGCTTTTTTCTGTTTTCCATTTTCTTGGTAGATTTTTCCCCATCTCTTTATTTTGATCCTATGGGTGTCATTACATGTGAGCTGAGTCTCCTGTAGACAGCACACCATTGAGTCATAGCTTGCCATTTTCTGTCTAGCTTGCCACCCTGCTTTTTAAGTGGGGGCATTTATCACGTTTAAATTTGAGGTTAGTATTGATATGTGTGGATTTGATCTTATCATTGTGTTGTTAGCTTGTTATTGGGCTGGCTTGTTTGCATGGTTGCTTTATAGCATCACTGGTCTGTGTATTTAAGTGTGTTTTTGTATTAGCTGGTAGTGGGCTTTCTTTTCTTTCTATATTTAGTGCTCCTTTCAAGATCTCCTGTAAAGCAGGTCTGTTGGTAACAAACACCCTCAACATTTGCTTATCATAAAAGAATTTTATTTCTCCCTCACCTAAGAAATTTAGTTTAGCTGGTTATAAAATTTTTGGTTTAAGATTTTTTTTTTTTTTTAAGAACATTGAATATAGGCCCTCAATCTCTTCTGGCTTGCAGGGTTTCAGCTGAGAGGTCTGCTGGTAGCTTGATGGGGTTCCCTTTGTAGGTGACCTGCCTTTTCTTTCTAACTGCTTTTAACATTCTTTCTTTTGTCATTTCAGCCTTGGAAAATCTGATAATTGTGTGTCTTGGGGATGATATTCTTGTGCAGAATATTGCAGGAGTTCTCTGTATTTTCTGAATTGGACTGTTGGCTTCTCTAGCAATGTTGGGGAATATTTCATGAATGGTATCCTGAAATATGTTTTCCAAGTTGCTTGTTTTCTGCCCCTCCCTTTCAGGAATGCCAGTGATTTGTAGATTTGGCCTCTTTACATAATTCCATACTTCTTAGAGGTTTTGTTTATTCCTTTTTATTCTTTTTAAAAATTTTGTGTCTGTCTTGTTTCAGTAAGCCAGTCTTCAAGTTCAGTTTCTTTCCTCATTGGTTTATTCTGCTGTTAATACTTGTGATTTTATTGTGAAATTTTTCTATTGTGTTATTCAGCTCTGTCAGATCCGATAGGTTCTTTTTTATACTGGCTGTTTCATCCTTCAGTTCCTATATTGTTTTAATGTTGTTAGTAGTTTCCTTGGTTGGGTTTTGCTGTTTTCCTGAATCTCGATGATCTTCATTCCTATCCACATTTTGAATTTTATTTATGTCATTTCACCCAGCTCAGCCTGGTTAAGAACTCTTGTTGGAGAACTGGTATAGTCATTTGGAAGACATATGACACTCTGGCCATTTGAGTTACCAGAGTTCTTGTGTTTGTTCCTTTTCATCTCTGCATGTGGGTGTACCTTTAACTGCAGTGTACACTGAATCTCTTGTAGTCAGTAGATTTCTTTTCTGAGTCTTTTCACAGGGACGAGGCTTTGTGCAGGGTCTATTTGAAGCTGACTTCTCATTTTTGGTTTTAGATGGGAATATGTTAGCAAGCCATTTTTGGTGTTGAAGCTTTGGGGTGTGATCCATTAGGTGGCACTTAGGTACACTGGTCAGTTGGTAGACCCTTCCTCAGTTGTGTTTCCTGTGTTTCCTCACAGTTGAAATTGTATTCCCTCTCAATGGTCTGAATGTGTGAATTCCTCTTGCCCTTGAGTGTTGGCTGTACATCACAGCTTAGCACTCCTGGGCTGCCCACTGCAGCTCCAGGGTGATCTCAGTGTTCATGATCCTTCCCCAACATGGAGGCAGCAGAGGAAGGGACCTTAGTAGTGGTTGTGGTCAAGGGTCTTTTGTTTTTTTCCAGGGGGCTCCCCCAAGAAAGATGCAGGCCAGCAATCACTCAGTATACTCAACTAAGGATGGAGGGTTTATGCTGTCATCAAAGCTGGGGATTCCCTGTCTGGTGATGAGTGGGGGGACGGTGGTACCCATGGGAGATGGGCTGGCCTGCTCTCTTTGGGTCAGACTGCAGCTTGTTGGAGGAGTGGGTAAAGCACTTAGGGTCTTTGCTCCTTCATTAGTCCGAGGGTAGCAAGGGCAATTCTACTGCAGAGGAATTGGAGTGCTCCTGGAGACACTGTCTAGGGAGTTGCAGAACCGCTACTGGCTCCATAGCTCTAAAAGGGAGCATGCCTGGAGGCCCAGGCCTGGAGTCCTTGCCTCGTGAGGAGATATGGAAATGGGCACCCATGTGACAATCTGGACAATTTTCTGTAGGGCTGCTGTGGTATGCTGGGGGTCCCATCCAGTCCCTAGTCACCTCAGACTTTCACCTGGAGATATCATCAGTGAAGGCTGTGAAACAGCAAAGATGGCAGCCTGCCCCTCCCTCTGGGAGCTCCATTCCAGGGAGCTATGGACCTGTGTCCTGCCCAAATGCACCTGTAGGAGGTGATTAGAGACCCCATTTGGAGGTCCCACCCAGTGAGGAGGAATGGGTTTGGGGACTCACTTATAAAAGCCATCTGGCCATGTTTTATAGAGCAGCTATGGTGTGCTGGGGGTCCATTTCTACTCCCAATCAGCTTGAAATCTCCAAAGCCTAAAGGCTGGAACAGGTAGGTCACCCTAACAACAAAGATGGTGGTCTGCCCCTTCCTCTGGAAGCTCTGTCCCAGGGTGGCTTCAAATCTCTGTTCACCTGAAAACACCATTGGGGGTGGCTGGAGACCCTGGCTGGGAGGTACCACCCAGTGAGGAGCAAAGGGTTGGGGACCTGCTTAAACAAGCATTCTGGCCAAGTTTTTGTAGGGAGAGATAAAGCTGCTACTGGTGGCTGTCTGGAATTCCAAGCCAGTGGGTCTTATCCTGTGAGGTGCCATGGAAGTGAAGCCTGCAAACTGTCACTGCTCAGCCCCCTGGATTTAACTCCTTTCCTAGGGATATGTACAGGGGTCTAAACTCCCACTTTGCTGGAGTTGCAGCTATTTTGCAAGCAGGCCTGGAAAGCCTGCATTTCTAAGGCTCTTGGGTCTCCACATGTGCTTGAATAGCTGCTCTGTTGAGACTCCATATAGTTTTGGACCTTCAATCTGAAGGTCCTGGTGGAGTGGGTTCACAGAGAGATCTCCTGACATAAGGTTGCATAGATCTGTCAGAGAAGCATGAGTTCCTGGGGTTTCACATTCAATCACGACTTCCCTGGGTGGGGGAAGTTCCCCTGGCTCCATGTTGCTCCTGAGTGGGCTATCATCCTGCCTTGCTTTTTTCCATTCTTCGTGGGTCTGGTAGTTTCCTTGATTAGTCCCAATGTATGTACCCGAATGTTTCAGTTAAAAGTGCTGTATTTACTTGCCCCTCTGTTTCTCTCCATAAGAGTCACACACACTAGTTGCCTCTAGTTGACCATCTTGGCCACTCCCCCTTTTTATTATTATTATAAAATATTGAGACCTACATTAATTATTCATAATAACGTCATAAATTTTCTTAACCTCTTGATTATTATCAGAAAATTATTTCCTGGTACTAAACTCTCATTTTTGCATAATTATTGTGTGTTTTTCTTAATTTTTTATCAGTGAGATAGAGGAAAATCTGTTTGTTCCATGTTTCCATAGGGTGCCGTAGGGTATTCCATATGCAGAAATATATCCGCTTCTAAGTTGGATTGTATTCTTCAATCTTGTTCTGTTCTAAAGACATGCCTATTGAGGGTCAAAGAACAATAGAAACATTCATACAGTCTTTATTCCCCCCATTATATACGATGGCAGAACATACCTAGATTTTACCTGTTCTGATAGTTGCCTTCTGTTAAAAGAGGAATTCTTTATTCTAACTGTTTGAACCTTTCTTAACCCAAAGCTCGCATTTATCATCTTTGGGGCATACTTCAGAGAGGGTGTACTATAACTCACAAAGAAAAAGTATGGTAAGAAATGCCAGTTGACTATTTCAGCAAAGAGACTGAGTACTCTGATGCTTATAATGAACTTCACTGTAGTAGGAATTATTGCTCCTGATGAAATCTAGACACATGTTCCTTTACTTAGTTTGAGATAGAAAGGCTAAATTTCTCCCCAAGATATATTTGCCAACATGCATATTCTAAGCAAAGAAACTTCAATAAATGGATTTGATAACTTTAGGCAATCTTCCCACAGTATCAAGTGACATTGGCCCACCTTCAAAAGAATATTGTTCAAAAATATTAGCCATATCTATGTTCAGCAGAAGGAAATTGTAGTCACAATGTGTGTGTGTGTGTGTGTGTGTGTGTGTGTGTGTGTGTGTATGTGTGATGGGGGAGCGTGAGGCAGCTGCCCACTGAGAAGCCATTCCCAAGCACTGTTTAGAGAATTTTCCCAAAGAACTTCTGGAACATAGAGTTGAAATAATCCAAACAATGAGTTATTTTGGTTCCAGTACATTCACTTTTAGGAAGCTCAGTATATTCAGGCCTATTGATACTTGTATACTCAACACAGTGAAAGTTACAAAGATTTTAAAGATGATCTATTTCAGCCAGGCGTGGTGGCTCACGCCTGTAATCCCAGCACTTTGGGAGGCTGAGGCGGGCGGATCACGAGGTCAGGAGATCAAGACCATCCTGGCTAACATGGTGCAACCCTGTCTCTATTAAAAAGTACAAAAAAAAATTATCCAGGCATGGTGGCAGGTGCCTGTAGTCCCAGCTACTCAGGAGGCTGAGGAAGGAGAATGGCGTGAACCCAGGGGGCAGAGGTTGCAGTGAGCCGAGATCACGCCACTGCACTCCAGCCTGGGCGACAGAGAGAGACTCCGTCTCAAACAAAAAAAAAAAGATGATCTATTTCAGCTCTTCTATTTAAGGGCAACTCTAAATCCATGAATAAGAATATAATCTTTAAATCAGAGTTTAATGAAAGCTGTGAATGAAAATCAGATCTACAAATGTCCTGTCTCATTCAAGTTGTATAGTATGAAATAGCATTATTGGAAGTTTTCTGGCATGAAATTAAAAAGATATAACTAAGCTAACCAAGAAGGAAATATAAGCAGAGTCTGATTGAAGAAAAGGTTATAAGGAGATGATGATATTTCCACCTCAGAGAATAAAGAGATGGAAGAATTAGGTACAGTCACTGGAAGGTTAAACCTAAGAATTGAAGAGGACATTAGTATCTTAGTTAGAATGCTCTCTAAGAAGAATGATATGCGTGAATTATTTAAGGGAGAGAGGGAAAAGTCCAAAGGGGATATGGTGAGCAGAATTTCATGTGCTAAAACTATGACAACAGAAGGACCCACTAATTTAATTTAATAGCTAAATTAGCTGACTAGCCAATATTGTTATTAGTAATTCACTTACCGACTGATACTTTAGGAAATAAATAGGGACCCTAATTAAAATGACTTAAGCATATAAAAAGTAAAATGATGGTTCTTTTTTAAATAGAAACTAATAAGTTTATTAAAAACCTTATATTTAGTATTCAACAAATAGAGCTATTTGATTTGATAGGTTGTAATAACCAAGTAAATTTGGTCTGACAAAACAAATATATTATTATGGCAATCAGTATAAAATTATAGTAATTTACTGCTACCATAGCAATATATTAGGCCTATATTCATAAAAATCATAAACCACTTATTTGATACTTTAAAAGTTAATTTTAAAATTGTGAAAATATATTTTTATAAAGATTACTTATTCTTAGCTCAAATAAAGTGCTATACCTTCAAAACCACAGATAGGCAACAAAATATTCACTGATAAATTTTTAAAAATGCATTAAGTTTAGAAAATTATTTCCCTCCAAATTTTTATTACAACAAAAACAGTGAATTTAAAAATCAAAAAGAAATATATTTATGTTTTAATGATGTAAGATTTTCTAAGTAAAGTTTAATGAAAGTTGCAATAGATATAATACTGCTTTGTTGGCTTAGCTTGTGCTATACTTTTAGATAAAGCGTTCGAAGAATAAACAAGAGTCTATGCTCCTTAATAAAAAGACCCCTTTATTCTATTGAAACAGTAAACTATTCATGTTTCTGAAGGAAAGAAACTCATCTAAACAAAGTGTCTTAGAGTTCTGGCAAGAATTCCTCATTTTAGATAACTAACATAATAATATACCTTAATGTAAATATGTTTTTAAATCTCAAAGTAGAATGTTGTAATCTAGTTAAGTAACATTTATCATAATAAATTACATGGTTGTTTATCACATGTGTCATTACCATGAAGTGAAATATGTAGTCAAACCAGCAAAAACATAATATGAAGATGCTTAAGCAGAAAAACTATAGTGAAAAGATGTATGTGCCCATGAGGCAAAGTGATATCTTATTGACATCATTGGTAAGAAGTACCAATTGATTACCAACTGGTAAGAAGTACCAGTTAATTATTCCAGCAAAAGAACTGAGTATACACCCTGGGTTACTGACTTAGCCATTCAAGCTGCTGTAGCAAAATACTTTAGACTAGGTAATTTATAAGCAATAAAATTTATTGCTCACAGTTCTGGATTCTGGGAAGTCCAAGTTCAAGGTGCCAGCAGATTTGATGTGTGATAAGGGCCCTTTCTCATAGATGGAGCCTTCTTGCTATGTTCTCATGTGGCAGAAGGGGTGAATGGGTTCCCTCAGGCTTCTTTTATACAGGCACTGATCCAGTTCCTGAGGCTGCAGACCCAATCAACTTCCAAAGGTCTCACTTCCCAATACCACTGCAATTAGGATTGAATTTCAACATGTGAATTTTGAGGGGACACAAGTAATCAGACCATGGCAGCTACCTCTAGATTAAAATATGTTTTGAGGCTGGCAGTGTGTAGGTGTATTTTTTTTTTTTTTTACCTTGAGTGTTCTTGTTCTGGGGGAGGGGGAAGTTTTCAGAAGAGTTGGCAGAATAGCTCTGATATGGTTTAGCTATGTCCCCACCCAAATCTTATCTTGAATTTCCACATTTTGTGGGAGGGACTCGGCAGGAGGTAATTGCATCATGGGGGCAGGTCTTTCCCATACTGTTCTCATAATAGTGAGATCTGATGGCTTCATAAAAGGGAGTTTCCCTGCACAACCTTTCTTCTCTTGTCTGCCGCCATGTGAGATGTGCCTTTAATCTCACACCATGATTGTGAGGCTTCCCCAGCTACATGGAACTGTAAGTCTGTTAAACCTCTTTCTTTTGTAAATTGTCCAGTCTTGGGTATGTCTTTATCAGCAGCATGAAAACAGACTAATACAATAAATTGGTACCAGGAGTTGGGTACTGCTGAAAAGATACCTGAAAATGTGAAAGTGACTTTGTAACTGGGCAACAGAAGAGGTTGGAACAGACTGGAGGGCTCAGAAGAAGATAGAAAAATATGGGAAAATTTGGAACTTCCTAGAGACTTGTTGAATGGCTTTCAAATATGCTGATAATGGTATGGACAATGAAATTCAGGCTGAAGTAGTATCAGATGGAGATGAGGAACTTGTTGGGAACTGGAGAAAATGTGACTCTTGTTACGTTTTAGCAAAGAGAGTGAGTGGCATTTTGCCCCTGCCCTAAAGATTAGTAGAACTTTAAACTTGAGAGAGATGATTTACTGTATCTGGTGTGGGTATTTATTTATTTTGGAGTCTTGCTCTGTCACCAGGCTGGAGTGCAGTGGCACGATCTCGGCTCACTGCAACCTCTGACTCCCTGATTCAAGCAATTCTCCTGCCTCAGCCTCCGAGTAGCAGGGATTACAGGCATGTGCCACTACACCCAGCTAATTTTTGTATTTTTAGTAAAGACAGGGTTTCACCATGTTGGCCAGGATGGTCTCAATCTCCTGACCTCGTGATCCACCTGCCTTGGCCTCGCAAAGTGCTGGGATTTCAGGCATGAGCCATCACGCCTGGCCAGTGGAAGAAATTTCTAAGCAGCAAAGCGTTCAAGAGGTGATTTGGATGCTGTTAAAAGTATTAAGTTTTAAAAGGGAAACAGAACATAAAAGTTCAGTAAATTTGCAGCCTGAAATGTGATAGATAAGAAAATCCCATTTTCTTTTTTTTTTTTTTTTTTTTTTGAGACAGAGTCTTGCTCTCTTGCCCAGGCTGAAGTGCAGTGGCACCATCTCCGTTCACTGCAAGCTCCGCCTCCCAGGTTCATACCATTCTCTTGCCTCAGCCTCCTGAGTAGCTGGGACTATAGGCACCCACCACCATGCCTGGCTAAAGTTTTATTTTGTTGTCTTTTTAGTAGAGATGGGGTTTCACCATGTTAGCCAGGATGGTCTCGATATCCTGACCTCATGATCCACCCGCCTCAGCCTCCCAATGTGCCGGGATTACAGAGAAAATCCCATTTTCTGAGAATAAATTCAAGCTGCCTACAGAAATTTGCATAAATAATGAGGAGATAAATGTTCATCCCCAAGATAATGGGGACAACGTCTTCAGGGCATGTCAGAGGTCTTCACAGTAGCCCCTCCCATCACAGGTCCAGAGACCTAGGAGGAGAAAATGGTTTTGTGGTCTGGGCCCAGGGTCCCCGTGCTGTGTACAGCCTAAGGACTTGGTGCCATGTCCCAGCCACTCCAGCCGTGGCTGAAAGGGGTCAATGTAGAGCTCAGGCCATGGCTTCAGAGGGTGCAAGCCCCAAGGCTTGGCAGCTTCCACATGATGTTGAGTCTGCAAGTGCACAGAAGTCAAGAATTGGAGTTTGGGAACCTCCATCTAGATTTCAGAGGATGTATGGAAATACCTGTATGTCCAGGAAAAGTTTGCTGCAGAGGCAAGTCCCTCGTAGAGAACCCCTGCTAAGGCAGTGCAGAAGGGAAACGTGGGTCAGAGCCTCCACACAGAGTCCCTTCTGGGGCACCACCTGGTGGAGCTGTGAGAAGAGGGCCACCATCCTCCAGACCCCAGAATGGTAGATCCACTGACAGCTTACACAGTGCACCTAGAAAAGATGTGGATACTCAATGCTAGCCTGTGAAACCAGCTGGGGGGGAGGCTGTACCCTGCAAAGCGACAGGGGCAGAGCAGCCCAAGACAATGGGAACCCATCTCTTGCACCAGCATAACCTGGATGTGAGACATGGAGTCAAAGGAGATCATTTTGGAGCTTTAAGATTTGACTGCCTCTCTGGATTTCAGACTTGCATGGGGCCTGTAGCCCCCTTATTTTGGCCAATTTCTCCTATTTGGAATGGCTGCATTTACCCAATACCTATACCCCCATTGTATGTAGGAAGTAACTAACTTGCTTTTGATTTTATAGGCTTATAGACGGAAGCGACTTGCCTTGTCTCAGATGAGGCTTTGGATTGTTGACTTTTGAGTTAATGCTGAAATGAGTTAAAGCTTTGGGGGATTGTTGGGAAGGCATGATTGGTTTTGAAATGTGAGGACCTGAGTTTTTGGAGGGGCCAGGGGTGTAATGATATGGTTTGCCTGTGTCCCCAACCAAATCTCATCTTGAATTCCCACGTGTTGTGGAAGGGACCTGGTGGGAGGTATTTGAATCATAGGGGCAGTTCTTTCCTGTGCTGTTCTTATGATAGTGAAAAAATCTCACAAGATCTAGTGGTTTCGTAAAGGCAAGTTTCCCTGCACAAGCTCTCTTCTCTTCTCTGCTGCCATGTGAGACATGCCTTTCACCTTCTGCCATGATGGTGAGGCCTTCCCAGCCACTTGAAACTGTAATTCCATTAAATCTCTTTCTTTTGTGAAGTGCCCAGTCTCAGGTATATCTTTATCAGAAGCTTGAAAATGGACTAATACAAGCTCAGAGGAGAAAAATAAAAGTATACGATAGCTTAGAATCTACTGGATCCACAAAACTTTTTTAAAAAGTCTAATCCTTCTATAAATAGCTTCAGAGTTAATATTTTATTCAATGTCAAATAATTAGATCTTAAGAGGAAGGTCTAAAACTACTGAACTGTAATGATTGAGTTCAAAACTCACAGAAAGGGAAAAGAAGCAGCAAAACAACTTTCAGACTTTTATAGAAGTCACTTCATTTACTTTTTAAATCAATACTTAACAAATATTATATTTCTAACTTCAACAATGAGGTTCTGCCAGTGCTCTATCATCAACTATCTCCCAAAAGTAGGAAATTAGATTACTTACTTATTAAACCAAAGTTTAACTTGTGTGTTCGCTTTCTTGCTGTCACCATTCCTCTATGATCACGGTTTCCTTAGTGATGGCATCCCTCGCCATTCCCCCTGCCCACTTGTTCATCAGCATGAGTAGAGCTGTTTTATTACTTATTCTTCCACAACAGTGAGTTCATCATGCAAATTTCAGAAGATCATTTAACTTCCAGATTTCTGATGCTCTAATTTGCTTTAGCCTTTTCATAAGAACTATTATTTAGATTAATAATTACCACATTGAAATTTTCAATACAATTTGTAGAAGTGGAAAAAATTATATAGTCTCTGGCAGGACCTGATGTGGTCAGCCTCAACAGTTCCATAAGGGAAAACTCACATTATCTGGTCACTGATTTCAAATCTTTTTCC
This sequence comes from Homo sapiens, assembly GCF_000001405.40. Taxonomy (NCBI): domain Eukaryota; kingdom Metazoa; phylum Chordata; class Mammalia; order Primates; family Hominidae; genus Homo; species Homo sapiens. The sequence goes on from NC_000012.12 coordinate 85,661,950, forward strand.
ACAGCACTTCTTGGTAGGCTGCAGCAAGTTCCCTATATTCCACTTTCGTAGTTGCTGTTGACATCAAGGAATCATCAAATTTTTCTCTTTCTGACTCCTAAGTACTCCCTTGATCCCTGGGGTCTCTCCATAGGCCTGGTTCTGGAATAAGATGCTGTCTTTAGACTTCCAGCTACATGATCTTTTTCTTTGAAATCCTAGAAGAAAAAAAAAAATGACAAAGGCCCCTTTTATTTTATAGACTGTACTAAAAACCTTCAGAAATTTGAATAAATTACATAAATTAAGAGCATCAAAATGTAACAATGATTATAAAGTATTTATAGTAGTAGCAATACTGATACATATTAATTCTCTACTCTTCTCTACTCTGGTAAATAAAAGGAAGTCACAGTTGAACTTTTGCCCTGCAGTTGCAATTCACCCACTGCATCTTGCCATTCATTATCCACCCCATGCCTAAGCTCCCACCTACCAACCACTTCCCAGTACTAACCACTCATTGCCACAAACCACTTTCCTACTTAAAAAAAATTTAACTTTTACTTTTGATACATGGGGTACATGTGCATGTTTGTTACATGTATTGCATGATGCTGAGGTTTAGGGTATGGATCTCATTACTCAGGTACTGAGCATTGTACCCAATAGGCAGTTATTCCACCCTCAATTCCCTCTGTCTCTCTCTCCTCTATTAGTCCCTAGTGTCTATTTTTCTCATGTTTATGTCCATGTGTGCTCAATGTTTAGCTCCCACTTATAATTGAGAAGATTTGGCATTTTGTGTTCTGTTCCTGTGTTAATTTGCTTATGATCATGTCCTTCAACTACACACATGTTGCTACAAAGGACATGATTTTGTTCTTTATGGCTGTGTAGTATTCCATGGTATATGAACATGTACCACATTTTCTTTACCCAATCCATCATTGATGGGCACCTGGATTGATTCCATGTCTTTGCTATTGTGAATATTGCTATGGGACTGTGGCATGTGCGTTTTTTAGAAGAATAATTTTATAGTCCTTTGAGTATATACCCATTAATGGGATTGCTGTGTCAAACGGTAGCTTTGTTTTAAGTTCTTTGAGAAATCTCCAAACTGCTTTCCACAGTGGCTGAACTAATTTACATTCCCACCAATAGTGTATAAATGTTCCCTTTTCTCTGCAACCTCACTAACATCTGTTTTTTGTTTTTTGTTTTTTGTTTTTTTGACTTTTGATAATAGTCATTCTGACTGGTGTGAGATGGTATCTCATTGTGGTTTTGATTTGCATTTCTCTGATGATCAGTGATACCAAGCATTTTTTCATATACTTGTTGACTGCTTGTATGTCTTCTTTTGAGAAGTGTCTCATCATGTATTTTGCCCATGTTTTCATGGGGTATTTGTTTTTTGCTTTTTGATTTGTTTAGGATCCTTTTAGATTCTAGATATTAGAGCTTAGTTGGATGCATAGTTTGTAAATATTTTCTCCCATTCTGTAAGTTGTCTGTTTATTCTATTTGTATTTCTTTTTTTTTTCTGTGCAAAAGCCCTTTAGTTTAACTAGGTTCCACTGCCAATTTAAATTTTTGTCCAGCAACAACTTTCTGTCACCAACCACCATAGTCTTTTATGATTTGATGGCTGCTTGTCTCCAGATAGATCCATCTTAACAAACTGTATTAGTTCACTCTTGCATTGCAATAAAGAAATACTTGAGATTGAATAATTCATGTTAAAAAGAGGTTTAATTGGCTCATGATTCTGCTGGCTATACAGAAAGCATAATGCTGGCATCTGCTCCACTTCTGGGGAAACCCCAGGAAACTTACAATCATGGCAAAAGGCAAAGGGGAGCGGACACATCACATAACGAAAGCAGGTGCAGGAGAGCGAGGGGGCAGGTGCTACATGCTTTCAACCCACCAGATCTCAGGAGAACTCATTCACACTCACGAGGACAGTACCAAGAGGGATGATGATAAACCATTTATGAGAAATCTGTTCTCATGATCCAATGACCTCCCAATAGTCCCCACCTCCAACACTAGGGATTACATTTCAGCATGACATTTGCGTGGGGACACATATCCAAACTATATCACAAACTAAGGATAAAAATCCACACTTACAAATTAAGAAGTCTCCTTGCTACAAGAGGTAAATTGTTTCCCTGAAGAAATGCAGATGCTGAGACAACCATTTCCTGCAATCTATCATGTCAGAAATGATTGTACATTTTATACATTTTCTCCCAACTCCTAGGAATAGGCAAATGCTGCCCAGGTATGAAACAAAACTTGGAGGTAGGTGCAGTGTGTAAGGCAACATTTTTTTTTAATTCATCCTTGTGTTTCTTGGTCCACCTAAGATAAAAATGTTATTTTCCTTCTTGAAATTGAATCTATTATGATATACTCAAATAAATTTTACAGCACTACTTGTTTTAGAGAAGGTGATACAAAAGTAAAGTATTTAACAGTACTGTAATAAATGAAAATGTAAGATGAAATATATTGCAAGAAGTTTATGTTTTGTTTTTCATTTATATGTTTATAAATGTGTCACCAACTTGTATCATCTCCTTTTTAAAGTGTCTCTTCCCTATAAAAGCCTTTTCCCCAAAAAAGTCTATAAGGTTTTTGGCCATTCTGATTATATGCCACCCAATTTGGCTTCATAGCTGTTTCCTGGCACTTAGCCAACATTTTCTTTATTTCTCTTCAAAATAAATATCAGCCAATAATTTTTAATTACATTTTAAAAATTATAATTAATAATGCTTCCATTGGCTTTGCTAAACTTCTTTTTATTTTAAAAAAGTAAGCAATAAGAATTTTTAAAAATATTCCATACTGTTTTTCTTTTTAATGTTATTTTTAATTGAAAAATAACAACTGTTTATATTTATGAGGTACAAGGTGATGTTTTGTTCTATACACACATTATAGAAATATCCAGTAAAGCTAATTAATATTCCTATCTCACCAACTCATTTATTTTGTGGTGAGAATGTTAAAAATCTATTATTTCAGCAACTTTGAAATATACAGTACATTATTATTAATTGTGGTCACCATGCACTAAACTAGATCACTAAAACTTATTTCTCCAGTCTAAGACTTTACACCCTTTGATCAACATGTTGCTTTCCCCAACCATCCTCCTCCCATGACAAAGTCCCAAGGATACACTATTTCAAAATCATAAGTTATGAGCAGATTGGTTAGAGAAAAATCATTCAGGCTTACTCTACTATTCTTGACCCCTGTTTCTCTGAGTTCTAAGTGAATTCTAAGCTGCATATTTATATGTTTGGCTTGGTTTTTACCTTTGATGTAACACACCACAAATTGAAATAATAAAATAAAATTACACACAGAATCTTTGTTCACTCAAATCCACATCAGGTATAATGATCAATTATGGTCATAGAATAAAAAATTATTTCCTAAAACAATTAAAAGCTAGCATATAGGATATATTTCCTTTAATTTATTAAACCACTGATTATATTTTCTTTTAGAAATACAATTGATTTAATGAAATTTGTAGAAAGTAAAGTAATAGAGAAAATGACAAAAATGTATAGAAGGGAAAAAAGCTTTGGATAGAGCATATTTTGTATCATTTTGCAAATGGACCTGGCAAAACATGGCTATTGGCAATGACTAAATTTTTAAATGGATGATTACCACAACCACTGAGTACAAGCATCTGACCCAATTCTTCTCTTCCACTGCATTCAGTAGCACTAAACACCTTAGCTGAGTAGCCAAGAAAAGCACATTCTAGTTTTCTTTCCCTATAGTTAGCTGTGATAACACAGGTTATAAATTTTTCCTGGAATAAGTTATTACAGGAGGCTTTCACTATATAAATAAATAGTGGAGAGGCATATCCTCAGTGTAGCTCCACTGGGTACTGTGATAACACATAAGTTTAAACCATACACAGATATATTCACTTAAACTTACTTTAACTCATTACTAGTATAGTTGAAATAATTATATCATATCTGTGCATCTATGAGATGGAAGCTGAGCAGGTGTTGCTCTCATCAGTATTTTCAAATAGATAAAAATTTATTTTGTTCTCAACAATTTGATCTTTTAAAAAGCAAATAAAGAAAATATATTAAATTGGAGTCATCCTATGACCCAGTAATTCTACTTCTAGGAGTTTAACATAGGAACATAATAAAAGATGCTAACAAATAGTTGGCCACAAGAGTTCCATTAAGATATTGTTTGTAATCATGGAATGACAATAGAAAATTATTTAAATAAGTAACAACATGAAATACCTTTTTGGTGGATTAATATGGAGCCATTATTCTGTATAATTACATATTGTGACATAGATAATGAGCAAAAATGTATTAAGTAAAAATGGTAAATTTTTATATTACATGCAACATAAGACCCCATTTTTTAAAAGTAAATGTATCAAAATACATTTACATCCCAAAATGTTAACAGTGCCTATCTTTTTGTGAATAAATTTTGATTTTAATTTTATTTCCTTCATTTTATTATTTTGTGATACATACCAAAATATTAACAGTGATTATCTTTTTGTGGGGAAAATTAAGGTTAATTTTAATTATATTTCCTTCTATTACTTTTTTAAAAAAATATTTACTAACTTTCCTATTGTGGACTTATGTTACATACATATTAATTATATTAACAACAAAGTAACTTGGTAACTGTTTTTAACATGCAATTACCTAACAATTTTAAAATCAATCAAAGCAATCAAATTACTTATGAACCGCAAGGGGCTTTTATGAGCAACACTGCCACAATTTCTATTAATCGCTCAGAAAACCTGCAGAAAGTTCCCAGTTCATATATAGGCTGGATATCCCAAACTTCACTAATTAGCCCTTTGGAATTCAGGATACATCTCACCTGAAAAGGCAATGTTATAAATGATAGCTAGGTTTTCAGACAAATGATTCATCCCCTGAATATATACTAAGATCTTACTGTAAGTTAACCATTGTAAGCACTGAGGAATCATTAGGGACAAAACATAAAAATCCATCCTCTCCTGTAGCTCACATTTAATCTATACACACTATAGAGTATATCAGATAAATGTTAAGGAGCCTAGCGAAATAATGTCTGTTGAATTAACTGAAACCCTAAACATTGTTATGAAAAGCAGTAGAAAATAATATTAAGGTTAAACTAATAAGAAATAAAATATAATTAATGTAATAAGTATTTTTTCAAATGGTAGCGTATTGTAGGTTGGATTGAGTCTTTCCAAAAATATGTTTTTAAGTCCTTACTCCTGGTATCTATGAATGTAACCTTATTTGGAAATGGGGTCTTCTCAGTTGTAATCAAGTTAAGATGAGGTCATACTGGAGTAGGACGGAACTTTAAGCTAATATGACTGGTGTCCTCATAAGAAGAAGAGAAGAGACATGAACACAGTGATATACAGGGAGAATGTCATGTGATTATGAAGAAAGAGATTGGAGTCCGCCTCTGCGGACCAAGGAACACTAAGGATTGCTGGCAACACAAGGAGCTGACAGAAAGACATGGAAAAGATTCTCCCCTAGAGCCTTCAGAGAGAGCATGGCCCTCTGGACAGTTTTGGATATCTAGCTGCTAGAGATGTGAGAGAAAAACTTTCTATTGATTTAAGCCATCTAATTTATCATAGTTTGTTATGGCAGCCTTAGAAACTAATACGATGGTACTTGAGAAAATATGGAAGCTCTCATTTAGCCAAATTTTCCTGTTTCTTACCAGATGAGAAGGAAAATTTTAACATTTTCCATACTTCTACTCCAGGTGCCATTTTAAACCATCCTGCCCAGCAATTTTAGTTTTCTTCAAATGAGCAGGGCTTTCATCTGCCTATGACCCATGGTCCCTTTGCTTTCATTAGCTAAGTAAGGATTGAGGGAGGCGATTGCTTCCCCAAGCAAATTATTGTTTTCTAAGTACACCTTTGTTCACCTTACTTCTATATGATTAATGAACAAAAAAGAAGCTATCATTCATTGAGCATTGAGCAGCCCACACTGGAAAGTGAGGGAGGACTATCTTTTTTTTTTTTTTTTTTTTTTTTGAGACAGAGTCTCGCTCTGTCGCCCAGGCTGGAGTGCAGTGGCGCCATCTCGGCTCACTGCGAGCTCGGCCTCCCGGATTCACGCCATTCTCCTTTCTCAGCCTCCGGAGTAGCTGGGACTACAGGTGCCTGCCACCACGCCCAGCTAATTTTTGTATTTTTAGTAGAGATGGGGTTTCACCTTGTTAGCCAGGATAGTCTCGATCTCCTGACCTCGTGATCTGCCTGCCTCGGCCTCCCAAAGTGCTGGGATTACAGGCGTGAGCCACTGCACGCGGCCTGGAGGACTATCTTAACCCTTCTTTTTAGATACTCTCTACTTTCCTAAAAGAAAGTGATGGTGGGGAGCCTAAATGATTTCTTTGGAATCATTTTGGCCCCATGAATGTACTAAGTCAGAAAAAGATTAAAGGAATAAAAATTAAGTGGAAACATTTTCTCTATCCAGGAAATTTTCCTGTAATCAGGAGGAGTGATTATGAGATGGAGGAAGAATAGAGCACTTTTTTTGATATTCATGAATAAGAAGATTTCATGTTTATCCTTTGTCATTAACCATACACAAATTCATTCTTTTTTGAGAGGATGTTCATGCATAATTCTCGTAAGAAGATGTTCATGCATAATTATGTCAATAAAGCAGGGATATATACCCTGGGGATCATATGAAGTAATTTGTAATAACAGAGTGAGTTAAATTGGAACCCGGTAATTACTTCTTCCAACACCTTTGCCCTAACTCATTGTTTTTACAGTCTTCCGCCAGTTTTTCAGGATTCTTAGCCAGAGCTTTTTGTTTGTTTGTTTATAATTGTTATACCTGATTTTCTTAAAGGAATTGAATAATAATAGCAAAAATATCAATAATAATACTATCCATTATAATAACTTTCAGAGAACTCCTTTTGCAACATATGCATTAAATTCCTTTCACAGCTGGCTGGGCACGGTGGCTCACGCCTGTAATCCCAGCACTTTGGGAGGCCGAGGCGGGCGGATCACGAGGTTAGCAAATCCAGACCATCCTGGCTAGCACGGTGAAACCCCATCTCTACTAAAAATACAAAAAATTAGCTGGGCGTGGTGGCGGGCACTTGTAGTCCCAGCTACTCAGGAGGCTGAGGCAGGAGAATGACATGAACCAGGGAGGCGGAGCTTGCAGTGAGCCGAGATCGCGCTACTGCACTCCAGCCTGGGCGACAGAGCAAGACTCCGTCTCAAAAAATAAAATAAAAAAAAAAAAATCCTTTCACAGCTAACTTCTTGTGCTTTGAATCCTAGTTCAGGCATAATCACTACTGGTAATCTTTATTTTACTGACCATCCCCAATAAGGTAGAGAAAGACTCAGGGATTTAAGTATTACCCCTACTTCTCTTAAGGCATCCACTATTTTTTTATATCTTAGTCCTTCCAGCAATACTGTAAACTATTTTGCCAACTATAGAGAATATGACCTCTTTGTTTTATTATTATTTTCTTTCCTTCCTTCCTTCCTTCCTTCCTTCCTTCCTTCCTTCCTTCCTTCTTTCCTCCCTCCCTCCCTCCTTCCCTCCTATCCTTCCACAAATGAATAAAATGAGGATTTAATGAACCATATATTTGATGGACACTTATGGAAAGCACAGTCTTCTATTTAGTGGCCCCTTTTCTGGCCACTGTAATGAGCACTGGAAAAGTGATGAAAGGGTAGGGAATGCCTATGACTTTATAAGGCTTATATGAAAAGTGAGAGAGAAATCAGAAGTAAAGAAACAAGTAAACAAACTCATGTGGGGTGATATCCAACAAGGTAAAGAAATAGAAAGAAACTGAGAAAGGTAGTGTAGGAAGGCTTCTCTGAGAAGGTAAGATTTGTATTCCAAGACTTTACTTCTTCAGGAGTTACATTTAAGTAAATAAAACTTTCATTTGTTATCAAAATAAAAATTAAATGTTAAGTACTTCTTCCCACTGAGTTGAATGATGTATTCAATTCAGGAATCAAGGAACAGATACCAGTCAGATATCATTGAGAATGGTTGTGCAGTTTAGGCCTCTGGCAAAAGTGTCTGGCTGAGGGATGGACAGGGGTCAAAATCAGCCCAAGTTCAAATCATGAACTCATGCACAAAAGGTTCAGTTACTCTCACGGGGCTTAGTCAGCCAGGAGGAAAAAGCAGACTTTTATTTTTTCTCTTGTCCAGAAAAGACACATTTTCTTAATTGCTGTCTGTTAGGGAGTGGTGGGGTTGGGGGCTTTTCCTAATTATTTATTTCAGAGGAAGATATATTTTAAAATTCATAAAAAAGACCCATAAAACTGACCCAAAAGACCCATAAATAGTATCTGTTGCCCTGAAAATCTTCATAGTCTTAAGCTTTACGTTTAATAAATAAGAAAGTCACCCAAATGATTACTCTGGGTTCAATAAGTATAAAAATGATAGTTAATAATTATTTTCTTACTTTATTATCCATGCCATTTGCTAGAATTGGGAAAGAAAATATTTTTTGGTAGGAAAGGCATAAATTTGGTTCTTGTAAGATAAATAAAAAGGAATAAATTTTAGGTTCCCAAGGTTCTTTTGATTAGTGACCATTCAAGAAGGTTCATTCATTTTCTATTTGATATGATATCATACAACATTTAATAAAACATATATTCTAGAATCAATGCAATAATATCAAAATGTACATTGATTATGAGAGTTTTTATTTTTATAAGTCCAAGTACATCTGGATTCCCTTCCATATACACACTCCCATTATTTTGTGGGATTAGCACAGAATGTCTTGTTTGTAATTGAGTAAAAATTTCAAAGAGACTACTGCTTTTATAGCTTCTCTTTGTGAAAAAATGACTGGGTATAGAGACATACAATGTAATTCATTACTTTGCTTTCGGTGGATTTGAAAAGGAGGTCCTTCTGTTTTTTAGTAGCAACTTCAAGTAGCAAGCTGGCAAAATTTTGTACAAAATTTTGTCACAAGAATTTGGAACACATGGAATTACATACTCCATTTGTTGTACTAATGTGAAATCTGTATTTCTAAGGAAAAAACAAAAACACATCTTACTTGAATGTGTTGATGAATTTTAGGACTCACCAATTTATGTTTATATCTTCTTTACTGAGGGAGGAAAAAGAATCCTTAAATTAGTGGGGATTAGAAATAGGAGAGTGAACTCGACTAAGAATTTCTTTGAAATAGATAATCATCAATAAAATTAGTAATCACCTTACTACTCCATGGACATAAATCACACCAAATTAAAAGAGCAAAACAAAATAAAACAGGTATTTAATTTAGTTATAAAATCTAATACAGCACATAGTCTAAGAAACATCCAAACAAAATCAATAATCCCAACTCAATCCTTGGCTGCATATACAAAAAGTGAATGTCTTTCTTAGCACAGGTTCTAATATGTTTTATAGGCAATGAGGAAGAGATTGCTTTCTCTAGATATTGGCTGTATTAACCAAATGTATCAATCCTAACAAAACTTTGGTATATCTACTTGGACAATAGGGCTTCTCTTCTAATAGTTTAAAGTAACATTTTAGTTAGCATATTTTTCCCAATTGTTTTGCCACAATTCCTTTCAATATTTTTTGTTTCAACATCCTCCCAAGAAATTCAGAGGAGATATATAAGGAAGTCAGACTGATAGTATGTTTCTATTTTTCTTGTCATTATCAGAAGATTTAATTAAAGTGTATTAACTGTAATGTTTACTTTCTTATAGAAAGCTGCCTGTTTTAATGCTGTATGAAATTTTCCCCCTAAATTATTACTCTGTTGGCAATGAGTCAATCCTTTTGAAAATACATATTCATACATTTAATCAGGACAAGTGTTTGTTTTTAATTTTTAATTTTTTTTTCTTTTTATTTTCATTGTATTTTTATTTTTGAGACAGCCTCACTCTGTTGCCAAGGCTGGAGTGCAGTGGCATGATCTCAGCTAATTGCAACCTCTGCCTTGAGGGTTCAAGCGATTCTCCTACCTCAGCCTCCCAGGTAGCTGGGATTAGAGGCACCCACCACTATGCCTGGCTAATTTTTTTTTTTTTTTTTTTTTTTTTTTAGTGGAGATGGGGTTTCAGGGTGGCTTCGAACTCCTGACCTCAGGTGATCCACCTGCCTCAGCCTCCCAAACTGCTGGGATTATAAGCATGAGCCACTGCACCCAGCTGTTTTTTAAACTAGTATGTTTATAGTTGAGACTATGACTGCTTAAAATGCTTCTTACAGTTATTTATATCCAAAGTTAATGTATGCTTTTGAAATGAATTTACTAAGATTATCACAATTAGAATATTTAAAGACTACTATATGTTCATTTGCAGAGAAAATTATCTCTTGAGGCATATAATTTTAGTGACAGTTCAGTAGAAATCTAATTCTCCCTTGTATTTCTCTACTACTGCAATGTTCTTTCTACTGGGACTTATGGAAGTTATTTTCATTGTCTAGTGTCCTGGGGAGGTCATTCATCTTGATTCACTTTGGAAGAAGCTTATTGACCTGATTTCAGAAAGGCAAATTTACCATATTGTTTCATTTCATTTCCCCTTGAAGGTGGAGGATTCATGACAGAAACCAGTCTGAATTAAAGTCATTATATCATTACTTTACTAGTCTCAAAAAATCCTTTCTACTTGCAGAGTTCCCACACCAAGGAATTATTCTGAGTGATGAATAAAACTTTTATTTGCCTTTCCCATAAGTTGCCTCTAGCATCCCTCTAATTATCTCATTTCCTTTCCCAGTGAACAAACTGTCCTTAATTAGGATTAATCATTTTATTTTGAAGAAACTCATTTCTCTTGTTTATACACAAGTGTAAATACTGTGATATAGCATATTAACTATGTAATATAGTATATACTATAATTAGTAATTGTGTATAAATATGTTTAGGCACATTTCTCAACAGAAACATTGGGAAATGATTTCCTATGTATTCCTCATGGGATATGGTAATCAAGGTGCTCTAGGTTATTATATATTTACTTCTGAAGTCATAAGTGCTTTATCAGATATGTTATTTCTAGGATAAATTATGCATTTATATTATGAAAAAGTGAACTAAACCTTAACTTTGCCATTTATTGCAATGACCATGTTTGATTTCAATAAATAATGGAATGGTTTTTACTGATTGGAACAGTTTGTGAGACTGAATAAATTAAGACAAGGTGATTGCACATAGATGGGGTGCATTAGTCCATTTTCACACTGCTATCAAGAGCTACCTGAGACTGGGTAACTTATAAGAAAGAAGGTGTAATTGACTCACTGTTCCTCCTGGCCAGGGAAGCCTCCGGAAACTTACAATCATTGAAGATGAAGGAGGAGCAAGCACCTTCTTCATAAGGCAGCAGGACAGAAAGTGAGTGAGCGGGGAACTGCCTAACATTAAACCATCAGATCTCATGAGAACTCACTCACTATCATAAGAACAGCATGGGGAAAACCACCCCCCCCCACCCCACCGCCATGATCCAATCACCTCCCACCAAGTCCCTCCCTCGGCACATGGGGATTATAATTTGAGATGAGATTTGGATGGGGACACAGAACCAAACCATATTATTCCACCCATGGCCTCTCCCAAATCTCATGTCCTTATCACATTTCAAAATGCAATTATGTCTTCCCAACTATCCCCTAACTTAACCCATTCCAGCATTAACTCTAAGGTTCAAGTACAAAATGTCATCTGAGATAAGGCAAGTCCCTTCTGCCTATGAGCCTGTAAAATCGAAAACAAGTTAGTTACTTCCAAGACACAATGAGGGTGCAGGCACTGAGTAAATGTTCCCATTCTAAATGGGAGAAATTGGCCAAAACAAAGGAGCCACAGGCCTCATGCAAGTTCAAAACCTGGCAGGGCATTCATTAAATCTTAAAGCTCCAAAATAATCTCCTTTAACCTTTAACTCCATCTCTCACATCCAGGTTACACTGATGCAAAGGGTGGGCCCCCAAGGCCTTTGGAAACTCCACCCCTGTGTCTCTGCAGAGTATAGCCTCCATGGCTGCTTTCCTGTGCTGACGTTGGATACCTGTAGCTTTTCTAGGTGCATGGTACAAACTGTCAGTGGATCTACCATTTTGGGTTCTGGAGGACAGTGGCCATCTTCTCACAGCTCCACTAGGCAGCGCCTTAGTGAGAGCTCTGTGTGGGAGCTCCAACCCCACATTTCCCCTCTGCATTGTTCAAGTAGAGGTTCTCCATGAGGGCTCTACCCCTGCAGCAGACTTCCGCCTGGACATCCAGATATTTCCATACATCCTCTGAAATCTTGGTGGAGGCTCCCAAAGCTCAACTCTTGTCTTGTGCACACCCACAGGCCCAACACCATGTGGAAGCTGCCAAGGCTTGGGACCTGCATCTTCTGAAGCAACAGCCTTAGCTGTCCATTGGCCCCTTTTTGTCACAGCTGGAGCTGGAGTGGCTGGGCAGGGCATAGAAAGACAAATACTGCATAATCTCACTTACTTGTGAAAATTTTAAAAGTCAAACTCATAGAAACAGAAAATAGAATGATAGTTGCCAGAGACTGGGGAGGTGGCAAAATGGGGAAATGTCGGTAAACAGGTACAAATTTCGTATTAGGCCAGTTAAATAAGTTTTGGGGATCTAATGTATAGCATGGTGACTATAGTTAATAATATTACATTGTATTCATGAAATTTGATGAGAGTAGATCTTAATGTTCTCATCACACACACATACACAAATAATTATGTGAACTGATGAATATGTTAATGGGCTTGATTGTGGTAACTATTTCACAATGTGTACATATATCAGAACATCATGGGGCCAGGCGCCGTGGCTCACGCCTGTAATCCTAGCACTTTGGGAGGCCAAGGCAGGCAGATCACGAGGTCAGGAGATTGAGACCATCCTGGCTAACACGGTGAAACCCCATCTCTATTAAAAACACAAAAAGTTAGCTGGGCATGGTAGCGGGCACCTGTAGTCCCAGCTATTCGGGTGGCTGAGGCAGGAGAATGGCGTGAATCTGGGAGGCGGAGCTTACAGTGAGTGGAGATCGCACCACTGCACTCCAGTCTGGGAGACAGAGCAAGACTCCGTCTCAAAAAAAAAAGAAAAGAAAAGAAAAGAAAACATCCCTTTTTACATCATAAATGGTATACAATTGTTATTTGTAAATTATACCTCAATAAAAATAGAGAAAAAAGAGTTAAAAAAGAAAAGAATAAAAGACAGCATGGAGCAACATAGCCCTGACCTGGCTGCTGAATGAAAGACATTGAACAAAAATAAGTTGCAGTAGGTGATTGAATAACTCCTATTTATCCTTCTGGTTTCACTGTATAAAAATTTCTACGATGTCTTTTCTGGCTCAACAAGATTTGTGTATTTACCACTCCCTTGTGCTCTCAGAGCACACTCTACCTTTTTTCATCATACAGTAATTTGAGATTTACTCATCAGCCTTTCCACAGCGTCTTTTTCATGATTATATTCCCTTAGTGCATGATGAGCATTCAGTAAATACGAAACTAAACAATGAATGAAAGAATAAGAAAATGAAGGGAAATGATAGGGAAGAAGGAAAGAGAGAGAGGAAAGCAGCACATTCAGTGAAGAAGACACTATATGAAAAGGGAAGCTCATCCTCTTTGCCTAAGTGATTATACCTGTAGAGAATACGGGGTCATATGCTTGCCAGTCATACAGGCAATGTCAAGCAGCATAGGACATGTAGTTGAAGCAAGAGTATCTTCACATCCCCTGCAGTAAAGAACAGATCAGGCAGTAGAAGATCAGGGAAGAGACCACAGACCCAAGGACTTGAAGCTGCAACTGAAAAAACCAAACACAAACACACACACACACACACACACACACACACACACACACACACACACCCCAAAACTTTACTATTCTGAAAACTCTCAGTAAGAGAATAAATCTTTTGCAAAGTACACCTTCTTATTGTGTGACTGTTATTGTTTTGTAAAGATATCTTCGTATGCTGATACTTTAACAAAGAAGCCAGTAGAAGCCCCAATGTTTGATGGGAAAAATCCTTCTTGAGTAGAGTATGTAGAATCGACAAAATTAAATTGTTGTTAACTTGATTGACAATTATTCTGATTACTTTAGTAATAGTGATAGTCACCTGATAAACACTTGTCATATTACAAAAATTATATGGCAATCGATGTACAGTTTCTTTTATCCAAATAGGAAAAAAAATCTGCATGTCTTATACTTTACCTTACTTTTGGGGATATCTGTATATTTTTATTTTTAATATTTAAAATTTTCAATGTTTCCATCATGCAAGAGAACTGTACCTCCAAATATGCTCCATTCACTTTGTACTAACTCATTGTTCCATTTACTACAAACACTGTTTCATAACCATTTACGTATCTTGCTACATGGTTGGTCATATGACAAGCTAATCTTAATATTTCTCTATAAAAATAATAATGCAACAGAATTATGAATCAGTAATTTTAGAAGTAAATCATGCTGCAAATTACATATTGTATAGTCTGATTAATAGACAACTTTAAAATGGATTTAAATATTTGGAAAGCCTCCCTTGTACTATGTTGGATAGAAATGTTTTGTTAAGTGCACTTTTGAAGTGACAATGTAAGGTATAGCCCAGAGAGCAAGAGTCGTGCCACAACATGACAATAAAACTCAGACAATCAGGAAATTAATAAAACAGAAAACTTTACATGTGTAAGTTCAGTGTTTTCTCAAATTGTTTTCCAGAGAAAGTTTGAATGCCAGGCTTTCCAGCTTATGAAAAAATTCTGACACTTAGCAATCTCATTTATTTGTTGAAATTTTTAAGACTACAATAAACAGAAACATGATTTACGTCTAATTTATTACTTCCTTATTCACTCAAAAACCACTGAGCTAGTCCTCTTATTCAGTGAGAAAACTGAAGTTTATTCAGGTGTGGCTTTAGTATTGAATGTCTTTTTTAATTCACTTTGGTACAGTACCTTAGGCATGTCAAGAAAATGCCTTCTATTAAAATTACAATCAATAAATTTTATTTCCAGTTTAATTTTTACCCAGATAGTAAATATATTTAACCAGTAATTTTGTACACTTCTTTGACATAGTTTTCATAATTGTCACTTTGCACAATACATTTAGATAGAAACTTGAATAGGTACTTTAGACTGCCAAATTTGAACTTGTTGAACAGGTAAAAACTTGGCTAAATTTCATGTCCTTAGAATCAAGACTTCAGTGGCAGAGTAGTTTTTATAAAGAGGAAGTAAAGCACATTTTAATGAAATTAGAAAAATCATTCTTAAGTTTGCCACCAAGAAAATCCAAAAATGGACACTTAAATATTTTGCTTTAAGGTAAAGCATATATATTTTTCATGAGAATAATTTAGGCAACCAGAATAAAATACTAATTTACATTTGTAAATAACTTTAATGATGCTTAATAATGTAGCAGTGGACTTCAAAATATACATCTACAAATTTTCTCTTAAACTATCTGAATCACAGTGTACCGCCCACGCTGATACGCAATTAGATCATTGCACAGTAAATAAAAAGACATTATTTCCATTGAGTATAAAGCTGAAAATTACTCTAAAATCTACCAAATTAAATATTTCTAAATAACTTTAATCAAATATTTTATTTTTATTCAAAATTGTTGGCAATTATTTAGCTAGTATTTACTTTGATATTTATGAGAATACATTTGATAGCATACAACATATTAAAATATAAAAGCAAAATTTGTTGAAAAAGGTATATATGTATAGAGCTGCTGAAAAGAAGCTAAAGAATCTCACATTAATCTTGTCCAATTTATGTAGTAAATTGGAAATATAGAAATAAAGGTTATGCTTACCAAGCTGATGATTTTGTCAGCTCTGATTATTGAATAAGTTAAGCAGTTTTTCTATATAATGGAGCTTATTGATAATTTGATATACTAATAAACATAGAAATAGCAAAAGCCTACATTTTAATGATGTCTTTGCTTTCAAGCCAGTTATGTATTAAACATAGTACCTACCTAGCCAAACAAATATAAAATAGTTGTGAATATTTTAAAATTATATGATAGGTGCTACATGATTTATTATAAATTTTGACAATTTTATGTTTAATTAAATTATTTTATAAGTGAAAATATTCTAAATTATTTCATCATTTCAAGGTCTCAAAATCTTAATAATACATAACCTGATAAGAAGAGTTTATATTGAAGATGGTGATATATCTTTATGTCAATAAATTATATTTTATATGTAAAAAGATCATGCCAGTATGTGGCTAAAAATACAAATGAGATAGATTAATTTGTCTCAAAAGTGATGTGAATTACCAATAAATTGGCTATTTGAAGGAATTGCTAATCATAAAAATGACCATGATAGAAACCTAGTTCTATCATTTACTCCCATTTTGTATATAAGCACAGTCATTGTTGCAGTTAAGAAATGCCAGAAAAGAAAAAAAAAAGACTTACTTTAAAAAAATTAGCAGCAAGTTATTAATTCCCAACTCATTAAAATCATACAGCTAAATGCCTAAGACAGTAATAGGTATATAACAAATATTACCAAACATCTACTGAGTAAAATGACCACCTCAATTTGTTTGAATATCCAGTGTGATGAAGAATCTTAAAATGCAAAAGAGTTTTTTATATTTTTAGTTATTGCTGGTGAGTCCTTGTTTCAATTACTTGGACAGGACTGTTGTTGAGATGTGCTTAGACTTAAACATCTGTTCAGTTAAAATGGGAAAAGCTTGGAATTGGGAGATACTTGGTCTTGAGGAAGGAATAACAGCATTCATAATGGACAGGCAACAATTCAAGTCACCTATGTATCTAAAGCTACATATTGAACATAGCCTGACTCAAGAAGTGATCATTATGCAAGAAATTTCTTTTCCTTCAAATTTTAATTTTTTTCATTGAGGTATAAGTTAAATAACAGTAAATAAGCACATATCTTAAGGATAATGAGTCTTGACAAATATATACACCCATGAGATCAACACCCCAATCAAGATATAAAAGATTCCCTCATGCTGGTTTAGTGTCAGGTCTCCCTCTTTCCACCACTGAGCCTACTATCATATATCTTTTTTACTGGAGGTTTTTGCTTATTCTTGAATAGTACATACATGCAATTAGAATATGTACTCTCTTATGCCTATCTCATTTTATTCAGAATAATGTTTGTGTGATTTATCCGTGCTGTTGTGATGGAATTTGGGACACACTACCTCAAAATATGGCACCTTGATATTTAAGAATACAGCAAAAATTGGAAGGTCTCTCTCACCTTCCCTTCACACCTTGTACTCTGAAACAGGTCATTAAACCCAATTGACTTTCCTCTGAAGTAATTCATTATACCTCATTCCAAAGACGCCATCCCTATACCTAGAAAAATGATGTCATTATTTCTGAAGACACAGGGACACAAAGAAAATCTGAACAAACAGGCCTGGCTAAGGCCCCTCTCCAGTTTACTACTACTAGATCATACCCACTTTGTCCAATCATACTTCTGCACAATGGTCCATTCTTCATCAAACCTAAGCATAAAAGTGTATGTTTTCCTGTTTCTTTAGGTCTTCATTTCTGAAGGTGCCTGTGTCACAAAATCTTATATTGCACAAATTTAAGTGTTTTTCTTTTGTTAATCTGTCTTTTGTTATAGAAGCATCAGCCATGTACTTTGCAATGGGTGAGAAAAAAATATATTACTTTCTCTCCTCTACAGTTGCATGTATCCAGTTTCAGTCAACTTTTTTACTGAGTTGTGTTATATTGCATGAATATATCAAAATTTATCCATTCCTCTGTTGATGGATTTTTTTTATTTTTTATGAATAAAGCTGCTATGAGCATCTTGTACAAATCTTTTCATTAATATAGTACTTATCTTGGTAAATTCTTAGAAATTGAATTGCTAGAAAAAATTTTTGTTTAACTTTTCAAGAAACTATATAATTCTTTTCTGATGTGGTTTCACTGTTTTATACTCCTGACAACAGTCTCTCAGAGTTCTAATTGTTCCCTATCCTTACCAAAACTTAATCTTAGCCATTCTAATGGGTGGAAAGTAGTTTCTAATGGCAATTTTAACTACAATCTCCTTGATGAATAATAGGGCAACTTTTCTAGTGTTTATTAGCAATTTACATTTTTACTTTTCTGTTTAGGCCTTTTGCTCATTATTTTGTTTTACTTTTTAGTATTGAGTTAAGGGTATCATTTCTTTATTACTTATATGTTACTTATAGTCATGTGTCACCTAACAACTGGGATACTTTCTGAGAAATGTGTAATTAGGTGATTTTGTGGTTGTGTGAACATCATAGAGTGCACTTATACAAACCTAGATAGTGTAGCCTACTACACACCTAGGCTATGTGCTATAGCCTATTGCTCCTATTGATAGTGATAGGAGACAGACAAAATCCTAGGTAGACAGGGATGGGTCCCCAGTGAGGCTTGACCTTCAAGCCAAGGACAGTCTAAGGCCTGGAAACCAAACTGCCAGTTCTGGATAGAATCCTCAATAGGAGTGAGAACTTGCATCCCCCTCTTACCCACTCTCTCTTGATTGGTTCCTTCTATATGATGCCTTTAAACCAGTGGAATGGCTTTTTCCAAGACAACCCATGGACCAATCAACACCCATTCCTCCATTCTAAGCCCATAAAAACCCCAGACTCAGCCTCACAGATGATAACCCACTTTCAGGACCCATCTTCTTCCTGAAAGCTTTCTCTCTGTCACTAAACAAAATTCTACTCTGCCTTATTCATTCTCCAGTGTCCACATACCTTATTTCTCTTGGTCACAGGACAAGAACCCAGAACTTGCTGAAGAGCAGTAGTAAAAGAGTTCCTCCTGCTTGCTGAACTGCAGGCAGTGGGAGTAAAATAGCTATAACCCTCCCTCCCAGTCACTAAACAAAGAGAAAGATGAAGCTGCTGGGCACTACTCACTCCTACTTGCTGATCAACAGGAGAGAAGAAGCAAAGCCACTGGGCTCCACTCCCTTCTGCTTGCTGAGCTCCAGGAGTCAAGAAACAAAACCACTGCCAAACTATGGGAGCACTCCCTCTAGCTTGCCAAATGATAGGAATAAAAAAGCCTTAACACTAGGCTACTGTAGAAAGTGAAGTAGAAGTTCCTCTTTAAAGGGATTTTCCTCCTCGTCTAATTAGAAATGAATAGTAACCTCTCTTAGAAGCAAAATTTCTTCAAAACCTGTGCTAACATTCTTAGATATCTGCTAGCTGAAATAAAGAGATCAATGTGCTTTGTGTTCTTAGCTCACACATTTTAGCCTAGATACTTGCCCTGGCATGCTTACACAGGCCCAAGCAAGCATTAGGTCATAGCCTGTTCCTCTTCCTTTTTGGGGGGTGTTTTTACCTTTCTCAGCATTCCACAAGTTGCTTCCTCCTTCCTTTGTTCTCCTCTGCCTTTTCCTCTTTTGGAAAGTTCTAAGTTGCTAGCCAGTCAGGACAAGTACAGAATGTGAGGTCCCATTCCAGCCAATGGAAACAGCCATAGGGTGGACCATCAGGTTATACATGACCCTATCTCCTTTGTTCATGTGTACTCTTGTGGCAGGATTGCTAGTGAGTGGCACCCTTTCTGCAGAAAGTAAAATTGGCCTTTCTGAGAGATCCTTTGTCTTAGTGTTGATTTCTGCGATATTGAAAACCCATTTCTAACAGCTACAAACTGGTATAACATGTTACTGTACTGAATACTGTATGCAATTATAACAAATGCTAAGTATTTGTATATCTAAACATAGAAAAAATACTCTAAACATAATGATATAAGAGATTAAAAATGGTACACCTGTATAAGGCACTTACCATGAATGGAGCTTGCAGGACTTGGAAGTTCCTTGGATGAGTGAATGAGTAAGTGAGTAGTGAGTGAATGTGAAAGCCTAAGACATTACTATATACTAGTATAGACTTCTTAAGCACTTTACACTTAGGCTTTGGTAAATTTATTTAAAAATTTTCTCTCTTCAATAATAAATTAACCTTTGCTTACTGTAACATTTTACTTTATAAACTTTATGTTTTTTAAGTTTTTGACTTTTATAATAACTCAGCTTAAAGCACAAATGCATTTTATATCCATACAAAAATATTTTCCTTCTTTATATTCTTACTCTGAGCTTTTTTCAATTTTTATATTTTTACTTTTTAAACTTTTTAAAATAAAAACTAAGACACAAACACACATTAGCATAAGGCTACAAAGTTTCAGGATCAATATCACTGTCTTCCACCTTTACATCCTGTCCCACTAGAAGATCTTCAGGGGCAATAACATACATGGAGCTGTCTTAACAGCTTAACAGTGTCTTCTTGGGAATACATACTGAAGGACTGCCTGAGACTGGTTTATAGTTGACCTCTTTCTTTTCTTTTTTTTTTTTTTTTGAGACGGAGTCTCCCTCTGTTGCCCAGGCTGGAGTGCAGTGGCGCGATCTCAGCTGACTGCAAGCTCTGCCTCCTGGGTTCACGCCATTCTCCTGCCTCAGCCTCCCAAGTAGCTGGAACTACAGGCGCCCACCATCATGCCTGGATAATTTTTTTGTATTTTTAGTAGAAACAGGGTTTCACCATGTTAGCCAGGATGGTCTCGATCTCCTGACCTCGTGATCTGCCTGTCTCGGCCTCCCAAAGTGCTGGGATTACCAGCGTGAGCCACCGTGCCCAGCTGACCTCTTTTTTTAATAAGTAAAAGGTGTACACTATAAAGTAAGGATAAAAATGTAGTAAATACATAAACCATTAAAATATTCGTTTATTATAATCAAATATGTATCATACATAATTATGTGTGCTATACTTTACAGGACTGGTAGCACAGTAAGTTTGCTTACACCAGAATCACCACAAACACGTGAGTAATGGATTGTGCTACGACATTAGGACAGCTATGAAGTCACTAGGTGATAGGAATTTTTCAGCGCCATTATAATCTTATGGGACCATCATCATATATGTGGCCTGTCATTGACTGAAATGTTATTACATGGCACATTACTGTATCCTCTGTATTCTTTTATTATTTGTTGAGACAGGGTCTCATTCTATTGCCCAGGCTGGAGTACAGTGGCCCGATCATGGCTCACTGCCGCCTCAACCTCCCAGGCTCAGGTGATTCTCCCACCTCTGCCTCCTGGGTAGCTGGGAATACAGGCCTTCACTACCATGCCTGACTAATTTTTTTTCTTTGTAGAGACAGGTATTGCCATGTTGCCCAGGCTGGTCTCAAACGTCTGGTCTCAAGCAATCCACCTGCCTCCACCTCTCAAAGTGTTGAGATTGATTGGAGACAGAAGTCACTGTGCCTGGCCGACTGATTTCTTATATTACAGCTTTACATGTTCTTAATATATGCTAGGCACATCTTGTATCAGATATATGTGTACTGTTAATATTTTCTCCCAGTTTGTGGCTTACCTTTTTATATATCTTAACTGTTATCTTTTAATGAACAGAAGTTTTAAATGGATGAGGTACAGCTTATAAAAATTTTCTTATATGGTTCATGCTTTCTGGGCCTTATGTAAGAAATCTTTGCCTACTCAAAGTTCATTAAAAATTCCTCATATGTTTTGTCTATAAGATATACAGTTTTAGCTTTTACATTTAGGTTTATGCTAACCTATATATTCTTGAACTGAATATGTATATGAGTGAGGTAGGAAAGATAAAAGTTTTTGAGTTTTATTTTGTTTTTTCTGTACGAGTATCCAGTTGTTCAAGAACTTTTCTTTCTCCCATTTAGTTACATTTACACCTTCCTTTAAAAAAAATTGACTACATATGTATCACTACATTTCTCTACTTTCTATTCTGTTTCACTGATCAAAAAGTCAAGCTCTGTATTTACATAAAAATAACAATTGACTTTTAATAGGAATTTCATAAAACCTATAAACATTTTGAAAAATTGATTTCTTAACAGTTTTTCTTCTAATACATGATTATTATTGGATCTTTTGCCATTTATTTGTTTTTATCTCTACTTTTTTCTCCTCAAGATATTTTATAGTTAATAGTATACAGAATTTGCATATACTTTGTTAAATATATCCATAATTATTTCATGTTCTTTATGCTGTATTTTAAATTTTATTTTCTGGTTGTCCATGACATGTCCATGTATATTTATTTTGTATTTTGTGAACTTGTTAAATTTATAGTTCCATTCTAGGAGATTTTTTGAAGATTTCTTTGGGTTTTGTAAATAAACAATAATGTTATCTGTGAATAAATACAATATTACTTTTTCTAGTACAGTTGGAATGTCTTTGTTTTATTTTTCTTACCTCATACTGGTGAGGATTTTTACTTCAATGTTGAATTAAAGTGGCAAAGGTGGACATATTTACCTAGTTTTTTAATCTTAGGATAGAAATGTTCCATCTTCCACCATTAAATATATTAGCTGTAGGTTTTCCATACATGTCCTTTATTAGATTGAAGATGTTTCTTTCTCTTCCTTGTGTGCTAAATACATTTATCATGAAAGGCTGCTGAATTTTTTCTAATATTCTTTTCTGTATTCATTTGGTGCTTGTGTATTTTTCTTTTTGTTATTTCAATGGTGAATCACTTTGCTTAATTTTCCTATGTTAAGCCAACCTTGTATTAATGAAACAAATTTCACTTGTTCATAATATACTTTTATGTTTGTGTATAGATATTGCTGCTTGCAATTTACCGATACTTTGTTAAATATTTTAGCATCTATATTTATAAGGAATGTGAGTCCATAATGATATTTTATACTGTTTTTGTCAGAATTTATTTATCCACTTCATGCTGATAAACTTTATAGACAATTTGGTAAATGTTGCTTCCTTTTATATCATCCTTAAATGGTTAATAGTATTTACCAGGTTTAGCATATGACTCTGGAATTTTTTTTGACAGGAGGTTTTTAATTGTGAATTCACTTTTCTTTAACAGATATAGGGCTCTTGAAAATTTTTACATTACTGTGAAAACAATCTACTCAGAAATTCAGAAGTCATATATTCCTGATAGCTGCTAAAATAGGTTTGAAGAGTGAAAGCTTGTACATGGTCTACTACTTTCCAGAAGGACTCTACCTAGTAGTTGAATGTTTGAGAGCTGCAGCTTCTGAGCGGGATACAGGAGAAGGCAAAAGCCGAGTAAGTTGCTGGGGTCACAGACACATAGTTGGCTTTGTGCAAGATTTCATTCTCTGTGGGGAAACTGAAGTTAATTAAAGAAATAGAGTGCGAAGTTCAGTTACACCGAATGAGCAAATACAGCAGAGGTTAAGAACAAGTTCTGTTTCTACGCTCGTGTCAATTGAAGCACAGATGGAAGTGATATAACAACTAAACTGGCTTTAATAAAAAGAAGGGCCAATCTCAGTGGTTCAAAACTGTGTGATTCCATTTATATAATATTCTCAAATGACAAAATTATAAAGAAAGGAAATGGACAAGTGGTTACAAGGGTGTAAGGAAATGGAGGGGGTGAAGCAGGACAAGAGAGTTTTTTGTAAAGATGTAATGATGTACGAATAGTCCTTTAGCTTGATTATAATAATGGCTATACGAATTTATACATATAACAAAATGTCATACAATTATACTCAATGGAATAAAATTGAGTATGTGCAAAATATGCTAAAATCCAAGTAAGGCTGCCATCTGCTTAATCATACTGTAGCAATCTATTTCCTGATTTTGATAATATCCTGTAGTTACATTAGATGTCACCATTGGGAGAAGCTGGCAATTTGTACAAGGAACCTCCCTGTACTATTTTTGCAAATTTGTATGCGTCTGTAGTTATTTCAAAGTAAAAAGTTCAAGCAAATTAAAAAATAAATGAAAAGGGGAATGTGTTGGCTCATACAAATTAAGTGTTTAAGGTAGTACTATGCCAGAATTTCAAATTACATTATTATGACCCAGTTTAAGAATATGTCTTAATTCTGCTCTTTCACATTGGCTTCTGACAAAGGTTTAATGCAAAGGCAATAGCTTCCAGAGTCAAGTCAAATACATTTTTTTTGCATTTGTATCTTATTCCAATAATTCAAAAATCCTGTGTCAAAGTATCATTAGGTAAAATCAGCCCATGTGATTATCCCTAAGTCAATCACAGTGCCCACACCCAGAGTATGTTGTTGAGTCAACTTCATAAAAAAACATCGTGAATTGAGACTGTAGAAGGGATAATTCTTCAAAGGTAATTCAAGGTATTGTTACCAAAAGAAAAAAGAATCGATGCTGGGGACCCTGCAAAATCACTATCGTGACATGCAATTACTCAGAGCTCATCCCAGGCATTCCAGACACCTAGTAGAAAATGGTAGGCTCTGCCGGGCACGGTGGCTGACGCCTGTAATCCCAGCACTTTGGGAGGCGGAGGCGGGTGGATCACGAGGTCAGGAGACCGAGACCATCCTGCCTAACACGGTGTAACCCCGTCTCTACTAAAAAAGTACAAAAAAAATTAGCCAGGCGTGGTGGCGGGCGCCTGTAAGTCCAGCTACTCAGGAGGCTGAGGCAGGAGAATGGCGTGAATCCGGGAGGCGGAGCTTGCCGTGAGCGGAGATCGCGCCACTGCACTCCAGCCTGGGCGACAGAGCGAGGCTCCGTCTCAAAAAAAAAAAAAAAAATGCTCTCTAGAGCTACATAAAATAAGTCTAATGTTTAATCTTGAAATCTCTTTTTAACAAGGCTAAAATTCGTTAGTTCTTATTTGTCGTGATTATCATCACAGATGTCATGGAATCTCTTATATGTCATGGTTTCCAAATGCATTCCTTCTTAAAGAAGTATGTGAATCATTCTAGATCTGGTCTGACAGGCAGAGTAAAGCAAAATTCTTACCTTCCACGTACACTCTTTCTCTGTTAACAGATTACCTTTGTCGGTATCTTCACTATGCCATCATCAACTCATTGTATTTGCAGTAGACCAAAAGCCTTTCAGACTCTCCTACCTATACTTCTATTTAGCTGTACCTTGCCAATACTGTACTTGCAAAAAAAATTGTTAACCTTTTTGTTTTTTAATTTTACTGTTCCTATTATAAATTTCACCTTTTTAGACTTTTCCCCTTAGTTTAAACAACCTAGGATTACCTGGAATTTAATCTCTCCCATTTTGGATGTTGCCATTATTCTCAATGTCTTCTCATCAATAAGTTTCAAGCAACATTTTACCTGTATCATCACTGAAAATATTTCTCTATAGTTTAGATGTGAAACAGCTTCTCATATATGTGACAGTATTAGGTTGTGGTGATTAAGTCTTTATGAGTTTTCTATTGTCAAAATTGCTAAAACTCACTGTGTGTTGAAGACAGGTCTGAGCTCTGCACATGGTACTTTATTTAATCATCACAACCTATGAAGACGCATTATTAACATTCCCATTTTACATATTAGAAAGCTGGGTCACAGAGGGTTTAAGTAACTTTCCCTAGATGGTACTACTAATTAGTAGCTAAGCCAGGATTCTAACAAGGCCATCTGATTCCTCTGTTCTTATCATTTTTTCCTCACCATTAATGTCTGAAAAAATATCATTTGACAGTCTCTCAAAAGGCCATGTTGAACTTCAAATGGCATTAGAGCTCTGGAATCACTAAATGTCCCACTATGTTCCCAATTAGTTATAGTCATGACTGCAAAGAAATGAATGGGGATGTATAAATAATTAATAAAGCATGTATCATTGCTACAAGTCTGACAGGACCCTTTATTATCATCTAACATTTAGAGGCAAGGACATCCATTCAGTTGTGAGCTGGATAACCTACATTTACCATAGGCCATCTGAAGTCAAGTCCATAATGTTATTTTTGTTACACCTCTCATATCAATATTTGTTTAACCATTTCAAGTCCAAGGTTTCTTTGTCCTTCCCTGTCATTTCTTCTTCTAAGAGATCCGCATCAGAAGTCTGTTTTTGTCCTCCTTAGATCAAGAATTCCTGCCTCCCAGAGAAGGTTCTTCCTTTCACCACACATTTGGCCCAGCAGGTGAAATTCCTCTCACATTCTACCACAAGTAGAAGCATTTTTAATTAAAGATATTATACTTTGGGATAATTATCAATACTATACCCTCAAGGACCCAGAAAGAATGTATACTCAAGGTTCTTAAAATCTGCAAATTTGATTAAGGTACTTACAATAAAATAACATAAAGCAAAAATAAAATTGGAGTCAAGAGAGCTATATGGTAACAAATTCAGATGCCAGTACACTAAAACTCTGCCTACTATGAGCTCTGATCATCTATTTTGAATTGCATTCCATTCTCTCCTTTTTCAATTATTTTGGTAAACATTAATTATATTAGCACTTGTAACAGAATTCTACTGGATAAAAACATCAGAAACTCAAAATCAGCTTAGAAAAGAAGGAAATATTACCACTCTCTTAAAAAAAAAAATCGAACTCAGAACCACAATAAAGCCAGTGATTATGCCAAAAAAAAAAAAAGAGAGAGAGAGAGAGAATTCTAATGACAGCATAATCAGCATCATACAGTCTTCCTCTTTCTACCACTTTTCTCATTTTCTTCTTCTCTCTTATCATCATTATTATTATTATTTTCCTTCTTCAGGTTGGTTTTATCCTATTAAAGCTAATTCCTTTAAGATATTAAAGTCTTTATCCTGGCAGCTTTAGGAATCTTTCCTTTCACTATCAGAAAGTAACTCCCTTTCTCTTTAATTAAAATTCCAATAATCCTTGGGGGAAAGGGCAGGAAATTCTGATTGGCTTGACATGAATTGTGCCCTCATCCCTTTGGATAATGGGTTGGGTTTCCATAATTGACAGATCCTATCACTACCTGAGGATGGAGTAGAGGAGGAGCTATTCTAATCAAAATGGGGAGAATTGTTTCTAGAATAAAGCAGAGGTGTTCAGTAGGCAAACAACTGGTGCCCAGAGCATGCTCCCTGGTTTATATTGCTTTGTTTTCTCTTTCTGGCCCACAGCAATACAAACATTCCTCCCTTACGCTGTGCTCTTTGTGCTGGAATGAGGAAATTCTTTTTCCAACCCTGGAATTCATGTGTAAAGCAACCACCTTGTACTATCAAGATTCTGATTTTGCATTCAAATGTTAAAGCACTCAGTCTGCACATTTTTCACCTAACTCACAATGTTCACAAGCAAATAAAATCCCTGCCAATGAAACTTCCTGTGGCTATTTATACCTACCCAGATATGTCTAACTATTCAACATATAGACAGTTTAAGTTCTAGATCTAGGACCCTTGCTCCGTAAACTTAAAAGACGGTAGCATTCTGATATATTACATGTTCATTTTGAAGAGTTTTAAAAGGATTAAGTGTAAATCACACAATCAGTGAAAAATATGAATCACTTGTGTTGCTTAGCTAGTTCAAATGAAATTAAGATTACACATATTCCAAAAAGTTAATTGCTTTTGAATTGATCCATAGCCCCATGCAACTGGCCAAAATACCATGAACAGAAAACAGAAATGATCCAAATTATTTAATCCCACAACAAGAAAAGCAACAGAAAGCATTTTCTGGCTGGGCCTGCTGGTTCATACCTATAATTCCAGCACTTTGGAAGGCCAAGAGAGGAGGATCACTGGGGCCCAGGAGTTTGAGACCAGCCTGGGTAACATACCGAGACCTCATCTCTATAAAATGTTTTTTAAAAAATAGATGGGTGTGTGGCATGTGCCTGTAGTCCCAGCCATTTGGGATGCTGAGGTGGAAGGATTGCTTGAGCCCAGGAGCTCCAGAATACAGTGATCTGCTGTCAAAGCACTCCACTCTAGCATGGGCAACTGAGTAAGACTCTGTCTCCCAAAAAAGAAAAAAGAACAAAAACAAAAATAAAAAGGAAGCACTTTTTTTGATATATTAAAACCCCAGTCCTTAATGTCCTTTTTTTCTACACATTCATAAATTGCCATGAGTTATGATGCATGTCATGAGTGTTTTGTACTAAGAACTACAGTATCAAAATTTGTAAATAATTCCCTTTTCAGTAATTTATGTGGATCCAAGTTCATTCTATACAATTCAGCATTATTTTCTCGTTTATATCTTTCCAACGTTTCTCCTTGAATGGAAGAGAAAAGAGGGATCTTACAGGAAGAATGCTAGAATTAAAGCTATTGAAGTCTGTTTAATAGGATGAACATGACCAGATTTGTATTTGTGAAAGAGCACATTGAATACATTGTGAAAAGTAGCAAACTATGAAGCAAGCTGACAACGTCATAGACTGCTGCAGTGACTTTGCAGACAGACCATGAAGCCAAAGATCAGAGGTAGAAGTAGTGGCAATGCATGTTACCAGGTAAATTGATAAAAATACAGCCTGACTTATATGTGCAGACTGCCTTTGAAAAATCACTCAAGGAAGTTCACTTTAGATTAAAAAATTAAACTGGTATGTAGTGGGCAATCACTCTGTGCAGGGCACAGGCATTGTTACAAACAAAACATTTCTAAAAATCCCTGCTTTCATGAAGCTTATATTCCAGATGGCAGTATGAAGAAAATAAAAAACAGAAATAAAATGTGTATTGTGTTTGCCACTGATGCATGCTACAGGGAATAATAAAACAAGAATGAGAGTTAAAAGTGCCTGAGGGCTATAATCACAGGTTTTACCAGAAATGATCATACTGAGAAAGTGGATTTGAGCAAAGTCCCAAAGGAAATGAGAGAGTCAAGCAGGTTTAAAGAAAATACTAGCAAAGGAGATATCTCTGAGGTAAGAAAGTGATGTTTCCTGGGAGGTCATCATGACTGGAGAAAAGTAAAGGAAGTGAGAATAGCAGAAGATAAGATCAGAGGCAAATGAGGGTTGTAGGGTCCAGATCGCACAGTGCCTCTTAAATTATTGCACGACTTCATTTTTGGTTCAGCATAAGATGGCAACACGTTCTAATCATTTGAACTCAAGAGTGAGGTAATCTGACTTATTTTAACAGGATTACCCTGGCTGCTGTGTTGACAATAGACTGATAGGGCAGAAAGAGGACAAAGGTGGAAGAAGGTTCATCAGTTAGGAAGCTATTGGAAAAATCCAGGTGAGGAATAACGGCATCGTGGACCAGGAAGATAGCAGTGGGATGGTAAGAAGTGGTTAGATTCCGAATATATTTTGAAAGTAGAGTTAGTAAGTTTTGCTGATGGATCAAATACCACCAAAGGGAGAGGTAGGGGCCATCATTCATCCCATTATAAATGTACATTATTTGTAATACAAGAATCAAATCATTTCAGAATACTATACTGGAGTTACTAAACTATTAGTAATTTCATACTATTAGACAGTATTGCTCAGAATCTGTGGAGAATATCATTGACAAAGAAAAAGCACTAATATCTGGAAAGAGAATATGATATTTATGCCACCAATTGATTTTCCCTGTTTTAATTGTGGCATAATTAACAGATCATTTAACTTGCTTTTGCTACTTAGGCTGTGTACAGAAATGTTATCAATAGTAATAATTGTATTCTCAGAAGAAAATTTACACACATTTGCAAAAAGTATTAAAATATTTTAAATAGAAAAATAGCACAATATTTTAATTAATTAATTACCGGACTCACCTGTATACTTTGTTCTTAATTTGTCCAGAATAATATTTCATCATCTGTTCATAGAACCATAATTTGAAATATGATTTTCTATAGGGTGGATGTAAAGATTATTTAGTCTTTTCTTTAGCTTAATCAAATTTTACTTTTGATTACTGAGAAGTTTCTTAAGCATTTTTATAATTTTCATCATTAGATATTTTAAGATCCACCGTGTAAAAGTAGTTTTGACATGATGAAACTCTGATGATCTTTCTTTTCTTTCTTCTTTAAGTATACTTGCCTGGCTTTCACTAATATACTTTCTTCCTGTCATATTTAAATTTTGGCAAGGTCAATAATCCTGAAAAAATGAATACAAAATTAGTCTGAAATTGATGCCTGCTCAAGAGCACTTCAAATGCATATTTAAATTATCTCTATGTTGCATTGACCTATTCTTTACATGTTGTAACAAATTGCTCTTGCACTATATATTTTGAATTATTGACAAAGGTGTAGGAGTTTTATCACTAGAACACTGTTTCTTCAGGCTTTTTTGCTACATTGGTGTCAATTTTATGCATTACTTTATCTGAAACTGATAAACTTCATCAAGACAAAATGTGTTAGACATGCTAAGACATGATCCCTATATAAAAAACATGAGACTTCATGTACAGATATACGGATGTACTCAAGAATTATAGTGCTGCTATCAGTCCAAATCCTAAAAGCAATGATTCTGATAAATCCCATTGTGCACAATTTCCATTAAAACAAGCAAATGAATGAAAAAGAGTGTGCACATATAATTGTATTTGATGCTTCAGTGAGTATATTCCTGATAGAAGAAGACTTCTGTTTTGGACAGACATTGAAGCAAAGACAATCTACTGCTTCAAGTGTTGCACATATAATGACTGAAAGAATTTTCCACATAGTTCTAGTTCTGGTTCTGTACGTTTCAAACCTTGTTTCTCTTTCACACACTTCTGGCACTAAGGGAGATAAAATGTGCTCATATTTCAATATTACTTCTGCCATGCACCTTTGAGCATCCATGTAAGTCAATGTGGTGAGTGATAGGAGTCTTTGTGAAGGTCATTTTAACTGTGGCTGGCAATCACTTATACACAAAAATGACTGTAAATCAAATAAAATATCCTACTAAACCCAATAAATGTCAATTCAACTAAACTCCCCATTATCCAGATTTAAGAAAAAAATGCCATGACTATTCCAGGGAATTGTGGCAAAGGGAAGATCATGATAACAAGATGTATACAATTGTGAACATATATATACTAAGATATAATTGTAATGCATGAAAAATATGAGTTCACACATAGATGAATTCACTGTTTGCAGTACTGCTGTAGGTTTATGCCCTACAAATACTAGAATTTTGATAAGAAGTATTACTTACTACATGAGAAAGAAAAAGATGATGCACTCATAATTATGGTGTTGAGCATATAGGAAATGTTCATAGTTTGGTAATCTCTGATCCGGCATCTCATGATAGCAGCTGGTGAATCAGCACGCAGACAGAGGAGGTACACCTGGAAGTTTCTAATCTCCCTCCAGTGCTTGGAACTTGCTGGCATCAGTAGAGTCATCTGGCCACAGTATCCTAAGCCACTGATGTTGTCACTCCTCCTCTCAAGGTACCCCAACCAACCACACCCCAACCCTTCTTCCTCTTATGTGGCAAACCAGATGTCTCATGAAACTCTGGGACTCATGCCTGTGAGATCATTCTCAGGTCTTAAAACAAACTCCAGCTCCAGGATAGTGGCCTGGCAATAGCAACCATTAGCTGCATGGTACTTCTTTCAGAGGATCATGTGAGACCGTATTCAGGCCACTAGAATGACACTGATGTGCTGATTTTGGTGACTCTCACATCAGACATATCACATCAGACATGAGACCAGTTCAGGGCTCTGAACTGCCAACAAGACACCCTCAGCTTAGCTTTGTGTTTTGGCCTGTGTCTCAGCTTTCTTCTTTGGGATTTCCAAATGAAGGCTGCCTCTGGTTCATAGAATATTTTTGATATTTACTGCTCCATATAAATAATTTCATTCATTGAATTTCATTAACAAACTCTATTTAATTTGGATTGCCTTGCATTCATAAATTTTCTTTTCATAGGAATAAATGTTGCTGGACATGGTAGCTCACATCTGTAATCTAAATGCTTTGGGAGGCTGAGGCTGGAGGATCGTTTGATTCCAGGAGTTCTAGATCAGCCTGGGAAACAAAGTGAGATCCCATCTCTACAAAAAATTAGCTGAGTGTGGTGGCACACACCTGTAGTCCTAGCAACTTGGGAGGCTGAGGCAGTAGGATTGCTTGAGCCCAGAAGTTCAAGGTTTCAGTGAGGTATGATCATGTCACTGCACTTCAACCTCGGCGACAGAGTGAGACCCTGTCTCTAGAATAAATAAATAAATAATAAGTGTTTCCACCAATAAATATATCTTTTCTATTATTTGAGTATTTTATTATTTTAAAAAAGTTTTAATTTTTCCATATTTTTAACAATTTTACTATACCTACTGTGAAGGGTATCTTTTAACTGTTATGTTTTCTAACTGCTTATTCTGTTAACTAGTGGAGTTATTGATTTTTATGTGAAGAACTTGTATCTAACCACTTTGGTAAAATGTTTCATTAATTCAATATCCTATCATTTAATTAATTTGGTTTTATATGATGATAAGTATGTCATCAGCAAATAATGGTTTTATCTCATTTCTTCTGCTTATCTATTACATTGGCTGGGATATCAAATACAATATTCAATAATGACAATGAAATTGTCTTGTTCCTTTGTTTAACATTGTATCTAATGCTAACATTATATCTATTATATCTAATTCTCTCAACACAACTTCTGTTAGCTATGCTTTACCAAATTAGAAAAATACAGACAAATGTGGCTATTTTGTGTTTCCCTGTTTATCTAGAAGAGTTCCTTTTTGTTTCTCAGTTATGACCCAGCCAACTTAGGATTCCTTCTCCAGAGTTAGATTTTCCTAATGCCATGATTATAATGCACAATTTTAGTGAAATTCCAATTTAGAGAAATTGAGGAAGAGCCATAGAAGAGTTAATGTATAATGCAAATACAAAAATGTCATTTGACATAATAATTTTAAAATTTCCAGTTTGTATTTAGATAAAGGATGAAACTATAAATGTTACAACATGACATCTTTTCACAACATGTGTTACCCTAGATATTAAATGCAAATGTCAGTCTCTTTTCATCCATAAATAGGATCAGAGCCCAGATGTAATTCATGTAAAATAACATATTTCAACCTATTTTGAATAATTTGGTGGAAATGAATTTAAATATTTATGAAGATACAATTTATTTTTGAGTATGTTGTTCACAGGCCTATCACTTTCATACAGCCAAAGTTCACAGGACATTATCAATCCAGGGTCATAATTCTATGCCCTATTATTTATTAAACCCTAAACAGAACTATTTTCTATAAAAGAATGCTTGGTGTTATGGTTGATTGCCAAGTGAGATAAATTGACTACTAAAAGTTGTCAGGAATTTCTGTTTCTAGTAGTGAGTAATTTGAGCAGGTTCCTTTATTCAAAGTAAAGCAGTGTAGAACCTGATCTCTTTTCTTTTGAAGTTCAGCATTATTAAAATATCTTAATAAGAAGGGTTGACTGAGGTCAGCTGACAAACATGGGCAGCGGCTCCTCTTGAAGGGAAAGTCACTGAAAATGTGGGAAAAATATGGACTGGAGACCTGGGCTCAAAACCAATTCTTCGAACACTGTGCAGTTGAGACCAGGTTGTCCTTCTGACCTAGCTGTGCTGTCACTCCGCAGGTTGCTTGCAGGAAAGTGGCACGTGAATACTTACACTTAGAAAGTCCTTGAAATTGAAATGTTATTTTAGAAGCCTAACTCTTCTTTGCCATGGGATAGCCACTGCTAATCATAGTATAAAGGGAGAGAAGATTTTTCTACCCTGCTTTCACCTACTCTCTGAGAAGCTGCTGCAGGCCAGCAAATGGAGGGACTATCTCTGAGTCTCAGCAGGTTTAATAATACTCAGTACATAGTTCTCACTATATAGCTATAATTTTAGCCACAACATAGGAGAATAGGATTCTCTGACAAGTTTAGCAGGCTTTCTGGTTTTCTGTCCTTAAATAATAATATCAACCAATCTTTGCCTTATGGCAAGAAAAAAAGATGCAGGCAAGGAAATAAAGCCATTCTCTCCATGTGTGAATTGAAGACTGGTATAATTTAACTTGTATAATATCATACTGTGCTATTCTAAGTGAAAGAAGCATAGAACATATTATAGCAAACCCTAAACCAAACCTTGCAGGCAATAAATGATATGGTTTCAATTGGTAAGGTAGAACCATAGAGTGTAAGTATCAGTTCAGATAATTTTGTTTCTAAAAGTATATCGAATTCCTCTTTTGATTATCTGACAAGTAGCCAGGTAGCTATCTCAAGGTTTATGGATTTAACTAGCTATTCAAATTCTTTTTATATCATTAATGACTAAATTAGTATTAATATAAATTAAGCTTATAAGGCATCATGAAATGACATCCAGGGTAGCCAGGAAGAGTGAGTGGCATGAGAAGAGAAAGGACAAAGATGAAGACCAAATAGAAGCCACTTGTGATTTGTAAAGAGATACTGTAATAGAATGTTAAGGATAAAAAGCCAGAATAGAGTGGAATAAATTAAATAGAAATGAGGAAAAGAGTAAGTGCACAGAACGCTAGAATTTTGGATTTTAATGAAAGAGAGAGGTAGGTTGAGGTATACATCTCTCTCTCTCTCTCTAAATACATATATACATACATATTTCCATTATATATATATGGAATGTATATTTCCATATATATATACACATATATATATGGAAAGCTAGGTAGCAAAATAACCTGATTAATAAACAAAAGTGATTATAGTTGGAAAGATCTGGATTTGGAATTTGGGAGCTGATATTTATTAGCTGGATGAGTACAAATTGCCTCAGTTTCATCATTTCTAAAATAGAGATATTGATGCTTATTTCACAAAGTGGCTTTAGGGAATAAATTGAATGTTATGTGTCTACTCCTTCGGCAAATAGAAGTGCTTAATAAGTGGTACATATTAATAATATTTTAAAGTTGGTTAAATTATCTCTCTAATAAATTTGGTTATTAATAATAATATTAATCATGATAATAATTGCTATTGACTATTTCTACTAATCAGGTTTTCTTGATGGTTAACATGAAAATTCATTAACATAAGCATTAAGGAATTTATTGTAAGATTATGTCATGAAGCTTGCAAAATTAATAAAAAACTGAAGTGCCAAGGTTAAGCATGAATGCCAAGAGGCAAGGCATAGCCAAGCTGCCAAAATGTTTTTACAGAAGCCATTTGCTCATGACATTGCATTTTGACCAGATAACCTGACATTCTGCCATCTCTGCGCAAGTGCTGCTGTGATACTGCATTGTTCTCTCTGCTATCAGTATGATTCCAGGCTTTCTCAACCTAAGCACTATTGACATTTGGATGAGACTTCGATGTATGGAACTTTCTTGTACCTTGTGGGATGCTTAGCAGCATCTCTGGCTTCTACTCATTAGATACCAGTAGCACTCCCTGAATCCTGACAATCAAAAATTTCTGCAGACATTGCACAAATGTCCCAGTTGACAACCAGTACTATGCAAATATCTCTACTGACCTGAACCTTTGCTTCACTCCTTCAAGATTCAAATATGAAACAGGAGCATCTGCTTACTCATATTTGCTTCATATAATCTAACTACCAGAAGGGTACAGGAAAAAAATGTTTCTTCTGTTTTTCTTATTGGAGACAATGGACTTCCAGTTACCTGGAATTGCTCTGTTATATTTGAATGGTGTTCAAATACAGAGCCACAAAAACAAATATACATGGAATCTCCTATGTGCCAATTATTATGGTAGCCTCACTGCAGTCATTTATAATCATTATGACAATCTTTTAAGGAAGCTGTTGTTATAATCATTTTACTGATGCACAAAGTGAAGTTTAAAGACTTTACATGCTTTGCTGAGCATCAACCAGCTCAAACAAATTTTGTTTGATGCTGATATCTTTCATCTTCTATCAGGTCGAATTCAACTGACATTTACAGCAATCCCACCTCAAGTTGCTATTTTTTTCTTTTTGTTTACTACTTAGAGAAAATGATTTTTAAATGGTTTTTAATTATATTGAACTATAATTTCTCTATTGTGGGAATGCATCCACCCAGTGTTCCCTGTAGTGAATAATTACAGACCTGTTTTTTGATTCATATCTCCACTCAATAAAGAACACTGCCCATTCTTCTCATTCCAAATTCTCTTTCTACTGTCACTCAAATTAAGGTTATTTAAATGTCATGAATACAAGAAAGAATTTCAGTTTCGAGAAATCCTTGAAGATGTTTTTCAGATAACAGCTATGTTAAAAAAAAATCCTAAGTTTCCTCTTTACCTAAGATAATTCTTTTTTACTTCTTAATTGTGTATTACCTAGCCAACTCAGAATTTCTCCTCCAGACTAACAACCTAGCACAGAGTCAGTCAAATTGAGGTAACCTCGGTATGGAAGAAGGCAGAATGCACTATTGGAATAGCTGGAAGATAGTGTGCAATTGGTCTATTTATTTCTTAGTATGATAACTCTTAGTCATCAGTAATTATTATATAAACAAAAATTTGAGTGTCTCTGAACCACTGATTTTTCTGCTGCTTGGTTACCTCTGTAGATACTTTATTTTCTTTCATATTTAATCATCTTCACACATATGCATTTACTAATTTAATCTTATATTTATCAAATTTTTGAGTCATATGTAGACGTTAGCTTCAAAAAATACCAACTCTCTTACACAAATGCACAAAAATCCCCAAACAATTAATGTAGTTTTGTTATTAATAAATGTTTTTGTCTGTATGCCAATCCAGTAGCTAAATATGTTATGGGATACATCATTGACAATGATGATTGTTTTGGACTAAGAAGTCTGTTGCTCTCATGATTATGCAAATCCTTTCATCCTCTGGCCAATATCATGTTTTCAAAGTTTTATCTTTCAGTATGAGATATAGATAAGAAGAATAGGAGAGGTTAGAAAAAGAAAGAAACCTAATCTCAGTGTATTTCCCTCTTTCCCATAGCACATTTATGTTGATCAAAATACCAGACAGATTGCCAAAATCTAAGGGCAACATAACAATTTTAATAGCCTTAATTGAGTACATTCCAGGTCACATGTACTGGGTAATGTGCTTTACATGCCTTATTTCATTTATTTCTCAAAAACACTAGGAAATAGATTTATTTTCACTCTCTTTTTACAGCTGAGGAGTCTGAGTTACAATAAAATGGAGAATGCAACAAGTTAGTACCAGGGCCAAAATTCT
Source organism: Homo sapiens (assembly GCF_000001405.40). Taxonomy (NCBI): domain Eukaryota; kingdom Metazoa; phylum Chordata; class Mammalia; order Primates; family Hominidae; genus Homo; species Homo sapiens. The sequence continues at coordinate 85,699,143 of NC_000012.12, forward strand.
CACTGTTGCTTTCTAACACAGGGGTCTAGTTTCAGGTTGCAAATGTTTTACCAGTATAGGAGACAGCTAGTGAATGGTCAGCAAAGTGATTTGGACTAAATGAATAATAGGAATTCATATAATGAGGAAGATAACTAAGGAATTTATTTGTGTTTGTATCTAGGAACGTTTGTCTGGCTTTACCTATGCATATATGACAGAGCACTTGCTTTTTTACGCCCTTTACAAATATTAACCCATTTATTTCTCACACCAACTTTCTGAAATAGGTTTTATTATCATGTTAATTATTATCATTTGAGAGGTGAGGAATGTGAGATAATGAAAATTAATAACATGCCTGTCAAATTGCTAAGCGCAGCAATGGAATTCTAAACCAGGTGATGTGGCCCTTAACTGGTATTCTATGCTGATACCTGTGGAAGGAGTCCCATATATTCTCCGGGCCATGATTCCTTTTCACTAGGCTTAAATTCTGCAGTAAATCATTATAGCTAATCCCTTGCATATCACCGTTTTTTCTTCCCTACTTGATCTTTCACATCAGCTGACAAATATGTTACTATGTATCCGTTGTTTAAAATATATATATTTATATAAATAAAATAAATAAAATGTATTTGTATAAATAAAATAAATTATATACATATATATACCCTCTTAACTCCATTCCCTTTGCAAATGTTATCCATTTTCTACTAGTCTTTATAATAACATTTCTATGAAGATATTTTCCATACTCATTGTCTCCACTTTATCTGCTTACATTTCCTCTTAAGTCGGCTTCAGGGCTTCATCTCCAGTACCCCATCAAAACTAGTTACTAGTGTCAACACTGGCTTTTGCACTGTTCAATCCAGAGATGAATTTATGAATTCTGAGTTATACTGTTTGACTCATCAGAATCTTTTTTTTTTTTTTTTTTTTTTGGAGACAGAGTCTCACTCTGTTGCCCAGGCTGGAGTGCAGTGGCACAATCTCTGCTCACTGCAAGCTCCACCTCCCAGGTTCACGCCATTCTCCTGCCTCAGCCTCCCGAGTAGCTGGGACTACAGGCGCCCGCCACCATGCCCGGCTAATTTTTTGTATTTTTAGTAGAGATGGGGTTTCACCATGTTAGTCAGGATGGTCTCGATCTCCTGGCCTCGTGATCCACCCGCCTCGGCCTCCCAAAGTGCTGGGATTACAGGTGTGAGCCACCGCGCCTGGCCCAGAATCTTTCATTATTTAAAATATTGTCTTTTTTTTCTATCATATACCTGAAACTTGCTAATAGAGGAGATCTTAAGTGTTCTTGCCATCCCCCACAAAAAAACCAACCATAACTATGTGAGATGATAGATATGTTAATTAGTTTGTTTTTGGCAATTATTCCACAGTGTATATGTATATGAAAATATCAAGTTGTACACAGTAAATATCTAAAATTTTTATTTTCCAAGTATACTTCAGTAAAGCTGGGAAAAAACACATTTAAGAAAAAAACACATTTAAGAAATATATACTCCATATAAACTTCATTACGGCAGGTATAGTTATCTGCTTTGCTCACTACTGTATCTCAGGGCTGAGAAGCCCTAAGATAAGCTCTTATAAAAGGATGAAATATGGAGTATAGGATAAAACATATTAGACTTGAAATTTTCACAGCTGTACATACAAGTCTAGTATAGTTTTCAGGGCTTTATAATTAGGTATTCACTTTTGCTTTTTTGGGAAGGAGACTCAACAGGAGATGAAATGTGTGTTTCCTGTGTTGCATGTTCCTGCACAGGTACTTCGAGGACAGTAGATCTTCCCACCCCTTCTAAATACTCTGTGTGTGTACATTTTTGAGATTACATATTTGGATTTTATGTTTTTTTTAAAAAAAAAGAAATAAAATACTGTCCTTTTTTTTTTTTTTTTTTTTTTTTTTTTACTTTTTGCATTAGAACACTACCCTCACTTGGTTTTCTACTTAATTTTGGGGTAGTTCTATCTCAGTTTATTATCCTAGTTCCTCCTTATCTCCCCAAAATGTAGACAGTGCAATGTTCCAGGGCTCAGTCCTTGGACCCCTTGTCTCTGTACTTACAGTTTTCTATTTATATTTACTCCCTGTGTGGTCTCATCTAGTTTCATATCCTACTAACAACTGTATGCAGATTAGTCTCAAATTTTGTTTTCCACTCGTACCTATCCCCTAAACTGCAAACATATTCATCCAGTTGTTTCTTTTACACTTGGCTGTCTAACATGCATCTCAAACTTAACTGGTTCAAAACACGGTTCTTAGTCTTTTTCCCCCTTAACCCTGTTCCTCTTTCAACTACCCCATAGCATCACCCCCCATCAACCTGCTCTAGCTATAGTTGTCCCACTTCATTATTTGAAGTTCATTATATGAAAACACCATCTTTACTCATCTGGTAGCGTATCACAGATCCCACAGAATATGATTTGCCTCAAAATATTGCCATAAACTTCCCACTTTTCATTAGCCTCCCTACTTCTACCCTGATGCCCTTGGATTGCTGAAAGTTTCTAAATATATCCATGTTTCTATCCTTGCCACTGTAACCTGTTTTCCATGTAGAAATTGGAGTTATCCTTTTAAAACACAGTTAGATCCACTGCTGAACTCCTTCCACTGCCATGCAAATCACTAAGCTTCTATAAGGTTTTGGGTTCCTAAGTAATCTCTTTGATCTGTCCCTTGTGACTCTCTTCCTGGTTTACCCTTTTCCTCCCACACCGACTCTTTTTGCTGTTTCTTGCACAAGTCAAACATGTTCCCACAGTGGAACCTGTGTACCTACTACTCCCTCAGATGAAATACTCTTTTCCCCTATATACATTGCCTGCCTTCTCTGCCCTTTCAAGTCTCTCCTCAAATGCCACCTGCTCAGTGTCACCTTCTCTAGCAAGCCAGTCAAAAATATCAATCCCCCTCAGTTCCAGATGCTCATGATACTCCTTTCTTGCTTTAGTTTTCTCCTCAAGTCTTAGAGTCAGTGAATATATTATATATTTTACAGACTTATCTTTTTAAAATTAATCTGTCTCTCCCTAATAGTATGTAAGATTTATTAGGGCAGAAAGTTTTATATTTTGTTCACAGCTTTACTTCAGAATATAGGATAGTAGATGATTAATAAAGATATGTTGAATAAATGAACTGTACACTATAAAAGTGGATAAGGAAGTAATCATGGAAGTATAAGTAAGGTTAACCTTAAAGGACTGGTAGAGTTCCTCAGACAGAGAAAATAAGAAATACTTTGGGCAAGAGAAAAACATCAGTTGAGGCTTTGGCAGTAAGAATTAGTATGTTATGTCTACCAGAGAGAGATGAAATCAACAGAGTGAAGTTAGAAGGTGTATCTTTTATTTTAAAATATTTATTTATTCACAAACAGGATTGATAAACCTACTACATGTTAGCACAAATAGCACATTTTGTGGGGAGTTATACTGTCTTTTCCAAAATATGCAAAATAATTTAATGAAAAGATTGGCATTGCCTTACAGATTTACAAATCTCTTTAATGCTTAACAATAAAAGGATAGGTGGGTGGTATGTTTAGGCTTTGTGTCCCCACCCAAATCTCATCTTGAATTGTAATCCCCATAATCCACATAATCCCCATGTGTCAAGGGAGAGACCAGGTGGAGGTAACTGAATCATAGAGGTGGTTTCCCCCATGCTGCTCTCTGATAGTGAGTGAGTTCTCATGAGATCTGATGTCTTTACAGGTCTTTGGTACTTCCTCCTGCATTCATTCTCCTTCCTGCTGCCCTGTGAAGAAGGTGCCTTGCTTCACCTTTGCCTTCTACTATGACTGTAAGTTTCCTGAAGCCTCGCCAGACATGCTGAACTGTGAGTCAATTAAACCTCTTTCCTTTATAAAATACCCAGTCTCAGGCAGTTATTTATGGCAGTATACAATTGACTAATAGTGTGCCACTACATTAATTGGTTGAAAAATGTTGTTTTGGTAAAAAAGGAAAAGGTCTTCACACAAAAATGTACTTGGAAAAGAGGATTATTTTAATAGGTTTTTCAGCTAATTGAAACTATTCATTTTTTATGAAGTCAAGCCTTGAATATTTGTAATTTTTTGAAGGTTAGCCGTTACATAGAATCTAAAATATCAATAAGCTTTGATACTCACTTGTTAGATTAAAATTCAATGCTCTATCTTGCAGTGCAAATGGATTTTTGATGCATGCATGAATTTGTAACGTTAGGCATGAATATTTGGAAAATGTGGGTTATGTAGATCTTTCAAATGATAATAGACATTATATGATATTTTAACATCGCATTCCTTAATATCATCGCTGATCCCATCAAGTAAGTTTTCAAGTATTGGCAAGTTGTCACAATCACAGTGGTGGTACCATTGTTCTAGAATTCTAATTTTTGTTAAAAGCTCAGATTTTGTCAATGATTACACATACTCTCAGTTGTTCAAAGTGCAAAGCTAACTTGATTCATTTTTTAGAAAATATCTTCCAAAAATTCAAATCTGAATAACCATAGTTGATCAACCATTTGTTCTTTTAAGTACAAATGATCTTTCTTGGGTGGAAAGAGAGCCCTTAGTTCAGCTTTTAACTCAATCACATAAGTGCTTTTCTTTCAGGCAGCCCTGTTACTCTGGTATGCACTAATACTTCCAATTTCATCACACAAAATTGAAAAAGCACGTACTTAAGGGTAAATTTTAATACAAATAAAATTATTATGTTTCAATCAGGGATATTTTTTATTGAAGCCACCGTGTGGATACCTGGCAGTGAAGAATGTAATGGCTAGCAATATAGTTTTGTGCCACTACTTTGATTCATGCTAAGGTACAAGCCTATCATTACTTTTTTTTACTGTCAATGAAAAATTGTACAGTGTCTCAATAGTGCTAAAAAAATAGCTTTGACTCAGTGACTTCTCTAAAAGGGTCTTTGGAACTGCATAGTTCTGTGAACCACACGTTAAAAACTGCTTTCCTAAGTGTTTCCGAATTTTAGCATAAGTGCGAGACAACATAAATGTAAGAAACTTACAATAATCATAATTACAATAACTAGGTTAATGCAAAAAACAATTGAAAAGTCATATATTCAAGACAAAATTCAATTAAATAGTAAATATTTTCAGATGAAATGCTATAACCTGCATGCAAAGTCTTCTAAACCTTAGCCAAGGTTTAGATGGTTTATAGAGTTATACTCAGTTACTGACAGATCTAAAATGAACTTCTTCCTGTGATGACATACTGTTTTGGCAATAACAGGAGTCTTGACAATTTTTGAATCTGTATGTCTAACCTGGATACTCCTACTCATATCTAGAGTTACATAGCTTTCTGTAGTTATGAGATATACATATATACACATATATACATATATGTATATACATATATATATACACATATATACATATATGTATATACATATATATATATACACATATATGTTTTTGTCTACAGTCCCTGGTTTATAACTTTCATATCACTTGTTATAAACTTTTGTTATAATGGGGGATATTTTAGGCCTTGGAACAGTCCTCAGGAAACAGAATCTGTCCAATCTTCTTCTGCCCTCCTTTTACCTGCCCCAGTCCTCCCCCACCTTTCTGATTGTGGGGCTTAAGACCCTCACCAAAGAGGGCCTTGCCCAATACCCTGGGCGCAATAATGCTGATGTTATAAAGCTTCCATAAAACTCCAACAGGACTTTTATTTATTTCTCTCAAAAGTTTTACCTAAGAATATATCCTGTGTATTGGATTCTGCTATATCTATCAGGAATCCTAAGCACACTGATGGGTAACTAGAAAGATAAATGATAAGAAAATTCACAGGGCTCAAATACTAAGAAAATAGAGAGTACATGTGATTCATACACCATGAAGAACAAGAGCTTTCAACTTGGACACATCTTAGTCTGATACTTATTCTGTCACATAATATAGTAAACCTCTTAGCAATTTAAGCCTTTCTAAGAACTACTTTATTAACTTGTAAAATAGAGCTAATATCTACCAACATAGCTTATTGAATATTAAATAAAATATATATACATATGTTTAAAAATAATATATAACTAATACTGATTATGTATTAATTATGTACTAATCCATATTAATTATATGGTATATGTTATGTTACACCATGTCATATCATATCATACATTATATCATACTATATATTGAAAACTGCCCATCATATTGTATTTATGAAAAGTATGTAAATACTCAAAAATAATCACAATTTTATAGTTGAAATATGCATATGAAATCAGCTACAGTTTGAATGTAGGCTTACTACTATAGATTAGCTAACAACAGAACTAACAGTTTCCAGATCAAATAATGCAAATTATTAATTAAATGTTCAATTACTGATTGTGATAGAAACCACAGCTGAGTAATTATAAGTATTTGTAACATGTAAATAATTTTCAGCATATTTTTTGTTTTTAATACTGACATGGTTTGGCTAGGTCCCCATCCAAATCTCATCTTGAATTGTAGTTCCCATAATCCCCACATGTCATGGGGGACCCAGTGGGAGGTAACTGAATCATGGGGGCAGTTACCTCCATGCTGTTCTTGTGATAGTTAATAAGTCTTATGAGATCTGATGTTTTTATAAAGGGTAGTTCCCCGCACTCACTGTCTTGTCTGCAGCTATGTAAGATGTGCCTTTGCTTGTCATTCATCTTCCACCATGATTGTGAGGCCTCCCCAGCCACGTGGAACTGTGAGTCCATTAAATCTCTTTTTCTTTATAAATTACCCAGTCTTGGGTATTTCTTCATAGCAGTATGAAAATGGACTAATACAAATACTTTAGTTTATACAATCTTTTTGTTTTTGTTTGGTTTGGTTTTGGTTTTGGTTTTAGTGGAAGAGTTAAATAATGGGCAAAGAATGGTTTCTCATATGACATCCTAGAAAAACAAAAGTATAAGGAAAGAACAGTAGAGTGGTAGAAACAGAGAAGGATAGGGATGTGGTTGACTACAGGGTTAGTCTGTTTTTGTTGCTATAAAATTGCTATAAATTACCCATACCTGAGGTTTGTTCCTATAAATTACCCATACCTGGGTGGGGTTGGGTAATTCATAAAAATGATTAATTGGCTTTTAGTTCTAAAGGCTTCACAGGAAGCATTGTGCTGGAACCTGCTCCTGGTGAGGGCTTAAGGAAACTTCTAATCATGGGAGAAGGCAAAGGAGAGCCAACATGTTATATGGCAAGACAGGAAGCAAGAGAGAGGAAGGAGGAGGTGCCAGTCTCCTTTAAACAACTTGCCCTTGTGCACAAAAATACAGAACAAGAACTCCCTCATTACTGTAAGGATGGTACCAAACTGTTCGTGAGGGATTTGCTCCCATGACACAAACGCCTCCCACCAGGACCCATTTCCAACAGAGAGGATCACATTGTAACATGAGATTTGGAGGGGATAAACATCCAAGACATAACAGCTACCAAGAGTCATAGGTGAATTTTGGGGAGTGATGGAACTGTTCTTTAACTTTATTATGGCAGAGGTATCATAACTCTACGTATCTGTTACAACTTGCAGAACTGAAAAAAAAAATGTGTTCCTTGATTTAAAAATCTAAATTGGGCCTCTGAAACATGAAGCAACAATTTATTGAAATGTTTTAAAAGTATTCAAAGTTACTGTGTTACGTAGACTGAAAAATTATGACACTCATTCAAGAATAGCCCATTTGGAAGATTAGTATCGTTTGAACATTGTATTAGTTTGCTAGGGAAGCAATACGAAGCACCCAGAATGAGTGGTTTAAACAGTAGAAACTTATTATCCTGAATTCTGAAGCTTAGAAGTCCGAGATCAAAAGATTGGCAGTTTTCTTTTGAGTCCTCCCTCTTTGGCTGTACATAACTGTCTTCTACTTCTATCTACACATCATCTTCTCTCTGTACTTCTCTGTACAGAGATTTTCTCTCCTTATAAGGACAGTGGTCATATTGGATTCGGGTCTGCACTAAAATCTCATTTTAATTTAATTACTTATTTTAAGACCCTGTAAACCAAAAATAAAATTCTAAGCCCCGATGATATAAATGAAACCCTCCTCTCAGCTAAGGGCATTCAGAAGTTAACCTGTAAAACTAGTTCAGGCTATCATGAGAAGGAGAAGTCCAACATGCCTCATTACCATTAACACCAACACAGACCTTAGGACTGATAGAACAGATTCTTTGAGTCGGGTAAGAGATACTTACAATCTGTTCTCTTTAGAGCCTGTTACCTGGAGGCTTCAACTGTATGATAAAACCTTGGTCTCCACAACCCCTTATCACAACCCAGACATTCTAATGATTCCAGGTCTTCAAATAATAACTCAGCCAATTGCCAATCAGAAAATCTTTGAGGATCATTGGTTTAAAGTAACTTTTGTTTTGGTCTCAGGTTGTTTTATAAGAATAGGGACATATATTTCTCATTGTTTTTAGGAACTGTTGCTCAGACCAAGGAAATAAAACCCAGGACATATTAAGTTAACATTGCGACTCTGATTCTTTATGCAGATTGCACACAAAGGTGTATATTTGTATTTTCATTCATCTTACATATCTTTTCCTCATAGTCAAATAATTAAAGTAATTTTCAGATACAATAATTTTTCTAAGAATGTTTGGCAAGAACTCTGCCAAACAAGTCTATTTAACTACAAATTGTTGCTTTGCTTATCCCTTGATGTAAAACCAATTTCCTTTTGAAGCCCACCAATCTAGGAACTTTTGCATTTAGGTGAGTGCAAAAGTGATTGTGGTTCTTGCATTGTTGGAATTTGCCATTTGAAAATGGAATACTTTCTTAAATAAATGTCGTTATGTTATACATCATTTTAATGAGCATTTCTTCCTTTATGTTTTTCTGCTAATGACTTTTTACTTGCTGTTTGTTTTATGTTTATTTTAGACTATGGAAATGATGTTAGACAAAAAGCAAATTTGAGCAATTTTCTTATTCGAGTCCAAAATGGGTCATAATGTAGTGGAGACAACTTGCAACATCAACAACGCATTTGGCCCAGGAACTGCTAATGAATATACAGGTGCAGTGGTGGTTCAAGAAGTTTTGCAAAGGAGACGAGAACCTTGAAGATGAGGAGCATCACGGCCAGCCATCAGAAGCTAACAATGAATGACCAGCTGAAAGCAATCATTGAAGCGATCTCTTACAACTACACGAGAAGTCGCCAAGGAACTCAATGTCGACCATGGTTATTTGGCATTTGAAACAAATTGGAAAGATGAGAAAGCTTGATAAGTGGGTGCCTCATGATCTGAGCCAAAATAAAAAAAATCAACCTTTCGAAGTGCTGCCTTCTCTTATTCTACACAACAACAAACAGTTTCTCAATTGGATTGTGATGTATGACAACAGGTGGATTTTATATGACAACTGCCGATGACCAGCTCAGCAGTTGGGCTGAGAAGAAGCTCCAAAGCACTTCCCAAAGCCAAATTTGCACAGAAAAAGGTCATGGTTACTGTTGGTGGTCTGCTGCCAGTCTGATCCACTACTGCTTTCTGAATCATGTCTGGCAAAACCATTACATCTGAGAATTATGCTCAGCAAATTGATGAGATGCATTGAAAACTGCAACATCTGCCGTGTCATTGGTCAACAAAAAGGACCCAATTCTTCTATGCGATAACGCCTGACTGCACGTGGCACAACCAACACTTCATAAGTTGAATGAATTGGGCTACGAAGTTTTGCCTTATCCGCCGTATTCACCCAACATCTTGCCAACCAACTACCACTTTTTTATTTTTATTTATTTATTTATTTATTTATTTATTTATTTATTTATTTATTTATTTTGAGACAGTCTCGCTCTGTCACCGAGGCTGGAGTACAGTGGCGCAATCTCGGCTCACTGCAACCTCTGCCTCCTGGGGTTCAAGTGATACTCCTGCCTCAGCCTCCTGCTGACTACCACTTCTTAAAGTATCTTGACAACTTTTTTGGAGGGAAAATGTTTCCACAACCAGCAAGATGCAGAAAATGCTTTCCAAAAGTTTGTCAAATCCTGAAGCACAGATTTTTACTACAAGAATAAACAAACTTATTTCTCATTGGCAAAAATGTGTTGATTGTAATTGTTCCCATTTTGATTAATAAAGATGTGTTTCAGTCTAGTTACAATGACTTAAAAGTCACCGTCCAAAGCTGCAATTACGTTTGCATCAACCTAGTAGAATAATTATACCATAGACAAGATTACAAAGCAAATGAATTATTTCTCTAACTGAATGCAAATTTATTCATGAAGAGAGTAAAGTAACATTTGCACCAGAAAATCATAGCTGAAGCCAGCAATTTTCCAGAGGGAAATTTGTTAATGAACCTTTAGCTATTCAGAGAATAATCTTTTTCAAAGCTTGATAACATCTATAACCCTCTCCCTAAGACAAAATTTACTAAGGTTTTTAAAAAATAAAAAAAGGGTTTTTTTTCTATTTTTATGAACATAATATTACTTAAACCATCATCTAAATTAGGATTTCTCCACTGCAGCATATCACTGTTTTGGACCAGATAATTCTGATTGTTGAAGGTATAAGGTGCATTTCAAGATGTTTTCCAGCATCTTTGGTCTCTGCTAGGTTCTAATAGCAATTACTCAGTCATGACAATCTAAAATATCTCTTGAAATTGCCAAATGTTTCTTGGGAGACAAAATTGCTTCTAATTAAAAAATACTAACCTAAATATATGTCTACCCTCTTCTGCTCACATTGTACTAAAGGTACTTATTTTCAACCACAGATATGACAGTCAAACATTTTCTGGAAGTCTATGGTATTTCTGGATGCTGCGATGATAAAAATGGACTTTAAATGAATTAATACATGTAGTCATTGAAGAAAAGGGGCCTTTGTTAGAGTTTACAGGGAGAAAAATAATATATTTCTTTAATTGGTAGAAAGAAGATACTTGAGTTAAAGATTTGTCTTCTCTATGCTGACTCAGAAGCTGTGTTAGGACCCATGACTGGATGTTACAGTGAAAAATACTAAAACGGAATAGAAGAATTTAAATAATTAGAACTTTGCTAAAATGATGTTTAAATGTTTATTAAAAATTACTTAGGATTACCAAGGATTTAAAAACTAAAAATGATTTTTTTTTGTTGGGGGACATAATATTACTTAAGTCATCATCTAAATCAGGATTTCTCAAATGTAGCACTATTGCTATTTTGGACAACACACTTAAATTACTACTGCGTATTAACTATTGATAATATACCATCTTGAATTACCAGCTCAGGTTATCCATACATTTCAACTATTGTGGTATTTATATTTTGATAATTTGTAAGAGTCTTTTTTAAAGAAAAGCCATTAACTTTTGCTTGCTATATGTAATACATATGTCACTACTATATTTAATTTTTTCACTTTTTGATTATTTTCAATATAGAGCTCTTGTTAATTTTTTTTACTCCAAGCCATTAATATGTTGCTATTATTTATCCATTGCTTTTATGTCTAGTAAGCTCTTTCCCATAATTAGAAAAACAAACACCTGAATATTTATTGACTCTGTTTTTAATTTGTTTAGTAACTTTTATATTCTGTCATTATTAAAGTACTTCTAATTCCAGGCTACTGAATCTTCAAAAACTGGGAAAATAATTTATTTACTGAATGCCTACAGCATGCCTGGGTGGTTTAAAAGTTGCGTCCTATATAACCTTATTTAACATGTCATCACTATTAACAAGGTATAATTATTCTTAGTTTACAGATGAGGATATTGAAACCCACAAAATGTAATAGTTCTATCAATTCCACACAGTTATATGCAGTGGAGCAGACATTTAGACCAGTTCTGCTTGACCTAAAGCTCATGTTCTTTCAATTACAGCAATACTCTACAAGCAATAGGGAGCATCTTAGACTTTTAAGTGGGAAAAATGACATGATCAAAGCTGTGCTTTAAGAAAATCTATTTAGCAGAAGCGGACATGGAACATTTTTAAAAAGGGGAGTCTGAATGCTATTGAAATAGCCAAATAGCCAAGTCAAGGATAATGAAATCCCTGGGTCTGAATGAGTATAGTAACTGGAAACTGAAGAGGAAGAAATAGAAAAAGAGGTATTATGGGAAGATAATTTACAGAAAAGGGTAACTGATTCAATGTTGGTGTCAGTAAGCAGAGGTGTTAAAGATTATTAGGAATTTCCTGTTAATTCAAATAGAAAGAACATGTAAGCAGTTTTTTTTTTAATATGAAGTTTTTCTAAGGAAGATTGGGACCTCAAGTTTGGACATCCTGAGGCACTAAATGCAGAGGAAGAGCCTTTGGTGGAAGTTTAAAACTTAAAATTGCATCCTGGGACATGAAAAATGGGGTTAAAATTTATTGCTAGATGTGGGAGTCATCTGCACTGATTTAATAGAAACCACGAGATTGCCAAGGGTAAGAGTTGAAATGAGAATCATCATGGGCAGATTCATGAAAAATATTTATATTTAAGTGGTGAGAACAGGAAAAGAATCTAGATACAAAAATAAAAGGAGTGAGCAAAAAGTAGAAAGGGACACAAAGAAAAATATTTGATGTTTGCAACTGATTAGTATTTTATTTTATCTTTCTTTGGCTCTTAACTGTCACCCGAAGGCTCTGACATCAGAAATGACTCCCACCCCTGATCAAGAGTCTCTCCAACCTCACAGATGCTGGCCTCTTGGCACCTGCCTAGCTCTTGGGCCTGACCTTCAGTCCTGCTGGCCTCTTATTATTTCCCTCACCCTAGGTTTGGCCTCTGGAACCTCTCCCTCCTGTGTACCACACCCCACCTGCTGTGGAGCCCATTGTGGGGGCAGGGAGAGAGCCCTCCCCTGAGGATCTACTGCCCTCTGGGGCTGTTGAGTTGGGCAGAATCCTGGGCCTCCAGAGGCCTTTGCTCACACACACTCCTTCTCCCTGTTCCTGGCACACTCCCTTCCCCGAGATTACACAATAGTCAGAGTCCTTCTTTCCAGGGGATTGGGCCATGTGTCCTCCACCCATATGTCCATCCTCCTCTCCATGTAAGTGCTGTTTGGGCAGGAGTCATCATGCAAGGGTGACGTCAACAACCATGTACCAAGCCACCGCAGCTGCTGCCACTCTGGAGCCTGTACAGAAGAAACTGAATCTTTTTCATATCCTCATAAATCAATGTGAGTTTTTGATAGAAAACTATGATGATTATTTAAACTTATCATTAGTTGCAAACAGTAAATATTTTTAAACAGCATAGAAATATACTGTCAGTACCATACCTATATCCCCTCCCACTAATCAGATGGATATATAGCTGACTAAATTCCAACATCTAGCCCCTGCATTACTTTGCTTGAGAGTTTTCTCTTGTCTCCAGAATCTGCTATGCTTGCTCACCCTATAGGTTAGTAGTGTCAGAGAGTTTCCCTCCAACCCCCAGCCCTCAGCCACTATTTGATGGAACTTAGTACATAAATACTCCAGCTCCTTTGCACCTTGGATAGGATAACTTTGAAGCACATTGTCTACGTTGGCTATGCCAGTACCCTGACATGTTTAACTTTAAGTTACTATCAGAAAGAACTTGCCTAATAACAAAAGCTTTACTGTCTTTTCTTTTATCATTGCCCTAGTAATGTTTCTTGATATCACTTACAAAATAAACTTCTTGTGCTCTTAAACTCAACACTGCCTCATGGTCTGCTTCTGGGAGAACCCAAATGAAAACAGAACATGAAGGATGATAAAGGTTATTAGAAACAGAAAAGTAACTGCTGATCTTAAAGACAGATGAAGAACAGATAAATTGAGTGTAAGAAAACCAAGAATAAGAGAGTGTTTGGAAATGCCAGGCAATTTGAGGTTATGTTGAGGGAAGCTGAGAGAAGCATTTGAACTTGGTCTGAGTAAAAAATTATCTGCCTTGAGTAATGTGAAGGGGGATGTTAAGAATCTGGAAAAGAGTAGATGAAGTTTGGAACAGCTGTGGTGTATAACATAGTAAGCTGTCAATCAGGGTTAAAAATATTTTATGATAGTGTCAAATAATGAAAAGCATATTTTTCTTCAATCAAGCAGACCTGCATAAGAATTCTGGCCTTACCTCACTGTGTGAACATGTGCAAGATATTTAACATCTCTGGCCTCATTTTCTACATCTGTGAAATGATAATAAGGTTCAGCAATCAAGGATCGATGGATTAAATGCAGCAGCATGTAGGAGCCTAGCACATGGTAAATAATTAATAAATTTAAGCCGTTACTCCAACTGAGAGAGAAAAGAATCCAGCTGAAATTTGATTGCATGAGTTTAGAGCAGCGATATTCAGCTTGGTATTGTGTAACTTAAAAAAAAAAATGGAATGTTCATCTCTATTACAGAGATCTTGGAATAAGAAACACCTATGTGTTCCAAGTTTTTCCTTTCCCAGGGGTTCTCATGGACTTACACGTGCTATTTTTGATAACTTACTACATTTGTCTAGGCATGCACTTAAAAGGGTAACAAAAATAAAAGTAACTTCAGTTTCAGATTTGTGAGTGCTTTACATGGGTATTATTTATCAGACAATGAATAGTATCTGATTATTTTGGTAAATCAGACTTAAGCCTTCCTTCTCAGTTTTATTTATAGATTAAAACAATGAACTTAATACTAACTTAAAAAAAATTTCAAGCACACAACATTGTTATGTTGCCAACAGAAGTTACAACCTCAAATGAACTTCCTTGTTCTTAATACATATTCTAATTTATTTTTAAAATTTTCTTTCTTCAAAGTAGATTGGTCTTTATATACTTTCACATTCTTTTCACTATTAGACTTTAATAACATGGTCATTACAGCAAAAAACCCTACCTTACTGTTATTTCTATAGCTCCCAACAATTGAATCCTGGGAATTTTCTGTACTGAAGAATGTTCCATGTGCATTTTTGAAGAATGTGTACTCTACTATTGTTAGATAGAATGTTCTATAGATGTCTATTAGTTCTAGTAGTTTACAGTTGTCAAGTCTTCTGTTTCCTTGTGGCTCTTTTGTCTAGTTGTTCTATCCACTATTAAAAGTGGAGTATTGAAGCCTCAAGCTATTATTCTTATTTTTTTAAATTTTTCTCTTAAAATCTGTTAGTTTCTGTTTCATATATTTTGGAATTTTTTCATTATTGTTAGTAACCATTTTTATCTTAAAGTCTACTTTGTCTAATACTAGTATAGCCACTCCAGCTTTCTTTTAGTTACTGCTTGAAAGGTGTATCTTTTTCCATCCTTTTAAATATACATATACCTTTGAAGTGGGATCTTGTTATTGTTGTTTAATCTATTCTGTCCAATTTCTGCCTTTTGATTGGAATGTTTAATCCATTTTCCTTTAATGTTACTATTGATAATGAAGGATTTGTATCTGCTATTGTGTTACTTATTTTCTCTCTGTCTTATTACTTTATGATGTCATTGTTTCTCTATTTTTTATTGCCTACTTTTTGGTGAAATAAGTATTTTTAAGTATACAAATTTAATTCTGCCGATATTTCTTTTACCACATTTTTGCATTGTTTTCTTAGTGATTTCCCAAAGAACTATAACTAAAACTGATAACAATTTAGTTTGGACTAATACCAACTACTTTAAATCATATACAAAAACTTTGCTCCTATATAGTTCCATCGTCTCCTTATATTTCTGTTTTTATTGCCATAAAAATTACATCCTTATACATTATATTTTCATGTATACTCTTTTAGTTCACTTGGGTGGCTATTAAAAAATACTACAGACCTGGTAGTTCAAAAACAATAGAAATTTATCTCGTATAGTTTTGGAAAGACCAAGACCAAAGTTCTGTTAGATTTGATGGCTGGCGAGGGCCTCTTTTTCGGTTCCTAGATGGTGCCTTCTAGCTGTGTCTTCACCTGGTAGAATGGGCAAGACAGCTTTCTGGGGCCTCTTTTATAAGAACACTAATCCCATTTGGGAGGGCTGACCCTCAAAACTTAATTACCTCCAAATACCCCACTTTCTAAAACCATCACATTAGTAATTAAATTTTCACACATGAATTTCAGGGCACACAAACATTCAGACCATAACATAAGCATTAGCTTATGCAGTTATTTTACAACTTAGAAGAAAAAAGAGTTACAAACAAAATATATTTATGCTTTAAAAATATTGCTTTCCTATGCAGTGCTCTTTGCAGTGCTCATTATTTATTTTGTTTGGCGATACTGTATTGTTTCCTTTCACTTCAGCCTGAAGGACTCCCTTGAGAGTTTCATGTGGGCAAGACAACTAGTGAAAAATTACCTGTTTTTGTTTGGTTGTTTGTTTTGTTTTGTTTTCAATCTGGGAATGTCTTAAGGTCTTCTTCATTTTTTGAAGGATAATTTAGCTAATATAGAATTTTTGGTTGTCAGTCTTTTGCTTCAACCTTTTGATGATGTTATCTTAGTGCCTTTTGAATTCCAGGTTTCTAATGAGAAACCATACACCAATCTTATTGTACATCTCTTTTTTTGTGTTGAGGCACTTTTTCCTTGCACTTTTCAAGATCCTCTCTTCTTTTTTAGCTCTTTATGGTTGGATTTGTATATGTCTGTGTTGATCTTTATCAGTTTATTCTATTGGGTGTTCATTGAGCTTCTTGAATGTGTAGATTAACGTTTTTCATCAAATGTGAGAAGTTTTGGCTATAAAATTTTAAATAATAGCCATTCCTTCTGGGATTCTCATTATGAATGTGTTGGTATCCACAAGTCTCTGAGCTTTTGCTTATTTATATTTATTTATTACTTTTAAATTTGTGTCCTCAGGCTAAATAAGTATAATTGACTTATTTTTCAAATTCACGGATACTTCCTTCTACCAGTTCAAATCTGCTGTTGAGTTTTTCTAGTGCATTTTCATTTACTTAAAATGCTCTTCAACTACTGGATATCTTTTTAAAAAATATTCTTATCTCATTGTTGATACTCTCTATTTCCTGAAATAGTATTCTCATACTGTAGTTCTTTATACAATGTTTTCTTTAGTTCTTTGAGCATATTTAAAATAACTGATTACATCTTTGTCTAGTAAGTCCTACAGATGTGCTTTTTCATGGGCAATTTCTGTCTATTTCTTTGTTATTCCTGTATATGTATCTAACTTTCATGATCCTTTACATGTCATAAATTTTGTAGAAAATTGGACATTTTAAAAATATAATGTGACAACTCTAGAAATAAGATTCTATCCTTTTCTCATTGTTTATAGTTATTGCTATTTGTTATCGCTTTTGGTGTTGTTTCTTTTTATTTGCCTAATGGCTTTCCTGAATTAATTTTGTAAGTCAATATTTATCATCATGTATAGCCACCGAAGTCTCTGCTTGATTAGTTTGGTGACTAGCTATTTATAGTGCATAGATTTCCTTAAATGTCATGTTTAAGTCAATTTTCACATTGCTGATAAAGCCAAACCTGAGACTGGGCAATTTACAAAAGAAAGAGGTTTATTGGACTCAACAGTTCTACATGGCTGGAGAGGCTTCACAATCACGGTAGAAGGTGAAAGACATTTCTTAAATGGCGGCAGCAAGAGAGAAGAGAGCTTGTGCAGGGAAACTCCCCTTTTTAAAACTATCAGATCTTGTGAGCCTTGTTTGCTATCGCAAGAACAGCATGGGAAAGACCTGCCCCCCATGATTCAGTTATCT
Organism: Homo sapiens; assembly: GCF_000001405.40. Classification (NCBI taxonomy): domain Eukaryota; kingdom Metazoa; phylum Chordata; class Mammalia; order Primates; family Hominidae; genus Homo; species Homo sapiens. The sequence continues at coordinate 85,716,880 of NC_000012.12, forward strand.
TTCATTGGGTCCCTCGCACAACACGTGGGAATTCCGGGAGCTACAAGATGAGATTTAAGTGGGGACACATAGCCAGACCATATCATTCCACTCCTGGCCCCTCCCAAATCTCATGTCTTCACATTTCAAAACCAATCATGCCTTCCTTGCAGTCCCCCAAAGACTTAACTGTTTTCAGCATTAACTCAAAAGTCCACTCTCCAACGTTACGTCTGAGACAAGGCAAGTCCCTCCCATCTATGAGCCTGTAAAATCAAAAGCAAGTTAGCTACTTCCTAGATACAATGGGGATATAGGCATTGGGTAAATACAGCCATTCCAAATGGGAGAAATTGGCCAAGACAATGGGACTCCAGGCCCCATGCAAGTCTGAAATGCAGCAGGGCAGTCAAATCTTAAATCTCTAAAATGATCTCCTTTGACTCCATGTCTTGCACCCAGGTCACACTGATGCAAGAGGTTCCCATGATCTTGGGCAGCTCTGTCCCTGTGGCTTTGCAGGGTACCGCCTCCCTCCTGGCTGCTTTCACAGACTTCTATTGAGTGTCTGCACCTTTTCCTGGCACATGGTGCAAGCTGTTGGTGGATCTACCATTCTGGGGTCTGGAAGACAGTGCCCCTCTAGTCCCAGCTCCACTAGGCTGTGCCCCATGGGGAACTCTGTGTGGGAGCTCCCACCCTACATTTGACTTGCACACTCTCCCAGCAGAGGTTCTCCATGAGCACCCTGCCCCTGCAGCAAACTTCCAATTGGACATCCAGGCATTTCCATACATCCTGTGAAACCTAGGCAGAAGTTCCCAAACCTCAGTTCTTGACTTCTGTGCACCTGCAGTCTTAACACCACATGGAAGCTGCCAAAGTGTGGGGCTTGCACCATCAGAAGCCATGGCCTGAGGTGTACCTTGGCCACTTTTAGTCATGGCCAGAGAGGCTGGGATGCAGAACATCAAGTCCCTAGACTGCATACAGCAAAGAGCCTCTGGTTCTGGTCCACAAAACCATTTTTTACTCCTAGGTTTGCAGGCCTGTGATGGGAGGGGCTACCGCAAAGGTCTCTGACATGACCTGAAGACATTTACCCCATTGTCTTGGGTATTAAGATTTGGCTCCTCATAACTTTGCAAATTTCTGCAGCCAGCTTGAATAAAAAATCCCTCAGAAGATGGGATTTTCTGTTCTATCACATTGTCAGGCCACACATTTTTCATACTTTTATGCTGTTTCCCTCTAAAACCGAATGCCTTTAACAGCACCCAAGTCACCTCTTGAATGCTTTGCTGCTTAGAAATTTCTTCCACCAGAAACCCTAAATCATCTCACTCAAGTTCAAAATCCCACAAATCTCTGGGACAGGGGAAAAATTCCACCAGTTTCTTTGCTAAAACATAGCAAGAGTCACCTTTGTTTCGGTTCCCAACAAATTCCTCATCTCCATCTGAGACGACTTCAGATGGAGTTGTCCACATCACTCTCAGCATTTTGGTCAAAGCCATTTGACAAGTCTCTAGGGAGTTCCAAACTTTCCCACATTTTCCTATCTTCTGAGCTGTCCAAACTGTTCCAATCTCTGCCTGCTACTGAGTTCCAAAGTTGCTTCCACATTTTGAGGTATCTACAGCAGTGCCCACTCTATTGGTACCAATTTTCTGTGTTAGTCTGTTTTCACACTGCTGATAAAGGCATACTCAAGACTGGGCAATTTACAAAAGAAACAGTTTTATTGGACTCACAGATGTACATGGGTGGGGAAGCCTCACAATCATAGAAGAAGGTGAAAGGCACTTCCTATATGGTGGCAGCAAGAGAGAAGAGAGATTGTGCAGGCAAACTTTCCTTTTTAAAACTATAAGATCTCATGAGACTTACTTGCTATTACAAGAATAGCACGGGAAAGAGCTGCCCCCATGATTCAATTATCTTTCACTGGTTCCCTCCCATAACACATAGGAATTATGGGAGCTACAAGATGAGATTTGGGTGGGGACACAGAGCCAAACCACATCATTCCATGAACAATTATGTCCCTCTGGATTTCTCAATGGGCTAAATGTGTGTTATGGTGTGTGTTCAGTGCTCAGGCACCCAATTTATAACTGTAACATAACCTTCAGTTCTTCTTTCCCAGTGCCTCATAGTCTGCCAGAGGTGAGAATCTAGGGCCTTCTCAGATATTTCCTGGGTGCATAAACAACCTCATACACGCATGTTCCTTCTAGATTCCCAGGAATATATTGGGACACTTCAACCTCTTGAAACCTCTTCTAGGTTTGCAGATTACCAACTTTTTGTTGTATCCTCACATGCAGAAGAAGATGAGAGAGCTTTCCAGGATCTCTTCCATAAGGGCACTACTCATTTATAAGGGATCCAGCCTCATGACCTAATTACATGTCAAAGGCCCTACCCACTAATACCATCACTATCACGTTGTAAGTTAGGACTTCAACATATAAATGGGAGAAGGGGCACATACCTTCAGTCTCTTGTAAATGACCATTTTAAGTAGATGGGTGTTTTGGAGGAGCTCCAATCTCATGATGTCCCCTTCAGTTGATATTAGCACGCTTGTTTTCACCATAGTGGTGGAGCTGTGCTTTCTAAGGCTAGTGCAGAGCTGAAGAGAGAGAGATGGGAATAGGGATAATTACAAACAAAATATAGTTTACTATTCTCTATATTTAGCCATTTGTCTTAAATAAATACTTTCAGGTTCTTGTAAACTGTTGGTTAACTTTTAGGTTTCTAAAAAACTTATTTTGACAGTTTTTGCCAGTGCTTTTATTAAATAAATAGGCTAACTTTGGATCCCACCCTAACACAAAGAAATTACAGTAAATATATTTTTTCCTTCTTCTGTTTTCAAAAACTACAACAAAAAATGTATAATGATCTACAAAAATTGCAACTTGGTTCATCTAAGGCAAACTAAACCATCATTAGTATGTTAGAGCAAAATTGAAAAATTGTCAGACCTATGAAAATGTCCAAAAAGAGAAGTATACCTCTTTAATCAGACTAAATTGGCCCTAGTGAAAGATAAAAATTGCATTAATTGAAAAAACAGTTGAAAAAGAAAGTAAAGTGTTCCAACAAAGAGAAGATGGTCAGTAGGGTCAGAGTACTGCTGGGAGGCACAATTCAAGTGTAGAATTTGTCCAAGGACAAGTGACATCCTCTACCTCTTCAACTTTCTCTGGACACACATGTGTTATCCTTGTTTACAGCTTTTTACATGATTTTTGTATAATAACTAAATCCAGCTAAAATAGCATGAAGACAAAAGAGTGGAATAGGCACTCTTTATACTCAAAATCTCTTTACTTGGGGTAAAACTACAATTGCTGGTAATGAAGAGCACAGGCTTTGAAGAGAATCAAATCTAAATTTAAATTTGACTCCTCTACTTAATAGTTCTGTGACATTAAGTTCCTTACTCTCTGGAAACCTTATTTTTCTCATAGGTAAAATCTAGAACTTTGTAATAAACTAAATAATGTATGTAAAACTTTTAGTTAGGTGTCTAGCATATAAGGAATGCTAAATAAATGATAGCTATGATTTATGTGAGTATTAGTATAGCCTATAATAAATGTCTGTTTTTATAAATGAGGAGTTCTCTTGAGTCAGCAGTTTTAAAAAAAAAAAACACATAAATTTAAATAAGGTCTGGTATTCAGACCTTATTATTTTACATGTAAATGTGAACCATATACAACTTGACCAATAGTTAATTTATGTATTGCAATAAACAAGTGAGTATAACCAAAGTGTGGTTCTATCACTCCTACTTTTTTGTGTTATTGGAAAAAAAATCCAGAGTTCTTTAAGATGAAAGGCTGAATAATTTTATTCATTGTGTTGCTATCTTATTGTTCTTGCTTTGTGTCTCTATAGGTCTGAATTGTTTTCTAATGTGTCATAACATTTTCTTCTGTTTATACCATGCTTGTTTTTGTCTGATATCAGATCAAGTACACTACTGCGGAAAAGTCTTGACATCCTTCAACATGACTTTATAATCACTCATCATTCAAACTCAGCTATACAATCTGTATCTGAAACATTGTTACTGTTATAAATATTTCTTTCCTAATTACCATTTCATAGATCAACAGAATATTACATTTTCTTTCTCACAAAAACAAAATAATAATTGTCACTACCAATTATTGAGGATCAACTATAAGGTAGGCACTGACCCAGTCCCAGGAATAATAATAACAATGAGTACTCTATATTGAGAAAGGTTTTATGCATATCTCATTAGTCTATACAACAAACGTATAAATGAAGTATTCTTATTTTAGCAGTGAGAACAATGAGATTTTTGAAAGCTACATGAGTAGAAAATTGAAGAGCTTTATTTTTAATCTAGTTCAAAATACATGCTCTTTATATTTTACCATACAGCCACTCCATATAAATGCATGCAAAAATATTTCCCTTTAAGTCATATTGTTACAAAGGTCTTCTCCAGTGATGTTGGAGTGACATTATAGGTTGCTTGTAAATGTAACAATTGTTTTCAAATTTATCATTGCTTCTAAGACTGTTCTGCTTTACTTAAAACTGTTCTTGTTGGTTGACTATTGATTCCTCCTCTCATGCATATCTTGCTCTTCCTTCTATATGTCTTTTACCCATGACATCTGGCGTTAAATATATTTAATGGTTTCATAGTCATTAACATATAAATTATGCTAGATCCCACTCTTACACTCCTTGTTCCGTAAGTTATCCAGCACTGTGTCAGTTAGTAAGCATGCATACCCACACAAAACACACACAAACACACACACACACACACACACACACACACACACACACACACACACACCCCAATACTACTGAATAAACCACCTCAAAATCCTATGGGTTAAAACAATAATTTTTCTCATAGTCTGGGGGTCAACTGAGGGTAAGCAGATTTGGCTGGACTCAGCTAAAAGTCTTGCTGATCTCAGCTGATGGCATTCAGGCATCTGAAAATAGACTGATAAAGATTGAGTTCTACCCCTACTTTTTTTTCCCATATGCAATATTTGGCTTGCTGGACGTTTTATTTCATTGTGATGTAATATGCACAAAAGAGGATCACCAACAGTGCAAGTACTTTTCAAACCTCTGCTTTTATAACTTCTGCTAAAATTATATTGGACAAAACAAGTCTCTGAATTCTCTGAATCCTGGATAAAAATGTAGACTGCTACAGTTAACATTACATCTCATACATCTGGATGGCTTATGACATACACAAATCTACTCTGGAGCCAGTTCATTCTTGTCATAGTTCAGGAAGAGCCATTGCACTAAATTTACTATCAACCTTACCTACCAACAGAAAAATAATGTTCACACAATTCAGTCTTCTTCCTTGTATGTAATGGTGAATTAAGATAGGAGTCATTAGCATACCATCCTCATTTGTTTACTACACAAATAAATGGGCCACCTCTCTTTAGTTTTCACCTTTTTGGGGAGCATGATATAAAGGGTAATTCATTCATGAGAAATATGTAAGTGAACTAAAAATAATTGAAATTGTCAGTCTGCAAATTACCCAGGTTGGTGCAGAAACACTTTTTCAACAGTGAGGAAGGTGTTTCTTAAATATATTATATTGCTTGTCCCCAAATAGCTGTCATTTCTGTATATTCTCTGTATAAGAAAATAGAAAAAGGTATTAAAGTAAGGAAAGTTGGTGAATTATGATTAATAGCAAATGTGTGGTGATAATTTCAAATTTGACTTGAGATAAAGCTTAAATAATTGTTTTAATAACACAGATAAGGTAGAAGTTTTCCTTTTAAGATGTATATATACCTATATCTACGTATAAATACATGTATCTCAAGCTAATATAAATAAAGCTAATTTATATTGATATGAAGCTATTTTATATGTATATATACTTAAGTATATATATATTTAAAATTATTTGCATCTGGAAGAACTTATTGTCTTTGTATAGCATATCAAATAATTCCAGAATTTCATGTGTATTTCCTATTTAGTAAAACTCATATTATTTTTCCATTCAATACTGGAAGGTAAACAGTTTATCTTGAAAATCAGCTGGAAACTTTTGACAGATACTTCATCATTGCCTGAGTGACAGCTTTCTCTGACACATCAATGAATCCTTGGTCTTCCCAAGGCTTGTGAATTCTCTGATGGTCTGAAGGGATTTGGCTATTTCTACTTCTTAAACTGAATTACTGGGCTTATAACAGAGAATTACTGTTATATATAATAGTTGTTTATTTTAAGAATGTTTCACACCATAATCTTTGGAATAAATTTTCAGGCCCAATTTCTATAATTTAAACTAAAATTTGCCGCCTCTTCAAATAATTCAACTGAAGGAAATTAGATGAGAATATGAAATACGTCTTCAGTACCCTTCTCTTCTCATTCATCTACTCGCACACACACACACACACACACACACACACACACACACAGCGACAATGACAACAATCAGAGAGTCAACACTGACTTCTTAGCCCCTAGATAGGCAGATGTCATTTTACTTTGATTCCAATTTCAAAAATATTTAGCATCTTAAAATAATGAACCCAGAAATTCAACAAATAGGGTCCCTTATCTTTCATTAAATTAACATCATTTTAAAAGCAAACATATTGGTTGAAGTGATTTGTTACATGATCTTCAATATAATTAAACTACATGATTAAAATAAAAATATATAATTTGTATTCAGCATTAGTTCATTATATAACACAATTTTACTCTGAAATGACATTAATTATTGGCCTAGAATTAGAGACCAGGCTTTTACAAAGTTGAAAATGATTGATAGTATACTCTTAGGATCATATAATACTAAAATCATTCAATTATTTATTTCTAGATATACAGTCACCCTCAAAGCTTGTATGTATAGATTTTATGAATCACTTAACCATTTTGCATCTCTTTCCATATGTTAAATATGTCAATAATACACATGTCAAAAGCATAACCATTAATAACCTTACAGAGGTATAATTTAAGTAACTTTAAATCATTACAGTCACCTTCCAGTTGCCAGGCTATCTTGAAAATATGTAATTGTTAAGTTGATGCTATAGTAACTGTCAATGTTTCTAATGGCAACCAAGAAAAGCAATCTTGAAGTTTAGCATTTTGAAAAGATTCAAAGGAAAAAAATTGGAAAAAATTATCTGACTACCTCTAACAATATTATGAAAAACAGCAAAGAGAACAGTTTGAAAATGTGTAAGTCCTATGCAAATTTGTTGACATGGTTCTAAGGATAGCTTTAATTTTCCCAAAGACAACTATTTGAGCCACTATAATTACTTTAATGTGCTTTTATTTTTGTTTAGACAAAAATTATAATTAGTTATAATTGGGTTTTTGTTGTTGTTGTTGTTGTTGTTGTTGTTGTTGTTTTTGAGACAGAGTCTTGCTCTGTCACCCAGGCTGGAGTGCAGTGGCTCCATCTGAGCTCACTGCAAATTCCACCTCCTGGATTCAAGCAATTCTCCCTCCTCAGCCTCCCAAGTAGCTGAGATTATAGGCGCCCACCACCACGCCCAGCTAATTTTTGTATTTTTAGTAGAGATATGGTTTCACCCCATTGGCCAGGCTGGTCTTGAACTCCTGACCTCAAGTGATCTGCCCGCCTCGGCCTCCCAAAGAGCTGGGATTATAGGCGTGAGCCACCACACTTGGCCTGTCTAAATATAATTGTTGATTCATTCATTACAGTATTTAAAGCAAGGTTGTGAAAGTTTTGATAGTCTACTATACTTTTTAAATGAGGTATACTTCTCTTACAGTAGGAATGCGTGTCTTTTTAGAATAAAATTGTGTTATATAATAAATTAATGCTGAATACAAATTATGTATTTTTATTTTAACCATACAGTTTAATTGTATGGAAGATCACGTAATAAATCATTTCAACCAACACAATTTTGCTTTTAAAATTATGTTAATTTAATGAAAGATAAGAGACCTTATTTGTTGAATTTCTAGGTCTGTTCTATTAAAATGCTAAACATTTTTGAAACTGGAATCAAAGTAAGGTGATTTCTGCCTATCTAGTGGCTAAGAAGTCAGTGCTGACTCTCTGGTTGTTATTGTCATTGTGTGTGCGTGTGTGTAGATGAATTAGAAGGGAAGGGTGCTGAAGACATGTTCTCATCCAATTGTTCTCAGTTTAATTATTTGAAAAGATGGCAAAATTTAGTTTAAAGTATACCTGAATCCCTAATTGTGCCTAAAAATTTATTCCAACGATTATGCTATGGAGTATTCTTAAAATTAAAACTATTGTGTATACCAATCATTCTCTATCATAGTCCAGCAATTCAGTTTAGAAAGTAGAAATAGCCAAATCTCTTCAGACCATCAGAGAATTTATAAACCTTGGGAAGGCCAAAGATTTATTGATGTGTCGCAGAAAGCTGTCACTCAGGCATTGGTGAAGTATCTGTCAAAAGTTTCCAGCTGATTTTCAAGATAAACTGTTTACCTTCCAGCATGGAAGAGAAAAATAATGAGTTTTACTAAATAAGAAATACACATGAAATTCTGGAATTATTTGATATGCTATACAATGACAATCAATTCTTCAAGACGCATATAATTTCAAGATAATAAGCACAGGCTTTGTCAGCTTACACTGTGCAAACTCCTAGAAGTGATTCAGATGATCATTTAGACTGATTAGGAGTAAGGAAGAGATCTCCTGTGATATTAAAGTGAACTGATGTTATACGGAATTATACTTTTCTAGTTGTCTTTTTAAATATGTATATTTTGTTTTTTCATAGAGCTTCTAAGAAATGGGTGATGTGTTTCACAATTTACAATGTCTATAAATAGAGGAAATGTATACTTTACAAAGAAAAATACCTGTCCAATTACATTTTATTTGTAAATGCTCTTTCTAAAATGATTGAAATCACATTTTCCATCTTGAGAAGGCAGAAATTTTTCATAGAATTTTCTTGATCTACTTTATTATATTGAAAAACTTTTCTCATAAAGTCATAGGTAAGCTTTTATTGAGCTTTGTCTTTACTTTGTCTTATTATTACTAATTCAATATTTTTTCTTTCCCTACTTTTTCTATGAATCTCTCAAGTTATAATCTATAGTTTCCTCTGACATTCTATATTTATTATTGTATTATCAGGACATAATATCTATTTCAGTTTCTCAACTTCAGCACTAATGACATTATGTGTCATGTAATTCTTTGTTGTGGGGAACTGTCTTGTGCATTGTAGCATATTTAGCAACATCTCTGGCCGCTACCCACTAGATGTCAGCAGCAAAACCTCCTTACCCCATCTGTGACAACCAAAATTATCTCCAGACACTGCCAAATGTTCTCTGGAGGGCAAAATGACTCCACTTGAGAACTACTAATCTATATAGTACTTGTTACATGGCTTGGTAAAGTTTACATACGGAACTATGATTCATAACCCAGGTCTCTCTAGTTCTTAAAAAACCCAGGTCCCTCTATTTCTTACAGTTTGTGTGATCTTGGGCCTCAGTTTTGTAACCTCTGAAATGTAAATAATACATTTCTTATAGAATTGTTATTTAAATTGAATGGGATAGTATATGTTTTAAAAATAACAATTTATACCTTTTACTATAAAGAAAATTTAAAAGTAGCATTTAGGGACAAAAGGAAGAGAGACCATATCTAGAGTTGTTTATGTATATATTATTATCATTTCAGTCCAACAATTTTGAAAATTACTTGTTTTATCTTGTAAAGTCGTTATTGGCGTGTATTTTTGATCCGACTTCTTGCTCTTTTCATTCATTTTCTTAGACACAATACTTTGTAAAGGTATAAAACTTTTGGTCACCTTCCTTGTTATAATTCCTCATGTAATTGAGTAAAAGTTTTGAGTTGCATAGCATACTATAATTACACTCAACTATGCCCGTTATTTTATGCGTTCATTATTCGTTCCAACTACTAGCCTTAACGTTCAATCTTGTTATTTCTCTTCATGCATTGACCACTGAAATTTGTTCCTACTCTAATAGGGAATTAGACACCGGAAGTGATATCCATTTGTGTGTATCATATCTTTCATTGGTCAACATAACTTAATTTTTACCAGCCTTGAATATTAGCCAGCCTTTAGTGGCCTGATCTGACTCAAGTGTCATGAAAAATTGGGAATGGGAAAAACTCTTAGGAGACTATTTCAGTAATCTGAAAGAACAATGATAACAAAGAAGAGATTGATATTAGAGCTATGTAGATATGAATCAGGTTGGATATCAATGATGAGCAAAATGATGGCATCTGAAGTAACTTAAGGTTTGTGGGACATGAATGACTTATTAGACTGAAGAATCGTGGGAGGAAAGATGTGTGCATTTTGCTATCTAACTATATATGTATATGTAGGTATGTACACACATATGTCTTTATATATATGTATGCATATATAGAAGTTAAAACTTTAAGATGAATCATAAAAAAATAAAATCTTCCAGTATTAGAATTATTCATATCATGTAAATCTTTTTAGGGGGCCAATTAATTTTTAAAGTCTTACATTAAATGAATAATTTACTTATAAAAAAATATCAGCCATCATATGATTGCTAATGGGAAGATGACAACATACTCTTAGAACGTATTACTACAGTTCACAAACCATGACTTTGTGACAGCTATATAATTTTAGTGAAATTATGAAGTAGAAAAAGCATTGTGATGTTGGAAAAAAATGCTTCAAAATCAGTTCTTGCACTGAGACATTATATAATAACATAGTTGCCACCGCTTCATATTTTTTTCTTGCAAGTAGAAGAAATTGTCATATATTCCCTCTTTTACATTGTTAACTTTATTTACACTAATATACTAATCAGATTTGAAAGTATTATCAGAAATTATTGCTTTTCTTTTCATACCTCTCAAAGTTCGAATAGTTCATCTTAAACTTCAGATCCTTCTACAACAGTTAAATTTAATCCAACATCCTTTGAATATTTTACCTCCATTGCTCTCTTTCACCAGTTTGATAAGAGCTTATGCAGCAAACCTCAGAAAATGGTTTTAAATGAATATGTCATTTAATGAACTAACACCATGAAGCTTCAAATGTCAATAGGATAATGAGTTAGCTTTCAGTGGGAAACAAATAATATGATATTATAAAACATTATTTTAAATTAAAAGAGATTTGCTAATTCTGGAATAGTTACCCTCTCTCATTACATAATGTAATCCTACAAATGGTGAATTAATACTATGAAAAAAATTTAATATAAAGTAAAATTAATGTATATATTATAATGTAATATAAATAGATATATGCATAGATACATAAGTAGACACACAATAAACTCATAGTAATAACTGAGTTAATTATTATTATTATTTTATGTATTTATTTTTTTTGAGATGGAGTCTCCCTCTGTCGCCCATGCTGGAGTGCAGTGGCGCCATCTCGGCTCACTGCAAGCTCCGCCTCCAGGGTTCATGACATTCTCCTGCCTCAGCCTCCCGAGTAGCTGGGACTACAGGCGCCCGCCACCACGATCGGCTAAATTTTTGGATTTTTAGTAAAGACAGGGTTTCACCGTGTTGGCCAGGATGGCCTCCATCTCCCGACCTCGTGATCCGCCTGCCTCGGCCCCACAAAGTGCTGGGATCACTTGGAAAGACTTCACTTCCAAGCTCATTCTGGGTGGGTAATGGCAGAATTTATTTCCTGTTTTCCTGTATGACTGAGGGTCCTTGGTTTTTGCTGGCTATTGGCAGGAAGATACCCTCAGAGCCTGGAGCCTGCCGGCTGTTCTCAAAGTCTACTCCCAGTTTCTTGCCTTGTGAGCTTCTCCAACATAGTTTCAAGGAGAGTTTTTAGCTCCAGTGTGCTAAGGTGGAGCATTATATAATAGCATAATTACAATAGTGACATCTCAAGTTTCCTATGCTATGTAACTGAATCATGGGAGTAACATTGTTTTACTTTTGCTGTATTCTATGGTTGTAAGAAAGTCACTGGTCCTGCCTGTGGAAGGGGATTGCACAAAGGAGTAAATGCCAGGATAGGAATCATTTGAAGGATCACATTAGGGTCTGCCACCACACAAGTTTTGAATAACTTAGAGAATATGAGACATAAAGGAATCAAATAAATGGAGCCAGGAAAAAATTACATACGCTAGTGCATGCATTTGGAGATTAGGGATATTTTTCCATTTTTGTACTCTGTATTTTCTGTTTTACGATTATGTTAGATTTATAATAAAAAGTGATTGATTTTAAAAGTTTGCCAAAAGAGGTAATACCATATTATCATTCTTCTGAAATATAATTTTTTCAAAAATTACTACTGACCCACAAATTATAAATTCTGAGTTTTTTTGTGGTGAAATTTGTACTATTAGTATTTCCTCTTAACTTCCTTGGGGCTACTCAGTTCCAATTACCCAGTTATTCTCCAGACATTGTTACCACAGTTAGTGCATTTCTATCTTGACGCTCTCAACATAGGTATTGATTAAGCCTGTCTTCTTAACTATCCACTCTTCTCACCCTATTTTTTGGTGATCACAATCTGTCCTTCTGCTTCAACTGTCATTTCAATGTAAATTATACTTAAAATATTTCCTCCAGAAACTGTATCATCTGAAATGCAAGGCCTTTTTATATTGCTACATGAATGGGTTTTTTAAAGTCCAGTAACATGACTAGACGTGTACTTCGTATCTTGCCATCATGTCAAACTCGAGAAATAAAACTGAAGTCAAAATTCTACTAAACTTTTACTCCTAAATTATTTCTTTTATGTTAATGATAATTTTCCTCATAAATTATCTTATACATTTAACATTTTCACATGTTAGTCTGTCTTATTTTATCCCATTATGTTATGCCTGGAGCCAAGCTATTATAGAAGTAAGGTACAAAAAAACAAAAATAAAAATAAAATAAAATTTGGGCCTCATCCTGGGAGTAATTTGATAATTAACCAGCTGTGTAATGCTGAATGCTGTGGTTATGATACAAAACCATGCTAAGGAAATACCTATAAGTCTAACAGGAAACCAATCTAAAGTGTTGGAAGATGCCTTTAATCTCAAACTGGGTGGTCTTAGAAGAGAGGGCCACTAAATTTGATCTTGATGTCAGTTTGTCAGTAAAAAGATACATGGATAAAAAAAGAGCTTCTCTGTCTGAAGAAATCGCATTTATAAAGGCATAAAGTCACTTAATTATAAAATATTCTTGACCTGACTCTTACTCTAACATTTTATGTCACACATAGTTCAGTGCTTTACTCCAGTCCTTTACTCCAACTTCAGAACATTCCTCTTACCTTTTGCATTTTCTTTGCTGCAATTTGGTTTAGACTTTCAGTGACTCTTACCTGGACTCATCTCTCTGATTCCTAACTGATGTTTCTGCCTTTCCTCTGTTCTAATGCCAACTCATCTACTCACCAAAGTCAAATAACTGTAACTACATTAGAAACTAATTGAATTTGGTCTTGAAGTTTTAATTAGAGCTTTTCATCATTCCAAATCAAGAATCATTGGAGGTTTGTGTCATTTTCTAAATATTATAGAGATAAGAAAAATAAAACTTGGAACCTTATAAAAGTAATATAATTCATGATGTAAATAAGAGATGTGTAGATAGACACAGACAGAAGGAAGAGAACAGAAGATTACATGATTGAGGAAGCAATATAAGGAAAAAAATAAAAAAGATTCTTCCTGAGAGATCATCAAAAGTCATAGACAAGGTTGGGCACAGTGGCTTGTGCCTGTAAATCCCTGCACTTTGGGATGCCAAGGCAGGTGGATCACCTGAGATCAGGAGTTGGAGACCAGCCTTGCCAACACGGTGAAAACCTACCTTCACTAAAAATACAAAAAATTAGCTGGACGTGGCAGCGTGCACCCTTAGTCCCAGCTACTTGGGAGGCTGAGGCAGAAGAATCACTTGAACCCAAGAAAGAGGTTGCAGTGAACCGAGATCACACCACTGCCCTCCAGCCTGGGCAACAGAGTGAGACTCTGTCTCAAAAACAACAACAACAAAAAAAAGAAAGTCATTTGTAGATGACTTAATGATTAGGTGGAAAAAAAAGAGGAAATAAGAAAAGAATCTGAGTAGATACAAAAGCATGTAGACTGTCAAAAAGTCATAAATATCTTGCATACAAGATACTTGGAAATGGTTAGTAGTCTGCTTCAGCTAGGAAAAAAAAAATATGAAAATCTGAATGGTTGGAAATCTCCAGAACTCCTAGGATGAATGCTGAGCTTCTTAACTTGAAATTTAAGGTTTTTATGATAATCTCAGTGGGTCTTTTAGTTATTTCTTTCTACATTTGTTATACCCCCACAATATTAGAGTTCTTCAGAGAAACAGGATAAATAAGATCTGTATATACATAGAGAAAAATTTCTTTCAAGGAATTGGCTCACATTATTACAAAGGCTGAAAAGTCTCAAAACTGCAAAGTGGGCTAACAGGACAGAGACACAGGGAATAGTTGATGTTGCAGTTCAAGTCAAAATGCTGTAAGGCTGGAGACCTGGTATAAGTAAGCTTGGGCTGCCATAATAAGATATCACAGAGTGTGTGGATTAAACAACAGACGTTTTCTTTCTCACAATTCTGGAGTCTAAAAAGCCCAAAATCGAAGTTCATCAGTGTTCAGATTACGGCGAGGGCTCTCTTTCTGCCTTGTACCTTCTCTCTGTGTCCTCACATGGTGGAGAGAGATTACGATCTCTCTCTTCCATTTCTTATAAAGCCACAAATTCTATCCCATTAGAGCCCCACCCTTATTACTTCATGTAACCTTAATTACCTTCTAAAAGCCCATCTCCAAATACATTCACACTGGGGATGTATTTGTTGGGATCTTCCACATATAAATTTTAAGGAGACACAATTCAGTCCATAGCGCCCAGGAAAAGCTGATCTTATAGTTCAAGTCTGAAGGTGTTCAAACTGGAGATCACATAATAGTCAATGTTGCAGTTCAAATCTGAAGGTCATCTGCTGGCAGAACTACTTCTTTCTCAAAGGAGGTTGATCTTTGTTCTCTTCACACCTTCCACTGATTAGAAAAGGCCCACACACATTGGGGAGATTTTTACTCTGCTTTACTCAAAGCCCGTCAACTTAAATATTAACTCAATCCGAAAACATCTTTACAGAAGCATCCAAAATACCTGAGCACCATGGCTAAACAAGTAGACAAATAAATTTAACCATCACATTTATGTTTCACCCTGTTTTCTTCCTTTATCTTTTGACATGCTCCAAAACATACTTCTTCCAAATGTTTGTTCATCTGGAATATATTATTTTCCTATAACTATCTAGTAAAATTCCTCCCATTCAGTAAGACACAAATAAAATGTCATCACTTTTGTAAAGTTTTCCCTAATTATTATCACTTGTGATTGTTATAGCTTTCTATTTTGGAAGCCTATAGTAGTTCAAAGCATCCATGTAGTTCTTACCATAAACTGATTTACATTATTTGTGTGCTTGTCCAGTTTCATTACTAGATTTTCACTAAGCTTATCAATAGAGTGTCTTAAAAACATAAACTTACAATGCCTTTCATTGTTTCATATCTTCCCATATATATTATTTCTATTTCCCCATGTTACTCAACACGAAGACCCTGGGGTTTCGTTCTTCTACCGTAGGGTAGAATAACTGGAGAGATAATAACAAAAGGTGTTGAAGTAGCAAATGTATAGTGAGTCAATACTATGGTGTTTGAATTCTTAAAATGACACAAATGCATATGCTTATGTTTGAATATGATGTAATGATCACTATATTGTCAGTGTGTGTAGCATTAGAGTTGGGTTTTAGCAATATTTAAATATATATATATATATTTAAAACAGAAAGCTCTTTTGACATTTCAGTAAGTGTTACAGGACCAACAGGTTTGTATGCCTGCTGCACAGTAACAGACCAATATGCCAAGACCTCAGAGTTTGCAGCAAAGAAAGAGTTTAATGATCACAGGGTGGCTGAGTGAAGAGATGAGCGGAGACCCTCAAATCTGTCTCCCTAAGGAGTTCTGGGCTGGGGTTTTGTGAGAGTTAATATTAGGTGTCAACTTGACTGGGTCTAGGGAATCCTAGATGGCTGGTAAAGTATTGTTTCTGGATGTGTCTGTGAGGGTGTTGCCAGAGGAGACCAATAGATATTTGAATCAGTTGACTGGGAGAGAAAGACCCTTCTCAATATGGGTGGTCACCATCCAGTTGGCTGCCAGCATGGCTAGAACAAAGCAGGTGGAAGAAGGGGGATAAGCTTGTTTGCTGAGTCTTCTGGTTTGCTTTTTCTTCCTGTGCCAAACTCTCACTTCTTCTTCTTCTGCCCTTGTATATCAGACTCCGGGTTCTTTGGTCTTCGGTCTTTGGACTCTGGGCCTTGCACCAGCCGCTTCTCAGGGGCTCTCAGACTGAAGGCTGCACTGTCAGCTTCCCTGTTTTCAGCTTGCAGACAACCTATCCTGGGATTTCACCCATAAGCATGTAAGCTAACTCATATACATATATCTCTCTCTTATTGGTTCTGTTCCTCTGGATAATCCTGACTAATACAGATTTTTAAGGGGATCATGGAGGCAGAAAAACAGGAAAATTGGAGTCATTGATTGTTAGGGATGTGTGGGATAGAATCATCAGGATGTGGAAACTTCATTCTTTAGTGAGTCAGCTCCTCGTAGGGGTTCTTCAGATCAGCTTCAGACCAGCTGATGTCAGTAGTTTCACTAGTATATAGGACTTGAAAGAATATCTCACATGAAAAACTTAACATTTCACAATGTTCACGTTGTTATCTATAGGGGAGTTAACAGTCATTATAATCTTGTGACAGAGTCTGCACAATTCCAGGACAACAGGCTGCAAACAACTGTGAGGAAGGAGGTCAGAGAGTGAGCTGACCTAATGCTTAATATTGAATGTGCTGTATGTTTGGTTTATTTCAATTTTTCCCCTTTCTTTTTCTCTGATTAACTTTATATAGTTTATAGGGACAGGTTCAGAAGCACAGGAAGAAAAAATACTCTATAACATCACATCTTTTATAATGCAAAATTTTGAAAGTCGATCTAAACATTGTATGTTAGTTTTCTAGCACTCCCTTAATGAAGTACCACAGACTGAGTGGCTTTAAGTAACAGAAATTTATTGTCTCACAGCTCTGGAGTCTGGAAGTCCAAAATCAAGATGTCAGTAAGACCATGCTCTCTCCACAGCTCTAGGGAATAATCTGCTCCAAGGCTTACTAAGCTTTTGGTGTTGCTGGCAATCCTAAACATTCCTTGGCTTGCAGCTGAATAATGCCAGTCTCTGCCTTCTCATCAGATAGTTGTTTTTTCATCATCTTCTTATAATGACACTAGTCATATTGTATTAAAGTCCTACCTTACTCAAGTGTAACCTCATCTTAACTAATTACATCCACAAAGATCTTATTTTTAAGTTAGATCACATTTTGCAGTACTGGGTGCTAGAAGTTCAACATATCTTTTCGAGGGGGAACACAATTCAGTCCATAACAATGATCAACCCAAAATGCTTCATTTTATATTGGGAAATATACTAAAATATTGACAGATCACACTTTTAAAATGACCATCTCAACAGGTCTAAAAATCAGTTGAAAAAATTTGAGACATTTCTGATTGAAAAAAAACAATAAAAAACAAAAATGAACTCTTAAAAAAAGAAAAGGATTCGAAATATCCATATTTACAAACAAATTATTTTCTCAGATTGTTTAAAACAATTTAAAAACTATTTGTGTTGGATAAATGTTAAACAAATATGAGTGTACACATGTATACTCCAGAAAACATTTAGAAAATAGCTTAGATATAACTTTCACAACTAAACAATAAGAAATTTTATACATTACTAATATATATACAGCAATACATTAAGTATTAATGTAGTAATAATACATTTATACATTACTAATATATATACAGCAATACATTAATATATTAATATATAATAGGAAGTTGTATATTTTTCCTAACAAAATATATAACTTCAATGTAGGAAGATAATATTTAAAAACTAAGGTCAACTCTATATAAATCCCAATTTAATACAATGAAAACTGAACAAAATGATTTTAAAGCTCCTTTGGAAGAGTAAAATGGTAAAAATATCCAAGGAAATTTATAAATTAAAAATTCAACATAAATATATTAAAATACACAATAAAATATAATATAAAAAATTACTGTTTTAAAAATAGATACAAAGACCAAACATTGACATTTTCTAGAATCAACCAGTTATTTTTTTCTCTAATTTTCTCCTTTTAATTAATAAGGATATCTGATCACTTTTGTAACATACAGAGCAAATTCAAGGAGGCTAAATAAGATACAAGTTTATTTCTTTTTGTAGGCAAAACTGGATTAGGCAATCTAGGGCTATTATGTCACCTCCACATTCATCTGGATTTTAACAAGCTTTTTCAAGGCTAACACCCTGACATCCTCAACAGACATTTTCTTTATAGTGGTACAGAATGACTATTTCTAGATTCTTTTATGTGTCCTAATTTCAACCTAGGAGAAGGGGAAAAAGTGATAAGAAGAGACTTGCACATAATCACTTCTGTTCACACCTCATTTGTGAGAAAGTAATCATGTGGTTCAATCTAGCAAAGAACATAGGAAATATAGTCTTTAGCTAAGCAGCAATGTTCACAACTAAAATACTTGTTGAAAAAGAAAAGGTATTAGTAAATAAAAGCAGTCTGCTGCACTGCCCATTTAGCCATTCAGATAAATATGTAACCCTTTCTTCCCACCCTTGAAAAATTTTAAACTTTCCCCAAGGAGAAAGAATCCAAAAGCTCTTTCCAGTTTTGTTATCAAGACAGAAGTTTATTTTTCACTTCTACAGTGAGTAAAAATGCTTATGTATTTAACACTAAATATTGGTAAACTTGTAAAGAAATAGATACTTTCAAACATGGTGAAGGAAAGAAAATGGAAATAATCTAGTTTTTTGAGAAAACCATTTGATATACATTGAGACCACAAAACATAAACTTTTACCCAATAACATAATCAGTGACATAGTTATAACTCATTTTTTACAAAAAAAAAGTTGTGTAGTGGCAATGGTTTACTGAATAGAATATTATACAGTCTTTGAAAATATGCATAAAAAGTCTTTAATGAACATGCTCATATTATCTCAATATGATAAAAACATCAGGATAAAAATTGTACATCCATTAATTTCTGTATAATTAATATAAATATATATATAATGTTATACTCCAAGTAATAATGTCACTGGATCCTTTCAATTTCATCACCAGAAATTACTCATTCACTCAAATGATTTTGATTAATTCTCTGAGAGTACCTCAGGATGATAAACGCTTAGAACAGGTTCCACGCTTTCTTTCTTCTAGGCCTCATTGGTGCTCCCACACCGACTTTTACAAATGATGCTAATGAAGTTATCTTTCTGCTGCACACAACTAAACTTAGCTGGTGACTGCCATGCCTACCATCACTCTGGCCTTGAAGGGGACAGCAACACTGTTTTTCTGGTCTGTTCCAAGAAAAAAGACAGGACCTTTCTTTAAACTGAATGACTTACAACTATATTTCAGTGAATCCAGACTAATCTTTTTCTACCAACAGAAACATTCCACAGTTCCATACCTTAGAGTCCAGAATAAACATTCCCTTGCCTTTAAAAAGCAGGAAGAGGATTCTTTTTCTTAATTTCAGATAAACATTTGTCACCTACTAGTTAATAAATATTATTACAACTAAATGCACTCATTTAATATTCTGCAAAAAACTCTAAGGGATAAAAAAATTAAAATTAGGCTCCAGTCTTTAAAGAATTTAAAAGATGAGATTAATATACAATTGAACCTAGCAAAAAATGCAAACCATATATAATTTGTTGTTAAATTGCATGGTATAGAACATAACTTTTTGAAAAATGAAAGATTAGGCAGGATAATTTATAAGAATCTTGACAGCCCTTTCATGTTGGGCTCCTGCCATTGGTGTACCGATGGGACAGAAATGATTTATGCAGTTTGAGTACTCTGTGCTAATGGAACCATAATTTCCTAAATCTGTTCCCAAATGGACTTTCATTCTGGACTCTGTATTTTCATTAAGATGATGTTTATGGGAATCCTATTGATTACCCCATCTTTTGCTAAACAACGTGCAGAATCCATGATGATTTTGATGGTGCGTGCCAATTAACTTGGGCATTACATTAAATAATACTACCTATAATTTTGTAGGGTAAGAATTACTACCCACATTTCATAGATGTTAGAAATGACGCCAGGGAGTTAAAGTAGTTTGCCTGATCACATCATTTGTGACATACAAAACTGGTGTAAGTGCCCAGACTGCTCAGTAAAATGTCAGAGTAGAAAGCTGGGCAGCAGAGTGGGAGTGGGTGAAAGGAACAACGGTGAAAGTTTGTTTTCAAATGGAAAACAATTTTTGGATGGCAAGATAAGTGTACTAGGAGTAAATCTGAGTTTTAAGAAGCAGAAAATTAATGTTAAATACTAAGTTTTAAGAACAGAAATTACGATAAGATGAAATTGTGTTAAAGCAACAAACCATGATAGAAAAAAAGTAGATTGATAAACTATAGGGATAATGACATAATAGGGAAGGTAACTCATTCACTGTCTAGCCACATATTACCTCTTCAACCCCATTTCCTACCACTTCTCTTTCCAGATACTGTAGCTAAAATGAGCATTTTTACACGTCCTGTGAATTACAAAAGTTCTCTTAATGCTAAGTTTTTGTATCTTTTTTTGTCCAATTACCATTCTAGTCATAACTGTAGACAATGTATTTCTGTCATAAAAAGACTATGCCAGAAGGAAAAAGTCAGGTTAAAAGAAATAATTCTTGAAAATTAAGAATATGAATACAGAAACTTACAAAATAATAATAATAAATAGCCTAATAGTAATGCTTACATTTATAAACACTACTCCATGTTGTCTCAAATAGAAAAAGGAATATTTATGAGAAAAATTTGAATTTTCAGGCTCAAAGAACTACTGAATACCCAGTAGATTCTGAAAATTTACACCAGGAAAAATAAGAAGACTCTTAAAAATGAGAAGACCCTAAAAGCCCCAGAAAGAAAGAATTAAGATGATATACAAAGGCATGTGAATGGAAAAGATATAAAGTTTCTGATCTGCTAAAAATCAGTGAAATAATGCCTTAAAAACACTGAAAGAAAATTATTCTATCTTGTATAGCTATCCATCTAGTGGGAGATTGTAACAAAATATTTTCAGATACAAATGTTACTTTTCAAAATATAATAAAAGATAAAAATGTGACTTTTATTAATATATAAAATAAGTCAAAGATTTTATTTCTCCTTATTAGTCAGTTTAGGCTTGGCACAGTGACTTATATCTGTAATCCCAGCACTTAGGGAGGCCAAGGTGGGAGGATCACGTGAGGCCAATAGTTCAAGACCAGCCTGAGCAACATAGCAAGACTACACTTCTACAAAAAAATAGAAAAAAAAAGATAACGCCAGTTCAAAGGAGAATTTGAATACATATATATATATATATATATATATATATATATATATATATATATACACACATCTTTTGTATAATAGCAATATGTCATTTGCATAATATGTCAAATTTTTATCCACTAGAGGAGTATGAGTTAATGTTTAGGATCATCTTTTCTCTAAGGCAGAAATCAGTTGTATCTCTACCTACTAGACAAACTCATTTGCATTGCTAAGGAAAAAAATAATTTGAATGACTGTCAGTTTTCTACACCTTGATTTCTACCCCTATGCAATTGTAAAATAGGTTAGTTAATGAAAAGAATTTTACAGGAACATACCTGTATAGTTCAGGCCATCCCTGAAAGTGTTTGCCAGACAATGCCCAGCACTTCACTGAAAGAGAACACACAATAATATTTTGCCCATTTCCAAGTTGGTGACATTTTTTCCTAATGTGAGGAAGGATATACAAATTTTAATTTCTAAGCACTTAGCTATTAAAAGATGATCATCAACCAAACAAGGAGTAACCCAAGAAAGTATACTCAAGTTCTGGAGGACAGGTAATCCATCCAGCACCATTGTTCTATTACTTGAGGAGAGCAGATCTCCAAGATGACAGTTAAGCATCAATCACAGAAGATAACCATTCAGAACAGCATGCAAAATCTAAAAATGCAATTTATCTGTTATCAATATATATTGGAGCATTTGAGAATATCATCCCCAACATTTGACAAATCTGTTGGTGTATTTAGAAAAGAAAAATAACAATTAATGCATAAAAATCTAAACAAATGAAAGAAATGCAATTATTCATGTCAAGAAAAACATGGTTTAATAGGAATATACAAATAAATATTGCCTATAGTTCTTGGATTGAATACAAACCATAATTATACATAAAAATAAAATCAGCTCTGTCTGTTGATTTGATGCACACTTATGATGTAACTACATTGGTTTAATGAATGGTAGGGAAAGATGCCTGAAATAAAATGGCTAAACCATTACCTAACATAAGTTATGTTATGTACCTAAACCATTACATAACATAACATAAATTAAGAAGTGATGTCTAAATTTGATAGATTGGGAAATAAAACTTAAAGAATGTTTTTTATTTTATTTAAAAATACCTGGAAAAAATAAATGATACTTTTGAAAATAGTTGTCTCTGGAAAGAGGTCCTAGGTTAAGTAAGAGCTAAAGAATGTGTTTCTAGTTTTTATTATGTCTTTTAATTTTATTTGATTTATCGCATAAATCTATTTATGTGCAATTATAACATTGACAAAAATAAAAATAATCTCCAATAAAATGAACAAAAGTATAACTGCATATTATGTGTAGTAAAAACTGGATTAACATATGTGGGTAAAGTTGGAAAATTATGTTTAATTGAGGTGACAATTGATTGGGTACCCATCATAAAGTTCAGATTTCCCTTGATGAAAAATGAGAAGTAAAGGTTTTACAGCAGAGAAAATATTATGTGAGTAGGTCTCTTACATTCATATAAGTAATTTTATTGAGTTATGGATACAACAGAGTTGGGGATAAAATTTTGTAGTAAAAGATCTCTGATATTTCCAGACTACTTGCATAAAATTTAAGTCTATATACAATAAAATTACTGAAGATTATATAAGTTTATATTTGTATTTTCCATTCATGTTGTGTTACATGGGTTTGTTAGTCTTTGCTTTTCAGATGTTCTAATACTTTAGCTTTCATTATTCAGATGAGAACACAAAGAAAAATGAAGAATAAATTACATGTGGATTAACATAAAAAACTTTCAAATTCTTGTATGGAAAGTAAGTCTTTAATGTATGCAAGCACATATTTTCTCATAAACAGATGTTGAGGTTACAAAACAACAAGTAATTGAGCACAGATGGTGTGCTTGGCATACTAAAAAATGCTTAAAGGAGAGTTAGCACTTAACAGAGAGAGCAGATTTCCTTTCAGTCAGGGTTCTTTTGGCTTTAAATGTTCCAGATTTTTTTTTTTTTAATAACTTAACGCCTCTTTGCCAAGGGAGTGTTCTGAGCCAGTATGAAAATAATAATATGTCAAATGTTAATGATAGATACAAAATGATTTTTATTCCATATCAACCATAAAGAAACTGTGCTGCATAGTCTAAGTATAAATGGTAATATTACTATTATGCTTGAATTACCTTTGTATCTTCTATATCTTTTGTATTCCATTTAATTTTTTATTTTAGTGAGATAATTAATGCATTCATTTCTATAACTGAGTAAATTAAGCTTGCTGCAGTGGCAGCTTAGTATTATTTAATATTTTTTATAATTGCAGTAAATTAGACCTGTAGCATAATAAAATAGTGTCTACTTTTTCCTATTTATATTTCCTGTTGAAAATGTGTCTAAGTACTTAAACAAAATACTAATGACGATAATTAAGGGAAGAAATGGAGAAAAAAGTAAACTCTTAAATGTAGTTAGTAGATAGATAATGGTTTCAAATTACCATTTTCTATAGCAAAATAACATCAATTTTCATTTTTAAAAATAACATCAAGATATCTTCATCGTGTTAACAGTATTGACTAGAAATGTGAAAAAGAAATTTGAAGATTTTTTCTCTTTATAAAAAAAGGAGAAGAGGCAGACTTTATATCTAAAATTTCTGGGCTGTGCTAAATATTTTATGTTCAATTGAGAAAGAATTTGCATTATTGTATTCCCCAAAGGCATTTTTTCTGTGCAAAAGTTTTCCCTCTGACTTCAAAGTGGGAACCACAAGAGTGCATATTAACATTGAAATGGATGAAAAACAGACTCAAGTTTTTGAATGAGCATAGCAAATTGAAAGGTAGCTATTAGAAATAGAGGTTCAGTCAGGCTAACAGACCATTTAAGTCTCTATTGTATTAAAGTCAAATTTAAAAGATGGACACAATTTTTGCTAAGAATGTGAAAAATTTCAGACAATGGAAATCAAAACACAGGAAGGAAGGAAGCTTTCAACTCCTTTAATGTAATGAAATATTACTATAATTTAATGAAGCAGGTAGAATACTTTGCTCTTGGTTATGGAATTTTACTTCTCATGCTAAATCCAAGGATGTACAGTGATTATGGTCAGAATAACATCACAGGGAAATTGATACTTTCCGAGGAGGAATTTCCATGGATCATTCCCAGGAGGACTTTTCAAAATAGGAGAGAAAAGTATTTTGGGATTTCGGAGTCCAGAAGATCCCAGAATTAAACAATCTCTCTCTCTTTTTAAAGCATCTTAGACTATAAGGGGGGCCATAACAATAGGCTACCACCTAAGATTTTTGCTGTGCCTTAGCTACTGCTGTCTCAACAATGAGTTCCTTAGGACCAAACAGTTCTTAATTATTCTTCACAGTTGTGCTTTTATGGGTTTTGTATTAAATAAAAACCTTAGAAGAATTAGATAGCTCTGATATTCTCCTCTTTAGGACAGGTTATATTTTTAGGATGAATTAGTTTGTTTTCACACTGCTGACAAAGACATACTCGAGATTGGGCAATTTACAAAAGAAAAAGCTTTATTGAACTTAACAGTTCCAGATGGCTCAGGAGGCCTCACAATCACAGTAGAAGGCAAGGAAAGCAAGTGACATCTAACATAGATGGCAGCAGGCAAACAGAGATCTTGTGCAGGGGAATGCCTCTTTTTAAAACCATCAGATCTTGTGAGACTTATTCACTATCACGAGAACGGTGCAGGAAAGACCTGACCCCATAATTCAATCACCTCCCACTGGGTTCCTCCAACAGACAATATGTGAGAATTGTGGGAGCTACAATTCAAGATGAGATTTGGGTGAGGACACAGCCAAACCATATTATTATACCCTTGGCACCTCCCAACTCTCATTTCCTCACACCTTAAAACCAATTATGCCTTCCCAACAGTCCCCCAAAATCTTAACTCATTTCAGCATTAACTCAATAGTTCACAGTCAAGTGTCTCATCTGAAACAAGGCAAGACCCTTCCACTTATGAGCCTGTAAAGCCAAAAGCAAGTTAGTTACTACCTAGATACAATGGGGGTACAGGTATTGGGTAAATACTGTCTTTCCATATGGGAGAAATTGGCCAGAACAACGTAGGTACAGTAGGCCCCATGCCAGTCTGAAATCCAGCAGAGCAGTCAAATCTTGAAGCTTCAAAATGATCTTTATTGAATCCATGTCTTTTTTGAATCCAGCATTCATGTCACACTGATGGAAAAGTTGGGTGCTCATGCTCTTGGGCAGCTCCACTCTTGTGGCTTTGCAGGGGACAGCCTCCCTCCCTGCTGTTTTCATGGGCTGGTGTTGAGTGTCTGCAGCTTCTTCAGGCATAGGGTGCAAGCTGTCGATAGATCTACTGTTCTGAGGTCTGAAGGATGGTGGTCCTCTTCTCACAGCTGCACCTGGTGGTGCCCCAGTAGGGACTCTGTGTGGAGGCTCTGACCCCATAAGGCCCTAGCAGAGGGCTTTCCTTCCATAAGGCCCCAGCAGAGGGCTACCCATCTGACAAGAGATTAATCACCAAAATTTATAAGGAGCTCAAACAACTCTATAGGAAAAAAATCTAATAATCTGATCCAAAAATGGGCAAAAGATTTGTCTAGACATTTTTCAAAAGAAGGCATATAAATGGCAAACAGGCATATGAAAAGGTGCACAACATTACTGATTATTAGTGAAATGCAAATGAGAAATGCAAAACTACAATGAGATAATATCTCACCCCAGTTAAAATGGTTTATATTCAAAAGACAGACGAAAACAAATGCTGGAGAGGATGTAGAAAAAAGGGAACCCGGCCGGGGAAGGTGGCTCACGTCTGTAATCTCAGCACTTTGGGAAGCCAAGGCAGGCAGATCACGAGGTCAAGATATTGAGACCATCCTTGACAACATAGTGAAAACGCGTCTCTACTAAAAATACAAAAATTAGGTGGGTGTGGTGGCATGCCTGTAGTCTCAGCTACTCAGGAGGCTGAGGCAGGAGAATCGTTTGAATCCGGGAGGCAGAGGTTGCAGTGAGCCGAGATTGCGCCACTGCACTCCAGCCTGGTGACAGAACGGGACTCCATTTCAAAAATAAATGAATAAATAAATAATAAAAAAAAAAAGAAAAGACAAAAAGGGAACCCTTGTAAACTATTGGTGGGAATGTAAACTAGTACAACCACTATGCAGTAGCTAAAAATTGAGCTACCATAGGATCCAGCAATCCCACCACTGGGTATATACCCAAAAGAAAGGAAATCAG
Organism: Homo sapiens; assembly: GCF_000001405.40. Classification (NCBI taxonomy): domain Eukaryota; kingdom Metazoa; phylum Chordata; class Mammalia; order Primates; family Hominidae; genus Homo; species Homo sapiens. Next base: position 85,743,756 of record NC_000012.12, read on the forward strand.
TATATTGAAGAGATATCTGCATTCTTAACATTTGTTGCTACACTGTTTACAATAGCTAATATTTGGAAATAACCTAAGTGTTCATCAAGAGATAAATGGATAAAGAAAATGTAATGCATATACACGATGGAGCACTATTCAGCCATAAAAAAAGTGAGATTCAGTCATTTGCAACAACATGAATCAAACTGGAGATCATTATGTTAAGTGAAATAAGCCAGGAATGGAAAGACAAATGTCACATGTTTTCACTTCTTTGTGGCGTTTAAAAATCAAAACAATTGAATTCATGGAGATAGAGAGTAGAAGGATCGTTACCAAAGGCTGGGAAGCGTAGTGGGGGTCTTGGGAGGAAGTAGGGAAGGTTAGTGGGTAAAAAAAAGGTTAGAAAGAATGAATAAAATGCTTTTATTTGCTAAATAAAAACTATATATTTGATAGCACTATGGGTTTACTATAGTCAATAATAACTTAATAGTACAGTTTAAAATAACTTAGAGTGTAATTGTTTGTAACTCAAAGGATAAATGCTTCAGGGGATTGATAACCAATTCTCCGTGATGTGCACTTTTCACATTGTATGCCTGTATCAACATATTGCATGTACCAAATAAATAAATAAATAAATACCTATATGAACCTACTATGTACACACAAAGATTAAAATAAAATAAACAAAAAAGCCAAAGAACATTCTCAGCATTTGTTGTCCTTTACTTTCTTACTTTTATGGAAATAGAAGGGTTTTGTATGAGATAGAGATGATAGAGCAAAGTGGCTCAATCTCCTTCTAGCAGTGATTCTCAACCTTGGATTGACTGTTAGTATCAGATGGATAACTTTAAGAAGGTACTAATTCTCAAGCTGTACTGCCAGATATTCGGATTCAATTTGTCATCACAGCACCCAGAAGTCAATATTTTTAATAGAGTTTCCCAAGGAGAATTTTTTTTTACTGTTGATCATTGTTGAATCACCAACATTTGTTTCTATACATACTCAGAACTCAGTAAGTATTTGCCAGATGAATGAACAAACGAATGATAATCAGACTGCTTTCAGGTGAAATACCAATAGCTAGATAGTTGTATATTATTGAAAGATATGTTAACAGCTCAAGGAGAAAAAAATAGGTGGTCCTAAAATTTTATACACCATTGAATTCTTAATGAAATATGAAGAAAAATAAGCATGCTTTGAAGTATGTATACACAGTTCACTACCAAAGCACACTAAATGAAAATATGATGCAATGTCATGCTATAGCCAAATATGTGTATATACAACACAGAAATCATAAACCAATTCTAAAATAATTAAAAGAGGATCCAGTCCACCCTGCCACTTGGAAGATTCTCATTACCACAGGAAATTTCACTGATTGAAGACTACATTTCCTGTATTTGCTTTCCAGTCATGCTATTGCTTTTACAGCGAATAATTTTATAAATTTCAAATGCTGTGTAAACTAAATCCAGCAATTAATACTTAATACCATTACCAAATAAAATATAATTTTTAATAACTACGGTATAATAAGAAATATATTTGGGATCTGTCCCTGGATCCTGGCACTGAGCTCCTCACATGATTTGGAGATGTGAATAAGGTGACTTAGGGTGACATCCCTAGATCACTTCAAAATAATCAGAATAATTGGAAAATTTAATCTCACCTTCTGACCTTGTGGAAGGGGGCTGGAGATTAAGCTCTATAGACTCTTAAAATGTGATGAGCCTTAGACTTGACAAACCCATACGCATGCTGAGTGGCAGGCCAGCTCCACAGCAACAGAAGCTTTCAGCCCAAGACCCTTCTGTCCTTGTTCTATGTACCTCCTGATTTGGCTATTGATTTGTAATCTTCTTGAATTTTGAGACCACCCTCACAAATTATCAAACATTAGGAGGAGGTTCATCAGAAGTATGGACCTCTGGGACTTGAGACCAGCATCTAAAGTTGGGGGCAGTATTTTGGAACTCAGCCCTTAAATAACAGAATCTGCACTAATTTTGAGTAGTTGGTGTTAGAATTGAACTGAATTGTTGAACATCTAGTTGGTGAATCAGAGTATTAGTTGTTGGTGTTGGAAAATATCCCTTAAAATAACCTTTAAAATTTAAAAGTAACTAAAAGTGAAATATTAAAAGGAGAGTTATTAGAAAATACAGAAATTATAATAGTATCACATTTTATAGTAGGGAGTTAACACATAATCATTAACATTAATTAATCATAGAATATGGATATAAGTACTAAATTTAAAATCTTAAACACTGCCACAGAAAATGAAATTTAATAACCACAACCTGAAGCTGTGGTGGAAAAGGGCAGTAAGAGATAGTGTAAGTGCTTCAATTGTTCTAGTGTAAGTGTATCAATTGTTCACCTTTCATAGTTGGCAGCCAACAGATGTTATAGGATGTTATAAAATAGTAAATAGAATTATAAAATTTAAACTTATACTGGTAACTATAAAAGTAATAACAACAGAAACTCTTTTATTTTTCTTTTATTTATTTATTTATTTATTTATTTATTTTTTAAATAAGGTCTTTCTCTGTCACCCAGGCTGGAGTGCAGTGGCTCAAACAAGGTTCACTGCAGCTTCGATTTCCTGGCCTCAAGCAATCCTCCCACCTCAGCCTCCTGAACAGCTAGGACTAGAGGCATGTCAAATTTTTTATTTTTTGTAGAGACAATGTTTCCCCAGCTGGTCTCTAGCTCCTGAGCTCAAAGGATCCTTCCACCTTGACCTCCAAAGTTCAGGCCTTACAGGCGTGAGCTACTGCACCTGGCCAGAAACCATTTTCTTATAAAGAATAGCAGCCTCTAGGGAGTTGCAGGGATCAAAATGGTATTTTTTGTTTAATATTCTCATGTCCTACCATAATTTTTGCATTTATTACTTCTATGATTTAAATATGTAATTTAAAATATCATTTGAACTGCAAAAGAAAGCACCATATAACAGATAATTCAGAAAAACATATTAGTCTTAATATTTTATTATTATGCTTTATAAAATGCACATATTTGAAAATAAAAGACATAACCCTATGTGCGCTGTTTTTATAATTCAGTTACACTATACATGCAGTGCAGTTTACACCTATTATATATTCTAGAGCTCTCTGTTTACTTATTAATACCTACCTATTTCAGAATTACAGGTTGATGTTTTGGCTTGCCTTTTTCAAATATGTTGGGGCAGGTAAAATTTATTAAAACCTTTCAAATTATGTTTTAATTCCACCACACAGATATCTTCCTTGGATATTTATAGAATTATTCACAGAGTATTAGGTAGTATAATGCTGTCAATATTCCTATCTCTTTTATATAATTTATTTCTTTGCATGTATTTTTTACTTTGTGAATATTGTAATTTTGTGACAACTATATGAAACTTACACAGTGTGCAATTAAATTAATCAGGGGCCATCAATGTGGTATATTGAGTTACTGAGCAAGAGAGCCTTAAAAACTACTTAGAACTTGATTAATTTTGATTTATAATGCATCTCTATCAAATAGAGTATCTAAAGCACTAGTTGTCATGACTAAAATATGAAGAGAAATTTAAAGGAGTAAGGTTAGAGAGTACTTTTTAAAATACAATGTGTTCCCATTAATATTTGCAAGTTTATACGTGCAAAAAGAACTTGTCTTTGTAAACTTATGGTCTGTTTATGCGGACACCTGCTTTCAGAATGCAGTTTCCCTTTTGTGAGCTCTAGTGGGGAAGGTAGTGGGGTACAGGGAGTTCACCCAAATACACAATTATGAGGATGGTCCCACCTAGATTTAGAAATTGCTCTTCTACAAAAAAATAAAATAAAATAAAAACTTGTTTCTCAAAAGAACTCTAAGAATATGAGAGCAATGTGTTTGGAGGGGAAAAAATAACAGAATTGATTTATAAATAAATTAAAACAGAACCAATTATACATATAAACAGTAGAGGTAGGTTTACTTAGGCTGTTTGATTATATCTCAGTGATAATAGTTCATTAATCTGAGAAGGCTGTGTGTGCATATTTCAGTATGTTTTTTATTTTTCTGCTGTTTACTTATGTCGTTTGAGGAAGCCTTATAGACTTCCTTTGCAACTTAATCAACATGCATTTATCCCGTAACCCAAATTTGCTGCTCACTTTCACAGTCTGGCTCTTTAAAAGCATTACTGCACTCTGCTGTTTCTCTCTTTCGCACAATTTCATGTTGATTGAGCTCTCCATGACCTATTTTCAATGCTATAGCTCTTTTTCCCCCAACACATAGCTTCCTGTTTTTCTGTTTAGCCGTGTTTGTACTAGTATTTCCTATGGCTAGATGATCACTTCAATTCTGCTTTTAATTTTTTTCTGGCTCTTGGCTCTTGGCAGGTTTTATTTACTTCCCAAAGGAAATTCTGTATATAAAGGGCTGCCTAATTAGTGAATGGTCACAAAAAAACCTTTCTGCCATCACAGAACACTATACAAACATTCTCTTAATGGTGCTTCCTGGCTTCCTTCCTTTAAAACATCCCCTGACAAAGCTAAAATATAGCTATCTTTAAACCTTTGGCCCTCCACTGGAGTGATAGAACCTTTGAACTCTTTTTTGTCCAGTGAATATAGTATGCATTTCTATGTGGAATATGGTTTAGAAGATATGACAAGTTATATTTTCTTTCAGCACTTCCATTTCCTCATCTACGAAAATGGGAGTAAATAGTGCTTACTTTTTTAGTTCATGTTAGGGATTAAATAACATCAACACTTTTTAAAACTCCTAGCAAAGGGGCTGATGCAGAGTGATTTAATTTGGACATCTATTTTGAAAACCACTGCTGATTAAATATTTATTAAAAGACTGCTATTTTTTATTTTAATTCTGTAAGAAATGACATGAGTTGCTAAACAATCTTTGAATGCTTTCTCAGTTCATCTTCATTGAAACTATGATAGAATGTGAGGTGCACCTGCTGTATTATACTCCATTTCTTAGAAAAATAAAACAATAAAAATAAAAACAATTTCAATTATTTAATCAATGACCATTATTGATAGAGCAGAGCCCAAATGTTGTGATATAAATGTGGTAATTACTTCTATTGGTTTGCAGAGATGGCCCACCACACACTCTCACAACACACACATACACATTTGCAGATTTCTCCTTTTGAGTTACAACTTTTATACAATTTAGTTTGGAGAATATAGCCATAGCAAATTCAGCAGAAATAAATTCAGCCAGAAATCTAAGTTATATCTATGGTAAAATCAATGAAGTATTTTTAAATTCAGCTGCTTAACTTTATTAGTGTGGGTTTAATATTACATGTAAAACAATAGCACAAAGTTCAGGAAGTGAAAAAAGAGAACTTCATGATTTTTAATTTCTTATATCATGCATAAAGTGGTATAATATCATCAGAAACTAGACTGTCATAACTTAAAGATGTAAACTCTAAATATTAACATATTCAAAATTATTAACATATTCAAAATTTTTAAAAATAAAAAAATTGTAGCTAATGAGTTAGCAAAAGAAATAAAAGAGAATCATTAAAAGCATACTCATCAAATTCAAAACAAAGCAGCAAAAAAAGACCAGTGAATAAAAAAGACAATAAGCAAATATCAAGTTCATAGATTTACACCTAGCCACATTACTGATTGTACTAAATGTAAATATTTTGAATGAAGACACATTTATGTCATCTTTGTATGTATATTATATATGTATACACACACATATGTGCATATATATGTAACTTGATATATATGCAAACATTCATACATATATACCTGTAACTGTATATATACATCACTTATACATATCTCGGTGTGTGTATGTGTGCATGTGTATACACATGTTATATATACACACATATATATATTTTATATATATATAGTCACCTAATGAACTTATGTAATGAATTTTTCCATGGGTCAAGGCTGAAACTCTGTTTGAAAACCATCCCTTTAATGTGCTCAAATTCTGAGATGAAAAAATTTTCAAATTCTGAGATGAAAAAATTCCTAGAAATTGAAGAATAGGATTGGCACAACCGAACACTAAATAATACAAAATTTTAGACCTCAAGAGGAAAATAGTAACTAGAAGAACAGTGGAAGAAAATAAGAATATATGTCATACATTTAAGAAATTAAGATTTCCCAGAAGTGATAAGTCATTTCAAAAGGGGTACATGATTCTAAAAAGATTCATGGTGTGACTAACAGTGAGGTACAGCTAGAGTGATCAAAGTCCCAATTTTCTCAATATATGCATACTTTATACCTGATAATTTTGTTGTCTGACTGATACTGACTTGCCCAGTATTGACATCTGTATGTTTTGGACCTGCTTGAATTAGTAAATTCCGGTGCAGAGCTTTCCATTTTCCTTAGATGAGCCAACTTGGTGTCTGCAGTCATAGTTTTAGTGCTCATCTTGGGTAAAAACAAAGCAAGTAGCACACTTTGTAGAACAGACCCGAGAAATGCTTCCTTTCTCTGTCAGGATGTACTACCACACACACATATTATTTCACCAAAGATATTTTACTAAGTATTTTTAAACACTTTGTAATCTAAATACCTCACTTAAAAAAGCTTTTACCCAAAGTAGTTTACCTCCAACATGAAGTGTTCAAATGCAGTCCTTATTTTAATATTGTTTAAAATTTGTTTTAAATATTATTTGAAATATTATTAATAGAAAGCTATGTTATTTCTGAAATTATCTTAATATGACTCTTCTTTTTCTCCATATGCCCATATATATCACTATCTCTAGAAGAAACTGTGATAGCATAAATTAGAAAATAAAGTGATCAAAAATAGCAGTATAATTTTAAACCACGAGGTAATAGAGAGTATCATAAATTGAAATTCAGAATTGCAGTTTCCAGTTTTGTTTTTAACTACTATTGTTATCTTGATTATTCTACCAGCTTCAGTTTTCTTATCTAAGATATTATGACATTAAATTAGACGACTTTAAAAGTGTTTTTGTTGTTAAGATTGTGTGAAGTGACTTTCTACAGAATTAAATAATTCTAGTCAAATGTTAAATCATTGATAATTGTTAATTCACCAAGCCAGTTATTGATTTTCTTCAAATAGGCTTATTCAAGTGTATCAAATTTAGTTAAGAGTTTAAATGCACATTTTGAGACTACTGTTTCTCTCTCTGTTAACAATTATTTAAAGATCATTTTCTTCTATTGACAATTATCTCTACCCTGTTAAATTAATCATTCTTTTGGCAGGTTTTTCTAATGTCACTCTTTTTGCTATAGGTAAGTCTGCTTAGTCCAAACTCTTGTTTGAAAAAGTCTGGCCCTCTGAGAAATCTGTTTATTTCTCCCAGGGATTTGGCTCAAACCGACAAGTTAAATAAAGTTAAAGAAGAGGGGAAAACTCGACAATGGCTCAAATTCTGAGTCAGAGCTGCACGGTGTGCTCTCATTATTTTGTTCAACGTCAATTCACGAAACATTAGATGTGCTCGTATGTAATGTGAGTACAAAATGCAAGTACAGACACAAAAGCCAAATATAAATGGAGAGTTGGCTGATTGCAGGGTCAGAAAATATACAAGATGACTTCAGAGCATCACGTAGTGCCAGAAGGTTAGGAAGCACCCAACACAAACACAATGATGGGACTTTGTCAAAGGGACGGACAGAGGAGCTAACTGAAAGAGTTCCCAATGGTCAAAGCTAGAATAACTTTAGCAAAAACATAAGATAGAAATGGATCATAGCCCAAAGCATAAAATAAATATAATTTTATATGCATATAAATAATTTAATAAGTAAATTGGAGGGAATAGACAACTCTTCCATGTAGAAGAATTGTAAGTAATGTATGTAGATACTTTTGCTTCAAGGAGTTGGAGCATGATTGCTCACTTCTTAAGTGGAAGCTGCATATAGTGAGTTCCTTCGAAAGAGCACAGTAGGGAACAGGAAAGGAGAAAAAAGGAACTTTACTGTAGAAAATCCTGACAAACCTAACAAACACGATGTTAGCCAGGTGAGCAAGGTTGACATCAAAAGTGATAATTCATTTTTTATATTATGTACCTTTGATACAATCTGGTGAAAATGGCACCTGACCTCTGTGGCCTTCCTCCCAAGAACACATGACCATTTCTTATTATGAGAAAAAGATCAAAGAAATCTCAATTGAGGGACATTCTACAAAATACCTGACCTGTACTCTTAAAAATTGACAAGTCTATCAAAAACAAGGAAAGAACGAGCAACTGTCACAACTAAGAGAAATCATAACTACGAAACGTCATGTGATTTCCTGAATAAAACCCTGAAACAGAAAAGGATATTAGATAATAACAAAGGAAATCTAAATATAGACTTTAATATTGGTTGATTAATTGCAGCAAATTGTTTTATTAATGTACGAAATTAAGGAACAGAGAAACTGTTGTTGGATATAAGGGAAATCTGCACTACCATCTCTATTTTTCTGTAAATATAAAACTGCTACTAAGTTAAAAGTTTATTTTGAAAAATATCCTTGTCTCTTTTTGGGAGGAATTTTTAAATATCATTGCTTTCATTTCAGTGATGACCTAAAATAATAATGTGATCATATTCTGTTTCACCAAGATGACAATTTATAACAAAATTCTACCAAGTAATTTCAACTTTCAATATTTGCATTTGTGTATACGAAAAATTATCCAGAGCTGCTGAGAAGCAAATATCAGCTTAACTAATAATCAAATATTTGTGCCAAGCAAGTGATGTTAAGCAATCCACAACACATTACTGCTTTGTACTAGTTCTACCCGCTAGGATATTAAAACATTTATCTCTAATCTATTAACCTATATCTTATAAGCAAATTGACTTCGATATTCTATGTTTTTTCTAGATTTTTTCTATGTCTTAATATTCTCCACTTTGATTACTTCATAAAATATATATATTTTTTCAGGTGTCTATTTCTTCTTAGTTTTTGAGGAAAAATTCTCTTCAGAGCTGCATTCCTTTTGGATTATGATCAAGGAATATGTCTTGCTGTACCTCTTACATTTATTTTTTATTTTTGTATTTTTAACATGGGAGCAAAATCATTAACATGAAAGAGTGAAATTGTTTCATTTATGATGGTATATACTACTACTGTGTACCAACATCTTTTTTCCTTTCCCACAGCAACATTGGCACATGTACATTTCAATATTTTAATATCACCCCTCAGCTGATAGGTGCTAAGGTAATGTAAAGAGAGGTGAGAGATGCATAAATTAGTAGCTAATTTATCTATTATATAGCAAAACACAAACTCTTAAGCTAGATGTATATTAAAGTAACTGAAGTTGTTAAAAAAGAAACAAAGTCCTAGCTTTTCTTATTTTTATATTGTTAGATGAATCATAATCCATCACGTTTTGTTTTAAACAATAATGAAATTATATTACGGTAATATATAAAGTTATTGGTTTGTGATGTTTTAATTGGTATTTATATAGCATTTTCAGTTTCATGGATATTAAGAAATTCATAAGGAAAATACCTGCTTCATTTCTCATTTCTTCATACGAAATCTCATTTCTCATTCTTCATTTCTCTTCATACTCTGCTATTATTATTGAAAATAATAGCAGAAAGTGGTATTAACACATTTAATCATTAGATTTATTTCTCAAGCATTCACAATTGCTAATTTGGAAAAGACAATTGTATTATGAAGGATTTTCTCAGAGATTTTTAAATTTATCAAATTAGTATAGTGCGTTTATCTTGTGGAGAATGAAAATTAATTTTAGCCTATTGTTTATTTTTAAGAGCATTTAAAATTTTAAATTGATAAATTACATCAATTGAATTTTAATAAATATGAATCATTTTGTATTATCACAATAATAAAAGAGCTATTGTTCATTATTTTTACATGTATTAACATAATGATGCTGTCTGAAATGCTTGACTGATTTAAAGTGGTGATTTTATTCTTTACAAAATTAAAATAAAATCCCAAACTTTTAAATACTATCTGAAAAAATAATAGACCTTCCTTTAGTATGTTAGACTTTTAAGTTTGATAATTTTTAGTATGTCATAACCCTTTAAACAGGTAATTATGACTTAGAACGATTTTGTAAAAGCATTTCAATTACAGATTAGAAAATTAAAGTTTTTTGAAACCCCAAATTAAATTTTTAAAAACCCCTCATTTGCTATTGGAAAGGTTTGTAAAAGGTAAAAATTATTGAAATTTCAATATATTTATTTTGCTAAAACTTTTGTTGTATAAAAATAATCAGAACGGTATTTTTTGCCAATATTTGATGTTCCCATTTATCATGGTGGCATCAAAATTCCTTCTTTCTCATGAAATAATTTTAAACTTTTTCTTTCTTTATTTCTCACATTGATACATCAAATGGAAATATATCTTGTTTAAAACTGAAGAAGTATGGGATTTACCAGTAAAATTTGCAGTTATGTAGTTATGATAATTCTGAGATAAGGGCAAACAAGAAGTAAGGAGGAAACCTGTAAATTATTTGAACTTATTTATTTATTTATTCATTCCATGAATTTTTTAATTTTAGTTATTGATGTGTTTGGATTTGTGTCCCCACCCAAGTCTCATGTTGAATTGTAATCCCCAGTGTTGGAGAAGGGACCTGATGGGAGGTGATTGGATGATGGGGCAGATTTTCCACCTGCCATTCTCATGAAAGTGAATGAGATCTCACCAGATCTGGTTGCTTCAAAGTGTGTAACACCTCCCCCTTCATGGTCTCTTTCTCCTGCTCTGGCCATATGAAGATGTGCCTGCTTCCCCTTCACCTTCCACTATGATTATAAGTTTCCTCAGACCTTCCCAACCATGCTTCCCACACAGCCTGTGAAACCATAAGCCAATTAAAACTCTTTTATTTATAAATTACCCACTTTCAGGTATTTTTTTATAGTAGTGTGAGAAAGGACTATACAGAAAATTGATACTGAGAGTAGGGCATTGCTGTAACAATACCTGAAAATCTGAAAGCTGCTTTGGAACTGGGTAACAGGCAGAGGTTGGAATAGTTTGGAGGGCTCAGAAGAGAGGAAGACAAAGGAAAGTTTGGACAGGTCCCAGAGACCTGTCAAATGATTTTGGCCAAACTGTTGATAGTGATATGGACAGAGAAGGCAAAGATGAGGAGGTCTGAGATGGAGGCAAGGAACTTATTGAGTACTAGAGCAAAGTTTACTTTTGTTATGCATTAGCAAAAAGGTTGGAGCCATTGTGCCCTTGCCCTAGTGATCTGTGAAACTTTGAACTTTAGAGTGATGATTTAGCATATCTGGCAGAAGATATTCCTAAGCAGCAAAATGTTCAAGATGTGGCATTGCTGCTTCTAGCAGCCTATGTTCATATTTGTGAGCAAAAAAAAAGACATAAAACTGGAACTTACATTTAAATAGGGAAGCAACGTGTAAAAGTTTGGAAAATTTGCAGCCTGGCCATGTGGTAGAAAAGAAAATCCCATTTTCTGGGGAGGAATTCAAGCTGGCTGCAGAAATTTGCATAAGTAAAGAGGAGGCAAATGTTGCTAGCCAAGATAATGGAGAAAACACCTCAAAGGCATTTCAGATACCTTCCTGGCAGCCCCTCCCATCACAGGCCTGGAGGCCTAGGACAGAAGAATGGTTTTGTGGGCCAGACTCAGGGCCTTGCTGCTCTGTGCAGCCTCAGGACTTAGCACTCTGCATCAGGGCCACTCTAGCCCCACTCATGGCTAAAAGGGCCCAAAGTACAGATAGGGCCATTGCTTCAGAGGGAGAGTGCAAGCTGTAAGCCTTGGTAGCTTCAATGTTGTGTTAAGCCTGTGGGTGCACAGTGTGTAAAAATCTAGGTGGGATCCTCCACCTAGATTTCAGAAGATGTCTGGAAAAGCCCGGATGTCCATGCAGAAGTCTCCCACAGAGGCAGAGCCCTCATGGAGAACCTCTACTAGGGCCATGCAGAGGGGAAATCTGGGGTTGGAGTCCCCACTCAGAGTCCCCACTGGGGCACTGCCTGGTGGAGCTGGGAGAAGAGGGTAACCATCCTACAGACCCCAGAATTGTAGATCCACTGACAGCTTCAACTGTACACCTAGAATATCCACAGGGACTCAATACCAGCCCATGAAAGCAGCAACCAAGGCTGTACCCTGCAGAGCCACAGGGTGGAGTTTCCCAAGGCCTTGGGAGCCCAACACTTGCATCAGCATGCCCTGGATATGAGACATGGAATCAAAGAAGATGATTTCAGAGCTTTAATATTTAATGATTGCCTCACTGGGTTTTGGACTTGCATGGTACCTCTGCCCCCTTTGTTTTGAGCAATTTCTCCCATTTGAAATGGGAATATTTACCCAATGCCTATATCCTCATTGTATCTTGAAAGTATCTAACTTTTTTGTTTTTTGTTTTTTTGTTTTGTTTTGTTTTTTAGTTTTACAGGCTCATAGGTGGAAGAGATTTGCTTTGTTTCAGATGAGACTTTGGATCTTGGGCTTTTGAGTTAATGCTGGAATGAGTTATGACTTTAGGGGACTATTGGGAAGGCATGATTGTATTTTGAAGTATGAGAAGGACACGAGATTTGGGAGGGGCAAGGGGTGGAATAATGTGGTTTGGATTTGTGTCTCCACACAAATCTCATGTTGAATTGTAATCCTTAATTGGAGAGGGGCCTGGTGGGAGGTGATTGGATCATGGGGGGTGGATTTCTCCTTGCTGTTCTCATGACAGATAATAGCTAATGAGTTCTTAGCAGATCTTGTTGTTTAAAAGAGTGTAACACCTCCCACTTCACTCTCTCTCCCTCCTGCTCTGGTCATGTGAAGACATGCCTGCTTTCCCCTCACCTTCTAACATGATTGTAAGTTTCTCGAGGCCCTCCTTGTCATGCTTTCTATACAGCCTGCAGAACTGTGAGCCAATTAAACCTCTTTGTTTTATCAATTGCCCAGTTTCAGGTATTTCTTTATAGCAGTGCGAGAATGAACTAATACAGATATTATGGTAGACGCTGATGACACATGATAAAATAAAATGTGGTCTTTGATTTCTTAGAACTTTTCTAACATTTACACTGGGTATGTATAAAATATGTCTTCCTGGTTACAATGTATGTGGGAATGCACTGTGATTAGAAGGTTCCTCTGCTTTGGTAATCAAGGAGACACATAGTCAAGAATCATCTTTCTTCTGTGCCTAGGGATTGGAATTTTGATTTACTATAGACATAGAATATTCTAGGAATTTCAAAGAAACTTAGCAACAATTAAATGGTATCAAATTATTTGGTTAAGATTACACATTTATTTTCAAAGACAGAATTTTACTCTACTTTTAATAATGAAATTATATTTTCTAATGTTGTGGCATTAAAAAATTATGTGACTACATTATTGTTTATATATCCTTTATTTCCTTTTATGTCATAAAGAAAGAAAACAAACCTTTTTTTCATTATATTTATGCAATCTGAAGTTGATAGGTAATTATTTGTATGGCTTCATCTATATTTTTATCTCCTGTTTTCCCTTTGCTACATGACTTTAAATATAAAAACAAAAATAAAAACTCAAACTATTTGCTATTCTAACAGTTTAAAAAAAACTTGAACACAATGCTCCTAATGATTAATAAATGTTAATAGCAATATTTAAAGAATCTTTAAAATTAATGTGACATTTAATACACAGAGCAAATAAGTCATATTAAAAGTGTAATTTCTTTTATTTCATTAGAATCTAACAAATTGTTTATCCTAAATTACTTTTGCTTTTACCCACTCCTTAATTTCTCTTGCTTTCTTAACTTAAGAATATCTTTTTATCTTCTCTAATTCATTATCTTTATTTTATTTATTCTTAAATTTATGAATGATTTAAAACAAAACGAAGCAATATACTACGGCCTATATTTAATTAGAATTGCAGTCTAATGACCTATATGCCTCTTGCATATGTCCAAAGAAATTGGAGAATAGCTTATACCTCATTATTTCACCCTGCCCTACCTGTCATTAACGGCCACTCCTCATGTTTTCATTGCCTTGCTTCAACATGCTGCCTAACTACCCTTCTGTAGCCACCTTTGTATTCCCTGATACTTTTTTTTTTTTTTTTTTGAGATGGAGCCTTGCTCTGTCACCCAGGCTGGATTGTAGTGGCGCAATCTCGGCTCACTGCTATCTCTGCCTCCTGGGTTCAAGCAATTCTCCTGTCTCAGCCTCCAGAGTAGCTGGGATTATAGGTGTGTGCCACCTCTCCCAGCTAATTTTTGTATTTTTAGTAGAGACAGGGTTTCACCATCTTGGCCCGGCTAGTCTTGAACTCCTGACCTCGTGATCCACCCACCTTGGCCTCCCAAAGTGTTGGGATTACAGGCGTGAGCCACCGTGCCCAGCCTCCCTGATACATTTACTAAGTTTCCCAAACATTATCCACTTTTCATATTAACCACTTGATGTATTTTTCAGATACCATAAATAATATTTCTAATAATTTTCCAATCCCATCCAAAATGTGTAAGAATTATTAAGAAATTAATATCATTTTGTGCTCATTATGAGCAGCACATTTTTGAAAGCACAATCTTTTATAAAGACACTAAAGTGCATCAGATAGTTTTTCTGATAATTTTTGTATCCTTAATAAAGTGCAATTGTTCTGCAAGGATAACTACATATAGCAAAAATCCATTAAACTGCATATAGCAAAAATCCATTAAAAATTATGAAAATTTACAGACAGTAAATTTTCTGTTAAATAGAATTTATCAAATTGGTATATAAATTTTTGGAAAGAAGGCAAAGCATAAGAAATCTATCTTTTTATCCCAAAATATTTTAAACACATTCATATACCAGGAATGGTATCACACATAGCCATTTTTTATTATAAGAAAAATAATGTGCTACTTCCTTTGAGAAAACAATCTTTGTCTAGAAATTTCACCAAAAAGCTTCTTAATAGAGCTTTCTACCTTTAGTCATAGGCCGAAGTTTTAACTCCTCTTCTATTACCCTCTACTCGTCAGCTATGTGGCTTCCTATGCACTTTTATTGCACAATGCTTCGCATTCCTTAAGTAGTTTTTTATGATACGATATACTGTCTCTCAAACTAGATTAAATAATTTGATGTCATCTTATTTTTTATATAAATCTAGGTTCAATATTGATACTTGCGGGTTGAGATTTGCCGCAGCATCCTTCAATAACAATATACTTATAAAATTGTACTGAAAGAATTTTCTTTGATATTGTATTTGATAAGATCCTGAGCCAAGGACATAGAATTATGGATAAGAGCAGAGTACGTCAAGAATGATGATGATTTACAGCTTTGGTAAATAAACCCATCGTGTTTAGAGATTGGGAAGGGGCAAAGGTAGGTGAGTTGGGAAAAACACAGCAGGAACAGTGGCTGAGTGTTGTGGCTCCAGCTTATACCCCAGCACTTTGGGAGGTCAAGGCAGGAGGATTGCTTGAGGCCAGGAGTTTGAGACCAGCCTGGGAAAATATAGTGAGATCTCATCTCTACATTTTTTTTTAATTAGCTGGGCAATTGTGTGTGTGCCAGTAGCCCTAGCCACTCAGGAGGCTGAGGCAAGAACATTGCTTAAGACCAGGAGTTTGAGCTTGCAGAGAGCTATGACTGCACTCCAGTCTGGGCAATAAAGCTACGCCCTGTCTCAAAAAAGAAAAAAGAAAGAGAAAAGAAAAGGAAGAGGGGAGGGGAGGGGAGGGGAGGGGAGGAGAGGGGAGGGGAGGGGAGGAGAGGGGAGGGGAGGGGAGGAGAGGAGAGGAGAGCAGAGGAGAGGAGAGGAGAGAGGAGAGGAGAGAGGAGAGGAGAGGAGAGGAGAGGAGAGGAGAGAGGAGAGGAGGAGAGGAGAGGAGGAGGATAAAAGCCCAACAGGTTTACAGGTGAAAATAATGAGAGTGGATTTCGATTCTTAAGCTTCGGGTGCCTGAATTACTTTCAAGTGGTAATGATTAATAGGCAGTAGGAAATACAGGTATAACAAAGAAAGGGAGGGTGATGAAATAGATTTGGTAAAGCCTAATATTTCAAGCCATTAGACTGGATGTAATCCATTCGGACAATATTCAAAGAGGAGGAAGGAAAGAGAGAGAGAGAAGAGAACCAACAGAAGAAAAATGGCTCAGAAGGCTGCCTGTAAGACCAGAGTTCAGTTGTTTTAAGGACAGATTAGTAGACATAGACCAAGAGAAGGCACAACTGACGAGCTTAATCAATGGATATAAAACAAAGTAGTATGTAAATATGATTTATAATTTGTAAACAGAGTCTGAAACTCAAGAATTCTATCTAAGAACATAAGAAAAAGAAATTCACACAAGTTCTGATGGACCACTGAAGCCATTGAGCTCATTTTACAATTACTAAGGCCCTAAACTATGAGAACATTTGAACTCAAGATTCAAAAACCTTAGCTAATAAGCAAACATGGGTAGGAAATAGGAAACTCAGTCAAAAATGGGTTTAGATAATAGGATCATTAAAATACTTATTACAGAAATTGTGATTCACCTAAGAGCTCAGTTAATAAGAAACTCTAATACGAATGCAAAGTAAGGGCCCAACTGAGTGCCTTATAAAATCCCTGTATATCCCCACTAGTTTCCTTTGTGTCTGGAGTAGGCCTCATCCATAAAGCAGAAGTGAATATCATTAAGTCATTTCCAATGCTACGTCTATGGAAGTGAGAAGCCAGGCTTATCCACTGGTAAATATAGGCAGCTTGGGGACAGCAGACCTCTCCAAAAGAAGATCAGACCAGTCAGGCTGACCCAAAGAAGAAAGGCAGGGTCTCAGGCTCAGCTCCTTTCAGATTCTGTAATCATATTAGTCCCTCTTCTTCCATGGATGGAAGTGAAAGCAGAGTATGACTTCCAGGAATGTTCCTCCAAATAGAAACATGAGAATTGAGCATAAAGTATTTTCCCCTGAGAGAACACTTAAGGCTTATTGTCACCCTGTTCTTCTTTCAGGAGTTATTACTGAAGATAATAAGAAAGTTCTATCATTTCTCTAGGCTTGCCTTTTAAAAGTTTCCTATTATAATTTTTTAGAGTAAGTATATGTAATTAAACAGTGATTTCCCACATTTGGTGCTGCCCTAGAGTAAGACGCTTGCTGTCTTTTACACTAAAGCTAAGAACCAAACCAAAGCAGATGAGATTTTTGATAAGAAGAGGGTAAATATGTGCTACTCTAATAAGTCACTAGAATTTGCCAAAGAAGAGGTATTAGCAAGACAATTGTTCATATAAGAATTGTTTCATTTTGATAACAGAATAGGATGTTTACTTCTCTTTCTCCTCTCCTACATCTTGGGAGCATAAAATCTGAAGAAACCTATAAACCTTGTTTTCAACTCAATAGAGAGGAAGTGAGGTGTTACCTGAGAACTTAGGATCTGCCCCAGAGAAGAATTGGTCTGGAGATGTCCTGTACCGCAAAAGCAGGATATAGTTAGGTCATTTGTATTTACATCTGTATTTACATTTATATCCTTTCACTAGGAAAAGTGTTAAATCCATTCCCAATCCTGTATTAATGGTATTTTATTTTGAATTTTTGTTTGATACAGCACTGTAGCCTTTGTGCTGACACAGGTCTCTTCCTAACTAGAGCTTTGGTGAGTCTTTCCCCACACCACTTTGGAAGTGTTTATCATATCTGTTGCTTTTTCAGCAGTCCTCTCAGCAACTGTGTTCATTTCAGATTATAATAGGACAATTGGATAGAATATCTTTTAAATACAAAAGAACTTTGTGAAGAAATATGAAAAATAAATTCATTGGATTTCAACCCAATGTTCTATATTGATTAACTTTTAGTTTCCAGATGTAATGTTGTATCCAAAAGTCTCTGATAAATTACAGTGGCTGTTAATATTTCAAGAGGTTATATCAGATACCTGGGAAATTTTCTCCTGCCAAATTTTGCTATACTTCATTTTTTTAATTATCAGTTTCATAATTTATACCTTTTTTCACAGAGTCTTTAAAAATTTTCCTTTGAAAAAGTTGATTTCTTTCTTTGTTAACTTAGAATTTCTTTTCATTTTTTAAAAATGTATTTTGCCTTTTGTGTTTTGGTATAACTTTATACCAACCAAGAGTGTCATATTTAGACAAGAATTAAAATTATGTACATTTTATTGTAGGTTCTTGAGAAGTTTGTAGTTAAGTGGAAGAGAATATCAGACATTTGCGATTTTGCATTCTGGATTGTGAGCTCTAAAAAGGAGATAATTAAAATAAAATAAACAGTAGTAGACTAACTTCTAAAGAATTAAAGGAAGTAGGCCAGGTGCAGTGGCTCACACCTGTAATCCCAGCACTATGGGAGGCTGAGGCGGGCGGATCACGAGGTCAAGAGATCGAGACCATCCTGGCCAACATGGTGAAACCCTGTCTCTACTAAAAATACAAAAATTAGCTAGGTGTGGTAGTGCAAGCCTGTAGTCCCAGCTAGTAGGGAGGCTGAGGCAGGAGAATCACTTGAACCCAGGAGGCAGAGGTTGCAGTGAGCCAAGATCATGCCACTGCACTCTAGCCTGGTGACAGAGCAAGACTCCATTAAAAAAAAAAAAATTAAAGGAAGTAAAAGAAACATGTAAAACTGAATTATCTAGATGTTTTTATTCCACACATAAATATAGACACTAAATAATGTTCATTTACTTCTCACCTAATTCAATCTCTTCCTATGATGGTTTCTACTATTTTGGTATGATATCAATGTCTGTATTAGTTAGGATTTTGGTTACTTCTATATCAGACCTATCCACGGTGGCTAAAACAAATACGATTTTTTTTTTCAGTTAATAAGAGTTAGGAAGTAAGCCATTAAGTTTCATGCAGCTGCTTAAGGGAATCATCAGGGACCTAGATTAATACTAGCTCCTGATCTGTCATCTTTAGCATGTAATTTTGGTTCCTGCTCCACTTCCAGGGAAATTCACTATACTTCAGTAAATAAAGGCCAAAGGCACTGCAGTTATGTCTTTGGCTACACTACAGTAAACTTCAGTGCAATTATTATTATTATTATTTTATTTTTATTTATTTATTTATTTATTTTTTGAGACAGAGTCTTGCTCTGTCACCCAGGCTGGAGTGCCCGGGCATGATCTCGGCTCACTGCAAGTTCCGCCTCCCAGGTTCACGTCATTCTCCTGCCTCAGCCTCCTAAGTAGCTGGCACTACAGGCGCCCACCACCACACCCGGCTAATTTTTTGTGTTTTTAGTGGAGACGGGGTTTCACCGTGTTAGCCAGGATGGTCTCGATCTCCTGACCTCGTCATCCACCCTCGTCGGCCTCCCATAGTGCTGGGATTACAGGCGTGAGCCACTGTGCCCTGCCAACTTCAGTGCAATTATTTTTAACTCAGTTTTAGCCAAATAAAAGCACGATTCTTTCAGTAAGTAAATAATATACCTGCTATCATACTGCTAGGATAAAAAATGAGTTACAGATATGACATGGCACATGTATACAAATGTAACAAAACTGCACGTTGTGCACATGTACCCTAGAACTTAAAGTATAATTTTAAAAAATGAGTTACAGATATGTGTTATAATTCTAACACTTTATAGTGATTGTAGAGGTTTTCAAAATTCAGAATGCCTAATATTCATATAGAAAGTTTATAAAAGAGACAGATTTTAAGTTCTCAAAAAGAGATACTCTTATTCAACAGGGCAGAGCATGTTTCAAAAGTTTCTATATGCAACTATCATCATAGCTACAGATGGTTCATGAACCACTTTTTGAGAAATACAGGTAAACTTTGATACAATTTATTGAAGAACCTTTCCATTGATTAGTAAAGGTCAAAGATAATTGTCTTTTAATTTATTTGAACTCTATGCTTCAACTTCTTATAATTTTATTCTTAAACTTCTTCTTAATATTTCCCTTCTTTGTTTTTCTTTATTTTTAAAGATGAAACTACCAGGCTCATTGCAAATTATGCCATTTCTAAAGAAAGTAATTATTAAGTGAACTTTACTAATTATTTTTCTGTCTTCATTGATTCTTAAGTCATAGTCAGTCTGGAAGCTGTTATGTACTTTTGGGAATATATTCTGAATCTATTACTTCAGGTAAAATTTAATTACTTCAAGTTATATTTGAAGATGGTGACATATTTAGTATTTTTCAAGTTTGAGAGTATGAAAGCATCAAGTCCTCAGGGTTGCTTGTGAAAGAAGACCTTGTTTCTGTCTGTCTCTTCCCTTTGACGTTGGTACTGATTTTTGTAAATATCTCTTTCAGTTTTCCATTGAATAGAATGTGGTCTACCATAAAGGAAGCAGAGAGGCCAGTAGTTACTATGCAGTTCCTCCCTTCATGGCCCTTATTTAGTGACTTTCTGGAGCAAGCTCATGCTGGATTCTGAGAGTTAATTCTCAGCATCTATTCTCAACTCTGTGTTCTGTGACATTAGCTTGATAGTTAGAAATTGGCCACGGTGGGTATATTTTACACCACAGAAATCAAGAACTGCTACAAACCAGGCTTTTGTTTGGTTTTTACTAGCACATCACAGCCTACATTCACCTGTGTCATCTTGTGGATATGTAAACAGCTGTCAAAGTCAAATTACCCACCTTCCTCACCTTCAGCCCACTAGGAGTCTTGTTTTGCATGGGCTAAGCCAGAGTGCTGATTGCAGAATTACAACTCTTAAATAAGAAACATCTAAACATAAAATGAAGCACCAAGATGACTTTCCATTTCTGTTGTTACAAATTAGGAACCTGATCAAGAACAATGAGGTCTTGTAGTAGAAATGGAGTCACAGTCTTTAATTTATCAAAAAGTTATTTATAAATGTTCATCGAAATGACAACATTGGAATTCTTCTTTGCTTTGGGACATGACTATTTTCAAAAGTAAGTGAGCAAAGGTATGAAAGAAGGAAAGAGAGGAGGAGATAATGAAACAAAGGGACAAAAAAGGAAGAATAAAAGGAAGGAGGAAGGGAGGGAGGGGGAGGAAGGGAAAAAGAGAAAAAGAAAGAGAGAAATAAAGAGAATACTTGGTGAAATCAATAAAAATTTGCACTTGCTTTGTTTTCAATTTTAGTCTAAATAAAAAAAATAAATTGGCCCCTCACGCCTATAATCCCAGCACTTTCCAGGGCCAAGGTGGGCAGGTCTCTTGAAGCCAGGAGTTTGAGACCAGCCATGGCTAACATGGTGAAACCCAGTCTCTACTAAGAACACAAAAATTAGCTGAGGGTGGTGGTGCACACCTGTAATCTCAGCAGCTCAGACGGCTGAGGCAAAAGAATCACCTGAACCTGGGAGGTGGAGGTGAGCCCCCTGGGAGACAGAGTGAAAACCTGTCTCATAAAAACAAAACAAAGCAAAACAGAAACCATGAACTGAAGTCTGAAGATGTGAAATAGAATCATTATTAATAAAATAAAAATTTTAAAAACATTTTCTCTATATAATAACTAGTTTCTAGTAAAAATTTCTTGGTTGCATTAAAATTGTTTTGCTCCTCTTTTTGCAAATAAAGAGTGAGGTGTTTTTGAAAAACAGGATGTACCACGGAGAAGAAAGGTGTTAAATAGCTCTAGAACAAAGTATGTCATATAAATGATTTACTATGTTCTGTAGGATACAGATCATTATTGCTGAGATCATTACAATGGAAAATATTGATTTGTTTATAAGAAAGTATAAAGTCAGAACTGAGTCAACCCTCAAAGAACACTACAGAATGATGCCCTATAAAATCCTACAAAGACAAGCTGTATTGTTAATCAGCCTCTACACAGCCTGATTTTGCAAGATGTCCTTGATTGAGGCACAGCGTCAGCTATCCTTACGTCAATACAGTATGTCAATAGTGAAGAAATATGTTTGTAATTGCTTTTGTTTGTGAGAGAGCTCTATGGAATCCTGAAGGCACTGTGAGATGGGATGGACTACTAAATTAGCACTCCAAAGATAACAGTCCCATATATCATTGATAAACAAATCACCACACATGCATTCTGGCTGAGAGTCTGTATTTTGTAAGTCAATTTAAATGAGTAGGGCACACCGTGTAATAGACTTTTAAAAAGATCTCAATTAAGGACAGGAGTTTGGGAAAGACAAATGTATCAAAAAGACATTGAAAGGAGTGCAGTCACCGTCTCTACCAAAATAACCAAACATTATTCAAGCTTATTTTCCTTGGATTTTCCAAGTAGATTAATTGCAATATTTTAAATATTGCAATAATTTAATAAATAACAGAAAGACAAATCGATATTTTGTGAATAGACAAGGCAGTCATAAGAATGTATTGGCTATATATCCATACAAAAATTATCTTATTTTGATTCTAGTGTTTTGTAAATCTGTCACAGTGTGTGTAGTTCCACCCACTTTCACATGTACCCACAATGCCAGACATCTTTCATATTGGTATTAATATTGTTATTATTATCACCAAACGTACTGCTAAAGAATTATATACTGGACTACTAAAGTAATGGTGAAAAATGTTCCAGGTAATCTTATGTGTATTAAACTTCTTTAACATTTACTTGATAGAAACCTAACTCAAAGTAGAGAAATTGAAAAGAAAAGGGTCAATTTCACAAAAACTGAGGACAGGTGTGGAAGTAACATAGGCATAAGAGTGGATCTGGCGCTCATGTTCTATTCTTAGAAGTGTACTTGTCCTGCTTCTCTTTGTGTTTTGGCCACATTCTCTGCTACTATAGAAAGGTTTCATTCATGTGGTGGGGAAGGGTGGTGAGAGTTCTTAAACTCCTTCCTGCAATGGGAACCCAACAGCAAGAAAATAACTTTTCACCTTCCTAGCATAGAAAGAATGTCTCAGCCTAGTTTAAATTATGTGCCCATCCTGGAACCCAATCACTAGACAGGACAGTGAGACAGTCTGATTGATAAGGTCTAAAACATAAGCCTTCTCCTAAATCTGGGAGTGACTGGGATGTTATGGTTGACAGGTCCACAGTTACTGCAAGAAATAGAAATGTAAATAGTTGCCAAAGACGGAGGTTTCAAGGGCAGACAAAATCAAGAGATATGCACTACGCCATTTAGCAAAGTATTCATATTTGATTCTGGTACTTTCGAGCTCCCCAACAAAAGTAAGCAGAATTTATTTATTTATTTTTTGAGGTGGAGTCTCGCTCTGTCACCCAGGCTGGAGTGCACTGGCACGATCTCGGCTCACTGCAACCACCACCTTCCAGGTTCAAGCGATTCTCCCACCTCAGCCTCCCAAGTAGCTGGGATTACAGGCGCTTGCCACCACGACCGGCTAATTTTTGTATTTTTGGTAGAGACGGGGTTTCGCCATGTTGGCCAGGCTGGTCTCAAACTCCTGTCCTCAGGTGATCCACCCGCCTCAGCCTCCCAAAGTGCTGGAATTACAGGCGTGAGCCACCGCGCCCGGCCAAAAGTAAGCAGAATTTTAAATGTTCTCCAATTCACCCAGGAATAGCTGACGAACATATATAACAAGTTTCAACTAACAACTTCACAGACGCAATCATATTTGCTTCATGTAGTTTGAGTAGGTAGGCTTTTGTCACTTGTAACTGAGAGACCTGATTAACAATGTTTTCCACATGTTGTTCAATTATTATAATTATTCCAAATAAAAAAAAAACAGATCCCAATGAGAAAAGCAAAGCGGTCCCGATTTTGATCAATTTCAACAATTCATCTTTATTCATTTATGTATTTTAATTTCTGTACTTTTCTTACCCTGCCTTTTGAGAGCAACCATGCCCCCAGGTAAGTAAAGATTCCAATGCTGTATTCATTTCAATGAACATTTCTAAGTTAATTTTGTTGAATTAGACATCACTCCATTTCCACTGGAAGACCTCCTTGTTCTTGATGAACTTACTAATTGGTAGCAATATCAATAGAAAGTCATTTTGTTCCTACAACACTGTTAGGCGAACATATTGTTCAATTTTCTGTCCGTTTTGTGGAAAAAAATCAGAGTACCATTAGCCTAAGCCTTTATTTGAAAATGCCAGGAACAAGGATGCTCACTAGGAGTGTTTTGTCTTGGAGAAGGAAGGAGGAATTTTATAAAGCTTTAGCAAAAGGGATTATACAAAATTCAGCTAATTGGGAAATAGTTGGTCAATATCAATTCTGAGAAGAGGGTGAAATTGTTATGTGAATTTGTAGCTGTTTATTGATCAATTCAAATGTAACAAAGGTGAGGAGGAAGAGTTAGGCATTGACTCATGTATAAATTAAGTGGGAAGGAACAGTTGAGAAAGGAGGGGGACAAAAACATGCAAAGGCCGCAATGGACAATACAGTCTTTCAAGATCTCTTACAATTGTATTCCAGCTTATGAGGTATGAACTCATCTCCCCTCACTTATTTTTTTGGTAATATTGTCTAGATTACATGTAAATAGAATTGTATTTACCCTCTCTTATTTATGTACAAGAAGATCTAACTTTTTGGATTTTTAAGTTATTTGTACTTAACCCAATCAACAACCAAAACCAAAACAAAACAAAACCCATTTTTTAAAGCCCCTTTTTACTTTCACAGTTCAAAGAATTAGAGTATTCTCCTATAACTTTGTTCTATGCTCTAAAATAACCTATAATTGGATAATAAGAAAAATGTAAAGCTTGCTTAATACATGAATGTAATATATAATGTAATATAATTAAATGATGAATACATATCCTAATTTATTTTGAATTCCTTTGAAATCTGTGCTACCTTTAAATCATATTACGTGGAAATTAGCATCAGTAATTCTGTTCACTGGAAGCTATGTAATAGGAACCCTGCAAATGTGTGGTAGCTGAATAATATGCATTTGGAAAAATATCAAGTAGTGGCATTTGTCATATAATATGCACATTGGCAATAATGGTTATCAGGTAATGCAAGATAATAATTCAATATGACAGCCTAATTTGAATCAACTGCATGCTTTATTGAATAACATAATTAAAATATGTCCAATCTATTGGTATTTAAATGTATTTATATGGTGACAAAACAGAATAAACCAACATTTAAAGGTTCCCAGTCAACATCATAAAACAACATGGAAAGAAAAGCAAAGAAACCAAGTGGGACCTGTCTATGTACACAGTGTTCATTAGACCCACGTTATGTTTGGTTAGACTGGTTTTGAAAACAGAGCTTTTGCATAAATAATAAATACATTCCCCACAACAGAGAATATCCCTGTTATGATAATAATAACAAATGAAAACATATCAACTAATTCATTTCTGACAAAAGACTGGAATAATCTGGGTTAGCATAAATGTTTTATTTGTAAATATTTCACTGTCAACATATATTTTCAACAAACAATTATGTAATACATAGTACCATTGTTCCTAGGAAGTTATCCAGAATTCTAATATTTAAGGTTTCCTCAAATATCATTGCCTGTCATTGGATTAAATTGATAACATACAGTAAAAATAATCTGAAGTAGGAAGACTGTGACCAAATAGTTCTTTATAAGAGTACATTTAAATATGTCTTCTTTCCTGGGGTAGAGCCTTTCAGAAATAAATGCAGCAGGTGAGAAATAATGTACCATCAATCGAAGACACTGGGCACCTTACTGCCCAACCTTCCCCAGTCCTGCAGAAACCCAGTGACATCAAACTCTCTTGCCTGTCAAGATGAAGAATTCCATAGTGGTTAGACACAGATTCTAGAAGCAGCTACTTATGTTCAGACCTCAACTTTATCACTCACTGCCTTTAAGACTTTGGACAAATAACTTATAATACCTACCTTATAATGCTTACCTTCACACAACAAATGACAAAAGTAAATAAAAAACCAATCCCATATCATTGCTGTGATGGTGAAAAGATTGGGTATGTACAAAGTGCTAAAGACGGTGCCTGGTTCATAATATGGACTGTGTAGATGTGAGTTCATATTATTGTTTATTCCTGTTCTAGGTGTCCACACCATCTTTCTGTGGGGGAAAGCTTTTAAATAAAGTTTAAGCATAAGCCTAGGCAGAGACAAAAAATTTGGGTGACTGACGACTAATTTGAATATGTCAGAAAGAGAACTTGTTGAGAAAGATGGTAATATCCACCAAACTCCAACCCTCCAGGAGCATACAAGCAGAGAGCAATTAAAGGTCGGATTTTTATTTTCTTTCTTTTTTTTCTTTTCCATAGGCTGTTTTTAGAGTACAATTCTATGGGGCTACTTTCAGTGTAGTTTTGGCTCACAGTCTCAGTTCTCAGCCTGCCTCCAAGCAAATACTCAAAATATGTCTGAATTTTGAAGATAAATTTTCCTTTTACAGAAAAAATGACTCAATTAAAAAATAACAAATTTATCTTTCATAGGTCACACAACAACTCATACATAGGCAATCCCATAATAGAATCAACTAATTAAGCTTTTGATTTACATTTCATACCCTTCCCCTTGTTCTAAGGCTTTAAATAATAAAACTCACAGGTTGAAATACTTCCATTTGGAATCCCATTATATGAAACCAAACCAATCAAGGATATATTCAGTAAAAAATAATTTAAAATGTGAGTGATACAGAAGCAAAAAATATAAGTACTAGAACTGACCATACTGTCCAAGTTGAAGTCTCAAGGCAGTCCAAATTTCTAAGGAAATTTCTTATTCTAAAGTCTTTAAAAAGTGTGCTTTCTGAAGTCAGTTAAATTTCCTCCTCTGGTGTTCTATCTCTCATTACCAATAGTACCATTTTTTCAATGTGAATGGCAATCTGGAGATTCATTCTAGACTTTACCTTTCCTTTCAAATTATTATACTGCAAAATCTCTCTTCATTTCCTCTCTAGCTCCCTCTTTCGATTATCTCAATTCAAGATTCAACCAGTTTTGTCGAATTGCTTCCTGGCCTTCTTTCTCAATCATCTTGCATCAAAGTCAGGAAATTCCAAAACCTTAACATGAAACTAAAGTCCCTGCGTAATGTGACCCAACCCGTTTCCAACTTTGTTTCTTACTACCCCCTACCAGCACCCCACTTCGTCACTGCAGCCTACACAACTGTTGTCCTGAACTCTAGAGTTAACATGTTCTCATGTTTCCATGCCTTTATACGTTATTCCCATAGTCTAAAATGTGCCTTTCTTCCTCCTACTCTTCATTCTTTTAGATGAGATTCAAATACTTCTACCACTGAATTTCCATATTCTGGGTTAGCTACTGGGTTAATTAGTGTTTTGTTACTGCTGTTTTCCATTCAGACCTCTTTCCTGACCTCCCACAAGAAGTAGGAGGACATATGTGTAGGAGGAAAGTCACAGTGTACCCACTGCTGTGGCAATTGATATTGGTCTAGGACTGTTGTAGCCCGTCCAACGAGAATCCCTTTCTGAGATTTTTCTTATTGTACCAACATGGAAACTCTCTGTTCTTCCTGGCACATAGAGCAAGAAACATGTGAGCCTGGGTAAGTTAGTGGCTATAGTCTCTATCATTTGAGACAGCCTGTCAGTAGGAGAATGAATGATGCCAAGTAAAGAGAAAAGACAGGTAGAAAAGTAGTGTTGGCAGAGTTTAATTTCTTTTACAAACCCCGAGGTCCTCAGAGATGGCTACTTTCCTATAGAATTTCCATTGATTATGAGAGCTTCTTTGTTATCCTTCCAATGTAGCTCCGCTTTTGCATAAGTAAGTTATTAATAGTTGGATTTCTGTCACTGGCAACTACAAAGTCCTGACTAATAAAAATACCCACACTTGACCACATGCTATTAGAGTACTCTCATAGTCTACTGTAATGAATTTATTTATTTTCTCACATATTCCCTGAATAAAACTGAGGACTTTTGGGGGGCAATGGGTGGGACTTCATATCTGATTCTGCAAAATATTAGCACAATAAAAATATATAATTGTTGAATAAATACGTTAACAAAAGCCTAACTTAGCAAGCTTTAAAAATAAAGCAAATGAAACTTCATTATGTGCAGTTATGAATTTTGAATCAATACATTTTTATAAATTAACTTTTGGGGTTTTTCATAATAAAATTGATTAATTATATTATTTGGCCTCACTTGTCATATACCCCAATGTTATCCTTTTGCAGATAAAAGATACAGGTTTGAAGTGATGAAACATCACCAAGATCATATGGTTGATTGTGAATTTTCTCAACCTTAAATTTAGTGTAAGTGTAATTACACTACAATAGTTAAAAAGAAAAATTTTTAAAAAGTAATTCCATGAGTTAAATTAGATACAATTACTTACTCATCTTTATTAGTGTGATTGCTTTCAATTATGTATAGCTTCCTTTATATTTGTTGTTTCTGCACTAACTGATGAAGCTTCCAGGAATTAAAACTCTAATCATTATAAAAATATATTTATTTTCCTTTTATGAATTTATCTTTTTCCAACAGGCAGTAAATCAATAGTAAAGAATAGAGTGAACATGTCAAGTTGATGCTCCAGGACACTTAATTGATTCTTAAGCTTTTGACATTTGCCCTAAGTATATACTATAAGCACCACCCATCGAAACTTTTTAAAGATGTTTCCTATAGTAAAAGTAAACAGTAAAAATTGATGTGAATCAACCTTACAAAACATCTCTGAAATAGACATCTCACAGAACACTTCATGAGAAATGAAATCTTTCAGAAATATGCATATATATTTTAGTCTGAAAGTTGTAAATAATTCTAAATCAGATAAACAGCATGTGAGATTTTAGAAGGCAATATACACTTTTCTTTTTAATAAAAATATTATTTTCTTTAAAAAAATTAATATTAAGCTGTGATATGGTTTGGCTGTGTCGCCATTTAAACCTCATCTTGAAATGTAACTCCCACAATTCCCTCGTCATGGGAGTGACCCAGTGGGAGGTCATTGAATCACGGGGGCAGGTCTTCCTTATACTGTTCTCGTGATAGTAAGTCTCACAAGATCTGATGGTTTTATAAAGAGGAATTCCCCAGCACAAGCTCTCTCTCTCTCTTTGCCTGGCACCATCCATGTAAGATGTGACTTGCCCCTCCTTGCCTTCTGCCATGATTGTGAGGCCTCCCCAGCCATGTGGAACTGTAAGCCCTTAAACCCCTTTTTCTTCCCAGTCTGAGTTATGTCTTTACTGGCAGCATGAAAAGCAGACTTATACAAGCTGTTTATACAAAAATTCCATCAAAGCAAAGTTAGGGATTTATTTAATCAATTTCGTATCTGCATAAAACACCTTTATTGTACTCATTCACCACATCTATTTTTTCAGGAAAAAATTCACCATAACATAAAAGTATACCACAAATTGGATCACTTATCATCTCCACTGCTGTCACCTTCATTCAGCCTCTATCATCTTTTACTGGATACCTGGATCATTTCAGTAGGTAGTTCAGTAGAGTCTTAACTAGTAAAACTCTTGGTGTTTTACTGTCTTGGACACCCCACCTCCACTTTCTGTATTACACATATTTTCCAGAGGAATGCTAGTAAAATATAACTTAGATTTTGCCTCCTCTATGTCTTTTTTTTTTTTTTTTTTTTTTTTTTTGACAGAGTCTTGCTGTGTCACCAGGCTGGTTTGCAGTGGCGCCATCTCAGCTCACTGCAACCTCCACCTCCTGGGTTCAAGCGATTCTCCTGCCTCAGCCTCCTGAGGAGCTGGGACTACAGGTGCCTGCCACCACACCCAGCTAATTTTTGTATTTTTAGTAGAGACGGGGTTTCACCATGTTGGCCAGGATGGTCTCCATCTCTTAACTTCGTGATCTGCCCACCTCAGCCTCCCAAAGTGCTGGGATTACAGGCGTGAGCCACCGCGCCCGGCCTCCCCTATGTCTTTATAGTTTCTTCCTACACACTCTAGCCCAAGGTTATCTCTCAGAGTTCCAATTACTAAATCACTCTAACCATGTTCCCAGCCACCCACTTTGCGTGACTATTCTGTGAGCACATCATTCATGCCCACGGATAAGGGCATATGCTTTTTCTTCTCTTTGTCTCAAATGCTCTGTGCCATTATTTACAGATGTTGCTTATTTACTTCCTTCAGATATCTGCACAAATGTCGCTTCTTCAGAGGGACCTTGAGAGGGTATCCTATATAAAATTAGTTATACTCCTGTAACATACTTTGCTTTCTTAGAGCAAATATCACCAGCTAACACATTGAATTCTTATTTGCCTATTTTCTGTCTCCATTCACTATAATATAAGCTACATTGGGCCAGGGATATTGTCTGTTTTGTTTACTACCATATCCTCAGAAGCAAGTGGGTGCTCAAAAATATTTACTGGATAAAAGAATAAATGAATTAAAAAATAGAATAGCAGTATTTATTTCCATACTGCAGCATTTAAATATATTTATAATCATTTCTAACTGTTGTCATTACTTCAATCATTTTCATTTCAGAATTCGTGGATTTTATTCTAAGTAAATTTTATATATTCTAACATTGGGGTTAAATGTGTGATTTGATGTAAATATGACATTTATTTATTTTTCTTCCAGGTTTGTGAGTTTGAGAGTGTATTCTTGCTAATTTGACTCTTCATATTAGACCACAGCCCTAGCCAACATCTTGATTACAAACTTGTGAGAACTTTTAAAGGAGAGAACTTAACTAAGCTGTTGCTAGGTTTCTGTTCCACAAAAACAGCTAAAAAAATAAATTTGCATTGTTTTAGGCTGCCAAGTCTTGGGATAAATTGCTATGCTGCAATAGATCACTAATACAGACAAGGTAATTTTGCATATATTTATCTGCACATAGAACTTCAAAGGTAAAAATTCTTGTTCTTTTTTAATGATAAATGTAGAAATTTATCATTAGCATAGGATTTTTTCTTCCAAAATATTTTTTTCTTAATCGTGAAAGGTATCATCACCCAGATCTGGGAACAATCAAAGCACCTTAAAGCTTTTTCATTCTTTTGGCTGGGTGCTGTGGCTCACACCTGTAATCCCAGCACTTTGGGAGGCCGAGGCAGGTGGATCACGAGGTCAGGAGATTGAGACCACCCTGGCTAACACGGTGAAACCCTGTCTCTACTAAAAATACAAAAAAATAAGCCGGGCGCGGTGGCGGGCGCCTGTAGTCCCAGCTACTCAGGAGGCTGAGGCAGGAGAATGGCGTGAACCCGGAGGCAGAGCTTGCAGTGAGCCGAGATCGCGCCACTGCGCTCAGCCTAGGTGACAGAGCGAGACACTGTCTCAAAAAAAAAAAAAAAAAAAAACTTTTTCATTTTTTCTTAATATAAGTTGTTTTAAAAATCCCAGAATCTATTATATGCAAAGGTTAAATATGCTTTGGTTTGTCTATTATGCTCAATTGTCTTCCCACATAGTATTTTATTGTTTCTAAAATAAATTGCTTATCTGTGGAACTTTCCATTTGCTATCTGTTGTAGAGCCTTTTTGATAGTTTATTCTGTTCATTTTTGTTTTGGTCACATCCCTGAGATTACTCTTTGCCCACACAATCTGTCACCTAATTTTATGGCCAATTTTTTTTTTCTTTGTGACTCACTATTGTTTTCCTTTGATGAACTGGAATTTTTTCCCACAGTGATATACTAACTTTTCCTTTTTCTTTATTTATCTAAGACCTTGTATACCAATTTTTTAAAAAATAAAAAAAATGCCAAAGATAATCAAGGCTTTAGGGATTGCTATTATACTTCAGCAAATTTAATTTAGCAGATTTGTGTTACGACACAATAATAGATCATTTGTAAAAACAAGGAACTCAAGAGGGGCTTTTGTTATGGGAAAAGAGTTGGCTATAGCT
Source organism: Homo sapiens (assembly GCF_000001405.40). NCBI lineage: Eukaryota > Metazoa > Chordata > Mammalia > Primates > Hominidae > Homo > Homo sapiens. Next base: position 85,775,601 of record NC_000012.12, read on the forward strand.
AAAGCTAATTGAATTTAGAAGCCACAAAACCAGCATCATTATGCTAGAATTTCTGATTCTACACTTCCTTGAAAAGGAGTGGGTGATCAATATCTTGACAAGGAAAAGAAAATCGGAAACAAGTAAAGCATGTTCAGTTTTCATCAGGTTGGGATTGAAAATAGAGAGTAATTATTTCAAGATAATTTCACCTTAGAAAGAAAGCAATTACTATCCCCTTTGCTGCGATTGGTGAATTGCATAAAATCTCTATGTAATTAAGTGTTTACTGTAACCTGGCCCAGCCCTTCATTTCATTAGATTTGTGAAAGAAAACCACTGTATTTCTTTCCCCTATCACTCAGCAGGATATATCTCTGTGTATAACTACAAATAGAGCTTAATTATGCGTCTTCAGTATGACACAGTTCAAACTATTGTTTGTCCTTGGAACTCTTTACCATTAGATATAAGAAAACAAGAAAGGGAAAACAAGAGAATGATGTTTGCAATCCTAAACAACAAAAATATTTATTTTCTTGTTTTAAGTTATTTTCTACACAGGAACTAATGATACATTCTATTGTAAATGATTAGCATCCTGATTTCATGCACATTTAAGTTTTAGTTGGAGCTAAGTGAAAACTAATGGTTTAGTAGCAGTGATTTTATATTGTTCAGCCTAGCAGGATACCTGATCTCAAATTATTCTTTTAAGAAACTTTAGCCTACATTTGAATTATTATTCATTTGAAATGAATATTTGCTTCTCAAATTGTTTGGAAGTAAATTGAATACTTGTCTATAAAAACATTTTCTCTTTTCCAAACTCATTTTTAATCATATATTTTTGCATATCTACAGATTTGAGGCCACACCATTTTATATATAACACCAACTAGCTTACCTCTTAGCCTGTGTGTGGGCCTGCAGATGGGACAGACTCACATTTGTGTTGCAGTTGTCTATAATTACCTATGAAAATATGAAGCAGCCTTTCTAAGCCAGGACTGAACTCCCTTCTCAGTGGAACATGTGGTCAAATTGATTTTTTAAAATAATCCTTGTGGTTTTAAGATGATAATTGTAGTGTTAAAGATAAACTTTGGCAAATTAAAGTTTTTAGGAGTTTATTTCAGCAGACAGCGAAGGAACACAGAGTGTTAGAGCTTCCTCATTCTAATAGCTTTCCATTTAATTATTGTAACATTTGAAAAGTTAGAATACTTAATCAGGCCAAATGAAACCAATTTCTACGTAAAATACCTTCATTAACATTCTGATATATGGTCTACATTTTTCATATAATATATTACAAAAATCAGTGTATGCACATGCATTATATCTCATGTATTGTGTGTGTCTACTATATTGTGTGTGTCTGTGTGTGTGAGTGTGTATGTGGTTGCATAGAAAAAAGTGCATGGTTGATGGACCTGTTAACATTTTTTTTTCTGAATTCTTGTTACTATGATATCCTCTCTCATATTGTATCTATTAATATTTTAAGGCAAAGACTAATTATCCATGATGCTCTCATATTTTTTTAAAATACAAGTGTCTGTATATTCTTCTAATACCAGTACATAAATACGTGCTTCAACTCATGTACAATTAAATATAAAGGAAATTGACATTTGTCTAGTGAATTAAAGGAAAAATAGATAGCTGACTACTTAAACCAATAAAGGCAGAAGAAAATAAAATATAATAGATTAATTTAATTACTTCCTAATTAATCTAAGACAATAATTGCTAAAACTACAATTAAATTCAAACTAGGAAAGTCACTTTCCAAATATGTTCTATAAAATGCTATTTTAGTGGATCTTTTAGGTGTAACAGAAAAAAGAAGTTCAGTAACCCAGTAAGTTTGGACATACTTAGCTTGAGTGAAGCAGGTTTTGTTGCGGTAGTTTGTTATTGTGTATTTATTTGCGTGTATTCTGACATTAGACCCTCTCAGATCTGTAATCTACTAATGTTCATTGTAAATATCCAATACTAGGTGGTAGTGTTACCAGAAAAACTGGTCTTCATCCAGACCCCAAGAGAAAGTTCTTGGATCCCACATAGGAAAGAATTCAAATAGAGTCACAGAGTGCAGTGAGAAGAGACATTGTATTGCTAGTTTAACGGGCATCCCCTTTCTGAGGACACCCATTACAGAGTAGGGTGTCCTCACAAAGCAGGCAAAGAAACACATTGGCTTTAAGTTTTTCTTCTGTTGTGGTCTTGTCTATGTAAAGACTAAACTAAGCTGTGACTACATGCAGTTGGGCTGACAGCATGACAGTATTTATTATTCTATTGATTTAAAGAAAACTATCTTTGACATTTTAGTGTGTAAGTACATCAAAGCATAACTATAAATATCTTAAAAGCACATATTGTTATGGGTATTGGGACATCTGGACTTTTTGCCATTGTAGGAGTGTGTCCTTGTAGGTATATTTAGGCTGTTTCCTCAACTATAAGCATCTTAGGACCATGGGTTAAGACTGGCAAATAATGCATCTTGCTAGTCTTTAAGATTTAGTTGATTCTAAAATGGTGTCACCTTGGCTATCCTAGGCTCCTGTTTCCCTAAGAGTAGGATACAATATTTCCCAAAATTGTTGGCCATGGACATGCTTTACTCTGTTTGTTGAAAGAGCTGACTAATATTTCAGTGAACAATTCCTGGCAAATGCTAGTGTAAAAATATCAAAATATTTTCCTTGAATGCATTGTATGTTGTTTATTGTAGTAGATTCTATATATAGACTAGACTGTAACCCTTTATGTAGATTTTTTTTTTCTTGAGACGGAGTCTCACTCTGTTGCCCAGGCTGGAGTGCAGTGGCGTGATCTCGGCTCACTGCAACCTCTGCCTCCTGGGTTCAAGCAATTCTCCTGCCTCAGCCTCCCGAGTAGCTGCGACTACAGGTGCATGCCACCACACCTGGCTAATTTTTTGTGTTTTAGTAGAGACAGGGTTTCACTGTGTTGCCCAGGCTTTTCTCAAACTCCTGAGATCAGGCAATCCACCCGCCTTGGCTTCTCAAAGGCTAGGATTACAGGTGTGAGCGCCCAGCCTATGCAGATATTTTAATATCACAGCATCACCTGTCTTAAAGTCTTTAAATTTAGTGACCTTCGTGGCCCCTACTTCTTAGTCTCCAAGGTATTTTGACATTAACTTACATTGTATAAGCATAAATTATGAAATATTTCTCTTTTATTACATTTTTTATCTTACTTCTTTCACTTTTTTACTTGATTGAACAAATTCCCCATTACTGGTCATCACAGTCAGTATTTACATGCACCTCTTTCTTTTCCCTACTTTGGCTTTGTGTATCAATGTAACCAATTGGAACTCCAGGCTTGGCTATTTTCATAATAGGCTTACTACTCCTATAAAATCTCTCAGAAACTATGGGCCTGCTTCTACTCTTTCCTTCTTGTCAATTTCCAGATATGAATCATATGCACAGCAAACTTACTTCACAATCACCCTACCCCCGATTTCCCTAAGAGCAGAACCTTATTGAAAGAAGTCTCAAAGCTATGCTAATAAAGTAGGCATCCCTACTGAGCCCTCACTGTTACTCTGAAATCTTTGTGTGTGTGTCTTCTTGATAACATTACCAAAGTTTGCACATAAACTATCCCAGACCTTCTTAACTCTCCTAAAAGTACTTATCCCACTTTGAAACCCTAAGAAAATGACCATGTGTTCTAATTTTTAGAGAATTCAAAGTCATTCTTAGAACATGTGAAAAAGGCAATGTCAAAAATAAAACAAAACTAAAAAATAAAAATAACAAAACAAAACAACACAAAAAAGTCGTTCTTCCTAATTCATTTTATTATCCAAGAATATGGCGCTATTCTGTTCGCCAGGACTAATCCTCTGTATGCATTTGCATCTCACTGTTCCTTAACTTTCTCCAGGACTCTATTTTATTGGTCTTCTTTCGATTACATGTTTAATCTTTTTCTATTTCTTACTTCCTTCCCTTCAGTTTTAACTGCTCATAGGTAAAAAAATCAGGAAATATCAAATTACTTCAATTCATTTCTTTCTTCCTCAGCCCCCAGACCACTTCTTTTCCAAAAACTAGTTCGCACAAACTAGCTCCCCTTTTTCAACACTCATTCTCTCAATTAATTATAATATGATATTCACCTCATTCCTGAAAGTTAATTCTCTAGCCAGCAGTTAACTTCCTTTTCAACAAACCTGAAACCTCTTTCAGTTCTCATCCTAATTGTGTATGAACAGTTGGCCTATTGAGTATCCCTGCTTATTTGGCTTCTTTTCTTGTTTGGCCCTCAGGATCTTGCATTATTCAGTTTTTCCTACCTCTCTGTGGTCTCCTGTTTGTCTACTTCGCTGATTCACGATTCTACAGTGTGTATTTACATACTCCACCACCTGCTGATCTCATTCATATCCATACCTTCAATTTTCATGCTCTATGGTATTGCTTCTTAACTGTGGCTGCATACTGGGAAGATTTTTAAAATTATTAATGATTATATTTACCCCCAAGTATCCTGATTTAATTGATCTGGGTATAGCATATATATTGGGATCTTTATAATCTTCTTAAAGTCATTATAATGAACAGCCTAGGCTTAAGTCACTGCTCTGTGGATTTCTCTTGCTTATAGCAATTGACTTTTCAATTCAAACAATGCCTCGAAATCAACAAATCTGAATCTGTAATATTTTATCTGTTTGTGATCATACTAAGTTCTGATGAATTTACAATTTTATATTATTTTTTGTCTTCTAGCTCCGCTATAACCGACATATTCAAATGCTTTCTTACAGATAATATTACTGAGCATCTCATATATTTTGTTCAATAACCCCAACCGTAGCGACCTGTTAATGCCATATTGCCTCCTGCTTAGACTTTTACAATTGTATCTATTCAGTATACCTTTTCAGAATAATATTTTCAGAAAACAGTTTCATCATATTATTGCCAATTTGTTAGCTACTAAAATTAAGTACAAGCTCATGCAATATTTATTTCTCACTGTCCCCAAGCCTGTTTCATTTAACAAGTCTAGACTCCTCAGATCTTTTGCTTCTTCACTCATCTTTTTATCCCATTGCTTATACTGTTTTTTTTCTCTCTCTCTTTATGTTCAACTTTCCAAGTCCATCGGGGACCAAAATAAGATCTTTGATTTAGTTTCAAATCTGATCTTGTTATAGTGGGAAATTTTCTTATCCTCTTTTGGTCTCAGGTTGGTTGCTTGGGTTTTTTTATACCGGTAAGGTTGAGATGACATCTTTCTCTCAGAGTTTGAAATTGAAATACGATAGTAATTGCAAAGTTCCTAGCTAAATATTAGTCCTCAAAAATGTTAACTACCTTTCCTGATTTTTCCTTCCATATAGTTCTAAAATTTGTGTTGTTATTTTTTATCATCTTCACTCAACTCTTTTATGGTTGTGTGTTTTGCCTCCTCAACAAGCTCTTAGGGACTGTGCCCCGTCTTGAATCATACTTCTTTTGTTACTACCACATACTTAACATGTATTATATTCATTGTAGGGCTCATCAAATATTTGTTGAATGGGTTTTGCTAAATAAATTACAAAATCTTCAGAGTACAGATCAAAGTTTTGTAAGTCTAAATTACGGAGGATTTTTGTGGGAGCTTCTAATTTGTGGCTGAAAGAACAGAGCCAAATAACTTCCAGTATTAAAACACACACACACACACACACACACACACACACACACACACACAGAGACAGAGAGAGAGAGAGAGAGAGAAGAAAAAATAAAACAAGGAAAGGAAAAAATCAATTAAAATAATTTCTGGAAATCAAAATGCAGATATGGTTTAAAACTGGATCTTATTCTCTGCCTACAATTTTAACCATACGGAAATGCTGGGAGAAAAATAACTGATGTGTCTTAGTTTCAACATCACTAAAATGTAGGTAAATTGTTTTTAACTTTCTTTCATATGAGTTATGATGGTTGGCCAATGTCATGAATGAAATATACTTTGAGGTTTCTGTAAAGCATCAAGAAACTGCTGTATTAAAGTGAGATTATTACTGTATATACTATAAATATTGTGTAGGTGTGTTTCTTCCAATATTTAGAATATTCTGTTTCTTCTTCTAATTTTTTCAATGTTTCATTTCTCTTTTTTACTTCATCAAGACAATCAAAGTACAAGTGCTGCACATTAAAAATATACAAATACATCACTCACACCACATCAACTCCTACAGGCAAAAGGGCTTTTACTAAACATTACTCCTCTTCAAAGCACATAATCACAAGCTAAATGTATCAAGAGCCATCTGCTGGTCCAATGTAGCCAACTCCAATTAGCAAGATGTCTATTAGTGTCTATATTTCCAGGCCACTGAAGCTGAAGAGCTTGCCAAGGCCTTCTTGCCACTGGTTGAGGTGGAAATGGTCTGCTCCAAAGCCACCAAGGGTGATGCTTAGAGCCAGAGCAATAGACCACTTATAGCCTCCAGCCCAATTTCAGTGCAGCATTTTGAAAAAAGTAGTTACCCAAGTCATGAATGTGTTTATCATGTATTTGGCAGCATAATGCCGTTGAGGACAGGACCTCATGCAGCTGGTAGAATTGAAACATTCATATTCTGTTTCTGGAGGCTTCCATCAAAATCAAGTCATGTTGATGAGAAAGTTACTTTGGGATTTTAACTCCTAATCAACACAGGCAACAGAAGGTTTCACTGTACAGTCAAAAGTGACTAGCTTCCCATAGACACAGAGGACATTTGTTGTGCAGTCTATAAATTCTGCAGAATACCTGCTACACAAACCATTGCTTGAACATAAAAGGTGTAATTTCGGTACTTTCACTGCCCAACAGGAAGTAGCACTCTGAGAGTAAAAGCAGCACATGGCACAGGCAGTGGGGACCCCACAGCTGAGCTGTTAACAGCCACCCATAATTTTGTTTTCTTAGTCATAATTGTTTTTGTTTTCATATCATTTATTATACTATGATCTACTCTCCCTCCTCTGACTCTCTTTGCTAAATGTGCTACCTGAAGTTCAGGTCTATCCAAATTCAGCTTCCTCGCCCATCCTCAGTTGTGCGTTTTAGGTTACAGACGAAACCTCAGGATGTCTTTGTTATAATTAGAGTACAGTCAACTCTTAATTATCTATGATAATGGATTACTGGGAGAGCCTGAATAAACAAATTGGTTTGAAGATTTGTCACCTTGAGTGAACTCTGTCTCCCATGCTGTCCCTTGGGAGTGGTAGCAAGGGTAGGGTGAGGGAAACAGGCGGGCCAACTCCTCACAGTGACTCATGCTCCAGAGGGTAGCTTCACAGATAACTTCTGGAATGTCCCTGTGTCACTCCTCTCTTAAAGATGAAAGGATGGAAAAAACTGAGAGCCACTAGCAACAAACATTTGTTGAGTGAATGAATGAATGAATGATAGGATTTACTTGATGTGGTTCCCATAAAGAAGAAGTCTCATCTTTCACTTCCATCACCAGTTTGGAGTGACTAAATGCACTCACTGAAGAAACACTGTGGTAGTGCAAAGACATCACTAAGAAGGCTCTACATAGATGAGGTACATTTCTGTCAGTGCTTATAAATCATGGGCAATTTAAATATATTCACTGCAATAAAGCAACAGACCAACAAGGAAACATTTTAAAATTAATGCTATATAAGGAATAATGCTTCTATAAATATTGCCCAATGTTTATAATATTTATATCCATTTCTTTTTTGCTACTTTGGAAATAACTGGTATTTTCCCGTAGGAGATACACAGGAAAATGTGAACCGTTTGTTGAAACAGATGAAAAGATACAGATCTTCTAATTGTGCTGCTAGTTGTCAAATGACTAATGAATTTGAATTCAATCAATGTTCATTAAACATTTGTCAATTGTAGGCATTTTTCTAGTGACTGAGCATGAAGAGATAGTTCAACAAAGATAAATAGGATATTGCAACTGTCCCTTCGTTGTTTCTATGGATACCTGGTGTGAGTTACAGGAGAATTAAACTCCAGACTCAAGTTCTTCCTAGGCAATGTGATACTTTCTATGCATTTTTTTTTCTAAGAAAGAGAATATTATAATTAAGGAAAATGTTATAATTTAGCTAAAGCTGAGTGTATTATTTTTCAGAATTAAGACAGTAAGTATTGCATTAACAGAGAAATGTGAGGAATCCACTTTCCTTGAGGCAACTTGAAGAAGAAAAAAAGCACTCTGAGAGTTCAAAGGTCTTAATTTCAGTAATAATTTCACTATGAACTATCTAAAAACCTTCAGTTGTCTGGTATTCTTTTTGATCTTGTAACATGATGGATTTGGAGTACATAAACTTATAAATTCCTCCCAGACCTAACTTAAAAAAGACTCTGATAAAAGAAAGATTGAATTTCTGAGAAATACATGACAAAAATTAACAGATCTTGGAGACATTGAATATGAGTAGTTGGTAGAGTAATGAGTCTAAGGAGATTCTGAAAAGGCCAATTTGAATAACTGATGTCTGGTTAACAGAGTTAACTGTTAAATCTCTCAAAATGCAGGCAAAATGAGGAGAAAGCAGCAGCCAGGTGATTCACATATTTGACAATTGAGCACTGATTGCTTAGGAAAGCTATCATCAATCTTTTTTTCTTGTTTTCTTTTCCTGACTTGTGTATTCTTGTTCTAACCACCTAGAAAAATTTCCTTGGCATTATGCATAAAAACTCGTTACTCACTTAGCATGGACAAAGCAGACACTCTTCAAGCCTCATTTAATTTGTATCTATGAGGAATGATGAACACTAAGCATGGGCTCTAATTATAAATTTAAGGTAGTGGGGTAAAGCTTAAATTAGTGACTACCCCTGAGCCTAGCTAATGGTGGTATTAGGTGCAATAAAGTGGAGACAAAAACTTGCAGAGCCAGTTTCAGCTGAGCTTCCATGGTGACAGAGACCTTCACAAAATGCTGTTAAGTCTGTTTGTAATGACACATCGTTGCATCAGGCTTTGAATATTTAACTCATATCACATACTTTAACTTCATTAGATATGAGAGTCTGCTTTTTTGTGTATGTATGAAAAGTCTGAAAGATTTTAAGTTCAAAATAAGCAGATAATTTTTTATTTTTATAGTAATTAGAGGATTCTTCATTCTCAGTCATTGCAATTCATTATTTTGTGTGTGAAATAATGGCCATGTAATTTTCTACCTAAGAATGATATATTACTTGTATATCCAACATGTTCATTGCTAAAATAATCCTTTTAAAATTATACATTAAGATAAAGGTAGGATCTAGTCTCTTTCCAACTGTACCATATTCAAAATGTAACTCCTTACATGCCAAAGTTCAGTCATAAATTGCCTCCTCTCTAGCTTAACTAAAGTGAAGTAATATTAGAGGAAGATGGTTAAATGTTATTGATGATTATTCACAGATATTAAAAAATGTTATAAATGTTTCTCAAGATTTCTGGAAACTCACCCCATATATTAGGTCAAAATCCATGTCTAAAATGCATCTTAATTTAAATGCCATTTGATCCTTTTTAAAACTGTTTTGCTTTAAATTTGTATAATCTGACTACCTCCATCTTCTTCAGGCTCTGGAGTTATCTTTCTTTTTGATATATAAATAAAGCCACTTGAAGCTCTCCTCTCATGTGTTATAGGTAATAAATGTTCTAATATTTCCTACGATTACCAAATGGAATGGAAATTTGCTGCTTCTATCTTTTTCATTTAAATTTCTTTTCCTATATCAGGTTTTTTCTTTTTAAGAAATCACGGTGGGAGATTGTTGTTAAGTTAAATTGACATTTTAGGAGGTTCCGAGATGGAACAGCTCCACTCTAAAGCTCCCAGCATGAGTGAGGCAGAAGACAGGTGATTTCTGCATTTCCAACTGAGGTACTGGGTTCATCTTACTGGGGCTTGTCGGACAGCGGGTGCAGGACAGTGGGTGCAGCGCACCAAGCATGAGCTGAAGCAGGGCAAGGCATCACCTCACCCTGGAAGTGCAAGGGGTCAGGGAATTCCCTTTCCTAGCCAAGCAAAGCCGAGACAGACGGCACCTGGAAAATCGGGTCACTCCCACCCTAACGCTGTGCTTTTCCAATGGTCTTAGCAAACGGCATACCAGGAGATTATATCCTACGCCTGGCTAAGAGGTTCCCACGCCCATGGAGCCCCGCTCATTGCTAGCACAGCAGTCTGAGATCAAACTGCAAGGCAGCAGTGAGGCTGGGGGAGGGGCACCCGCCATTGCTGAGGCTTGAGTGGGTAAACAAAGCCGCCAGAAAGCTCAAACTGGGTGGAGCCCACCGCAGCTCAAGGAGGCCTGCCTGCCTCTGTAGACTCCACCTCTGGGGGCAGGGCATAGCCAAACAAAAGGCAGCAGAAACCTCTGCAGACTTAAATGTCCCTGTCTATTAGCTTTGAAGCAAGTAGTGGTTCTCCCAGCATAGAGTTTGAGATCTGAGAATGGACTGACTGCCTCCTCAAGTGGGTCACTGACCCCCGAGTAGCCTAACTGGGAGGCACCCCCCAGTAGGGGCAGACTGACACCTCACACGGCCGGGTACTCCTCTGAGATGAAACTTCCAGAGGAATGATCAGGCAGCAACATTTGCTGTTCACCAATATTAGCTGTTCTGCAGCCTCTGCTGCTGATACCCAGGCAAACAGGGTCTGGAGTGGACCTCCAGCAAACTCCAACAGACCTCCAGCTGAGGGTCCTGACTGTTAGAAGGAAAACTAACAAACAGAAAGGACATCCACACTAAAACCCCATCTGTACGTCACCATCATCAAAGACCAAAGGTAGATAAAACCACAAAGATGGGGAAAAAACAGAGCAGAAAAACTGAAAATTCTAAAAATCAGAGTGCCTCTCCCCCTCCAAAGGAACGAAGCTTCTCGCCAACAATGGAACAAAGCTGTAAGGAGAATGACTTTGACAAGTTGAGAGAAGAAGGCTTCAGACAATCAAACTTCTCCGAGCTAAAGGAGGAAGTTCGAACACATCGCAAAGAAGCTAAAAACCATGAAAAAGATTAGACGAATGGCTAACTAGAATAACTAGTGTAGAGAAGTCCTTAAATGACCTGATGGAGCTGAAAACCATGGCATGAGAACTACATGACAAATGCACAAGCTTCAGTAGCCAATTCAATCAACTGGAAGTAAGGGTATCAGTGATTGAAGATCAAATGAATGAAATGAAGTGAGAAGAGAAGTTTAGAGAAAAAAGAGTAAAAAGAAATGATCAAAGGCTCCAAGAAATATGGGACTATGTGAAAAGACCAAATCTACGTCTGATTGGTGTACCTGAAAGTGACGGGGAGAATGGAACCAAGTTGGAAAGCAATCTGCAGGATATTATCCAGGAGAACTTCCCCAACCTATCAAGGCAGGCCAACATTCAAATTCAGGAAATACAGAGAACACCACAAAGATACTCCTCGAGAAGAGCAAGTCCAAGACACATATTTGTCAGATTCACCAAAGTTGAAATGAAGGAAAAAATGTTAAGGGCAGCCAGAGAGAAAGGTCGGGTTACCCACAAAGGGAAGCCCATCAGACTAACAGTGGATCTCTCGGCAGAAACTCTACAAGCCAGAAGAGAGTGGGGGCCAATATTCAACATTCTTAAAGAAAAGAATTTTTAACCCAGAATTTCATATCCAGCCAAACTAAGCTAAATAAGTGAAGTAGAAATAAAATACTTTATAGACAAGCAAATGCTGAGACATTTTGTCACCACCAAGCCTGCCCCACAAGAGCTCCTGAAGGAAGCACTAAATATGGAAAGGAACAACCGCTACCAGCCACTGCAAAAACATGCCAAATTGTAAAGACCATTGATGCTAGGAAGAAACTGCATCAACTAATGAGCAAAATAACCAGCTAACATCATAATGACAGCATCAGATTCACACATAACAATATTAACCTTAAATGTAAATAGGCTAAATGCTCCAATTAAAAGACACAGACTGGCAAATTGGATAAAGAGTTAAGACCCATTAGTGTGCTGTATTGAGGAGACCCATCTCACATGCAGAGACACACATAGGCTCAAAATAAAGGGATGGAGGAAGATCTACTAAGCAAATGGAAAACCAAAAAAGGCAGGGGCTGCAATCCTAGTCTCCGATAAAACAGACTTTAAACCAACAAAGATCAAAAAAGACAAAGAAGGCCATTACATAATGGTAAAGGGATCAGTTCAACAAGAAGAGCTAACTATCCTAAATATATATGCACCCAATACAGGAGCACCCAGATTCATAAAGCAAGTCCTTAGAGACCTACAAAGAGACTTAGACTCCCACACAATAATAACGGGAGACTTTAACACCCCACTGTCAACATTAGACAGATCAACAAGACAGAAAGTTAACAAGGATATCCAGGAATTAAACTCAGCTCTGCACCAAGCAGACCTAATAGACATCTACAGAACTCTCCCCCCTAAAATCAACAGAATATACATTCTTCTCAGCACCACATCACACTTATTGCAAAATTGACCACATAGCTGGAAGTAAAGCACTCCTCAGCAAATGTAAAAGAACAGAAATTGTAACAAACTATCAGACCACAGTGCAATCAAACTAGAACTCAGGATTAAGAAACTCACTCAAAACCACTCAACTACATGGAAACTGAACAACCTGCTCCTGAATGACTACTGGGTACATAACAAAATGAAGGCAGAAATAAAGATGTTTTTTGAAACCAACGAGAACAAAGACACCACATACCAGAATCTCAGGGACACATTTAAAGCAGTGTGTAGAGGGAAGTTTATAGCACTAAATGCCCACAAGAGAAAGCAGGAAAGATCTAAAACTGACACCCTAGCATCACAATGAAAAGAACTAGAGAAACAAGAACAAACACATTCAAAAGCTAGCAGAAGGCAAGAAATAACTTAAGATCAGACCAGAACTGAAGGAGATAGAGACACAAAAAACGCTTCAAAAAATCAATGAATCCAGGAGCTGGTTTTTTGAAAAGATCAACAAAATTGATAGACCACTAGCAAGACTAATAAAGAAGAAAAGAGAGAAAAATCAAATAGATGCAATAAAAAGTGATAAAGGGGATATCACCACAGATCCCACAGAAATACAAACTACCATCAGAGAATACTATAAACACCTCTATGCAAATAAACTAGAAAATCTAGAAGAAATGGATAAATTCCTGGACACATACACTCTCCCAAGACTAAACCAGGAAGAAGTTGAATCTCTGAATAGACAAATAACAGGCTCTGAAATTGAGGCAATAATTAATAGCTTACAAACCAAAAAAAGTCCAGGACCGGACGGATTCACAGCCGAGTTCTACCAGAGGTACAAGGAGGAGCTGGTACCATTTCTTCTGAAACTATTCCAATCAATAGAAAAAGAGGAAATCCTCCCTAACTCATTTTATGAGGCCAGCATCATCCTGATACCAAAGTCTGGCAGAGACACAACCAAAAAAAAGAGAATTTTAGACTAACATCCCTGATGAACATCGTTGCAAAAATCCTCAACAAAATACTGGCAAACCGAATCCAGCAGCACATCAAAAAGATTATCTACCATGATCAAGTGGGCTTCATTCCTGGGATGCAAGGCTGGTTCAACATATGCAAATCAATAAAAGTAATGCAGCATATAAACAGAACCAAAGACAAGAACCACATGATTATCTCAATAGATGCAGAAAAGGCCTTTGACAAAATTCAACAGCCCTTCCTGCTAAAAACTCTCAATAAATTAGGTATTGATGGGACGTATCTCAAAATAATAAGAGCTATTTATGCAGACCCACAGCCAATAACATACTGAATTGGTAAAAACTGGAAGCATTCCCTTTGAAAACTGGCACAAGACAGGGATGCCCTCTCTCACCACTCCTATTCAACATAGCGTTGGAAGTTCTGGCCAGGGCAATCAGGCAGGAGAAAGAAATAAAGGGTATTCAATTAGGAAAAGAGGAAGTCAAATTGTCCCTGTTTGCAGATAACATGATTATATATCTAGAAAACCCCATTGTCTCAGCCCAAAATCTCCTAAGCTGATAAGCAACTTCAGCAAAGTCTCAGGATACAAAATCAATGTGCAAAAATCACAAGCATTCTTATACACCAATAACAGACTAACAGAGAGCCAAACCATGAGTGAACTCCCGTTCACAATTGTTTCAAAGAGAATAAAATACCTAGGAATCCAACTTAAAAAGGATGTGAAGGACCTCCTTAAGGAGAACTACAAAACACTGCTCAACGAAATAAAAGAAGACACAAACAAATGGAAGAATATTCCATGCTCATGGGTAGGAAGAATCAATGTCGTGAAAATGGCCATACTGCCCAAATTAATTTATAGATTCAATGCCATCCCCATCAAGCTACCAATGACTTTCTTCACAGAATTGGAAAAAACTACTTTAAAGTTCATATGGAACCAAAAAAGAGCCTGCATTGCCAAGTCAATCCTAAGCCAAAAGAACAAAGCTGGAGGCATCACGCTACCTGACTTCAAACTACACTACAAGGCTACAGTATCCAAAACAGCATAGTACTGTTACCAAAACAGAGATATAGACAAATGGAACAGAACAGAGCCCTCAGAAATAATACCACACATCTACAACCATCTGATCTTTGACAAACCTGACAAAAACAAGAAATGGGGAAAGGATTCCCTATTTAATAAATGGTGCTAGGAAAACTGGCTAGCCATATGTAGAAAGCTGAAACTGGATCCCTTCCTTACACCTTATACAAAAATTAATTCAAGATGGATTAAAGACTTAAATGTTCGACCTAAAGCCATAAAAACCCTAGAAGAAAACCTAGGCAATACCATCCAGGACATAGGCATGGGCAAGGACTTCATGTCTAAAACACCGAAAACAATAGCAAAAAAGCCAAAATTGACAAATGGGATCTAATTAAACTAAAGAGCTTCTGCACAGCAAAAGAAACTACTATCAGAGTGAACAGGCAACATACAGAATGGGAAAAAATTTTTGCAATCTACTCATCTGACAAAGGGCTAATATCCAGAATCTACAATGAACTCAAACAAATTTAGAAGAAAAAATCAAACAACCCCATCAACAAGTGGGCGAAGGATATGAACAGACACTTCTCAAAAGAAGACATTTATGCAGCCAAAAAACACATGAAAAAATGCTCATCATCACTGGCCATCAGAGAAATGGAAATCAAAACCACAATGAGATACCATCTCACACCAGTTAGAATGGCGATCATTAAAAGTCAAGAAATAACAGGTGCTGGAGAGGATGTGGAGAAATAGGAACACTTTTACACTGTTGGTGGGACTGTAAACTAGTTCAACCATTGTGGAAGACAGTGTGGCGATTCCTCAAAGATCTAGAACTAGAAATACCATTTGACCCAGCTATTCCATTACTGGGTATGTACCCAAATGATTATAAATCATGCTGCTATAAAGACACATGCACACATATGTTTGTTGTGGCATTATTCAATAGACTTGGAACCAACCCAAATGTCCATCAATGATAGACTGGATTAAGAAAATGTGGCACATATACACCATGGAATACTATGCAGCCATAAAAAAGGATGAGTTCATGTCCTTTGTAGGGACATGGATGAAGCTGGAAACCATCATTCTCAGCAAACTATCGCAAGGACAAAAAACCAAACACCACATGTTCTCACTCATAGGTGGGAATTGAACAATGAGAACCCTTGGACACAGGAAGGGGAACATCATACACTGGGGCCTGTTGTGGGGTGGGGGGAGTGGGGAGGAATAGCAGTAGGAGATATACCTAAGGTAAATGACGAGTTAATGGGTGCAGCACACCACCATGGCACATGTACACATATGTAACAAACCTGCACGTTATGCACATGTACCCTAGAACTTAAAGTATAATTTTTTAAAAAATGACATTTAAAATTTTGTTTACCAAATTCTTAGCAAATATGCCCCTATTAGATACAAAATTATTGGTGCTGCTTAATATCATAGAATCATGAAGACTTTAAGTTATCTGTGTTTTGTAGTTGTTAAAACAATCCTCAAATAGTAAGTTATTTCATTGAAATACTTTTAGAAAGAATATTTAGGAGAGTCTTTGAAAGCTCTTGTTACAAATAGTGGTAATATGTAGTGTATTTCATGTTGAAGATAAACACTTCATATGAAACATTGATTTAATACATTTTTCTAATAATAATTCTAATTATTAGAAATATTTCCAAGACTATAGAATAAAGCTTTAAATTCTTATTAATATTTACTTTTCCCTGGGCTTATCAATGAAGAACTTTGTATCTAACTAATAAACAGGTATATTGTATGTGACATTCTGTAGGAGAAGCAAAAAGGAAGGATGCAACAAAAGAGACTAGATAACTGCGTTATATATCTTTCACACGAACAGCCCATTGTGAACAGTAGAGTTAATTAAATGCACACCAGATGCCTTTAAAAGTTTGTTTGCCTAAATGGCAATTACAACCTCCACATACAAACAAGAAAAATAAAAATAATACAGGACACTATATTTTTAATGATTATAGTACACATACCACTTCTAACCATTAACTGGGTTCTCCCATATTATGATTTGTTTTCTGCTCAGCATGTTACTTTCCCCAGCTTCTCTCAACTCCACTTTTTTCTGATAGGTGGACATGGAATCTTTTTTATTCTCCAAAATATTATAAAACAATACTTTTGCATGAAAAGAATGCTAATGAGGTTTGAGGATAATGACTCAAGTGAAGCTCAGAAAAGGAACAATTCAATTCAAATGTATGACCTCAAAATCCATTGCTAACTTCTCACTAGGAGCCACCTGCTTACTATCACTTTATAAGTCTCAAAACTCAATATTGCAGGGTTATTTTTCATTTTTGATCACTTTTTTTAATTTTACATCCGTTTGTTAAAATTTGAATCCTCTACTCCACTATGGTTTCTTAAGCAATTTTTTTCAAATAAACAAAAATAATGACTTACACAGAGTACCAAGACAAAACAACACAAACCACTGAGATAAATTTTTACACTTGCCGTAGCAAGTTTTCCTTTGCATAGCAATTTAAATTTTTCCCTGATTGATAGATTTACACAATACTTTTTTTGTTACAATCTTTTGCATTTTTTGGAAATTGAAGTTTTGATGTGACACTCTTGATGTTATCTATTATAAAATATGTGTTTAATAATAAGGTATCTGTACTATACTTATAATAATACAGTTTTTCTAAAAACAGTTTTTGAAGAATAAAAGAAATACATGCTGTAGTATTTTTAGCCAACAATCATGTACCTTTTTTTCTATGTTATATTAGCAATTTAAGTCTAAGTGTTCTCATTAAGAATTTATAAGTTGTTCTATATTACTTTTAAGCATTGAGAATTATGATTAATTCATATGCATATAAAATATTGGTTTTCATAACAAGTATTTACGACCTTTATTTCTTTATTTTGAGAAAAACATGGAATATAACAATCTGCAATTCTCCTTGGCCATAACTTGATTCCTCAACATAATTAAGCATTACTGGAAAAATGATTTTTTTCTAAAAATAAAGCAGATTTTTTTTGACAAATTGTCATTTGATACCTGAGCGATAGTCTTTATAATACATAAGTTACATCAACCTCTCTTAACTTTGAAAATTCTGTGGTCTGGCTGGGCGCAGTGGCTCATGCCTGTAATCCCAGCACTTTGGGAGGCCGAGACGGGCGGATCACGAGGTCAGGAGATCGAGACCATCCTGGCTAACACGGTGAAACCCCGTCTCTACTAAAAATACAAAAAAATTAGCCTGGCGTGGTGGCAGGCGCCTGTAGTCCCAGCTACTCGGGAGGCTGAGGCAGGAGAATGGCGTGAACCCAGGAGGCGGAGCTTGCAGTGAGCCGAGATTGCACCACCACTGCACTCCAGCCTGGGTGACAGAGGGAGACTCCGTCTCAAAAAAAAAAGGAAAATTCTGTGGTCTATTCTGGGGTACTTGGATGTTTCTACTGCCTTTAATTGCTCAGCCTGTTTTGTGAATAGAAAATCTTTTCAATGACCATATACAGTGCAACTTTATCTGTCTTATCATATTAGAAAACTTTTGGCTATTGCCCCAAATTAAGTATAAATGTGGTCATCCTTCAAGGAAGAACACATACATTGCTTGTAATGCTTGTGTTATAGCTGATCTCATAGCTCTGTTTTTGTTCTCTTCCTATCCACATACAAATTTTTATTTCAACGATGGACTGTAGTAAAATATATTAAATAAACTTTTATGATGGAGTGAAAGTTGCATAAATACTCAAATGAAATAACAGTAGAATGAACAGATAGTTACCCTATAAATAATCCCCAAGAGCTAAGAGCAGAAACTGCAGCAAAACCTACTGTTCAAACTGATGGGCACTTACATATTTTTGACATATGTATAGTGATGCATCCTTCA
Organism: Homo sapiens; assembly: GCF_000001405.40. NCBI lineage: Eukaryota > Metazoa > Chordata > Mammalia > Primates > Hominidae > Homo > Homo sapiens. Next base: position 85,794,093 of record NC_000012.12, read on the forward strand.
TTATAAAATCAAGAAAATATTGGACTAATAATGGTTGCTATAATAATAAGAGTCTACTCTATACAAGGTGAGATGCTGAGTATTTTTCATGCTACATCTCCTATCTTTAAAGCATTCCAAAAAGTTAGGCATTATTATTATCACAATTTTCCAGTTGAAGAACTTCATGAACAGAATAGTTGAATAATTTGATTAAAATCATGCAAGTAACTAGGGCTTGAACCCAAATTTGAACCAAATATGTCCGGCTTCTTAAAGGAGACTTGTCTTAATTATTTTGTAGAATAAATTACTTTTAATTTGAGCCAAGAAAAACGACACTTTTGGACAATTAACTAGCCCTGTTAATGTCATATTTCAGGAAAATAGTGTAAGACACATAAAAAATATCTGCAGTACTTATATGATAACAGGAGTTCCCACAGTGGTCTAATTTATTCCATCATTTTCATCTTAGATTAGGCACTATTTGAAAAAGAGACAATAACCTTTGGGCACCTGGAGTCTCCGGATCAGCCCTTTAATACATTTCTGTTTCCCAATTACCCTTGGCTTGGGACCTAGTGCTTTTTATGTTTCTTCCAGGTCAATGAGCTCTATGCATCACTTTAGGAATGCTTCTCTCCACATCCCTTCATTTAGCTTGGTAAAGTGTTTAGTCATCAGCTCTGCTGTGAGTTAATAAACCACACTCTAATGCCATTTCTTTAGAATCATTTGGCTAGATTTTAAAATCACAAAAGTTAGGGCTGCAATCCAGACCACCTCAATCAAATTCACCAGGGTGAAGTTCAGGAATCTGCATTTTTAACAAGTACTTTTTGTGAGTTTGTTGTGGAAACAGGTTTGGGAATTACCTCCAAAAGACTCATGACTTGGCTTGACCTAAATTTAAATCTCCAATGCAGGATATTTTCCTCCTTAGTCTGTCTTACTTTTGAATGATAAATCCCAGTTACCATTACCACCCTCATCCTTTGTGAAACTGCTGTTCCTCACATTATTTGACATTTTGGTATTTTATAATTTTTTGGACGATTACTTCAGGAGTGGGGTGGTATGCGTGGATGCTAAAAGAGGGATATGTAGCTTTGATATCCATCTTCGGGCTCTTTCCGTCTCAGGTAATTTAGAGGTTTTGTGATAAGATTTGTACTTGGAAAGCAAAACAATTATTACCAATCACCATGCCATGCACCTGAACTTACTTGAGAACAGTGACTTGCAAATTTCACAGGATACTAACAAATATTTCAAAATCTTAGCTTCAGTTCTGAAAATGTATAAAACTTTTCTGTTCCCTTGTCTGGGATATGACAAATGCTACTTAGAATAATTTTTTGTTGTTATTGTTGAGATGAAATCTCACCCTGTCACCCAGGCTGTAGTGCAGTGGTGCGATATCAGCTCACTGCAACCTCCGTCTCCTGGGTTCAAGCGATTCTTCTGCCTCAGCCTCCAGAGTAGCTGGGACTACAGGTGCGTGCCACCAAGCCTAGCTAATGTTTGTATTTTTTTTTTTTTTAGTAGAGACAGGGTTTCACCATATTCGCCAGAATGGTCTCGAACTCCTGACCTCGTCATCTGCCTGCTTCAGCCTCCTAAGATGCTGAGATTACAGGCGTGAGCCACTGTTCCCAGCCTAGAATAAATTTTAAAACTTCAAAAATAGTATTTGAAGTCGAAAAACCATACCTTGATTTTATATCTGTATAAGTACCAATGTATTTGCCCTGAGTGATGGAAACAGGAAAGAGAGGAAGTGGTGTTCATTTCAAATAAAGTATGTAAGCAATATTTTACCCGTACTAGACATTTAACTTTTCTTTCATTACTTACAATAATAAGAGTTAACATTTATAGAATAACTATAAAGTTCCAGGCACTATGCTTGCCCTTTTGTTACATATCTAATTTTATTAACATGTATTGGCAAATATTAGGTTCCAATCTCTGTTGGACACTAGAGATATTAAAATAAACAATACAAGTTACTATTCTCTCCACCTCTATTTACAGAATAGCTTTTTCTGTTCTGGAAACACAAATGATGTCCCTTTTTCCCTAGCCATACATTGTTTGGCTAACATAATCATGACTCTTTTGTCTATCATGGCCAATAATAACAACCCTACAGCCCCACCCTAACTAATCTGGAAAGAAATGAGAGATAAGAGTGAACATATCAGGAGAAGCAGAGTTTTGAGTTTTAACTCCCTCCTTTTTCAATTAGTAGGCTACTTTAACCTCTTCTTAAGGTGGTTCTATAAAGAATAAAATAAAATAAATAGAGCCATGTGCAATAAATAAAAACCTAATATTTGTTGTGCACGTACCAAATCTATTGAAGGAATTATTCAATATAATTTGACCAAGTTGAAAACCTTAAAGGTTATCTAATTTAGCTTTTTAATTTTTTTATTTTAAATTATTTTCTAGGTTGGAATCTGACATCCTAGAATTCAAATTGTTTACAGCCTTCAGGTTTCCAGTTCTCTGTTAGTTGACTTTGACATTACCCATTACGCTGCAGCTGTTTGATGTTCAAAAAAGCCTTTAAAGAGCCTCAGCAAAGAAACAAGAAAGTTAGAAGGATATTATATAGGAAACACTTTTAAAGTTTTTAAATTATAAAGATCCTGTATTTTGAAATATATTTATAGTGGAAAAGAAATATGTCATCCCTAAAATCATCAAGTTAAAACAAAAACTTGCAGAAAAATTTTGCATTTCCAATTTCATATGGATTTGCTTTTAGGTATGCAGTTTTTATTTTTAACATAGTTTGTTTACAGGCATTTGTGAAATAATTCCTTTTAAACTAGATTTTACTATTGTATTCTTATAATGAGAAATATTAATATTTATAAATTTCAGTAATCTGACCTTACTCTAATAATACCCGAGAACCTACTTAACACCTCCTGTATTATCAGGATTTTAATTTGCTGTTATGCATAAAGCTAAGACAAATACTTTCATGCATATATGTTTTCACAAATTTTGGAATATTTTCCCTCTACTTATTATGAATTGTAGGAATGCTGATTGAAAGCTGTGAATTGTTGATCTATACTATTATTTCCAAATTATTTTCCAATATGTTACACCAATTGCCGTAAGTAAATCTAGGGGTTTACTTATCAAGGAAGGCCATTTCATTCACTTTATTTTCAAATGGAAAGTTCTTCAATAATAGGAATGGTGGGGCTGTTACATGATAGAAATGCATAAACTCTAACAATGCTGAGAAAATGAGAACTAAATACCTAAAATTCTGATACTTACAGACCAGAGTCATTATAGACATATTTAGTCTTGATTTTTTGTTTGTTTTGTAGAGACAGGGTCTCTCTATGTTGGCCTGGCTGGTCTCAAACCCCTGGCCTCAAGCAATCTTCCTGCCTCAGACTCCCAAAGCACTGGGATTACAGGTGTGAACCACAACACCTGGCCTTATAGACGTATTTAGTATTTATGACTGCTACTTGTTCTCTAACCTCTAGTCTTTTTCTTTTCTGTTTGGCCGTTGCTTGAATTTTTAAGTAGTAACTTGTAAGCAACATTTTCTCATCTCAGAATAATAATTAGTGTTTTAATTTATCATTAACTACCCCTATAGGTATGAATTAAACAAAACTGAAGAAAAATATTCTTCCCAAATTGAGTCTTTTGGAACTTTTATTTCATCCTAGCAGAAATTATAGAATACTTGTGCTAAGACAACTGTTTCGATATCTGATAATTTGATTAGCACTTTCTGAAGCACCATACCTATGGAAGCATATTAACAAGATTCTGTAGACTTTGAAATCAACTTGGGCTGTTGAATTCCTGGCAAATGAGGATGATGTCAATCATCATTCAAGAAAAAACCTAAATTGTCTCCCATCTTTATGCTTATGTCTCAGTCTCGTAAATTATTATTGGGCTTGATCTACTAAGGCCCTCCTTCCTTTGTTTTAAGCAGATTGTTCTGTGCATTTGTACTTAATATACCAAGCTCATGTCATTGACTCTTCTTTTAATTTTATTTTTAAAAGATAAGTGGTATTTTATTATAACAATAATTGAACTCCCATAAGACTTCATAATTTGCAACCAAGGACAATACTAGCCTCTAGGGAATGCTTGGAAACATTAGGGATGAGAGGAGGGGTTAGACGAAGACAATTTTGCTTGTCCCAGTATATAGCAGTACCATTGCCAGTTTGTAGGAGGCATCCTGGTGTGCTAAATGTTTTTCAGTTAATGGGAGAGTCTAGCAGACAAAAAACTCTCCTGCCAAAATGCCAATAATGCCACAGCTGAGAAACTCTGCAGGTTAAGCATTTTTCTTATGCAAACATTCATTTCGTAGCCTCATAAAGTTCCTAAGTGGACTAATGATACAATATTACTAGATATTCTATTTTTATTTATGTCATGGCCATTACAAATATTACTAATTAAATTTAGGTATTCTATCCTATGCAAATTAGTAAAAATCTTAGACTTCTTTGCATTCAAATGTGTTTTGATCTTAATTTTGTTAGTCAGTTAATTTGTTTTTCTAGGGTAAGGATAGTTGTTTGTTTGAAATTTCAGAGAATTTCCTAACTTTTTCAATTCACTTTGCTGGTATACAAAATAATGTAAGAAAGAAAGTCTACATGCATGAGAGCAAGAATCATTTGAATATGTGGTTGAAAGTTTAAAACTAAAGCATGAATACACTATAAAGAATTAATGTACTATTAATCTACTATATTCAGTGAAATTATTGAATTCAGTGGATAAAATATAGTTCTGAAGTGAGGGCTTAAAACAAGCAATCAGTAGGGAATTTCCAAATTTTAACTTGAAGACAATTATCAGTTGAATAATTTAATGAGGAGAAACAAACCTAATTTATGACAGTAACACAAAAGGTATGAAATTCAGAAATAAATCTTATATTGCTTGTGCAAGAAGAGAATAAAGTTTTAAATCCTGCTGAGGGACACAATTGAAGACTTGAACAAAAGGAAACACATAAGGCTCTCAGACAGTAAGTCTCAATATTAAAGTAGTCAGTTTTCCCTAAATGTATACATAAATTTAGCACGCTCTCAATTTAAAATACCAACAGACTATTTTTGTAGCTGTGCAAGATGATTATAAATATTGCAAAATTTATAAAGAACAGGAAAATTTTTTAAAACAAACACGAGTAATAGGAATATATAAATAATTAAAATATACCAAATCTTAAAAGGATTATAAAGTCACAATAATTCAAATTATGTAGCTCTTGAATGTGAATACACAGCCAAATCAATGGGATGGCAGAAAAAATCCAAAAATAGATTCAAAATATGTACCAGAATACGGTTCACAATAAAGGGGGTATTTAAAAACAGTGGCACAACGTTATTTGGCAAATAATGTGGAATAACTTGTAATTACCTAAACAAGATTCAATTATCTCCATAAGTTTAAGCATGTAACGAACTTAATTTCAGATGGTTGAAAGTTTACAACTAAAGCATGAATACACTCTAAAGAAGCATCAGAGAAATTATTTCAAAAATTATTTTAAAAATTATTTATCATGCAGTGTGAAGGCCTGTTTAAAAATGACCAAAAAACACTTTACGAGTTACTTATCCATACATTCAACTATATAACTTAATTTTTTGCTTTAAGATAAATTAAAAGACAAATAGCATACTCTGTGGGTGGGAAGAGTACATTAACAACTTGGGTAGTAAAAGATTAATTTTTATAAAGATCATTTGTCAATGTTTATTAAATTTGAAAATGCCTCTGTTACCCTTTAAGCCAATATTCCTACATCTGGCAATCTAGTCTTACAGAAATGCATTGACAGAATGACGTTGTTTATAATAGTAAATTTTCAGAAAACATCCAAATGCCTATAAGGAGGGGATTAGTTAAATAAATTATTATAATTGATACAATGAGTTTCCCTGCTGCTATCGAACACAGTATGGAATCTCTATATGAACAATATAGGGCCATCTCCAGAATAACCACATCTCAGAATGAGTAAGGAGTTATGTAAGAAAAATATGAGGAAGAGTCTGCATATTCTTCCACAATAAATTGGAAGAAATATGTATAAAACCTAATAAATAGTTTTGTTCAATCTTACTTCCTGTATATTTACGTTTTCATGAAATAACTAATCTTAAAATAAATTGTGCATTATATTAGCAATTATATAATTCACGGTCGGGTGTGGTGGCTCATGCCTGTAATCCTAGCAGTTTAGAAGTCCAAGGGGGCAAATTGCCTGAGCTCAGGAGTTCGAGACCATCTTGGGCAACATGGTGAAAGCCCGTCTCTACTAAAATACAAAAGAAATTACCAAGCGTGGTAGTGGGTGCCTGTAGCCTCAGCTACTCGGGAGGCTGAGACTCAACAATTGCTTGAACCCAACCCGGGAGGCAGAGGTTGCAGTGAGCCGAGATCGCACCACTGCACACCAGCCTGGGTGACAAAGCTAGACTCTGTCTCAAAAAAAAAAAAAAAAAAAAAAAAAGGATAGCAATTATATAATTCAACCTGAAAGAAGATTTATTTTTAATACAGCCAAATAAAAGACCACCCAAAACAATATCACAAGAAAGGTATAATTATTTCTTTTATTATTTTGGATCAGTTACAACATGATAAAATGATATATACTTAATATTTGTCACATCATGTTTATTAAACCAATCAGGCAGTATGAAAAGAAATAGCCTAGTATTTAAAAACTATATATCAGGATAAAATGTATTTCTTTGTCACTAGAAAAATATGTTTTAAATAGATTATGTCTACTTGGAAAATAATTATAAAAGGCAGCCACAGAAATATATTTTGTCATGTACAGTAGATATTTAAATAAATATAAAAATAAAATTTTAATGGATTAGAATAGCTTCTACACACTAATGAGGTGTTGTTATTTTACTTAAGAAGAAAAATGAAATAGATATTTTGTTTAGGATATTTTAAAGTTACTTTCTGTGTCTACCATTTAAAACCCAACTCTAAAATATGTTTTTTCTCATAAGCACACAATGAAATAAAAAATTCTATAATATAACCATTAAATCAGCTTAAAGAGACATTTGGGGTTTATTAAGTCAGTAATACTATTATTAAAAATAAACATTGATGCCACATTTAAAAAAATCGTAGTAGCATGAAGATTTAATTTTTCTTTCCCAAAATGTATAAGGTCAATTACTGTTAATGTTTTAAGTCTGCTAAAATACGTATTCATTCATGTACAAAATGTACAAGCATCATTTACCATCTATAAAACACACACACACACACACAAAAGCTACAAACCTCTAAAATTTAGCCACTCAATTCAAAAAGGGAGCAGGGGGCAAAGAAGTTAATAGGAAAGAGTAAGGCTAACAAGACAGATGATAAAGTAATTTAATAAGAATTCATTGGTCGGGCACGGTGGCTCACGCCTGTAATCCCAGCACTTTGGGAGGCCAAGACGGGTGGATCACAAGGTCAGGACATCGAGACCATCCTGGCTAACACGGTGAAACCCCGTCTCTACTAAAAAAATACAAAAAAATTAGCCTGGCGTGGTGGCGGGCGCCTGTAGTCCCAGCTACTCAGGAGGCTGAGGCAGGAAAATGGCGTGAAGCCGGGAGGCGGAGCTTGCAGTGAGCCAAGATCGCGCCACTGCACTCCAGCCTGGGCGACAGAGTGAGACTCCGTCTCAAGGAAAAAAAAAATAGAATTCATTGAAGGAGGGGAATTAGGTAAGTGCATAAATATATATAGCGTAAGCCAGAATAAAAATGCTTCTTATGAGAAGTACCTCTAAAATATTTCTGGGTTCAGAGATGAGATTCCAACTAATTGAATGGAACAAACGTATATCATAGAAGAGCTAGCACATTAAAAAGACTGTGGAAAGGGTAAGATTTCAGAGCATTGCAGAAGGATAAAAAGGAGAATTCCAAGTGGAAGGATGACCAAGGATGAATCTAGGTCCTGTTACAGAAATTAAGAATAGTCAGCTTTGGTTTGTTTCTTCTAGCTGCATATAGCAATTTCATAGTTAACCTGTCAGATTACTCAAGAATTTATACTTTAACATTTCTATAGATAATAACATTACACTTTCTATCAAGTTCTATACTTATAATTCCAATTCTCACTTAATTTAATAACAAATAGTTCAGTATCCAGACATGAGGGCATTGTATTTCAGTACTTCTATTTGTGTTAATATATTAACATGTAACTGTAAATTAAGAGGTTCACCATGGTAGCTGATGAAGGATTAAAACTTAATGATTGTAGTGATCAAACGCACAAATACATTTGTATAACTAATGAGCAAATGGAAATTCTGAAATGAATTTAAAAAGCAATGGTACTGCTTTCTGAGACTTACAAACATTATTTACTGTAAAATGTAGAAGAATTGAGCCTTAAATGCATTACTGTGCTTAACTGTATAAAAGCAGAAGTTAATTCAAAGTTTCTAAGATGAAATTATCTCTCCAGGCCTACTTCTTATCAGAACCTCTTGAATTCAGATAATTAGTCAAATAGATAAGCATGTTCTTTCAGTATTTTCTCACTAAAGATAAGAATAATTCAAAGAGATGACTTCCACTGTAGGAAAATGATACAATGGGTTTATCATTTACGATGATCTTCTGAATTTGATCCCCATTAGTGAACAATGAATATGTCAGTGGCTTATATTGTTGAATAATTTTATGGACTCTTAGTCAGGTGAACTTTCCTTTCACAGATGACTATTCAATTTTATCTTTTTTAAAAAAATGTAACCGATGCCAGAATTATTACTCTTTATCACTGTATTTTTCCATAGAATGGAAATTTCTATTTTTCTTACCAGCCAACTTGAAATAAGACCTGAAAATATCTATTTTGGTACAAGAAATGATAGTATAAATGCTCACGAAACTGAAACAATCAGAAAATTCTAAATGTCTTCCCAAAGATGAGTTAAAAGACAGGAGAAGGCAGGAACAAATATGTTAAGAAGATTTAAGGAGCAATATATTTTTTTAAATGAGTTAACAATAAAGTTGCTTTAAAAAATTAAATACTTTTCAAATTTTGAAAGTAAAACAATAAGAAAACTGAGTTAAAACCTGCACTAAAAGTATGCAAAAGAATAAAAGAGAAGAAATGAGAAGGATTGGGACCCTTAACCAATGTCCACATATTAAAACTAAGTAAAATAATATTTCTACTTACATGTGCAGTGACACACAGGAAAGATATCAGCTAAATAAAAATAAACTGCAGCAGTACTCAGTTAACAGTACAATAAAAAATAATTATTTCATTATGATTGCATCATGTGTTCATTGGCAGGAAGGAAGCAAAGGAAAAAAAGAAGACGGGAGAAGGAGAGATGAAGGCAGGAAAAGAGAGGAAGTAAGGCAGACAGGAAGGCAAATAAGAAGAAAGTAAGCAAAGAAGGGAGAGAGAAGAAAGCACATTTCTAATTAAAACACAAGCATAGTAGGCCATAATAATGATTGTCAGTCAAGATAAGACCTAAATAATCCCTTCAATTTCTTGAATTCTTACTAGTGTGTTGGGGATTTTGCTGGTACTTTTTTAGGAACTAAGTCTCTTTTAAGCACTTTAGATGAAGAAATAAGACAATCTGAGTTATAGCATAGCAGAATAAGTCTTTTGTCCATGTGGTCTCCTCTCTGTAGGTTCAGAGACAAAATGCTAATAATTATAGCAGATTCTATTTTATCCACAGAAGGGTTCCAAATTCCATCATTGCAACTTTTGTAGATAGGACATAAACAAATAACACTATGACTGATTTTCTCTGTAACCCACACTATACCTCACTCAGTGAATGAACATGGGTTTGGTCAGGAGATCTGAATTGCCAGATAGCAAACATCCACACATAGCTCTTAATAAATTGAGGCTTCTTTATAAAAATTGCTGTTTGTATGCAGCACTTGGCCCTGCCTCATCTGTACCCTATACGTGTCTGATTCCCTGCCAGTATTTATACATGTCCCAACAGCAGCCTGTTTCATAGGCCTCAACAGGTAGAAGGGTTCAGGAAGTGATATACATGATACGTTGTATTATCAAGGATCAATTAAAAGAACCAAACTTTGAATTAATGCAGTTACAACACAGTAGCTCCCATATACTTTACAGATTTAAAAATTCCAATTATACAGTGTTGGAAAAATATATATTACAGCACATTTTAATTCTACTTCTTCATGTTTGAATATTTGGACTGTCTAATATTGAGGATTGCTTTTAAAGTTTATGTAAATCGTTTTCCACAGACGCTAAGGAAGATTATCATATGATTCCCATCAAATTATTTCTGTGTTCTACAACGACAAGCTATTTGTGCTGCATTCGTGATAAATAGTTCATTGCTTGAACTTGCAATAATTAAAGTTCCTTTGGAAATTTCACATCAGAAACAACACATTTCTCGAGTTTTTATTAACTATTGAATACTACAATATGATTTACATTTTTTTGAGTGTTATATTTAAAATGAGGTTTCCTATTAAATTAAACAAACATTAAAACATGAAAGCAGGTCAGAAAGGAGCCATTGGAACTATGTTGACAACAGCACCACATCTCCTACTGTTGTTTCGGAGTCCTGACTGTGGTTAGAACTGATACCAGTGTCCGAGTCTGTGTCATTTGTGTAATTGCTAAATACTCTTTGAGTAAAGGGAGGAATCTCCCCATTGCTACTGGGAACCTCAGATTCCTTCGCTCTGTTTTCCTTTAACTGGCACCCATCTTTGTTGCTAATGTGAAGTGAATTGAATTCCTTGGCCAGGAGTTCATATTCTTTTGCTTTCATCTGAAGCAATGAGTCACTGTATTTAATCTCTTTCTGGATGCCACTCAAATGAGAGTGAATTTTCAAACCAGCTTTCATGCTTTTCTCCAAATCACACTTAACACTCTCTAAATTAGAGCTTTCCAGTTCACTTGCAGCTTCCCCTTCCGCATCTTCATTTATATCAATGCAAACACTTTTTACCTCTTTTTCTATTTCAGCAGAGAGCTTATCAATGAGTATTCGGTAATATTTCAGTCGTTCTTCCAGCTGTTCAATTCCATCACTTTCGCTCAGGTCCTCCAGAGTCTGGTTTTCCTCATACTGCAAGTCTAGATTTTGCTCAACTTCACTGAAACTGGGCATTAAATATGCATCCTGAACATAGTTTTCTCCATCATTTTCTACTCGATCAAGATGGAACTTAGCTTCACACTTTTCAATTTCCAGATCCAGCTCTTTCATTCTCTTGACTTGCTGATGAATAGTATGGTCCTGGGAAATGATCAGATGAACTAATGTCTCCATATTATCTCGATCATGAGAAACTGTGTCCTGCTTAATTTTAGCCAGTTTCCGGAAAGTTTTCCTGACTATTCTTTTTTGTTTATCTGGTGGTAAAGTCTTCATGTAGTTTGCTGGGCTGAGCTCCCACAATTTTTCTGTGTTTTGCACTAATTTGGCTTCAGCTGTCCGCCACAAAGGAACTGGAAGAAAAGCATCTGCTTTAACCAAAACAAATTGCATATTGGGCTGCTCATCTCCCCACGCTTTCCAAAGCTTCAGGATTCTAGTTAGTGGAGGAAGAACCCTTTCGGAGCCTCTCCACTTCTCTATGATGCAGTAATCACTGGGCTTCCCCAGAAGAAATCGTTTCTCTCCAAACGTAGCCTCATGTTCCTCAAGCAAAGCCTGGATGACATCAGCAGAGGTGGTGCGTTTAGTCAGCCCACAGACAAGCTTCTCTTCTTGGCAAACCCAAACCACAATTTCCTTCTCTTCTGAATCCATGTCTTTAGTTGGAGATCTGAAAGAAAAACAAAAGCACATTATATTTCTGTCATTGCCTGTGTAAACTCAGAAAGATGGTTTAACATTAGTATGCTTTCTAGATTTTTACCCTTAATGAGAGAGGCATTTTTTTTCTGTCGCCCAGGCTGGAGTGCAGTGGTGCGGTCTCAGCTCACTGCAAGCTCCGCTTCTCGGGTTCACGCCATTCTCCTGCCTCAGCCTCCCCAGTAGCTGGGACTACAGGCACCTGCCACCAGGCCCGGCTAATTTTTTTTTTGTATTTTTAGTACAGACGGGGTTTCACCATGTTAGCCAGGATGGTCTCGATCTCCTGACCTTGTGATCCACCCGTCTCGGCCTCCCAAAGTGCTGGGATTACAGGCGTGAGCCACTGCGCCTGGCCGAGAGAAGCATTTTTAAGTTGAGAATAAGAGTCAGAAGATTGGCCGGGTGTGGTGGCTCACGCCTGTAATCCCAGCACTTTCGCAGGCCGAGGCGGGTGGATCACCTGAGGTCAGGAGCTTGAGACCAGCCTGGCCAACATGGATAAACCCCGTCTCTACTAAAAATACAAAAATTAGCCAGATGTGGTGATGGACACCTGTAATTCCAGCTACTCAGGAGGCTGAGGCAGGAGAATTGCTTTAATCCAGGAGGCGGTGGTTGCAGGGAGTGGAGATTGTGCCACTGCACTCCAGCCTGGGCAACAGCGTGAGACTCCATCTCAAAAAAAAAAAAAAAAAAAAAAAAAAAAAGTCAGAAGATATAATGCAAGAAAAATATAAAAACCATGGAAAGAATCTTAATTATCTTTTTATTTCCTAGTGTGCTCTGGGAAGAGCAAACTTTCATTCAAGAAAACTGAGGCTATTTTAATTAAAGCATAGGTAGCGATAGTGAAATCATAGAGTTAAAAATAGTACAAAATGGAAAAATCGTCATTCTTTTTCATTAACAATTGTTTATTTCATGCCAACTATATGCCAGACACACCTGAAGATACTAAGGATATAGTAATAAACAAAGAAGACAAGAATGCTGACATGAATATGTAACTAATGTAATATCAAATCACAGTAAATGCTATGAAGAAAATTAAATGGGGCAAAGGAATAGAAAACGACCTGGAAGAAGGGCGGACTATTTTACTTAAAGTGCTTAGGACAGTCTTCCCCAAGGAGGTGACATTTGAATAGGGATATCCATTATCAAAAAGAGGCAATCAGAGTTCTCAGGAAAGAATTCCAGGAACAATGAGCAGAAGTATAAGGATCTAGGGACAGCAATACTGTGAATGTAGTTGAAAGCTGAGGATAGCAGAGTTGGAAATTGCTGCTGGTGGGAAGGAGAGATTAAATAATAGGCAACAGAGGGGATGGAGAAAAGCAACATCTCCTTTCTCCATCCCCTACTTTAGAGAAGGGGGAAGCCAAAGAAAGTGTTAGCTAACACCTTCCTAAGCTAAAGCAACTGGAAAGTTTTAAGTAGAGGTAAAACTAATTTATGCTTTACATATGTCTGTCTTCTGTTTGTGAAATGGACTGGAAAATAGAAAAAAATAGAAGCAAGAAGCCTATTCCATCAGTCTAGAAAATAGATGATGATTTCCTGGACTAGAGTTTTAACAGTACAGATATCATAAAGGAATCAGAGTTGGGATATAGATGATTAGACAGATAGATCCCCCCTACCCAGCACGGAGAGGCACACACATGTATTTATGTAAATATACATGTATATATGGGCTTGATAGTACTTTTCTCTGTTCTATAGAAGGTCAAGGGGAAAAAAACACTTCAGTTCTCTGGAGAAAAAATGACACAGGTAGTAAAAGAAGCAAAAATTCCATGATGTCTAGATCATACCTATTGGAACATTTTTAAGATCATACTTTCCATCATGACTATGCATCAAGTTGACTGTGTCTTTCATAATGCCTCTTTAAAAGAATGCTAAGAAACAAATGACATGAAATTAGTTATGCTACAATGTGATTTATGATGGTATAACAGTTTTGAGTAGTAATTGGCTTCTTGTGAAAGTTAAGTCAAATCATTTATCACTTTATTTATATAGTGCACTCAAAGGATATGACTCCAGGGACCACTTACCAAAGAAAATTTCCCTGCCTTCTATAATAATTTAACATTTAGAATTTATAGTGTTTATGTTTTGGCAGCAATAGTGATTAATTCTATGTTGCTATCTTTATTTTAAATTAACTAACTCTTATACTTTGGTTATTGACTCACATGAAGTAAAAAAGTTATTACTAAAGGTGAAAGATACATCAGGGATGCCAAGTAACACTAAAGATTAGGTCCAACTCCTAACAAAAAATTTCCAGGAAAATATAAGTATTCACATGGAGGAAGTAAAATGTTATAGTTTATTACTCAAAAAATCACACCAAGTTGTGTTAATTCTCTTATAAAATATTTTGCACTTAATGACTCAATACTGAGTATTATATTTTGAAGTAAGTATGATATTTGACAATGTTTATAATTCATCATTTAATAATTGCAAGTAGCAAAAGAGTAGGTTAGAAATTAGAATACCAAACTTACTTTCATATTTTGATTAGTAGAGATATAAGACACAAATACTGTCTAAACAAAAACAAGTAAGTTCTTTAAGTAAGTGATACTAACTTACTGTGTTATGGCTATATAGCACAAGTCAGCTCTAAATAAATCCTTACCTTAATATGTTTTAATTATGTGCATGCAATATCCAAAATTAGTATAACATTTTTTGTACCACATAGAGTTAATTTACTTCAACTAGGATATTTGAAAAGCAATAAACAATATTCTATGTACTTATTGCATGTTAAATTACAAAATTTTATTTTAAAATAAATAATGGTAAAAATAAAATTAAATAGTGGTCATAATTATCAACCTTATAATGCTAATAGTTATTATGTTAAAACTAAGGACAAATTTGTTTTATGTTATTTTTTGGTATTTAAGATTAAATTCTAAAAGAAACCCTGTTCAAAATAAATAGCATTAAAGATAGTAACTATCAATCATAAAGTATCTAAAATGTTCCAGGCACTGTTCGAATCTCTTGCATGTACTAAGTAATTTAATTGTCACCATTCTGTAAGGAAGGTAAAAATATTATCCCCATTTTACAGATAAAGAAAGAGAGGCACAAGAGGTGTTGGTAGCTTGCCTCAGGTCACACAGTGAGTGGTACAATGAAGGTTCAAACATAAGCAAGAAAACTGGCTCCAGAGTCCGCAGTTCTAACAACTACACTATAAAAACAAATTTATAAGTTTTATAATTTAGATATGTGGATTAATTTGGAAATAATATGAACCACTTTTTTAGCAAGAACTTAAATTAGTCTTTGATACCAATGGAATGAACCACAGTGCCCCATTAGAGCACTCAAATGATCGAGGAAGAACTTTTTCCACTAGGCAGCCATAAAGAAATGTGTGCAGAAATTGTTCTCTTCTGTGCCTTTTTAATTTTAGTCAAATCTTGTTCTATAGTTGATGCAGTAATAAAATATTTCTGGCTGACCTGGGTATCTCCCTTAGCTGACAAAACTCTCATGTAACCAAAAACCTCTGTTGTTGTCTCCTCAGAGTAGTCCCTATTTCCTGTAGCAGACATATAAATTCTTCATCCCTACACTAGAGCTCTGAAGGAGACTCAGAAACTGAGCATATATTCATTTTTAATAGTAGAATAGTAATAATGATGATGATGATGATGATGATGATGATGATGATGATGATGATGTATGTGACAATTCCCCAATACTCCCATGACCCCTATTCCAATTGGAATCCTTCCTGCTTAGGAAGGATCAAATTCTTGTGTATTGTGGCCTCCTCCAGAGATCTGCCAGTTTTCAGCTCATATGGAAAGAACACTAATGATCATCATGCACATTGGTTCTGTTACCTACTAAAAAAGTAATGCCTTATTAATAACCTCACAATCTGACTGGCACCAAAACTATCATTTTCTTTTTTTCTTTTTTAAATCTGCCCCGAATGTCCTTCTATTTTCTGCAGTCAGCTATTTCTCAATATTTCGGGGAAATTTTACAATCATTCAAACAGAACAATTTTTAAAACTTCTTCTGAGCACATTTAAAAGTAATAACCATCTATTACTGAATTCAGGCAATAAATCATTCATAACTATTATATGCTTCACCAAGCCTAGAGTCTCCTTTATAGCAGACTTAGGATTTATTTAAAATAAACCATATTTATTTTATAATGTGGCTGCGGCTGAGTTTCTATTCATTTATTCCACAAATGTTTGTTAAGCACCTCTTCTGTGGCTGGCACTGTCATGGGAAATGTGTATGATACAAAGACATGTGTGATTTACAAGAAAATGTTTCTCTCTTATGGTGGGAAACAGTGCCAGGGTTGAGAATGGAACGTTTTGTTTGTTTATTGGTGGTTCTAGCGCTAAATTCCTTATTACATTAGTAGCACCCAGTTGCTAGACTGATATAGACTTATGACCCTCAGCATCATTTCATAAAGTTAAAAAAATTAAAAAATATAGAAAGGATATGGAATAAATATCCATCAAAATTAAACCAGTTTAGAAATCTTAAATAATCATTACTTTATAGACATAAACACTTTCATTTGATCACAGCCCCATGAAAATCCAGTCGTCTGATATAAATAAATATTTTAACACTCGAACTGGGCCTAAATAAAATGTTCCCATCTCAATCTTTGAAAATTTACTATTTAGTAGAAATAATATCTACAAACGCAAACACAACTAAAGTTTAAACATACAAATTTAGACTAGATAGCTTGGTTCGTTATGTAATACCATGTAACAAACAGTTCTTAACTAATGGATTCAAATCTAGTAGTTGAGACACACAACCTCTGATTCTAATGCAACAGGGGATTGCATAAAATATGCACATATATTGCATGTGTAAAATTGTTATTTGTTCTGTTTTACTTTGTGTGTGTGTGTTTGTTGGGGCTGAGCAGATAAACATTGCTTTATTTTGTTTCTAATTTATGAAATCTCATATCCCAAGATTCATGTCCATTTTCTATTCTTACAAATATTTTCCAATTTATATGAACTGATTATGTGTCAATAGTTATTTTTAAATTAACACTTGGAACTCAATGCACTTTTCCTCATAAAATTAATGTTTTACCTACTATAGTTAATCAAACTCCTGGGTTGAATGCTTTTAGGTAAGGTATAATTTTGCCTCCCTTTAATTCTATTATCTTCTTCTTGAACATTCAGTATAAAGGCAAGCATTGAGAGAATCCCCTGTATCTGACTCTGGAATACTAGAGGAATAGGGACTGAGACTGAAGGCAGATGATAAAATTGATATTGATGTTGGTTCCAGGAGTGATCCTCACTAGATACTCTGGAAGGGAGTAACCAACTGGTGGATATCCTAATGGGCACCTCTATAGGAATACCATAATTGTTTGCAAGTGTAGGTTAGTTTAAATTAACTGGTTATAAAATAGAGATTTCCTGGATTATGGGATTCCAAATTTATTACTCCTGTGTTACATTATAGAGGAAAAGCATTTACTCAAAAAAGTGTACATTTAACAGAATAAAGTAACTATCACACTCACAATTTATGCCAGTTTCGGTCTTGAATTTTAGGTTAACTTGATAACTGTTATCTTCGCAATTTGCAAGTAGATATAAAATTTCATAAGCCAGAATTCAATCGGGTCATGGCTTCAAAGTATAGTACTTAGCATCCTAATAGCTTATTATCCATGAACTTTCTTTAATAAATTATATGGTCAGAAAGATTTGAATCAGTTATCTACACCATTACATATAACAAGGTAATTCACCAGATGTCCACTTTAAGCAGGAAAAACAATGAACAAATAAAAATTCAGAGTACCATCTTACTCAGTGTTAATTAGGGTATGTCACATTTTGGTTCTGATTAAAACTCATCACAATCAATAAAACTTAAGAAGTTGTACAATGAAATATATGTTCAAAATTGAATAAGATCATAGCTGTGTTTGGACTTGACTTGAACTAGTTTGTCCATTTCAAGAATGGTTCCTAACAAAAGAGAAAATGCTCTTTTAGTCATATCTAAACTATGACTCCCACAATTTCATAACTACTCCACACAATTATCTTTTTAGTTATTGGAAATTGAATGAAAAGCAATTCAAAACATCATTCAAAAGATTTTGTTACACTATTATATGCACATATTATGCTACAACTATATGTAGTATACATTTATGAAATTTCTTATGCACATAACTATTCTTAGTTGTATATGTGTTTTTGATACCTTATTAAATTTGATAATATTAAATATATCCTAAGGTTTTCACAGAAATATTTTGTTTTGTTGCTTAGCATACTTCTGTTTATTTTAAAGATAGTTTATAATCACATAGTATGTTTGAAAATTATTAATATATACACAAGAGAAATGTTTTAAAGTTCATAATGCTATAATATACATTTTAATTTAATATCCCCTGAAATATTGATGAGATTCATTTGTAAATATTTTGAAAAATATATAGCAGGAACGATTGAACTTGAAAATTTAAATTTATGATTTTATCTTAGTTTTTACTATCAGATTTTAAAAATTTAGCTAAATCTTTTTTTCTAATTCTATATATTCTTCACTATAATACTGCAATATAGATGTCTGGCATATTTCTGCAAATAAAAATAAGAGTAATAGAACTGGAAAATTGTGGAAAATATACTGTATAAATACAGGTTATTAGGAATGACAATAAAATTACCACTATTATTATTTAATACAGAGAATGGTGTAGTGTTTTTAGTATTCTTATTCAGTAATCTTATTGAACTTACTATAGTAGTTAGCAATATTATTTTATAAATATTTTCTAACCTATGCACAATGTTTTTTCACCTGTTTCAACTAGTCTGTTTTTTTATTGGCATGAACTCTACCAAAATAAAATAACTCTTAACCAAATAAGAGGCGTTTTAAAAATCATTAGTATACACTTTGGATCAAAGATGAGCCCAAGAATGTTTTTAATCTTCCCCTGATTTATAGTTTTCTGATTTTGACTAAATTTGTGCTAATGAGGCACATTTCACTGAAAAGATAGATATATACTTGGTTATTCGTCAACACCAGTTTAATTATTCAGGTTTTGCCTTTTTAGAATATCTTCATCATAAATTCAAGAGGATTTATATACTACATGAAACTTTCAACAACATGTGTTAGCCTCAGGGATATTTTTCCATATTCATTCTGAAATATTAGTGAAAAATTGAATATGAAACTTTTTACATTGACTCTATTATGAAGAAAAAGCTTAAAATAGTTCTCCATTGATAATTAGCATTAATAACATAAAAAATTACACAGAATTAAAATGAGTTGGCTTGTAATAAAAAGGCAAGATTCATACAATCAAATATACTTTGAAAATAATTTAATTGACTAAGCACAAAGCATCAAGAAATAAATTAAGTTTAAATCTTGAAGTTTTAAGATAAAATATTGTCTATGATATTGTAACATCAAATTGGAGATTCAACAGAATTTATATTTACAGAAAAAGAATTTAGTGTGGAGGTAGAGAAAAATGAAGATAAATGGATATAATTTGGCAATCTTTATTCAGTGATCCAAAGATAAAAGGCACTAAAGTTGGGGTCTGGAAAATCAATCAAAGAGCAAAATTTCTTCCTAGTGTATAGTAAACACTAAACTTTGGCTGAAATTTTATATATAAAACTTAGCAGGATGAATACCAAACCCTTTCAAAATAATAAGAATAAATAAAATAGTAAATTATTAATTAAGAATAATTACATTATAAGATATGCTTCTAAAACCCATTATATGAAGACTAGGATGCAATCTGTAAATATTTATGGAAAATATTGAGAACTCTGAATGTATTTTTCCATAGAACATATGAAATAACTCTTTATTTCCTAGGCCAGCCTGGAAAGTATAATACTAACACAATCTAGCTACTGTGTAAAGGAGTGATTCCAAGGGAAATGCTTTTATTGCTTGAGTCTCTGCAGAACAAGACTTCGTGCTTGAAAATCAGAGTCTGGACCTTTTCAGTTTCAAGCTATTGGTGGCACCTATGCCTAGAGATTGTGATGGAAACTTCCATCAGATTGAAGCATAAGGCCTGTGAAGCTTTGGGGGCATATCTGAGTCTTGGCCAGCTTCCCAAAACTGGTCTTTGTTTCCTTCTTATTACCATTGTTTATTCTCTAAACTGAAGTTTATCTCAGTGGTTCCCTACCAAGGGTGATTTGCCCCCAGGAGATATGTGACAATGTGTAGAGACATTTTTGGTTTTCACATCAGGTGGCACTGTTGACACACCCTGTTCCAGATTTAAAACCAAACAGTATGTATCCAGTGGGTAGAAGCCAGGAAGATAAATATCCTACAATGCACAAGACAGCCTCTCACATCAAATAATTATCTGGCCTGAAATGTCAATAGTGGCACTGCTGAAAAGCCCTGTTCCAGATTTAAAATAAAACATATTTTCATCATAGCTCCCCTTGTACCCCTTTTTCTTACCACTTCTAGGGAATCTAAGAGTAAAATTTATTAAAGCAAAAATAGCAAGCCAGGGAGACCCACCAATCTCAAGTAGTCTAAAACATGATTAAAGGTGGCATTCTATTTAACAAAATATGAATAGAAATTTTTTTTTTTTGCTCCTTTTCATCCCATCATCAACCTTTATGCTTGCTATAATTAATTCTACCCAACTGGGCCTCCCTTTGTTAACTCCAGAGCTGGTTCTAAGGAATAAGATTAATTTTAGTTCATGGAAAGGCTTCCATTCATAGCCTTGTAAATTTTTCTTCTTGATTAAGAAATTGTATTTGAATATATGGCCACTATATATGGGAAATGAGCTATGGGATAAAAAGAAGATGTGTGGATGACATGACATACTCAGAATGGTGGAGACCCATGCAGTGATGGTTGTGGTAGGGCTGTGAGTCAGCACAATAGGTTATTGCAATTCTCTTATATGCCCTCCTTGAAGTTGTTATTTCTGTCCTGGACAGAAGGGACAAACAAAGATCAGAATTAGGAAGGAAGATTTCTAGGCACTCAAAGGTTAAGGAAAGAGGTGGCCAAGAAATTATTTGCAGTCTTTACAAGGTGAAAGGGAAACCCCACACACAACTGTACGAAATGAGAGAGAGAGAAAAAAAAACCAAAAACCTCTGGTTTAGGGGAGTTGTAGGCATAAAAGATAGGTCTAAATAAGTCAGGGACAGCCTTTGAAAAATAGCTTAGCAATAAAATTAAACTGAATATAATATTTTGCTTTTGTTGTCCAGAAGACATTCTGGAATCTAATATGGTCACAAAGTCACCATTATTCATGTGAATTGGTGACATGCATTATTCTAAACAAAAATATGGTTATTTGTGCTTTCTGATTGCTGAATATAAAGCAATGGTTGCTCCTTTGGGTAGATACCCAGTAATGGGATTGCTGAGTCTAATGGGATTTCTGAATTTAGGTCTTTGAGGAATTGCCACACTGTCTTCCACAATGACTGAACTAATGTACACTCCTACCAACAGTGTATAAGCATTCCTTTCTCTCCACAACCTTGCCAGCATCTGTTATTTCTGGTTTTTTTAATAATAGCCATTCTGACTGGAGTGAGATGGTATCTCACTGTTGTTTTGATTTGCATTTCTCTAATGATCAGTGATGTCGACCTTTAATTCATATGACGCATTGGTCGCATGTATGTCTTCATTTGAAAAGTATCTGTTCATGTCATTGGCCCACTTTTTTATGGGATTGTTTGGTTTTTTTCTTGTAAATTTGTTTAAGTTCCTTATAGAGGCTAGATATAAAAATGCATGTACATACGCATATTTCATTGCAGCACTATTCACAATAGCAAAGACATGGAATCAACCTAAATGCCCATCAACAGCAGACTGGATAAAGAAAATGTGGTTCATATACACCATGGAATACTATGCAGCTATAAAAGAATGAGATCATGTCCTTACAAGGATATGAATATAAATGGAGTCCATTATCCTGGGCAAACTAACAGAAACAGAAAACCAAGTACTCACATGTTCTCACTTATAAGAGGGCGCTAAATGATGAGAACACATGGACATATAGAGGGCAACAACACACTGGGGCCTTTCAGAGGGTAGAGAGTGGGAGGAGGGAGAGGTTCAGGCAAAATAACTAATGGGTACTAGGCTTAATACTTGGGTGAAAGGATAATCTGTATAACAAACCCCCATGACAAAAGTTTACCTATGTAACAAACCTGCACTTGTACCCCTGAACTTAAAAGTTAAAAAAAAAAAAAAGCAATGGTTACTAATATTCTACATTTTATCAGTAGTTGGCTAAGCTAAGATAATGTCATAGCCTGATGTTTTTCATGCTGTAGAGGGTAAATAAATGTTTTCAGCCGAAATTTTCTTTCCACAGAGAAATGGGGATTATCTTTCTAATATTTTCTTAAAACATAATACACGTAATTCCCTTCAAAATTTCAGTTAAATATCAGTACACTTATAATAATATAATCCTCAGTAGATGGAAGCTGATTTTACCCTAATATCATCACACAATTTAAAGTCATAGCATGAAACAAAACCAGAATTAGTACAAAATATTATTCACCTATATGTGTTTGATATTCTAACATATGCAATATGAAATAATAATACAGAGAAAAAAATTGATTTCTGGTCAGAGAAGCTGACAAAGCAGTAAGCACAGATTTTAATAACTTTTCCATAAAAATTAAACTTTTTATGAAAAATATAAATGACTAAGCCAGTTATGAAAATCCTTTCTAGATAGAACATCTTATGCAAATAAGTTACTGAGTCTTATGGAGAATGAGGTCCAGCCTACTGAAAACCTCACCAGCTCACTGTATATGGCATTCATATTAAAAACATGCCAGCAAACAAAACTTGGAGATAGAATAACTCAAAGATGCCAAGTTCGGAAATAGAGTTAGGAATGGGAGCTATAAAACAATAAGAAGACAAGATATTATATTTCAGTATATTTATCTCAGGCTTAAATGTATAGAATGTGTAGAAATTCATACTGCTTTGAATGAAAGCATATAATACATTAAATAATAAAGATGTGTTTAATTATAAAGAACAAGTTTACTAAATTTAATCCCTGTTCCAGAAATTGTAAACTTGTATTTGAGTTTGCAAACCCAGCTCTATACCAATTATGAAGTTTAAAGTGTTTTAAGATGCCATGAATAATCCATTTAGATGTTAAAGAGTCAAATACAATGTCACAGCCATTTTCAAACTAAGAGATCATACTTTTAAATTCAATACTATCTTTTCCCACGAATCAGTTATTAGAGTGCAACTACAATTGGTTTACCTAATAAATTAATTTAGCTTTATTATGACTATGTAAGAGAAAAATATATCTTTTGTATAATATGACTAGTTGTCTTTGTAATTAGAGAAAAGAAGCAATCCAAACCCAAGCAGAAATTTAGAGAGAAAATTGGGTAAGAATAAATGCTTAAATGTACAATTTTTAATAAAAATTTTTATATAAGTAAATTGCATTTATTCTAGGTTACTTTACCTCCAAATACATTGTTCATTTTAAATTATGGTATATAAATTATTATAATTTGTTTCAACATGTATTTGTTAATGGAACTTCAGTTTTAACAAATATGATTTGGTATTAAGGTTATAAAAGAAATGGAAGATAAAGTGATCTTTATATTCAGAAAATTGTCACATAGCTGGAAAGAAAAAAGTACATGTTTAGAGAAATAAATTTTTAAAATTCAAGACCACACTAAGCATTACTAGAAATCATAAGATATGCTCTGTACAAATGTACTATACAATTTCAGAGAAGAAAAACAACAATAAAGTTAAGTAGTCTTTAATAAATAATAAAAAAGACATAGAAGTTGTCCTCAATACCTTCAATTCATTCACAACTTCCACAACCCTTTGTAGAAAGAGCTTCAAGAGATTTAATGTGGGATGAAGGTGGTAATTTAGATCTTGTCTGTAAAGGAGGCCTATTCAAACTGTGCCTTAACATGATTAATGTGGGCATGGTAGCTGAGGCACAGCTACTTAAAAAATAGTAAGATAACTAAAGAACAGTTGAGGATAGGTAAAAGATACATTGGATAATAATAACTCATATTTATTGTATGCTTAGTAAATGTCAGCAAGTGTTGTAAATGCTTTATGCATATAAATTCACTTTTCATTACAACCATATCAAATAGGTTGTATTATCAAACCCATGTTACAGATTAGAAAACTGAGGCACAAGAGATTGTTTGTTCAATGCTACCCTCAGCTAATAAGTGGAGTAAAATAAGTTTAGATAAATGAATTATAATTGAGTCAGACCACTGATGAACTCTCTAGTAAATCCAATATAATAATCAATATGTTTTAGTAAGTTTTTTTCTGAAAACAAAATATAATATCTGAGTTCGATTTGAACCTATTGAGAAAATTTGCTTTTTTGGCATAAAAACATAAGACAATATATATTTATCAACTACATCAATGTATTATCAATATAGAAGCTTATCTACAATGCAATATTCAATAATTGATTTTCTTGCAATCCAGTGGCTCATCATACACAGTCTCCTAATTTTTTAAAGCAGTTTAAAAGGGAACTATAAAACTTGCCGGGCGTGGTGGCTCACGTCTGTAATCCCAGCACTTCGGGATGCCGAGGCGGGCGGATCATGAGGTCAAGAAATCGAGACCATCCTGGCCAACATGGTGAAACCTCGTCTCTACTAAAAACACATAAATTAGCCGGGCGTGGTGGCGGGCGCCTGTAGTCCCAGCTACTCTGGAGGCAGAGGCAGGAGAATGGCGTGAACCCGGGAGGTGGAGCTTGCAGTGAGCTGATATCGCGCCACTATACTCCAGCCTGGGCGAGAGAGCGAGACTCCGTCAAAAAAAAAAAAAAAAAAAAAAAAGGAACTGTAAAATTATTTTGTAATTTCTGTGGTGAACACCGGAATAAATATTGAATTGCCCGTTCAATTCAGATTTCTAAAAATATTTTTAAAAACTGGATTAAACAAAGTTTCTTCATGGTATTGTAAACCTACAAAAAAATATAATGAGTAACTTGGAAGGAATCAAATGCATGCATGTTTGATTACTGGCTTTTTCACATACTAGGCAATTTTTACTGCTTTAAGCATTTTTTTTTTTCTTTTTTTAGAGACAGGGTCTCACTATGTTGCTGGAGCTGGTCCCATACTTAAGTGATCCTCATGCCTCAGCCTCCCAAGGTGCTGGGATTACAGGCACGAGCCACAGTGCCTGGCCGCTTTAATTATTCTTGATTATACTACAATGTTTATCGTAAAAATTAGCAAAATATGGATTTTAAATACGAAAATTTAAAATGACCTATTCATTCCTGCACCTGGAGACAATTAGTATTTAATTATTTTCTAATAAAAAATACCAATATTTAATGAACACTTACTATGTGCTATGCTCTAAGTGCTTTACATGTTCAAACCTATTTAATCCAAACCAATGAGGATGTACTAAAATTATGCCCATTTTATGGATGGGTGAATGAATAAGTACAGACAGATCATTATGCACATCTAAGCTTCAATTTTCTCATCTACATAACACACCCAAATCACAAGTTTGTGATAAATATTAAATTACACAATATATGTGAAGTTCCTAAGCCAATGACTGATAGATAGTTAGCATTTATAATGACTAGTTCCCTGTCTGCTTTAGAAAAACCAAAAGAAAGAAGACAACAATAATGTGGTTATATGAAGACCAGCAGAACGCCAAGTTCATATTTGTAAATAATTAGTACCTTGTCTAGATATTTAAATATACAAAGCTAAAATGTCTCTGCTAGTTTTGGAAATGGAAAATTGAAAAGGATAACTGGTTCAGTTATTTTTCTAGTTTTCTTTAGACTTGTTCATTATTCAATAAATAGGTGATAAGTCAATGTTTTGATGTTCAAATAAATTTGGAAATTATTTGGCTACCACAGTGTTGGCAAACTATAGCCCTTTGATCACATGCAGGCCACCACCAGTTTTTGTATGGTTCATGGGCTAGGAATGTGTTTTACATTTTTAAATGTTTTTAAAAATTAAAAGGAAAATAACCAGCTTAGACATGAAAAACATATGACTCAAATTTCAGTGTCCATAAAGTTTTATTGAAAACCAGCCATGCTCATTTGTTTACATATTGTACATGGCTGTTTTCATGCTGCAATGATGGAGTTGAGCATCTGACAGAGAGTGATCTTATGGTTCACAAACCTTAAAATATTTACTGTTAGTCCTTTACTGAAAGTTTGCCAACCCCTGGATGAACACAGTGAAATTTCTTCACTTTAGGAATTCTGAGGGCATTTAATATGATGTTGTTACATCATAAAGCCCCAAGAAAAGGAAAATGATTTCAGTATGTACAATTTTCTAAATGTATTTGACCTTGGCACAACATTTCACAATATTTAAGGTTTACATGAAACATCTATAATGCACAAATTCAACTTTTTTTACCATATAAAATGAAAAATGTCATTTTTTCCTCAGAAGTCACCTGTATTTGCTAACAAGAAATTAAATAATATTTCCCTCATGTAAATAATGTATAACTGCATATATTCTATTAAAATGCTGATGGGATCTCTTACATAAAACATTAAAAAATTTTTTTCAGGAATACGTATTGAACATCAATCTAGGACACCTTTGAGTGTCTTCTTTAAGTTTTAGAGAATTGTTCAATTTATTTCTAGTAAGTTTCAAAGCATGATATGTTCCCCAACTTGTTCAGCCTTTAAAAGCTACATTGAGGCCGGGCGCGGTGGCTCATGCCTATAATCCCAGCACTTTGGGAGGCTGAGGTGGGCAGATCACGAGGTCAAGAGATCCAGACCATCCTGGCCAACATGGTGAAACCCTGTCTCTACTAAAAATACAAAAATTAGTCAGGCGTAGTGGCACGGGCCTATAGTCCCAGCTACTTGGGAGGCTGAGACAGGACAATTGCTTGAACCCGGGAGGTAGACGTTGCAGTGAGCCAAGATGGCGCCACTGCACTCCAGCCTGGCAACAAAAAACAAATAAATAAATAAAAAATAAAAGAAAAAAAAAGCTACATTGACCAATAAATTCTAAGTTTGTTTGGCTATTTTCTACACTTAAAAAATAATCACCTCAGAAAAAATGAAGGCATTTTAGGTAAAGCAAATATGCCACACATGAAATAGGAAGCTCTGGCCCAAAACTAACTGATTAATTTTACACAGTATGTGGCAAATGTCTTCTGAAGTAACATTAGTTTTTGGATCATAGAGCTGCAATCTTAGGGAGAGATAAACACAGAACTCATAAATAATACAGCTCTTTTCTTAGGTTGCTAAGGAAATTTGAATCACTGTTTTGATAGATAAAGCATGAAATATAGTGCTATGAAAATAGTTTCCTCCAAACACAAACCATTAACATTTTTTAAAAATAGTTTGAAAATTGGAGTCTTTCAGAAAATTAATGACTCTATGAAAACCTAGGACAGTCATCACTTAATAAAAACAAAAGAAAAAATTATCTTGAAAATTAAAATTTGATATATATGTTTGTGTATATACGAGTGTGTGTGTGTGTGTTTATTTGTATTTATTAGTTCTGTGCTCTACTAATGCTACTTTAATTTTCGAAGAAGTAATATTATAAACCAGTCATGCGGGATAAGAAAAACCCTAGACATTCCATAGTGGCCGGGTAGCTATAGAACATAATTCCCATGAACAGGGTAAAGGGAAGAGAATGTGTAAAGAATGTGTATTGGAAACTACTTGGGGTTAAGTAAACTAAGCTCATAGTTCAGATTCCGGAAATTGATTATAGTCCAAATGTAAATATTTAACATGTGTTATTTACCAGATGAAATGGTGAGAAAATATCTAATCTTGTTGGAAATTCGGGTGTACCTGCACCTGGGAGGTTGCTAAAGTGCCCTTACTGATTGGTATTTTGTAAAGAAATATTTCGCAACAAAAAAAAAGTGCTTATTAAAAGGAAAGTCACCTAGCCTTAATGTTTAGTTTACTGATAACTATCGTTATTTCAGCTATTAGTAAGAGATTTTCTTTTGACAGCCGAATCCACATTGGCTTTGCCTTCTTAGTGGAAGATATTTCCTAATGATAATGATTTTGAGCTTATATTTACCTGCAACCACCTGCTCTTCCCCTCTAAATGTATTCCGAGATAAGCTGGTAAACTTGAAGGACATAAGTCATATGCAGGAATTTCAGTTATCCAGTTGGATAGCTGAAAACATGAGGTGAGCCCCGTTATCCCTGACTTCCATTTTCTGAATATACCCTGTAATGAACTGCAATAAAATAACTTCCAGTTGGAAGCTTCATCTGAATAATCAACTATTTACATTAATCACAAATAAATTTCTTGAAGAGAAAAAGAAAATTATTAACTTGTAGAAACGAGAGTATATCAGGGCCTGCCACTCTATTTTGTTAAGGAAAAGGAGAGATATTATTCTTGGGAACATTATTGATAAGAGAAAAATACTAATCATCTATATCAAAAGTATTGTGCCTTTATTTTTCTTCCCTAGGTTTTAAACTCTTTAATATGCTTTGAATTTTACTGTCGCCACCTCTTCTAGGACTTTGCTTTATAATTCACCCCTTCGTAAACTCTTTTTATCTTCTGCCTTTTTCTCTGGTTCTTTCTACTATCTTGTCACATTAAAAGAACCTTCGCTTGACCACATATTCCCCTCCACTATCTTTCCTTCACACACCAAATAGCAATCCATCGTTATTCTCTCTAGTACATCACTTTCCAGAAACTCCTCAGCCCACCACAAAATGTCTACTGCCGGCCAGGCACGGTGGCTCACGCCTGTAATCCCAGCACTTTGCGAGCCCGAGGCGGGCGGATCACGAGGTCAGGAGATCGAGACCATCCTGGCTAACACGGTGAAACCCCGTCTCCACTAAAAATACAAAAATTTAGCCGGTCTTGTTATTGGGCGCCTGTAGTCCCAGCTACTCGGGAGGCTGAGGCAGGAGAATGGGGTGAACCTGGGAGGCGGAGCTTGCAGTGAGCTGAGATCACACCACTGCACTCCAGCCTGGGCGACAGAGCAAAACTCCGTCTCAAAAAAAAAAAAAAAAAAATGTCTACTGCCTCCACTCATCCTCAGTAGCCACTTTTCTTCTTAGGGTTATCAGAAATCTCTTAACTGCCACACCCAATAGCCACTTGCAGAACTGATCTGACATATCCTCTTTGTAACATAATGCATTGTGACCTCCTCCTCCCATTCTTGCAGCTTTCCTCTCCTTGACTGTTACGATGCCATTCTCACATGGATCTTCCTTTGCTTTTCCAGCTGCTTCTTCCCAGATCCCACATGCACCTTGCTTCTTCCACATAGTCAATAGATGTGGATGTCATGCAAGTTAAGATTAGCATGGCCACAAACACTTGACAGTTCTTCCCGTTAAGAGAAGCTCTCTATTTCTTCACCCCTTGAATAGACCTTGGAACTTGCTATGACCAATGGAATGTGGCAAAAACCATGTTTGCATGTTCTGGAGTTCAGGCTTCAAGAAGCCTTGTATCTTCTGCTTAATTCTTTTTGGAATGCAGTCCTGAGACTGCTGTTTGATGAAAAAGCCTGAGTTCAAAGATTACATGGAGAGAAAAGAGGCAAACCATCGAAATCAAGTTGCTCTACCTGAACTGAGCCCTCAGCCAATCAGCTGCTCATGAGAGAGCCCAGGTGAAGCCAGCAGAAGAACCAGTCTTGCTGACCCACAGAATTATGGAAAATAATAAATTGTTCTTCCAGCCACTAATTTGGGGAGTGTTTTATTGTGCAGTAAGTGGTAAGTGATACAATTGGCATCCCCTAGGTTTTCGACTGTGACTCATTTCTTGTCTCACTATACACATTCTTGTGGGTGACTGCAATAATAGTTGCAGTCTGTAAACCAATTGTATGATGATGGTTCTCAAATCTAACTATTACGACCTTGAGCTCTAGACCTATATTCCCAACTTCTTTTTTTTTGCATCTTGATATTTTCATTTTCATAACTTACAGACACCTCAAATTTGACCCATGAAAACTAATTCATCATACTCTTCTCTAAAATATCAAACTATTCCATTGCCTGAGTTCCCATCCTACTGAATGCAATTATAGTGAATGCAAAAATAGTGTTCCCCACCTGTCTACCCAGCTTGAAAACTGAGTTTTCCTAAACACTTTCCTTTGCCTCTCTCCTCTTACTTTAACAACCAATCACTGTTTGTTTTATCCTTTCTCTTAAATATCCCAAATATCTGCCCTCATATTCATCACCCCTACCACAATTCAGATAACTCTGTTTTACTATATATTACTGCAGTAAGATATCGTAGGTTGTTATAAAATCTTTCCCCTTCACATTTGTGCCCCGTAATCTTACCAGACTGTCATTTTTAAACTGCAAATCTATTTTTTAAATTTTTTTATTGAAATCTTTAAACTATTTCTAAGTCCTGCATTTTAAACCTGTCTCTGTCTCTCTTTATCCCACTATCTCTTGTCTGCTCCTAGGGTTGCTTCCATAATCTGACTCCTCTAACTCATAGCCAAGCATTAATTAATATACACATTGAGTTAGCCATTCCTTACTTCTTGCTGATCTCTGACAGATCTACTATGAGAACAACCTGCTGTTACACATATTACATTATTGATTGCTAGACTGGAATGGACTGCATCTGCCACGCTTTTATTTTGACTTCGAGCTTTTCCATAACCTGTTGCCTTGTCCTGAAACACTCTTTGATCCCTTCTCCATCTAACTCTTACTCTGCTTTAGGTGTTAAGTGTTGCTTTCAGGAAAGTTCTCTGACCTTCTCTGAATAACCCCACTCCCACAAACCGAAATGGAAATGTGTGCTCATTTATTTATTTATTTATTTATGAGAGGAAGTCTCACTCCGTGACCAGGCTGGAGTACAGTGGTGCGATCTCGGCTCACTGCAACCTCTACCTCCCAGGTTCAAGTGAGTCTCCTGCCTCACCCTCCCTGGTAGCTAGGATTACAGGTGCGTGCCACTATGCCTGATTAATTTTTGTATTTTTAGTAGAGACAGGGTTTCACCATGTTGATACTTCTACAAAATCTAATGTACACTTAGTAGCAGCACTTTGTACTTTGGATAATGCATCCTTTTTTGCTAGTTTGCCAGTCAAGTCCTGGGCTAAGTCTCACTTTTGAAGTCTAAATGCCTAATACAGTAGGTATTAAACTTGGGAGTGGGGTAGAGATGAGAAGGGGGAGTTTTAGGGAGATATATAAAGGGAATTTCTCAGTCAATAATCTAGATCAAGTGTCTGAAAACTAAGGACCTCGTGGTTATAACTGCCCCACCACCTGTTTTTGTAAATAAAAGTTTTATTGAAACACAGCCACATCAATTTCATTATGTATTATCTATAGCTGTTTTCATACTACAAGGACAGAGTAGTTGAGATAGAGACATTATGACTGGGAAAATATAAAATATTTATTATGTTTTTTACACAAAAAGTTTGACAACTCTTGTCCTAGATAATTTGGCTGCCCCAGAAATCTGCACTGTATTTATTTAAATAATAAAATGTTTATTGAACTTCAATATCTACACAAGTTTTCTCTGTACCATTCTCTAGGAGATCAAAAGGTAAAAATAATGTGATCTTTACACACACACACACACACACACACACACACACCCTTACAGTCTAGTGGAAATAATGGCTATGTTTGAAAGCAATTTCAACCAAAGGTAATGATTAAAGGATCATTAAAAGGGTGACTGCCTTATGTGGCCTGACTGTGATTAATATAAGATTAGTCAGCCTGACAGCCCTGACTGGGAAACCAGTTTGTGTTTTGCCTTGAAAGCCCCACTCCAGGTGCACTGTACTATTCTGTATTAATCAGCCCCATATGGTTGTCAGGAGGGATGAGAGTGGGTTGGATGAAAGGCTGCTTTCACAGTCCCATGTCAGGTGCAATGTGTCCAAACACCAGGTGTTTACTGGTGGAATATTTAGAAACATTCAAATCACACCTTAATTTTCTTCACTCTTCACCCTGATGTTCTTCCCTCACCAAGCCTATCTCTGCCATATTTTCTGTTCTTTATGATGACACACATGTATCTCCAGTTACTCAGAACCAAAATCTAGTCACGAATGGTTCTTTTTTCCATCCTGATATTGGCCCCATGCACTGAATTTTGAATTCCTATAAATTCCGCCTCCATGGTGACTCTTGAATCATTCTTCTCTTTCTATTTAAGAAAGTCCTTTAACTCCCTCGTACCTGGCCCACTCGTATTCTTTCTCCATTCCTTCCAATATTTTTTTTTTTTTTTTTTGAGGCAGAATCTCGCTCTGTCGCCCAGGCTAGAGTGCAGTGGCACGATTTCGGTTCACTGCAAGCTCCGCCTCCCGGGTTCACGCCATTATCCTGCCTTAGCCTCCCGAGTAGCTGGGATTACAGGCACCTGCCACCGTGCCTGGCTAATTTTTTGTATTTTTAGTAGAGTCGGGGTTTCACTGTGTTAGCCAGGTCTTGATCTCCTGACCTCGTGATCTGCCTGCCTCGGCCTCCCAAAGTGCTGGGATTACAGGCATGAGCCACCGCGCCTGGCCCATCCCTTCCAATATTTTTAAATATATTTCTTCAAGTTTAATATTTATGTGACATAATGATTATATCATTTTCTTGCTCATAGCCCTTCAATGGTTCCCACCACAATATAAAGAAAAATTAAATTAAATTTAAAAAATAAAATAATCTGTTTGGCCATTCACAAACTCGCTGATACTATTATGCCAAATATTTTACATTTCTTCCTCTTTCTCCTTTACCTACAATATTCTTTTTCCCAACTTTTTATATTCTAATCTTCCCTCTCATTTAGATTCTAGTATAGACGCTGTTTTGTAAAACCCACAGAGGTTGCTTCTCCTTGTCACCTAACATACCACTCTATCTCAGTCTTGAGCTTCAGGCCCAATATCTTACTGAATACCTCTACTTTATGTATTTAACTGGCATCTGAAACTTAGCAAGGCTAGAGAAGAATCACTAATTTTCCACACATTCTTCCCAACATCTTCTGTTTGACAAATATCTTCAGAATCATCCCTGTTAAAACCCTCAGAATCATCCCTCATTTTTCATCTTCACTCACTCAGTACAAATTTAAGTTCTCTTTCTAAACTGTATCAATTTTGTCACCTACATTCCTTCTCTACTATCATTACACTAGTCATCATATTTTGCCTATACTACTGTAATGTCACCGCAACTAGAGTCCCTGCTTTCACTCCTCGTCCTAGTACAATTACCTCTCTACATCCTAGGCAAGTTGACCTTTTGAAAAATGTAAATAAGATTCTATAATTCCCCTGGTTAACACCCTTCAATGGATTTCCCTTGCATTTAAAGTACAATCAACATCCCTTATAATCCACAAATATCTAAATAATCATACTCCATCTAGGTCCTCAACTACATTCCCTACTCGTAAGCCCCTTACTAACTGGTTTTCCTTCATGTTTTCCACAGCTCCAAACCATATTCTGTCTCAGTTACTTTATACCTTCTGTTCAACCTGGCTAAAACAGTCTTCTACCACAAGCCTGACATGCCTGATTTCTTTGGTTCATTACAGTCTTAACTAACAAGCCAACTCTTCCCAGACCACTCTCCACTACATGAATCTAGTTTTTCCTGATAACAGTAATTACTATCTCAAATGTCTAATTCACATATTGTTTTTGCATTGTCTGTCCATCTACCACTGCATTATACATTCGATCAGAGGAAAAACCTTGATTATCTTTCTCATTACTTTATCCTTAGCATCTAGAAAAATATATGGCACATACTACAAGGTAAATAAATATTTATTATTCAACATATGGATTATATTATGACACTTTAAAATGCTTGTTTTGTATTTCAATTGTTTACATATGGCTTGTGTGTCTTGTTAATCAGCAAGCTCCTTAAAAACCTAATCCATACCTGATTTATCATTAATACTTCACAATATAACTCGATATAAATATATATGTGTGTATGTGTGTGTGTATTTAAGTAGATCACAAGTCTGACAGAGTGAGATTTGTGATCTACTTAGAACATCATGTATATTTTTTTCTGAGATGGTAAAATAGGTTTTCTAGTATCTAATAGCACAACAGTGTGGTTGTAGGCAGTAATAATTTAATTGTACATATTAAAATAACTAAAAGAGTGTAATCAGATTGTAACACAAGGATAAATATTTGAGGTGGTAGATACCTCATTTACCCTGATGTGATTATTATGCATTGTATGCTTGTATCAAAATATCTCATGTATCACATAAATATATATATACACTTACTATGTACCCACAAAAATGAAAAATAAAATATTATGAGCATATTCTGTAAAACAATACATTCCACAGTCAACCATTTTACTTAATCTTCTAAATTGTGATTACAGCAAGTTCTCCTAATTAAAAGTAGAACCACAAAAATTGCTTAACATTGTTAAAACAGTAACTTAGTCTATGTCTTATGGCTATTAATTATAGTTCTAGGAAGAAATTCCTCAACTTTCACTGCTGGAAGAACAGGCAGTCAAGGAACAAAGTTGACTACTTTGTGGTCTACCTCTGTAATGTGCGTAGTTTCCTGCACTATTAACAAAGATGAAACCTCAAAATTCTACTATGGCCTTTTAAGTGTTTTTACTAATCATGTATAATTCTTCTCCATATGAGAAGGTAGTTATTACATGTCTACCCCATAAAAAGGTCCATGGTTTATCAATAGAATCTCTCTTATCTTCCAGAAAAACACAAGATCTTATGTACAGAGCTGAAATAGATATCCTTTTAGGCTTTACTGTGGAAGACTGTGTTTTCCCAAAACAAACGCTCTTCTACTGAATGCTAAATTACCACACTTAACCATAATTTCAGGGATTCCAGTGGGACTGAAAAGGATCAGAGTAAATAAGGAGCATTAAGAGTAACTAAAGGTATATGAGGTGGCTACAAAATGTCCCAACCATTGGTTGAGAACAATAAACATGCACCAGAGGGCATATCAATAGGCCTCTCACACAAAGCTTCTAGCAGTCATACGCCATAATTAATGAGCCTGAAAATTTGCTGAAGTTGGACCACTATCTGCATCAATGGAAATAAAATTTAAAAGACTCATAAAATGGTAGAGTTACTCAATTTCAAGATCTGATACACGGACCAATTTAATGTGATTATTAGAATAAACAGAAGTCAACTGCCATTGACTTTCAACCGACAATGTTATATAAATACACAAAATTATTTTAAATACTTCCATTGTAATTGTAAAATATTGTTTTCCACCAACTCAACTAAGATTATGGATTGCCAAACTGACCATATTACTGCCCGTTTCTTGGATTCTTTTCTTTTGATTATCATATGTGAGTCAGTCTTAGCCCTGTATGATTCAGCCCCCTCCTACATATTTTTCTAAATCTTATTGCATTCCCTTCTCTTGTTCAAGCCTGTTGCCTGTGGGAGTTTAATAAATGCTAGCTAATTATGATGATGCTCATTTTATTTTCCTTTACCTCCATTTACTCCTCTCTTAAATATTTCTACATAGAGTTAATCAACATTTATTGAGCACCTACTCTACAGAGGAATAGCCTTCATCAACTCCAAGAGATTGTACTCTAATTTTCTTAATTGTATTGCAAAAATTATGATTTTGTCTACCCTGTCAAAGATAGTTTTCCATG
This sequence comes from Homo sapiens, assembly GCF_000001405.40. Taxonomy (NCBI): domain Eukaryota; kingdom Metazoa; phylum Chordata; class Mammalia; order Primates; family Hominidae; genus Homo; species Homo sapiens. The sequence continues at coordinate 85,829,888 of NC_000012.12, forward strand.
GAAGAGTGATTTTAAAAAAGTTCTTGCATGAACTATTTTACTATAATAATGTTTTCTCAATTAGGAGTTTAATCTCTTAGGAATGGGGTTTTGTCTTTGCATGTCTGGTACAGTACTAAACACAGTTTACCCATCCTAAAGAAACAAAATTAAAAGGTAGCCACTCAGAACATTCCTATAACTGTGTTGCTAAACTATCTCAAATGAGTAGGAGATATGCTCCACATTCAACAGTGAGGTCTGTGGAATCCATTCAGTCTCACCCACCCAACTTCACTCATATGCATACCTGGCTGTGTTCTAGGGGGATGAGGGGAGGTAAGAGCATCCATAGAGAAGAACAAATGACCATGATTCTTGATTTGTTTTTCTACCAAAAGTCTGGTAAAGTTGTATGTCATCTATTTATTAGACATGGCCCTTTACCACTTGAAAGCCAGGAGCTGGGCCTAGGAGCAAGGAAGATGAGAGGTCAACCTTGCATTTATGGATTCATTCTTTAAGTTACCCATGTATCCACTTAACATAAATGCACTACTGATCAGCTGTATTTTAAGAGTATATGTTGAATTTCTTTATTCAATCAACAAATATTTTTTGAGCACTTACTCTCTGGCTATCTAGGAAGGAAAAATACAAGCAAGGTCCCTGCTCTGATTGGACCTATACTCAATGATTTTTTTAACAGAATGTTTAAATCACTTCATTTATAAAAGCAGGGTGCATTCTAGTCTGAAGATATAAACCTCTGAGTATAATTTTCCTTGTTTGTCAGCAGATTTAATTTGCATTGCTCATTCTTATACTTGAAATATCTTGTTTATTACTGCCAGTGCTAAACATCTTCCCAAGGCTCTACTCCACTTGCATAAATACTTTGTACTTGTATGATCATTTATATTAGTAATCACTTTCAATTTTATCCAACAAATACACAAACTTTCTCTAGAAGGTGTAGTACTACAACAGACTCTACAAGAATGGAATCACAATATATTAAAAATAGTAAAGAATTAGCACTTAAGAAATCAATGTTGTGTTTTGCCAATGTTGTGTTTGGATGTCAAGAAATTAATTAAGCAACCATACATTAAAGTCATTAGAATGCAGAAGTAAGCTGAACTTTTTCCTCTGACATATGCATGGTGCAGATATCATGAGGTTTCATTTTAGAAAGCTGATATGTAAGAGGCAAAGAGATTCCTTGTCAAGGACTGGTATTCATATACACCTGCAAGAGGTAAACACATACCCTTACTTCAACCTTATTTCATTTTCAGAACTACTATCAAAAGAATAGAGCCACATATTTGTGAATTATTTAGAGTTATCATCAGATCTCCTGGAACTACATGCCAATAACATAACATCAAAACTTCCTGAGTTATACAGCCAACGAACACATTATCTAAATTAAATTGTTAGACAGCTTCAAACTTTTTAAAACTTTTCTCCAAAAAATTAATTTAAGTACTTCTCGCCTTGACATGTGTCAGGCACTGACACTGTAGATAATACATTTTATGTAGTACAAAGCTGGCTTAGATTTTCTTGAAAAACAATTCAGGTTTAACCTAGAGCTCAATTTTACCCTTGGCACAGCTCTCAGGATATTTTTGTCAGGGATAAAGCATTCCAGTCATTGTTCCTAATGAGCTATCCACTGCCAACTAATAACTACTTAAGTTACCAGGTATAATCAGGGGAAATCACTTTCAGGAACTCCTGAGAATTTTGAAGATTTACATACTCAAATATCTGGCACTTCTCCATACAATTTTGGATACATTTTAAATCTTGATTGGAAGGATAAACAAAATAGTGCATAATAATTTCCCACTCTGCAGAATTCACAAATTACCATACTTCTAATAACAGAGAGAAGACATCCTTCTTGTCAGCAACTTTTACCCTAACCACAAAATTTAATTCTTTCTTCCGATGAAGCAATCATTGAATGATTTACTTCTAGTGACAATATAATGTACTTGGCCTTAAGAACTGTTGTCTAAATATGTTCTAATTGATGCAAAAGCAACCTGGAATGCAAATTTTATGTATCAATTATAAAACAATAAAGCTATAATATTTTATGCTAATAAATTCAGGACAAGCAAATTTTTTGGAGTCTTTTAATTTTAGGTTGATATTACAAGCATGTCTGCTACAGCCTGTGGTGGATATTCATATATCAGTACGTTTTGTGAAAGCCGAAGGGAACCCTTGAGATGACTTAAGGGAAAATGAGAGAAAACTAAATAGCACTTCAAAATAATTTTAAGTGCCCTTTAAACTGGATTCAATATTTTTATATTCATTATTTTTTATCTTACAAATCACCTATGCAAACTATTCTAATTTCCTATTTTGAAAAATACATTGGACACTATTTCATTATGGTAATGTTATGCTTCTAGCAAGGTTTGGTGAAAGTACCAACCAATTCTCTGTCTCCAAATCTTATTAATTAAAACACTAAGAAATCATACCTTACAACCAAGTGTTCCAAAAAATGGTTTATAATAACATTCTAGTTATCTGAACTTTTACAAAATTTCTGATTGCTATTTAGACACATTAACATTAAAACAATCCTTACCTTGAAAACCTAATCTAATATAAAGACAATCACATTCACAAATGGAATCTATGTGAATGGTAAATAGGTTCATAATCTAAATCCAATTGTTGAATGTCCACATGAATCTCAAATGGACTGGTGTTTCATTATTTACTACTTTAGCTTTTATGTGAGGAACACTGGTTCCCTAGCGACTTTTAGAAAACACTTTCAGAACTTGAACAGCTTACTGAAAAAATATCTAGACTCTCAAACATTTGTATTCTTCATGTTGAACAAAAAGTCTGATGAAGAAGATATGCATCAAGAATCTTTGGAATTCAGTCATAGAATATTCTGTTTTTCTGGAATCAAAATAAATAATTCATCTCCTAAAAGCAACAGATTCTCTTAAAACCGAAGTCTTCCAATTAAACATTACTACAATTAGAAAAATTCTAAAGATTAACTCTCATTGTAAACAGAAAGAATTTAGGTTGGTTCCATGTCTTTCTATGAAAGTTTGAAATGAAAAGCCTGATTATATTTGGGCATACAAACTTTTTAGGCTTTATATTTAGGCATCTATTATTCTCAAATTTCCTGAATACTATTTCCCAAATTGTTGAACTAAATAATCTTTAAATTTAGAAAAAAAATTATGTAGTAGGATAAGATTAGGTTGGTTTCAAAATCCATATAATTATGTGTCCATCTCTTTAGGTTTTGAATTATATTAAATATCAACTAACCCTTTAAAAAGTATTCACTTTTATATAATACCAGCTGATGTCACATGATGAATAGAGAATAAAATAATTAGTATATTTATGGTTTGAGTAAAAATTATAATTCAGTTTACAAAACTGAATAAACAATTGTATTGTAGGTCTACCACATGGCAGGCACTGTCCTGGACATGAAAACACAATGGTGTCTAGACAGATATGACCCCACCTTCTCCAAGCTTTATGGTTTGTATTTTCTAAAATTTTGTATTGCCTCATACTTTGAAGTTTTAATTGCATCCTGTCTGTCTCTAAAACTCTCAACTATCCATTTATTATAAGCACATTTATAGTACTATCTCATGAGGTTCAATTTTGGGTAATTAAATATCACTCCAAGAGTGACCAAAAATGAAAAGAGAGGCAGAGAATAGCATGCAGAAAAATTCTGTAAGCAGACTTTCTCAAAATTTTATGATCTTTAATCCCCAATGTTCCTTCTAACAGTTCATATATTTTCCTGCTGATAAAGATGCAATTATGCTCAAGTAGTTTTTTGTTATTGTTGTCTGTTATATATCATAAGGCATATAAATATATTTGTTATCCAAATTCTTACTTTACATTGTACAATAAATTTTATATGTCTGTATTTGAAGAATATAGTGACTCTTATCAGATAACTGTCTTATCATAAATCACATTTTCCAAGAAAGGATAAATCACTCATCATTTAAGAAAAGATATTTTGTTTCTGTGCTTTAGAATGTGGTTATTCAAATCATTATGGAAACTGTAAACAAAATGAGTAAACTTAATCTTGCAAATAATTTTCACCTGTGGTCTCACCTCTGCTAAGGTGAAAAAACAAAACAAAAGACCCTGTATATAGCATTAGTAAATACCAAAACAAATATTAATTCTATTTCAATACACTCTGTGATCTTTTCACTGCTTAACTTGAAATACCCATATTTTTGTGTCCTAGACCACTGCTGTGGTTTAAATCTTTCTTAAGGATTGAAAAATACAAATCTGTAAAGGGAAATACTTTCATTAGAGAAGCTTACCCATATCCTTACTATTGCCACCTTTTCCAAAACACTTGCGTTTATAACAAAGCATCATCTTCAGGAGCCATTCCATTTTCTGAGAAACTTGAAATTCAACACTATTAAACTCTCTTTTTTATTTTTATTTTCACCTTTTCATAATTTTGCATAGAAAACTTTTAAAAAATGTTTGCATACTCACCTCCTCGAAAGAAAGCTAGTTTTATAGGTAGAGTAGATAGTAGAGTGGCAGAACTGATGTAATGAAATTGAAGAATGCACTTCCCTGAGGGAAACTCAGGGGCGCATGCAAAGTTTTATTGCCCTGTATTTGGCATACCAATGACAGAAATCTCAAATTGCTAAAGCAAAACAAAAAAACCTCAAACAAACAAACAGAAAGCCCTGACTACAGGGATAGTATGCCAGAAACACAACTTGATTTATGAAACCATAAAGTTTTCCAGAGTATTTTTATACATTTGATGACATTTAAACAAATGCCAAAATAATACTACAAAAATACCACTACAAAAATATCATTTAAAAAACAGAGTATTTTTATTTTTGGCTTGGGGGAGGCTTTTCTGGAATATTCTAGAATATTTTAAAATGCATTGTCACCATCAAAACACAAATTTTAAATACTCAAACCACTTTATTTTAATATAGTTTCATTATCTTTAATTACCATAAATAGCATATTTGTGAAATATTGTCAAATTATTAGAAAATAAAGCTTACTTAGAAACTTTTACAGTATTTATTAAGGCCATTTACTTTCTAAAGGAAATTTTGTCACCTAAATCATGAATACATTTGGAATGAGTTAAAAACAGGATTTTCAAAGTAGACATGTGTGCGCAAAATAAAGTATGGAGATTTACTTTAAAGTTGTATTACTCTATATTGTCATGTAGACACTTTAAAATAATTATATCATTTCCTACCATGTAATTGTATCCTTTTGAATCTGCACTGAGCAAATTATGACAAGTACAAACAGGCATGATTGAGAGAAAAGTGGTGGACAATCCCCTATGCCAAAATAAATATATTTTTAAAAAAATATAGCCCATGTCTAAATTTATTCTCAAGTTTTTGGCATGAAAACGTAACATTTGATGTGTAAATAAAATATTTAATAAGACTAAGACAGACATACTGTCCCTAGAAAAATACGTGTGTGTATGTGTGTTTTGAGTAACTTATTTATACTATGGGCATTTCAAGCTTGAAATATCAAATCAAATCAAAGTAAAACAGTAATAATAAGGATTAGAGAGGATAGCTGCTTGAATCCTTCTTTAGTGCTTAAAACTACCTAAAATTCTCAAAGATTTTTTAAAGAATCAATTCAAACAAAGTTTCTCTCCAGAGTGTTTCCACTTTGGGAACATTCCAGGTTTCAGGAATGCCTCACTCTCAGGGGAGCCAAAGCATTGTTTCTGAATTGTATCAGCAGTTTTATTTTTCATCCTACTTAGTGGCTATAAATACTAGTTACATCTTTATCAAAGTTTTAATTATTTCTACAATATTCTAAAGTTCTGTTGAAACAAAATGACACTTTTTATTGTACTACCCTCAAATGCCCAGGGCAACAAAAAAAGAAACTGTTTATGTTGCTAGTTGTGGAAACAGGACTGGTCAAAAGGGGAGAAAGGAGTCAAATATAATCACTCTTTATTCTCTGCGATCCTTGAGCTGGTCACTCCCATCATCAATACTGGGAGAATATCCTTACTATCTAGGTATTCATACTAGCCTAACTCCTTAGGCTAGGACTGTGTCCCCACGAAGCCTTTTTTTATCAGAATCTAACAACCACAAAACACATACTTTCACAGGTAGGGTCCAGAGTACACACACAAGACACACACACACACAGAGACACACACACACTTACTCACACGCTTGACTTTACCTGTTTTTATGCCGAGTCTTTAGCAAGTTTCTTCCAAAGGGAGCCATGGTCTGTCGGGCAAACGAATAAAGAAATTATCTTAAAGTGATCTGAGGGTGGGGGTGGGGGTGTCTGGATTTCCAGGGTGAAGGGAGGAGGGCTGGAAGCTTTCTCTTCTCCTCGGATGTTCCTGGCTTTCAGCTCATTAGTAGCCGGCTGAGAAAGTTGCTGGAAGTTGTGCAACTGCTGCTTAACTTTGAACTGCGGGATTGTTGTGGCTGCTGCACCTCTGGAGACCTGCCCAGCTTCAGCCTCGAAGAAGGCGTTTGGAAGCAGGAAAAGAAAAAAAAAAAAGAAAGAGAGAGAGAGGAAGGGAGGAGGACTCTATTGTGTTCTGTAGTTATTTGCAGACTTAAAGAACTGCCAACCCCACAAGCATGGTAATACCAATGGAACGGGAGTTTCACTCGATCTGGAAATCCCCCCTCCCCCGCTTTCCACACCCAACCACACAAGGTGTACTGAACACACATAAAAGGATTAAAAGTAAATATCCCCCAACTCCTGGTCAGCTCCAGTCTGTGAAAAGTCATCTGATCATGGCAAGCATGAGGGATTGCTGAGAACTCTCTTTGCCAACTCATTCGACCCCAGATCCCCTGCCAGGGTGTCAGGACTTTAAAATATATTAGGGAGAGGGAAGCTGGAAACCGGATCAAGGTGGACTCACAGACCACTTAGAATTGTTAAGTCCCTGAGTTCACGGTCTTAAGAGTTTCTTCCAGGCCCCTGCTCCACACTCTCAAGTTCATCTTGCAAAAGTCGAAGGACCTGAAGGACCACAGGGCTCCAGGGCTGATGCATCACAGTTTGGTCTAGGAACCAGCTGGAGTTTAGTGTTTGACTCCCAAGGCGTTTATGTTGACCCCTACCCCATCTTTGACATTCACTGGGCCTTTAGAGCCCTGGGAATTTCAGAGGAAAAGCAAACTGCTCCTGCCCCTCAAGGAGTAAAGAAGACACACCGAGGGGATCTGCTGGAGCTCGAAATGTGAAGTGGAAGTCTAAGGGAGGGAGGGCTTCATCTGGTCCCAGGAGAGCTCGAATCCAGAAGCAGGGCAGAGGAATGGAGATGGGAGAGTTCGGGTGCCTGTGGGAGGCCCAGCGCAGCTCCCACCAGGTACCTGGCACTCATGGGAAAGCACTATTTAGGGGCAAGGGCCAGGAGAGCTTTCTCATGGACGTGTTTTACTGGGATTTTGCCCCTCCTAAAACCACCCCACCACCCTCCACCCCGCCAGGCTTCTAATCATGGGCTTCCCAGGCAGACGATGAGGGAGGGAGGGAAAGGAAAGCCAACAAACTTGTGAGTTCTTTCTGAGCCTTGGCAAAGAATATGAATCGCTCCTACTTACTTTGGGAGTTTATCCCCTACCCCCAACAACACCAAACAAAAAAATAATCTCAAGGTCTTCCATGATTCTGATACACACTGATTTATGCAGTGCTCAGATAAATCATGTTTTTCATTATTTATTATCATAATCTTTCTCTATTCATCTATATTTCATGTTTCTGTATGTGCATATACACATGTGTCCTATACTATTTCATTATTTATAATATTTTCTTTATAATTTTATATAATAAATCATATATTATATCCATATATGCACCCAAATCATTATGAAGTGAAAAACATTACAATAGCCAATGTTAAAGTTTAGTTACCTTTTTATATCCCTGGGAGTTAGGATAACTAAAAAATACATACCCATCTTAATTTGATATGGTCAGTGATTCCAGAGAAAATCAAGACACCAAAAATAGTAATGACATGTTCTGTGTATATATATGTATATATGTACACATATATACATGTATAAACATCTGTATAAACATCTTCATCTTTGTAAACATAAGTATATATATGTGTGTGTATATATATATATGTATTACATGCTATGTATATATGCACTTCACATGCAACATAAGCTACATAATCTTGGGTGTATTTCTGTTTCCGTTCTTGATTTTGTTTTACTAGCACCTCACAAGAAATGATTTAAACTATTATGGAAGTTTACCTAGTTATTCTAAGTTCTTCAAAATGTAATCCCTTAAAGCTATACTGTTTACTTATTAATATAATTGTTGCAGTCAATTTGCAAATAATTTCACATTTGCAAATATCCCTGTTTCCTTTAGTTTCGGTTCTCCATGCTTAGTAACATTATTTATATACATATGTGTACTATATTTTTCAATAAAAGAGTTTTAATGGGGAATGAGGAAACAATACTATGTCTTTACTAGCATAATCTTGTGTTGAGTTTCAGGTTATCACAAATGAGTTTCATTTAGGTGTCATTAATCCTCACACAAAATGCCCTGTTAATATTTTTCATGACAAGCTCTTTGATGTATAAGAATTACACATAAAAGGGTTTGTACACATTAAATATATTCCATTTTTATTTGACAATTATACCTTAATAAAGCTGAAAGAAAAAGCACAAAGGGTTAATGTCTCTCAGATAGTAGAAGTGGAAAGGAATAAAAAAAACATGAATACTAATGCCTTAATAGAAAAATAAGCAAAAGCAATCTTAAAAGAAAGTAACGAAACCATTGTTTTTTTTTAATTTTTAATTTTTTTATTTTTTTGAGTTAGGATCTTCCTGTGTGGCCCAGGCTAGAGTGCAGTGGCTATTCACAGGCACAATTGTTACACACTACAGCTTCAAACTCCTGAACTCAGGAAATCGTTTTGTCTCTCATCTAAGTAGCTAGTACTACAGGTATGTTCCACCATGTCCAGTTAAAACCATGCTTTAAAAAATTGACTACAATCAGCAATAATTTGTTGTATATTTTAGAATAATGAATAACAGAAGGAGTACAATTTAAAATGTTTGAAACACAAATAATGAATGCTTGAAGAACTGAAAACTTCGTGTACCCTGAGGTGATTATTACACACTGTATGCTTGTATCAAAATATCTCATGTACCCCATAAATATATACCCCGTATATGTACTAGTACTTTTAAGTAACCTTCACTAGTAACTAGGTATTGTATAGTTACATTGAAACAAGACTTTGTTTCACATCTACCAAATTGACTACTTTTTAAAATGATGATGCTCAATAGTGTTCATATGATGATCATAGTATACTACTCTGCATAAATATTAAAAATTGGCATATCTTTTTTGAGAAATGAATTTGGCTATGTAGAGCAATAACCTTCAAAATATTCAAACTCTCATTCAAGTTTTTCTCATAAAAACTTCTTGGAAGAAAATAATAAGTTTCAGAAAAAGTCTTATGCTAATTGATATTAATTCTGAGAACTAAATGAAATAATGCGTACCAATCGCTGACATATAGTGTTAACCTAAGTACTATTTTTATTATAGGGTTGGATAAATTATCTCACACTTGAAAATAAAACAAATGGATGACTGCATGTTATTTCAAAGATATAATGGACTATTGTCTAATAGACCCTTTCAATGATTCTCTGGAAGAATGCATTTTTTCTTACTTACTATTTTTATTAGGCTGAGAGTCCATGAGATTAGATGTTAAATTGTTTTTTTAAAAAAGAGTAAATTTTGTTGTTCAGTAGCAATACTAATTATTTTATCTAGTAGGAAAGATAACACAAAAGTTGTAGTTTTATTGCCTTGTAGAACATCAACCAACTTTACATTTATTTAATTTTCTTTCAGCATTCTGTCTTTAATTCACTGTTTATCCGTAACAGTCTTTCTTACTCTCTTTTGGACCAGCTTTATAATTCTGCTGGATCCTTCACTAATGAGTTAAGTCAATTTTGTCACTTGCTCGCTACATAATTGTATGAAATTCATGTTTTGGCTTCCTGAAAATTACATCCTGAAAAACTATGAGAATACATTAATCCCTTTTCTGAACAAATAAGAAGTCTTTATAGAAGAAAAATGGCTACTTATCCATATAATTTCTACTTTTCTTAAACCATAAAATGTGCAAAAAATGTTTGATAGTAGAAAATATAATGTCCTTTCATTCATTTATGACATGAAGCTCAGACAAAATAGATAGAAAAGATGTATTCCCTTTCAAATAGATTAACATATGAAAAATCAACATTGAAGATGACATATTATACCTGAAAAAGAATAAATGTATATTCTCCGCAATTAAATGAAAATTATTTAATCTTTGGTTGACTTGATATCAAAAGCTAGGCATTGTTAAAACATGTAGTCTGGTAGAGACCCGGCCTGTTACCATATGAAGTCTTATTTGTTTGTTTGTTTGTTTTGAGATAGTGTCACTCTGTCACCCAAGCTGGAGTGCAGTGACACCAATCTTGGCTCACTGTAGCCTTGACCTAAGGGACTCAGGTGATTCTTCCACCTCAGCCTCCTGAGTAGCTGGGACTATAGACATGCACCACCACACACAGCCATTTTCTGTATTTTTTTGTAGAGATGGGGTTTTGACATGTTGTCCAAGCTGGTCTCGAACTGCTGGGATCAAGCGATCCACCTGCCTCAGCCTCACAATATGCTGGGATTACAGGTATGAACCACTGCACCTGACCCATATGAAGATGTATTAATTTCCTTTCTGACAATTAAATTTCACAACTATTTGGGCTGATCTAATGCATGCAAAGAATGGAGAGCAAAGTCTTTGTACAGCTCCCTGACCGTTTACATCAATGTCTTGATTTTCTTCCTCCTGCAATACGTTATAAAACTAAAGTTTTAAAAATATCACTCTCATTTTCATCTTAAATCCTTTAAAGACTCTTAGAATTCAGCACAAACTCTGTAGGTTATCATTCAAGGCTCTTTATTACACAAGCTTTTCTGACTTTTAGCTTTAGTATACATGACTTCACTAAAGGGGCGGCAGATATGGCGTGAGAGTTAAGAGTGTTAAGTTTTGGAGCTGTACAGACAAGGATCCATGTCACAGCTCTGTCACTTCCTAGTAGAGACCTTGGGTAAATTATTTAACCTTCCGAGCCTCAGTTTTCTGATCTGATAAATGGAGAAAATAATAATAATGCAACCTCATTTTCTTATTAAATATAAGTCTGAGAGAATTTTTCTTCTAAAAAACTCTTATAAAGATGAGCTCTCTTCTTATTGCTAGAAATTTACTTTTCACATTTTAATTATTAAATTGGGTTACTGATATAATTACAATAGGCATCTGTGATAAGAGCCAGTTGTCCCCAGGGCCTTCATAAAAAGAACAGCAGAGCTGAAATTCTTCTGATTACACAGATACTTGACTGTGAGCCAATTTGTCGCCACTTACACGGTAACCTGTGAGGAAATAACATACTAGAGAGCTTGTTATAATCAATCAGTTTATCTGATTTACTCAAAATCCCATTCTCAATCAAGCAAATAATAATAAAATAGAACTTCTTTTGTATGGAAAAGAGAGAGAAGAACTCAGAAATAATTAGAGCTGGCCAGAGGGTAGGACCATAATTTGAGTGAGAATCTTCGGACAACAGGTTGTGGCAAAAGGGCATTGTGCAAAACAAAGCCATTTACAACAAAAAGTAGGAAAGCCCCCAAAAGTCAGTAAAAATAAATTCTTAAATTGAATACCAGAGCTACTACAATTATTATCATTATCTACATGTACCTATCTTCAGCAGTTCGTTCCTGTCTTAAATTTGCTCATGGTAATAGGAAACTGTCTCTAAAAATTGGAATGGATGAGGCTTCTCTCACAAAGCCTTTTAAATATGGATGGTAGGTGTCATGGGTTGTAAATTAACCTCTCTAAAAGGTTTTAAGCATAGAAGAAATAACTATCTTGAATGGATTAGGTATATCTCAGAAGCAGGGATTCCCTTTCAACTCTAGGTTTCTATGGTATCAATGCTCTTTTGATTCTCTATAGAAGTTCAGAATGGCACTACTAAGCTTTGAAGTAATTACATATAGTCAGATAGTATAATTAGCCATCCAGTTACAATAGGCGATTCCATTAAAAATAGATTTTAATAAATTAAACTTAATATTTGAGTAGCTAACTGGCTGAATGTTGGCCAGATACCTGTGTCCTAAATAAAAGGCCAAATGTCTTCACTTAGGAGCTATGACTGTTATTAATGAGTATGTATCTAATGTATCTAATGTGTTAATGAGTATGTATCTAATGTATCTAATGAGATAAATCCATATAAGCCTGGCTACTGGTGGAAATTGCTCTACTTTGAAGAAATTTTGAAGGCTATAAAACACAAAATATGCACATAACATAAAATATGTGCATATAGGTATATAAACACCATCAAATATACATTCACCTTCTATGGTAAATGATATAATATTATGTTGTAGTGCTTTACATAGGCATTTTTATATTTGGTGTCTTATTTGGTCACAGCGTGCTGAGCAGGAAAGAAAATAGAATCTCAAATTTACAGATAAGAAAAGTGAGGTTGAGAGCTATGTGATGATTGAATAATTAATCAAAACCAAATCAAGACCAACCTATTGCTGTTAACAAAAATAATAATTTATAATTATAATATAATCACTTAATTGCCTTTGGAAATTTTCCTTAAGTGATACTTTACTTTTATTAAGTAGATTTGGGACTCTTTCCTTTTTAAGACTTATTAAAGATTCTGTGAATGTAATGTGAATTCAACACTGTACAAATTTTATTTCCTTATGATATGGAGAACATCATAGGCTCATATGTATCAGAGCACTAATACTAATTGCTACTGATTGAATTGTGTCCTCCACAAAATTCATATGTTGAAGCCCTAAACCCAATGTGACTGTATTTAAAGAGAGAGCCTTTATGGCAATAATTAAAGTTAAATGAGGGCATACGGGTGGGTCTCTAAACTGATAGGGTTGGTGTTCTTACAAGAGGAGGAAGAGACAGCAGAGTTCTCTCTCTCATTACTCATAAACAGATAAAAAGTCGTGTGAGGATTCAGCCAGAGACGGTGGCCATCTACAAGCCTGGAAGAGAACCCTTACCAGAAACTATTTTTGGACACTTTGATTACGAACTTTTAGCCTCTAGAACTGTGAGAATATGAATTTATGTTGTTGAAGCCACCCAGTCTGTGTCATTTGCTCATGACAGCAGACTAATACACCAATAATATGAAGCAGATGAAATTGGGCTGACTTTCCTTGGAGAAGGACACCATAGTACCATTTGCCCTTTGAGTAAAAACTACCCCCTCTTACTATGCTTTTGTATTCTGGAAGAAGAGGTGGATGATTTGCACCTGCACCTAGGAGCCTCCTGGGAAGCGCAGGGTTCTGAATCCACACTTACCCTTTGAGCAGCAATGTTACAGAATTTTTCAATGAATTAAGGTTTCCTATTGAACTGAAAAGATACCAGTGATGCTAAAAGTGATCCAAATCCAAATGTAAGTAATAGCAGTGGCAGACCATCTGAAGCAGCCGCTGCCACGGCTCAGGCTGCAATGGGAAGGCACAGCCGGGGTTGCATGCTCCACAGAGCCAGCGGGAGCCAGGGACAAGTGGCAACCCCGCCCTACCGAGGTGGCAGGGCAGGAGCTCCCTGGGAGCAACTGCAGCTGTCCAAGCCATGGCTGCGGACCCGGGCCTCCCTGTGCTCTTGGAGGCTGGGAGCAGGCCTCCTGTCTGCCCTCCTGGGCACAGCTGAAGCCACCCAACTCACAGTTGCAGACCTGGGCCTCCCTGTGCTCCTGGGGGCCGGAAAGAGGCGGGAGCCCCGCCCTTCCGGGCCCAGATGCAGTTACCCCAGCCGTGACTGAGGACCTGGGCATCTCTAAGTCTTGGGGATCCAGAAATACCCCCTTTCATGCCTCAGCAGGCTTGAAGGTGTCAGCTCCAACTGCCTGGCCTCTCCCAACTCTCGGCACCGCTCTGATCTCAGAGCAAGACTGGGGCTGAGCCCCGGTGCTGTCACAGCCCAGTCGGGTGTGTACACACTTGGGGCAGCACTGACATGCCAGACCTCTGCTGTCTCAGCCCCCTCTGGACTTTGGGCTCTGATAAGCACAAGAGGGAGGCCAAGTGGGGACTGAGGGAAGCTCGGCACTGGCTTGCCTGGACCTTCTTCATGAACAGCCTGGGCACCATAGAAAGCAGTAGAAGGCAGACAGGCTCCAAGGAAGAAAGGGATGGGTCCCTTGTGAAGCCCCACCTTCCGGCTGGGGAAAGCCTAAAGCCTGGGGGCCAGGCGCCAGTCTCCTGGACCACAGAGGGAACTTGTGGTGTTTTTTCCTGTGCCCGCCCATGGCAGCCCATGGACCAATCAGCAGGTACTTCCTCCCCTCTGAGGCCCATAGAAACCCCAGACTCAGCCAGAATTGGGGAGACAATGGGATGACTTGCCTGCAGAGAGGAGCTACCTACTCCAATGCCTCCTCTCAGCTGACAGTTGAACACTGGATGGGACAACCTGCCTGCAGAGAGGAGCTATCCACTCCAGGGTCTCCTCTGAGCTATTCTGGCACTCAGTAAAGCTCCTCTTCAACTTGCTCACCCTCTACTTGTCCACATACCTCATTCTTCTTGGAGGCAGGACAAGAACTCAGGACCTGCCAAATGGCAGGGTTGAAAGAGCTATAACAGGGCTGAAACACTCCTTGCTCACCACATTGCAGATGAAGGGGAGAGAAGAACTATGGCCCTTCGGGGACCCCAGACCTGGGAAGCTCCCCGAGCCAGGGCTGTTACTCTCTCTTTGGGGCCCTGCAGGTCCTGGAGTCTCCAAGCTTCTCGGCACCACCACATTCCCCAGTGTCAGCCATGGAAGCTGCTTGCAGTGTACCTGGTCCAGCCACAGCCTCTCAGTGAGCTGGTGCCCATGCCAGCACCTGGAGCTGCCCATCCACTGCAGTAGCCAGCGTGCCTGACTTTGTGCAGTGGTCGGACCCCATGCTCCCTTGCTCTCACACACCTCACCACTCCACATCTGGCTTGCCTTAGCAGGAATGGAATCCAGGCAGGTAGCGTGAGCCGAGCACAGCCTACCAGGCTGAGTGGGCAGAACAAGCCCAGTGGACCTAAGCAAAACTCGGCAAAGATACCACTGTTCACAGAGGTTTCTGGCCAGAAAAACGACACCCGAAGGATCCTGTGACATAAGAAATTTCTCAGGTTACAGCTTTCTCACTAGAGTTCAACAGAAAAACCTGCAGGCTTATGAGCAAGGATTTTTTTCTGGAAACCACTCAAAATACAACCACTATGGATCTTCAGATTCTAGCTAAGTGTGCGAGTTTCTGAGAGAACATCAGGAAGTAATGTTTGACTACATGACCTTAAGGTTACTTCTTCTGCACTTGCAGGGGTCTGAGCTTGTTAGGGCAGTGGTCGCAGATCTGACTTTGTTCACCTAGTTTTTGAGATTGAAACCTTTGAGAGCAATAGAAAGCAGGGCAGCTAAAAAGCTAGAACTGCAGGTAAGCTGTTCACATTTGTCAATCTCGGCTCACTGAAACCTCTACTTCCCAGGATCAAGCAATTCTCCTGCCTCAGCTTCCCGAGTAGCTGGGATTACAGGCATGCACCACTACCACCCGGCTAATTTTTGTATTTTTAGTAGAGACAGGGTTTCAACCATGTTGGCCAGACTGGTCTTGAATCCTGACCTCAAATGACCCACCCTCATCAGCCTCCTAAAGTTATGGGATTACATGTGTGAGCCACCGTGCCTGGCCAAGTGTAGAAGGTCTTATTAAAATACTTGTAATGAATAAAAGTGGGTTAGCTTCTAACAAATATTGGCAGAAGTAATGGTGTATCATTTTCAGTATTAGGTTTTAAAAGACTGGCTTCTGTCTTGCTCTGGGGGAAGCCATTTTGTGACCAGCCCTATGGAGAGGTGCACATGGTGAGGAACTGAAGCCCCCTGCCAATAGCCATAGGAGTCAATTTAGATACTCCAGTCCCTTCAGAGATGGCAGCCCTGGTCTACAGTTTACCTGCAATCTCGTGAGACATCTTGAGGCCTTAGCATCTAGCAAAGCTGCTCCCAGATTCTTGACTCTTACAAACTGCTTTAGTTAATAAATGTTCCAAGATGCTAAGTTTTGGAGTAAATTGTTACACAGAGTTAAATAACTGTTACAATTAGACTTAGTAGGTATCAGAGAAAGGTAGCATAAAACAACAAAAGCAAGCCACTTTTTAAACATTAGATTGGCCAAATTTTAAAAGAATAATCCTCCCCATTATCTACCAGGCACACACTATTGATGTGTATTTAATTGAAACTCCCTGCTTGGGGAATAATTTTCCAAAATTACATCTGTAAAACTTTAAAGTGCACATTTCTTTCTTTTTTTACTTAATGGTTCTAATTCTAAAAATCTAACCTAAAGGAGTTCAACATTGTAAATGCCCCAGAAGGTATATTTTGGCATCATTGCATGCAATAGTAAAAAATGAATTGTCTAACAACTATCTATTATATGTCAGGCACTTGCCTTAATGTTCACAAAAGCCTATGAGATAGGCTCATGTTCAAATCTGTTTTATGATAAGGGAAACTCGGAAGAGAGATGTGAAATAACTTGCTTGGGGTTACAAAGCTACTAAGAGGCAGAGAAGAGATATAAAGCTGTGCTTTTAGCAATTACAATAGGCAGCCTCTTGTATAAAGAAATATATTGAATGTACTTTAATAAGTGAATGTTTAAATACAAAAACACACCCCAATTATGGACCTTTTGATACAAATGTTTAAAAGAATAAGGTAGATCTGTAGACAATTTTACAAAGTGATGTCAGCGAATATTTTTCTTTCAAGTGAAACTACATATCAATGGCCTCTAACTAAATTTCCGAAGGGTGTTAAACAGGTTATGCTAATGAATATAGTGACCTAAATAGCTCTAGCAGATTGCCCCTATGTGGAACATGGGTCCATTATTTCTGCAGTTTCTGATTTTTTTTTCGAGAGAGAAATCCTAAAAATCTGACTTTTCAAAAGTGAAATCTTGTCATATTAAATGAATGGTAATAAATTATATTCTTAAAAATCTAAAATCAAATATGACATTTCTGAATGCAGACGCCATCCACTGTGTTCCAGATTGCAATCTCCCTGTACATTAACAATAATAAATTAAGAACAGTTATTCAAAGCCACCTGACAAAACTTCACTGAGACATGATTGACTCCATTATCACATCTAAATAAATAATGCCTTAGTTAAAATGACATTGGCCACACACTGGAAGCAGAGTAAAAGAGAGAGAAAGAAGTGCTGCACCCAAGCAATCTCGATACAAGTATTGCCATCCCAAGAATCTATATATCAGGTACTTACATATTGTGGACCCTGCATATGTTTATAGCAGAATGGTTGAGAACTTGGACTCTTGAGCTATACTACATGTGTTTGAAGCACAGTTCCACCACAAACTGCTTATTCAAACTCTGGGCCTCCGTGTCTCTATTTGTAAAGCAGGATATAATTGAATCCCATAGAGATGCTGTAAGAAAACAATGACTCCATAAATACCAGCTATTATTAATGTGGAGATAAAGTACTGTATTACCACAACCAGGTGCCAGAAAACATTCTTATTATTTACCAGCCTTTCTGCTGACTTCATTCTCACAAAACAATTCCTGATTATAACCACTTGTGTGCAATGAAAGAATGTCTTGGCCTGAACGTGTGAAAGCAAACACTGTAGTAAAGATCTTAGTATATTTTTAAAAATTGCTACATTTTACTTTTATTTTTTAAATCAACAGATAAAATTGTATGTTCTTACTATTTACAAAATATTTTTTGGAGTATACATACATAGTGGAATGACTAACTTGGTTAATTAATATATGTATCACCTTACATAGTTATTTTTGTCATAAGGACCCTTTACATCCATTCAGTATTTTCGAGAATACAATATATTGTTAACTATAGCCAATATGTTGTACAAGAGATCTCTTGAACATATGTCTCCTGTCTAATTGAAACTTTGTGTCCTGTTATCAACATTTCCAAACACCCACCCCCAAAACCATTCCAGTCCCTGGTAACCATCGTTCTACTTTCTACTTATCTGAGTTCAACTCTTTCAGATTATGCAGTATTTTTCCGTTCGTGCCTGGCTTATTTCACTTAATGTAGCATCCTTCAGGTTTATTCATGCTGTCAAAAACCATATAATTCCCTTATTTTTATAGCTAAATACTATTTTATTGTGTATATTTATCACATTTTCTTT
Source organism: Homo sapiens (assembly GCF_000001405.40). Lineage (NCBI taxonomy): Eukaryota > Metazoa > Chordata > Mammalia > Primates > Hominidae > Homo > Homo sapiens. The sequence continues at coordinate 85,848,374 of NC_000012.12, forward strand.
ATTCATTCATCCGTTGATAGACATTTTGGTAGATTCCCCATTTTAGCTATTGTGAATAATGTTGCAATAAACATAGAGGTGCAGATATCTCTTTGAAATACAGATTTCTTTTCCTTTGGATATATGCCCAGTAGTTAAATTGATGGATCAGATGGCAGTTTTATTTTTTTATTTTTTGAGAGACCTCCGTACAGTTTTCCATAATTACATTCCCACTAACTGTGTGAGGACTTCTTTTTCCCCACATCCTAGTCAACATTTGTTATCTTTTTTTTTTTATAGTAGTCATTCCAACAGGTGTGAGGCAACATCTCATTGTGTTTTTAATTTTTTAATTTGCATTTCCCTTGATGTAGAGCATTACATACAGACACACACACACACACACACACACACACTTACACTTGTTGGGCATTTTGTCTCATTGGGAGAAATAACTATTCAAGTCCTTTGCATATTTTTTTTTTTTTTGGACAGAGTTTTGCTCTTGTTGCCCAGGCAGGAGTGCAATGGTGCGATCTTGGTTCACCGCAACCTCCACCTCCTGGGTTCAAGCGATTCTCATCACTCAGCCTCCCTAGTAGCTGGGACTATAGGCATGCACCACCATGCCTGGATAAATTTTTGTTTTTTTGTTTGTTTGTTTTGGTAGAGACAGGGTTTTTCCATGTTGGTCAGGCTGGTCTCAAACTCCCAACTTCAGGTGATCTGCCCACTTCTGCCTCCCAAAGTGCTGGGGTTACAGGTGTGAGCCACTGCGCCTGGCCCTTTTGCCTATCTTTTAATTGGCTTATTTATTTACTTGGTATTGAGTTGAGTTACTTATATATTTTGGATATTAGCACCTTTACAGATGCATAGTTTGCAGATATTGTCTCCCATTCTATCAATTGCATATTCACTATTGATATGGTCTGGCTCTGTGTCCACACCAAAATCCTATCTTAAATTGTAATCCCAATTGTAACCCCCACATGTTGGGAGAGGGAACCCCGTGGAGAGGTGATTAGATCATGGGGATGTTTCCCCATGCTGTTCTTATGATAGCGAGTGAGTTCTCATGGTTTTATAAGGGTTTCTGCACTTTCCTCACTTTGCTCTGCAATCCTCCTTCCTGCCGCCATGTGAAGAACATATTTACTTTCCCCTTTGTCATGATTATGTTTCCTGAGACCTCTCCAGCCCTGCAGAACTCTGAGTCAATTAAGACTCTTTCCTTTATAAATTACCCTCTTAGGCAGCTCTTTACAGTAGTGTCAGAATGGACTAATACAACTATATTGATTGTTTCCTTTGCTGTGAAGCATCTTTTTAGTTTGATATAATCTCATTTGTCTATTTCTACTTTTGTTGTCTGGTTTTTTTTTTTGGCATCCTATTAAAGAAATCATTGCCCAGACCAATATGATGAAGTTTTTCCCTTATGTTTTCTTCTAGCAGTTTTAGAGTTTGAAGTGTTATATTTAAGATTTTTGTTCATTTTGAGCTGTTTTTTTATACAGTGTGATATAAGAATCTAATTTCATTCTTCTGCATGTTCATATCAGTTTTTCCATTACCATTTATTGAAAAACCTGCCTTTTTCCTATTGTTATACTTGGCATCTTTGTTGAAAATCAATTGGCTGTAATAAATGTGTGGATTTAATTTTGAGCCCGCAATCCACTTATGTTTAATTTCAACATTTATTTTAGATTCAGAGGATATATGTGCATGTTTGTTACATGGAAATATTGCATGAAGTTGAGGGTTAGGCACATTCGATCCCATCACCCAGGTTGTAAGCATAGTATACAATAAATAGTTTTTCAACCCTTGCCCCTCTCTCTCCCCTCAGGCCCCAGTAGTTCCCAGTGTCTATTGTTGTCATCTTTATGTCTGTGTGTACCCAATGTTTAGCTTTTTCTTATAAGTGAGAACACGTGGTATTTGGTTTTCTGTTTATTCAATAATTTGCTTAGGATAATGACCTTTAGCTATATCCATGTTGCTGCAAAGGAAACAATTTTGTTTATTTTTATGGCTGTGTAGTATTCCATGGTATACATGGACCACATTTTCTTTATCCAGTCCGCCATTGATGGGCATCTGAGTTGATTCCATGTCTTTGCTATCATGAGTAACAATATGATAAACATATGACTGGACATGTCATTTTGGTAGAATAATTGATTTTCCTTTGGGTATATAATCAGTAATGGAGTTGATAGGTTGAAAGGTAGTAGTTCTATTTTTGAATTCCTTGAGAAATCTCCAAACTGCTTTCCACAGTGTCTGAGCTCATTTACATTCCCATCAACAATATATAGGCATTCACTTTTCTCCATAACCACATCATCATCTGTTATATTTTAACTTTTTAATAAAAGCCATTCTGACTGGTGTTACTTATGTCATTGTGGTTTTGATTTGCATTTCTCTGAGGATTAGTGATGTGGAATATTTTTTCATGTTTGTTGGCTGCTTATATGTATTCTTTTGAGAAATGTCTGTTCATGCTTTTTGCCCATTTTTTAAAATTGGGTTATTTGTATTTTACTTGTTGATTTGTTTAAGTTCCTTATAATAAGGTTCTGGATACTAGACCTTTATTGGATGCATAGTTTGTGAATATTTTCTCCCATTCTGTACTTATCTATTTACTCTGTCCATAGTTTGTTTTGCTGTGCAGAAGCTCTTTAGTTTAATTAGACATCTTTTGTCAGTTTTCATTTTTGTTGCAGTTGCTTTTGAGGACTTAGTTATAATTTTTTTGCCAAGACCAATGTGATGTATAGAAGTATATTTCTTATGTTTTCTCCTAGGATATTTATAGTTTTAGATCTTACATTTAAGTCTTTAATCCATCTTGAGCTAATTTTTGTATATGGTGATAAGCAAGAGTCCAGTTTCATTCTTCTGCATATGGATAGCCAGCTATTGCAGTGCCATTTATTGACTATAGAGTACTTACTGTATTGCTTATTTTTTTGTCAACTTTATTGAAGATCAGACGACTGTAGGTGTGTGGTTTTATTTCTGGGTTCTCTATCATGTTCCATTCATGTATGTGTCTGCCTTCATACCAGTACTATACTGTTTTGCCTTGTAGTATAGTTTGAAGTTGGGTAATGTGACGCCTCCAGCTTTATGCTTAGGATTGCCTTGGCTATTCAGGCTCTTTTTTGGTTCCATATGAATTTTAGAATAGTTTCCCCTAATTCTGTGAAAAGTGATGTTGGTAATTTGATAGGAATAGAGTTGAATCTGCTGGCTGCTTTGGGTAGTTTGGCCATTTTACAACACTAATTCTTCCAATACATGAACATGGAATTTTTTCCCATTTGTTTGTATCATCTCTGACTTTTTTCAATAGTGTTTTGCAGCTCTCCTTGGAGAGATCTTTCACCTCCTTGATTTGATTTATTCCTAGGTATTTTAGTTTTTGTGTGGCTATGGAATTGCGTTTTGCTTTGGTTCCCAGTTTGAACATTATCAGTGTTCAGAAATGCTAGTGATTTTTGTACATTGATTTTGTAACCTGAAACTTTAGTAAAATTGTTTTATCAGCTCTAGGATTATTTTGGCAGAATCTTTAGGGTTCCCTAGGTATAAAATTATAACATCAGTGAAGAGAGACTATTTAACTTCTTCTTTTCCTATATGGATGCCTTTTATTTCTTTCTCTTTCCTGATTGCTCTGCCTAGGACTTCCAGTTGAACAGGAGTGGTGAGAGTGGGCATCCTTGTCTTATTCTAATTCTTAAGGGGAACACTTCCAGCTTTTGCCCATTCAGTGTGATGTTGGCTGTGAGTTTGTCATAGATAGCTCATATTATTTTGAGGCGTGTTCCTTTGTGCCTAACGTGTTGAGAGTTTTTATCGTGAAGCAATTTTTGAATTTCTCAAAAGCTTTTTCTGCATCTGTTGAGATTAACATATGGCTTTTGATGAGACACACAGACAGAGGGCATAGGCCAGCACAGCAAGCGATGAGAAGTGAAGAGGATAAAAAGGAATCCCTATGGACATTTTAACAATATTAACTATTTAAATCTGGAAACACAAGACATCTTTCAATTTATTTGTGCCTTGTTTAATTTCTTTCATCAATTTTTTGTAATTTCCAGTGTACAGATCTTTCACCTACTCAGTTAAAGTTATGACAAAGTATGTATTACCAATAACATAAATAGTCTGTTAATCCATATTTTGTATGCTATATATATATACTCTATTCTTACAATAAAGTAAGATAGAGAAAGTTAAGACAATCACACAGAATAAAAAATATAGTTATTCTTTATTAAGTAGAAGTGATCATCATAAACATCTTCATCCTCATCATCTTTATGTTGAGTAGGCTGAGGAGGAGGAGGAAAGGGAATGGTTAGTCCTTCTGTCTCGAGATGACAGAGGCAGAAGAATATTTGTACATAAGTGGACCCGTATGTTCAAACTCACATTGTTTAAGAGTCAACTACAGAAGATAAAAAATAATGTCAAGAATATAAATTAATAAAGTTAAGAGTAAATGATAAAGTCAACAAAAGCCAAAACCTAGTTTTATAAAAAGATGAAGAAAATTGATACATCTCTAGCAAAATTCGTCAAGACAATACAGAGGAAAACACAATGTCAGAAATGATTAAGAGAATGTTACTATAGATCCTACAGAAAATATGATATAATAACTAAACATTATGAGTAAATATATGTCAATAAGTTTGATGACTTAGATAATATAGGAAAACCAAAAAGGGATACAAGTTTCTAAAACAAGGATTATCGACCCAGATCATATTAACGCATTTGAAACCAAAGATACTTATCTGAGGCAGCATCTCAAGCTGGTATTGTGAACATATTGTCAGAATTAGTAGAGAGCTTCCTAGAGTGATCATGTTGAAAGATAATTATTGGTATGTGTGAATTTTATCACTTGTATTTTCTTAAGCCATTGATTGTCCAAGTCTTAAGTAATTTGTGGTGCACCATGACATCTTGTAGGCACACATTAGAGGGCTTAAAAATAAGCAGAGGAAAACTTCTGTCATCCTCCGTGATTAGTTTTTGATGAAAGACAGATTAGATAAAAGAAGCAGAACACATGAATAGGCCTAGATTTGTTTGAAAAAAAAAAATTTACAAGTCTAAACTTTCCCACCAGGCCAAGATATTTTCACTGGTAGACTCTAACTAATGGTAAAGCAATGATACCAGTCTTACACAAATGTTTCAGCTATAAAAGAAAAGAGATCACTTCCCAAATAATTTTGAGGCCAGACTAATTATGATATGAATATTAGTTGTATATATTTCAAGGAACAAATAGCACAGAACACAATCTCTTATGAAAAGACAAGTAAAAATCCTTAACAAAGTACAAAATATATTCTACATTATATAAATAGTATAAGACATGACATTATGCTGTTATCCCAACAATATAATGTTGATTTAACATTTTAAAAATTAGCTGAAACCATTATCAAAATAATAAAAAGAAAGGACAAAATTCATATGATAATCTTAATACATGTGGCAAAAACATTTGATAAAATTAAGCACCCATCTATGATTTAAAAATAAAAACCTATCAGCAAACTAGAAATACAAAGAAAAACTACAGTTAGTATAATGCTTAATTGTAAAATACTAACTGCTTCCACTTAAAATCAGAAATCGGACAAGGATTTCTGCTCTCACCACTTGATCAACACCTTTGTACTGGAAGTGTTAGCCAATTCAGCAAGAAACAACAACAAATAACTAAATGACTTATGGGTTAGAAAGAAAGAAAAAAGAAGTGTCTTTATCTGCATACAGTATGGTTGTTTAGGTAGACAATCCAAGGGAATCTACAAAGACATAGCTAATAGATCTAATCAATGAATTTAACAACATTGCAGGGTAGAATGACAATTTATAAATATAATTTTGCTGTCTATATGCTAACAATTAACAATTAGAAATAAAACTTGCTCACTGCAGCCTGGAATTCCTGGGCTCAAGGGATCTTCTCGCCTCAGCTTTCAAAGTAGCTGGAACTACTGATGTGCCTCACCATGCCCAGCAGAAGTTAAGTTTAAAAAGACCTGAAGTAATGGAGAATATACTATATTAATGGATGAGAAGACTAAATACATTGAACTTATCAATTATCTCAAATTAATCAATTTGATTTAATGCAATCCCAATCAAAATCAGGCTTTTAAAATACAAACAAAAAACCTGATTTGAAAATGTATGTAGAAATGTAAAGAATAAACAGAAACCAGCATGATTTTGCAGAAAACAAAGCTGAGGAACTTAAGTTTGTTGATTTTAAAGTTACTACAAAGCTACAGTAATCAAAATACTATATTATTTACATAAGGTCACATAAAGAGACCATTCAAAGAGAGTAAACTTACATGATCTGATCAATGGTTTTTCAAAGGAGGCAGCAAATAATCTCAATGGGGAAACAATATCTATTTAACAAATAATGTGGAGGAATGAAATATAAAAATGAAAACCTGACCTCAACAGCATGCACAAAGATTAATTTGAGATCATTTCATGGATTTAAATTATAAAAGCTAGAATTGTAAACTTTCTAGAAGCAAACATAAACATTTTTGTGACATTGAGGTATGCAACGATTTCTTAGGCTATTAGGAGCACTAATCAGAAAGAATAAAAGTGGTCAATTGATTCCATCAAACTTAACTACTGGCTCTTTGAAAGACATTCTTATGAAAATAGGTAAGCTGCAAATTGGAAGAAAATATTTGCAGTGCATATATCTGAAAAGAAAAACCTCATAACTCAACAATAAAAAGGCAGCCAGTTAAACAATGGATAATGATCTGAACATTATCTGAACATTTATTTTTCTTTTCTAAAGAAAAATAAAAAAGTAGCCATGGCTGGGTGCAGTGGCTCACACCTGTAATGCTGTCATAGGATGGTTAGGGTGTTGCTTTTCCAGCTTGAAACTTCTGTGGCCGGTGGCACTTTTGCCTGAGTTTTTCTTGCGCCCACTGAGCTTGTTCTGCCCACACGGCCTGGCAGCCTGTATTCGGCTCATGCTACCAGTCCACATCCCATGCCTGCCAAGGGTGAGCCAGGTGTGGAGTGGTAAGGGTTGTGTGAGCAAGCACAGAGTCTGGCCACTGCACACAGTCAGGCATGTTGGATTCAACGGGGTGGGCAGCTCCAGGCACCACACAGGCACCAGCTCCCTGTGAGGCTGCAGCTGAAGCAAGTGCACTGCAATTGACTTCCACTGCAGGGACCAGGGAACACAGTGGCACCGAGAAGCTTGGGGTTGCCAGGAACTGCAGAGCCCCAAAGAGGGTGTCACAGCTCTGGCTTGGGGAGCTCCTAGGTCTGGGTTGCCCGAAGGGCCGCTAATATGGTTGGGCTCTGTGTCCCCACCCAAATCTTATCTTGTAGCTCTTATAATTTTCATGTGTTGTGGGAGGGACCCAGTGGGAGATGATTGAATCATGGGGGCAGGTCATTTCTGCGCTGTTCTTGTGACAGTGAATAAGTCTGACGTGATGTGATGGTTTTAAAAACGGGAGTTTCCCTGCACGAGCTCTCTGTCTTTGCCCACTGCCATCCATGTAAGATGTGACTAGCTCCTCCTTTCCTTCCACCATGATTGTGAGGCCTCCCCAGCGATGTGCAACTGTAAGTCCATTAAACCTCTTTTTCTTCCCAGTCTCAGGTATGTCTTTATCAGCAGTGTGGAAATAAACTAAGACAACTGCAGCTTTTCTCTCTTTCCCTCTTCTCTCCTTCTTGTCACCCACAAAGTTATGAGCAGGGGGGTGTTTCAGTCCTGTTTGTGTGACAGCTCTTTCAGTTCTGCCATTCAATGGGTCCTGAGTACTTGTCCTGCATCCAGAAAGAATGAGGTATGTGGGCAACTGGAGGGTGAGCAAGGTGAAGAGGAGCTTCACTGAGCAAAGGAACACCCCTCAGGAGACCAAAAGAGCAAAGGTGCCACTGGCCACAGAGGTTTCTAGCTGGAAAAGTGGCACCCTAAGGATCCTGTGACAGCATTACAGGTGTGAGACACTGCACCCAGCCATGGCTACTCATATTTTTCTTAGGAAGGTGTTCGTTCAGATCATTGCCCATTATTTAACTGGGCTGTCTTTTTATTGTTATGAGGTTTCTCTTTTCAGATATATGCACAGCAAATATTTTCTCCCAGTTTGCAGCTTATCTATCTTCATAAGAATGTCTTTCAAAGAGCCAGTATTTAAGTTTGATGGAATCAATTGACCATTTTTATTATTTCTGATTAGTGCTCCTAATAGCCTACAAAAATAGCTCCTTTCCACAGGCAGTGCATCCCAACAAGTGCCCAGCTCTCAGCAGAGAGGAGACTCATAGTGGGTAGCTCCTTTCCACATGTAGGTAGTACTGTTGAGTGCAGCCTTCAGTGGAGAGGAGACCAGGAGTGGGTAGCTCCTTCATGTAGGTGGTAGTCCCAATGTCCGGTTGAGTCTGGGTTTTTATGGGCTCAGAAGGGAGGAAGTGTGTGCTAATTGGTTCATGGGCAGCCATGGGTGGGCCCAGAGAAAACACTGTAAGTTCTCACTCTGGGCAGTAAACTCTACTCAGAACTGGCAGCCCAGGCCCAGGATTCAGAGTATACCTGGATTGAAAGTGGAATTTCACTGGGGACCTGCCACTTTCCACCCAGGAACCTGTCTGTCTCCTGCCATTAACATGCCATCCATGTATGGGTGGCTGTTGCTGCATCCTGGAGCACAAGCCTCCCGCCACCCAACTAGGTAGGGAGCAGTGCTCCCACCTGCTCTCTGCTCCTGCCAGCTCCATGGAGTGCACAGCTCTAACTGCACCTCCCTTGCTGCAGCTGATGTTCCCACAGCAGCTGCTTCAGATGGGCCACCACCACCATCAATCTCAGAATTTTGGGAAGCTGAGGCAGGTGGATTGCTTGAATCGAGGAGTTCGAGACCAGCCTGGACAACATAGAGAAACCCCATCTCTGCAAAAAATACAAAAATTAGCCAGGTGTGATGGCACACTCCTGTAGTCCCAGCCACTCTGGAGGCTGAGGGAGAAACATGCTTGAGCCCAGGAAATCAAGGCTGCAGTGAGCCAAGATCTCATCACTGCACTCCAGCCTGGGTTACAGAGTGAGACCCTGTCTCAACAACAACAACAACAACAACAACAAAGAATAGCCACTATGCATGAGACAAAGAGTTCAACATTGTCATAAAAAATGAAATTGAAGACCAAGAAATAACACATTACAACAACTACAATGGCTAAAATATAAAGGAATGGTAACACCAAATGTTAGCAAGGACTTTAAAAGGACCCACCATAATGAACTTTTGGGTAGTTTCTTACTAACGTGAGCATACACCTACTCTAAAACTCAGCACTTTCATTCTAAGTATTTATACAAGAACAATAAAAATATATGTCCAGAAAAATACTTATATGTGCAGGAAGTTTCATAAGAGCTTTTTTCATAATAGCTCCAAACTAGAAACAACACAAATGTTAATTGCACAGGAGAACAAATAAAGTTACAGTATATTCATACAATGGAATAATACTCAGCAATAAAGTGGTATGCACTACTGATATGTGTAGTACCATAAAGCAATCTTGAAAGCATTATATTGAACATCAGTAGACACTCACTTAAAAAGTATACAAAAATGGATTCAATTTATATGAACATTAAAAATAGGCAAATTTAAGTGCTTACCTGTGATGTCAGAGGATTCTCTGAGAATGTGCATGAGAAAATATTCAGGTGTGAATATTTTCCCAATTTTGGGGGGGTTTTGAATTACACAAATGTATACAATTGTCAAAATTCATCAACATTTATACTTAGGACTTATGCCTTCCACTGGATGCAAATTTTACCTCAGTTAAAAAATAACCCAAAGAGGGACAAATGATACATATGAAACTAACACTAAAAGACCTCAATATTGGAAAGCAAAGAGACAAAAAGATGCTCAACTTTGGAGAGAAGGAAGAGAAATAAGGTTCATATAGAATCTCTGAGATGGAATCTGATTTAAGATTTTGCAAACATATCCCGGAATGATTTAAAGAGATTAAAGTATGTAAATGTAAAGTAAAAGAGGAAAAATGAGTAAATGAGAGGGGCGAGTTTAGTTTACTGTTGGATGTGTAAGCTAACTTTTATTGAATGCCTGCTACATAACACATTTTGTAATATATGCATACTATATAAGAATAAATATGATCCATATTACTTTATTTTAGAGAACTATTATTATTTTATTTTACAGGTGATGAGAGAGATCCAGAGAATTAAAATCTAAAGCCAGAGGCTGAAAGTTACAGAAATAGGATTTAAATGAGAAACTAGCAAAATGGTGAACCTTGAGGCAGAACTCAGTAGCTACACATCACTTTTTTTTTTTTTTTTTTTTTTTGAGATGGAATCTCACTCTATCGCCCAGGCTGAAGTGCTGTGGCTCACTGCAACCTCCACCTCCTGGGTTCCAGTGATTCTCCTGCTTCAGCCTTCCGAGTAGCTGGGACTGCAGGAGCCCGCCACCACGCCCAGTTAATTTTTTTTTTTTTTTTTTAGTAGGGATGGGGTTTCACCATATTGGCTAGGCTGGTCTCAAACTCCTAACTTTGTGATCTGCCTGCCTTGGCCTCCCAAAGTGCTGGGATTACAGGAGTGAGCCACCGCACATGGCCAGTAGCTGCACATTCCAATTTGTCTGCATAGTGTTGTAAATAAATTGAACTAAAGATTAGCATTTAAAGATTGTAAGATTTTCATAAAATACAATTTTGTGCAAAATCCTGAAAATTGGAAGATTTGCCTTTCTTGGTTTCTATTTTCTTTTATAAAAAAAAAAACTTTGTGGGCTGGGCGCGGTGGCTCACACCTGTAACCCCAGCACCTTGGGAGGCAGAGATGGGTGGATCACGAGGTCAGGATCAAGATCATCATGGCTAGCACGGTGAAACCCCGTCTCTACTAAAAATACAAAAAATTAGCCGGGTGTGGTGGGACGCGTCTATAGTCCCAGCCACTTGGGAGACTGAGGCAGGAGAATTGCTTGAACCTGGGAGGCAGAGGTCGCAGCCTGGGTGACAGCAAGAATCTGTCTGAAAAAAAAAAAAAAAAAAAAAATTGTGGCCCGGGGGCAGTGGCTCACGCCTGTAATCCCGGAAGTTTGGGAGGCCGAGGCAGGTGGATCACGAAGTCAGGAGATCAAGACTATCCTGGCTAACACTGTAAAAACCCATTTCTACTAAAAATAAAGATAAAAATAATTAGCAGGGCGTGATGGCACGCACCTGTAGTCCCAGCTGCTCGGGAGGCTGAGGCAGGAGAATCCCTTCAACCCAGGAGGCGGAGGTTGCAGTGAGCTGAGATTGCACCACTGCACTCCAGCCTGGGAGACAGAGTGAGACTGTCTTAAAAAAACAAAACAAAACAAAAATTTTGTTTTTCTTTATTTCTTCTTAAAAAGCAGATACATGTGCAGAACGTGCAGGTTTGTTAGATAGGTATGTGTGCCACGATGATTTGCTGCACCTATCAACCCACCCTCTAAGTTCCCTCCCTCACCCCCATCCCTTCAACAAGCACTGCTGTGTGTTGTTCCCCTTCTGTGTCCATGTGTTCTCAATGTTCAACTCCCACTTATAAGTGAGAACATGTGATACTCGGTTTTCTGTTCCTGTGTTAGTTTGCTGAGGATAACGGCTTCCAGCTTCATCCATGTCCCCATTTTTTATGGCTGCATAGTATTCCATGGTGTATATATACCACATTTTCTTTATCCAGTCTATATCACTGATGGGTATTTGGGTTGGTTCCATGTCTTTGCTATTGTAAATAGTGCTGCAATAAACATACATATGCATGTGTCTTTATAGTAGAATTATTTATATTCCTTTGGGTATATACCCAGTAATGGGATTGCTGAGTCAAATGGTATTTCTGGTTCTAGATCCTTGAGGAATTGCCATACTGTCTTCCACAATGGTTGAACTAAATTACATTCCTACCAACAGTGTAAAACGTTCCTATTTCTCCACAGCCTCGTCAGCATCTATTGTTTCTTGATTTTTTTTTTTTTTTTTTTTTTTTTTTGAGATGTTTGAGATGGAGTCTCGCTCTGTCACCCAGGCTGGAGTGCAGTGGCTAATCTCGGCTCACTGCAAGCTCCGCCTCCCAGGTTCACGCCATTCTCCTGCCTCAGCCTCCCGAGTAGCTGGGACTACAAGTGCCCACCACCACCCCTGGCTAATTTTTTGTGTTTTTAATAGAGACGGGGTTTCACTGTGTTAGCCAGGATGGTCTTGATCTCCTGACCTGGTGATCCGCCTGCCTCAGCCTCCCAAAGTGCTGGGATTTACAGGCGTGAGCCACCACACCTGGCCTGTTTCTTGATTTTTTAATAATTGCCATTCTGACTGGCATGAGATGGTTTGTCATTGTGGTTTTGATTTGCATTTCTCTAATGACGATCAGTGATGTTGTGCTTTTTTTCATATGTTTCTTGGCTGTGTAAATGTCTTCTTTCAAGAAGTGCCTGTTTATATACTCTGCCCACATTTTGATGGGGTTGTTTGCTTTTTTCTTCCTGTAAATTTGTTTAAGTTCTTTGTAAATTCTGGATATTAGACGTTTGTCAGATGGGTAGATTGCAAAAATTTTCCCCACTCTGTAGGTTGCCTGTTCACTCCGATGATAGTTTCTTTTGCTGTGCAAAAGCTTTTTAGTTTAATTAGATCTCATTTGTCAATTATGGCTTTGTTGGCATTGCTTTCGGCATTTTCATCATGAAGTCTTGCCCATGCCTATGTCCTGAAAGGTATTGTCTAGGTTTTCTTCTAGGATTTTTATGATTTGGGGTTTTACATTTAAGTTTTTAATTCATCTTGAGCTAAATTTTGTGCAAGATATAAGGAAGGAGTTTGGTTTCACTTTTTTGCATGTGGCTAGCCAGTTTTCCCAGCACCATTTATTGAATAGGAAATCCTTTCCGCATCACTTGTTTTTGTCAGATTTGTCAAAGATCAGATGGTTGTAGATGTGTGGTGTTGTTTCTGAGGTCTCTGTTCTGTTCCATTGGTCTGTTTGTCAGGTATGTCAAAGATCAGATGGTTGTTGATGTGTGGTGTTGTTTCTGAGTTCTCTGTTCTGTTCCATTTGTCTGTATGTCTGTTTTGGTACACAGTATCATGAGGTTTTGGTTACTGTAGCCTTGTGGGATAGTGTGAAGTCAGGTGGTGTGATGCCTCCAGCTTTGTTCTTTTTGCTTTTGATTGTCTTGGTTATATGAGGTCCTCTTTGATTCCATATAAAATTTAAAGTAGTTTTTTCCTGATTCTGTGAAGAATGTCAATGGTAATTTGATGAGAATATCATTGAATCTATAAATTACTTTGGGCAGTATGGCCATTTCACAATATTGAGTCTTCCTATCCATGAGGATGGAATGTTTTTCCATTTGTGTCCTCTCTGATTTCCTTGAGCACTAGTTTGTAGTCCTCCTTGAAGAGGTTCTTCACAGACCTTTTTAGCTGTGTTCGTAGGTATTTTATTCTCTGTAGTGATTGTGAATGGGAGTTCATTCATGATTTGGCTCTCTGATTGTCTACTGTTGGTGTATAGGAATGCTTGTGATTTTTGCACATTGATTTTTGTACTCTGAGACTCTGCTGATGTTGCTTATCAGTTTAAGGAGTTTTGGGGCTGAGATGATGGGGTTTTCTAAATATGAAATCCTGTCATCTGCAAGCAGAGACAGTTTAACTTCCTCTTCCTATTTGAATATGTTTTATTTCTTTCTCTTGCCTGATTGTCCTGGCCAGAACTTCCAAAACTATGATCGAGTAGTGAGAGGGCATTCTTGTCATGTACCAGTTTTCAAAGGGAATGCTTTCAGCTTTTTCCCATTTAATATGACATTGGGTGTGGGTTTGTCATAAATAGCTCTTATTATTTTGAGATATATTCCATCAATATCTAGTTTATTGAGAGTTTTTAACATGAAGGTATGTTGAATTTTATCAAAGGCCTTTTCTGAATCTATTGAAATAATTGTGAGATTTTTGTCTTTGTTTCTGTTTATGTAATGTATTACGTTTATTGATTTGCATATGTCGAACCAGCCTTGCATCCCAGGGATGAAGCCAACTTGATTGTGGGGTAAGCTTTTTGATATGCTGCTGGATTCAGTTTGCCAGTATTTTATTGAGGATTTTTGCATCAGTGTTCATCAGGGATATTGGCCTGAAATTTTATTATTTTTTTTTTTTTTTGCTGTGTCTTTTCCTGGTTGTGGATTCCGGATGATGCTGGCTTCATAAAATTAGTTAGGGAAGAGTCTCTCCTTTTCAATTGTTTGGAATAGTTTCAAAAGGAATGGTAACAGCTCCTCTTTGTATTTCTGGTAGAATTTGGCTGTGAATCTGACTAGTCCTGGGGTTTTTTTGTTTGGTAGGCTACTAATTATTACCTCAATTTCAGAACTTGTTATTGGTCTATTCAGAGATTTGACTTCCTGGTTTAGTCTTGGGAGGGTATACGCATCCAGGAATTTATCCACTTCTTTTAGATTTTCCAGTTTATTTGCATAGAGGTGTTTATAGTATTCTCTGATGGTAGTTTGTATTTCTATGGGGTCGGTGGTGATATCCCATTTATCATTTTTTAATGTGTCTGTTTGATTCTTCTCTCTTTTCTTCTTTATTAGTCGAGCTAACCATCTATCTATTTTGTTAATTTTCTCAAAAAATTAGCTCCTGGAATCATTGATATTTTGGAGGGTTTTTCATGTGTCTATCTCCTTCAATTCTGCTCTGATCTTGATTATTTCTTCTCTTCTGCTAGCTTTTAGAATAGTTTGCTCTTGCCTCTCTAGCTCTTTTAATTGTCGTGTTAGGGTGTCAATTTGCGATCTTTCTGATGTAGGCATTTACTGCTATAAATTTCACTCTTAACAGTGCTTTAGCTGTGTCCCAGAGATTATGATACATTGTCTCTTTGTTCTGATTGGTTTCAAAAAACTTGATTTCTGCCTTAATTTCATTATTTACCCAGGAGTCATTCAGGAGCAGGTTGTTCAATTTCCATGTAATTGTGTGGTTTTGAGTGAGGTTCTTAATCCTGATTTCTAATTTGATTGCACTGTGGTCTGAGAGACTGTTTGTTATGATTTCGGTTTGTTTGCATTTGCTGAGGAATGTTTTACTTCCAATTATGTGGTCGATTTTAGAATAAGGGCCATGGTGGCACTGAGAAGAATGTATGTTCATTTGATTTGGAGTGGAGAGTTCTGTAAATGTCTATTAGGTCCACTTGATCCAGAGCTGAGTTCAAGTCCTAGATATCCTTGATAATTTTCTGTCTTGTTGATCTAATATTGAAAGTTAGGTGTTAAAGTCTCCCACTATTAATGTGTGGGAGTCTAAGTCTCTTTGTGGGTCTCTAAGACCTTGTTTTATGAATCTGGATGCTCTAGTATTGGGTGCATATGTATTTAGAATAGTTAGCTCTCCTTGTCGAATTGTTCCCTTTACCATTATGTAATCCCCTTCTTTGTCTTTTTTGATCTTTGTTGGTTTAAAGTCTGTTTTGTCAGAGACTAGGATTGCAACCTTGCAACCACTGCTTTTTTTTTTTTTTCCATTTGCTTGGTGAATTTTCTTCCATCCCTTTATTTTGAGCCTTCGTGTGTCTTTGCACATGAGGTGGGTCTCCTGAATACAGCACACCAATGGGTCTTGACCCTTTATCCAATTTGCCAGTCTGTGTCTTTTAATTGGGGCATTTAGCCCATTTACATTTAAGATTAGTATTGTTATGTGTGAATTCATCCTGTCATCATGATGCTATTTGGTTATTTTGCATGTTAGTTGATGCAGTTTCTTCATGGTGCCATTGGACTTTATATTTTGGTGTGTTTTTGCTGTGGCTGGTACTGATTTTTCCTTTCCACATTTAGTGCTGCTCTCAGGAGCTCTTGCGAAGCAGGCCTGGTGGTAGTGAAATCTCTCAGCATTTGCTTGTCTGAAAAGGATTTTATTTCTCCTTTGCTTATGAAGCTTAGTTTTTCTGGATATGAAATTTTGGTTGAAAATTCTTTCTTTGAGAACGTTGAATATTGGCCCCCAATCTCTTCTGGCTTGTAGAGTTTCTACCAAGACATCCACTGTTAGTCTGATAGGCTTCCTTTGTAGGTGACCTGCATTCTCTCTGCCTACCCTTAACATTTTTTCCTTCATTTCAAACTTGGAGAATCTGATGATTAGGTGTCTTGGGGTTGATCTTCTCATGAAGTATCTTAGTGGTGTTCTCTGTGTTTCTTGAATTTGCATGTTGGCCTGTCTTGGCAGATCGGGGAAGTTCTCCTGGGTATTATCCTCAAGTGTGTTTTCCTGCTTGTTTCCATGCTCCCTGCCTCCTTCAGTTACTCCAATCAATCATAGGTTCAGTCTTTTTATGAAATCCCATATTTCTTGGAGGCTTTGTTCATTCCTTTTCATTCTTCTTTCTCTGGTCTTGTCTGCATGCCTTATTTCAGCAAGGTGGACTTCAAACTCTGATATCCTTTCTTCTGCTGGGTCCGTTTGGCTATTGAAACTTGTGTATGCTTCAGGAAGTTCTCATGCTGTGTTTTTCAGCTCCATCAGGTCATTTATGTTCCTTTCTAAACTAGTTATTCTAGTTAGCATTTCCTCTAACCTTTTATCAAGGTTCTCAGCTTCTTTGCCTTGGGTTAGAACATGCTCCTTTAGCTTAGTGTAGTTTTTTATTACCCATCTTATGAAGCCTACTTTGGTCAATTTGTCCATCTCATCTTTTGTCCAGTTTTGCACCCTTGCTGGTGAGACGTCACGATCATTTGAAAGAGAAGAGGCACTCTGGCTTTTTGGGTTTTCAGCATTTTTTAGTGGATTCTTTCTCATCTTTATGAGTTTGTCTAGTTTCCATCTTTGAGGCTGCTGACACTTGGATGGGGTTTTTGTGGGGGCTTTTTTTGTTGTAGTTGATGCTGTTGTTCTTACTTTCTGTTTGCTTTTCTTTCAATGGTCAGGTCCTTCTTCTGTAGGGCTGCTGCAGTTTGCTGGGGGTTTACTTCAGGCCCTACTCATCTGGTTCATCCCCATGCCAGAGATGTCACTGAAGGAGTTGGGAGAAGAGCAAAGATGGGTGCCTGCTCCTTCTTCTGGGATCTCTGAACTTGAGGGGCATCAAGTTGATGCCAGTAGGGTTGGTCTTATATAGGGTGTCTGACAACCCCTGTTGGAGGGTCTCACCCAGTTTGGGGGCATGGGAAACAACACCAATTTAGTAAACCACTTTGTCCCTTGGTGGAAGGGGTGTGCTTCGCTGGGGGAAAACCTACTTGTTTGGGCTGCCCAGATTCCTCAGAACTACCAGGAGGAAAGGCTAAGTCTGCTGGTCCATAGAGACTGCAGCCACCCCTCCCACTAGGGGCTCAGGCCCAGGGAAATCCAGGTTCTGTCCCTGAGCCTCTGGCTGGAGTTATTGGAGTTCCTGCAGGGAAGCCCCACGCAGTGAGGAAGGATGAGTCAGGGTCAGGCCTGAAAAGGCAGTCTGGCTGCCATCTGCCACAGTCAGAGTGTCGGGCTGTGGGAGACACATCTTGGGACCAAGTGGTCCAGCCTCCCGGACTCCAGCAGGGGGAAAATGCAGTCTGGAGCTATAGAGATGAATGCTGCCCTTCCCCCACCCAGGGAGCTTAGCACGTTAGGCAGTTGTGAGTCCCAGTGCTGGCTGCTGCCCTTTCCCCAAGGAGCTCGAATGGCTTAGACAGCAGTCAGCTGCAGCTGTGGTGCTGGCAGCTTGGTAGACTTAAGCAGATTCCATCTGAGAGGCTGTTGAGAATCTGCGCAGCTCCAGAGTTGGGACGCTAGGCCCCAGTGGTGTGGGTTCATGAGTGGGATCTTCCAATCCATGGTTTGCACAGTACCATGGGAAAAGCACAGTTTCCCCAGCTGGGTAGCATGCTCACTCACCGCCTCCCTTGGCTGGGGGTAGGGGGTCCCCTGCCCCATGTGGCTCTCAGGTGGGCCACTGCACCACACTGTTCTTCCTCTCTGTGGATCATGCCAGCCTCCTAGTCAGTTCTGATGAGAGAACCTGGATACCTTGGTTGCCGGTAAAGGATTCTCACACTTATTATGGTTCTTTTAGATGGGAGTCTCCCAACGCCGCTGTTTCTAGTGGGCCACCTTGGCCTCAGCCCCACCCCTCCACCCCAGTTTGTACTTTCTTGTGGAGAAAAATCATCTGAAGCTCAGGAGCACAGAGATGATCCCCTTAAACAGAACCTAAATAGGATATGTTACCTGCCTGGTCCTTGTAGGTATTTGAGTATGGTTATCTGACATATGACCATGTCCATTCAACTTTAGGGCCAGAGAGACTTAGAAAAAAGGTGATGATGTTACATAGTAAAACAAAAGTTTATCCAAGTAGAGATTCCATGATCTAGGAGCTAAAAGATTTGTGTTTACTGGACGATAGCAACAGAATTGATTGTGCCAAAAGCAAGACATTCTGCTGAATAAAGACAAAAAATAGGCTGTCCAAAAAGAAAGCCTATTTCAAAGTGACTAATCCCTTTGATGTGTTCCAACTTGTGGGGATGCTATACAGAAACTCACAGAGAATAAATTATTTCTCAAAGTAGCTTGACCGATGTTGGAGAATCAATCCTTCCCCTGAGAAAAGAAGTGAGGTCAGACTCAGAGCAGTTAGGACCTATGTGATTAAGAGTCGGAAGGTGAAGGAAATTTGTAACCCATCTAGAATATCTGGACTTCTGTCTCTTTCTCTGAAAAATGAAAGTATGAGACTAGCTCCATACAGCCATTTTCAGTTTTACGTTTTCTGGGTCAATGAATTATGATGACATTAAAATATGGTCTAGTACTGTGAGTTCTTGCTTGATATTTCCATTCTGTACATACTAGTGCCGCCACCTAGAGTACAAAGTGGGAAATATTCTCCTTCCCAGGCACCAAGCTTTGACTCCCCTCAGGCTAAAACCCCACTTTTTCTCTGATTCTTCTATGCATACTTTCTGTCTTCTACCCAGTCACGACAACTCATTGCATTCAGAGCCCATTTAGGTTCTTCATGATCTCTGTGTTTAGAAGAAGGATTCTGAGATCAAGGGTCTGTGTTTTTGTTTAATATGTGTAATACAGCTAAGTCTGAAAAGGTGGAAAAACATGGTTAAACTGATGAATTGGAATTAAAATCACACCTAATTTTTTCACTAAATGTACATTCAAGTTAAAAGTATTAGCCTATACTTTGTTTGGCATAATATTTTATACAGCATGTTAATACAAGATTTTCTTTGACTTATTACTTGGGTCTGGTATTAATGTTACAAAGATTAGCTGTTGCTTTGGAATGAAAACATTGCAGTCCTACCCATACTCTACTTAGTAAGTCCCATTGTCCTTAGTTAAACTCTTTGTATCTCTTATTTTTTTTAACCTGCACAATAGGAATAATATCCTGTGAACTCTGCTTCACGGTATGCTATGTTACATGAAATAAAATTAACCTGGCATATAGTAGGTTTTCAATAATGAATTTGAAAAGTATTCTTTAGATTACTCCTAGATCTGTAGTAGTGGTTACAGTGGCTGTTTCTTCTAGACTCAGAATGCTCTAATGTTGACTATAGTCTTCTCTGTCTGACAGCTTGCCGGTACTTATCCTTTCTGCACAAATTGGCTCACCAAATTTGGGGCCTTCTGTAACACCGTACACCCAGTTTTCCTCAAGGACAACTTAGAAAATTCCAACTGAAATTAAATCAATATTCAAGAATCTTTGAAAGGAAGCATTTTTTCATACTATTTCATTTTGCTAGGAATTTCTCCGAAAGAGGTTTCCTGGATTTTATTATTCACAGATTGGAGAATAAAAATGTCCTTGTGAGAGGTGAGGGAGTGGTAGCTTATTCTAAAACCATCAGGGAGGGATTCTTGGAATTCGATTAATTCATTAACGCATATTGTCAATATTTACCGAATGATTACTATGAGGAGAATTATTTATGTTCTGATAATTTAGGGAAACAAGACAAGAATATCCATGCTTTTATTAACAAAAGACAAAAATAAATGAACAAATAAAGACTTGTAGAGATTGAATGGGGATAGTGGTGAAATAGGTTTTAAAATAAATGGTTGTATCAGTCAGCTATTGCCACAAAAATGGTGTATAACAAGTGACTCCAAAAGTCAATTACTTTAAAGCAAATTATTTAACTCTGTTCACATGTCTCTGAATCAGCTAGGGTAACCCTGCTTTAAGCTCG
This sequence comes from Homo sapiens, assembly GCF_000001405.40. Lineage (NCBI taxonomy): Eukaryota > Metazoa > Chordata > Mammalia > Primates > Hominidae > Homo > Homo sapiens. The sequence continues at coordinate 85,868,725 of NC_000012.12, forward strand.
GGAATCTCTCCCTTACATTGCAGGTGTGCAAGTCAGCTGGGGCAGCTTTGCTCCATATGTCCCTCCTCATTTTGGGATCATCTGAGAAAAGAAAAGAGTTTCTCATGGCAATGGCAGAAGAGAGAAAGGGAAAGCCCTATGTGTCAAGCACAAATCAAGTCTGTCTTTTTCTTATGTCTACTAACATCCCACTGGCCAAAGCAAGTCTCATTTCCTAAGTTAAAGTCAAAGAGTGAGGAAGTATATTTCATCCACTCTGGGAGGAGTAAGGGAATGAATATTTGATGAACAGTAATCACAGTTTTCATTGCAGATCTTTAACAAAAAAGCTTAGCATGTTGCACAAAAGCCAGAAGACCAATGTGCTTGAAACATAGGAACAGAAGGGGAGAATGGTGGAATATGATGATAGAGAGGAAGACAAAACCCACTCAGGTAGCATAGGCCATCATCAGGCATGACAAGAGGAAACCTTTAGAATGTTTTAAGCAGAGAATGACAGGAATAGATTTACATTTTTAAAAACTTTTCTGGAGTTTTTGAAAGCTGAAAGGGATCAAGGTTGTAGGGAGACTACTCAAATGGTTATTATGGCAGCGCAGGAGAAAGATGGTGGTGGCTTGGACTTAGGTGGCAAAAATGACATAAGGAAAAGTAGTTAGATTTGAAATATATTTTGGAACAGACCTGCACCCCAGGGGGTTTTGCTAGCTTGGAAGTGGAGGGGAGAGAGAAACAATGTAAATGGATTCTAGTTTTTAGATCTGTGCAACTCAGTAAATCATGGTTCTAATAATTGAAATGAAAAACTCTAGAGGGGCAGAAGATTATTAGAAAGATGTTTGGAGGAATCAAAAGTTTTACTTTAGACAATAAGTCTGCCTAATGAAACTCCAAGTAGGGCTGCTAATGAGGTGATTGCATATACAATTTGAGTAGTCAGAGATACAAACTTGGAGGTTATTAGGAAATAGATAGGATTCAAAACCATAAGACTTATCAGATTCACTGGGAAAGCACAGTAAATTTAAAAAGAATCATAAACCCAAGGAGTATGAATAATATAAAACCATTACATTCCAAATTTAACATGTAATATCTTCTTGAGAAAAAGAAAAAAAGTGTTTCACTGAATTTGCTCCTGATAGACGGTAGCTCAAGTACATCTGCTCTGTTTCAGGTATTGCAGGTGCTATGGAAATTTTCTTAGACTTTGTAATATTAAAAAAGAAAAGAGAAAGTTTTCTTATAATAAGAATTTGTCTCATTTATTACATTAGATAATTACACTAATTTATAAAACTAAGAAACATGAAAGAAGAAATTTGTCAGGAACATTTTTTTCTGTAATACTTTTATTTTGGTCTTATTCAAAAGGGAGACCTATAAGGAAAACTACCTGAGCATTACACATAATGGGTGGTGATTTTGTGAGTATTTACATTTTTTCCTAGACACGAGAAGCAAGATTATAGGTGAAGTCAGCAATGGCTGCAATGTGGAGCATGGTTAGTTAAATACAGTAACTCATTAACATGTAAGTCCCAAGCAAACCGTATTTTGTAATTACGGTTTAAGTTGCAAAATATGCTTTGACTACAGAAGTCAGTCATCAATTTTTCCAGGTTAATTACCTATATGGATGCAATAACAGAGATAGGAAGAGCTGAAAGGAAATGAGCTAGGAATTTGTAAGGATTATGGGCAAAGCAAGGTTACATGCAGATTGGGAAACTGAACGTTTGTTTACATTTACCTAAATCTCCAAGGTTGGGTTATACACATCCTATGTGGGTGTATGCATGCACACATCCATCTGTATTTCTAGAAAATATACTTTAATTGAACAGAAAAATCAATTGGGTTCACAGACTTTGACATCATTATTTGTTCAGATGAATCAGAGTTACAGCTTCAAATGATAGACTCATTTATAGAAATGGAGCAAACTCACAATTTATCTAAACATTCAGCTGATGATTGTACATGATCCAAGGACAATCTTCTTGAATGATTTTTTTAAAGTTAACATTTCCAGTCAGAGAGGAAAAGGATGATGAGAGAAAAGGCTGAGAAAACTGACTATAAAAGCTCACATAAAATATGAAGATTAATGATAACAAAAGAGTGTTAAAAGGTGTGGCTGAAAGAAACATTTAAAATTAAAACATGGAAAGGGCATGTAAGAAATTAAACGTAATCAGTATTTTCATTTAATTTAGTAAGTATGTATTGATCACTTATGGATTATAAACCTTAGAAGTCAGAATGTTCTCCTTCTAGCAGTTTACAGTTTACCATAAACTGTATAAACAAACTACGGAGCATTTAACAGAAAACTAGGAAAAATAGAAGTAGACGAGACTACTTTCAGGACTCAAACTTGGAAATGTTTTTGTTGATTAAGCCATAAAATACAGGATGATCATAGGAAGGTGAAGGGGAGATTCCAGGTTGTAAAAACACAACAGGCCAAGTTTCAGGTATTTAGGTTACCAAAAGATTGGAAAATCCTGGAAGCTGTTAATGAGGTATTAAAGTCACCAGAGCTATAGGAAAAAACCATAAGGAACTGAAAAACCAACCCTTGATCAGTTGGTTCCAGAGCTTGCCCTTCTCCAAACAAAATAAGCTTACAGACCACTCTTTCTAACTGCCAATTCTTCAGGTGTCTCTGTTGATTATTTTCAGCAATTACCTAATAAAGGTCTGACATAAGTAACAGTACAAGCTTAGAAATCTACCTACTTTAGAGATGTTGTAATCAACAGGTACCTAACAGGTAACATCCACTTAAGAAGGCCAACACAGGAATATTATTAAAGGACAATGCTTAAAATCTTTATCAGATATTTTAAGAACTAGGTAACCCTTAGAAGGATCTAAGGTATGCCGGGCATGGTGGCTCACGCCTGTAATCCCAGCACTTTGGGAGGCCGAGGTGGGCGGATCATGAGGTCAAGAGATCGAGACCATCCTGGCCAACATGGTGAAACCCCGTCTCTACTAAAAATACAAGAATTAGCTGGGCCTGGTGGTGTGCCTGTAGTCCCAGCTACTCGGGGGGCTGAGGCAGGAGAGTTGCTTGAACCCAGGAGGTGGAGACTGCAGTGAGCCGAGATCACACCACTGCACTCCAGCCTGGTGACAGAGAGAAGCTCCATCTCAAAAAAAAAAAAAAAGAAAAAAGAAAAAGGATCTGGGGTAAAAAGCCTTTAAAATAAAAACAGTTCACCCATCTCCATAGCAAGGTGTCTACAATCCTGCATTAAAGGCATCATTTAGGAAGTTCGTAGGGTACTTTTTAAGTGGAAAAATACATACTTAACCTTTATCCCTACAACAAATTGTTTTATTGGTTTATGTGTAGCTTGAAGGCATTAGATTAGAGCAAGAAACAAAAAGCCTAACACATTAAAGAAAATACCAATTAGAGGTCAAAGTTTATCTACATCATAATTTTACCAAAGTTATACATCTTTTTTCCCCAAAAGAAAAGTAGCATATAGCATCTATTTGAATTTGAATTATTTGACATAACTTAATGTTTCCCCTATTCTTGAATATTTATCACATATCTCAATTTTCACATTAACAACTAATATCCATGTTATATATTTAAAATGAATTTCCATTAATTCTTCTCCCCCTTTTTTCTAATTAATTAGGGATCAATTTTGTCAACATATTGAAGAAATCATCTGAGGAAAATAAGAATCACATTTCCTTTTTACTATTAGACTGCTATCACACATTTTAAAAGATCATTCTTTGTATTTGCAATTCAAAAGCAGAGAAAACAACTAATTTAATTATCATGCAAAGTATATATAATTTTCCCGATTTGTTAATCAAAGTGGCTTTAAGAGGATTCTGTCACAAAGATGCTCTGATAGTAACAGGAAAGTAAGCACAAATCCTCACTGAGACTCTGTTAAGTGAAAACCAAGTGTTTCAAGCTTCCATTGCTCCCCCTAATGGTAGGAAAGCAGAAAACATCTAGACGTATGTATTTCACATTTGTCAACTAAATACTTTACAGAAACCTTCCTCCATGTGAGTATGTTCAATATTGTGTTTTATGTAAGTTCAGAAAACAAACTAAAAGTAATAAATATATCAGTTATTATTAAATTTCTGGTATTATATGAAAGACTCCTTGCTATTCTAAGTAATTATTAAATGTTTGGATTTAATCGCTTTGCTTAAGTTTTGGGTAAAGGTGAAAAAGTTAAACTCATAGATTGTATAATATAAATCAATTATCTATAGGAACCAATCCTATTTTTTCTCAACTGTTACTACATGATTGATTTATTTAAAAATTAAACAAGACTCAGACAACTTTACATTCAAATATTCACATCTCTAACAGCACTGACTTGTCAAATTACCCCATGTATCTTGAAATGCTTACTACAAGAAGAAAGTTTTACTCTAAAAGGCATTTTGAACAATTTTCTTTTGAGAACTCAGACAAAGAATGGGTATCAGTGTAACTCATGAAATACATGAAGACTATCATAGAAAAGTGACTTTGGTGAATGGTGGTTATTTAGGATTGTCTCCTTTCCAAAAGTACAATCTCTTTTTTTATGGTGAAAAGAGTATTATAACAGGGAAAGAAAGCCGATGCAATAGTAAAAACTGTTGAGAAGGGAATTATACAAAGAGTGAGACATGGCATCAAGAATGAATTCAAAAAGAGCAGAAAAATATAGGCATAAAAAGAGATAATGTACAGAAAAAAAGTCAGTGATACAACAACACAAATTTTTACCTGCTAGAATGTAAGTAATTTAGAGCTGGATTTTATAAACATGAAATTGTTTTTCTAATACATTCAACCAAAAGTCAGCACACATAGTTCAGTCATCTCTCATTACTTACAATAAAATATTTTCTATTTGTTAGGAAATAATATCTTATTCCCTGGATCTATTATTTCTTTTTATTGATTTTCTTTCTATTCTCTAAACTTAATTGCTTAATTTTTATAACTGATTCTCTGTCTCTATTCCATCTTATTCCAGCATGGATTATTTAAAACCTGTATTAGTTTTGGAACCACTAAACATTTGCTCAGAAGTTTGAATTACCAGAGAAGCACCCTAACTCTTCAAGAACTTCCAAGCCTAAGGAATCACTGATTTCATGCATTCATCCTGGAGATTTTCCTTAAAAATTAGAAATAACAGATCTCATGTTTCACAAAATCAAAATGACAACTTTTGGAGTGGGGGAATGAGAAGTGGGAAAAGGATGATACTGGGGGTTCTTTGTCAGTATGCTGTATGTATGCTGTATGTCAGTGCAGTTGAATGACTCCTTCTGTGCGTCAGAAATCCAAAGCAGCAGCAGCAGCAATTAGGGAAGATCGTCACTTTCACTCAAGGTTCAGAAATGGGGGAGGAGAGCAGGGGGGACAAAGGAAAAGGGGAGGAGAAAGCAGGGCAAAGAGGGGAGGGATGGAGGTGAAGATAGGGCACATCCTGCAAAGATAATGTCTGTACAATCAATGACATCATCCTCCTGCTTATATATATAGGGGAATGGCCAGAGCACCTCTCATAGTTCACTCACTTTCAAAGCCAGCTGAAGGAAAGAGGAAGTGCTAGAGAGAGCCCCCTTCAGTGTGCTTCTGACTTTTACGGACTTGGCTTGTTAGAAGGCTGAAAGATGATGGCAGGAATGAAAATCCAGCTTGTATGCATGCTACTCCTGGCTTTCAGCTCCTGGAGTCTGTGCTCAGGTAAGCAAAACAGAATTTCACAACTCCCTGAAGTGATTTCTTTTTTCTCTTTTGCAGTGTGTTGCTACTTATGTTAATGTATCTGGGGAGAAGAGTTGCTCCCTTTTATTCAGGATTTACCTTTTAGTGACAGAAACTGAGTATCTCTTTCTCTGCCTTTATGATTACTGAGAGATGTATTTTCTCTTTTAAAATCTGCAAAGCAATAAAAGGGATTTCAATGAAACACTGCACGACCTCCTTTGGAATTCAACAACTAGAGGGAAAAAAACCCTACAAAACTTTCAATTAGGCTGATCATTATCTAATGAGAAATACAGAGGCAGTGGCTGTCAACCTGCAAACCCATCATTAAATCCCATTCCATTCAAAATGTTTTACTCTCATCCTCATTCATTCTCTTAGGAAGCGGTGGCCCTCACGCCCTTGTAATAGTCCCCGTATTATTTTCTTGTTTGTGTTAAGATAACAAATAAAGTGAAAATTGATACTTAGTGAAAAATGAAGCATTATTTGTAGAAAATTATTTCTAGAAAAATACAAAAATATTCCAGATCCTTTTTGAGAACAGAATTTGCATAGTCTAATAAGTGTGCTATTAATATAACTGTTTGGCATTTTTTCCATGCCATTTAAGTTAATACAAAATACAATTGGAAAATTGGTATTCTTATATTGATGGAAATTATTTGACTTTAGAGTGTTTTGCATGTGGTTTGAAAGAAGTTATATAGTCCTAAGTATCTACGAATAACTCACTTTGAAAATAAGACTTAAATTGAAAGGTATAACATGAAATATTACAACCATTGCAAAAGGCTCTACTTAATATTTAAGAAATATTACAATGAACACTTCAAAGGGAAAAGAACACATTAGGAAGCAAATGCAGCAAAAATAATTTAACCTGTTCTGTGCTTTTATGTATCATAAATATGACATGGAAATGTTTAACTCAAACTCATGCTATCATTTGATTTAAATTATGAAATTAAAATCTAAGAAGATATAAATGTGATTTATACAAAATTTTAAATTTATTTTAATCATCAGAACATAACTTTCAGCTTCTACTTTTTAAATCTTATGAGAAAAAACAAACTTTTCTATAATTATGATTTTATCTGAAAGTTATATGAGATTAAAGATTCACATACTTCTGGAAGAAAAACTGGGTTATTGATTAAGCACTGTGTTTATTAACTTGAAACTACTTGTTGTAATAATGCAATAGTTATAAGGATTTTGGTATACATTGTTCATAAATTCCTAAAACAGATTATGTCTCTAACAAATAGTGAGAAAAGATCTCTTGTATAATTTAGGTTCTAGGTAAAATTAAGCCAATGGGTTCTCCAATTGTGGCATTTCTTTTTACTGAGTGTGTAGTACAAGGAAGATAGAGTCATTTTTAACTTTATTTTTATTATTGTATAGTATTTTCCAAATTTTCCTTCTCTGTAAAATATTCATTAACAGAAACTTGGATAGAGTTTTTTAAAAATCCAGAGATCCATTTTCAATGCTGTTGTACATGTGTTGTTGAACAGCTCCACTTTTGCTTTAAACAATTTCCTTAAATGCCTATGAAAAAATTGAGGATACATAATTTTGAATTCTCTTAAAGTACAATACAATTCTTTCAACGTGTGTTTTGTAAAAAACATCTCAAGTTAAGTAAACCTCAGTATCTTTATTATTCTAAAATTATCAGTAAGCAATTCCCTTTGGTTTTGTCTTGAAAAAGTCTCTTGTATAGTCTTCATTATGTTGTGTTTTTAAATGTTAATATGCATATTTTCTATATATGTAAACTGTGGCTGGTAAGAAATAAGCTACTCTAGCATATTTGGTAAAATATGTGTTATACAATGTAATCACATTTTTAAAGCCTGAAATTCAAAGATTAAACAACTCCCAGTGATCAATAGCTGTCTGAAAAATAATCATATGCTTATTTTCTTAGAAGTGCTTCTACTATTTTAGCTTCCTATTATGCTAAAGTATAACTATAATTTGTTTTTTAGGATTACTATTTTTAAGAAAATACATAAGAAAGACACTAACCTCTAAGATTTTTTTTTAGATTAACCTAAAATCTGTAGATTATGATATAATTATATGATATGTAATTATAGTAAACCTGATTTTGATTTTACTCAGATTCAGAAGAGGAAATGAAAGCATTAGAAGCAGATTTCTTGACCAATATGCATACATCAAAGGTAACTTTTTCTTTTCTTTAACCCTGAGTTGAAGAACATATGAACTTTCATTATAAACATGGTATCCTTTTCCCATAGTAATAACTTCTCATCAAGATTGAAAAGTTCCTTGAGAGGCATTTCCTTTTTGAAAAAAAAAATTTCTTTTAGTTAAAAGAAGTTAAAGGTGTTGATATGACAGGCAAAGAAATTATAATTCTATCAATCAGCATGTTGCAATTTTAATTAATTGCCACACATATTTACTTGCCTGTAAATGTTTTTAAAGGAACTTGCTTCCATGCCTTTTACATTGGGTATGATGAAAGGTATATTGGTCTCAAGTTAAATGAAAACAAAGTGAGCTCTTTGCCTTTTTTATTATATTGGGGGAAATAAAAAGGTGTTCCTAAATTAGAAATAAAAGTTCATGACAACCTGCAAAAGAAATGTAGTATAGAGGGGATAGCAATGGACTGGTAAGCAGGAGCATTGAGATCTAATCCTGAAACAGTGACTTATTAAATATTTTATCTTTAGCAAGTGGATTAGTTCACCTTGCTTACCTGTGTTTCCTTGTTTTTAAATGCAGGGATTGCAGTTCGTAATCTTCTAGACATTTACCGTTCTACAATGTATTTAGGAATTACTAAACTGTACTCTTCATTGTATGTCTGGATTTAAATTCTCCCTATAACAAACATGTTATTTTTACATGTTCTTTTTTTTTTTTTTTTTAATTGAGCCAAATACAACTTTGTATCCTGGGCCCTATTACTCCTCTATTGGGGTCTTGAAAGCCAGTTTTTAAAATTCCAATCTGTACCTAGGAATACGTTCTGGGGTACATGGGCAGGATGTGCAGGTTTGTTAGATAGGCAAACATATGCCTTGGTGGTTTTCTGCACCTATCAACCCATCACCTAGGTATTAAGCCTAGCATGCATTAGCCCTTCCTCCTCCACTCCACCCTCTGACAGGCCCCGGTGTGGGTTGTTCCCCTTCCTGTGCCCATGTGTTCTCATTGTTTAGTACTCAATCAGAATACCAATGGCTACAACCTCTTCAGTTCAAAAATAGACAACTGAAGTTAATAGTCCGTGTTAGAAAATGGGATAAGTTAGGTGTCTTGGTGTCTTGGTATAGGTTTACCTAATTCCCAGATGCAAGTTAATACATGAAGGTTCTATATAATCTGTGATGCTACCCATAACAATTATTAATGTGTGGAATGCATTACTAGCCTCATACTTTGTAATTGTCCACATTTAATAATACCATCTTTGTCACTGCTCCATTACATGTTAAGCTGAAATGTAATAGAGACAGAATAATTTTTTATTTTTAATTTTTCATCTGTGATATATATATCATTTATATATTTCTGCCATCATTTTAATTTCCTTGCTTTCTTACTTTGCTCTGTGTGTACACACATAAGTGCATGTATATGTGAATATAACTATTGCATTTTATTAAACAGAAGTTATGAGATATTGGCAGTATACAACTTTGTGAACTGATGTTACTAAATAAATAACACTATATTTATTAGACTGGAGTAGCAATTAGACCCTAAATGTGATGGTTTAGCACACTAGGAATTCATTTCTTGCTCATGTAACACAAGTTTTAATTGCAGGGGTTTTTTTAATATATTTCAGATTAGTAAAGCACATGTTCCCTCTTGGAAGATGACTCTGCTAAATGTTTGCAGTCTTGTAAATAATTTGAACAGCCCAGCTGAGGAAACAGGAGAAGTTCATGAAGAGGAGCTTGTTGCAAGAAGGAAACTTCCTACTGCTTTAGATGGCTTTAGCTTGGAAGCAATGTTGACAATATACCAGCTCCACAAAATCTGTCACAGCAGGGCTTTTCAACACTGGGAGGTATAGCAATAACAAAATATTAATATGATTATAGTTACACTAGTTAGCTCTCATTTATATTAATTTCTTAAATTCCCAATCATAATCATAACAAGAAGAGTTACAAGTATTGAAGAAGAACAAGCCATGTTTTGAAGTCAACATTGCTTCAGATCTTCAAAGTGTCCTTCAAATATTTGAAACTCAGCAAAATATGTTTTTCTTCAATATTAAAAAGAGGATATATCTTAAGGCAGATTTGATCCACATGTTTTTATTATGCTTAAGTGGATGGCATGTTTAGACAATTTTTGTTGTTGTAGGTGGTGGCATGTCTAACAAATTTAAGCAACTCAAAATGTTGTCTTAGAAACACAAAGTCATATGTAGTGATCTATAAACAAACACAGAATATAAAGTTTCCAAGTAAAACTGGAATAAAACATAAATATTTGTATTTAAATATATTAGGCAAATAAAAATATATTTTTATGTACATAAAATATATTTTTATGTATATTTTAATGTACATAAAATATATTTTTATGTATATTTTATGTACGTAAAATATATTTTTATGTATATTTTATGTACGTAAAATATATTTTTATGTATATTTTATGTACGTAAAATATATTTTTATGTATATTTTATGTACGTAAAATATATTATATATATATTTTATGTATGTAAAATATATTATACATAATTTTATGTATATTTTATGTATATACCATATATTTTATGTATATTTTATGTATATAAAATATATTTAATGTATATTTTATGTATATTTTATGTATATAAAACATATTTTATGTATATAAAATATATTTTTATGTATATTTTATGTATATAAAATATATTTTTATGTATATTTTATGTATATAAAATATATTTTATGTATATTTTATGTATATTTTATGTATATTTTATGTATATTTTATGTATATAAAATATATTTTTTGTATATTTTATGTATATAAAATATATTTTTTGTATATTTTATGTATATAAAATATATTTTTTGTATATTTTATGTATATTTTATGTATATAAAATATATTTTTTGTATATTTTATGTATATTTTATGTATATAAAATATATTTTTTGTATATTTTATGTATATAAAATATATTTTTTGTATATTTTATGTATATAAAATATATTTTTTGTATATTTTATGTATATAAAATATATTTTTTGTATATTTTTGTATATAAAATATATTTTTTGTATATTTTTGTATATAAAATATATTTTTATGTATATTTTATGTATATAAAATATATTTTTATGTATATTTACATATATTTAAAATATATATAAATAAAATATATAAAAATATATTTTATGTATATAAAAATATAGAATAAGGATATATTAGGTTAGTGCAAAAGTAATTGCAGTTTTTACCATCAAAAGTAATGGCAAGAACCGTAATTACTTTCGCACCAACCTAATATATCCCTATTATTCCAGTTTTATCTGGAACCTTTTGTATTTGAATATATTAGGAAAATAAAAATATTTTTTAATTTATATAAAGGTATATATAGTAAGGATATATATCCCCATCATTTCAGTTTATTTGGAAACCTTTCGGTTCTGTGTTTGTTTATAAATACACACAAAACTTAGTGTGTAATAATGTACTTGCAAAATGCTTTACAATTTATTGTCTTCAATGATATATTTTGCTCTGAAAGATAAATTACAGCTTTGGAAAGATATAGAACAATGTCAGGATAAAGAAGAGAAGGGGGAAGAAAAATAAATTCTTTAACAAAATCAAAACAAATTTTTAAAAATTTTCGACAAGGGAAACATTTCTTTCAAATTAACCTCTAAGAGAAACTTGGTCAATATTTTATATTCTGGATTTACACTAACATTGGGGATCTGAGGGTGTCTTCCCTGCTAATTTAACAAACTTGCGATTGACTACCAAAGAGCTACCCTGTGGATAAGAAGAAGTGCAGGCAGAATTTCTAGTGTTTATTATAACTGGTAAGCAAAAAGATAATTTCTAAACAAAAAACTGAAAAGACCAGTTTTTAATTTACTATTGATTATTTAATTAAATTCCTGGTAAATTGTTTAGTATTTAAAATATGTTTTGGCCAGGCACGGTGGCTCACGCCTGTAATCCCAGCACTTTGGGAGGCCGAGACGGGCGGATCACGAGGTCAAGAGATGGAGACCATCCCGGCTAACACGGTGAAACCCCGTCTCTACTAAAAATACAAAAAATTAGCCGGGCGTAGTGGCCGGCGCCTGTAGTCCCAGCTACTGGGGAGGCTGAGGCAGGAGAATGGCCTGAACCCGAGAGGTGGAGCTTGCAGTGAGCTGAGATCACGGCACTGCACTCCAGCCTGGGCGACAGAGCGAGACTCCATCTCGAGCAAACAAACAAAAAGTTTAAGGTCAAAGAAACTTGAAAAATACATATTTTGATATAGGAAGATGTCCATTATATGTTATTTATCCAAAAAAACCTCAGTAAACTATTATGTAGACCAATCAAGTGCAAATAAGATTAAAACTTTTCCCTATTTTAAATGTTATTGAGTGATTTAAAATAAAATGATAATTTCTGAGCATAGTACAAGTAATTACAGACTATGCACAAAAAAACTAAAGATTAAGAAACTAGATTGTCTGACAGTAGCTGTTTTTTCTCCTCTGAAATTGAATAGCTGTGAGTTGAAATAAAATACTTGGTTGTAAGATTTTATTCATATGCATTGCAATTTAAAACTTAGTCCCCTATCAGTATTTGTTATAGTGACCCCTCAAATTAGAAGACAACCAAAAATACAAAGAAAATTTTTATCTTTAACATATTTTTAAAGTTTCTGTAAATTGTATATTAAACTCTGGACAGATTTCTTAAATGGTAACTGAAATTTTTGAGTCAGAGCCATATTCTTAGAAAAAAAATTATGCTTAATGTTAGAATGGGGCATACTCCTGCCTCATGATTTTAGGCAAGATTCTACATGGTGCTTAACTCCCTTAAGTTATTGAATCTGAGCTTGCTTTAGTGACTAAGCACCAGCATCTAAAGAGATCGTTATCATTTAAACAGAGCTTTCCCATATGTTGATTTCTACAACTGACGAAGTTGGATAAAGCAACTTTCATCCCTCTATTGAGAATTAGATCCTTGGAATGGTTTTCATGTCAAATCAGTAACTGACTTAATTGAATATAACATTTTGTTACCTTTGTGGCCAAACTTGGTTTACCAGATCAAAAACTATATTTATTGTAATATATTATATATTTCATCCTTTTGGTGTTTCCATCATAAATTGAAGCCTGAAAAGTACTCAAAGGTCTATTTGATGCTTTTCTTCAAAGGGCTGGATTAGTGTACGGCCTTGAAATATATAGTTAGTAAAGTTTATAGAAATTTTTTAAAAGAGCTAGCCTGGTGAACTAGGAAGAATACTGAACTGAGTCAGAATTACCATGTTCTTATACTATTTCAGCCACTGAATGGCCGTCTCTCCTTTGAAAAAACAATTTCTTTGAACTTCATGTATCTCGTATCTCACCTACATATGTCTTGCTGTCTTAACAGCAAATGAGATAGAATGTAGAAAAATGCTCTGAAACAAAAGAGTTTATTCATGTAAGTTTCACTTATTTTATCTCTATCTTGCAGTTAATCCAGGAAGATATTCTTGATACTGGAAATGACAAAAATGGAAAGGAAGAAGTCATAAAGAGAAAAATTCCTTATATTCTGAAACGGCAGCTGTATGAGAATAAACCCAGAAGACCCTACATACTCAAAAGAGATTCTTACTATTACTGAGAGAATAAATCATTTATTTACATGTGATTGTGATTCATCATCCCTTAATTAAATATCAAATTATATTTGTGTGAAAATGTGACAAACACACTTATCTGTCTCTTCTACAATTGTGGTTTATTGAATGTGATTTTTCTGCACTAATATAAATTAGACTAAGTGTTTTCAAATAAATCTAAATCTTCAGCATGATGTGTTGTGTATAATTGGAGTAGATATTAATTAAGTCACCTGTATAATGTTTTGTAATTTTGCAAAACATATCTTGAGTTGTTTAAACAGTCAAAATGTTTGATATTTTATACCAGCTTATGAGCTCAAAGTACTACAGCAAAGCCTAGCCTGCATATCATTCACCCAAAACAAAGTAATAGCGCCTCTTTTATTATTTTGACTGAATGTTTTATGGAATTGAAAGAAACATACGTTCTTTTCAAGACTTCCTCATGAATCTCTCAATTATAGGAAAAGTTATTGTGATAAAATAGGAACAGCTGAAAGATTGATTAATGAACTATTGTTAATTCTTCCTATTTTAATGAATGACATTGAACTGAATTTTTTGTCTGTTAAATGAACTTGATAGCTAATAAAAAGACAACTAGCCATCAAAATCATATGTTTCTCTACAGATTTAGTTCTTTATAGAGGTACTTTTTATATAATTTTTCCCCTTTTGCATTTTGATCTAGTAAATAATAGTTTTACTTTTAACTTCACTGAGATATTTGTGTGACTAACATTTTTCTCAATTGGGAGGACATATTTGAGGCAAAAGCTATGCTTGAAATAACACCTTTAAATTTTCTTTAAGATCACACATACGGTGTCTGAAGCCCTCAAAGCCTTTGCAAGTCATCATTAGTAGTGACTTTCTTGACTCTTTCTTTTATAGTGGTCTAGGAAGTCCTCTCCTCACAAGGCTGCAACTTATCCCACAGTCATCTATGCAGGATAAATCAGATCTTGAGTTGTTCTAGTATTAAGAAGCCTTTACAACTCCATATCCCTTTGAGAATATTGTCCCTCCCTGAGGATTAATATTACTCTTGAAAGAAGTTAAATCTATAGATCTCTGAGATTTTCTTGTAAAATCACAACTTCTCATTACTACTACCCCACCATCTCTTACCATCCCATTAGTCTCATAATTGAAAGTGCCCAAAGTCCTGCTTATAAGAAGGAAGCTATTTCATAATGATTAAAAGTGTCTTCTCTGCAGCTAGAATGCCTAGATTCAGCTCCATTACGCACTAAGCAGTATTGGACAACTTACTTAGCCTCCTTGTTTATTGAATCATAAAATGTAGACAACAATCAGGTTTGCAGGAGGATGATATGAGCTGATATATATATATATATATATACATATAAAATGCTTAGAATGATGCCTTGAATATATTAATAACACACTAACAGTTATTAGTAGTAACAGTAGTGCCAACTTTCCCATAAGAAAGTACTCATCAGATGATATACTTCCCTGTTTACTTCATTAGTTAACAAAAGTTCAAATCTACTAGGTCATACATCATCATCAAAACTCTGTTCTAAGCCAACACCCACTCTTTTCCAACCCTTTAAATCCTTTCATTGGTTATTCTATGAAATTCATGGTCATTGTTTTCTTAATAGCTTTTTCAATGCCTGACTGACTTTTACAATATGTGGTAACATTATCTGGAAGTGAGGTATGTATTCTGGTCACTACTATACCATTTTTCCTTTCCCTTTTAAAAACTATGGATTATTTGAAATATAGGGCATAAGACAATTTCATCTACTGTGTTTTGAATAATTATTGTTCTCTCAGTTTCTGAACATCTTCACCTCCAATAACGAACATTTAACCTTTTCATATCAACCAGTCACTTCCATGGTCATATCACAGAACACTTCACTACCAATAAATTCATTCTTTTCAAAATCTCATTTTCAAGCACTCTATTCTGGAAACATCATCTTGTTTCTCCAGTTCACATAAGCTAGTACTCTCACTACAGCATCTATGATTCTGCCCAACCCATTGTCCCACGTCTTTTTACTCTTCGTCTTCTAATTATGACCTTATCTTCCTCTTTAGTTAGCTTACTTTGCTCCAAAATTAAAATGACTCCCTTGTTACCCTCAACCCTCTGTGTTAAATCATATAAGTTTCTCAAAACATTAGCAGTTAAACTTAAATCTCTCCTGATTCTGACCTCACTGAAAAAGCTTAAGATAACTGAAAGAAATTGTTCAGCCTTGTTGAAAACCACACTTAAAATTTTTAATCACAAATCTCAGGTGGATCCTTATTATTGCCCAGAATTCCTGTTACATTTGTCTAATAAATTTCACTTCTGATTCTCAGTGATGATTGTTTCATACCCTCTCTTCTTTGAATTCCAACATTTTTCATTCTCCTAACTTCATTTGATGACTTTTCAATTATTTCTCCAAAAATTAAAAACAATAAGAAAACATTTTTTATCATTCTTCCCTCTCTATCAAGTATAACCATCTCCCTGCATCTAACTTTCATTCTTTTTCTCCCCTTCCATTTTGATGGAAGAACTTTTTCTTTTCTTATCAGGGGCACCTCTTCATGTCTCCTTCTCAGTAAATGGCCCTAATCCCTGCTCAGGCTAAAAATCTAATAGTCATTCTTAATTTATTCTTTTAATATACATCTCCCATTTTGTCCACTAAGAAGTTTTGTTGGCTTTGCCTTCAAAATACATCTTAAACCTGTGTCTTGTCACATTCACTATTACTATCGTAAGCCACCATATTTCCCTCTGAACTATGGCCCTTTCTTCCCAGCTTCACACCCCGGTATCAATTTCATTCATCTATATCCACATAGCATATACCTTTTTACAAATTTTGATTTACTTCTTCATTGGTACACAGTAAATACACATATTTTCTGGGTACATGTGATAATTTAATACATTCATATAATTTGTAAAGAGCAAATCAGTGTAATTAGGATGTCCACCACCTTAAATATTTTTCTTTATACTAGAAACATTTGAATTATTCTCTTCTGGTATTTTGAAATATACAATAAACTATTGCAAGCTATAGTCATCCTACTGATCTATCAAACACTAGGTCTTATTTTATTTATCAAATTGTATGTTGGTGCCCATTTATTATTTTTAATTAATCTCTTTATCTCCCCCTCCCCCTACCCTTCCTGGCCTCTGGTAACCACCAATCTACTGTCTATGTTTATGAGATCCACTTTTTTAGCTGCAACATCTTAAGGAGAAAATGCAAATTTGTCTTTCTGTGCTTGGCTTATTTCATTTACATAATGACCTCCTGTTCCATCCATGTTGTTGCAAATGACAGGATTTGATTCTTTTTTATGACTGAATAATATTTGTACGCTACCTTTTTTTTTTTTTGAAGGAGTCTTGCTCTGTTGCCCAGGCTGAAGTGCAATGGCACTGGTGATCCACCCGCCTCAGCCTCCCAGAGTGCACACTACCTTTCTTTTTAGAGGCATAAATTAAATTATGCCACACACCCCATCTCAAAATCCCACAGTGGACCTCTGATATATATATATCAATAGAAGTCTCCAAAACTGAAAAGCAAAGAAAATAGAGACTGAAAAAACGTGGAACAGAATATTCAATAACTGTAGAACAACTATAGAAATGTAACTTATGCATAGGGGGAAAACCAAAGGAAGAAGAAAAAGAGAAAAGAACAGAAGAAATATTTGAAACAACAATAATTGAGAATTTCCCCAAATTATTGTCAGATATCAAAACACAGATTCACCAAGCAGGATAAATGGAAAAGGAAAGGAAAAGGAAAGGAAAAATTTTCAAATTAAATACAATCAAAGATGAAGAAAGAAACCCAAAAAAGAATCCCAAAAAATGACACAAGAGAAATAAACACCTTGCCTGTAGAAGAGCAAAGAATCACATCTGACACCCTCAGAAACCAGGTTAGCAAGAAGATAATGAATGAAAATATTTAAAGTGTTAAGAGAAAAGAAATCATCAACCTAGAATTTCTTACCCCATTAAGCTACCTTCAAAAGTAAATGGGAAATAAAGATCTCAGACAAATATTGAAAAAAATGTGTTGCCAGTAGCCCTGCATTGCTAGAAATGTCAAAGGAAGTTCTTTAGGCAGAGGGAAAATGATATCAGTCAGAAACTTTGATCTATATAAGAAAAGAAGAGCATAAATGAATAAATAATAATGGTACATAACATAAAAACTACTACTTTTTTATTTTTAATTGATCTGTCAGATAATAGTTTGTTCAAAATTATAATAATAACAATGCATCCAAATATGTATGTATATGCTTATGTGTAAGTGAAATGAATGCCAGCAATGATACAAAAGATGAAAGAAAGAAATTAGGATTGCTTTGTTCTTTTTTTATTTTATTTTATTTTATTTTATTTTATTTTTTTCTGAAACAGTGTCTCGCTCTGTTGCCCAGGTTGGAGTGCAGTGGTGCAATCTCGGCTCACTGCAAGTTCTGCCTCCCGAGTTCAAGCCATTCTGCTGCCTCAGCCTCCTGAGTAGCTGGGACTACAGGCACCTGCCACCATGCCTGGGTAATGTTTTGTATTTTTAGTAGAGACAGGATTTCACCGTGTTAGCCAGGATGGTCTCGATCTCCTGACCCCATGATCCTCCCGGCTCAGCCTCCCAAAGTGCTGGGTTTATAGGCATGAGCCACCGAGCCCACCCGATTGCTTTGTTCTTATAAGGCACTCACATTACCTATGAAGCAGTAGAATGTTATTTGAAAATGAACTTGAGTTGGTTGTAAATATATACTGTAAACTCTAAGACAACCACTAATAGAGAAAAAAAAACAACACATACAATACATACAATTAATACACTAAAAGGAGGAGCAAATACAATAATATAAAATTCTCAATTAAAACCAAAAAAGGAAAAAAATTGTGAAAAATTTAAAAAGCAGGAACAAAAATAGAAAACAGTACAAATATAATAGATATTAACCCAACCATATGAATAATCATTTTAAATGTCCATGGTCTAAATGAATCATTTAAATGATAGATATTGTCAGAGTGGATCCAAAAAACATGACCCAACCGTATGTTATCTATGAGAAACCCATTTAAAATATAAAGACACGTATAGATTAAAAGTAAATTGATAGTAATTATATAATATGCTAACACTACTGACAAGAAAGCAGGAGTAACTATAGTAAATTTAGATAGAGCAGACTTTGTGAAAGTAATATGCATACATTTAATAGAAACCATACTTTGAGTAGCCATACAACCATTCTGTTTTTCCACTGTCAGTATGGTGTTCAAAAAATTATATAAGAATTTCAGCACTTTATTAGAAAATAGGCTTTGTGTTAGAAGATTTTGCCCAGGCCAGGCTAATGTAACTGTTCTGTGTACATTTAAAGCAGGCTAGGATAAGCTGATATTTATTAGGTTAAGGGTATTAAATGCATTTTCAACTTATGATATTTTCCATTTATGATGAGTTTATTGGGATGTACCACATTGTAAGTTCAGGATCATCTATAGCTGCAATGGAAAGAAATGGATTTGTAAAATATGAAAAGAACTAATATAAACTGCAATTTGCACGTAGGAAGAAAGAATAAACAAAAGATACTGAGATTATTTTAATATTTCAAGTTAGGAAGATTATTCTTTATATTTGTGCTGTTTGAGATGTTGCCACTAAGATAGTCTGAGCTATGTAAAAGTTGAATTTAAATTCTGATTTTTGCCATTCTAACCTCATTCATTTGAAGCCTGAAGGCTTCCAATCAAACACAGACTTTTATCCAAATTTTGTTGAAAATTTTTATACTGTATGAAATATCTGTTTTAAACACCCACCTCAGGAGAAATAACAATATTTATAATATAATTTATAAAATCAAATGTCCTATGTTTCTAGAATTTTCTTCACATTTCTCTTATTGCAGGAGTAGCTATAGTAAATTTACACAGAACAGACTTCACAACATAATAAGTTATCAGAAATAGAGTTCTTATGTAATGATAAAGGAATCAATTCTTCTAACAGACATAACAATCCTTTACCTGCGTGTATGAATATTTTTCAACATTTGAAAAACAATTCATGTAATTTATCACATTGACAGGTTAAAAAAGAAAAATCCCATGTTCATATTAGTACATGAAGAAAAACATTTGACAAAATACAGGAATCATTCATGATTAAAACTCTCAGTATACGAGGAATAGAGGGGTTCATCCTCAGTGTGATATGGAATATCCACAAAAAACCTATAGCTAACCGTATACTTAATGATAAGAAACTAGCAGCTTCCCCACTAAGATCAGGAATAAGGCAAGGATGTCTCCTCTCTCACTGCTTTTCAACATCCTACTTTTGTTTTATTGTACATATTATTTATAGTAATTTTTTAAAGTAGATATTAAGAATATTTTACAGGTAAGAGAACTGAGTCTCCAGAGAGATTAAGTCACTTGCCCAATTTCAAACTGAGTGGTAGTATAAGAACCTGAATTCAGGCCGGGCGTGGTGGCTCACGCCTGTAATCCCAGCACTTTGGGAGGCCGAGGCGGGTGGATCATGAGGTCAGGAGATCGAGACCATCCTGGCTAACAAGGTGAAACCCCGTCTCTACTAAAAATACAAAAAATTAGCCGGGCGCGGTGGCGGGCGCCTGTAGTCCCAGCTACTCGGGAGGCTGAGGCAGGAGAATGGCGTGAACCCGGGAAGCAGAGCTTGCAGTGAGCCGAGATTGCGCCACTGCAGTCCGCAGTCCGGCCTGGGCGACAGAGCGAGACTCCGTCTCAAAAAAAAAAAAAAAAAAAAAAAAACCTGAATTCAAAGTCAAGTGTGTTTACCTTGTTGCTATGCTGCTGTGTGTTTTAGTAGAATACACCATTGGCAACATACCTGAGTTTTAAATGGTGAGCTTCCATATTTGAAATTCTGTATGAATAAGAATGAAAAAATATTTAACTAGATTCTTTTGACAGATGAAAAACACAAACACAGCATCCCTGAAAATGAAATTTTCAATGATTTGGTATTAATTTGCTAATTATATAAGTAATCAAATTAAGCATTTCGCTACATT
The DNA here is from genome assembly GCF_000001405.40 of Homo sapiens. Lineage (NCBI taxonomy): Eukaryota > Metazoa > Chordata > Mammalia > Primates > Hominidae > Homo > Homo sapiens. Next base: position 85,889,484 of record NC_000012.12, read on the forward strand.
CTCATTTTTTTATCATGTACATATTAGTAACTGAATGAAGAAAAAATTATGTTAAGACTTTAGAACATTATCTTTCAAATATGTTTCTTTTATTACAGATACATTTCTTTTGTTTCTCCCATGAATAAACTCATGTTTTCTATGCAAAATATAATAATTAAAAGTCATACTGAAATTGCAACAAAGTTTTAAATTTATGTTATATTTTTATACATATGCTACAACAAATATAAAAATTATCTTACTTTTTTAACAGCTGAAAAGGTTAGCTACTATTCATCCCCACTTATTTGCATATGAAAAAATAATTCGGCTTTTTATGTAATGTTTATTTAATATTAGTATTATAAATTAATATTATTTGTGAAATACAATAATTGGTATTATAAAACACATGTCTCTTTCAAAATCTTGAATTTTAAAAATGTATTCAGAAAGTTTTCAAAAATTCAGTACTCATGCTTGCTTTTTATCTCCTGTGGATATGTATTACAAATAAACAAACTTGATACTTCTCAGAAAACAAATAACAGAACAATAGAAAACATTCTTTGGAAAACGGTATGGAGATTTCTCAGAGAACTAAAAATAGAACTATCCTTTGATTCAGCAACTCTGCTCCTGGGTATCTGCCCAAAGGAAAAGAAATCCTTATATCAAAAAGATACTTGTATGTTTATCTCAGCACCATTCACAATAGCAAAGATATGGAATCAACCTAACTGGCCATCAACGGATGCCTGGATGAAGAAAACGTGGTATATACACAATGGAATACTACTCAGCCATGAAAACAATGAATCATGTGCTTGCAAGTAACATGTGTGGAACTGGAGGGCATTATGTTAAGTAAAACAATTCAGAAACTGAAAATCAAATATTGCATGCTCTCACTTGGAAGCAGGAACTAAATCATGTGTACACATGACGTGGAGTGTGAAATGATAGACATTGGAGACTTGGAATGGTAGAGAGGTGGTAGGAGAGTGACTGATGAGAAATTATTTAACAGGTATGATATACATTATTTAGGAGATGGATACAGTGAAAGCCAAGACTTCACCACTGTACAATATATGCATAGTGCACATATACACATGATAAAAATATACAAAATTGCACTTGTACTTCTGAAATTTATATAGATTTAAAAAACAAAGAAAGATGCTTACAAACAAACAAACAAAAACTACTCTTAAAGATCAAGGCTACCACCAGACCAAATTTTTAATAAGATGTCATTTCCTCCCAGTGGATAGGATACAGCCCTGTGTCTATGTGCACAGCTAGGCCAGCAGAGCATGGACAATATTTTATCTTCCACCATTCTCTCTTCTGGAAACCCTTGTGCTGAGCACACCTTGCCCACGTAGGCACTGGCAAGGCTAAAGAACTTAAAAGTAGTTGCTAATTCAAATATCAACTGGATACTAATTTGAGCCTTAAGTTACACTAACAGAAAAAAAGAAGTCCTCTTCTGAAAGTTTGGCATTTAGTGTTGAATCATTATTAACTCTGATTAAATTTACTCAAGTGACAGATTATATTTTTTAAAAATCTTAATTGGAAATATTCCGTGCACGGTGGCTCACACCTGTAATCCCAGCAATTTGGGAGGCCTAGGCGAGCAGGTCACCTGAGGTCAGGAGTTTGAGACCAGCCTGATCAACATGGTGAAACCCCATCACTACTAAAAATACAAAAATTAGTCGGGCATGGTGGTGGGTGCCTGTAATCCCAGCAACTCGGGAGGCTGAGGCAGGAGAATCATTTGAACCTGGGAGGCGGAGGTTGCAGTGAGCTGAGATCATGCCACTGCACTCCAGCCTGGGTGACAATGAGAGACTCCATCTCGAAAAAAATAAATAAATAAATCTTAATTGGAAACATATCTCTGTGCTGTATTTATTTTTATCAGAATTAATTCTGGACAAAATTGCAAAGAAGCAGTTTTTCTCTAGTTTCCTTTCTCCTTCCATCTTGCATCATTTTTTCCTCCTCTGGGTGACAAATTTACAATGACCATCTCAAAACTAAGAGACAGTTTGGTTCTCTCCGCAAGGAGCCTACAACCTCTTTTGCAATGTCTTTCTTCCCCTACCTTTCAGATTCTGGTTTCTCTGCCCTTTTGCTGATCTGTACCATAAAGACCCAGATGAAACAACTTCTCGTCAGGGTGAAGAGGGAATGTGTGTGCCAGCAATTGCATGCTCACTTTGGTTGCCTGGAGAGGAGGGAGACTGGTGACAACTCCCACATGATATATTTAACTTCATCTAAGACATACTAATGTACAGAGTAGTAAAGTGGCATGTTTTAAAGCTACACTAATTTATTACACAGCAAGTATTAGAAACAAGGTTCATTTATTTTTTCATGTAGTTTCTTCCCTGAGAAAGGCCTCCTGAGGCAAATAAAGCTGGCTCATTAAACATTATCAAAGTATTGTGCCAGGTTGAACTTACTTAGAAATGGAGAGCAGGAGTTCCAAGTTGTAGCCGGAAACTTAAGTGCAGCTTGTTGTTACTGTTGAACGCAGACTGTTAGAGCAGTGTTTCTCAAATGAAGGCTGGCTTCTTCATCTGAGTTAAAAATATAAATTCTGTGACTTCCTTGCAGAATTAGTAAATCAGAATTTCTGAGAGTGAAGTTTGTTTTTATTATTATTATTATTAGTTTATTTTTTAAGACAAGGTCTCACACACTCGCCCAAGCTAGAGTACAGTGGAATGATCATGGTTTACGGCAGCCTCAACCTCCTGTACTCAAGCTTTCCTCCCATCTCTGCCTCCATAGTAGCTGGGACTACAGCTGCAAACCATCATGCCCAGCTAGCTAAGTTTTTTTTTTTTCCCTTTTGTAGAGATGGGATCTTGCCATGTTTCCCAGGCTGATCTTGAACTCCTGGCTTCAAGTGATCCTCCTGCCTCAGACTCCCAAAGTGCTGGGATTACAGGTGTGAACCACTGCACCTGGTCAAAATTTGGTATTTTTATTTGTAATAAGCTACTTGGGTAACTGTGATACACAGTAATATATGGGAAATATCTGGCTGTTAGCTATTTTTAGAGAATTACTTTCCACCTAGTAATCTATGTGTGACATAAATAGATTTTGTGTCTATTGTAGGAATAAAGGGAAAATTTCCCTTTTATCCTCTGAAGGTTTGCTGAAATATAAACTGAAAAAAGATGGATTAATAGGAGATAAGGCATAAAAATTTACTTGATCATAGTTTTATTTGAAAAGCAAGCCTTCAGTATGAAGACCCAAAGATACAGAGAAAACTGTCCATTTTTATTCTTTGGTTCAATAAAGTATGGAAAATTGTATAAAAAAGACAGAATAAAAAAGGGTATGATCTAATGCCAGCACATTGAGTGGGAAAAGCCAGCAAGGCCTGTATGTCTATATTCTTCTTGGCCTCTCTGTGCAGCACTTTTTTATTCTAGGTATGGGGTAGCATCCTTTCTGAAATGAAGTTCTTATGACCTACAATCAAACAAGTTAGGTCAATTTAATGGCCAGTTTTTACACAGAAAGGTGGAGGAAAGAGCAATATTTTGGGGTTTTATGGTGGGCTTTAGGGGAAAAGCCTACTTTCTATGACTCACCTTGCAGAAGAGGGATCCTAGTTTCTATGGCCTCCCTCAGGGAAGAAGGAGGGAAGAGAAACAGGAGAATAGGACAAAGTCAGAGAGAAACTTTTGCCTCTGAAGCAGTTTCTTTATATATTAATTATTAATTTTTGCGAGTACATAGTAGGTGTATGTATATATGGGGCATATGAGATGTTTTGATACAGGCCTTCAATGTATAATAATTGAATTAGAGTATATGGGGTATCTATCACCAAAGCATTTATCATTACTTTGTGTTACAAATATCCCAATTATATATACTCTTTTAGTTCTTTTTGAATATACAATAAATTATTATTGATTGTAGTCACCCTGTTGTGGCAAATACTAAATCTTATTCATTCTAACTATATTTTTGTACATGTTAACCACCTCCTCCTCCCTCACCCCAACCCCACTACTCTTCCCAGCCTCTGGTAACCATCCTTTCACTCTCTATGCCTATGAAATCAATTGTTTTAATTTTTAGTTCCTACAAATTAGTGGGAACATGCAAAGATTGTTTTTCTGTGCCTGGCTTATTTCACTTAACATAATGACCTTCAGTTCCATCCATGCCATTGCAAATGACAGAACCTAATTCTTCTTATGGCTGAATAGTACTCCATTGTGTATATATGTACTACATTTTCCTTTTCCATTCATCTGTTGAGGGATACTTAGGTTGATTCCAAATCTTGACTATTATAAATAGTGCTGCCATAAACATGGGAAAGCAGATATCACTTCAATATACTGATTTCCTTTCTTTTGGATATATAGCTAGCAGCTGGGTTGCTGGATCATATGGTAGCTCTATTTTTAGTTTTTTGAGGAACATCCATACGTTTTTCATAGTGGTTTGCCAATTTGCATTCCCACCAACAGCGTATGAGGCTTCCCTCTCTCTGGCATTCATATCCTTGCCAGCATTCATAATTGCTGCTATTTTGGATAAAAGCCATTTGAAATGGGGTGAGATGATATCTCATTGTAGTTTGATTTGCATTTCTCTGATGATCAATGATGTTGAGCACCTTTTCATATACCTGCTTGCCATTTGTATGTCTTCTTTTGAGAAATGTGCATTCAGATCTATTGTCCATCTTTTAATCAAATTATTAGATTTTTTTCTCGTATAGAGTTGCTTGAGCTCCTTACATATTGTGGTAATTAATCCGATTTCAGATGGGTAATGTGCAAATATTTTCTCTCCTGTGAATTGTCTCTTCACTTTGTTGATTGTCTTCTTTGCTATGTAGAAGTTTTTTAACTTGATGTGATCCCATTTGTCCATTTTTGCTTTGGTTGCCTGTACTTTTGGAGTATTACTCAAAAAACTTTTCCCCAACCAATTTCCTGGAGAGTTTCTCCAGTGTTTTCTTTTAATTGTTTCATAGTATGAGGTCTTAGATTTAAGTATTTGATTCATATTATTTGATTTTTGTATATGGCAAAAGACAAGGGTTTAATTTCTTTCTTCTTCTTTTTTTAAATGTGCCACCATTTATTTACCAAATCACCTGTGCTAAACAGTAGGTCATTTTTATTTTTTGGTTATTGTTTACATTGTCTCAATTGACCTTACCAAAGACACATGTTTCAACAGTTGTTCAGTTTCTGAAGAATAAATGGTAAGGCTTTTGATACATAATGCCAAATTTCCCTTGGAAAGGTTGTATCAGAGGACAGTCCTTCCAGGAGCACAGAAAGCATGCCAGAGGACATGGACACACTCCATGTGCTGTCACTGGATTTTCCAGCCAGAGTGTCTTTGACTGCAGCTAATGAGAACTGGGAGATGGTATGGCTTCAACATAGACAGCTTGGTTTCAAATCTCAATTCTGTCACTCACTAGCTGTGTGACACAGGAAGTTTTCTGGGCTTTCATTTTCCTCATCCATAGCAATGCACATCTTACAGGGTTATTCTGAGGATGGAGTGAGATGATAGACAAAATGCACTTAGAATTACCCCTGGCACACAAGAAATAGTAACAAAACATTAGCTGTTTCATTGTTTACATAATTAAAATGATATACTGATACATTTGTCTGATGTTGTCATCTTGCTGGTTTGTATATTGTTGCTTATTAATTCTGTCAGAAGCAAAGATTTTTCTGTTTGATTATTAAAAAATCATACTTAAATCTACTTTATCTTCTAAATCTTGCAACAGCCCCAAACAATAAAATCCTGACCTAAGATATGAAATATAACAGCACCTGCAGGGATTAATTTTGCATATGTTGTAGAAAAAGTTCCTGAGGTTTCCTTTTGTTTAAATTTTAGGTTCAGGGGTATATTTGCATATTTGTTACATAGGTAAATTAGTGTAATGGGGTCTTGTTGTACAGATTATTTCATCATCCAGGTACAAATCTTAGTATCCAGTAGTTATTTTTTTCTGATCTTCTCCCTCCTCCCATCTTCCACCCTTAAGTACACTCCAGTGTCTGTTGTTTCTCTCTGTGTCCATGGGTTGTCACCATTTAGCTCCCACTTATAAGTGAGAGCAAGTGGTGTTTGGTTTTCTGTTTCTGCATTAGTTTGCTAAGAATGATGGCTTTCAGCTCCATCCATATTCCTGCAAAGGATATGATCTTGTTCTTTCTAATGGCAGTATGGTATTCCACGGTGTATATGTACCATATTTTCTTTCTCCAGTCTATTATTGATGGGCATTTAGGTTGATTGCATGTCATTGCTATTGTGAATAGTGCTTCAGTGAACACATACATGCAAGCGACTTTATGATAGAACAATTTATATTCCTTTGACTATATACCCAGTAACGGGATTGCTTGGTCAAATAGTAGTTCTGTTTTTAGCTCTTGGAGCAATCACCACGCTGCTTTCCATAATAGTTGAACTAATTTACACTCCCATCAACAGTGTATAAGCTTTCCCTTTTCTCTGAAACCTCACCACTATCTGTTATTTTTTAAATGTTTTAATAAAAGCAATTCTGACCAGTGTCAAATGGTATCTCATTGTGGTTTTGATTTTCATTTCTCTGTTGATCAGTGATATTGAGCTTTTTCTTCACATGCTTCTTTTGAAAATTGTCTGTTCATGTCCTTTGTCCACTTTTTAATAGGGTTGTTTGTTTTTTTCTTGTAAATTTAATTCTCTATAGATATTGGATATCAGATCTTTGTCAGCCACATAGTTTGCAAAACTTTCTCTCATTCTGTTTATTCTGTTGTCTGTTTATTCTGTTGATAGTTTCTTTTGTTGTGCAGAAGCTCATAAGTTTAATTTTTTAGTTAATTATTTGTCAATTTTTTATTTTTTACTTTTATTTTTGTCAATTTTTGCTTTTCTTGCAATTACTTTTGGCATCCTCATTGTGAAACCTTTGCCAGTCACTATGTCCAGAATGATATTTCTTAAGTTATCTTCCAGGGTTTTAATAGTCTTGAGTTTTACCTTTAAGTCTTTATTCCATCTGGCGTTGATTTTTGCATATGGTGTAAAAGAGAGTTCCAGTTTCCTTCTTCCTCCTTCCCCTATTATCAATATCCCCACCAGACTGATAAATGAATTACAAATAATATAATTGTATTTAAGAACTATATCAGTTTGTAATCATCATTTCTTAAAGTTTGTAGTTTACATTAAGGTTCACTCTTGGTCTTGAACATTCTAGGGGTTTGGGAAAATATATAATGATATGTATGCATCATTATAATATCATACAGAGTATTTTCATTGCCCTGAAATCTGTGTTCTATCTATTTATCCCTCTCCTCACCCTGACCCCTGGCAAACACTGATCTTTCCATTGTCTTCACAGTTTTGCCTTTTCCAGAATACTATATAGTTGGAATCACATAGTATGTAGTTTTTCAGACTGAGTCCTTTCACTTTCCAGTATGCAGTTAAATTTCCTCCATGTTTTTTCATGGCTTGACCACTCATTTCCTTTTAGCACTGAATAATGTTGCATTGTCTGAATGTACCACAATTTATTTAGCCATTCACCTAGTGAGGGACGTCTGAGTCTTTCCACAGTTTGGCAATTATGAATAAAGCTGCTATAAACATTCTCGTACAGGTTTTTTTGTGGACATAAGTTTTCACTTCTTTAGATAAATAACAAGAAACACAATTGCTAGATCATATGGTTTAAGAGTATGTTTAGTTTTATAAGAAACTGCCTATCTTCCAAAGTGGCTGTACCATTTTGCATTCTCAACAGCAATGAATAAGAATTTATGTTGCTCCACATCCCTGAGAGAATTTGTTGTAGAATATTGTATTTTAGCTTGCATCCCCTGATTTCTTAGCCCATAAACCCTTCATTCCACACTGAGATGGGAAGTCTGCTAATTTCATTGTGATAACTGATTCTTTTCAGTTTTCATCTGAATGACTGTTAATAGTAGAGAAGTACTCTTGAAGTCAGAGGAATATGATGTAATAAATCATTCAGATATTTCACATAACAGAATCAGAATAGTAGAAAGGCTTTTTCATGTTGTGTTCACTGATAAAACTTTATAATGAGGCTGGGTGTGGTGACTCACTCATGTAATCCCAGCACTTTGGGAAGCTGAGGTGGGCAGATCTCTTGAACCCAGGAATTCAAAACCAGCCTGTGCACCAGGACAAAACCCCATCTCTTCAAAAAATTAGTTAGTCATGATGGTGTGCGACTGTAGTCCCAGTTACTCAGGAGGCTAAGATGGGAGAATTGCATAAGCCCAGGAGGTTGAGGCTGCAGGGAGCCGTGATCATGCCACTGAACTCCAGCCTAGGTGACAAGAGTGAGACCCCTTTTCAAAAAAATATATAAAAAACTATAATGAAAGTAAACCTGATTTTGCCTTATGCTCTGAATTCATTTAAGTGTAAAAACATGTCTGAATAAGCCACAGAACCTCTAGCATGAAATGCGCAAACACTAATGATATGGCCTAACTCTCTGGCTTCATAATCTCTCATTCTCGCATGGTGAACTATGTGCATTTACTGTTTATTAATTGTGCTCTTTGCTCCTGATAACGTCTCATCCTTTTCAGATTAAGACAAAATATTACTACTTGGAAGTGTTTTCTAACCTACAGCTCACCACCAAAAGCTCAGTTAGGTCTCACTGCTGTTCCTCTTCTGTACTGCTGTGATACCTTATGTATGTCCTTGTTAGCAGATTTACCACATGGTATTATAATAGATTGCATGCTTTTCTGAAGACAGTTCAAACTTCCTTTAGTTAAATATTATGCCCTGTTCATATCTGTATCCCTCACTTAGTTCCTGGCACATAGTATGCGCTCATGAAAATGTTTGTTGAATAAATAAATCATTGCTTAGCTAAGGTAGGCAATGATTGCAGTCATTCATCTTCACCCATCTCTTTTGTGGATAGTCCTCTAAGAAGATGTATTTAGAAAGACCCAAGTCTGCCCCTTTATAGAACCAACTGTGGCCAGGTGCGGTGGCTCACACCTGTAATACCAGCACTTTGGGAGGCCAAGGCGGGCAGATCACCTGAGGTCGGGAGTTTGAGATGGGCCTTACTAACATGGTGAAACCCTGTCTATACTAAAAATACAAAAATTATCCGGGCGTAATGGGGGTCGCCTGTAATCCCAGCTACTCAGGAGGCTGAGGCAGGAGAATCGCCTGAATCCAGAAGGCGGAGGTTGCAGTGAGTCAAGATAGCTCCATTGCACTCCAGCCTGGGCTACAGAGCGAGACTCCATCTCAAAAAAAAAAAAAAAAAAAAAAAAAAAAGAACCAACTGTAAGATCCCGTATGAATACTAATATTCTATGTATAGCAGTTTTTTGGTTTCTATTTCAGAATGGTAATGAGGCTGTACCAAAAATTGGAGTGCCACTGTCGTCTATGGAACTAGCGCTGTCAGAAATTTGCTTATCCAGCTCAGTTTATGATAAGTAGCACATGCATTGAAGTCCTCAAGAAAGAGCTGCCCTAGCTGTCTGAAATTCATCCAGGAGGCATCCCAGGCTTAATATCCTCTTACTGAGCCCACCTACCCTGGTGAACAAATTGACTCCCTCCACCAGGCATTGCTATTCTAACCAGGACCAACCCAAAATAAGTTTTCTCTGTTTAAAAACAACAGTCTAACTGAAGTTAGGTTTTCTATGACAGAAAATCTTTTAGTGCTTCCAAGCTTTTCATAAATGACTGCATCTGATGTCTACTTTGTTCCAATTAAAATTACATTAGACTTTTATTGGGCATTCAATATACAGACTTTAGGAGAAGAATTCTCATGAGTACTGAAATACTAACAGCTGGAAATATGTATAAATAAATCTACATAAGAGTTTTTGAGTGTTCTCAGCAGGGTCCTGGGGAAAAATAAGTGAGGAATTTAAACTATTTCTTGCTATATTATTATTGGTAACTTTGGAAGGAGGCATAAAGCAATGTACTGTGAGGCTACCTTCAGCATGGGACAGTCTAATGAAAGAAAAGATATCTGACATTTACAAGAAAAGCCTTCATGTCCCTGGATTTAAATTCAGTGAGTGTTAAAGTATCCTGTTTCATGCTTGTAAAGCTAATTCCTGCTTACTGAAGAACTTACCACTTTTCTAGTAGATGGAAGCTGGCTGTTTAACTGTCCTCAGGTAAGCAGTTCGACTCATTTGCTCTCCTAACCAAATTTTAATCAAGGGAAAACTGTCAACATAGAGAGCAGTTTAGATATGTTCACTTTTCTCCTTCTAAAATGTCTTCTTGCTATCTAAAATGTGCCCAAATACAACCAAATAATAGAGTTGCCAAAATAGTTTCATGAAATTCTGAGTGATAATCACAAAGACACCAGGATGAGTACCAAGGCCAGGTTAGTTTTCTGAGAACATCATTATTTAGGGTTTTAAGTCTTAAAGCTTTGTTTTGTTTTCAGACTCTTTTTTTTTTTCCAAAGAATTTTGATACCAATTTCATCAAGATGCAAAAAAGGGTCTAGTTATTAAAATTAATTAAATTTTCTTTTAATTAACAAATACTTCTTGAGTACCTACTTTCTGAGACACTGTGAATAGCATTGCAAACACCAGTATAAAGACATCCTTCCAACTGTGTGTAAATAATACCTTTCAGTATTACATGTTTTTTTCAGATGAATAAGTTCAGGCAAAGGGATATGCTCATGAACAGAGCACTGACAGAAATTCTTTTTACCCTGTGTTTCATCTTACCTCAATCCTGCCTCCTGTAACACAGATGCCTTCTTGGACCATAAGGTCTGGGGAAACACACAAAGTGTGGCACAACAGCGACTTGGAAGAAGCTTAAGTCACTGAGAAGCAGAGGCACCTCACTAGCCCTGGATGATACACCTCTGGATTTTTATATGAGAAAGAAAAAACACTTATGTTTTGTTAAGCTGGTTGTAATTTTAAGATTTTCTCTTATTAAAGCTAAAATTATGATCAAATCACCTCCCAATCTCCTTTTGCCTTATAAATCCTTCACCACATAGACCAGAAATCATTCCTACTGACAAGCTTCCCCTGATAAGGACTAACCAAAGCAGCTAAAATGTAAAGTAAAATAAATTTCTACAATGCAGCATAAATAGGAAATATGACATAGAACCTAAGAAACAGAGGATTGAGAAAATGTGAGGCACAGACAAATTTAAAGAGATTTCTAAGCACTTACAGAAAGTTTAAGGATTCCCAAGCAGGATGAATAAAACAATATTTATATACAGACAATTATTAGTGAAACTACAGAACACAAACAACTCTTAGAAGCAGCAAACTATTTCTAACTCCACATAATCTAATCACTTAAAAACTGGTAAATAGACTGAATTGAATTCTCAGTAACAATAGAAGTCGGAAGACAGTGAATCGTCTTTAACGTGTCAAGAAAAATAACTCTCAGCTGAGATTTCTGTGCCCAGTAATAGAACATTTCAAGAGCAAGTAAAAAATAACGATCATTTCTTTAATTTAGAGATTTTGACAGCATAGAAAATAATTTTGGAAAGAAAATAATTCTATTAAAATACCTGGGATGCAAGAAGAAGTGGTGAGTAAAGGTATTGGTAAATATGAGCTAAATCAAAACGCCAATAGACTACATTAGGGAGAGTAATAGTATAAACTTTGAGGGATTAAAAAAGGCAAACTTTTGATTGAATCAAAACACTCATCAGCATCTTCATATTAGAAAGAAAGGAGTTGGAGGCTAAAATATTTAAGTTGTTGAATTATTTCAGAACATCTAAATACATCGATTGATGTATGACTCAAAGTATACACCAAAATAATAGGTATAGAGTAATTTGTAAACTGGCAAAGAAAAAAAAACATGGAAAGGAGATAAATAAAGGGGAAAAATAAGTTCAATAAATCTTGAAGATGGCTTGAGAAGAAAAACAGAAAATAAATAGGAAATGAAAAATAAATCAGTCATCTGTGGTGTGACTTTGGGAATGATGATGTGACGTTTTCTATGAAACCTCTCCCATAAGGAGACATTTTATTAAAGGTATCAAAAACATGAAAAATAAAATATTCAAAATCTATCCAAATTGATTGAAGAACTTGTAACAAATTAAGAGGCATTTACTCAGCACATCTACAGAACTTGGTAAGAGCGGGGCAGGTCATGTCATTGGAACTCAGAGCTGCACCCATTCCTCCACAGTTCTGTATGCTGAAAGAGTAATTTTTCTGGGCTCAACAGCAAAGTGGTAGTTTTCATATCCCCCAACTTTCTATTAAATAGTATGGAATTGCTATTTTGGGTGGACTCAATAACAAATAAAACATGGTCAGATCCCGTCTTACCTGGCTCTGCGTTGCTGAAGATATATACTGGGCAGTGGTGGCAGCTAGATGATGACTCCAATTCTTCCTTCCCTAACAACTTGTTCCTCAGGGAGGATCATCATGGCACAGGCAGTGAAAAGAGGTTTCTAATCTACCCCTAGATATATATAGGCAAGAGAAATGAAAACGTGTCCACACAAAATCTTGCACACAAATGTTCATACCATCAGCATTTATGATAGTTAATAGGGGAAACACAGCTCTCCATCAATTGACGAATAGGTAAACAAAATATAGTATAACTCAAAATGTTATACATATTAAAGTGAGTTACAAATAACATGTTACGTGATTCCAATCATACAAAATATGCAAAATAGGCAATTCCATAGAGAAATATGATAGATTAGTGGTTGCTTAGGACTTACGGAAGGGAGATGTGACGGCTAATGGGTATAAGGTTTCTTTTGGAGTGATGAAAATGTTCTCAAATTACATTATAGTAAAGCCTGTACTACTCTGTAAATAGACAAAAAACCATTATAAACTATAAACTTTAAACAGGTGAACTTTATTTTGCATAAATTATATATCAATAAAAATATTAATGTAAAAAATGATGAAAATAACATGAATAAACCATTGGTTTCAATGTATGAGGCAAAATAAATGACAGAACTGCAAAGATAATCAATAAATCCAGCAACAAAGTGGTAGGTTTTACTACCTGTTGTTATGGAGTAAATTGTGTTTTTTCCAAAATTTATATGTTGAAGCCCCAACCGCCAGTATTTTAGAATGTGGCTGTATTTAGAGAGAAGGACTTTAAAGAGATAATTAAGGTGAAATGAGATAACAAATGTGGGTCCTAATCCGATCTGACTGTTGTCTTCACAAGAAAAGGAAGAGATAACAGAGATGTCTGTGCACAAAGGAAATGTCATATGAGGACACAGGGAGAAGGTGGCTATCTGCAAGCCAGAGAGAGAGGCCTTAAGAAAAACCAAACCTGCCAACACCTGATCTTGGACTTCTAATCTCCAGAACTGTGAGAAAATCAATTCCTTTTCTTAAGGCCACCCTGTCTGTATCATTTTATTAGGGCAACAATAGGAAACTGATATGCCTCTCTTTCAATATTTGATAGATAAATACACACCAAATCACTATAAAAAATTAGATTTAAAAATTATAAATATCTAATGGACATAGAGGTGATTTCTCACACAAAAACTGGGAAGTATGTATTCTTTTCAAGCACACTTGGAGCATTTCTTTTAAAAATTTAATTCATATTAGGCCATAAAAAAGCCTTGCCAAAATTCAAAGAGTCACACAGACCTCATTGCATGTTCAAAATCTAATTAAGTTAGGCATAAATAGAAATATTTATAACCAGAAAAATCCTCAAGTTTAGAAATTTAGAAATACAATATTAATCCATAAGTCAATAGAAAAAATCATAAAATATTTACAACACTATAGTAATGAAAATGGTATATGTATCTACATACTCATATACATGCAATAATGAAAAATATATAGGTAAAATAAGTTGTCATATAATACAAATTGTATAATTTTTTTCTTTTTTTTTTTTTTTTTTTGGGGTCTCACTCTGCGGCACAAGCTGGAGTGCAGTGGCACCATCATAGCTCACTGCAACCTTGAATTACTGTCTTCAAGTCATACTCCTACCTTGGTTTCCCAAGTAAATAGGACTGAACACACCACCAGGACTTTTTTTTTTTTTTTAATAGACAACGTATTTCCACATTGCTCTGGCTGAGCTTGAACTCCTGGCCTCAAGGGATTCTGCCTGGGCCTTTCATAGAGTTGGGATTACAGGTTTGAGCCACCGTGCTGACTCCATTATTTATTTATTTTTTCTGACCATGTAACACTTTGAGATACCAATTTAATAAAGTGTCTATCGGACTTGGTTTGATCTTCTACCTCATAGATTTTATACAACCATGCAAACCAATCTCTTACATCAAAACTCGGTAGTTATGCTGGTGAAATTTTTTTGTCAGTTATTGCTTGGTTGTTTTTTTAATCTTTCTTTTTAAATTTTTTATTTCCTTAAGTTATTGGGGAACAGGTGTTTGGTTACATGATTAAGTTCTATAGTGGTGATTTGTGAGATTGTGGTGCGTCCACCACCCAAGCAGTATACACTGCACACAATTTGTAGTCTTTTATCCCTCAATCCCTTTCCACCCGTTCCCTCCAAGTCCCCAAGTCCATTGTGTCATTCTTATGGCTTTGCATCCTCATAGCTTAGGTCCCACTTATGAGTGAGAACATGCAATGTTTGCTTTTCCATTCCTAAGTTACTTCACTTAAAATAATAGTCTCCAATCTCATCCAGGTCGCTGTGAATATTGTTAATTCATTTCTTTCATGGCTGAGTAGTATTCCATCACACACACACACATATATATGTATATATATGTATATATATACACGTATAGCTATATATATCACAGTTTCTTTATCCACTGGTTGATTAATCGGCAAAATTCATATTTTTGCAATTGCAAATTGTGCTGCTATAAACATGCATGTGCAAGTATCATTTTTGGATAATGACTTCTTTTCCTCTGTGTAGATACTCTTCATCCAGTGATTTGACTGTCAAAATTTCTCTTTCTTTTAAACCCTATGCTTCAAAATGTCAAAAAATTCTGTCAGTTCTTCCTTTAAAATATATCCTAACTTTGAGCTATCAATTACATATTTTTATTCTTTTATTTTTATTTTATTTATTTTTATTTTTCTATAGGTTATTGGGGTACAGGTGGCGTTTGGTTACATGAGTAAGTTCTTTAGTGGTAATTTGTGAGATTTTGGTGCACCCGTCACCCGAGCAGTGTACACTGCACCTTATTTGTAGTCTTTTATTCTTCACCACTCTCCCCGCCTTTCCCTCCAAGTCCCCAAAGTCTATTGTGTCATTCTTATGCTTTCGTGTCCTCATAGCTTAGCTCCTACATATCAGTGAGAACATACAATGTTTGGTTTTCCATTCCTAAGTTACTTCACTTAAAATAATAGTAATAGTCTCCAGTCTCATCCAGGTGGCTGTGAATGCCGTTAATTCAGTCCTTTTTTTGGCTGAGTGATATTCCATCATATATATCTTTATATCAATCAATGAGTGGATTTTTATCCACTCATTGATTGATAGCATATATTGATTGATGGTTTATATTGATTGATAGCATATATATCTTTATATCAATCAATGAGTGGATTGATAGCATTTGGATTGGTTCCACTATTTTGCAATTGCTAATTGTGCTGCTATAAACATGTGTGTGCAAGTTGTTTTTTTTTTTTGTATAGTGACTTCTTTTCCTCTGGGTTGATACCCAGTAGTGGGATTGCTAAATCAAATGGTAGTTCTACTTTTAGCTCTTTAAGAAATCTCTGCACTGCTTTCCATAATGGTTGTACTAGTTTACATTTCCACCAGCAGTGTGGAAGTGTTCCCTGATCACCACATCCATGCCAACATCTCTTTTTTTTTTATTTTTTGATTATGGCCATTCTTGCAGGAGTAAGGTGGTATTGCATTGTGGTTTTGATTTGCATTTCCTTGATAGTTTGTGATGCTGAGCATTTTTTCATCTGTTTGTTGGCCATTTGTGTATCTTCTTTTGAGAATTGTCTATTCATGTCCTTAGCCCAATTCTTGATGGGATTGTTTGTTTTTTCCTTGCTGATATGTTTGAGTTCACTGTTGATTCTAGATATTAGTCCTTCGTCAGATGCATAGACTGTGAAGATTTTCTCCCACTCTGTGGGTTTTCTGTTTTATCTCTGTTCCTTTTGCAATGCAAAAGCTCTTCAGTTTAATTAAGTCCCAGCTATTTATTTTTGTTTTTATTGCATTTGCTTTTGGGTTCTTGGTCATGAAATCTTTGCCTAAGCCAATATCTAGAAGGATATGTTATCTTTGATATCTAAAAGATATCCAATGTTATCTTTGATATCTAAAAGATATCCAATGTTATCTTTTAGAAGTTTTACAGTTTCAGGTCTTAGATTTAAGTCCTTAATCCATCTTGAGTTGATTTTTGTATGAGATGAGGGATCAGATTCCACTTTCATTCTCTTACATGTGGTTAGCCAATTATCCTAGTGCCATTTGTTGAAAATGGTGTCCTTTCCTTTCCCCACTTTGTGTTTTTGTTTGTTTTGTTGAAGATCAGTTGGCTGTGAGTGTTAAGGCTTATTTCTGCATTCTTTATTCTGTTACATTGGCCTATGTGCCTATTTTTGTACCAGTACCATGCTGTTTTGGTGACTATGGCCTTATAGTATAGTTTGAAATCAGGTAGTTTGAGTTGATGACTATGGCCTTATAGTATAGTTTAAAATCAGGTAGTTTGATTTGGTGACTATGGCCTTATAGTAGTTTGAAATCAGATTTTTTCTTTTTGGTTAGTCTTGCTTTGGCCATGTAGGCTCTTTTTTGGTTCCATATGAATTTTAGAATTTTTTTTCTCATTCTGTGAAGAATGATGGTGGTGTTTTGATGGGAATTGCATTGAATTTGTAGATTGCTTTTGGCAGCATGGTCATTTTCACATTATTGATTCTACCCCTCCATGAGCATGGGATGTATTTCCATTTGTTGGTGTCGTCTATGATTTCTTACAGCGGTGTTTTGTATTTTTACTTGTAGAGGTCTTTCACCTTCTTGGTTAGGCATATTCTTAAGTATTTTATGTTTTTTGCAGCTATTGTGAAAGGGGTTGAGTTCTTGATTTGATTCTCCCCTTGGTCACTGTTGGCATATAGAAGAGCTACTGGTTTGTCTGGTTTGTGTACATTAATCTTGTATCTGGAAACTTTACTGAATTATTTTATCAGTTTTACGTACTTTCTGGAAGAATCCTTAGGGCTTCCAAGGTCAATGATCATATCATAAGCAAATAGTGACAGTTTGACTTCCACTTTACTGATTTGGATGCCCTTTATTTCTTTCTCTTGTCTGATTGCTCTGGCTAGGACTTCCAATACTATGTTGAAGAGAAGTGGTGAGAGTGGGCATCCTTTTCTTGTTCCAGTTCTCAGAGGGAACACTTTCAACTTTTCCCCATTCAGTATTATGTTGACTGTGGGTTCGTCATAGATGGCTTTTATTACATTAAGATATGTCCCTTGTATGCCGATTTTGCTGAGAGTTTTAATCATAAAGTGATGCTGGATTTTGTCAAATGTTTTTCCTGCCTCTGTTGAAATAATCATGTGATTTTTGTTTTTAATTCTGTTTATGTCTGTATCGCATTTATTGACTTACGTATGTTAAACCATCCCCGCATCCTTGTTATGAAGCCCACTTGATCATGGTGGATATTCTTTTTGATATGTTGTTGAATTCGGTTAGCTAGTATTTTGTTAAGGATTTTAGTACCTATGTTCATCAGGAATATTGGTCTGTAGTCTTCTTATTTGGTTATGTTCTCTCCTGGTTTTGGTATTAGGGTGATGCTGACTTCATAGAATGAATCAGAGATTTCCTCTTAGTTTGAATCCATTTGCTGGTGAGCTAGTGTGATTTTGGGGTGATATTAAAGAGCCTTGTTTTGTCATATTTCCAGAGTTGGTCTTCTGGTTCCTTCTCATTTGTGTAGCCTCTGTCAGAGGGAAGGTCTAGGGCTGAAGGCTGCGGTTCAGATTCTTTTGTCCCATGGGGTGTTCCCTTGATGTAATACTCTCCTCCTTTTCCTATGGATGTGGCTTCCTGAGAGCTGAGCTGTAGTGATTGTTGGCTGTCTTCTGGGTCTAGGCACCCAGCAAATCTACCAGGCTCTAGGCTGGTACTGGGGGTTGTCTGCACAGAGTCCTGTGATGTGAACCATCTTTGGGTCTCTCAGCCTGTTCTGAGAGAATATACCAGCACCTGTTCTGGTGGAGGTGGCATGGGGGTGAAATGGACTCTGGAGTTCTTAGCTTTGGTGGTTTAATGCTTCATTTTTGTGCTGGTTGGCCTCTGGCCACCTCCTGCCAGGAGGTGGTACTTTCCAGACAGCATCAGCTATGGTAGTATGGAGAAAAACTTGTGGTGGGTGGGGCCCTAGAACTCCCGAGGGTACATACCCTTTTTGTTTAGTTAGCAGGGTGGGTAGGGAAGGACCATCAGGTGAGGGCAGGGCTAGGCGTGTCTGAGCTCAGACTCTCTTCGGGCTGGTCTTGCTGTGGCTGCTATGGGGGATGGGAATGAGGTTCCCAGGTCAATGGAGTTATGTACATAGGAGAATTATGGCTGCCTCTGCTAGGTCATGCAGGCTGTCAGGGAAGTGGGGGAAAGCTGGCAGTCAGTGAAGGGCTGGTCTCACTCTCACTGTGCCCCTACAACAGCACTGAGTCTATTTCCAGGCAGTGGGAAAGCAGGGCTGAGAACTTGCCCCAGGCTACTTGTCTGCCAGCTGTGAAAGAAAGTAGGGCTTTAGTTCTTCCCCTGCCTATGGAGTCTGCACGCTAGATTCATGTCTTCTCCTGAGTTCTGGCCAGGAGGCTTCTCAGACCAGTTCAAATTGTTACAAAGTTCAGCTGGAGAGTTCCTTCTCCCTGTCACGCTTTCCCTGCACCTCTGGCCACCCTCCCAAAGGATCCTTGTGATGCCAGTCAGGAATGGCCTGCTTGGGGACCCAGCAAGCTCAGAGGCTGTTTCCCGCTGCTTCCTTTACCCCTGTGTTTCACTTGTCTCCTAAATTAACTCAGCTCCAGGAAATATTTCAATTACTCTGATTTGATTATATGAATGTATCAAATTATCACATGTACCCTGAAAATATGTATATCCAATATGCATCAATAAAAGTAAGTAATTTTTAAAATGTAGGAAGGCACCAAAAAAAAATCCAGAAGGATAATTTTTTTACATCAAAATAAAGGCAAAAAACCTGTAAGGGGATAAAAGACTTAAATATAAAATCCAAAACCATAAAAACTCTAGAAGAAAACTTAGGCAATACCATTCAGGACATAGGCATGGGCAAGAACTTCATGACTAAAACACAAAAAGCAATTGCAACAAAAGCCAAAATTGACAAATGGGATCTAATTAAACGAAAGAGCTTCTGCACAGCAAAAGAAGCTATCATCAGGGAGAACAGGTAAGCCACAGAATGGGAGAACATTTTTGCAATCTATCCATCTGACATAGGTCTAATATCCAGAATCTACAAGGAACTGAAACAAATTTACAAGGAAAAAAAAAAACCTCATCAAAAAGTGGGCAAAGGATATGAACAGACACTTTTCAAAAGAAGACATTTATGCACCCAGCAAACATACGAAAAAAAAGCTCATCATCACTGGTCATTAGAGAAATGCAAATCAAAACCACAATGAGATACCATGTCATGCCAGTTAGAATGGTGATCATTAAAATGTCAGTAAACAGCAGATGCTGGAGAGGATGTGCAGAAATAAGAATGCTTTTACACCATTGGTGGGAGTGTAAATTAGTCCAACCATTGTGGAAAATAGTGTGGCAATTCCTCAAGGATATAGAACTAAAAATATCATTCGACCCATCAATCCCCATCAATCCTGGGTATATACCCAAAGGATTATAAATCATTCTACTATAAAGACACATGCACACGTATGTTTATTATAGCACTATTTACGATAGCAAAGACTTGGAACCAATGCCCATCAACAATAAACTGGATAATGCCCAACCCAAAGACCCATCAACAATAGACTGGATAAAGAAAATGTGGCACATATACACCATGAAATACTATACAACTATAAAAAAGAATGAGTTCATGTCCTTTGCAGGGACATAAATGAAGCTGGAAACCATCATTCTCAGAAAACTAATACAGAAACAGAAAACCAAACACTGCATGTTCTCACTCAGGTGGGAGTTAAACATTGAGAACACATGGACACAGGGAGGGGAACATCACACGCCGGGACCTGCCGGGGGGTGGGGGGCAAGGGGAGGGAGAGTATTAGGACAAATACGTAATGCATGCGAGGCTTAAAATCTAGATGACAGGTTGATAGGTGCACCAAACCACCATGACACATGTAAATATATACCTATTTAACAAATCTGCATGTTCAGCATATGTATTCCAGAACTCAAAGTAAATTTTTAAAAAGTTACTTTTAAAGAAACATGGGGCTAACTTTCTATGTGCTAAGAATTTGTCTCAATATTATTTTCCCCACAAAGTAATTAAGCAATATTCCAGAATTAAATTAAAAAAAAATTTTATGGGTACATAATAGGTGTATATATTTATGGGGTGCATAAGATATTTTGATAGAGGCATGCAATGCTTAATAGTCACATCAGGGTAAATGGGGTATCCATCACCATTAAGCATTTATCCTTTGTGTTAACTGACAATCTAATTATAATCTTTTGGTTATTTAAAAATAAACAATTATTTTTGATGACAGTCACCCTGTTGTGCTAGCAAATACTATGTCTTATTCTTCTAACTATATTTTGTACCTATTAACTATCCCCACTTTCTCTCAACACCAATTACTACCATTCCGAGCCTCTGGTAACCATTCTTTTACCATCTTCATGAGTTCAATTGTTTTAATTTTTACCTCCCACAAGTAAGTGAGAATATGTGAAGTTTATCTTTCTGTTCCTGGCTTATTTTGTTCAACATGATGACCTCCAGTTCCATCCATGTTGTTGCAAATAACAGGATCTCATTATTTTTATGGCTGAATAGTACTCCATTGGGTATATATACCACATTTTATTTATCCATTTCTCTGTTGATAGAAGCTTTGGTTGATTCTCAACCTTGGCTATTGTGAATAATGCTGCAATAAATATGGGATTGCATGGTACAGGTAGTTAGTCAGGCATGAGCAGGGCAGGAGAGGACTCCCCGCACTCACCCACCAGGAATGTCAGGTGACCATCAGGTGACAGCTCAGCAGTTATCACACTGCCTCTCTAAAAATGATAATTGGCAGCCAGCCCCAGGGAGGGCCAATTTCCTGATGGCCCACAGCTGCCACACTAAAGTGATAATTGATTGCAGGAACCAGGGAGAGGCAACTTCCCAAACAGATAAAAACACTTTACATTGGTAATATGCTTCCAGTAAAATCTCAGGAATTGGGCAAGTGAGCTTGGGCATGTGCATTAAGAGACAAAATATTGGAGTATGACCTTCTGGGGGCATTCAACCAGAAAAGGGAAGAAAGCTTCAGATGGGCATGCATACAACTCCCTAAACACACTGCGCATGCTCACCTCCCAAGCAAAAGGAGGGCACGGCACATGCGGTCAGGCCACCCTAACGGAAGAGTCATGGGGAAAGAGGAGCAAGACACCAGGAGTGGACAAACATATAAAGTCCTAGGATCAAGGTTAAACACAGCACTTGTCCTTCAAGTCGCCTGCTTGAGTCTCTTTCAAATGTACTTTCCTTTCTTTTCTGCTCTAAATCTTTTTTAAAATAAACTTCCACTCCTGCTCTGAAACTTGCCTCTGTCTGTTTTTCTGCCTTATGCCCCTCAGTTAAATTATCTCCTGAGGAAGCAAGTATTGAGGTTGCTGCAGACCCATATGGATTCACCACTGGTAACTTGAATACTCAACCCATAACATGCAGTTATCTCTTCATTATAATGATATCGATCTCTTCAGTATAATTTCCATTCTTTTGAGCATATACCTAGCAGTGGGATTGCTGAATTGTATGATAGCTCTATTTTTAGATATTGAAGAAACTACATACTGTTCCCTGTAGTGGTTGTGCTAATTTAGATTCCCATCAACAGTGCATAAGGATTCCCTTTTCTCCACATCCTCACTAGCATTTGTTACTGGTGGTGTTTTGGATAAAAGCCATTTTAATTAGGATGAGATAATATCTAATTGTAATTTTGATTTGGATTTCTCTGATGATCAGTGATGTTGAGCACCTTTTCACACACCTGTATGCCATTTGTATGTCTTCTTTTGAGAAATGTATATTCAAATCTTTTGCACAATTTCATTGAATTACCGGATTTTTTTCCTATAGATTATTTGAGCTTCTTACATATTCTGGTTGTTAATTCCTTGTCAGATGAGTAGTTTGTAATTATTTTTCTTCATTCTGTGGGTTGACTCTTCACTTCGTTGATTGTTTTCTTTGCTGTGCAGAAGGTTTTAAATTTGATCCCACTTGTCCATTTTTGTTTTGGTTGCCGGTGATGGTTGGGTATTGCTCAAGAAATTTTTGCCCAGACCAATGTCCTAGAGAGTTTCCCCAAAGTTTTCTTGTAGTAGTTTCATGGTTTGAAGTCTTAGATTTATATCTTCAATCCATTTTGATGTGATTTTTGTATATGGCAAGAGATAAAGATCTAGGTTTATTCCTCTGAATATGGATATGCAGTTTTTACACCACTATTTATTGAAGAGACTGTCGTTTCTCTAATGTATGTTCTTAGGACCTTTGTCAAAAACGAGTTCACTGTAGATATTTAGATTTGTTTCTGGGTTTTCTATTCTGTTCCATTGGTTTATGTCTTTTTTTTTTTTTTTTTTTTTTTTTTTTTTTGCCAGTACCATGCCATTTTGTCTACTATAGCTCCATAGTACAATTTAAAGTCAGATAATGTGGTTATTTCAGTTACATTCTTTTTGCTTAAAATAACTGTGGCTGTTGTGGGTCTATTATGGTTTCATATAAATTTTAGGATTGTTTTGTTTGTTTTTGTAAAGAATGTCATTAGTAATTTGATATAGGTTGCAGTAAATCTATAGATTGCTTTAGGTAGTATGGACATTGTAACAATTTTGATTCTTCCAATCCATGAACATGAAATATTCTCCATTTTTTGTGTCCTCTTCAATTTCTTGCATCAATTTTTTTGTTTTTTATTGTAGACATCTTTTACAGTTTTGTTAATTCCTAGGCATTTTATTTTATGTGTAGCCCTTGTAAATGATTTTTTTCAGATTGTTCACTATTGGCATTTAGAACTGTTACTGATTTTTTGTATGTCAATTTTGTATCCTGCAACCTCACTAAATTGTTTTATAACTTCAAATGATTTTTTGGTGAAGTACTTAGGCTTTTCTAAATATAAGATTATATTATAAATTTGACATCTCCCTTTCCAGTTTACATGTCCTTTGTTTCTTTTTCTTTTTTGAAGGGATAGCAGAGAACTTCTTAAACCTAGAGAAAGACATAAATATCCAAGTACAAGAAGAATATAGAACACCAAACAGATTTAACCCAAATAAGACTAAATCAAGACATTTAATAATCAAACTCCCCAAGAACAAGGATAAAGAAAAGATGGCCAGGTGCGGTGACTCACGCCTATAATCCCAGCACTTTGGGAAGCTGAGGCGGGTGGATCACCTGAGGTCAGGAGTTTGAGACCAGCCTCAACATGGAGAAACCCCGTCTCTTCTAAAAATACAAAATTAGCCGGGTGTGGTGGTGCATGCCTGTAATCCCAGCTACTTGGGAGGCTGAGGCAGGAGAATTGCTTGAACCTGGGAGGCGGAGGTTGCGGTGAGCTGAGATTGCGCCATTGCACTCCAGCCTGGGCAACAAGAGCGAAACTCCATCT
This sequence comes from Homo sapiens, assembly GCF_000001405.40. Taxonomy (NCBI): domain Eukaryota; kingdom Metazoa; phylum Chordata; class Mammalia; order Primates; family Hominidae; genus Homo; species Homo sapiens. The sequence goes on from NC_000012.12 coordinate 85,913,468, forward strand.
CAAAAAATAAAAAGAAAGATACTAAAAGCAGCAAGAGAAATGAAACAAATAACATACAATAAAGCTCCAATATTTGGTAGTGGACTTTTCAGTGGGAACTTCACAGGCCAGGAGAGAGGGTCATGACATATTTAAAGTGCTGAAGGAAAGAAAACAAAAACATTTTACCCTATAAGACTTTATCTAGCGAAAATATCCTTCAATCATGAAGGTAAAATAAAGACTTTCCCAGACCAAAACAAAAAAAAAAGCCTCTTGAGGCTGTTCCCCAAGCCCCAGGCTATGATCACTTATATTTGGCTCAGAATAAACCTTTTTAAATTTTTTAGAGTTTGGCTTTTTTTTTTCCCCAACACCATCTTGTTGCTGCCCAGCATCACCTAAACACATAAACACTTTATCTGATTCTTCTAACTTATTGACAAATTCCTTGCCCTATCCCCCTTTCAGGTGATGGCTGGAAGGTCTCCTTCTGGAAGAGACTTCTTTTATGAAACCCTGTCCAAGCACTGCCCAATAAACTTGCTGTGTGCTTAGGGGTGGTTGTTGCTTCATTTCGGTGGATGAGTAGGTGTATTTGTTTTCTAGGACTTCTGTAACAAAGTATCCCAAATTGAGTGGTTTAAACAAAAGAAGTTATTTTCTCACAAGCCTTGGAGGCTAAAAGTCTGAGATCAAAGTGTCAGTAGGACTTGCTAATTCTGAGGGCTATGAGAAAGAATCTGTTCTGTGTCTGTTCCCTAGCTTCCTGAGCTTTGCTAGCAATTCTCTGTGTTCTTTGACTTGTAGAAGCATCAACCTGGTCTCTGCCTTTATCATCACTAACATCATGTGGTGTTCTCCCTGTGAGTGTCTATGTCCAAATTTCCCCTTCTTATAATGACACCAGTCATATTGATTCACCTTACTCTAGTAAGACCTCATTTTAACTAATTACATCTGCAATAAACCTATTTTCAAAATAGTTCACATTCTGAGTTCCTTGGTGGGGGAGGGTGGTGGTTAATACTTCTTCAACATATGATTTTTTAGGGGGATACACTTCAACCCATAACAATAGGTAGATAAGTCACAGTTCAGAAGTTGACACTGACTCACATGGAGTTTTGTATATGTTTGAGACATTGTCTGATATTCCCAAATGTCAATTGTCTAGTAAGTGATTGGACAGGAGATACAGCATTCAAAGGAGAGATCAAGCTAGAGATACAAAATTATAAAATCAAGAACCATACTCATATAATCACTGATGCCATATGCATTACTGATATTAATTAAGGGAAGATAATACAGAGAAGAGAACTTAGGATTGTACATTGAGCTTTATTGGAGAGAAATGACTATAATCACAGTAATTTATAATATAATTATTCAGCTGTCTTAGGGTGTATGGAAAGTACTGTATGGAAGACAGAAGTATAAAATTCATGATTTAAAGGAAACACTAAAACATCAATACCTTTCAGAACAAAATAAGAAGGTAATATAGGATAAGCTTCACCTTATTATATTGTAATAAGCATTCTCTCTTATTCCAATCAAAATCTGAAAATCCATTTCCTGCATAACAGTGTGCGTATGTTTCTGTGTCATAAGTTTAGAGTTATGAAGGTGAAAGTTTGGAATGGAGGTGTTTTGAATGGAAACTTTCAAAAAAGCTTTCAGCTGGAGAATTGCTAACCTTTCCAAACTAATTTGTTTTCCACCAGCCACTGATGACCTTTTCATTTTTAGTTCAGTTTTTTTCTCATCCCAGTTTGAAAAATAATGTAGTAAGAAAACATGCTGAGACCAGAGTCAGAATCCCTATATATTTATGGACAAAGAACCAACAGGCATTTGGGCATTTATATGAACTACAAAGGAGTATGACAACTTCAAAAAAAGAAAATCTATGATTTGATACAAGACTATTGTGAATTTTATTTTTCTCTCTTCCCAGCAAACCGAAACAGTCTTTGAAATAAGAACACAGTTCTACTTGAATCCTTCGGCAAAATGCAATGTTGAAAAGTGTCCACAACACTGTTGCCAACTGCTTTGAAAGGAATATATCCATCTTTTTGTGGTGGGCTGTAATGCAATCTAGGTCATCTCTATGCTTTTGGCAATAGGTGATTTCTGAAGTAAATCACTTATTGAAGTAATCAGCATGCTGCATCAATCCAGAGGAGTAATTGGTAATGATGTAAAACTTGCCACCTCCATCATCTGTGACTAAAAGCTAGAACACACAGCACCTAAGCAATCTGCCTCTGTATCAAGGTCATACTCATAAAACGAGAAAGAGGTAGAATCACACAGCTTGATACTCTGGCCCATGGGTCAGAAAAGTTGCCATAAATATGTAAAGGAAAGAAATATCTGTGATTTGATAAGACAGCAGGAAAATTTATGCAAACTTGGGAGTGGGAAAAAAAGGCTTTTCTCCTTTCCATAGCTCAGTGATAGAAAGTGAAGAAAGACTTCAATTTTTTAATATCAAATGGAAAATCGAATCAAATATGAAGTTTGGTATATTTTGAAGATTTTTTTCTAAATAATAATAGTGATCCAATTTTTACCTCTAGGATGGGGTGGCCTGAAATAGATCAAGTCAGCTGTCATTGACTATATTTATAAGATAGCAAAATACATATGTGAAAAATGAAATATTTTCAGTAGATTTTCACTCAAGGCTATTTAAATAGAATAATTCAGTAGAAAATATTGTTAATGTATACACACTTATTGTATTGCCTAGTCCAGTGTATTTACATGAAACGATAGTTTACTGAAATATTAATTTCTTTTTTTATTGGGTTCTTTGATGAAGTAGGCTCCACAAGGCCTATTGTGACCACTTCTTCAAGATACTGCTCATAAACAATGTCATGTCCTGGAACTGCTCATTACATTGTAGGTTCAACATAACTCCACAATTTTTGATGCCTGGTCATTAATATAAGTCATTTCCTATGGCCATTGTACCTCAAATTGAGATGTAAAATGCAGAAGATACAGCTTTCAAAAGGTAGTTTTAGCAGCCCTACAAGGTTATTAGGCTGATGTTTCATGGTGACATCGTTAGTAATGCAAGAAGTTCGAGTGCCCCCTACTATCCCCTCCTTCCTCGGAGTTTCCAATGACCCAATGAAACTCTTATAAAGCAAGTGAAGTATGATGTCCACCTACCCCATTGTGCCTTCTGTGAGAAATTGGGAACTTCGGAAACCAATTTCACCAATCAGTCCCACAGTCTGACACTTCTTCATGCTTTGCTGAGTCTGCCCTAACTTCTCTAGGATTTATTTGTCAGACTGCTTATTTTTGGCAAGCCTCTGGGCCCACTGCTCTGAGGAAATATTTCACACAAAGTTTGGAAAATTATCTGATAAGCAAAGTTTAAAAGGAATACAGGCCTGAGCCAGCACACCCAGCCCATCCATATTTTTATATGTAACTGTAATTCATTTATTTTTATCTCTAAATGAAATTCATAATATATGTTATTCATTCTTCCCTTGATGGACGTTAGGGTTTTGTTGTTGTTGTTGTTACTAATTATTTTCATTTTTATTTTTTTTACTAGAAAGCTGAACTACTTTGTAAAGATGTTATGACAATTTATAATTTCACTGGCTGTGTATAAGAATTCTTTTGTATCTTCACCTATGGTCTTATTAAAGACCTGTCAGTCTTTTTAATTTTTGCCATTCTCAGGTGTACACAATGGTATTGAATATTGGTTTTAATTTGCATTTCCTTGATAACTAATAAGGTTGAACACCTTTTCATATCTTTACTGTCCATTTAATATCCTTATTTTGAAGTGCCTGTTCAAGTCTCTTGCCTGTTGTTCTGTAGTGAAATCTTTTTTATCTATTTGATTCCTAGGTGACAAAATTACCTAGAAATCAATAAGAAAAAACTATACATGCTCTATTGATGATATGCACTATAAACATATTCTTAATCTAATTTGTGGCATCTTTCATTCTTAAAATGGTGGCTCAAAAGAAATAATTATTTTAATTTTAATGTAGTCATGTATTTGTAAAATATTTGTAAATATTTTTAATGCTTAATACTTCTATACTTCTTCTTCTTCTTTTTTTTTCATGGAGTATTGCTCTGTTGCCCAGGCTGGAGTACAGTGTCGTGATCTTGGCTCACTGCAACCTCTACTTCCCAGGTTCAAGTGCTTCTCTTGCCTCAGCCTCCCGAGTAGTTGGGATTACGGGCATGTGTCACCATGCCTGGCTACTTTTTGTATTCGTAGTAGAGATGAGGTTTCACCACGTTGGCCAAGCTGGTCTTGAACTCCTGACTTCAAATCATCCACCCACCTCAGCCTCACAAAGTGCTGGGATTATAGGCGTGAGCCACCGCACGCAGCCAATCCTTGTTTTTAAGACAACATCCATCATCTTGTGAATTTTTATTTTGTTATCTCCTAAGAGCTTTAGTGTTTTGCCTTTCCTATTTATATCCCAAATTGACCTTGAAATTACTTGTGTATCAATGTAGAGAAAGGATGAATTTTCTTTTTTTTCCAGATGAGTATTCATTTTTCCCAGAATTATTTATTGAAAGGCTTTTACTTCCCCACTATTCTACAGTGCCGAATTTATCATGAATTAAGTGTTCACTTACTTAGTTTATAGTGTGTAATACTCTACTCAGTTGCATTTAGCAATTTTCTATCCTTGAAGTAATATCACACTCATAATCACTTCAACTTAGTAGTAATCTTGATTGTTCATTAAACAAACCCTCCTACCTTTTTTTCTTCTTCAAGAATGTTAGTTATTTTTGTTACCCTTGTATTCCATTAAAAATTTGGAATTAGCTTGTCAAGTACCACACATACAAACAAAACCTGTAAGGATTTTTATAAGTATTGCATTAAATCTGTAGATCAATTTTAGAAAAATGAACAACTTCAAAATATTGAATTTTATAATCCACATACCTGGCATATCTTTTTTCTAACACTCCTTTAATCTCCCTCAAAAGTAAAAAAAGATAATTTTGCATAGAGCTCTTGCAATGTTTTGTTAAATTTATTTCTACATAATATTGTTATTGTTCTTATAAACAATAACTTAATTTGTTATCACTTCATAAAAATATACTTGATTTTTAAAAATATATTTACCTATTTAAGTCCTTTGTCCATTTTTGAATTGGGGTTTTTGTTGCTGTTTTAAGAGTCTTCTACAGATTATAGGTGTTAGTCCCTTACGAGACATGTGATTTGTAAAGCTGTTTTTTGTTTTTTTTTTTTCCTTCTGTAAGTTATCTTTTTACCAGCACCACTTTTACTGTTCTTTTACTATTGAATGGTCTTGGCACCACTAAGGAAGTCATTTGACCATATATGCCAAAATTAATTTCTGGGATCTTTAATCTGTTACAATGGACTGTAAGTCTGTCTTTATTCCAGTACCACAATGTTTTGATTACTGTAGCTTTGTAGTAAGTTTTGAAATAAGAAAGTATGAGTAATCCAATTTTGTTCTTTTTTGTCAAGATTATTTTGGTGATTTGAGGCCCCTTAGGTTACATATTAATTTTAGGATTTATTTTTCTATTTCTTTAGAAAACAATGTCGAGATTTTGATAGGGATTGCAATGAATCTTTAAATTGTTTGGGGAAGTATTGACATCTTAACAATTTGAAGTCTTCCAATTAAAGAATATAGGATATCTTTCCATTTATTGATGTCTTCTTTAATTTCTCTCATAAGTGTTCTGTAGTTTTCATTGTACAAGTCTCTCACTCCCTTGGTTAATTCCTAAGTATTTTCTTCTTTTTGGTACTATTGTAAACAGATTTGTTTTCTTAATTTTCTTTTTGGATTGTTCATTGTTAAAGTATAGGGTCACAAATAATTTGTGTTGATTTTGTATCCTGCTACTTTACTAAATTTGTTTATTCATTTTAAGTGATGTTTTAAGTAGAATCTTTAGGGCTTTCTGTATGCAAGATTATATCATCTGCCTTAGAAAGGAGCGTCACAATAATTTATCAAGAATTTGTCTCCATTTACTTCAATACTTTTATGGTGGTGAAAATAGGTTAGAATGACTATTGGTATATAAATTTAAAAGAATAATAGATAATTAAAGATATTTTGATGAGTGGCAGGTTATTTAAACACATTTGTGCTATAGATAAAGAAACTTAATGTCAGTTTATTTATTTATTTACTTTTGAGATGATGGAGTCTCACTCTGTCACACAGGCTGGAGGGCAGTGGCGCGATCTCGGCTCACTGCAACCTCCGCCTACCGGGTTCAAGCGATTCTCCTGCGTCAGCCTCCCGAGCAGCTGGGACTGCAGGCAGGTGCTACCACGCCAGCTAATTTTTGTATTTTTTTAGTAGAGACGGGGTTTCACCATATTGGCCAGTCTGGTCTCAAACTCCTGACCTCGTGATCCACCCGCCTCAGCCTCCCAAAGTGCAGGGACTACAGGAGTGAGCCACCGCGCCAGGCCTGATGTCAGTATATTCAAAAGCTTCGAGTTCTCTGACTGTGGAGTTAACCTTTGCTCCTCAGTTACTTTGAGGCATTGTAAATCCTGGGGCCTAATTCACATGGACCTCCTTTAGAATAATCAAAGATGAGATAAAAATACAGAATATTTTTATAGCATTTTAATTATCTTGGAAAATAGTCAAGTTAATTACTCTCTTTAAAAACTAAAAAACACAACTTCATTTCCTGATCGTACCGGAAAAAGAGAACCTATAAGTTATCTTTACACATTCCAATAATCTTTATTACATCACCTTATATGGCATTTTAAAGTTGCCATTAGCATAACTTATTGTTGTGATTGTATATCTATAAATAATCTTATATTTAGGAGTATAAGGCAGATGGGTTTTCTTGCACAATTCATAATTTCAAGGATGTGAACAGAGAAATAAAAATGATACAAAGATAGGTGCATAGATTATAGGATCTAATTTTGGAATTATAGACAAATTTCAGAGATGCACGGAAAAGACTACCTGTGACGATAAGCAAATCTAAAGAGGGCGTTTAAAATATATTTTTATTTTTTGCATTATATTGCCACCTAGTGGTTACAACAGATATGAAAAGCAAAGCTTTTATAACCTTTGATGTCAGAAAGCCTTAACAGTCAACAAATACTGAAAAGAGAGAAGAGATGAATACATTTTAATGTTACTTTCTTTTTTCATTTTCTCTGCTCATCTGCTTAGAGAGATAATCACTAGTTCTGTGGAAGGCAGGAGGGGAAATAATTCAGACCCTTCCCACTAGCAGTGACTATGGCTAAATTTCTGCTTACATACTTGAAGACAAACATACAGCATCAACAGGATATTAATTTCTTTATAAAGACTATACAGTCTAGACAGTATTTAATAAGAATATGTGCCCTACTAAATAACTCTGGCTTTTATTCTAAATAAATATTTTTCTTTTTAATTGCAAGGAGCCCTCAGTTTAGCTCAGAATTCCCTTGCTGAGCCACCATAAGAAAATGGTGCTAATACAAAATACAAATACAAAATAGTCTCCCCATCCCCTATTTCTCTATCTTTTTGCTGTATCTGGCCAAGCTTTGAATAGTCTCCCCTATTCAAATTTTTCAACTCATATGAAAAGAGAAATGCCAATTCGTTCTTTAACATTGTAGGCCAGCATTTCTTGCATAATATTATAACCAATAAAATTTGAGCTCAATGAATAATGACCATATATCACATTATATATTTTGAATTTTAAAATTAAAAAATTATATTTATATATTTATTTGTGTCCAAATTGGAATAAAAATAATTTTATTTATAAAAATAATTTTCATTTAATGAAGTTTAACAGTACAAAATAAGCTATAAAGCTACCACCTTTAAGTTGTTCATCTCCTTACCAACTAGTATATAAGGTCATATATTTTATATATGATTTTCTGAGGCTTAGTAGAGAAGGAAACCCTGGAAATTATAATATACTTAGAAAACCTGGTATATGTCCAGGGAAGTCAAATTTGTTAAAACATAATAAACATTTATTAAATAAGTGAAGGAATGACTAAATGAATGGATGGATGTATGGATGGACGGAGGGAAGGAGGGATGGATGGATGGATGGATAGATGGATAGGTGGGCTGGCAAACTTATAGAAAGAGGATTTCTCCTTCCATGAGTTCAAACATTAGACATTAAAAAAAAAAGTTCTCAATTTTCCCATGAATGAAACAGATGTCTTTATATCCTTGCTCCTTCTAGGAAGGCCCAACAGTGCCATTTTAGAAATTCTTTGAGAGAGAGGTGCCACTTAAAGTAAGCAATCCCCAGTTGCTCAATCTGACAAATCACTGCAAATAATAACATGTTACCAAAATTAGCCTCCCCCATGCCCCCCAAACAGGATATCAAGCAGTCTGGTAAGAGATATACAAATAGAAAATTGTTTCAAGGGATTTAGGTTCCAAAAGTGGTGGTGGTGGTGGTGGTGGTGGTGGTGGCGGTGGCGGTGGCGGTGGCGGTGGCGGTGGTGGTGGTGGTGTGTGTGTGTGTGTGTGTGTGTATTTATAGGCTTCTTGTGTCTTTGGAAAAACCATGTCATAGGACCTCCTAATTTACCCTGCGTAGGAATTCTTGTAAGCATTTGCAGTGCCCTGGTGCTCTTTGCCGTGTAGGGTTTCCTAAAACCTCTACTGATTAACTGTTTAATGTGGGCACTTTTTAACAAGAGAGAGTCCAGAATACAATAAGGGAAGGATAAAAATTTATATTCCTGACATGCACAGTGGGACCAGGGCCAGTGAGTTTTTTTCTGGTGAAAACATGCTGGCAAAATATTTGGCAGTACAATTAATGAAGACCTTTAATGAACTAACCAATACTAAGAAAGAATTCAGTGAAAAATTCTGTCAACAACTTTTCTAATAAGCCACACTAATAGAGAACTAGGATTTCAAAATGAGTAACTTTTCAGTAAAATTCCTTGATAAACTTTTTTTTTCTTATGAAATGCTAATGACTAAACAGTAAATATGTACAGCATCAAAATCCTTGGTGAAATCACAGGGCTATTTCAACTATAATGAAAACCGTCACCACTCTACAAAGAGAGACCTCATGATTTGCAGCAAAGTATCTGTCTGTTTTCTATTGCTGTTGTAGCAAATTACCACAAATTCACTAGCCTAAACCACACAAATTTATTGTCTTACTGTTCTGAAGGCCGGAAGTTTGAAATCAGTCTAAAAAGGTGTATTAGTCTGTTTCTGCACTGCTATAAAGATACCACCCGAGACAGGGTAATTTATAAACAAAGGAGATTTAATTGACTCACAGTTCCGCATGGCTCGGCAGGCCTCAGGAAACTTATAATCATGGCAGAAGAGGAAGCAGGCATGTCTTACATGGTGGCAGGCAAGAGAGAGTGAAGGGGGAAGAGCCCCTTATAAAACCATTAGATCTCATGAGAACTCCCTCACTATCAAGAGAACAGCATGGGTGAATCTGCCCCCATGGATCCAATCGCTTCCCACCAGGTACCTCCCTCAACACCTGGGGCTTGCAACCCAGATTATAATTCAAGATGAGATTTGGGTGGGGACACAGCCAAACCATATCAGGTAAGTCAAGGTATCTGCAGGGCTAGCTCCTTCAGGAGTCTCGGACCAAGGAGTCTGCTTCCCGGTCTTTTTCAGCTTCAAGCAGCCACATGTATTCCATGGTTTGTCATCTTGTAGCCTTTCCTCCATCTTCAAAGCCCATTACTCCAATTTCTCCTTACTTCATTAGGTAGCCATCTCTTCTGACTTTACTCCTCCTGTTTCCCTTCCAGAATAATCCAGGTCCACTAAATAATCCAGGATAATCTCCCTATTTCATAATCCTTAATTTATTCACATCTGCAAAGTTTCTTTTGCCAATATAAAGTAACATTCACAGGTTCCTAGGAATAGGATGTGAATATATTTGAGAGCTATTATTCAGCCTACAATGGTCTCTATGTATCTGAAGTAGATAGCTATACATATTTATATAGAGGGCAATAAATTTAGGGTCAGTTAGTAATTTAAATTATCATAGAGATATTTATGAACCTTGATAATAATTAAGCTCCTATTAAGCTCCTATTCATTCCACTTTTCAAAATATTGAACAATAGATTGCACTTACATTTTAGTATATTTTTGTCAGGTTGTTACTCTCTTGAACATTTCATTTTTATTTTATCAAAATTTCTTTATGTAAACCAGAAGTACCTAAAGCTGTACATTTTTTCATATATTCTGATATAGTTTTGCCATTTTCCTTTTAGGTAAATATGTTACCATGGGTTTCCTTTGAAAGTCAAAACTCTAAAATTACAAAAAAATTAAAAATATACTCAAGAGGAATAAAATTAATGAGGAACAAGCAGATATGAGGCATCTACATTAAAGAAGTATCAGGGCAGCATAACTATTTTTGACCACTAGGTGGTATTCCTAATCCATAAAACTGTGATAAAACATGTTCTTTAAGATTTAATTTCTTTTGGAAGTTTAGTCATTTTATTATTTTTGGACTGATTTTTAATGTGAGATTTAGATTAGCCAAACAGTGGTTTCTTACAAAAATACCTCTCCATTGAATTTCAATACCACAGACATACTTTGCTTTAAACAACCATGTTTTTAAAATACAGGACAGGACTAGAACAGTTTGTTGGCTGTTTCCTCACAGTTTATTTACTTCTTAATTGTAAGTTTCTGTTGTAAAGTACCATAAAGTTAGTGCAAACCAAATAATTATTATCTAGTCTCCTCCCCTGAAACACATAAACAAGTATCAATACAAAAAATTAACATTTTTAAATAATACTATTTATACGTTTACATCTTAACACTGTTAAATTTTCATAACCCTGAATATCATGTTCTTAATGGATAATTTTTAAATCAGATAATAAGGTATATAGTACATTTCTTTGATATTTTCAGAGCTTTAAAATAATACAGAACCATGGCTTACAATAGATCTCTGTGATGCTGCTAGAGCACTACTTATCACATTTTCATACATGTAAATTTCCAAAGAGCAAATTTTGACAAGAGTGTCAGCAGAATGGCATTTTTAAAGGTCATACTGAGTGTTACCATCTTTGCTACACATAAATCTTTGTGAAAATACAATTACAAGTATTTTTCCCTAGCTGCTGATTAATTAAAATTTGTTTTTTACAAAGTCGAATTCATTTAAAAAAAAAAAAAATCAGATGCAATATCCCGAATAAAAAAGGGAAGAAATCAACTGATTTGCAGTTCAGAGGGATTGTATTTTTTAAAAAATTGGGCAAAGCATTTAAATTATGAAAGAAAGATTAATGGAATTACAGTAATTTTCTATTAAAACTCTACTTTTGCTTGTAATTACATGTGACTATTGTGATTGAAAATAAAATTTTCAGTCATGCTAATGAGCCACAATCTGTGACACTGAGAGCTATACAAGTAGATTTCTCCATTATATCTAAAAAAATTGCAGATGAGTAACTAAACCTTATGCTGGAGCCCTGTCTTTGGTGTCGCATGTGAAGATTAACATTTTATGTAAGATCTGCAATGTGTTCATATTTTAGAATAAAGAAAGAGTTTTGAAAATTATTGACGTAAGTAAATAAACTGAATTTCAACTATGTTGGGACATGATTCAAAGGCATTCAAAATTTTTTGAAATATATTTTCTGATTTGATTTGGTCTTTTAACAGTATTGAGAAGTTTGTAGCTCAACTGGGAGGTAAATTAGGTTATTTTGCTTACTCCCTACTGAAAATAGCTAGAAACATTGGAGCATGAAACCAAAAGTGTACAAGAGCTATATTTCCTCCATAGAGCAAAGATCTAGGAGAAGAAATAATTATGGAAACGTGAATGGGCAACCTCAAACTGAGGGAGGAGACCACCCCTCATATTGTCTTATGCCCAATTTCTGCCTCCAAAGAAAGAAGTAAAACTAAAAGGCAGAAATGAAATCCACAGGCAGACAGCCCGGCGCCACACCCTGGGCCTGGTAGTTAAAGATCGACCCCTGACCTAATTGGTTATGTTATCTATTGATTACAGACATTGTATGGAAAAGCACTGTGAAAATCCCTGTCCTGTTCTGTTCCGTTCTAATTACCGGTGCATGCAGCCCCCAGTCATGCACCCCCTGCTTGCTCAATTGATCACAACCCTCTCCCGCAGACCCCCTTAGAGTTGTAAGCCCTTAAGAGGAACAGGAATTGCTCCCTTGGGAAGCTCAGTTTTTGAGCCATGAGTCTTGCCAATGCTCCCGGCCGAATAAAGCTCTTCCTTCTTTAACTCAGTGTGTGAGGGGTTTTGTCTGTGGCTCGTCCTGCTACAAAGCCAAGAGAGCAAATCAAAACAACATTGCATCCCAACAGGAATGATACAGATTAGTACTACCCTCAAAGTCATAGAGAATGCAAGAGTAGCGGTTTCCATCATCATCCTATTTAATTTACCAGTTAGGTCCCTTTAAAGATTGAGTGCACCGTAGCAGATGAGAGTGGACTATCACAGATTCAACCGAGAGGTTACAACTGCAAGGCTGGTTGTGGTATATTTACTAGAGCATGTCAACATTGCCTCTGGTAAATGTTACATGGCTTTTAATTTGAAAAATATGTTATTTTCAATATCCTTTAGGATAGAAAACCAGCAGCTTACATTTACTTGGAATGGACAACATATACATTCATGGTCTTGCCTTTGGGCTTCGTTAATTCACCTAATCTCTGTCACGGTATAGTCTAATGGAACATTGGTTATCTATACATTTTCTTGAATATTAAATTTATTGGACCTTATGAGCATGAAGTCACAAATCCTCTGGGAATCTTGGTAACACATGCACTCCAGAGGGTGGGAGACAAAATTTCAAAAGATTCAGGAGTTGACACTTTGGTAAAATTATTAGGATTCAGTAGTTTGGGACATTCTGGTACCTCTTTTCCAAATTGAAAGATGAATTATTGATACTTCAACACTATACTACTTCTAAGACAGACATGTAATTAGTAGGTTTCTTTGGCTTTAGAGTTAACATATGGCTTTGATCTATTTACTGAGTGATGTGGAAAACTAACAGATTTATATTAGACCCAGAACAATAAAAGGGCTCTGTAGCAGTCCAAAACGTTGTATAAGCAGTCCTGCTATTTGGGCCTTACAATTAAGAATATGTCATGATACTTACTAGAAGTATTTGTTGTAAAGCTACCATCTGAAACATCTGATAAGTGCCATTAAAAAATTACATCCTAGACCCCTAGGTTTCTGGAGAAAGGCCATGCTAAATACAGAAGGGAAATGTGTATCATCCAAATAACAGAGCCCTGCATGTTACTGAGTCTTGGCAGAGACAGGCATCTAACCACGAGTTAACTGACCATATGGCCATAACTGCCCCTTGTAAGCTAACCAATTGAAGATTTACCAAGTCAGAAGACATAAGCAGCAATAAACTATCATAAACATGGAAAAATGGACTTGACACATTTGGGATCAGGCTCAAAAAGGTCTAGAGAGGACAAATGAGTTTCACAAGCAACTAGTCCTGACTACTTGCATATGTCACCACTCAGGGCCATTATGTGGTACTGTGTCCTCAATAAGCACACATTGGTTCAGGACCAAGGGTTGGTGTTCTCTCTCATGATCACTCCAAGTTATCCATTTGTAATTTGGGGAATTTATTCCTTCCTGTTTAGGTATCTTTCATTTGAGAAGTCCTATTTCCAGAGAGAAGAATGCTTTCAATGTGTAACACAGTAAGAGTCCTACTAAATTTAAAAGTCTGAATGATACTTTTCACTTTAAGTTCCTTGCACCTGTACAACAGCAGGCAAAGTTACAACACTGCCAGAAATAAATGACCCTGAATTTTATGAGGCAGTAAGTCTGCTGCTACTTAATGGATGCCCTGGGGAATTTATTGATATACTTGCCCAGTACAAGTTCTGAAATCACAAACTGTTAAAAAATGGTGACCAGATACTAATCTCCCTCAGAGATGAAAGTTGGGGTTACCCCATCAGCCCACTTATTTTACATAGTCTAACAGAAGATTTGGTCAAGGGGAAAAAGGAAATTTGGAATATGTGTTGAAGGTAGATCTAAATTATTCATCACTTTAGGGGTTTTACATGATAATAAATGGAAAATTAATCCATAATTTCAACTTTTGGATATTGCTATGGTTTGGATGTTTGTCCTCTCCAAACTTCATGTTGAAATTTGGTCCCCAATGTTGGAGGTGGGGCTTAATGGCAGATGTGTTGGTCATGGGAATGGATCCTTCAGGAATAGATTAATTTCCTCCTTCAGGGGTGAGTGAGCTCTCACTTTATTGGTACCACTGAAGCTGGTTTTTAAAAAGAACGTGGCACCTTCCCCTTTCTCTTGCTTCCATTCTTACCCTGTGAACTGCACATGCTGAGTCCCCTTTACCTTCTACCACAAGAGGAAGCAGCCTGAGGCTCTCCCCAGGTACAGATGCCCAATCTTAAACTTGCCAGCCATCAGAATTGTGAGCCAAATAAAATATTTGTTGTTACTATTTTTTTAACTTTTATTTTAGGATCGGGGTACACATGCAGGTTTGTGATGTAGGTCAACTCATGTCATGGGGGTTTGTTGTACAAATTACTTTGTCAGTCAAGTACTAAGCCCAGTAACCAATAGTTATTTTTTCTGCTCCTCTTTCTCCTCCCACCCTCCCCATTCAGGTAGGCCCCAGTGTCTGCTGTTCCTCCCCTTGCGTCTGTGTGTTCTCATCATTTAGCTCCCATTTATAAGTGAGAACATGCAGTATCTGGTTTTCTGTTCCTGCATTAGTTTACTAGGAATAATGACCTCCAGCTCCATCCATATCCCCGCAAAGGACATGATCTTCTTTTTTATAGCTGTATAGTATTCCATGGTGTACATATACCACATATTCTTTATTCAGTCTACCATTGATTTGGAAAGAAAAACACATATTGTGTTTTAGAAATAAGAATTTCAAGTATTGCATATAAAAGCTGCTGTTTAATTATTCAATGTCTCAACAAAAGTCATTTAATGAATGAGATTAAACCATAGATTATACAATAGAACTTTAAAACTTAGGTCATCACCATTGCTGTGTAGATAATTAATGTTTTACTTATGAGATGAGACAGTAAGAGAGTGAAAGGAAGAAATGAGCTCCTTAAATTTCTTTCAGTTCTTTGAATGTACAGTATATTAAATATATCTTTGTCACTTCTCAATTGAGTTTAGATATATTATGTGGTTCCTATTAAGATTTCTTGCTTCTCTTCATTTTGCTTTAGTTTTCATGATTTAAAACTGTTTCTGTTCAAGTGGTTAATCAGAATGTTTGTTTGTTAGGTTAGTCACTGAGGCAAAAACTGTCTATGTGGAAATTACAAGGGAAAATTATGAAATTTATTCACTATCATAGTTCACTACTAAACTATAGTAATTATAGTTTAACAATTTGCAGTTTTAATATGTAATGATAGAGTGTTTCATTGAAATTATTTAATAGGAAAATTCTGAGCCTCTTATTGTTACAATAGGGATTTTGTTATTTAAAGCAATGGTAACTAGAGCAAATTTATTAGTTTTTCATTCCTGGAATGAGACATGAATATTTGAACATACTCTTTTATTGATATGAACATAATTTAATATGGATGTATAATTTGTATATCATTTCCTCATGTAATAAATATGTCTTTTGTTTAAAATTGCAAAAAGGTTTTCTAGAGAGAATATAATGGAAATAGTGACAATTATTCAAATCTAAAGTATTTTGAATTCAATTATCTACATTTTCAGAATGAATGTATAGTAAAGGGGCTCAATTCTCTAATCTCATATAAAACAATGATAAATTCTCTCAGAAGATTTAAGCAGTGATGAGGTGGAATGTTGCTATGCTGCTTATTGCCAAGAGTTCCACAGCTTCCCATCCATTCTCCAGAATCGCATCTTCCATATTCCCTTTGACAAGTGACTTCCTGTTGGATTTTGCCAATGAACGCTTAAAATAACGTACATAAATATGTAGGTAGCATGTATGTATGCATATATGTATGTTTTGTGGTTTTTTGTTTCTAAGTTACCTCTGCTGTAGTCAGACAACAAATTCTGAATTATTTCAATGCTTTGAAATCTGTTAAGACTTACCTTATTGCCTTACTAAGGTAAATGTTCCATGGACTTTTGAAAATCATGCTTTTTTCTTTTTTTTTTTTTCATTTGCTAGTGGGCTGTTTTATTAACATAATCATGAGTCTAAAGAAACATGAGGACATTTCCAGGCGTTGATATAAAATGTTTTAATTTTACAACATGATACCAGGAGCAACGTTTATAGTTCTGGTACTATATCTTGATAGATATTAACAAGTTAGAAAATATGCAGTATAGAATGGTACCTGAAGCTCTGTATAACTATGTGTGTTCCCTTCTCTACATATTATGACTTTTAAATGTCTATCTGACCTATCCAGTTTCATTATTGTTCTTTATACTTGTGAATGATATAATTATGTAGCTCTGAGGATTTCACAAATACATTTGCTTTATAACAAATATATGTCACTGTATCATTCATGCAGATATATTTTTAATTTTTGACAAATTTATACTTCAAAGATTACCGATAATGAACTTCAAAATGTTTTTATTACCAATTTTTAAATGTATATCTAACCCAATCATTGTAACCAAAAATGCATACTCTACTATAGTTTATACTTTTTAAGTATATTTATAATGGCTGAAAAGACCAATTTTTAAAGGAATAATGTTAAATATAAGTAGTATTTTTGTAAATTTCCAGCTATGAAAAGCTGAGTATCAGATTAAAAAGCCTTAATCATCAGAGATTTAAGTTTACTGTGTTAAGAACCTCAATTTTTAAAACTATAAAAACACACTTATGTACTTTTGTTATTAATTCATTTTTTAAAATGAATTTCATTTTGATGAAAGAATAAAATGTATGAGCTATATTTTATATGGAAATTAAAGTTGTAATTATTTAACTTCTGTTGATACGTTAAGAATACATATTTTCATGTGATAGTCATTTTGAGGCAATTATCCAGAATTTCCTAGATACAGTAGTGGTTGTGTGGAAGCATACAAAAAAAAACCCAGAAAATCAAGGGTCATATAAGGAAGTCTACATTATAAAAAGAATTAATATTTGGGTGGCCAGATATATGAAAATTTATTGATAACACTAAACAGTAAATGTGTATAATTTCATCTACATAGGTAGAGCACTAAATAATGAAAATAATTAAGATGTAGGATATTAAGCAAAAGATAATCTGTAGAAGGCCTAAGAATCCAAACGTCCAGATATAATGGGAAATATTTTCCACATAAAAATGAAGGACAACAGTCAGTAGTAACTCAGATACCTACATATGTCAAATATTAATATTTAATCTCTTGACAAAACCCCTCAGTTTTAATATTTAATCTCTTGACAAAACCCCTCTAACAACAAAACAAGTAGTTTCAAGGTGGTATTCACATATTTGCTATAAAATTAAATGTCAAGATGTTTGACTGATTTCTCACGATTGACATCCAATAAATAGTGGTTTGTTTTGTGTGACTTGAGTATTAATATCCTAAAATCTGTTTGGGATTGTGAAAACTCAGTGTATAAAAGACAATGTTAAGAATATTAGGGAGAAAAGCAGACTAGAACTTTGCAACACTACATTTTGGGGTTGGTCTCCATCAACAAATATTATGTGCATATTTATATGTATCAAAATATACATTTAAGTTGCTTCATTAATGGAGCAAACACCTTCAACTTTCTCAATCAACAATCAGGACAGATGTGACAAAATTAAGACAATATAAAACCATAGTCTTCATGATTTACTAAGTTTCCTGAAATATATTCTGGGAATTATTACTGTTGAGATAACTTTAGATCCTCAAAATTAATTTAGTTAGAATTGCTTCTTATCTAATTTATGTATGTCACAAGTGCATCATTTAGAGCACTTAAAAATTAATACAATACTCAATACCGTGACTCACTGAAGATTTATACTTCTGCTTCCTGAAACTTTTGTTATTACCTGAGACTAATGCGGCAAAAATGAACAGAAACCATTCATGTCTTTAGGATACATCAGAATACAAGGAAAAGACTACTGGCTTGGGAATCAGAAATCTCCCTCAGACTCTACAGTCAAAATTATCTTTGAATCTTCACAAATACAAACATCCTGGCCCTCACAGTTTTGTTACTTTTTCAAGGGGTGAGGGCTTTAGGTATTGATTTAATACCTATTTTATGTCCAACAAAATATTATCTCATGATAATTTTAGTCATATCATATTAATATAAATAGAAAACTTATTAAATAATTTTCAAAAATATTTTGTTATAATGAAAATTATGAGAAATTTTTGTAAGAATTAGGCAAGTGTAGGCTTTATTTACTTTTTAAAAAATCTAATGCAGGTAGCCGATTTAATATTTTATTTTTTAACAGAAGGTAAACTATTAAAATAGGGATCATTAAAATGTTTTAAAGCTACACACAATATCTACCTTTTTAAACTTAACGAAAGTAGGGCTGTATTTAAAAATTAATTTTCTTTCAACTGTTCTTTCTTTAGGTAGTAACTAGAAAAGCCAGGTAATGTGATGTCTCCAACTTTATTATTATTTTTCAAGATTGATTGAGCTATTGTAGTTCCTTTGTGTTTCCATATAAATTTTGGAATCAGCTGTCAACGGTAAATTCTACAGAATTTCTTTCTTTTTTTTTTTGATTTACATTTGAGTATTTTGCTTTTGGGGTAATTTTAAATGATTTTTTTTTAAAAAAATTATGTGTCCTTTTGTACCTTGCTAATATACACAAACACAATTGATTTAATGTGTTTGTCTTGTATCGTAAGATCTGCATAAACTCACTTATTAATTCTAGGAAGTTTATTTTGTTGATTTTAAAATAATTCTTGAATATTTTGCATAGATAATTATGTCAGCTGTGAATAGGAGAATTTTTAGTTCTGGCTGACCAAACTATATGACTTTTATTTTGTTTTCTTGCTTTATTCCACTGGCTAGAACCTCCAGGAAAGGGTGAATGGAAGTGATAAGAAAAGTATTTGTATTACTCTTGATCTTAGGAGAAAAGTTTCCAGTTTTCACTATGAATTATAATGTTACCTTTATGTTTTTTGTAGATTCTCTTAATCAAGTTTTGAGAGTTGACTTCTAAAACTAGCTTGATAAGATTTTTTGGAATAAATGGGTATCATATTTTATCAATATTTCTTCTTTACATGTTTGGAAAAACTTGCCAGTGAAACCAATGGAACCTGGCTATTTCTCTTTTTTTTTTTTCCAGGTTATACACTATTATTTAAATATCTTTAATAGTTCTAAGACTATTCAAGTTATCTACTTCATCTAAGGTAAATTATAGTCATTGGTAATTTTCCAGGAATTGGTTCAATTTCTCTAAATTATTAAATTCTTTTACAAAGGTTGTTCATAATATTTTTCTATTGTTGTTTAATATTTGTGGAGTTGACAGTGAAAACTGCTAGTTTTCCATTGTGCATATTAGTAATGTGTGCTTACTAATTTGAAAAGGATGCTTTTTTCTTTTCTTTTCATTTGCCAGTGGGCAGTTTTATTAACATAATCATGAGCCTAAAGAAACACGAGGACATTCTAAGCATTGGTATAAAATGTTTTAATTTTATATAATCTCTCTATCTCTCTGTGATTCTTGGTACCCTTGGTACCAAAGAATGAACTTTCAGCTTCATTGCAAGTCTTTATTGTTATGTGATTTTGTGAAACCAACATTAACTGAAAGTCAAGATAATTATTTGCAATAATTAAATTAGAATAGAAATAGCTTAAAATAATGCCTTGCATGTAGCAAGCCCTAAATGAATACTAGCTTTATTAACCTACATCATTTATTTAATTTTATGCTTCATGAAAAAAATCACATGAAGAAAATATTATCATCCTTATTTTATATTAAAAGCTGATAAGTTTGAGTTGCAGAGAGATTAAACACTGTGCCCAAATTTAACTTACTTAGGTAATGGAAGAAATAGGATTCAACTGCAAGCTATATAATACAAAACCCATACTCTTTCCACTAAAATAAACCCTTTATAATATTTAGAAACAACCTACCTTTTTCTTTTCAGATCTCTAAAAAGACAGGAATGAGAAACTGTAACAAAGCCATTAGTTCTTTTTCAGATACAGTAGTCCCCTTCAATCTGAGGGAGATATGTTCCAAGACTGCCACTGCATGCCTGAAACCATAGATAGTACTGAACCATGTATATATATATTTACTATACATTCATACTTATGATAAAGATCAGTTTATAATTTAGGCACAGTAAGAGATTAACAATAACAACTAATAATAAAATGAAACAATTATAACGATATGTCAGCATCACCACTCTTGCTCTTTGGGGTCATTATTAAGTAAAATAAGAGATATTTGAATACAAGCACTGTTATACCATGATCTGATAACAGAGATGTCAACTAAGTGACTAAGAGTACTATGTACAGTGTTGCTATGCTGAAAAAAGGGATAATTCACATTCTGGGTGGGATTGAGTGGAATAGCACAAGATTTCATCATGCTACTTCAGAATGATGTGCACTTTAAAACTTAAGAATTTTTTTTCTAGAATATTCCATTTAATATTTTTGGACCATGGTTTGCTGCAGGTAACTGAGACCACAAAAAACTAAATCACAGATAAGGAAGGAGTGCTGTATATTAATTATTAATATGTCTACCAGTCTATGACTTGCCTATTTAATGGTGTTTTAGTTGAAAATTTTTTAAAGATTGCAATGTAGTACAATTCATTTTTTTATTTTTTATTGTTAGTGTTATGTATGTATGTTTGTATACACATCTTATTTTAAAAAACAAGATGTGTATATAACTCCCAGGTTGTGAAAATATTCTAAGTTTATCATATAGGAGTCTTATGGTTCTAGTATTTGTGAGAGTGTTTGTGTGTTGGGGGGGAGGTCTCCATCAAAAAATTTTTGGTATGGCATAAGATAATGGTCAAGATTTTTTTTTTGTGCATATGCATAGTTACAGCATCATTTTCTAAAAATATTAGGTTGGTGCAAAAGTAATTGCAGTTTTTGCCATTAAAAGCAATGTATCTGTTTCTGAACTCTCTATTCTGTTTTATTGGTATGTACGTCTACCTTGTGCCATATTGAAACCAGCGAATAAATATTATCTGAAATTATTCCTTTAAAAATTGTTTTGGCCATTATAGTTTATTTGCATTTCCAAATATATATTAGAATCATGTCAATTTCCTCAAAAAGCTTGCTGAAATTTTAATAGACATCTTATTCATTCATTATTTTGGTAGAACTGGCATTAAAAATATTGAATCTTCCAATACAGAAATGTGGTATACTTCTTTATTTATTTGGGACTTAACGTTTCATAGCAATATTTTGTAGCTTTCATTGTACATGTCAAATTTCTAGTCATCTGGTGTTTTTTATGTTATTAAGGTGGCATTTTATAGTTTAATTTCCTAGTTGCTTGTTGCTTCTGTATCAAATATCAGTAAAATATTAATATTCATATCCATAGGTACAGAAAAAGAACTTAATAAAATTCAAGCAATTCATGTAAAAAACACTTAGTGTATTAGTCTGCTTAGGCTGATATAACAAAATACCATAGACTGAGTGGCTTACACAACAGACATTTATTTCTCACAGTTCTGGAGACAGGGCAGTCCAAGATCAAGGGGCTCACTGATTTGATTTCTGGCGAGGAATATTCTTCAAACTTGCAGACAGCTGCCTTCCTGATGTCCTCAAGTTGAGAGACAGAGAGAAAGCACTAGTATCTCTTCCTGTTCTTACAAAAGCACTAAGTCCATCATGAGAGCCTTGTCCTCATTACCTCATCTAAACCTAATTATCCCTCAGACACTATATCTTCAAAAATTAGTGCTTCAACATTTTGAATTTTGGGAGATACAATTCAGCCCATAGCAATTAGCAAACTTCAAATTACAGATACTTTACTTCAATAAAAAAATCTACCCCCAGCCAGGCATGGTACCTCACGCCTGTAATCCCAGCACTTTGGGAGGCCAAGGCGGGCAGATCACTTGAGGTCAGGAGATCGAGTCCAGCCTGGCCAACATGGTGAAACCCCATCTCTACTAAAAATACAAAAATTAGCCAGGCATGATGGAAGATGCCTGTAATCCTAGCAACTTGGGAAGCTGAGGCAGGAGAATCACTTGAACCTGGGAGGCGGAAGTTGCATTGAGCTGAGATAGTGCCACTGCACTCCAGCCTGGGCAACAGAGTGAGACTCCATCTCATAAAAAAAAAAAAAAAGAAAAACTACGCCCAAAATGCTGCATAAAATATATTATATATTTATGTTGAACAACTGAAACACTTCTCTCTAAAATTATGGATAAGATGCAGAGATTCACTATCTCCACTTATATTAAGAGCTATATAGAAGGTTCTACCTAGTTCAATAAAATAAGGAAAAGAAATAACAAGTATTATAATCGGAAAATAAAAAGATGTTTTAACACTGTCAACATAACACACAAAAAATTTTACAGTCTTCACAGAAGATATTTTATAATGAATAATTTAGTGTAACAATTTTCTTGGATGCAATGTAAATATGGAAAATTATTTTATTTTATATATAGTTTCTTGTTTTTCAGTGTTCTTGGAAAAGGACACTGAGAAAATGCAGCTTCTAGAACAGAAAATAGCTGAATTAAAAAATTCACAGGATAGTATGTGGATCGTATAAGAGCAGATTAGACACTGAAGGAGAAAATTGTGGTCACCTGAATAAATAGCAAGAGAAACTGTTCAACTGAAAGTGCAGGTTGAAAAAAAATAAATAAATGAAGATAGCCTCTGTGACCATTGGAGAAAAGTAAAAGCACTGTTGCCTACGTATAATTGGAGTCCCAGGGGGAGAGGCAAAAATATTTGAAGTTATAATAGATAATAATACTTTTCAAATTTGATTAAAATATTAATGCCACCATGGTAGCTTTAAATATGTAACTAAAATTCTTTGACACTTTTTCTTTAAAGTGTTGGAGTACATATCTTTTCTCCTTAAATATGTTGGACTTAACTCTTTAAACCAACAGTATAGGGCAAGTGAAATTCTGTGATGTCTAGGATAAATGATGAAGTTTTGCCTAATTCTTTTGTGATGCTTGCTCCAGGAGAAGCAAAGTTTATGTAAAAATCCTAATATATCCTTCTTCCACCATGCCATAGAGGCCTTATGTACATGCTCTGGTAAACAACCCAGCTGGCTCCCAGCTGGCCACAAATTCCCATTGTTGGCTTTGTGAGTGAGCAAATTTAGACATCAACCTAGTTGGGGCTGTATAGTCATGCGTCACTTAATGAAAGATATGGTCTGAGACATATGTCTGTGATGGTTAAAACTGAGTGTCAACTTGATTGGATTGAAGGATGCAAAGTACTGATCCTGGGTATGTCTATGAAGGTGTTGCCAAAGGAAATTAACATTTGAGTCAGTGCGCTGGGAAAGGCAGACCCACCCTTAATCTGGGTGGGCACAAGCTAATCAGCTCCCAACACAGCTAGAATGTAAAGGAAGCAGAAAAACGTGAAAAGACTAGACTGACCTAGTCTCCCAAACTACATCCTTCTCCCATTCTGGATGTTTCCTGCCCTTGAACATTGGACTGCAGGTTCTTCAGATATGGAACTTGGACTGGCTCTTGTCGCTCCTCAGCTTGCAGGCAGCCTATTGAGGGAGCTTGTGATCATGTGAGTTAATACTTTAAAAACTCCCCCTTATTTATATGTATCTATCCTATTAGTTGTGTCCAACTAGAGGACCCTAATACAGGTTTTGGTATCAGGAGTGATTTTAGGAGAACAGAATATTAAGGGATGGGTTCTTTTGTTGGTTTTGGGGTTTCTGGAGTTGGCTGCTTAATATGATTAGACCCAAAAATGCTAAGGACTCTACTTCTAATAGTATGGAGAATGCTGATAGTCTTTTGTGTGAACTGTTTAGAGAGTTATGCACAAATAATGCATTTAACACTCCTGATTCACTGCTCATGAGAGGCAAGGAGCTTAGTGACCCTATTCATAATACCGTTGACCATATGTGAAGAGCCAAGGAACATAGTGAAGCTGGTTGGTAGCTCCTAAGCTTAGTGGACAAAGTGATGAAAGAAAATGATGAACACAGGGATTCTAATTCCCAGCTCCCGGAGAAGGCTCTGCAACAGGTCCAGGCTGCTGTGCAAGCTGCTCTTCCACTTGGGTCATAAGACCTAGCAGATCCAATGGTGCTTGGGGTGTCAGTGGCAGATAAGGATGCTGTTTGGAGCCTTTGGCTGTCCCCCATAGGCAAATCACAGCAGAGGCCTCTAGGATTTTAGAGCAAGGCCCTGCCATCTTCTGCAGATAACTACTCTCCTTTTGAGAGACAGCTCTTTGTCTGTTACTGGGCTTTGGTGGAAACTGAACCTTTGACTATGGGTCATCAAGTCACAATGTGAACCAAACTGCCTATAATGAACTGTGTGATTTCTAACCATCTAGCCACAAATTGGTTCATGCACAGCAGCATTTCTTCATCAATGTAATGGGGCTCAGGCAGGTTCTGAAGGCACAAGTAAGTTACATGAGGAAGTGGCCCAAATGCCCATGGCCTCTACTCCTGCCACCCTGCCTTCTGTCCCCCAGCCTGCACCAATGGCCCCATGGGGAGTTCCCTATGATCAGTTGACAGAGGAAGAGAAGACTAGGGCCTGGTTCACAGATGATTCTGCACAATATGCAGGCATCACCCGAAAGTGGATAGCTGCAGCACTGCAGCCCCTTTCTAGGACATCTCTGAAGGACAGCAGTGAAGGGAAATCTTCCCAGTGGACAGAACTTTGAGTAATGCACCTGGTTGTGCACTTTGCATGGAAGGAGAAATGGCTAGATATGCAATTATATATTAATTCATGGGCTGTAGCCAATTATTTGGCTGAATGGGCAGGGACTTGGAAAAAGCATGATTGCAAAATTGGCAACAAAGAAACTTAGGGAAGAAGTATGTGGATGGATCTCTCTGAGTGGTCAAAAACTGTGAAGATAATTGTATCTCATGTGAGTGCTCACCAACATGTGACCTCAGCAGAGGAGTATTTTAATAATCAAGCAGATAGGATGACCCATTCTGTGGACACCACTCAGTCTTTCTCCCCAGCAACCCCTGTCATAGCCCAATGGGTCCATGAACAAAGTGGCCATGGTGGCAGGAATGGGGGTTACACATGGCCTCAGCGACACGGACTTCCACTCACCAAAGCTGACCCGGCTAGGGCCACTGCTGAGTGCCCAATTTTCCAGCAGCAAAGACCAACACTGAGCCCTCCATATGGCACCATTCCTTGGGATGATCAGCCAGCTATCTGGTGGCAGGTTGATTATATTGGACCTCTTCCATCATAGAAAGGGCAGAGGTTTGTCCTCACTGGAATAGACACTTACTCCAGATATGGATTTGCCTATCCCGCATGCCATGCTTCTGCCAAGACTGCCATCTTTGAACTCACAGAATGCCTTATCCACTGTCATAGTATTCCACACAGCATTGTCTCTGACCAAGACACTCACTTTACAGTTAAAGAAGTGTGGGAGTGGGCTCGTGCTCATGGAATTAACTGGTCCTACCATATTCCCCATCATCCTGAAGCAGCTGGGTTGACAGAATGGTGGAATGGCCTTCTGAAGTTACAATTACAATGCCAACTAGGTGACAATACTTTGCAGGGCTGGGACAAAGTTCTTCAGAGGGCTATGTATGCTCTGAATCAGTGACCAATATATAGTGCTGTTTCTCCCATAGCCAGGATTCATGGGTCCAGGAATTAAGGGTTGGAAGTGGAAGTGGCACCATTCATGGGTAGCAGAAGAAGGTACTCATCAATACTAGCTATAACCACATGACCTGCTACAGAAATTAAGAGTGTAATTGTCATGAGTATTTCCTCTTTCTTTTGTTAAAAACATGTTTTTGCATGTATACACTTGTACTAAGGAAATATCTTCATTTTATTTCTTTTTTATCATGTGACATAAGATTCATTGACTTCATATCAGCATTTAAGTATTGTTAACTTTATGTAATAGTATTTGGATTGGGGATTGGTGCATTTCTGGTTGTAGAAAGGATAGGTGTATTATGTTAGGCATAAATATGACCTTACTATTGTCTTTATTTGAAGATTACTTATGATCTCAGGAGATGTGTATGGGTTCAAGTTGACAAAGGGTAAACTTGTGATAGTTAATACTGAGTGTCAAGATTAAATTTAATGATACAAAGTATTGATTCTGGGTGTTTCTGTGAGGGTGTTTCCAAAGGAGATTAACATTTGAGTCAATGGGCTGGGAAAGGCAGACTCACCCTTAATCTGTGTGGGCACCATCTAATCAGCTGCCAGCAAGGCTAGAATATACAGCAGTAAAAATATGAAAAAACTAGACTGTCTTAGCCTCCCAGCCTACATCTTTCTTCCTGGACTCCAATTTCTTTAGTTTTTGGGACTCGGACTGGCTCCCCTTGCTCCTCAGCTTGCAGATGGCCTATTGTGGGACCTTGTGATCCTATGAGTTCATAATTAATAAATGCTCCTTTATATATGTATATGTATCCTATTGGTTCTGTCCCTCTGGAGAACTCTGACTAATACAATGTCATTAGGCAATTTTTTCATTTTGTGAACATCCTAGAGTGTATTTACACAAATCTAGGTTGTATAACCTACTACACACCTAGACTATAATGGTATAGCCTATTGTGTTTAGGCTACAAGCCAGTAGAGCATGTTACTGTATGAAATACTATAGGCAATTGTTACAAAATGGTATTTGGGTATTTAGACATAGAAAAGATAATGTGCTGCACTACAATGTTACAACAGCTACTACAATGGCTACAACATCACTAGGCCATAGAGATTTTTCAGCTTCATTATAGTCTCATGGGACCACCATTTTGCATATTATCTGTCACTGACTGAAAATGTAGTTATGCGGCATATGACTGTACATGTCTGCAACAAAAATAATCAGTTCATTGCAACCATATGAGATAACTCAAGCAGAAATAGCTGACCTTCTTGAATTTCTGAACTCTCAAAATCGTAAGCCAAATAAAATTGCTATTTGAAGCCATCAAGTTTGAGGTAATTTGTAATGTAGCAATAGAAGTTAAAATGCCCAAAGACACAAGAAATTCAACAAACCTTAAGCAAGATGCACAAAATAAACAAACCACATCAAGGCATATCTCAAACAGATTCCTGAAAACTCAATAGAAATGGAAAATTACATAAGGAGATGATGGAAAAAGATACACGTAGAATGGAAAACAAGGTAAGAGTCATCACTGATACCTTAAGGAACAGCAAACCAGAAGACAGTGGAACAACATGGTTACTTTAACATGGTAAAAGAGAAAAATATCTGACAACCCAAAAAAAAGGTCTATGGAAAATGTAGGCAAAATGAAGACATTTTTACAGGAGGAAGAATTGAATCAAATTGTTGCCATTAGATCTGCCCTACAATAATGTTATAGAAAGCACCGTGTGCTAAAGGAAAGTAATAGATGGAAATTTAGATCTACCCAAAAGAATGAAGAGTGCTAGATATGGTACATCTGTGGTTTAATATTAAATACTTATTTTTTATTTAAAACATATCTTTAGAAGATAGCATGTCTTTAGGAGAAGATATGGTGTTAGTATCCTGGGACTGTCATAACTGCATGGCTTAAATAACAGAAATGTATTATTTTATACTTTTGAGGGCCAGAGGTCCAAATAAAAATGTTGGCAGGGTCCTTTTTCTAGAGCCTCTGAGGGAGAATTTATTTCATGTCTTTCCTGTAGCTTCTGGTGGGTGCTGGCAATCCTTGCATTTCTTTGCTTGTGGCCATCCTTCAATCTCTGTCTTGGTCTTTATGTGGAATTTTAGAAGGGTTTGTTTCAATTCTTCCTCTCTTTTCTCTTATAAGAATATCAATCATTGAATTTAGGGCTAACCCTAAATCCAGGATGACTTCATCCCAAGGTTATTACCATAATTATATCTTCAATAAACCCTATTTCCAAATAAAGTCACATTTACAGATGCAGAGATTAGAATTGGGGTAAATATTTTCGGAGGAACACTGTCCAACTCACTACAACTACTTAAAACAAAAATGAGAATAATTAATTTTTGTGAAATTAATTAATTAATTAATGAAAATAATTAATTATTATTTTGCAACAATAGCAAAAATAATGAAATAAGGAGACGGAAGTATGCCATTGAATGACGTTTTAATATTATGCATAGGCCGGGTGCGGTGGCTGAAGCCTGTAATCCCAGAACTTTGGGAGGCCTAGGCGGGTGGATCACTTAAGGTCAGAAGTTCGAGACCAGCTTGGCCAACGTGGTGAAACCCTGTCTTTATCGAAAATACAAAAAATTAGCCAGGCGTGTTGGTGTGTACCTGTAATCCCAGCTACTCAGGAGGCTGAGGCAGGAAAATCGCTTGAACCTGGGAGGCGGAAGTTGTAGTGAGCTGAGATTGTGCCATTGCAGTCCAGCCTGGGCAACAAGAGCAAAAACTCCATCAAAAAAAATAAAAAAATCCATAAACTCTTATTTTTTGAAAGTATACCCTCATAAATAAAAGATGCATTTTATAAATTCCAGGTCATGCAATACAAAATTAAGTAAATACATATAGCTAATAATCCAATAGAGGTAAATAAATAATTTTAAGAATACACATTCCAAGAAAAAAAAGGAAGTCAGGAAAGGTTAAAAAAAAAAAGAGAGAGAAAAAGAAAAAAAGCAAAGAACAGGCGAGGTAAATAAAAAAAATACATGCCAAGATGAATGACTAAAACCTAATGAAATTAAATATTACCTTAACTAGTTAAACATGCCAATTAAAAAAGAAAGAAGGTCAGACTGGATAAGAAAAGTAACACCTGCTGTCGAATCCATTTCAGATGTATAATAAATATACAGATTGAGATACAATTTTAAAAGGTGGAATATATATATTATACAAAGATAATTCATAAGGAAGTTGCAATAATTTTATTAATATCAGACAGAAGACATTAGAACAAGAAATATTCCAAAGATTCAGGGCAATGTTTAGTCATAATAAATGTGTCAATTTATCAAAAATAAATAATAATAAATGTGTTTATTTCTAATTACAGAGCTCCAAAATACATCAAGTGAAAACTTACAGAAATAAAGAGACAATGTTCCAACTATAGTTGGTGGTTTCAACCTTTCTATCACAAGATTTGATAGAATAGTTAGAAAATAAGTAAAGATAGCCAGGCGTGGTGGCTCACGCCTGTAATCCCAGCACTTTGGCAGACCAAGGCGGGTGGATCACCTGAGGTCAGGAGTTCGAGACCAGCCTGACTAACATGGAAAAACGTCATCTCTACTAAAAATACAAAAGTAGCTAGGTGTCGTGGCAGATGCCTTTAATCCCAGCTACTGGAGGGGCTGAGGCAGGAGAATCGCTCGAACCCAGGAGGTGGAGGTTGCAGTGAACCTGGATTGCACCATTGCACTCCAGCCTGGGCAACAAGAGTGAAACTCTATCTCAAAAAAAAAAAAAGAAAAGAGAAAATAAGTAAAGATATAGAATGCTTGAACAACACTATCAACCAACTGGACCTAATGGGTATTTACAGAGCTTTAAATGTGAAATTGGCAGAATACACTCTTATTTTCAAGTGTGCATGAAATGTTTCCCAAGATAGACTATGTTCTGGGCCCTAAGAGTCTTAATAAATTTTATAGAACTGAAATCCCTTGATGATTAGTTCTGACCACAGGTAGTTAAACTAGAACTTCAAATAACAATTTCTGCCTGGATTATTAAAATTACCTGGAAAACCCCTGGATATTTGGAAATTAAGCAGCACACTCTTCCGTGAGTTTCCTGTACTTGTAGATGTCTTGCTGCATAAACCAAGAATGAAAGGCCCTGACCACTCTTTACCTGGACAATTTCTCAGGCTTGCATTTGTAGTGAGCAATTTGGAAAAATAAAGTCATGTCTCTGGAACAAAAAGTAAGCTTTTGTACTGCTTTCTGTAAAAGTAGTGGATCCCCCAAACTTAGCATTTTTCCGCTGCTGCACTAATCGACTACATGCATAGCATCTCTTGGGGTCCCTTCATACAATTTCCATGGGATTTGGAGACCAGGGAAACTGATGCACACAAACTGACATTTATGTTAATTGTTATGCCTTGAGTAATAAGGCACAGGACTCTAAACCAGGAGTCTCGTATTTTCTGCTAGCATCCATGAAGCCATAATTAACTAACTTATTTAGCTTCTAAGGAAAGTAAAATGAAACCTCAGCCCTGGACAAAATCAAAACATTTTATAAAATTCTAAAATCTAAGTTTTTAAAAAAATTTTCAGGATAAAGAATGTGATTATTCTTCTTCTAAAGATATCTATCTGAGCAGCCAGAATCTCCCTGCCTACTTTCCTTCTATAGTTACTATTTGTTGTGTATGTCTCAGGAAATAACAAAACTTTATGAAAACTATTTTCTGAATGAAAAGTTAATTTAATGGACTTTGTATAGACTTTATAGTATTTTAGAGGGTACTTTGAAGTTGAGGATAAATTGGTAAGGCATTCAGTGTCTTTTTACATTGTTATGTAATGTTACTTCTCTTTTTCAGTGGGTCCAGTTTCTTTTCCTCAAAGAGGCACGTGTCATCAATATATAAGCAAATTCATTAAGTTTGCTAGTATGCCTAGAATTGCAGCCTCCTATGGGTTTTATACACACTCAGTAACTCCAGGTTATTTTGTGACAGTGGGTTTAGCTCTGCATAATCCTGCAACATGAAGTGCTATTGCAGGTGGAAGTCTGAAGTAACGCTTAAATGATTTATATGAATGTTAAACATGATTTCTGACAGGAAGAGAAAAAGACAGAGAAAGTGATTTCTTCCTTTTGTTATTAAAATATGGCACCATTAGGCTGGGCACTGTGGCTCACGCCTGTAATCCCGGCACTTTGGGAGGCTGAGGCGGGCAGATCACTTTAGGCCAGGAATTCCAGACTAGCCTGGCCAACATGGCAAAACCTCTTCTCTACTAAAAATACAAAAAATTAGCTGGGCATGGTGGTGCATACCTGTAGTCCCAGCTACTCAGGAGGCTGAGGCAGGAGAATGGCTTGAACCCAGGGGGTGGCGGTTGCAGTGAGCTGAGATCACCCCACTGCACTCCAGCCTGGGTTACAGAGCAAGACTCCATCTCAAAATAATAATAATAATAATAATAATAATAATAAAATAAATATTACACTTTTAGTGGCATTCAGGATGAGGAAATAATTTATGTAAAATATTTAAAAATTATAAAACAAAACTACCTTAGCAAAGATAATTGAGAGAGAGGTTTACATAAGAACCATTTCATTGGCTGAGTCTGGTGGCTCAAGTCTGTAATCCCAGCACTTTGGGAGGCCGAGGCAGGCAGATCACGAGGTCAGGAGGTCGAGATCATCTTGGCAAACATGGTGAAACCCAGGTTCTACCAAAAATACAAAAATTAGCCAGGTGTGGTGCTGCGTGCCTGAAATCCCAGCCACTCCAGATGCTGAGGCAGGAGAATCGCTTGAATCAGGGAGTCAGAGGTTGCAGTGAGCCGAGATCGTACCACTGCACTCCAGCCTGGTGACAGAGCGAGACTCTGTCTCAAAAAAAAAAAAAGAACCATTTCACCATTTCATTAAATTATATAAGGCAGTAATTTTTCATTATGAAAATTAAGTCTTTTAAATATATTGTTATTTAAGATGACTTTCAAGCATCTTATTAAAATATTTTAAGAAATATTTCTCAATACGCATTATTGAGGTGAGAATTTAACTTAAACCTTAGCTAAGAAATATTTTTCTTATGAATGCAGATTAAAAGTAGTTTTTAATTGATTTAAAAAATTGGCCCCATTTAAAAAAATCTAATCCTTTTATTTTTCAACTTAGTAGAGGTACACAAAATTGAATTCAATTGTTAAAGGTCAGAAGTAAACATTTCTTTGTATTTGAATAGGCTGCTTTATCTGTTAATTTGCAAATATAATGGAAGAGACACCTACCATAGTCAGGATTTATCATTCAGAACGTGTTCATTAAAGGTGTAACACTTAATCTGACCTAACACCATCAGAGTAAGTGTTACACCATTAAAGGGCACTTTATATAGTGATTAAAAAAAAAAAAACTTCAGCGAAATTAAATTTAAAGGAGTTTAATTGAGCAATGAGTGATTTGTGAATCAGGCAGCCCCCAGAATCACAGCGGATTCACAGAACAGAGACTCCAGAGATGCCTCATGGGCAAAACAGATTTATAGACAAAAAAGGTAAAGTGACGTACAGGAATCGGAAGTGATGTATAGAAACAGTGAGATTGGTTACAATTCTGTGGTTGCCTCATTTGAATGCAGTTTGAAAATTCACCAGTCTATGAGTGGTTGAAGTATGGCAGCTGTGATTGGCCAACACTCAGCTATTGTTACAGGTGTATGCTAAGAAGTTAGGTTTTCAATTTTGTCTATTAAGCTAGGTTACACAAGGACTCAAATATAGAAGTACGGAGTCCTTATCAGGCCACATTTAGTTTGCTTTAACAATAAGATACAGACTCATGCTTATACGTAATTGTATAAAAAATAAAAAAAAAAAATGGTATTAGAAGTGAAGCCAGCTGAGCTTCTGGGTCCAGTGGGGACTTGGAGACCTTTTCTGTCTAGCTATAGGATTATAAACACACCAATCAGTACTCTGTAAAATGAACCAATCAGCACTCTGTAAAAACGAACTAATCAGCACTCTGTAAAATGGACCAATCAGTGCTCTGCAAAATGGACCAATCAGCAGGATGTGGGCAGGGCCAAATAAGGGAATAAAAGCTGGCCACCAGCAGCAACAGTGGCAATCCGCTGAGGTCCCCTTCGCTGTTGTGGGAGCTTTGTTCTTTCGCTCTTCCTAATAAATCTTGCTGCGGCTCACTCTTTGGGTCCTTATTACCTTTAAGAGCTGTAACACTCACTAGGAAGGTCTGCAGTTTCAGTCCTGAAGTCAGTGAGACCACGAACCCACCGGGAGAAATAAACAACTCCAGATGCGCCAACTTTAAGAGCTGTAACACTCACCACGAGGGTCAGTGGCTTCATTCTTGAAGTCAGTGAGATCAGGAACCCTCCGGAAGGAACCAATTCCGGACACAATAGCATTTACTTTTCTAATAGATAATTTGCCTGCTATGTTGTGTATGCCTAACTCACTTTGAATTTGAAGGCATAACTATTTCAAAAAGAAACCAATGTAAAGATTTTTCTGCAAATATAGGTTCTTTGTAATTTGAAAGTGTTTCATAAAACAGTTGTTAAGAAGCCTACATATTCCATGAGATTTTAAAAAATTTATGTACTATACCAGATGTGAATGTTAGTTTTATCTATATACATAGCTTCCGATTTTTTTCCCCTAAAATAATATTGATACAACTCTGATGAGTGGAGAAACACCAGGTTCTTCATCTCCAGGCGAATTAGAAAAAACAATATGGACACACGTGGAGAAGTTTTAAGGAGCAGGGAGTTTAATAGGCAAGAAAGAAGGGGGAAGACAAAAAGAAGAACCTGCCCAGGAACAGAGAGGGAGGAGGACTCCAAAGCTGAGAGACAGAAGCCCACCTGCTACGGATACCAGCCAGGTATATATGTAGTGGTTGGAGGAGGCGGGGTCTGATTCGCATATGGCTCAGGAGATTGGTTTGACTAGGCATGTCATTCACGTAGCCAGTGAAAAAGCTGGCCCACCCACCGCAGTCTTTTAATACGCAAATGCAGGTCGCCATGATGTTCTCCACACGTGGGGATACCTGGGGGATACATGGAGGCAGCCACGTTGCCAGTAACGTGTAGGGCAAAGGCAAGAAAGCCATGGGAATTGCGATGTTGGGTGGACCCAGTTTCTAACGCCTGGTATTTGCATATTAAAAGTTGCTGGCCTGACTCTAAGAGCTGGGGCTTTACAAGAAACTTTACTGGAGGTGCTTTAAAAAATGAAAACTTCCCAAGGACCCCTTTTCCTTTCTATCTGCCTAAAATACTTTCTTAATAACTCCTACAATAATATTAATCAAGATTACCTTTAGGTCATTTTTCATGCTTTGTAGGAAAAACAGGTGCATGCTGATTCACCATATTGATCTTGCTTATTTAGCTAGTGGGCTGTATCATAGCACTTATTCAGATTACATGAATATGGGAAAAAAATAGAAATGAATGCATCTGTTTTTCTGTCAGATCATTGGTATATTAATTGAATTAATTAGTAATAAAACTTGGTTATGATTTAATTGTTGTTATTGTTATCCTCAGTATACCACTGACTTCAAGTTTCTCCAGCAGTGAACTGTATTACTTTGAATTTAGTGTAGGGCTTGTAGTGCTGCGAGTGTTTTCTCAGTGTCCCTACTTTACTTCAGTTATCAATAGTATCTTCATGCCTATATCAGCCACTGCACTACATCGGTCTCTGGCACTTCTGCATATCTTGTGAGTAGAGGCACTGGCAGACTTTTTTTTCCAACTGCGTTTTCTTGGATATTTGTATAGCCAACAGCCTTGGAGGACTGGATGTCCTCCAAGGACAGATTTGCTTACTGTTTAGTATAATAAAGTTTCCCTTTTATGCAGCCCATTTTTAAAGATTGAAGTTTCCTAAGCTCAACATTCCTCATCTGTGAGACAAACCCACTGCATGTGTAGGATTGACCAGGTTGCTCCATGTATTCTTCATGAGACTTGGAGCGGAGGGAGAGCAAGGGCAAGGGCAACCATTAAAATGAAACAAATACTGTTTGTTGTTCTGGGAGTAATAAAGTTCTTTGGCTCTAACCCAGGAGTCTCATATCTTCTGTTAGCATCCATAAAACTGTAGCATGCTTAACTAGCTTGCTTGATAGTAAAATCTCAGAACTTCTAAACTTTTTTTTTTTTCTTTGGAGACAGGGTCTCACTCTGTCACCCAGACTGGAGTGCAGTGGCTCGATCTCGGCTCACTGCAACCTCCGCCACCCAGGATCAAGTGATTCTCCTGCCTCAGCCTCTGGAGAAACTGGGATTACAGGCACACTCCAGTACCTCCTGGCTAATTTTTGTATTTTTAGTGGAGACAGGGTTTCACCATGATGGCCGGGCTGGTCTTGAACTCCTGACCTCAAATAATATGCCTGTCTTGGCCCCCCAAAGTGCTGGGATTACAGGCGTGAGCCACTGCGCCCAGCTGAACTTCTTTATTTCTTTACATACTTTATGCCCTTGCCCTTCTCCCAGCATTAAACTGCTGTTGCTTGTTAGGGGCTGCTAAGCTTATTGCAGTAGCAGAGAGAGTATTTTGTTGTTGTTGTTGTTGTTTGTTCGTTTTTGCCAAGATCTAGCTCCAGCACTGCTGCCCTTCCTCTCCGGGGAAGCCAAACAGTACC
Source organism: Homo sapiens (assembly GCF_000001405.40). Classification (NCBI taxonomy): domain Eukaryota; kingdom Metazoa; phylum Chordata; class Mammalia; order Primates; family Hominidae; genus Homo; species Homo sapiens. The sequence goes on from NC_000012.12 coordinate 85,949,176, forward strand.
TTGTATTATTTCTGGTTGATTTTGGGCAGGGGAGTCTCCTATTCCTGCCTCAGTGGTAGTAGATCACAGTTTGTTATTGTTGTATGATTCTTTACCCAAGAGAGTTTCTTGGCCTTTCAGCCAATGAAAATATGTATTTATCTTCAGCTCTTCAGTTTCACTGGGTTTTTTGCAATGTCTGGAGAGCCAGAGGCTTTTCCCTACCGGAGAGGCAATTTTGTTTCTGCTCTTCCATAGAAGCAGTGGCTCTTTGCATATTATCTGGTGGCAAAAGAATTAGTTGCCTTCCTCCAGGGCTTAGGATTTTTGCATAAGAAGGAAGTATCCATTGAAGTGGGCAGGTTTCCTTTTCCTGAATCCCCACAGCAGACAAATGCTATTTGCACATTTGCAACACTAAAAGAAGCTTTTCCTGTTCTTTTGTATTACCTTCAACTTTCTAGTGAGCACCTAGTTGCAAACTCCCCTTATGTCTGGGAATCTCAGCTATTGAGAATCGACATTTTCATGCAAACTTGGCCTTTAATAATTTGTTTAATTTTTAGCTGATTTTTTTCTTTCATGGGCATGTAGTGGTCATCTCTTTCTCCCATGTCCTACAGAAGGTTAATGTGTCTATATTTCCTTTTGGAGCTCCATTTTCCTGGTTGCTTTCTGTTCTCTTCTCTCTGATGGATTCACAAAAAGTTATGATTTGTGTACATTATCCAGATTCTTCTCATTTTTCAATTGAGTGCAACATTATTTAATAGATTTCTACAATTCTAAATGGAAGCATTTTCTAATATTTTTAAAATTGATAACTGTATATAAATAGTTGCATTTGAGTGACCAAGAGTAGTAGCTAGAGTATTTCCATTTATACCTCACTTCCACAAGGTATATACAGATTAATTCCAGCATAAAGAAGGCTATTTCCAAACCTCTTAATGCAGAGTTTAATTTAACATTGTTTTAAGTATTTAGTGAAGCAAATAGCTACTTCAGTATGTGTCTATCAACCTAAAAACATAATGAAGAAGTAAGTACTGAATATAGTAGCTCGTCTTTTGTTCTTTATATTAATTACCTGAATAATGTAAATCAGGTAATGTTATACACAGATGGGTATTTTCTAGGTTTTCTTCTAGGATTTTTATAGGTTGAGGTCTTACTTTTAAATTGAGTAAATTTTTGAGTTAATTTTTGTATATGATGATAGGTAGAAGTCCAATTTCATTCTTATGCATGTCGATAGCCAAGTAATTCTGATGCCATTTATTGAATAGGGAGCACTTTCCCCATTGCTTATTTTTGTCAACTTTTTTGAATATCAGATGGTTGCAGGAGTGTGGCTTTATTTCTGGATTCTTTCTTCTGTTCCTTTGGTCTATGTGCCTATTTTTGTACCACTGCTATGCCGTTATGGTTACTGTAGACTCATAGTATAGTTTGATATAAGGTAATGGGATGCTTCCGGATTTATTCTTTTTGCTTAGATTGCTTTGGCTATTTGGGCTCCTTTTTCTTTCCATATGAATTTAGAATAGTGTTTTCCAGTTTCTAAAAACTGACATTGATAGTTTGAAGGAATAGCATGAATCTGCAGATTGCTTTGGTCAATATGGACATTTTAACAATATTGACTCCTTCAATACCTGAGCTTGGAATGTTTTCCCATTTGTTTGTTTCATCGATGATTTCTTTCACTAGTGTTTTGTAGTTCTCCTTGTAGCGTTCTTTCATCTCCTTGGTGAGATGTATTCCTAAGGTTTTTGTTGTTTGTTTGTTTTCTGGTGGTGACTATTGTAAATGGGATTGGGATTGTGTTATTGATTTCGCTCTCAGTTTGAATGTGATTGGTGTATAGAAATGCAACTGTTTTTTTAATGTTTATTTTGTATTCTGAAAATTTATTGAAATTGTTTGTCAGTTTCTAGGAGCCTTTTGATGGAGTCTTTAGGGTTTTCTAGGTATAGAATCACAACATCAGCAAAGAGATAGTTTAACTTCTCTTCCTATTTGGATACCTTTTATTTCTTTCTCTTGCCTGATTGTTCTGGCTAGGACTTCCAGTACTATGTTGAATAGGAGTCCTCTCCAATGTCTTAAACATTCTTAAACCATTGAAATAAGGTTAAAATTAACTCTTAGAAATGTTTGAACAGAAAAGTAAATAAACATAGATAGATTTGAGGAATGTGTAGGAGAACCAAGAAGGTCACACAAACCTTATTGTATGGGGCAGGGGTGGAGGTGGTGATGGTTATGGAATGAGGAGCTCCAGTAACTCTGGAGACCTGTCTTTTCAATTTCCTACAAGGAGAGTCATTGTCCATTCTGAGGTACAAACCCACCTATTCCAGAACACTTGTATCATAACACATGCCTTTGTAATTAGCAAGAATGAGATTATATTTAGTAGATTTTAAGAAAAGGATAAACTATTGTCTTTTAATTATGTTGAAAAATAGACTGTACTTGGTAAGTTAATGAAAAATAAATATTCTTATTCTAGAAAATGGTGCAGTAAATAAATTTTACGATAATTCTAAAACAGACACATTTCTCCTACTCTTAGGATTATAATATCCATTATTGAAATTAAAAATTACAAATAGTTGATTCCTGTTGTGACAAACGAGCTAGAAGAGAATTACTTCTAGCTAGAAGAGTTTTTCTAGTTTTTTATATAACCTAACAGAAAAACCCCAAAGGCTTGATGGGAGGATAATAAATATGAATAAAACGTGTAAATCAAACACAAACATTTAAAATATATATTTGTGGGAAAAGAAAGCTAGAAAGATAATAATTCATTGAGTGAAATTAGTACCTTCATGTTTGCCTGGCTTATTATTTGCATTATATTGCCATCTGGAGGTAAAAGTAGGTGTTGCTATCAGAAAGCCTGTATAAGATCAGATACATAAATTTACTACAAGAGATAAGAAAATAACATATGTTGTTATTTTAAGTCCAGGATCCTATAAACCATATTTTAAGACTGAAAGGAGGATTAACTCCTTAGGCATAAAACAGTGGAGCTACAATCAAGAACCTCAATTAGTCTATCTGGTATTTCAATTTACTGATTCTCTAGTGATGCTCAGTGCTTTCTGTGTGTTCACAGGCTGAAAACACAGGAAAGTCACACTTAGAATGATTAGGAAATGGTTGTGTTAGGGTTCTCTAGAGAAAGTGAATCAAGAGAACTTGTATATCATATATAGATTAATAAGAGAAGATTTATTGTGGAAATTGGCTCACATGATTATGGAGGTCAAGAAGCCCCACAGTATGCCATCTACAAGCTGGAGGGCAAGAAAAGTTGGTAGTGTTACTCAGCCCGAGTCCATAGGCCTGAGAACAGGAGCAGAGGTGGAGGTTGGGGGATCTTTGTGAGTCTTGGAGCCCAAAGGCTCAAAAACCAGGAGTTCTGATGTCTGAGGGCAAGAGAAAACAGATGTTCCCCTTAAGAAAAAAACAAATTTCCCCTTTGCCTTTTTGTTCCAACTAGGGTCTCAACAGGTTGAATGATGCCCAACCACATTGTCGAGGGTGATGTTCTTTACTCAGTCTACTGATTCAAATGCTAATCTCTTCTGCAAACAGCATCATGGGCACACCCAGAAATAATGTTTTACCAGCTATCTGGATATCCCTTAATCCAGTCAAGTTAACATAAAATCAATCATCACAATGGTTATTCTATTTTAAGGCTTCATAATTGAGCTAACCCCATGAAATTCCTATTTCTAAAAAAAAAAAGAAAAGAAAAAAATTCTTTTTTATATGACTTTTCCAAGGTATTGTGCAGTTGCATAATAACACAAACTCTGTTGGATATGTTAATAAGAAATAGTTTATTAAACTTTGAATTGCCTCCTTTCTTAAGAAAATAATCAAGAAATAAGGCATTTTAATGATCAAAGTCTGTTTTTGTGTTAAACCTTGTTTTAGAAAGTAAAATCTTTACATCCATATGTGAATACTCAAACATTGATGAGAATGGTAAATTGCCAAATTTTAATTGGATGTCTACTGACCAAAAATCATATAATAAATGTTGAATTTTTTAGAAAAAATATTACTATTAGCAACATATTTGTGTTTTCTTTCTAAAATTTGGAGTGAACATAAAGGTTTCATTTTGATTAATAGTTTCTTTCATTACTAGTAAGGGCATCACAGTATCATATATCCTTATTTATAAACATTAGGACATATAGAGGAAGAAAGAAAGGCTGGGATGTATCACAAATTGAAATATTCACAACTAATCCGGGAACACCAGGATGTATGGTGACCCTAGCAATGGCCCATATTGACAATTTCCTGAATCTCATTTTGGCCTTATATACAGGTTAGTTCTTGGAACTTATGTTAAATATTATCTGTTATTGTATTGAAAGAAGCTAAACAGTTCATAGCTTTTTTTTTTGCAGTAGTGCAATTTTTACCAATCCAAATGTATTTTTGGCTTTGTTAATAGGTGGCTCATTTATTGACTGATCAACCATTAGTAATCACTCTCAGCTCGGTAATATTATTGAGAGTAGAAAATTTTACCCTGGAATACTAAAGCTAGTGTTTTCAGTTTCAAGTAGCACATTGAGGTCATGACTAATGAGATATATATATATATTTGAGTATCATACATTCATCAGAACTTTGGATAGTTACTCTTTTACATTTTTATGTGTGTTTTTTTTTGTTTACTTGTTTTGTTCTTGTTACATAAACATCACTTGTGGTATGGAAGAGCAAGAAGACAACATAAAATCTGAGGGTAATTGAGGAGAGATGTTATTGCTCAGGCATGCGACTTTAAGTGTGTGTGTGTGTGTGTGTGTGTGTGTGTGTGTGTGTGTGTATGCCTGTGTTCCATCTTTCCTTTGTTTTTCCCTCTGAGAGCCAGGTGGCTTTTATTCAGTTTGCTAATTCAGTGAAGCAAATGCAGTCTTATGGTGGCCTCAGCAGTGCAGTAGTCCCTCAATATTTTCCTAATTTTTCTGATGATTGGTTTTGTTTTGTGGACAGAGATTCCTCTGGCTTTATTTAACAAGTCAGACTCCTGAAGAAAATATGGGAGGAAGAGGAACAGGTATTCCTAACATTTAAGTTAGGTAGGATTAGAGTCATTGGGTCATCTTTTGGGGAACACGCCAAGAAAGAAAATGGAATAAAATTTGAGATTGCAAAGAAGTTAAGATGATTTTTCTGTTAACACTTCATATAAGAATGAATAATCGAAATTTCAAGTTGGAAATTTGTTAAAATAGTGGTTCAATTTAACCATCAATTTAAAATTTAAAATAATACTGAAAATTCAGATTCAATTTTGTCTGCCCCTACATCAGTGCAGGGTTATTTCAATTCCAACAAAAACATCCACAGCTTCACAAATGTCTGTTTGATGAATCATGAGAAAAGTTACTATGCAGCTTAATCAACTTACTCTTCATTAGGCATAGTTACCTTTAAGGAGTTTGATAAACAGTATTGTTGATAGCAAACTCCATTCATGTTTTTATTTAAATTTTTAAATATTGACTACTGTTTTGTGTGACTTTTTTTCTTTTTCTTTTTTTTAGATGGAGTTTCCCTCTTGTTGCCCAGACTGGAATGCAGTGGCTCGATCTGGGCTCACTGCAACCTCAGCCTCCTGCACTCAAGCGGTTCACCTGCCTTAGCCTCCTGAGTAGCTGGGAGGCATGTGCTACCATGCCCGGTTAATTTTGTATTATTAGTAGAGACGGGGTGTCTCCATGTTGGTCAGGCTGGTCTCGAACTCCCGACCTCAGGTGATCCACCTGCCTCGGTCTCCCAAAATTCTGGGATTATAGGCGTGAGCCACTGTGCCTGGCCACACATTCTTTTTTAATTATTTTTTTTCTTTTCTAATACTCTCATAAAGCAAAATGGTAACGAGAATGAAACAAAATTAAAATTTTGATTTATATAATGCTATTGTAATTAATATATTTGTGCTTTTCCTTTCTAAAGTAAATATTTGGTCATATAATTAGAATTTTTCATACACTTTTATAAAACATTCAGAACTTCAAAGTATATTCAAAGTAAAACTCACTGGGAAAAAAATTCTTTGGGGCATTCATATTGGGAAGTGTAAAATTCAACCACTAGATGGTGGAACTAATCCAGGTATCTATAATTAAATCATCCTCACAAAATCTCTTCTAATTTTTGAAAGTTCAGTTATTTTATTTTTCTGAGTCAATTTTTACTTTTTATTTAGTATAACATTTAATTCAGCATATTAATCATTTCTGGTTTTGTGCTTGTTCATCTATTTTTCACTCATATAGAAATTTTTATTTCTATGACCACGTGATTTAAAATGAAAGAATAGAATAAATATTTTCCCCCATTTCAAGTGAATCATAAAATTCTCTCATTTATGACCTTTATAGTTAGCTTAAGACAAATAACATCTGTTTTTTTTTCTTTTGGAGACAAGTACAAGATTCAGAAGATGAAAGCAAATATTTATAAAAGAAACCACAATGTATTTATGCTGTTTAGCCTTCATAATTTCAAACAATTCTGAATTTGTTGCTTCAAATGAATAATAAATTGCAGACACAGGTATTAAAGCCATCAAGCATACTGGTTCACCATGTTGCAGACTTTAAAAAAATACAGGACAAAGGTTTACAATAACTATTTGTGCTAGCTAATGAAGAAACCTCTAGATAATCAGTTTTACATAATTTTTGTGTATATACATTTCAATCAGTAAATATCAACTACAAGGTTAGTGCAATTACACTTGTTAGGGCACAGAGAATATTGGTATTTTTGATGAAATTAAGTCCATGAATACATATAGTAAAATGTAGAGGTTTTCAATTGGTTTACAGGAAGTCTGATTTTTACAAAACTAGATTAATGAAAAATCACGACTGAAATCACTCTTTCAATAACAAAAGATATATTTGTATGGTAGCTAGTTTAATTGGATTTGTTTTTCAAATTTGGACATAACCTTCAACATTGTGTGGAACACAGTGAGAAGTATAATGATTTTTTCCTGAAAACCCTGTCTTTTACTATGCAAACATGCAAGCATCAGATTTTTAATCAAACCAATTGGCTGCCATCTGTGACACTGGCAGAAAACTGAAAGTGTTGATTTATTTATTACTTGGTTTTGTTGAAAAAACTAGGTGACTCATTTATGCTAACATGGGAATCTGATTCTCAATAACTTCGGTGTTTTGTTTGTCCTTAGACAATAGAGATAATATATTCATTATGTTTCCATTTTAGTTACCTCAAGGTAAAATTTATAGAACTGTTGGACCAATTGAAAAACTTACTAAAATATGGTTTTGGGACACCTGTTGGGAACATTTACAGATCATTTTTTGGATTACATTTAGTCTTTAGAAAATATTTGATTCAATCAAACAGCATTACTTGGTATGGTGTAGAGAAAACAAAAATGTCATAACAATTTCAGTTTTCAGCCTGTCTTGTAAGATTTAACCCAAGCTACAGTGGGAAAACCACATAATTAGTCAATAAATCATGAGCCCAAAGTCTATCCTCAACCAATCTAATCATGCACATGTGAAACAATATCAAAGACTAGAGAAACATAATTTATGACATGAGATTGAAGGTGACTCTGAATCAACAGAATTTTATTTTTCTTTTACCGTGGCCCAAGTAATGTTTGAAGTAACCTTGCTTGGGAAGCTTTGTTGAATTGACACAAGCACAGAAATACACCAATAAGCACATACCAAAGTCAATTCTGAAATGAGTTACAAAACTGTTCAGTGGTGGTCTTCCTATTGTAACAGCTGATTTCATGGCTATGTGGAACCATTGGTTGGACACATAAAATGAGAGTATGTAGATGCGAGCCCTTTGCTGCTGGCAAAGCTTTAAAAATATGTTATTATTTTGTTATTATCTATATTTCCTCATAGCAGCTCCTCTTAAAGACTGTTAGTCAGAACTCAGTTGTTTATAAAAGAAATAGTAATAACATGCTACCTGGGCTAAAAGCAGGAAGTTGAGGAAAGTTTATGTTTAATTTTTATTTTATTTTCTTCATCTGTAAATAAAGTCATATTATTTGTGAAAGACCAAGGCCAAGGATCTTGCCCCTCATTCTATAATGAGGTCATCTCATATTATTTATTGCAAAAATCCCAGAAATTAATTATATTTGGGTCTCATTGAAGGGCATGGGCCAGAGATATGCATACAGAAATTGTCCCTCTAGCCTTCCTTTCATGACATGCATGAACTCTAGCAGTGGCTAGAAGGAAATTAATGGTTTGGGAGGTTGAGCAACAGACTTTGAGAGTTATTATTAAGCATGCTACATATATCTGTTAGCTGTGAAGGAAGACAAAAATTGACCTTTATCCTACTATCCTCCTTCTAGCTATGGCTGAAGATAGCTCTGTTATGTCAAATAAAACCACAGATTTTCTTTTACTGTAGAGTTGAATAAGAAAGCAAAAAAAAAAAAAAAAGAAAAAAGAAAAAAAAAATCTATCAATCCTGAAAAGAGTGAATCTAGACAGATCATATGGTAAAAATACAAACTGAACTCCTTCAGCTAAGGGGTTAATCGGTCAGGGTAGTGCAGGTGGTGCATGCATTTAATAATAGTTTAAGATATTAAATAATTAAATAGGTAATGGGAACCACCTTTATTTATTGGCTTTTGTTGCTTTTTCTCCAAGAAAATTTGGAATGTTTTCATCTGACATAAATTATTTTACTTAGGTTATCTTTATTTGAGTGAGAGACTTGTCATTAATGTACAGCAAAATTTACAAGTCACCATTCTTCCAAATACAAGACTGAATTGTTTACAGTTTTTCTAAGTGTTTTTGTGTGTGTGTGTGTGTGTGTGTGTGTGTGTTTGTTTGCTTGTTTTTGTTTTGAGACAGAGTCTTGCTCTGTTGTCCAGGCTGGAGTGCAGTGGCATAATCTCTGCTTACCAAAACCTCCGACTCCCAGATTCAAGTGATTATCCTGCCTCGGCCGCCTGAGTAGCTAGGACCACAGGCGTGCTCTACCACACTCAGATAATGTTTTGTATTTTTAGTAGAGATGGAGTTTCACCTTGTTGGTCAGGCTGGTCTTGAGCTCCTGATTTCAGGAGTTCTTGGCCTCTCAAAGTACCGGGATTACAGGCATGAGCCACCACGCCTGGCCAGTTTTTAAAGTATTTCATACAGTGTAACTAGGCAGTCAGAAATACCTGTATCTCAAATTCATTTAACTTTTCAATGAATCAATCTTCTTATTTTCTCAGACATATAAATTATCATAATACTTTACATTGAGTCTCTATGGTTGACTATATGCTGTGAAGGAAGGACATAAATACATGTGAGGAAACAATTATTGATATTTTTAAACTAACTAGAAAGCACCAAGTTATTTGTTAAATAAACAAAGTTAATTTTATCTACCTGTTCAGTAAGTGTTGGCAACTATGAATTAATCTTTGACAAATTCACTTACAACTAGCAATTTTAAAGACTTAAAGTTTAATTTTTATTATTAAAAGGGTATGATTATTTTTACTAAAATTAATAAAAAGATTAACTGTTACTAAATTAAAGCTCCTTCAAAAACATAAATGTATTCTTTAGAGAGTTAAAAAAAGTAGCAATAAAATACATTTTTAATTTAGTTAAGCTTACTTAACTAATGATCAAATAGATTAAGTTGTATAAAATTTTACAAACTTTATATTTTTGCATACACTTATCTTCCTGGCATTTTTGAAATAAAAAAAATACAAGTGCATAGGGCAGAGGAGGCGATTCAGTTACTTCTGCTATGTTATTAAATCTCTGGTAACCACTATACAATACAATACAATACAATACAATACAATACAATACAATACAATACAATACAATACAATACATGTAGACTCAGCATCCAAACTTTATTTTACCTTCAAGTTCTACCTGATAAAGTGGTGGAATAAAGATGGTATTTTCCATAACTGTTTAATAATAATCACATGTTTTATACCCATTGCTTTGAAGAAGAAACCTTAAGCAACTAGAAATGTCAATCTAAAAGGCAGAAAAGCTGGAAAAATCTCATGAAGACTAGAAGATTTACACTCATAAGATCATGTAAATTTATTTGGATATGCTGAAAAAAGAGGGGGTATAAAATCTAAAGTTTGGTAAATCTTTGCTTTACAGGGCTTCAAGTTATAGATTTTTCTTTTTTCCTTTTCTCTTCCCCTTTCTCTCTCTTTCTCTTTTTTATTTTTGCCATTTCTTCTCAGGAGCCCCTGCAATTTCAAACCTTGGAATTGAATTGGATTTGAGGAGGAAAACCCATATTCAGCTTTAATTCAAATGAATTTTACTACTTTAGACAAAGGTACAACACTCTATTCAAAAAAGTTATTGAAATCACATCTTTAAATCTGACCCAGCCACTTGAATAAATAAGTTGTGTTGTAGTTTCTCAGAGCAACCGCCGCTCATCTTTCACTCACCTTAACAATTTCTCACTTTTTTCTGCTTTTTTTTTTTTTTTATTTTCTGCTTGCTGAAATCGAGATCAATATTCATTGTTTTCTTCTGGGTTAACTCTTTTTTATGTTAACTGAATCAATTTTGGCTTTGTTTCTTTATGAAATTACTTTTAGATAAAGTATTGATATTGTCATTTATCAATTTTATTATATGTCTTTTGCTTATTAAAGGATTAAAATCCACCTCTAAACTTATTTAGATCAAGGTCAGTTTTTTTACTCCTCTGTAGAACTGTGAAGATAATATCCTATTCTCCTTTTCTTATGGTTTTATTGTGAAGATCTGTGCAAATAGCTATATAAAATGCAATTCGGTATTAAAGAAAATTGTTGCACGGACTACATTGATTAGAGTCTAATTTTTGGAAAGTATACTTCGCCTTTTCAGTAATTTTATTTTTCGGTCTATGGTGCCCACATTGTGTCACCAGCCAGCCGTATGCAGACTTACAAAGGACTACCCACTAAGAATAAAAACATGATACAACTTGAAGAAATTTTCATCAAACGTCTTTGTCTTATCCCCTTGTTATACAGACAAAGATGACAAGGGCCGAAAAGGAAGTGATTTTCTCATTGAATAAGAGAATCCGAACTGGCATCGAGGATATCTAATTTTGGGATGAAAATTGAGAGAAGACAGAATTTCAAGTCTGAATTATGACTTCACTACTGTGTCGTCATTGGTAGAATAAGGATAACAATACTTATCACACAGATTTGTGGTCTGAATCACATGAGAGACATAGATGAAAAATGTAAAACAACAATTAGCATGTGACATGCTCTCAGCAAATCAATTAATCCTTCATTCTTTTTTTCTCCCCTTACTCCTTTGATTTTCAGACTAATTTGGATCATGATTATTGGCCTGTGTCCCACCCATTATTCACATATAGAATGGGTTGCATTATCCTCTCCTTGGAAATATCTTTCAAAGTGGGTAATGAGAAAACTACTTTGAAGACTGTGCTGAAGGAAATGATGGCATGAACAACTCTAGATAATTTTTGTTTATTTGGATATAACGTGAATGGGCCCATACCATAAACTCCTATTAAGCTGAATCACCAAAAAAAAATTTGATATGAAAGTCATACATTGAAAAAATTCACTCTTACCACTGATTTGATTGATACTGAGCCTGTAAATATTTATTTATATGATGTTTGGCACTTTATTTTATAAAACTACCCTTTACTTAAAATAAATCATTGTATTCACATAACTTTCCAGGGCACTATGCATTTTTAAACAAGACAGTCAACTTACTATTTAAAAAACAAAGTCAGTCACCTAAATGACTTTCTGACTATAAATTTGAAAACAATATTCTCCTTGTAATATATGTGCCACCAGGGCAAGAATTACAAATTGGGAGCAGGTAAGAAAATTGTTGTTGACTCTCATTAGTATTCTAATTCTCCTTCAGTCAGATTTATAAAGTATGACCTATAGCATCCAACTCCATCATTTTCCAGTCATTCTTGAGACTGTCAACTCTATGGGCATTGTTTAGCAGCCTCGAAACACTGAACTTTTTACAGTCTTATTGGAGAGAAAAACACATTAAATGATCAAATAATCTTTTATGAGCTCAGAAAAAAATGCCTAACATGAACATTTAAGCATCTTCTGTTTCTGTGATTCCCATTTTTGGAGAGTAAAAATTTAAGAAACAAAGGGAATGTGTCTGGGGATGGTACTAATAATATTGAGATTTTACAATTTAGGTTATAATCAAGATAATTATGTATATATATAAAATTATATATGGTATAGTTTCAACTTCTAATCTTTTATCATCCTCTACCACATAATTCCTCCTATATTCTCTTTTTCTGACTGTGGCCTAATACCTCAAGAATATTGTATATGCTTGTCACTATATAAACTTCACCCTAAGGAAATTTCCATGTCAGATACAATAAGAGCAACGGAAGAAAATGTATCAAAACACATCTCCAATTTATTTGAATTTTTCTGGCCTAACCTTGTTGGCATGAGAGTTCCCACTTTGTATTATAATAGGCAAATTGATACACACTTTTCATTTATTCTAAATAATAGATTAGCATAGTCAGGAGGCTTGGATTGGCAGCTATTAAATACAATTTGAAGCCGTGGGATTTTATTAGGATTCTAAGGTTATTCTGTGACGATGGAACTTAATGATGTAAGAGTTAATTACCCATTGTCAAAAATCATTGCCCATCAAAGCAGTGAGACTGTGTGCTATGTCCAGTTTTATTCATTTCTTTTGTGTATCTGAATGGAACATGTGGTAAACACAACAGTAGAATATACCTACAGTCCCCTTAGAAACTCTTAAATCTTCAATTTATAAAAGTCATCCTAAGACGTTAAAAATAACTTACGAAAGGATAGATTCCAATGTCAGTGGGTGAGATGTGCTCTAGCTAGTGTGCACGAAAGAGAACATGGAGTTAGAATAATTATTGTAGGACTGTAGATTGTCATCTCAAGATCAGTGTCAAATACATTCATTCATGTAGTATTTTCACATGCATTCTGGTCTAAATATCCCAACATATCTTTCGTTTTGAGATCTGCAGAACAAAGTCAATGTCTGAATTTAGAGACTAATTTGACCATTTTGATTCAAATGTCTAAAGGCTAAACCAGAGCAATTTACAACATCCAATGAAGTAAAATTATATAATTAATTATATAATTATATAATTATATAAAATTTTATAATTAATTATAAAATAAAATATTAACAATAATTGAACATTGTTTACTTTTTTATCCTCACAACAATTCAACATGATATGTATGGTTATTACTAAATGTATAATACATTTAGTAATGTGATTTGACAAATCACATTTGTCAAATAAGGAATGGCTGAATTAAATGATTGAATGAAGGAGTGAAGGATGTAGATTGTTTAAGTACATTCAACTTGTAATGAACTGTAAACTTCACCCATAACATTATTAATATATCAGTGCTATCAACTACATTTTACATAGGATGAAAAAAATCATTATTTTTATTAATCCCAAGATATTTTATTTCATTATATAAATGAAATATTTTATCTGTTATAAAGACCTTTATTTTTGTTCCACTCATTAAATAACATGGTAAGACTGTTGTGTAATTGACTGAATAGTTAAGTCTAAATGGGTAAATAGCTGTTTATGTTAGTATTGCAGGGTAGCTATTTGATAATGAAATATACTTTTCTTACCTACTTGCAAAAAAAATTACATAAACAAGTATTTCCTAGAGTTCAAACACTGATCTTTTTAAGTGGCAAATTGTCCAAAAGAATTTAATTAATATAAACAATAAATTCACTTAAACAACTATTTACATGCAAAAGTAATATTTTTATTGCCCATTTGGAAAATAGTTTTGCTTTCTGGTTTATAAGGAACTTTTACTAGTTTAATTACTTGGGTGCTTTAAATGTTTTTTGGAGGCTATTACAAAATCACATCCTAAAATTTTAAAATGGAAAAATTATAATAATTGAATTTTTAATTCCTCATAAATATTTTAAAAGTACACATTGTTCCATGGCTTTTGCCTTTAGAATAAATACAACATTTTTATGTAGAAATATATTCTTGAAATGTAACTAGCACATAGTCAGTGTTTCTTAACCATTTTGGGGTCCTGAAACTTTTTGATAATGATGAAAGCACAGAGATGCTATCAAGAAAAATTTACCCACATAGGAACACACACACATACACACAGACACACACAGAGTTTGCTTATAAGCTCAGGAAGCTTAAAGATCTGCTAAAGATTATGCTTGGGTTTGCCATGAATCATAAATACCAAGTCAAATACCTTTGAATTTGATTCTTAACAAATCTTTGTGGCTGAGAAACCATGAGATTTCATTCTGGCATGTCCCCAGAATGTAATTATCAATGAACAATAGCCATTGAAAAAATCTGAACAGATATTATTGAGGCTCAAGGTTGTTTAATGGCACAGATAATATAATTCAAATCATGACCCCAGGGCTGATGAAGTCTTGTTGTAACGTGTAAATGGGGTGGGTGATGGGAGAGAGAAAACAAAATAATTATTTATGTTAAATCATACATAAACAGTAAAGCCAACACAATAAGTAAAATAAGAGAAAGTAGAATGCTTGGGAGGTCATATGTTTCAAATGTATGCATACACAAAAGAGTAAGCAACAGGATACTTCAAGAGTAAAATGGGAAAAAATCATATTGGGTAAATAGTATCACCCCAAAGTGATAGTCAAAAGTACCTATGTTTGCCTAGTTCTCAGATTACAACTATGATGATAATTTAGATAAACAAGCAGAAAACAAAACTATAGAAAAAAGTCAAAGTGACATAAAACAATTACTGGTGTTTCAACAGAAATAAACCCAACATCAGGATTTATCAAATATATGAAAAATTATGAAAGATTATAAAACACCAATGATTAGATTATGTTATAAAGACACTATGAAGAGATACTAAATGATATTCTTTTCATCTGTGGTTACTGCTAAAAAATTCTTTCATAGAAATTCTTGGATTTTGAAATTAGTTTAATTCCAAAATATTTTCTTTATTTTGCAAAAATGTAAGACAAATGTATAGGATATTTTTCTCTGTTGTTATGCAAGGATTTATTATCACATTGGCCACAGAACACATAGAATGTTAGTTTTGTAGAAAATTTTAGAGATTTTAATACCAGGATGAAATAATAGTATCATTCTATTTCAGGTTCTTAAGCAACATTCCTAAGACTAGAACCTTATCTTGAAAAATTATGATTTTAAACTTAAGGGAATTCAGGTAAAGGAAATTGACTAGGTTAAGGCAAATACATCATGTTTACTGGTAAAGATAACATTATTTAAGGAAGGTAAGATACTCTTATCCTACATATACGCCAGAAAAATTGCTTCTCCTCTGAAAACTACCATTATTTTTGCCAAATATTGTAGCTTAGTTTTAAGTTTTTCTCGGCTGTTTCCTCTGACAGTTCTGTGGTAAAGAAGAAACATTATAGGAAGCATTTTTTTTTCCTACAGAGTCTGCCATATGGAGAAGTAGAATGAGAGGCCACCTAGGTAATGTGATTTATTAAAAGTTCTCCATCCCAAAATATATGTCCCATCTGTGGGCTAATGTCTGAAAGTCCTATGATTAAACTCACTTTTATGTAAGATAGTGAGGCCCCAGAGAGCCCTCGAGAAATGCAAATAAACTATTACTGACCTCCCTTGGATTATGATGAAAACCGTGGAGTCTTTCTATTCTCTGTCAAATGTGGAGGTCATGGATCCTTCTTGGCACCTAAGATTAAAACTCATAGAATGTGCTTTAACTTCTGTAGGCACATTTCCTTTCCAATTAGAGTGAGGTGTTGAATATTTATTTATTTGTTTATTTTTATTATACTTTAAGTTTTAGGGTACATGTGCATAACGTGCAGGTTTGTTACATATGTATACATGTGCCATGTTGGTGTTCTGCATCTTAAGAGAAGACTATTTATAAAATTTATTGCTTGTAAGATTTGTTTTTTGTTCTCTTACTATTATGAAAATCACGAACTTGGGAATAAGGACACTCTGGGCCCGGCGCGGTGGCTCACGCATGTAATCCCAGCACTTTGTGAGGCCGAGGCGGGAGGATCACGAGGTCAGGAGATCGAGAGCATCCTGGCTAACAAGGTGAAACCCCGTCTCTACTAAAAATACAAAAAATTAGCCGGGCGTGGTGGCGGGCGCCTGTACTCCCAGCTACTCGGGAGGCTGAGGCAGGAGAATGGCGTGACCCCAGGAGGTGGAACTTGCAGTGAGCGGAGATAGTGCCACTGCAGTCCGGCCTGGGCAAAAGAGTGAGACTCTGTCTCAAAAAAAAAAAAAAAAAAAAAAAAGGACACTCTGAACAATTGAACAAGACTACGCTGAAAGGCAGAGAAGAAGTAATTATGAACAAACTGTTCATGAAGTGATCAATTGAATTTGAAACAGAACTTTTCCTAGCTTCTAAATGATTAGAAATTTCAGCTTTGGTTTAACTTAAAAACTTAGAATTGTCAATTCTGTCCAAGTCTCTGAGTCATGTACAGAACTCAAATTATTACATCATTTTTTTACTTATCTGTATTATTTCTCCATTTAAAAGTGGACAAATTTTTATACTATATCCTAATAATGATACAAGGTGACTTGTAGGACTCTGGATAGAAAGAGATGGCCCAGGATACAGAGGGCACTCCTTAAATAGCTGCCAAATAAATGACATTAAAAAATGTATAAAAAGGTATGTTAAGTAATTAAAAGTGTCAGGCATTATTTTCCTATTATGAGACATTTTATATTATGGTTATTTACTGTAATTGCATCCAAAATAATTCATAAAACATTTATTTTTGTACTATTAAAAATCTAAACAATAATAACCAGATGGAGGAAAATGATACCATCTGATTTAATTATTAACTTGAAGGTCAGTTTCTACAACTTATTCTCATTTATGTTTATCTGATTTGGCCACAGTTTCTTACTTTCTCATATTTTGCTAAGCTTGTGGATGAAGCCGCATGTCTCTTTTTTTTTTAACCTGGCATATAACACTGTCACTCTATTTAATTATTACCCATCATCTACCTACTTTGAAACTTTGGAGGTTTTATAAAAATTATGAGTATTTAATCAAAGTTGTCTCTTTATCATTTGCCAGTGAAAATATAAAACCTGGCTGTTTTATTCTATTGTGCACTCTAATTACATAACCAAAATCTTTTTAAAAATTCTTAGTTCTTTTAGAAATACCATTTGACCCAGCCATCCCATTACTGGGTATATACCCAAAGGATTATAAATCATGCTTCTATAAAGACACATGCACACGTATGTTTATTGCGGCACTATTCACAATAGCAAAGACTTGGAACCAATCCAAATGTCCAACAATGATAGACTGGATTAAGAAAATGTGGCACATATACACCATGGAATACTATGCAGCCATAAAAAATGATGAGTTCATGTCCTTTGTAGGGACATGGATGAAGCTGGAAACCATCATTCTCAGCAAACTATTGCAACGACAAAAAAACCAAACACTGCATGTTCTCATAGGTGGGAACTGAACATTGAGAACACATAGACACAGGAAGGGGAACATCACACACTGGGCCTGTTGTGGGGTCAGGGGAGGGGGGAGGGATAGCATTAGGAGATATACCTAATGTTAAATGACGAGTTAATGGGTGCAGCACACCAACATGGCACAGGTATACATATGTAACAAACCTGCAAGTTGTGCACATGTACCCTAAAACTTAAAGTATAATAATAAAAAAATTCTTAGTTATTTGAAAATAGTTTTTTTGAATTCACAAACTTGCAGGATGAAAAAAGTTATTAGTTCCTGAAGATATAACATTGATTTGTCTTTTTCTTATTTGATATCAGCTAGCAGTAAAATTGTGAACAAATCTGGTAAATCTTTTGGTGTTGCAGGTTCATAATCAGTTAATTGAGTGTATTCACTATAAATTGCTTTAATTAAGTGATGTTTGCCTAAGAACAAGTTTCATTTCATCTCATGAAAAAAATGTTACTTTTTGTATTAATCAGTGGAATGTTTAAAGAAAAAACTGGTTATCTTGAAGCTGTCAAATAATTATAAGAAATCTCTATACATTACGTTTTAAAATACATAAAACCCATAAATTCAAGCTTATTAGTTTTCATTTTCAGCAAGGTTTATACAGAGAAAATAAGTAATACAAATTAGTTTTCCAGAAAATCTAATTTTATGCAGATAAAATCTGAAAATCATATAAGTCCAAGATGAAACTGATCTCAAATTATTATTTTGAGGTGTATCCATTTATTTAAAAAAGCCTCATTTTAGCTAGCAACACTATGTAGAAAAATATTTTAAATAAGACAGAGCATTAAAATAATGTATTCATTGATCTCATAAAGAATAGATGATCAGATTTTTTAAAAGTGATTTTAATTAAATGGACATGTTTCTCTTTAGCCAGAAATGACTGAGAAATTTTGAGTTGGAATTGATATAGGGGAATCCTTGGAACTATGTGTGAATATGTGTGTGTGAATTATCTGTGTATATTTACATAATTTACACTATTCACAGTCCTTGTTTTTCTTGACTCAAATAGCTATCTCAAGTTTCGTACACTTTTTAGATCTCTATGTAAATACATTATTTCATTTGTGGAAATATATTGAGGCCTATATCAATAACCTCAAACCTTTTAAACACTTAGAGCAAGTCAATATGACTTGTTCTGTTTCAGCTATCTGAAATTTAAAAATTTGACAAATTTTTAAAGTACCCAGTTCTTGGAAAAAGAAAAACAAATAAATTGGAGATTTGGATCATATGGGCTATGACTAAATGAGACAAGGCATACATGCTGACATTTGAAGGATTTATGAAAAAAAGTCCACTGTGGAAAACTGATAGTTTTTCTCCTTCTTTCTTGAATATGTTTAGTTAATTTTGTGGAAAGAGGAAGGCAGCTCAGTTTACAAACAGCAGTGGGTTGAAGGCAATGCTGTTTATATTCTTGAATTTCAATATCTACAAAGATGTCATCATTAGATTTTATGTGTTAAAAAGTGGATTTATAGTCTCTAATTAATAAGGTGCATATGTCAAGACTCAGGAAAACAGATCACTTACGTAGTTCTCCAAAAACGAGAGTCCCAGATTCAATAGGAAGGCATGCAGAGTGTTCTCTATAAACCCAGCAAAACCATAAAAATTGACTGGAACTTTTATTTTTCAGTACAACAATAATAGTATTGAAATACCTAAAAAGGGCAGGAAACAACACAGAATAATCTACGCTTGTCATCATGTTTTCTAATCTATAATCTTTCAAACTGGATAAATGGGAAGTTTTGGAATTTTACTGTGGTACAGTCTTAGTTGCTCCGTGGTTGTCAAATCTGTCTGCACATTAGGATCACTTAGGAAGAATTTTAAAAGTATGCTGATGCCTGGAAACTCCAGAACAATTATGATAACTCTGAGCATGGAGCTCAGGAATGGGTGAAATTCTTCCCCAGAGATGTTAATGAACAGCCAGACTTAAAAACTAGTAATTTAGACAAGTGTGAGCAGAGGTTAATAATGTTGAGATGAACTGGGCTTAATATTTCACTAACAAGGTCAGAGTTTTGATACATCACTTAACTCAAACTTTGAGATTCTTCATCACTGAAGTAGCAATAATAATAGTCATTTCTGTTTTAATACTTCATAGACTTGTAAGGATGTAATGTAGTGTTTCTAAAAGGAGTGAATGGACAATCTGCATCAGTGTTAACTAAAATACATTGAAAGTGCCAATTCCTAGATCTATCCTAGATTTACAGGGAAGAATTCAGTAGTCTGAAACACACATTTTCAATATATTGAAAAGATGATTCTTTTGCATGATGACTTGTTATAATCATTACTTTCATAGGTAATGGAAGTACCGATTAGGAGAGTACCAAATACATATTAAACACTCAGTTCATGTAAGCTATAGGCCAATAAACACAACTTTGGGGTTTACTGATGTTTTCCAACATCCGAAATAATAGCTGAAATTTAGAAACATAGTTAATCACACAAAAAATGTTGCATACATACTGTCTAACTACCAGTTTGGTATGTTTGGGGCTGGTGTTATGAAAGACTATTATATGATTAATACAAAGTTATAATTTTTGGAGTCTTTTAGTGTACCCAGAGCCCATGAGTTTTTATTTTCTTTTTGGAATAACAGAAATTAGGTTGTGGTTCAGTGGAATTACAGAAGCAAGTGTTTTAGATGTTCAAGTTTAAAAAATGAGAAAAAAATGTTTTACATGAAGAAACTAATTATTTAAATTCATTTTTCAACTATTTAATGTTATTTTAATATAGTCATATCATCCAGAAAATCCCATCTTAGACAAATGGGTTTTCAATAAATTATTATTATAGTTAGGAGGCAATGTATAATAGTGATAAGGGGCATAGATTTTGAATTACACAAACCTGAAATCCAATGCTCTCTCTTTCATTTATTAGTTATGTGACCTTGGACAAGTTAGTAAAACCCTATTTTTCATATGCTCTTTAGCTTTTTTAATACCTCTTACCTTATATGGTTGTTTAATCTATTAAATAGACAGTGAAATGCACATGAAATCTTCACACAGTGTCTCATAGTTGCTTGGAACATATTTATGTAGTAAGCATTGTTCTTGGCTGAGCTTACATTAAGTGATCTGTAAATTAGAAGTTATTTGTTATATTTGTTTCGTTTCCTTATTGCCCTAGATGCCTTTTCTCTGGACCTAGATAATTTAGTCTCACTCTGTGGCCTTTACCCTTCAATAAATATGGATTATTAATATAATTTAGCTACATAATTCCTAAGGAAATATTAATTCATAAAGATTGTTAAATTGAACTGAATATCTTTGCTAAGTCACAGGCATTGATTAAATTAGATAAAATTGTCATTTTCCATTGATTTTGTTTATATAAATAATATTGAATTATTTATATTCTTATTTAGTCTAGTAGATTGACAGGCAGTTTTATTAAGAAATGAATCAAATGGTAAATTTTGAATCATCTGGTAAAAATGGACAAAATTTAGTTTTATCTTGTGGTCTGGAAATACACCCTAAATTATTGGGTCAAGTTAGTGAAAACTGTTAAATTGATTATGAACGTAGGCACATTACTTATAAATCCCCTTATGCTAACTTAAAACTTGTGAATGTTTAGTGTTATCCAGCTATAATTCTTCTAAACATGTCTTGTAATTTTTAAGTTTGCATGAAAATAACTCCATCCTGAGTATACTCATTTCAATAAATTATTTGTCCTGAGCATACTGTAAGAAATTTAGTAAAGTACTAATTGAATTTAGTGATTAGACTGTGATTAGACTATTACAAATTCACAGTGCTTGTACAATTCAGATATTATTTTGCTTTGAAGTCAAATAGAGGAACCTTAAATAATTTAAATAAAAATAATTGTTTTTATTAAAGTTTATACAGCAAGATAATAAATTCACTAATGTGAAATGTTGATATAGTATGTACAACTTGTTTCTTAAGTTACTAAAAATGTATTTTCCTACCTACATAATGTCAATCTCTATTGCTCCTAACACATGAGTGGCTAAAATTGCAAACTTAATCACATAAATAATGAGATTAAAGTTAAAATGAAAAAGTGGTATGAGGACTATTGTTTGTGTTAAGTGAAATTATACCTTGTAAAATTTCATATTATGAGAGCAATATGTAAATTTCATTGCAACAATGGTTATTCAATTTACTGATGAAAATCAGAAGAATGTTGAAAAATTAGTGCATTTATAATAAATTTAATTATTCATAAAAAATTAACATTGATATATATATTCATAAGGATAAAAGATATCAAAATAATTAAACAAATTTCACTTTCTTCTTATAAAAGAAAATAATTTTTATGGTAACTAATTTTAGTAGTGCATCAGATCAACACTATTGGGCACCCAGTTATTTGGTGGTACGCTGAGTGAAAATATGTAGCTTTATCTACATTACCTTGGTTTGGACAACTGAAAAATTTGCTAGGAAACAAATATTACAAAATATGTTGTTAACTTTTCAAAGATGATCGGTTTAGATTGCTTTAACTTGAAGGACACTTATATTTTGTATCACTTTTGTAGCAAACACATGACTCATCATTGCCCAAATCAATTGCCCAAATCAATTCAAACATCTCATTGTAGTTCATCCCATGGCAGAAAAGTGTTTATCCACTTAGTAAAATGGAAAACACTAGAGCTTCAGGTTTAATTTGAAATTTTAACTTCATTAAGAATAAACTTGACCTGTTTGTTCTAGTAAGTAAAAACACTAGATACGTACCAAAATTGTCTTTTGACCCTCTCAGGGAGTCAAGTTTTGATTTGCTTGAATACAAGCAAGTCGAGCTATGGTAATTTGCAATGCTGACAGGAAAGAAGAACTTGCTTGAGGCAAAATCATGAAGTACAACTTTTCCTCTGCATCCTTTTACCTCATGTTTGTAACATTTCCCCTGTTGTTATTTTTACACATCTGGATGCTCAGAAAGGCCTCCTTACCACAATAATTGAAAGGAGTACTTTGTCAATAGTCAGAATTGAATGAGAGATAGGTTGTTGGGAATATTCAGGGTGAATGTGTCTTTTCTACTTTGACTATATTTACCATTGACTACAGTAACTCAGCAGAAAGTTAGAGGGCAGCATACATACATTGGTTTATGGATTTAATGAAAATATCCCCAACCATTACATTACAGACAATTCATATATATGTCTTGAAAATCTTCTTGACAATTTGTGACAAATTTTCTAAATGTTTTTCCAAAAATAGTTGGTTCTTGTAAGTGATTTTGATATGACTGATTACCAAATTATGGTGGGTAAAGATGCCACATGCAACAGAAAATGTGTCTAATTATGTTTGTTTTAGAGCTTAAGAAATGTTAAGAAGAGAAGTTACAACTGCATTAATAGGATTTTAATTTTTATTCAAAATGGACAACTTATTTATTATGTACTTCTACACACAGCTAAGCTTATAGATATTTTCATTTAAAGAAAAACTATTTGTTCATTTTATTAGCAGATATCAAATGCCCTTTTGAAAATTGAGACTGATTTCTAAAACAAAAAAAAAGACTTTAGGAGTTTTAATTATTTTTAATATATTGCTTCTTTATTAAAAAAAGATACAATCCTTCAATGTCATTCAACAGTATTAATTGTTAAAGTGTGGGATATAGTTTACATTACCGAGTTTATTTTCTAAGGGTAGTGAATAACTCCTGACAACTACTGATATCGTCACATGGTCCTTTAGTGACCAAAAATGCACAGTTGTAAGAATGCAAGTGTTACTTGTATTGAAAACCGGATTACATTAAAGGATGGACAATTATGATAAAGGATCTGAGATAATTGGACAATTATGATAAAGGATCTGAGATAATTATTCTAACTTTTTGGAACTATACTTTCACTCATTGATGAAGTAAGTTACAACGTGGAATAACAAAGTTTAAGTGTGGCAGAAAATACATACATATGTTTAAAAGTAGGGAAAATTTTATCAATTATTAAAGATGGAAAAAATAGGACTATGTCAAATAGTTAAACAAATGTGGGGTATTTTATGGAGAAAAGAGGCATGTACTACCTTAAACATTTTCCAATTGGAACATACTATAGACAAAACTGACAGATTATTATTCAATGAGAAACCTGACTCAGATGAAGTTACAAAAAAAGTACTTTTTAAATGTCTAGTTTCTAATAGAGTTAGAGCTTTGTTGATTGAGATATGTGGAACTGCCACATATCTCTGTGCCATACTTTTGGTACCTTCATAATAAACGGTAAAGTGAGGGAAAGGGTGGAAGAGACAAATCCTACGTCTCTTCCAGAACTTCGAGTGCACTATAAATTAAATATTTAAAATATTTTTGCAATAGTTAGCTTTCAATTATGAACACTCTCAGCCTCTATTGCTTTATATATGCATTTATTTTGGTAATTTTTATACATCAAAACTATAATTACCTGTATTTGGGCAGAATGATTTAGGTTATGCCAGCTATTGTGGTTAAAGCTGTAGTAACTTACAGTACATTGAAATTATAGACTAAGGTTCTGAATATTGGTAACTCACTGTTGTTGTGCACCTTTAAACAACTCTTAAATAAAGTAATGATTCTCTTTATATTAAATTTAATGTATGTGTGCCTCATGGAAATTTGTATTTTATAGAAAAATATTGAATATTTTATTATTATGTCTTTGGCTCACCTACTTTAAGGAGATGGCTACTTAGGGTACTTTTTAATCCAATATAATGTGAAAATTTGATCATGCTATATTCTTAATTTAATTGTACTTCTATGGTCATATACAATTTACCTATCACTTTCTCACATAATCAATTTAACTTTTTGGTAAATCTTCTAAGAGACCGTCTAGACAGAGTGAAATGAAAGCTGAAACAACAGTCAAATCAAAAACTGCTTTGGTCTCAAATCCATGTTTTTCAGAAAAGATATTCAGATCCAGTTATCTGGCAAATGGTCTCAAACATACATTTCAATTTCAATGTTAAAAATAGGATATTAAACATCTCAGAAAATATTGGGATTATTGAAGCAAATTCTACCCTGGACTTGGAGTAAATGTGATGAACAGATTAATGAGGTGGAAGGGACTAGAACTTTGGGAAAGTGCAACCTTGTTATCTTAATATTTTTATAGCTTAGAAAGAGAATGCTATGCAACTCATATTTTGATCTTTTAATGTTAAAGAATTCAAATAAAAACCATAAACCTGAAACTCTAAAAGAAAAATTCTGTTTTGAGAGAGATGGCCTCCTCTAGTACACTTTTAATAAATTTAAAGTATCTAAAAGGATGCACAAAGATCTCTAATGTGCTGTGATTTTCAAAGGATGTCATGTATAAAAGATTTGAGTGAGAACATGAAAGCAAAAGCAAGTTCAGAAGAGGAACACAACCAGGAGGACAGTGTGTCAGGAAAATCCAAGAATAAGTGGAGGTGTAAAGGCTAAAAAATAATGCAAATGGTGCATATCCTTCTGTCTTTCTCTCATACACACAGACACACTTACACAACACATATACAAATACATACATGTATATATGTATATATATACACAAATATACACACATATTCACATAATATTCAAGTATGTATACATATATACACATATGTACATACACATATGTATATATACATACACACAGATTGAGAGATTAACCATATGTAGATACACACATGCACATATGCAATAATGAAATCATTTCAAAGCATGCCAAAAAGTAATAAAAGATATATCCTCTGTTTGGGATAAATAAAAAAAAAGTTTAAAAGCAAACAAAAAATAAATGGCAATAACTAATCACATTGAATTTTGTTATGGCCTTTTTCTTCCTAAAAAGAATAACCCCAATCTGAACAAAGAAATTCAAAGTAATGGAAAACTCAACAATGAAACTCAAAGTAGACTAGCAGATAAGATACCTATTTCAAACATCAGTGCCAAGGTAATTTATAGGTCAGTGCATTGATAACTTTTGCCAATGATAGAAAAGATGCCAGAGAACCGGATCCTGACATTAAAAAAAAAAAGTAAAAAGATTCTGAAGACTGCATTTCTGAGCTTAAGGTAGATTCTAAACAACATCTTAGAAACTAGGAAATGACTTTATGTTTCTTTGTTTTTCAATGTAAATGGATCAAGATTTCTTAAAACAGAAATGAATATTATTATTTGTGATGAGAGCACTAGGGGCAATTTTGATATTTTTGATAAGGTTTCTAGAGTAATAAATTAGAATGACAGGAATATATATTGATTTTAGGAAAGTGTCTGTATAATTCCACATGATATTCTCTGGACAAAATATGAAAAGGTAGGCTGAATAACATTTTTAAAGGGCAGTAAATTTTATAATTGTTATTGATTACAATGAAGGCCTCTGGTAATGTTTTCCAGGGTCATATCCTGTTACATATACGTGACATGGATAAAAAGGAAACAAATATTTATTGTGTGCCTAGTTTATGTTATCTCAATTCCAGCTCTACAAGGAGCTACAAGGTAAAATTGCTACCTTTAAAAACATATGAGGTAAAATTATTCCTATTCACAGATGTAGAAACTGAGTTTCAAGAAGGTTAAGTAAATTTCCTCATATTGGGAGGCTGGTAATGCAGAACTGGGTGTCAAAATCAAGTCTGTATGAACCTTCTGTTTTGTCTCCCATGAAGACAAAAGGCATGCATATAAAATTTGTTGAAACACAAAGCTGAGGAGGCATAATAAGACGTGGAATGACAGAAGCAAGATCTAGAAAGTTTGGGATCATGAATCAAAAGAAACAGGATAAAATTATCCTAAAATTAATATTAAATCTTACAAGAAACCCCCCAAAATCAGTTGAATTTGTACAAAACGGTAAATCATTTTATCAGTAGATCCCATAATAAATATTATAAAGTTTAAGTGTGAGCTCTATTACTCAGTAATATGATGCCATTACTGTGTTGATGGATGTATTGTCAAGGAAAAAGAAGAGAATTACACACTGTTTCCTTCAATTGTTAGATGGCACTGGATGTAGTGTTTTCAATGTTAATCCTGGTATCATGTTCTTTGCCATAAACTTGTTGACAAATTGGCAAATACTGACATGAAATATGCCAATATTTGAGCATCTAAAAATGTAGGTACTTTCCATACCACATCATATATTACAATTTGAAAATGTTTGTTTCATTTTTTATATAATTATTATACAGAACAGTTTTTCTATGATAGCATTATAAAAATTCCCAGAGAATACTGGCCCAGTAAGAAATGGAATGTTCACAACTCATAGTGTAGCTATATGAAAGAAATAGATCTAAACGACAGGTTGGTTTCCAAATTATATTTTCATACCTGGAAAATATCTACTTTATAAATAGCACAAAGTTATAGTTTTCAATGAATATGAAAAAGTTCTTGCATTAACATATTTTATGTATCTTTTATATTGACATTTGTGATTGCCACTAAAATGTGTATTTTCTAAATTTCATTGTGCTTTTACAAGATACTTTTTTCTTTGATGTCCATAACTGCTGAAAAGGCTCCCCTAAGGAGAATTTTAAGACTAAGTAAGGTTTTTAGTGAGCTTAAATTATACAATTCTGAGGCATTATTTAAGGTGCATACTGTATTTTTTGCTTGAAACCTGTCAGCATTTTATTTGTATGGCAATTAAATGACTCAGCCATTCATGTCTCATGCCAGTCTTTTTCAATTGTTATTTTTAACAAAGAAAATTATATATATATGTATATATATATTATATATATGTATATATGTATTATATATGTATATATATATAAACTTACAGCAAAAATGTTTAAAAATAGCAAATAGTTTGAGTATAGTTAAACCTAATAACTGTACTTTTGTTTCTATGCCTCTGAGACAAGATTACTAGACCCTTATTCAAAGTTTCTAAATATAGGAAATAGAACATTGGGCCATGCTAAAAAAATTGTTCAGATTTTCTTTTGAAAGAGAATAGTTATTTTTCCTCCTGACCTCTAATGAAGATGCTTTATTTGTCAAGGTGTTTTCCTTAGAAAATTGACCCAGTGTCAACTGTAAAGAAAACATAGAGGATCCTTGGATGATTGACCAACTTATCCAAACACAGGTTTAGTAAAGAGAGGATATAAAGATAAAATGTGAAATGACCTCTCTGAGTCACATTTGTTTTCATAATTTCCTAGCAAACATCCAACTTCACTGCTACCCTCAGCAATGTTTCTTGAAACATTTTTAAGACATTGATAGACACCAATAGCTGATCTTTAGAAAGCCATTCCCAGAAGAATATGTAAGGGGTTACAACTCATTTCAGGGAGTCTGCCTAGCTCTTGATATTACATGTCTTTGGCATACAATTGTGTACCTTTTATCATTGACAGTGAAGAAAATAATGCCATTTGTAACTTCTGAGATATACACACAATACTATCAACTAGCCGGTTAATAAAAGATAAGAAAAATAAAGAAAATAGAACATTTTTAGGTGTCTGGCAAGTATCCTCTAAATCAAGGTAAAGATAATAATTTAGTGGCAGTGTTCATATTTTCCTATGACTGTAAGATTTAGGTGCCTCACAAAATATTAATATTTAGCCTCTTATGAAAGGTTCGTTTTTCTTCTAACACTTTAGTAGCTGAATACAAAGAAAATACACAACAGCTGTTTATAAATGAAATAAAAAGTTTCCATTTTTTATCTGAGTTTCTCATTTATTTGCAGAGAACGAATAAAATAAAAATATCCTAGTGTTGTTTGCACCACAGCATACCAGTAAATCTTAAGGATTGTGTTTCAGTATGAAAAGGAAGAGCAGGAAGATTTCCTCATTCTGTCTTACCAGCAAAAGTCTAGCCTTCACACACACACACACACACACACACACACACACACACACACACACACACACACAGAGTCATCTATATGAACACGTACTTGAGTTTCTTAAACATATATGAAGCACCTTCCATTTCCCTTTATAATAAATCCCTTAGTTTTTGCTGTTCATTAAAAAACAAAAAGGAAGAGACAAGCTCAGGACATTCTGAAAACCAATGTCTTTAGGACACACTAAGGTGTCCTGAATTACTTTAACGGACACATTGTAAAGACACACTCTCCAATCCCTATTAGGAAAAGTTTAGTCAAGTTTGCTTACTATTTGGGTGCTTATACCAAAAAAGCATCATTTAGGACATTATTTAGGATAATATTATTTATGCAGGAATTGTACCACCTATTTCCAGATGGTATAACTTATTATCTGACAGGCATGTAGCAAATAGAACACAAAGCATAAATCTGTCAGGAGAAATCATACGAGAAAAAGAGCATTGTCTGGTTATCAGAATATCAGATCTCTCATTCTGGCCTTGCTAGGAAATAGATCTTTGATTCTAGAAAAGTCAACTAATTTCTATGGTTCTTACTTTTCTCCTTTATAATATACCCATTTAAATTCCAAAAAGGTATATGATAAATCACAATAATTTCAATCACATGGATTTTAATACAAAATGTATAAAATCAATTTCCAAAAATTTTCTGCATATACTGAAAATGTCTGTACGAATGAGCTAACTACTATAGGCCTTCCCTAATTTATTCTATTAAATGTGGGTACTCAATGTAACCTGAAAATATTGAGCTTAACTCTTCTTTTTTTTTTTCAAAAGGGAAACTTGAAAAAGACTGCTTCCCCCAGAAAATTTATCAACAATAGGTGCTCAATTAAATGTTTTTAAACAATGAACAATATCCCCTTTCATATAAATAATCAGGGGAGAGATATTTTTAAGTCTTTTTTTTCTTTTTCCATAGTGTCACCTACACAAAAAATTATGTAAAGACACCACTTCTATGAGGAGGTATTCATTGTAGATGTACAGAAGTCAACGGAAACTTAAGTTTACAGAAAAAATAAACCAGATTATCATTCCACCCAACTGTATATTCCCACAGATGCTTAATAAAAGCTATCTGATGATATAATGAATTATCAGTTCTTGAGGAAGTATATACAGTTGGTGACTATTTTTCAAAAATCATCATCCAACAAATTTTTTTCATTTAAAATCTTTCATATTACCCTTTCGACAATCAGTTGAAATTTTAAAACTAAGAACATTTAAAAATATAAATGAAAGTAGCATTAGCTATAGACTGATATTCAACTTCAGACGTTAAAATAAATACAAGTGTGTATTAAGAGTAAAATTATGTCAACAATGTATAAATGAAAACTGCCAATGTAATTAATGTTTCTTTTAACATATCCCATCCATTGCTTTCCCTCCAAAAGACAAAGGTAGCAAAAGACGAAGCAGGAAGAACTGCTTCAGAAACTGAACATACTGATTTAATTGGCTAAGAAGTCCAAATGCTAATACTCCTAATAATTAGCCATTCCTTTTGTGTTTTGGTGACATATATCCTCATACAATGTATATCAAATGGAATTTTTTGATTTACACCTGACATTTCAAAGTTTCCATTTTTGAATTCTCCTAGTCTTAAGTAAGTAGAACATTGTCTCCTTTGTTTGCTAGGCATAACGTTTTCCCCAACATCTAGGGCTCCATGATGCAAAATATCATTTTGCCGATCTTCTGTTCCAGTATTTACTTTAATTTTTTTTATTATAATTGGATTTTCAAATACAATCACAAAAACATCTCCTGTTGAAGGTGGTTTCCCCCAAAAGTACTCATCAACACTACTGTAAGCCTTGCTTGCTTCATAATTTTCAAACACATTCATGTTGGTGTACAGACTTGCAGGGGGGTTATCAGGAATGTCAAATGACTCCTCTTCAAAATCATCATCCTTCAGCTTATTCTCCGTCCCTTTGTATGATGAATAATAGCCCATGTGCTGAAAGAGAGATGGTTTAAAACGGATCACATTTTTCTGAGCCAACAGACCACGGAAATGAGTCAATAGCCAATCACAAGGCATTTCTTGATAAAACATTAATAAAAAATGGGCCAAACGTGGGAGATCATGAGAATGATAGAGTTTACCAATGTAGCCAAGCTTAGAGAATTCAAGAGTTACCCAGTAAGTTCCTTCTAGGGATGCAATGACTTTCTTGATGGCAGTTAAGAAATTTTTTGAACATCGAACATCATCTTCAAGCATTACATAATAGTCTGAAGTATTGGCACAAAAATTAAGCAGAAAAGCATAATCTACATTTTGCTTGGAACGAAATTTGACTCTATCTTCTGGATCATTGTAATTTCTTTTAAGGCCATCTAGGATTGGGTAATACTCCTCTGGAGCATGTATAACCATTAATCTTCCTGCAATAATATGGTGCGCAAATTTCTGTGTAATATCCTGGACCATGGCATCACGCCAGGAAGAATTAAAGTCTGCTAGGTGAACCACCACTGAAATTTCCTTCAGCTCTTCATAGCTGGATTGCTCAAAAATTGACTTAATTGTCTCAAGTAAATAGTTTCCTTTTTTTCGCTTTACTGAAGAAAGTCCAATTGTAAGATACCCTGCAAAAAAGAATTCAGAAGCAATACAAATGTGAACTAGAAATATGGAAAAAGTAAAAGAGAGAAGATATTTATTCCTTTGACTTGCTACTTACTACATATTAAGTAAATCTAGTAAATGACTATGCACAGAACATTTTATGATTAAAGTAATAAGCTAAATATATAAAGGCTGTAAGTGCTTAATACATAATTTATATTTTCTATGAAAAATAAATAGCACCTTAATCACAATAATGTATGAGCCCTATTGCTGTGAACATTTACTGATGAAATTCTAAAAACATGGTTTAAAGTGTTCTGCAGCTTAATATTCTCATATACGCCCATTAGAGAAGGTAGACAGGTACCTAGATAACATACAAGTTACTTTTTAAAGATAAAGTAAAAAAAATGCTTTTTCTCTTTTGCAAAAAGAGAAGGGCATTCACAGTTAAGGCTGACAAACTAGTTTCAAATGATACAAAAGAAAAATAAGGGTAAGTAAGTCTTTCAATCATCTTTAAATTTTTTATAGAACACATCACATATTTTCAGTTTTCTTTTTTTTGCTGTCATTATGTTGTACTAGAATTCGTAATTGGACTTCACAATTTTATCTTGAAATGTACATAGTATATTAATTAGAAAGCAAACAATATTATAAGACACATTCAAAAAACTTTAATGCTACATTGTTCCAAGACATAAGCACCACTTTAAAAAATTTTGAAACACACTTTATAGTAATTTTGCCTGAATAACTTTTTATTCAGACATTTATAATCTAAAATTAGGAATTAGATATGTTTAGAGAATAAAATAAAACCCTGAGAAAAGACAGCTCACCTCTGAGAAGGGTTAGAGGTCTTTCTATTGAAATATTTTCACTTTTTAAAGCTCATTCTGATATTAATCAGAATTGAATAACATTTCTAAGCCACTATTTAGAAAATGGGGAAATCTATATACAACAAGATCATCGTTTTAATATAGCACCTGTATAATGCGGTTTGTATGATATTGAAAAAAGCCCCATTCCAAAAACAGTTTGTCAGAGAGATTGTGATTTACACATTTCGTTTAAATACCTTGGCTTACAACTCAGACTTCTATTGAAACACAATATGTTATCTAGTACCATTAAACTTGAAGCCACCAAACTTCATTAATAATAGCCAATGCTTATGGAATGCTGTCTACATAAGAGGCAGGAGTTTGGGCATTTTATCTGTAATATGCATCTTAAATGTTCAAAACGGTCTTTTGGGATAGGTTTGCTATTACCATCATTCTGCTTTACAGATAGGGACACTAAGTCACGGTGAGATGAGGTGACTCATGCAAGGTGGTACACTTAGTAGGTGATGCTGCAACAGGATTCAAACTGTCTCACTCTTTTATCCTCTGTGTTACATTGCCTCTGGTAGAAAGCAGTTGGCATGTGTGCCAATAAACATTAGTAAATTTAGCATGGGAAAAGGTAATCAGTAATGTTCAAGCAAAGGTGGTGTAACAGAGATGAAAAATGAATGGCAGTCTTAGACAATTAGAAAGAAGCCTAAGAACAGTAGACATTTCAAATGGTAGAATGAAAGGAAATGAGATATAAAGAAATCTAAATTAATTTAATAATTTCCTCAACCTAGTGATAACAAATACACTCACATAAACAAGTCTTAAAAGAGAGGTCAATTTTTGTGGTCTTCACATAATTTATTAAGATCATGATAGCACTGTATTTTATTCTAAGATTCATGGTTTTTTTGTTTTTGTTTTTGTTTTTTTGAAATGGAGTCTTGCTCTGTTGCCCAGGCTGGAATGCAGTGGTGCGAACTCAGCTCACTGCAGCCTCCACCTCCCAGGTTCAGGCGATTCTTGTGCCTTGGCCTCCTCAGCCTCCTGAGTAGCTGGAATTACAGGTGTACACGACCATGCCTGGTTAATTTTTGTACTTTTAGTAGAGAAGGGGTTTCACCATGTTGGCCAGGCTTGTCTTGAACACCTGGCCTCAAGTGATACACTTGCCTTGGCCTCCCAAAGTGCTGGGATTACAGGCATGAGCCACCAAACCCAGCCTAAGATTTATATTTTACACATTGAAACATTTAAAAATCAGGCTGCATACTAAAATCAACAGCGTTATAATTAAAATTGGTAATGCTTATACTTTCTTAGTGGTATGCTAATTAGATAATGGTACTTTTTGTAAGCTATGGTGTCTTAGAAATATAGTATGTTACTTCTTGGCTCCAAATATATTTTTTTAACTGACTGCAGTGTGTTGAATAGTTTCCTCCAAAAATTCATGTCTACTTGGAACCTCAGAATGTAATTTTATTAGTAAATTTGATCTTTGCAGATATAATTAGTTAAGGATCTTGAGCTGCAATAATTCTGGATTTAGATGTGGACCATAAATTCAATAACTTGTGTCCTTATAAAAAGAGGAAAAGACACAGAAAGACAAAGAGAAGAAGGCCATTGATGATGGAGGCAGGAATTGGAGTGATGCCCCAAAGTCAAAGAGTACCAGAAGCAAAGTCACCAGAAGCTGAAAGGGGCAAGGATTCTCCCTTAGAACTTTCAGAGGGAGTGGGGACCTGCCAGCACCTTGATTTTAACCTCTGGCTTCCAGAACCACGAGAGAATAAATTGCTCTTTTTAAAAGCCAGTCACTTTGTGGTAATTCGTTATGGCAGACCTAGGAAACTAAAACACTGAGTTTCATTAATTAAAAAGTTGTGGCAAGTCATAAAACCAAACTGTTAAGAGGTTAGAAAATGTAGCAATATGAACATAGGAATTTTTAAAAGTTAACTTCTAAATTTTAAAGTAAATTGATTTTTTTCTAGTCACTCTATACCATCCTACAACAAAATCTCAAGAGACTCACATTACGATTAGGCATTTTATTTAATTTTTTTGTTATTAAGTGTACTGGGTCAGTGAGTATAGTAGTTGGCAATTTGTGAAGAAACATTGAAGTTTTGCCCAAATAATTTATTATATTAGTAAAGCCCTTAAGCCTTTTTACTATACATGTGAAACTATCATTATTTTAATGCAAAATATTTTATGTATTCTTTATTTAAATGTTTAAGGATACTTACGCTTTCTTTGTAAAGGTGTGGCAGCTAGGTAGCGATAGGTGACATTTATGGCTCCTGAGAAATTAGATAAATCCTTGAAAGTATGAACATAGCGTTCTGAATTCAGTTGATGTGTGGATGTTTCCCTTATAAGTTGTTTGTCTCCTTCCTAAATACCAAGAAAGAAGCAAGGAAAATATATAAATAATAGATGGTCATGGATTAAATAAAGTTTCTTTTTTACACAATAAATGTACGACTACAATATATAGTATGCAGGGTTATATAAATCTCAACTACTGACGTCATAAGCTGTAGCTCATCATCACTCACCTCATTTTTTACCTGGAGGTTCTGCTCCAGTAGCTCGCTCGCCTATTTTGCTGTGTATACCACAATTACATTTGTTTTTCTATAGGACACATTAATAATGATAATCTCTTAAAAAAAGAATTTCTACATGAAAACTCCCACTGCCTTTATGCTACTTTTCAAATTTTTGACAATCATTTAAGGATCTCAAAATTGACAGTAATCTATTTTATAGTTTAATCTAAGGCTAGTTCCCACCATATTGCCTGATTTACTCTTCCTCAAGCAGTCTCAAATAAAAGATCACACAGTGTCTCCATGATTGTGAAACTTTAGGAATGATTAGGAAGATGCAGTAGTGGGCACAATATTTGGATTTTTGATACTTTATTAAATAAGTCACTTATGTGGCTACTATCTAGCTGTTGAGAAGGGCCAGTTATGGGTGCTATGGCAGTAATTTTTTTCATATGTCCTAAAGTAACCTCAAATAGGATACATTAGCACCAAATTAAGGTAATGTGTAGATATCTATGACTAATATTTCTTATGATAGTTAAGTTTGTGTGTGTGTGTGTGTGTGATTCTATTGGATGTAATGCCCGATCCTTTTATATTTTAGATCCCTTTTATTTATTTGGTGATGGATTTTGCATGTCATTAAATCTTCAGGAAGGTTTATATTCAAGAAAACATATTCATATTCAGATTAAAATATATCCTTTACCCACTAATTGCCCTTCTTTGATATAAGCTAAATGGTAAATTTTGATTATCTAATCATCATTTGATCAAGCCTTTACTGGTTATACACTATTAGGAAAATGACTATTTGTTTGACTCATATGTGATTTACTAGAATTGGTAGAATACATTTGAGAACAACCTAATTAGAAAGAAATATTTCTCTCTCTCTCTCTTTTTTTTTCTCAAAATGTGCACTCTACTATGTGGTTTTATTTATTTATTTAATTTTTTTCTTTGAGATGGAGTCTGGCTCTGTTGCCCAGGCTGGAGTGCAGTGGCATGATCTCTGCTCACTATAACCTCCGCCTCCTAGGTTCAAGCCATTCTCCTGCCTCAGCCTCCCGAGTAGCTGGGATTGCAGGCACACGCCACCATGCCCAGCTAATTTTAGTATTTTTTAGTAGAGATGAGTTTCCGCCATGTTGGCCAAGCTCGTCTCAAACTCCTGACCTCAAGTGATCCACTCACCTCGGCCTCCCAAAGTGCTGGGATTATAGGTGTGAGCCAGCACACCTGGCCTTATGTGGATTTATTTTATTCAGTATAGAAAGTCAAGCTAGGCATGTGCTAGCTATAAGACTGTAGAGAAAGTAAATGGATTAAATAACTCTGGTCCTGCTATTATTTTGCTGTGGTCATTAAAAGGTTAATTAAAGCCTTGTTCTAAAAAATTAGACAAAGCTCAGATACAAGTTTTACAGCTGAAACATTCAATACTTCTACTTCGCATCAATCTCGAGTGACAATGAAAAAGATGACTAACTCAGATTTTCTAATCTATGGCCAGACGTGACTATTCTTAGAATAAAAACTGAAAGTAGGGACCTTAACTAGAGGCTTCCAATATGGTCCTTACTAAATCAAGATTCATTCTGAATATCTTTTCTGTATATCCAAGTATGTTTATAAATCCAAATTTGGTCTTTAATAGTGTATTTCTCTATTTCATACTGCCTTTGATAATTTGGACCAAGAAATACTTTAGTCCTTTATAAGGTTCACAATGTGTAAAAGTGTGGTTTTGTGTGGCTTTTACACAATGCCATGTGTAAAAGCCACAAACTTTCAAAGTACTTGAGATTAAACCTTAGATGCTAAATTACTTAGAAATATACTAATTGGCTATCCACTGAATTCTGATGATTTTAAGTTCTTTATACATAAATATTTTCATTGGTGTTTACCTGCATACCTATAAAACATCATTAAAGTTTAAAATAAATTTAGAACTGCCAAAATGTAACTAGTGACTCAGTTTAGTATCAATTATTTTAATAGTAATGTAGTGATGTACATAATTAATAATGCCTGGAAGAAATTTCTGTAAAAAGTACAGTAATTACAGCACTAAATTCATTTTACCATTCTATTCTTAGGTGATGTTACATTCTAAGGTAAGTGCAGGATATTGAATACCTCTTTAAAAATTCTATCCTTAACACATAAAATCTAGAAATTTTGTGTTATAAGATGGAGTACATTCATCCTGATTTAAGGACATAACAGAATATAAAAAGAAATGGAACTTACATGAAATCACTTTATTAAATTCTCAGGAACAAGCTTTTTTATACTTTTCAGCATAAATAAATAATGCAACTTTCACCTGAGTCAGCCTTGTTGGCTGCTTTCCAGAGTCACCTACCTGAACAGCCAGGCTCTCCCTGGATACCTTCTTTCTGTAGCTACTATGCTGTAGTATATTTCTCAGTAATAAGACAAAGCTTTATGACAATCATTTTCTGGATGGGAATGCAATTCAATGAACTAGCTGCAGACTAAATATATACCCTTGTGGCTACTTTGAAGATGCTCAAAGCCAAGAAGCTAAGTTGATTGGGCATGCAGTGTCTCTTCTACTTAGTTTGCCTTGTAACGGTGTTTGTCTCTTACACTAAGTGCAGCTTCCTTTTTCACTTAAAGGCACATATATCTCTAATACATAAGCAAATATGCTAAACTGCTAATATGCCTAGGGTTTCAGGCCACAAATGGATTTTCTAACAAAAAGACGAGAATAGAATCTGTTAACTAACTCCAGAGACCTTACTACTTCTAACTATTCACCTGATATCTCTAAGTTAGAAGTACTATTTCCCAGTTTTTAAAAAAGGAAGACAAAAAAGAAAGATCTACTAATATCTGTGCGTAGCAAATTGCATACATTGTGATAATCGGGAAGAAAGAAGAAAAATGAGTTCAGATAATTTTATTAAAAAAGAAATAAACACAGGTAAAAAGATCAAAAGGGAGATGTGTTAAAAAGAAATTGCATTATATTCTTGGAGGGGGCCAGTTTCCCATGGATACTATTCATTTTTAGAAGAATAATTGTAATGCAATTTAATATTAATCATTGAAAAAGTTTTCAACTTATAGCCTTGAAGCAAAATTCAGCTAAAATGCGATTTGGTTAAAAAACATCCGTCAGTAAATAGTAAATTGTTAAATAATAAAAATGCTATCATCAAACTTAGAACAAGGGATGAGTGTTGGAATTTAGCAATTGCTTTAACTCATTTTTTTCCAACTTTTGTAAGTATTTTAAAATAATAATTTTTTTTTTTTTTTTTTTTTTTTTTTTTTTTTTTTTTGAGACGGAGTCTCGCTCTGTCGCCCAGGCTGGAGTGCAGTGGCGGGATCTCGGCTCACTGCAAGCTCCGCCTCCCGGGTTCACGCCATTCTCCTGCCTCAGCCTCCCAAGTAGCTGGGGCTACAGGCGCCCGCCACTACGCCCGGCTAATTTTTTTGTATTTTTAGTAGAGACGGGGTTTCACCGTTTTAGCCGGGATGGTCTCGATCTCCTGACCTCGTGATCCGCCCGCCTCGGCCTCCCAAAGTGCTGGGATTACAGGCGTGAGCCACCGCGCCCGGCCAATAATAATTTTTAAAAGCTAAGAAGCAATCTGTTTTCTGCACCTGGACTGATTTGCAAATTTGAGTAGATATATTCCTAATATAATCACAGAAATCTCATTGAGAAAGTAGCTTTAGTAGAAGAGCTACTTCATTAAATCATATTA
Source organism: Homo sapiens (assembly GCF_000001405.40). Lineage (NCBI taxonomy): Eukaryota > Metazoa > Chordata > Mammalia > Primates > Hominidae > Homo > Homo sapiens. The sequence goes on from NC_000012.12 coordinate 85,987,584, forward strand.
TCTACATTTGATGACTAGGACCAATGTTTAGATAGCACTGTAAACATTTGCAAAACAGGAACATAGCATTTTATTTTCTAATTGACATATACTCTACTACTTCTTACTCATTTTATGGTGAATTTAAACAGGTTCTATTTCAAAAGACATAAGGGCGTTTTGCACATTCAATGGTCCTTTGGGTTTGTTGAAAGTGAAAGATTAAAATTGCACTGGAAACTGTCTTATAAATTCAGCAAGTAATTGAACATAGCAAGCCTCCAACCAATAACATGTGTTTGATTTACAAGATTTTATTTACTTCTACCAGTAGACACAGAATCAAGAAATAAATTTTTATTATAAAATTGAATAATTAATCAAGAGAATCTCTAGTTAACTTACAATCTTTCATTATCTTAAGAAAAAAATAGCAAGAACACATGGGCCTTGTTCTGTTGTCCTTATTATATCTCATATAACTAATAGGTTTTAAAAATATTCAAAAATGCATAACATTAGTATGTTTCTCCTATTTTCTAAGTTTGCCTAAATCATACCTACTCAAATCCTGTTTAATCTTTGTTGATTTCAGCCATTGTGCATAGACTGTGGAGAGAAACATTAAGGGTCCACAACATCAGAATCACTATTTGAAGACAAAAAGCCTAGGCAGAGTCAAAATCTAGGATTCTGGTACAATTTCAGCATCAAAGAACAGAGATAAAGGATGCAAGATGTTTTACAGAGGACTTCTTAGGAATATCTGTACCAACTAAAATCATATGGTTGACTCATAGGATATAGCATAGTATCTGGAAAATAATAGTTAATAAATAATCTAAAGCATTTTTTTTTGGAAATACTCTCTCTCTTGTTAAGACACTAATTTAAACTTTTAGCATTTTTGCATGTGAAAATCACTTTTTAGTTCCTGTTAGTTGTAAAGGTTTTGATTTCTGAAATATATAAACTGTAATCAGGTTTTGATTTTCTGAAATCTATAAATATTAATAATAACATACAAATTAGGACAGATATTTTAGGCTCCATTAAGATAGAAAAAGTGAATAGCAATAATGTCTGTATTAATCTCATCAGACATGAAATGATGTGATGATAACAATAAGAAAAAAATTGAAACTAACATATTAATTTTTCATAATTAGTCAGAATAAGCGCTTTTGCATATTGTCATATTTTCCCTAAAAAAACCTATTTATATGTAATCACCTACCAATATTTGGTATCTCATTTTAACTACTGAATGATTTACACATCAATATCTTTATCTCTTGAGATCTTTTCAGTGGGTACAAATATAAAACAGAGTGGCCATCTAGGTCTATTCAAAATTCAGATAAGGTGTTACACATTGTAATAAAATATTACTTATACAAATAGCACAATTAAAAAGCATTGTTAATTAGACAATGGAATTTTGAAAATTTCAGTGATAATATAGAAAAGTAGAGGAAGCAAGGAGTTATACTTTCTAAGCAGATTTTGTTTATTCTATGCATTTCAAATGGAAAACCCAAAATCTTAATGGCTCCACATATTTATTCTGCATAGTGATGATAGCTAACTTATTTGTAATTACATGTACATATTTGGAGCACAAAATATACACCATTAAAAATATTGGAACATAATTCAAAACAAGTGTAATGTTGATGTATGGTTAATACAAAAAATAGACAATATACATGTTATAATTTTGCTCAAACTAAGTCTTCTCCAATAGCTTGAGATTGAAGTTAGGCTACAATGGGACTAATTCTTGTTTGACTTATGCCTTATTTTGAAGAAAAGACAATCAACCTCCCAAACTTACCAGAACATAGCTATCTTCAATGTACAAGTTCATAAAAAGGAGAAAAATGACAAGAACTCCCAAGAATGACACTGTAGAACGTTTTCTCAGGCATCTCATTTTATCAAGTATTTCAAAAATATGTTTCATTTGATGAAATTTAAACATTCTCTTCTGTGGAAAAGAGACACAGAATTACTAGCAGTTGGTTTTGGATGCAAATATTTCTTTATCGCATATATAAAAGTCAGGTCCTTGTAAAATTTCATCTTTCAAATGTTTGAATTAAAATTCTGTTCCCAATTTCAAACATAAGGTTGGCACAGATCATTAATTAATATGTTAACATAAGATCAATGCAGTGGTTTATATTAATGTAGAGTAAATAAAAATAAAAAGCAAGTCTCATAGTTACTGACGAAAAAAGATGAACTTTGGTCATAATAATGTAAATAAAACAGGCCTCTGATGAGAAACAGTACAAAAGCACAATAGAAAAACAGTCAAGTCCACTGTCATCAGTGAGGTATAACTTTAAGGTAACATTTACCTCTCATATTGTAGTATAACGAAAATGAGAAAAAGCAGAATTATGGGCCTAATATTAATCTCAGAGTAGGTGTCAACTGAAAATATTTAACTGGGAATCTGGGTGGAGTAAAGAAAAGTGATAAAGAAGTTAAGGCTGTGGGGTAAATCCAAACATATGTTTGAAAACTTCTGGGTTACAATTGCTTTGCTTATTTTTCCAATTATTCTTGTTAAATCAGGGTGAATCCTATAGTATTATATTAACATTTCCTTGATATCTACTACTTAGTAGTTTAGCTGTTTGAAATAATTCATGTACTACACAAAGGCAAAATGAGAGTCAGAAAGATTCGTGAAAACCTAATTTAAAAAAATTTTTACTCTTCTATTTTCTGATATTTTCCAACCAAAGATTCCTTTACATTATTCATTATTTTATAAAAAAGTATAAACATATCTGAAGCACTTAACAAACTAGAAAAATCACATTTTGTGTAAAATCAACACATTGATAACCTGAAAACAGAGCTACTTAGAGTTGTGTAATGGATCTCCTTGGGTTTATCTTTATGATGAAGTATTTATGTGTAAGGGAGACTTTAGAAAGTGAAAAATGTCCGTCCCCTATAATCTTAGAACTATGCCTAGAACATAGCTGGCAAATCTTATCTCTTCAATGAATTAATGCAAGGGAGAATTTGTGGGTCCTTATAAATTATAGTAAAAATATTAGGAATTAGAAGAAAGTCTTAATATATAAGACTTAATATATGACTTAATAATTATAAGTCTAAAAATAATTTCTAAAAAAGAATTATGAAAGTGCTATACATATTACTGTCCATTTTCTTTGATCATATTTTTCTTAAGGGTTATTTTTCTTATAAATTTGTAGAAATTGTAAATATGTGTATAAATATGCACACATAGATGCACATAAATGTATATCCTGAGGATTTGGGTGATATATGACATTTCAAATAGTATGAGAAGTGGTAAAAATAATGCTTTGGAGGCAATATTGTAGTTCTGTTATGGGATCTTCAGAGTGTTGCTTTTCTGATCAGAAACCTCTGTGACTGGTGGCATCTTGCCAGAGTCCTTGTCCTGCATCGAGGAAGAATGAGGTATTCAGACAAGTGGAGGGTGAGCAAGATGAAGAGGAGCTTTATTCAGTGTTAGAACCACTCAGACAAGACCCACAGTGGGTAGGTCCTCTCTGTAGACAGGTCAACCTGTCAAGTGTTCAGCACTTAGCAGAGAGGTTAGCTCCTCTCTGCTGCTGGTTGATCCACCCTCTTCTCAGCAGACAGGGTAGCTCCTCTCTGCAGGTGGCCACTCCATCATCTCTCCATCCTCTCCTCTGCTCTGGCTGAACACGGGGCTTTTATGGGCCTCAGAGAGGAGGAAGCGCATGCCAACTGATCCATGGACAGCCATGGGCGGGCCCAGAAAAGGCACCACAAGTTCCCAGTCTGGTCTGCAGGACTGGCAGCCTGGCCCCCAGGCTTCAGGCCTTCACCAGCCTGAAGGTGGGGCTTCACTGGGGACCCACCCCCTTCCCCCCAGAAGTCTGTCTGCCTCCCACTACTGTCCATAGTGTCCAGGCTGCTTGCACCAATGGGCACCTGCAGGCCAGTGACAAGACACCCTCAGCCCCCTCCTTGGTTATCCTTCCCGCACTCGTGGGCGCTTAAAGCCTGGAGGGTGCTGAGATGACAAGCAGCTGGCATGTCAGCACTGCCCAGAGCTGACATTACAGGCATGAATCTGAGATGCTGTGCCTTGGGGGAACTCAGTGTCTGGGCATGGTGGCTCATGCCTCAAATCCCAGCTCTTAGAGGGGCAGAGGTAAGAAGATAGCTTGAGCCCAGGAGTTTGAGACCTGCCTGGGCAATATAGTGAGACCCCATTCTCCACAAAAAGGAAAAAGTTTACTTCACAGTTCTAGCAGCAGAGTTTCCAGGTGAGATTTCATCAGAGCAGGTCCTTGGAAGTTTTCACCATCCTGATGACAATATGGCAGGGGTGGTGACCAGCGAGCCATCTTCAGAAGTGGCCCTACCTTTTCAAAGGGCAGACAAAGGTGCCACTAGCAACATACGTTTCTGGCCAGAAAAGCAACACCCCAAAGATCCTGTAACATTTTGGGGGCTCATCCAGGGTCTGCGGAAAGGTAAGTAAAAGTGGATCTGCTCTTACTGTCTTTCTTTGGAGTCTCTAACTTCCACAACAGTCAAAATGAAAGAAAAATACTGGACATTTGTCAGTCAGTTAAAAGCGACTAGCACAGCTACCAGGACTTAAGACATGGAGAACAGACTTTCTGGGGATGACACTGTCAATCCTCTATCACCTCTACTGGGTGTTGAGAATGTTGGCTTTGTTTCAATCCAGTGTCCTTTCATGCATATCTAGCTGTCACATAGGACTGAAAGGAAATCTTGGGGCAACTAAGGGTATCTGGCCAAGGCTACACCTTGGTGTTATCCAAAGGCCCCTGGACTAACTCCAGTCCCTGACTGCCCATTAGGGTGTTGGCACTTGGACCTCCAGTCTTTCCTATCATTCTTTCTTTCTCTCTTTTGTGGCTGTCAAGGTTCCCATCTCTTCTTTATATACAATGTTAAATGTTAAAGATGTTGTTGCAAACTAGAGATATTACTGGGAAGAATGTGGAATTGGCTCAGTCATCAAAAGCATAAAATGGAAAGTTAAGACAAAGCAAAGTGTGTGTTGGTATCTGTACATAAATTTGTGGCAAACATGTTTTTGTCATTTCCTTTGTTGCCAACTTAGTGTCAAGCACTTTGAAGCACAGAACAGAAACATGGCCTCAGGAAGAAAGCTTTTCTGTGAATGTGAGGGCAAATGGTCCAAGGTCCCATGTGCTGGCCTTCTTTGCCTTGCAGGGCAATTCGGACCTTTGCCGAGACTGTAGGATTGATTAAGCCCTCCTAGATGGCCATCTCAGGAGAGGCTGCAAGAGACGGTCCCAGGGAAATAGGGAAGCAAACCCCAGAGGTGCCTCCAGCAGGGGAATCAACCCCCTTTGCTCTTCCCTATGCGGGTTCTCTCTTAAGCTTGCCCCAGCCTAAAAATCTTCGTTTTAGGCAGGTCCCAGTCTCAACTGCTCCAATAACAGATGCCTGGTGAATATGGCCCCATTAAGGTCCAGGTCCCCTTTTCAAATTAAAGGGGGTCTTGGCAAGTTTTCAAATGGTCCTGACAGGTATATAGAGGCTTTCTAGAACTTAACCTAAGTAATTGAGCTCTCCTGGAAGGATGTCGTGTTACTTTTGAGTCAAATCCTGACCACCACTGAAAAGCAGGGAATCCTGCAAGTGGCAGAGAATTTTGGAAATGAGCTTTATATCTTATATAGGGCCAGGGATGGGGAGGAGTTGGAAGAATGGCAGTGCCATTGGAGGACCAGTTGGAAGAATGGCAATACCATTGGAGGACAAAATGAGCCCCTCATGATAAAATGAGAGAAGGGAGGAGGAAACACTTTCAGGTTTGCATACTGCAAGGCTTACAAGGGATTGGGTCCAGCCTCTCAACTGCACTGAGCTATCCATGGTAGACCAGGGATTGGATGGGAGTCACACTGCCTTCATCAGTGGGGCTGGAGGGGCCTTGGTGAAGTGTGATTCTCCATCTCCTGATTTGGTTAAGGGACAGCTGGTCCTAGGGGGATGAGTTAATCACACAGGTGGCCCCTGATGTCAGGAGGGGGCTGCAAAAATGGGCTGTGGGACCAGATGGTACTTTGGAGGGCCTTCTGGGAGTGGTCACCTCAGTATTTTGCAGTGGGAACCATGAGGAAATCCAGAAAAGAGAGGGGAGATACAGGAAAAAGGCAGAGGCTTCCAGTAGCCACCTTGTGGACCCGCAGACCCCAGAGTCCCCAAGATGCATTTGTTGACTGCCACAAATGTGGTAGGAGGGACTGTCTAGACAGCAGGAGGAGGCCAGGTAGTGGAGGCCAGTGCCTACGCAGGCACCCCTGAGCCTGTGTAGATGGTGGCATGGGGTCCTTCCAGGGTCCTCAAGGGTGCAGACCGCAGAGAAGTCTGGATTCTGCACCTGGGAGGGCAGCTGCAGTGGCTCCTAGGGAGGGCGAGGCTCCTGCCTGAGCAGTGGCATGGGAGGCCCAGGCCAGCCTCCCTGCTGCAGCTGGCATCTTGGCAGCAGCCACTCTTGATGGGCCACTGCTACCATTAGTTCTGTCTACAATAATTTGAAGTAGAATAAAACAACAACAAAACCCCAGGATATAATTCCCAAGAGTTGACAAAGAAATACAGAAGTCCTTAGAGAATAATGACAGTCGTCTAAATTCTAATATCCAAATTCTGCAAATTGTAATCCTCTCAAATCCATTCACAATACAGAATACAAATAAAGTTTCCATGGTGTATACCCCCAGAGTAACTATGATACAGACAATTAGCACAAACTTTAATTTTCATTTAATTGAGAACATTTACACCCATTGTCAGCAGAATAGGCTGAGAAGCCCAAACCAGAGCAAACAAAAGATCAAAAGACAGAACAAAATAAATGTCATTTATTAAACAAACTATGCTAGACTGCAGGCCGTTAAAAATTAAAGAAGCTAATAAAGCCATTCACACTCCTCCCCCACCTCAAACATAGAATTATTTTCTACACCTTGGTTTAGGAAAGTTTTTAAAAAAATCCCCCCCCAGCCGCCAAAAAACAAACAAAAAACAAAAAACAAAAAAACACTCGGACACCCAAAACCAGACTGACAAAATTACTATGAAAAGGAAAACAAAATAGCTGATTTCAAGTAGGGAGAACAGACTCCGGGATTAGTCCATATTTTTATTGTGATATGAAGCAAGAAAGCTCTCAAGATTAGTGGAGACATATCTAAAGGACATAGAAAATGGCTTGAAAAGGCTTCCATTAAGGAATTTTGGGAAAACTGAAGATTAAAATTTATGGGCTATGATTGATAGTAAAATACTGAATAAATATAAATTAATGATGAAATGGTAATTATAAATGGAAAAGAAAGAAAAAGTAAGAAACCTCATTTGCTACTACTGAAGGTGAAAACTTTACCATCTTCAGTCACTAGAAATTGGTAACTGAAAGTATTAACATTTTTACCCAGCATTTCTAGAAGACACTATGTTTTATCCACAGTTGATGACTTTTTTTCTAATATTGGACAACAGGCAGCACAGGGCAATATCCCCAAGTGAAGAAACCAAATAGGTAAGCCCTGTGATTTTTCCTGCTTGCTGTCAAGAGGCGGTTTCCAAAAGGCAGTACAGGGACAGTGAATCCAAACAGAACGTAGAGATCTTGCCAATTAGGAGACAGAAATAATAATTTGGGGGAGATAAAGGTACCTAGAATTTGAGTGGCAGAATATTTAAGAGAACAAGTGACAGAAGAGAGACTCAGAATTCTGCAGACGGCTCTTCAAATCTTTGAGTTGATACTGGTATGTCATGTGTGTCATGAAACTTCATAAGACTAGAGAAAGAACCATAAAAAAGTAGTAGGCCAAACAGTTCCTGAAGCTTATACAGTGTTGGAGATAGTTTGTGTGTCCATAAGCCAAGTTTGTGCGTCCATCAGCCAGCAAACTTGGACTGGACATTAAAAAACTGGACATTAAAAAGAATACTCAGAGGCCAGCTGCGGTACCTCATGCCTGTATTCTCAAAACTTTGGAAGGCTGAGGCAGGAGGAGAGCTTGAGCCCAGGACATTGAGACCACCCTGGGCAACATAGTGAGACCCCATCTTTACAAAATATAAGAAAACTAGCCTCGTGTGTTGGTATACATCTGTAGTCCCAGCTACTTGGGAGACTGAGGCAGGAGCATTACTCAAGCCTGGGAGGTCAAGCCTGCATGCAGTGAGCTGTAATTGTGCCACTGCACTCCAGCCTAGGCAACAGAATAACACCCTGTCTCAAAACAAACAACAACAAAAAGAATACTCAGAAGCATATTACCTTAGTATTTGGGCCAATACTCTCTAGGCCTGTCCTAATGAAAGCTTAACAACAAGCATCAACAGCATCAAATTATTTTGCATAACTTAACTCCATACTAGTACAAAGTACAGCACTCTTTAAACATATAGGACAATGTCTAGAACTTAAGAACATAAAAATCACAATATCCAGGATCCAGCAAAAATTACCATTTAAATCATGGACAATATGGTCTATAACTAGGCTGAAACTAATCAGAGAGAAAAAAATCAAGACATAACTGAGATGATAGAATTAAAAGAAAAAGGATATTAAAAAGGCTATCATAAATATGTCCCATAGGCTCAAAATAGAAGAACAATGATAATTTTAAGGAGAGAAATGAAATATTTAAATAAAAACAAAAACAATTTCTAGGGATGAAAAATTTTATGTGCGAAATGCAAATACACTGGCTAGTAGATAAAGAATAGCAGGAGAAAAGATACAACGGTAGAAATAATACAAATAAAGCACAGAGAGAGGGACAAACATCCAGCCAAACTGCTGTCTAAATTCTGAGTCACAGGAAAAGTGAGATCATAAATGTTGTAAGGCATTAAATTTCAGAGTGTTTTCTTCGGCAACAATAGACAACTGATATAGCTATCTACAGGAAACTCATTTTAATGATAAAGACAAAAAATGAGTTAATAATAAAAGAAAAGATAGAGATAAACATTAATCAAAGGAAAGCTGGACTGGGTATATTAATATAATACAAAGCAAACATTTAGTAATTAATGAAAGTATCAATTTTTCAAAGGAAGCATAAATGTACATGCAATAAATAAGAGTTTCAAAATACCTAAACAAAACTGACATAAGGGAAAGGATAAAAAAGGGAATAAATAAAGGAGGAAGAAAGGAAAGAAAGAGAATAAATAAATTCATTCATTTTCAATATATGAATATCGAAGTCCTCTATTTAAATATTCCTCCCTCAATAATTGACTGAACATGCAAATACAAAACCAGTAAATGTCAAAAATATTTAAAACACTATCAAATAAATTAATCTACTTGGGATTTATGAAACACTCCACCCAACAATAGCAGTGTATAAATCTGTTTTCATGCTGCTGATAAAGATATACCCAAGACAGGGCAATTTACAACAGAAAGAGGTTTAATGGACTTACAGTTCCACATGGCTGAGGAGGCCTCACAATCATGGTGGAAGGCAAGAAGGAGCAAGTCACATCTTACATGGATGGCAGCAGGCAAAGAGAGAGATTTTGCAGGGGAACTCCTCTTTATAAAACCATCAGATATTGTGAGACTTATTTACTATCGTGAGAACAGCACAAGAAAGACCTGCCTCTGTGATTCAATTACCTTCCCCTTGGTCCCTCCCTTGACACGTGGGAATTGTGGGAGTTACAATTCAAGATGAGATTTGGGTGGGGAACCAGCCAAACCATATCATTCCACCTCCCAAATCCCATGTCCTCACATTCCAAAACAATCTCGCCTTCCCAACAGTCCCTCAAAGTCTAAACTCGTTTCAGCATTAACTCAAAAGTCCACAGTCCAAAGTCTCATCCGAGACAAGGCAAGTACCTTCAGCCTATGAGACTGTAAAATCAAAGCAAGCTAGTTACTGCCTAGATACAATGGAGGTACAGGCATTGGGTAAATACAGCCATTACAAATGGAAGAAATTGGTCAAAACAAAGGGGTACAGGCCCCATGCAAGTCCAAAATCCAGCAAGGCAGTCAAATCTTAAGGCTCCAAAATTATCTCCTTTGACTCAAGGTCTCACATCCAGGTCATGCTGATGCAAAAGGTTGGTTTCCATGGTCTTGGACAGCTCTGCCCCAATGGCTTTGCAAGGTACGGCCTCCCTTCAGGCTGCCTTCATGGGTTAGCATAAAGTGTTTGTGGCTTTTCCAGGTGCACAGTGCAAGCTGTCAGTGGATCTACCATTCTGGGGTCTGGAGGATGGTGGTCCTCTTCTCACAGCACCACTACATAGTGCTCCAGTAGGGACTCAGTGTGGGGGCTCTGACCCCACATTTCCCTTCTGCACTGCCCTAGCAGAGGTTCTCTATGAGGGCCCTGCCCCTGCAGCAAACTTCTATCTGGATATCCAGGTGTTTCCATACATCCTCTGAAATCTATGCAGAGGTTCCCAAACCCTGATTCTTCACTTCCATGCACTCTCAGGCTCAATACCATATGGAAGCTGCCAAGGCTTGGGGCTTGCACCCTCTGAAGCAATGGCCCAAGCTCTATGTTGGTCCCTTTCAGCCATGGCTAGAGTGGCTGGGATTCAGGGCACCTAGTCCCTAGGCTGCACACAGCACTGGGAATCTGGGTCTCACCTATGAAACCATTTTTTCCTCCTGGGCCTCCAGACCTGTGATGGAAGGGGCTGCCATGAAGACCTCTGACTTGACCTGGAGACATTTTCCCTATTGTCTTGGTGATTACATTCTGCTCCTCATTACTTATGCAAATTTCTGCAGCTGGCTTGCGTTTCTCTTCAGAAAATGGGATTTTCTTTTCTATCGCATTGTCAAGCTGCAAATTTTCTGAACTTTTATGCTTTGCTTCCCTTATAAAACTGAATGCCTTTAACAGCACACAAGTCACCTCTTGAATGCCTTGCTGCTTAGAAATTTCTTCCACTAGATACACTAAATCATCTTTCTCAAGTTCAAAGTTCCATAAATCTCTAAGGCAGGGATAAAATGCTGCCAGTCTCTTTCCTAAAACATAACAAGAGTCACTTTTGCTCCAGTTCCCAACAAGTTCTTCTTCTCCATCTGAGACCATCTCAATGTGGATTTCATCATCCACATCCCTATCAGCATTTTGGGCAAAGCCATTCAACAAGTCTCTAGGAAGTTCCAAAATTTTCCATGTTTTTCTATCTTCTTCTGAGCCCCCCAAACTGTTCCAACCCCTGCCTGTTACCCATTTCCAAAGTTGTTTCCACATTTTTGGGTATCTTTTCAGCAGCGCTCCCCACTCTACTGCTACCAATTTACTGTATTAGTCCATTTTCACAGTGCTGATAAAGACATACCTGAGACTGGGCAATTTACAAAAGAAAGAGGTTTAATGGACTTACAGTTCCACATGGCTGGGGAGTCCTCACAAACATGGTGGAAGGCAAGAAAGAACAAGTCATGTCTTACATGGATGGCAACAGGCAAAGAGAGCTTGTGCAGAGGAACTCCTCTTTATAAAACCATCAGATCTCATGAGACTTATTCACTATCATGAGAACAGCATGAGAAAGACCTGCCACCATGATTCCATTGCCTTTCACTGGCTGCCTCCCATGACACATGGCAATTGTGGGAGTTGCAGTTCAAGATGAGATTTGGGTGGGGACACAGCCAAACCATATCAAGCAGAATACACATTCTTTTCAAATGCACATAGAAGATTTTCTAAAACAGACCTGATTTGGGGATGACAAGTCTCAATACATTTAAAGAAATCGAAATTATATACAAATGTTCACAATGTGTCTCCATTACTGGATATATATCCAAAGGAAGACAAATAAATATGTTAGAGAAGTATCTGTACTCCCCTGTGTATTGCAGCACTATTCACAATAGCCAAGATAAGGAATCAACAGAAGTGCCATATGCAGATGAATAGGTAAAGAAAATGTGTGTGTGTGTGTGTGTATATATATATATATATATATATATACATACACAATGGAATACTATTTAGCCATAAAATAGAATGAATACTATTTAGCCATAAAATAGAATGGAATACTATTTAGCCATAAAATAGAATGAAATCCTGTCATTTGCAGCAACACAGATGAAACCAGAATGCACATGTTAAGTGAAGTAAGCCAGGCACAGGAAAACAAAGACTGCATGATCTAACTTATTTGTGAAATCTAAAAAAGTTGAACTCGTAAAAGCAGAGAGTAGAATAGTGATTACCAGAGGCTGGGAGGGGAGATGGAAGCTGGGTTGGTGAGAGGTACAGTTACAATTAGACAGGAAGTATAAGTTCTTGCAGTCTATTACACATTAGGGTGACTACAGCTAATAACAAAGCAGTGTATATTTCAAGATATCCTGAAGAGAAGATTTGGAATGTTATCACCGAAAAAACTTTAAAGTGACAGATATGCTAATTACCTTAATGTGATCATTGTACAATGTATACACATGCATTGAAATATCACACTGTACCACACAAATATGTAAAATTGTGTCAATTATAAATACAAATAATTTTAAAAGAAATTAGAAAAAAGGGTAAACTAACCCCAAAGTAAGCTACAAAAAGAGCAAATTAGGCAAAAAGTAAACAAAATAAAAATGACAAAAGTAAAGGTAAAAATCAATGAATAAGAAAAAATAGAAACAAATGCTGGTCCTTCAAAAAGATCAATAAAATATATATTCCTCTAGCCATACTGATCAAGAAAAAAGACATTATTAATATCATGAATGAGACACATGTCATATCACTAAAGATTCTACAGGATAATGGTATATTTTGAAAAAATATGCTAATAAGTTTGACAAGTTAAACAAAATGGAGAAATTCCTTGCAACACAGAAAAATTATTTATCTATTAATAAAATTGAATAAGCAGTTAAAACATCCCTCTCAAAACATTCCAGGTCCATATGTCTTCACTAGTGAATTCTACCAAATATTTTAAGGAAAAAGTATACCTCCTCTACACAAGCTACTCCAGAAAATAGAAGAGAAGTAAATAATTTATATTTTCCAGATCTAATAAAGCATTTTTATTAAATTTTATTTGATAACATTTTAAGTAATTTTATGAATAGTAGGAGTAAACATGAATATGTTGAAAAACAACTTTATTAGAAATAATGTTAAGCATCTAAACATAGCTAACCCAGATTTTCTTTCTAATTTTTCCAATTTTGAAAGTATATGTCTACCAAATCTACGATGCCTCATCAACTGCTCCCCAACTATCATGCCAGAACCTGCAACATATCCTTCTTGTAAGCTGTGGTTTCATATTTCTAGTATATTTCTAACAGGCTCATGCTTATCACTAGTTTGGATTATTCCTGCGTTTGCACCATCAAGACACTATACACTTGGGAATTTCAATGGCTCATAATTTTGTTGAAGGGAGGACAATTTCCTTATCCTGTCAAATCAGTTTAGCCAGAATTCCCCATCCTCCATATCTGATCCCTCAATATCTGATCAAATTTCTCACCCACCACTATCTCCCAGGTAATATATGATCACCCTGACCTGCCATCAGTAAGAATCCTTTCAAGCCAGTTTAGCAAAAAATTATCTACCCTCTTAATGATTTTCAATCCACTAACTTGCATTCTTTTCCTTGGCTATAAATTCCAACTTGTCTTTGTTGTATTCAGCATTGAGAACAATCTCTTTCTCCTACTTCAATACCCCATGGCAGTAGACCCTTGAAATCCCTTGAATAAAGTCTAAATTGCCATCTTTAACCAGTGTTATAATTTTTTCTTTAACAGTTTTTGCTGCTATGACTTGTATAGGATCAAATTCATTATTGGATTCCCAATCTTCTGACCCAGAATCCCAAGCACCTACCTTTGAAGCTTTCGTCTTCACTTCTGGTTGATTGATGGATGAGCCATTGGTGATTTCGACTCCTGAGCCAGTGCTCCAAATGATAAGTCTGTTGAAGCACAGTGAGGGCTGAGAGAGCCTGAGTACACTATACAGAGGCTGAGTTAGTCCTGTTTCTTTTTGTAAGAAGTTGGTATAGTCACATGCTTCTCTGTTAGGAAGGTACTGGCTGAATTGTAAATCTTACTTCCTGTTTCTGTCTTTGAGTGGGAATTTACTTCTTGAATCCCTGAGCTGAAATATTTTCCTTGGTTCTTTGTGAGGCAACTCTGTTCTATTTGATCCTATTTCTCCCACGGTAACTTTTTAGTCAACGGAAACCCCCTTCTTAAACTCTCACTGATCGTATACTCCACTTCCTTTCTTGTGGTCATGGTTTTGTTAAGGATAATTTGAGACTTCAGGATCTCTTTGGGAAACTGAAGATTTTCCCGAAGTGAGTCCTCTGAGATCTCTTCCTTCCCATTGCTTCTGCTCCTCCTTCATCCTTTTACTACCTTCAATCTTCCCTTCAGCTTTCTTGAATCTTTTGATATGTGCCTCTTCAGACCTCTTTCCTCTGTCTACCTGTCCTCCCAGACGTTTTTCCTTCCTGCTTCAGCCCTTCAGTCACCTGAACTTTAGGTCTCCTATTTCCATCATAACTTTCAAGGGACTCTAGGACCCCAAAAGCAATTGTCTGAGGTTGAAAAAGGAAAAAAAAAGGCTGATTGAAAAATAGATTGGATATTTTATCCAGATGAGGCTTTGGAGACATCCAGATAGGTGCTTGATGTTCTTTCAGTTTCTTGCCTAAAATGTGGTCACAGCCTCCATAACATTGCATGTATGGGCAAAAGAAAATCTTAAATGTGTCTTCTCCACAAATATTGGCTAAAAGCTTTAGTCCTCATATTGAGAAGGTAACCTTAACTTGTTCCATCTGTCAGAAACACAATGAATAAAACTATAAAGTAGAGGAAATAAGAGAGTATTACTGTGTTGTCTAACTCCTGGCTAAAGTTTCAGAATAAAACCTTTAAGATCTCTTATAATATATGTATACATTACATTTATATACAGATATATATGCAATATATATTCTTATATTTTATACATATAGGTATAGAATATACATATATCCCATTCTATGTATATACAGAATATACATATATCCCATTCTATATATATAGAATATATATTACATATATGTATGAGTAATATATATGATTATATATCATAATATATATGAGATTTATCTGTGGATGGTATTATCAAATTACTTAGTACTTTCTTTTTGTGTTTTAGAGACAGATTCTCACGCTGTCACTCAGGCTGGAGTGCAGTGGTGCAATCACAGCTCACTGCAGCCTCGGATTCCTGAGTTCAAGGGATACTCTTGCCTTAGTATCCCAAGTAGCTGGGACTACAGGCGTCCGCAATCATGCCCAGCTAATTTTCAATTTTTGTTTAGAGATGGGGTCTCACCATGTTGCCCAGGCTGGTCCAGAACTCCTGGGCTCAAGCAATCCTCCTACCTTTGTCTCCCAAAGTGTCAGGATTACAGGTGTGAGCCACCACACCTGGCCTAAAATTTCTTAAATTCTGTTCCAATTTTCAGTGATAAATGTGTGCTTATATAAGGTAAATATTTCTAAAACTCTCAGAAACTAATTCAAATGCTTTTCAAATTCACATGAAATGGACGTATATTTGGCAATTAATACTAGCTTCATATTGTTTGTTTCGTAAAAACAGCTACATTTTCTGATATATCAACATTCAGTATAATATGAATACACATTTTTATTCCACTTGGGCTTACTAGTTGAATCAGGTAATATGTCTTCTAGATGCTTAGGATTAAAAAAATTATCAGTTCGACCTTAGAATAAGTGTACAAGTAAAGATGCAGTAAAGAAGAGTTGTTTGATGCCCATTACTTCATATTTCTCAAGACAGCCATAAAACCAAAAACCTGTGTGTTTAACTTCTTTGGTTTTTGCTTTTGTGATGCTTGCCTAACATGATGATGTTAACTGTAAAAACAGTTAACAGGGAAGTAAATTGAGATTATGGCTAGCTTTGCCTGGTGTTGCAATATAGTTGCTGAAAACGGTTTCCAAATTATTTTTGTTAACTTGAAGTTTTAATGTTTTTCTAAGCTGTATTAAGTAATAAATACTCACTAAATATCTAGGTCATTACGAAGTTTTGTGAAGTTGTGAAGTTTTGTGAAGAAGAAGAAGAAGAAGAAGAAGAAGAGGGAGAAAGCTCAATGCTTTATTAATGCAAAACTAGATTTTTTTTTCTGTGGAAAATGCCAGTTTTCTTGGATTACAGTAAAAGGCCTTTTTGTTCATTTTACCTTTTAAGTAATCTTCCTAGGAAGCCAAGATTTTGTGTCTTATCAAGACAGTTTTCTATGTTTATGTTAACCTTTACCATTGGCCTTGATTATTTAAGAGAACTGAGAGCTTGCAATTTAAAAGCACTAAAGTATTTTACATGTTTTACAGTGTTGCCTTTTCAAAACAAATCTTAAGTGAAATCTTGTTTTTGAACTGATCTTGAAATTTCTCAAAGGGACCCTAAAAAATGTCAAAAAATTTGTTCTTTCACCTTGTAAAGAGAAATACTAAAAATAATTTGGTTTATTTAATTGATACATTGCATTGCATGAAAAGACACTTTCAAATAAGAAAAGATACTTTAACTTTCCCTAGATTATATTTTTGTATGGGCAAACATTATTAGGTATTTTAGAAATCATATAAATTTCCTAGAAATTTATCAATATCCCTGCTGTCCACAATATCTCTTAGTTTAATGTCATCAGTGGTGGCTCTAATTATTATTGTATGCCTCAAAAATAGCCAAATTATCTTGTCATTTGCATCATTTTTATGTTGAACTCTCATTATATGTTAATTTCCATTTTAAATTTTTTGTCATTCACATATATTCTGATTCTTCTCTGAAAATATTTGCAATCAGCTACAAGCCATAATGCTTCATGATGGTGTTGATTAATTTAGAGACCATAGTACTGAATTAAGGATTTTCAGAACTAGAGTAGACAAGCCAATGGGTTCATGAAATTTCTAACCCAAGAGCAAGGAGAACAAGAATTATTTGTTCTGATGGACAATAATGAAGTGAAGAAGAGTGATTATGGTTTTGTTTGACAGTTTGTTGGTTCTTAAATGTCCTATTTTGTGGATATAAGCACTCCCTTCCTTTTTCTCTTATTTATGGAACCACAGAACCAGCCCAATCTGGTTCAACTTTGAATAATAAAATGGTGAGTTATTTTTCAGTTGCCATGGGTTCTGGGTTGCAATTTATGTAAACTGCTTATGCTCAGATGAACCACATGTGTAACTGTAGGCAGAAACTAAATTCTAGGACCAAGAAACAGGGACTGAATTAAGAAGGGGACATCTCATGACATAATTCAATTAGATCAAGTCCTGGCATCACCCCATGGCACAATCCAGTCGGATCATGCCTCATGGCATCATCTCGTTGTAAGATCAAATCAGATCACACCTCGTTACCCTCTGCCTATAAAACCTGCCCCAGTCACCAGCCTGAAGAGACAGATTTGGTCACTGCCTTGTGTCTCCTTGCCAATAAACTCATGATAAAACCTTTATTTTCTCAAAGACTTGTGCCACATTGGGCAGAGAAGCCATTGCTTACTCAGTAACATTTACACTTGTAAAAATCAGTAGATTATACTTTTGTACATATAATATTTTCTCCCTGATCCTTCCAGAATTTGTAAACTATTGAGTATTCTTATTTTCCTGGCAATATAGTTATTTACATGAATTTAATAAGAATCTGTTCTTGTAACAGAACACAATTGGAAACATTGGTTATATTTATAAGGTTTTGACTGCAATGTCATATTTGAGAATGATGTGTATAGAATCTGAGTTAGGAACTGAGGTTAACTTTATAATAAGGAACAATTTTTACAAAGCTATCTTGAAAAAGCTGGCCCAATAATAATTGGCTTCTAGGGTTCTTAGCCTTACAGATGAGTAAGGAAGATCACTTCCTAGCAGGCCCAGGGAAGATGGGCTATCTTGGGAACCTCAAGAAGACAGGAATTCATTCAAATCTGTAAGTACCAGAAGTGAAGTCTGATGGCTAGTTCTTGGCTGGACTTCTTAGCTTCAAAAGGTTTTTGAAATTATAACCTGAGATTCCTTATGAAAAGTTCCAGCAAAGAAAACTCAAAAAGACCTATGTGGTCAATTACCATTCTTCCTTTCCTTATGTAAATAATCAGGTCAAATCTAATGAGACCAGATTTATTTTGTCTTTTAAAAGAGAATAACCTCATTTTGGTTATCTTTGATAAAAAATAAGTGTGACTAGAGAGATACATTTTATGTTCCAGTGGAAAAATATAGTGCACTCTTGTGAGTTCTCGATTATTCTAGCTTTTTTCCAGTATCCGTCTACAACTTCCAATTTTCTCTCACCCTCCTGACTTGGAGTCAATGAGATGTAAAACTGCCCTTTTTTCAAAACTCTGCAAGCTGAAGCTCGACTATGTGATATAAACATCATGGAAATCACTGTAACAGATTATGTATGGACAGCCTTTGTGCTTGTTGCTGTGTGGGCCACTCAGAATGTTCATGGAAACACTTCATGCTGTCACTGAAAACATTCAACCTGCAAACCCAGAAGCTTTGTCAGTTTGCCGCTGCCATCCCCACTTCCCTATCTAAAGATTCTTCAAGCTCAAATCAAGATGTCTTCTTGAATGGCGGCCCTGTGGAATCAGAAACTGGGTTTCTAACCATTAATTTTTTTGTTAATTTTCATAGAAATTCCCCTCATTAAATTCCTGACTGCTAACCCATCCAGCAAATATATTATACTACCATATCCCAACAGATGTTTCAGCTGGTCCTCAATGAGCAAAAGATAACTCAAAAAGAAACAGACTTGTTTTGTTCAATGGAAAAAAGAATATTTCTTTTCTTGAACAAGAGGAGGGACTGACAAAGAATCTCTCCTTGACTAAACTTTAATCAGTCTCCTCTGAGCTGAAGTAGGCCCCATGTTGGGCATATCCTCCAAGAGCCTAGTTTTAGCACTTACCCTGTAGAGTCGGCTTAGCCAAAATCCCCTGCTCTCCATATTTCATCCCTCTCAACATCTGATCAAATTTTTCATCCACCACCATCCCTCAAGTAATGACTGACAAATCTATCTTGCCTTAAGCAAGAAACTTACTGGGTCATTTTTGCAAATAATTACTCTACCCTCTTAGTGATTTTTCCATCCACTGACTCACATCCTGCTCCTTGGCTATAACCTTCTACTTTTCCTTTTGTATTCAGAGTTTAGCCCAATCTCTGTCCCCTACTACAAAACCCATTGCATTAGCCTCCATGAAGTTCCTTGAATAAAGTCTACTTTATCAGTAATAAGGGTCATGATGAATCATTTTCTTTCTTTAACAGCATCTAAGAATCTGATTCATCTAATAATTGTGAATCATATAATTCCTCTAATAATTATGACTAATATAAAGAGTATCTTCCTCTGTTTATATTTTTCTCTTTATCATTATCATAGGAAAATTAAAAATTCTGCATTTTCAACTGTGTTCAATGAATGGTTAAATATACAGATTAAAGGATAATGTCTTTAGAATTTTACTTACATACATGAAAGACTGCAATATTTTGGGCAGCACAATACCAATAGTGAAGAATACTATCCTGAAATGGGGCTTTATTTCAATACTGCATCTTCCACCTAGATGAGTCCATCATTCTTCCATTTTCTAATTATTTCAATCTATGCTTTAGCACAGTTAGAATAATTTATATGTGATGAAATACTCTCTATTAACATGAAATAGTAAGATATTTCAGGATATAAAAAATATAAGATCACCATGATCTGGTAGTGTATCATAAGATTTACCAAAAGGTCTAATGGGCTCATATGTTAATTATAATTTATAATGAATGTGCCATTTAAACAAGAATAAGTTTTCTCTTTTTTTGTCTGGTAGAATTCAAATAAAGTATAAATATCATCATACGACAAACTTTAAAACAAAAATGTGTTTAAACAAACAGAAAAAAACAATAAAAACAAAAAACTAATTGGTTTCAACAGACTCTAATGATTTATCAAAGGTGAACAGTATTTTTCGATGAGCAGCCATTTTTAATGTTGTTGATAAAGTCAAGTTCATTAATTTTTTATGGTATTGCTTTTGTGTATTCTAACAAACCATTGCCTAATTAGTATCATGGAAATATTCTCATATGCTTTCTTCTAGAGGCTTTATAGTTTTAGTTTTTAGGGTAGGTATAATAACCATCTTAAATTAAGTGTATGGTGTGAAGAAGAGGATGAAGTCCCTTTTCTATCCCATTTATTCAGTTGTATTGGGTGCCTTTGTTGAAAATCAGTTGGATATATATGTGTGGTTATATGTTTGAAATCTCTATTAGGTATATGTCTCTATTTATTTTTCTTTATGTCAATATCATACTATCTGGATTACTATCTGAAATATGATGATGTGAGTCATTTGCATTACTATGGAAGTTTTATCATCAATTGTCAATTTTGACAAAAACAATCTAGAATTTTTATTAAAAATTTGTTGAGTCTGTAAATTATTATACAATCAACTAACCAATTTCTACTGAAAAACTATTTAGAATTTGAGAATTTGCTGGTTGTACAAATAAATTATTTGAATCTAAAAATACATTTTTCTCAACATGGTATTTATTTACATTTATTCAGGTCATCTTTAATTTGTCTGAGCAATGGTTTTATTTTTCAGTGATGCTGACATCTTTCATGCCTGTAAAATTTATTATTAATAATTTTATCTTTTTTCTATTATAACAAGTGCTTTCTGTAAACATGTTTTCTGCTACTACATAGAAATTCAATTTATTTTTCTATATTGATGCCTTGGATCCTGTGACCTTGTTAAATTTAACCATCATGATATTGACAAGCAATAAAGAGTTTTAATATTTTTTTCCAATCTCTAAGACTTCAACATTTTGTTGCTGTTATTGCTGCCTTATTTCAATGGCAATAAGTAAATGGGCTTCCAGTAACATGTTAAATAGAAGTTATTAAAACAAACTTTTGTGCTTTGTTATGATGTTAGGAAGAAAGCGTTAAGTATTTCAATGTAAGGTATGAAGATAGTTGTAGTTTTCTTACAGATGCACCTTATCACACTGAGGACATTTGCTTCTATTCCTGGATTGATAAGGTTTGATATTGAGAATAAGTGTGGAATTTTGTCAAATATTTTTTCTCCATCTGTTGAATTGAGGGAGCTTTTTTCTCCTTTATTGTGCTATACGATGGATTATACTTGCTGATTTTGTAATTTAAACCAAATAGAAGTATACATTAAATAATTATATAATTATTTTTATATACTGTTGATTTGCTAAGATTTTCTTTCTGCATTTATGTTCTTCAGAAATATTGATATGTAATTTTCTTTTTTATTTTCCAATATTGTTGTCAGCTTTTGCTATTGGAGTGCCAATCTCAGAGAAACCTTAAGTCTAGGGCTAATTTTGCCTTACAGCTAAGGCAATACCCTTCTGAGTACTCTATCTAATGACCTGCATATTACAAACTTTTTCATTTCAGTTAAGAATTACTCTTAGAATAATTCTCTTTTAGAATAATTACTCTCAGAAATAAGAATTACTCTTCTTTTCTGTGTGCGTTCCAGAAGACATTGCAACTGTTCCTTTCCAGTGATTCTTTAGTAGCCTTGAATAGTTTCTTCACACACATGCCATAATGAATGCTCAGACATAAAATAATCCCTTTCTCTCTCTCTCCCTCCCTGCAGTTGTGTTTTCCATGCAGCTTTCTCCTCTCTAGTATCTGCTTGTGAATTACAGCCACTGCAGAATCCAAATATCTTAGCTATGTCTCTTCAACTCAGAGAAATCAGTTGTGTCTTTGAGTTCACTCTCCTTGTATTGCAACCCAGAACCTCTAGCCAGTAAGCTACGAAAATGACCTCATTTCCCACCCCATCCCCCCAATCAGGAATCACTGCCTTGTTCTGCCTCTTTTATAATGTCTAAATTTTGTTTTACTTTTATTAATTCTGCTTTTCTTTTAGTTGTTTAAGGATAGAGGCAAATCTGACCCCTATTTCTCCATCATGGTAAGAAGCATATTTCTGGTTATAAGATTTTTTGCCTACACATTCTTTCCTTTATTTTCTTGAAAAACGTTGCTCCATTATTGTCTTGCTTTCTATCTTACTGCTGAAAAATCTAATCCTACCTGGTTTTCTTTCCATTATAAATGCCTTGACAAATGTAAATGAGTTGGTTGTGTAGCTTAGAGGCTTGCTGAATATTTTATCTTTAAAGTGGTATCACATATGTCTTGGGGTTATCAATTCTTGGTAAAGTACTCAAGAATTACTGAAGAAATTCAGAAAAATCACTCGATCACTTGATATTTCATTGCATATTTAATTTTAAACAGACATAGGGAATATGGTGTAAGAATAATGCATAAATGTTATATATTGTGATAATGTCAAAAAATACCCAATTAAAAATACAAGAAGATAGAAAGGGGGAAGTAGTCTAAGTTTGTATATCTACACCATATAGATAATAGGTGTAAGTCACAGACTATTATTTAAAGCAAAACAGACATCAGAAGCAAAGTTAGAAAACAGGACTAATGAAATAAAGATGATTGTAAAAGGTAACTACTTAAACAAAACTGCAAGAGTTCCTAAATACCAAAATGAATATAAGAAAAATATCTGCAAAACTACTAGTGCTATGGTTTGAATGTTTGTCTTTTTTAAAACCCATGTTGAGGATAGACATGGTGGCTCATGCCTATAATCCCAGCACTTTGGAGGCTGAGGCGGGCAGATCACGAGGTCAAGAGTTTGAGACCAACCTGGACAACATGGTGAAACCCCGTCTCTACTAAAAATACAAAAATTAGCCATGCGTGGTGGTGCACACCCGTAATCTCAGTTACTCAGGAGGCTGAGACAGGAGAATTGCTTGAAACCGGGAGGCGGAGGTTGCAGTGAGCTGAGGTTGTGCCATTGCACTCCAGCCTGAGTGACAGAGCAAGACTCTGTCTCTAACAAACAAACAAACCAACAAACAAACAAACACACAAAACCCATGTTGAAAGATAATCCCCAGTGTAACAGTATTAAAAGGTGAGGCCTTTAACAGGTGACTGGATCATGAGGCTTCTGCCCTTGTGAATGGATTAATCCATTCATGGATTAATGGGCTAATGGATTAGTGGGTTATCACAGGAGGGGTTAGTTATCACAAGAGTGGGTCTGTTATAAAAGTTAGCTTGACTCTCTTGTGTCTTTTTAGTCTTGTGATGCCTTTTGCCATGTTGTGATGTAGCATGAGGCCCTCACCAGAAGCCACCCAGATGCTGCTACCTGATATTGGACTTCCCAGACTTCAGAACTGTAGAAATACATTTCTGTATGTATAAATTACCCAGTCTCTGTATTCTGAGATAGCAACAGAAAACACACCAACACAATCACAAAGGGAAATATAATACAATGAGCAACTTTCTAAATCAGAAACACAGAAGATGCAAGAAGTCAAAATTCCTAATAATAGGGGCCTTTAATTTTCACAGCCCAATATAGATCAAGAGGCCAAAAATTGCCAAATATCACAGCAGTAAATTGCATAAGTCAAGAACTTTTAGAGACATAAGCGCAGGTTTATGAATTCACTTCACAAACACAGTGAAGGAAATTAATATTCTTATCTCAGAATTTCATAGTTTCAATAGTTTAAACATTAGCAAAGACAGAGAATATAAAAAATCCAAAGTTATCTTTTAGAATTTTAATTTTGGTGTGAGTTTTGGTCAACAAAGCACATATGATAGGTAGAGATTAAGAAAGAATATTTTCTGCCTGACCATCAACCAGTATAATTCAGAATATTACAACAGAGGAGAGAACCACATTACATGAGAGAGATGTTGTTGGCTTATAATAGTATAGTAGAAAACGGGATGAGAGAATTGAAGCAAGTTAATTCCTAGGTAGTAGGATAGGGCCAATAGGTAGCCATTTAAACTTATATTTTAAATCCATAGACACTGTAAAAACATTAGTAACTTAGGGTCCCAGTGTAAAAAAAGTATGTTAATATAATTTGCGAATAATACTGATTACTAGGAATAAACACTATATTGAACATGGCAGACACAAACTCACCATCCTTTACCAGCTCCAAGTGTTAAAGTAAAACTTTGGTCTCAAATTTGCAACCAGGTGAGCACACCCTGATAATATAAACTTCCATGTCACATGCTACTGCCTGAAAATAGCAATCACACAAATGAAGATGAGTTACTTGAGCAGGAGATCTTGGTTCCATGTTCAAATAACATTTTATCTGCTAGAATTTTTTCTTTGTTTTGGAATAATATTACAAAGGACAAGTACGTTTTTCTTTTAAGGTCATGAGTTGATTGTTACAGATTAGGTTTATTTGAAAAGTCGTAACTCATATTATATTATCATGATTTGAGTGAACTATTTCTCAGGATGATACATCATCTTTATATACCCTTAATGTCATAGACATTTGCTTGCTAACGGCATATCCCACGATACTTTTTATTTCTGTTACACCCAATGGGAAATCCTGAGCATATTTTTTTACTAATTATGTTGTGTTTTCAAAAACAGCTTCATCACAAGTTTCTGATCCAAGGCTATTGATTACAGAACACAGTTATGGAAGCAAGGCTATAACAATATCCTTACTTCTCTGTACCAAATACATGCAGCATTTGCATGTCTGGTTCAATAAGGCTTAAGCAGTTTTTGTTTGGGAACAGAATCATATGCTTTTTTAAAGACCTGGGTGAGGCCAGGCGCAGTGGCTCAAGCCTGTAATCCTAGCAATTTGTGAGGCTGAGGCAGGTGGATTACCTGAGGTCAGGAGCTCGAGACCAGCCTGGCCAACATGGCAGAACCCCATCTCTACTAAAAATACAAAAAAGAAAAAAAAATTAGCCAGGAGTGGTGGTGGGCGCCTGTAATCCTAGTTACTTGGGAGGCTGAGGCAGGAGAATCGCTTGAACCCGGGAAGCAGAAATTTCAGTGAGCTGAGATCGCACCATTGCACTGCAGCCTGGGCAGCAAGAGAGAAACTCCGTCTCAAACAACAACAACAACAACAACAACAACCACCACCACCACCACCACCACCACCACCACCACCACCACCACCACCACCACCTGGGTGGTGGGCCTGGTGCAGTGGCTCGTGCTGATAATCCCAGCACTTTGGGAGGCTGAGTTGGGAGGATTGCTTCAGGACAGGTGTTTGCGACCAGGGTGGGCAACGTAGTGAGGCATCATCTCCACGAAAATTAAAAAAAAAAAAAATTAGCCACGGTGGCACATGCCTGTGGTCCTAGCTACTTGGAAGACTGAAAGACTGAGGTGGGAGGATTGCTTGAACCCAGGCATTCAAGGCTTCAAAGAACTATTATCACACTACTGCACAGCCTGGGCAAAAGAGAAGTAAGACCTTGTCTCTTCTTCAACAGAGAAGTAAGACCTTGTCTCTTCAGAAAGAGATGAATGATGAATGTTCATTTACATGAAAGTAATACTTCAAAATATAAACATTGAAATTATTTTGAAGTGATACTGTACCAAGTAATTTTTTTTTGGAGACGGAGTCTTGCTCTATCGCCCAGGCTGGAGTGCAGTGGCGCGATCTCGGTTCACTGCAAGCTCCGCCTCCCGGGTTCACGACATTCTCCTCAAGTAGCTGGGACTACAGGCGCCTGCCACCACGCCCGGCTAATTTCTTGTACCAAGTAATGTTTTAAATAGAAATAAATCCTTTCACTCTATACTTCCCCTCATAAAAGATTATTATATATGAATATATGGATAAACATACTAACATACAAAATGCATATTATATATTCATGCATTTACATTTAATTTATACATAATGTGGCATATATTCCTATACATATAAATAAACAATTATACATATATAAATAGAGCTATATTCACTTATAAATCTGTGAACGTGTACTATTCTTTCGTACCATTTAATACTGGTCCTACCTGAATTTTACCTACTGTTTACAAACCACCAACAAAAAGAACATACGGCTTTTCTAGTGTCAGTCAGGTCCACAGAATCTTAGTGAAAAAAAAAAAAAAGACTTTCTTAGTAAACTCTTTTCTCTCCTACTCCCATAAATATTATCATTTTCCATCATTCTATTCAAGCTTTTCTTCTTTTTCTTTGTTACAACATTTTTGGTATTACATGACTTCTCCTACAATCATATTTAGAGCTTCAGCTAGGACTCCTTCCTGAATCCCAGTCTCAGTTTTTGAATAATGACTATTCTCTTTACCTATTTTTCTGCTGACCAATAAAACACAATGCATCTAAAACTGTAATTTTCCTTTCCTGCCTGCTTCTCCTTCCAGATTCTTATTTTTGGTAGGCTCAGTTTTCTCAGGGCTAAGTTTATAGCTTCTATTCTCTCATAATTAGAAACATGCCAAACCCTCTTTTCCTCAATATCTCACCTGCCACAATGTTTCCTGTTGAGTTCTCACTGCCATAATCAAAGTTCCGGTTAATACTTCCTTTAATTTTGGCAACGGCATTACATTACTGATGGTTTTCCCTACCTGTTCATCACAATTTTGAAGCATCAACCCCTAAACCGGAACTGGGAAACTAGTTTTGGACGTTCCATCCCTAAACCAGAAGTGGGATGATCCGCCCTTGAGGAGAGATCTTGATCCATTTCCAGCCTAGGAGCTTCAAGCAGATGCCTGCTTGAGGATGTTAATGCGGGAAAGGTAACAATCCTGCCTTGCTGTGCTGCGATGTGAATCAAGAAGGCTGCCTGCAAATGATCTCAGTTAACCCAGTAAGAAACCGTCATGGCAACATCGCGTGTTAGTGTGAACGTCAGCCAGCCCTGTTCAGAGCTCGAGGGGGAGGTCCTTTCAGGCCAGGCTTTCCCCTGACCTCATAATTTACGCTGTGAAAATTGTACAGAAGTCGGTCTGTTTTCACCCTGCTGTTGGCAAGAATTGGGGGAAGAAACCTAATGCCCCCTCGAAAGTATGTATTTTTCAGGGCCTGGAATTTGCTGAGTTTTTATTTGTACTCTGCATTTTATGAAAAAAATGACAATGAGGAGCGCCAAGGAGTACTTGGGGACGTGGAGGGCTTGAACAATTTATTATTATTATTATTTTTTATTTTGAGACGGGATCTCTTGCTGGGTTGGAGGGCTCAAATGATCCTCCCACTTCAGCCTCCTGAGTAGCTGGGACTACTGGCATGTGCCACCATACCCGGCTAATTTTTCTTTATTTTTCATTTTCTTTCTTTCTTTTTTTTTTTTTTTGGAGAGGTGGGGTTTTGCCATGTTGTCCAGGCTGGTCTTGAACTTCTGAGCTCCAGTGATCAGCCTCAGCTTCCTGAAGTGCTGGGATTACAGGTGTGAGCCACCACACCCGGCCTCTGTGTCCTACTTCTGTTTTTTCACTTCTGAGGTGAAATAAACAAAGTTTGTTCTGTTTTGTAATAGTAAGAATGGTTACATTAAATAATAATAAGGTTGGTGCAAAAGTAATTGCGGTTTTTCCGCAATTACTTTTGCACCAATGTGTGTGTGTTTTCCGCTAGGAAATGAAAAAAAGGAACTGGGGCCCAGTGTGCTGGAAACTGGAGTGCTTCTAGCACTGTCTCCCTTTGCTGCCTCCCGACAAGCTGTTTGTGCTGTGGTCATGCCAATCAGCTGGGCTTTGAAGAGGAACTGGAGGACCAGCTGTGAATGCACTGTGAGTGAGCATCTCCCATCTTGACTGTACGGAAGGCAGAGGTCTGGCATCCTTTGTGTAAGGACACTGAAGTTTATACAGATTAAGTATAACCTTTGCCCAAATCCACCTGGCTGGAAGAAGCACATTGCACAGTTGCCACCACAGTAAGTCTGGGATTGCTTGAGACAGAAGCTTTAGCAATTGCTGCAATAACTGGAGGAAGAAATAGAAATCCTTAGCAGCTTCATGTAGAGAGTTTCAAGATGGTGACTCAGGGGATCTGAGCTGTCAACTCCAATGGTCCCCTCTGATTTTTAACGACCTTAAAGTGCTTTCATTTAGTGCCTTGCTTGTATATAATCTCACATATTTTGTAAATGCAAAGCAAGTAATCACATTCAAGGACTATTGACCAATTACTTTTATTTCTTTGAGGTTCTGCACAATTGAGCATCCCTGTGTTTTGGACACGTGAAGCTGGTAGGTGAGTGGTAGTAAGTATACAATTCCAAATAAATGGGCTACATTGCTTTCTCATGCACAGCACCTAAACTACTATTATTTCACATTGAACGCCAGTGGAATTATTCATAATCTTCTAGGTGGCTCAAATAGAATAGGCAAGGACTGAGATTTGCTTGTAGGATGAACAGGAAAAAAAGAAATCAAGCATAACTTAAAAGTAATTACCCGTTTTGGTAATGGTGCCCCAAATCTTTGATGAATTGCCATCACATATCAACGAAATGCACTCAACTGGGACAATCCTTTTTCTAGAAGGAAACACTAATGCAGTTTATTAGGACACTACTCTAAAAGACAAATGCGATGTTCCTGTGCCATCAAGTTTTGTCACAAGGTTGAAATGACCTATCCCAGTGAAATTTAAGAGCCAGAAGATTTTCAAATATCTATATGGAACCAGAGGAAGATAGAATGACCTTGCCAGGACTTGGACTTGTTTGGCAAAAGCCCTGGTTGAAGCCAGACCTAAGCTGTGGAAACTAATATTTTGTGCAGACAGGATAGTTCCAAGGAAACTGCATTTTCGTGATACCAACGTTATCATCCCTGTGCCTGAATGTGTCTCCCGGGAAAATGCAGCAGATACCTAGGAAAGTTCTGTTGGACTAACCTTTGCAATTCAGAATTGAGTGGTAGCAGTCCTGTATTCAAGGTAAGGCCACTTAACACAGAAGTAAAAACCAATCTGTGTGTTAGTTCTGGATTTCCCACCTCTGATTAGAAAAATTTAGGGATTAAACTACTTAGAAGCACATAAAGCTGAGAAGGATGTTATTGGTGCAACACAGTGCATATTCTTTCTCAAAGGCCTATGTGTAAATTTTTTTTTTTGGTATGCAGACAGGTTTTTCTACACAATTTCTTTCCACCTTAGATGTGCTACATTTCTGTGCATTAGCTTCAGAACAGTAATGTTCTCCACATTTGTCTCTCATTTTAATATCCATGGATTTGCTCTCTTATCAATTCTCTCATTTTAAAAATTAATTTTTAAGTCACCAAAATGTTACCGTATTACTGATGCCTCTGAAGCCTAATTTCAGTCAAAAGTTGTTGTTCACTTTTTTGAACTCATACCATTGAGTTCATATCTGTACATCTCTTAGTTTTCTTAATACTTTCTACTTCTTAGAATTGTTATCTGTATGTTTTATTTCACCTTGGATTCTGATCTTCTTAAATTTGAAAACATTTAAAAAAAACGTATTATATCACTTGAGTACTCAGCGGAGTGTTTAAAAAGATTGCAACTACCACTGTGGTTTGAGTGTGTGTGTGTATGTATGTGTTTACATTGCAGGAATCTCGAACTCGGAGCTATAAGACAAACTACCAGCCATGAAGATTTGTATTTATTATCTACAGCATGGTACTCTTGAAAACTTGCTTAAGAGTTTCCCTGATATGACCCAGATCTGTAATGTTATTTTGGGGCTCTTTAATTGAAAAAATGCAAATGAGCACATCAAACTTAACTTTGTCTACTAAGAAGGAACCATACATTTCTCTTTATTCGTTTATAACTTATTTAAGTGAGAAGTGAGGATAATACCACTTGTTAGTTTAATTACATAATAAATATAAATATCTTTTAACTGCTATAAGTAAACATCTTTAAAGATATTAAAAAAGGTAACGAAAAAATATTGACACTATGTACAGTTAGAAGATGAGCATCAAAACTGAGTACTGGGGGAACCTCAAACATGTAACCTAATCTGTCTAATATCAAAATTCAGATATGGTGCAAAGTTTGAGAAGCCACGCAATTTAGGGACAGATATTTTTGGAATCTGCTGGGCCATCTACTTATCTTCACTGCCTTGTACATATACATATATATGTAGAGAAATAACATTTTTAACTGTTTGTCATTGGAACACAATGAATCTCTATTATTTACCTCTAATCATTGCTCATGAAGGCAGATAAAGTATTAGTTGTACAAATGTTATTACATTTCTTCTTGGGAAGATAGTGTGTGGGAACTTGTTAGTTTTCATCAACTCAAGAAAAATGCTCATTTATTAAGGAATTGATGCTGATATGAAATGACAAGTGAATTATTACACTGTAGAGTGCTTTGCTTAGAATGCATATGACTGTGCATGTAATCACAAATTCCTCCGGTTTCTGGAGTGTTACTTGGACTACATGCAACAAACCACCAAACATTAGTGATCTCAGTTCTTTTCCTTCAACTCTTCAGGGTTGCACTTCCTCAGTGCAAATTATTCTGTGGCCCTAAGTAGAGGTGGGAAAGAAGAAAAACAAAATTCTACCCATCTAAATGAAAGTGGCAACGTTAATCTACCCCAAGGCACTAAACTGTAACATTTTATTTAATCATTTATATTAAAATCAACAGAATACAACAGTAAATTACATTCCCCAAATCATAAGGGCTTATATTCAACACTTAACCTCACGTCAGGGAAAACATGAAAGAAGTGTTGCAGTCAACTCTTCATCTGTCTGACATGTGCCACTGTATGTATCTGACTTGCTTTCCTTGCTTTTTTAAATGCTTGTCCAATTTGTTTTTTTACTTTGTTTTGTGGAAGGCTGCATATGCCCTCAGGGCAGTATTCGGTACTTTCTGATGAGCACAAAGAATGTTGCTGACATAGCAAAATCTTCAGAAAGCCAGAAAAATGAAAAGTTTTTCCGAAACATCATTATAATTACATTGGGTACAAAAGTCTCAGATACTGGTAAGAGCACATGTAATTGTTTTGCTGTTTCATATTTTTTTACAGTCCCAAGTTGTATGTTCATTTATAGTATAGGTGGTAATGAAATAGAAAATATATTACATATATAAGGAGAGAGAGAGAGACTAAGTATCCTACAATGATGCCCAGCAAGATTTACATTAAGTTTCACTTTAAGCTTCAACATAAATAGAAAATGTGTGGCATTGACAGGATTGAGATTTCCTGCCACTGATTGCAGAAATAATAAAACTTGAGATGAGGATTGGGAAGAGACAGTAAACTCTTCCAATATTAAAGCTAATTGAGACAAGTTATGTTGTAACTTATTTACCAACTTCTCTTTTACAGTATCATTCTCTTAAATATATATATAAATTTTTTTCTGTGAGCTGAAAAAGGGCCTGGTTAGAATAGAATCAGTAGTAGCAAACATTGAACTAACTATGTCAGCAAGAGTACAGGAATTAACTCGTTCTGAGAAAAGTTATAACTGTGAACACTGTTTTGATTTGTCGTGGGGAAGAGAAGAGCGACAATGATGATGAAAATAACTTAAGTCTTTCAAAGGGCTATAAAATATACTTTGTTAAATCCTCCATAAAACTCATGAGGTAGGTAAGAATATATTCGTGATTATTCTTACACTATAAATACAAACTGAACTAAGATAGTTTTAGTGGTGTGCCCCAGTATAATAGATAGCAAGTATGCTGTCATACCTATGTATGATAAATGGCAATTCGGTTTAAACACAGGCCTTTGTAAATATATCTCTGATGTTGTATGCATCCTAGTCTACACAGAGTTTATCAGAGAGATAAACATTAGGTGCTTCAAAGTCAAGTTAAAAATTGGTTAAGCAATTAATATTGAAGAACACTGGGAATCATGTTTCCACCTTAATGTTAAGACATAATACATGCTGTTTTGGTTACTGTAGCCTAGTAGTATAGTTTGAAGTCAGGTAGCGTGATGCCTCCAGCCTTGTTCTTTTGGCTTAGGATAGACTTGGCAATGTGGGCTTTTTTTTGGTTCCATATGAACTTTAAAGTAGTTTTTTCCAATTCTGTGAAGAAAGTCATTAGTAGCTTGATGGGGATGGCATTGAATCTATAAATTACCTTGGGCAGTATGGCCATTTTCATGATACTGATTCTTCCTACCCATGAGCATGGAATGTTCTTCCATTTGTTTGTATCCTCTTTTATTTCATTGAGCAGTGGTTTGTAGTTCTCCTTGAAGAGGTCCTTCACGTCCCTTGTAAGTTGGATTCCTAGGTATTTTATTCTCTTTGAAGCAATTGTGAATGGGAGTTCACTCATGATTTGGCTCTCTGTTGGTCTGTTATTGTTGTATAAGAATGCTTGTGATTTTTGCACATTGATTTTGTATCCTGAGACTTCGCTGAAGTTGCCTATCAGCTTAAGGAGATTTTGGGCTGAGACGATGGGGTTTTCTAGATATACAATCATGTCATCTGCAAACAGGGACAATTTGACTTCCTCTTTTCTTCATTGAATACCCTTTATCTCCTTCTCCTGCCTGACTGCCCTGACCAGAACTTCCAACACTATGTTGAATAGGAGTGTTGAGGGAGGGCATCCCTGTCTTGTGCCAGTTTTCAAAGAGAATGCTTCCAGTTTTTGCCCATTCAATATGATACTGGCTATGGGTTTGTCATAGATAGCTCTTATACAGTAACCAAAACAGCATGGTACTGGTACCAAAACAGAGATATAGACCAATGGAACAGAACAGAGCTCTCAGAAATAATGCTGCATATCTGCAACTATCTGATCTTTGACAAACCTGACAAAAACAAGAGATGGGGAAAGGATTCCCTATTTAATAAATGGTGCTGGGAAAACTGGCTAGCCATATGTAGAAAGCTGAAACTGGATCCCTTCCTTACACTTTACACAAACATTAATTCAAGATGGATTAAAGACTTAAATGTTATACCTAAAACCATAAAAACCCTAGAAGAAAACCTAGGCAATACCATCCAGGACATAGGCATGGGCAAGGACTTCATGTCTAAAACACCAAAAGCAATGGCAACAAAAGCCAACATTGACAAATGGGATCTAATTAAACTAAAGAGCTTCTGCACAGCAAAAGAAACTACCATCAGAGTGAACAGGCAACCTACAGAATGGAAGAAAATTTTTGCAATCTGCTCATCTGACAAAGGGGCTAATATCCAGAATCTACAATGAACTCAAACAAATTCACAAGAAAAAAACAAACAACCCCATCAAAAAGTGGGCAGAGGATATGAACAGACACTTCTCAAAAGAAGACATTTATGCAGCCAAAAGACACATGAAAAAATGCTCATCATCACTGGCCATGAGAGAAATGCAAATCAAAACCACAATGAGATACCATCTCACACCAGTTAGAATGGCACTCATTAAAAAGTCAGGAAACAACAGGTGCTGGAGAGGATGTGGAGAAACAGGAACACTTTTACACTGTTGGTTGGACTGTAAACTAGTTCAACCATTGTGGAAGTCAGTGTGGCGATTCCTCAGGGACCTAGAACTAGAAATACCATTTGACCCAGCCATCTCATTACTGGGTATATACCCAAAGGATTATAAACCATGCTGCTATAAAGACACATGCACACGTATGTTTATTGCGGCACTATTCACAATAGCAAAGACTTGGAACCAACACAAATGTCCAACAAAGATAGACTGGATTAAGAAAATGTGGCACATATACACCATGGAATACTATGCAGCCATAAAAAATGATGAGTTCATGTCCTTTGTAGGGACATGGATGAAGCTGGAAACCATCATTCTCAGCAAACTATTGCAAGGACAAAAAACCAAACACCGCATGTTCTTACTCATAGGTGGGAATTGAACAATGAGAACACATGGACACAGTAAGGGGAACATCACACACCAGGGCCTGCTGTGGGGTGGGGGGAGGGGGGAGGGATAGCATTAGGAGATATACCTAATGTTAAATGAAGAATTAATGTGTGTAGCACACCAACATGGCACATGTATACATATGTAACAAACCTGCACGTTGTGCACATGTACCCTAAAACTTAGAGTATAATAATAATA
This sequence comes from Homo sapiens, assembly GCF_000001405.40. Lineage (NCBI taxonomy): Eukaryota > Metazoa > Chordata > Mammalia > Primates > Hominidae > Homo > Homo sapiens. The sequence continues at coordinate 86,021,746 of NC_000012.12, forward strand.
AAAAAGACATAATACATAAGATGATTATTTTTCCTTAAAGGATGGTATAAGCATTTATGTACAACCACTAGTATAGTATAAAAGGCAATAACATATTGTCTCAATAATATTGCCACACATTTTTACTGTACATTTTCATACAGTAATAGATCAGGTAAACTAACTTGAATTCAGTACTACCAAATAACAAATTTGGGTGGATTTAATGCATATATTAATATATTTTTACATTGAAGTAAAATGCTCAGATTACGAATCATTTTCCTGTTTAAGTGTTGTTTTTCTTAAGCTTGTTATTAAATTCTAAAAATAATAAGAATTTTGTTATTGATAAATCATTACCATTCATTTATTATTTCACTCAAACATTTATTGAGTTTATACTAGGTACCAGATACCTGTGCTATGCACAATGACTGCAATTTAATATGCAGCTTAACTAGAACAGAAAAATACTACAGAGGAAATGCAGTAAAAACACATGTTGTGGTTAGAAATGCTTTTAATACTTTCCTGATAGTTGTTATGAAGAATTTTTAAAAAACATTTTAAATGGTTACTCAGTCTGTATTGCCCAAGACATTAAGTATTGCCTTAGTTCTATCTCCACTTACTGAAGCCCTACTATGCACATGGCATTGTGCTAGAAAGAAAAGTAAAGATTAATTTAAAGTCCATGTTCTGTCTGTGCCTGGTGGCTCACCGTCTGTAATTTCAGCGCTTTGGGAGGCTGAGGTGGGAGGATCGCTTGAGGCCCGGAGCTTGACACCAGCCTGGGCAACGTAGTGAGAACTTGTCTCTATGAAAAATGATAAAAAATAATTGCTAGGCATGCTGGTGCACAGCTGTAGTCCCAGATACTTGAGAGGCTAAGACAGAGGATCACTTGAGCCCAACAGTTCGAGGTTGAGCCATGATTGTGCCATGCACTTCAGCCTGAGTGACAGAGTGAGACCCTGTCTCTAAAATAAAATAAGTCCCTGTTCTTGCACTAATGTCTAGTGCAAGGCAAAAGGAAGGTAAATGTGCCCAAAAGTAGATCCATAAATTGTTAGAGGCATGATGTTACAAAAATGCACAGGTTATAATAGAAACATAAAATAGGGAAATAAGAGACTTTTCTACTTGAGAGTTGGCTGTTTTCAGAGAATATTACATAGAGGAGATGAAGACAGACAGGGAGTAAGATAAGAGTAGGAAAGACCCGAGGGTAAGAGTACAGCAAAAAAACAAAGTGACATACAGAGTGTAACATTTCTATATTATAAAGTTGTTGATTTTTCCTGTTTTCTTAAAATCTCACCACCATCTGAGCAGAAATAGTTTAAGTTAATACATTATAGAGCTCATGATAAACAAAATGAACAGCCTGGTTCCAGACTTCTATTCTGTAATAATTTTATTAAATGAGAAGATAATAAGAAAATACCTTGAAATTTTTGAAGGGAAATGTTATGTTATTGTTCCATAATTGTAGTTCACAAAAGTTCTCTTTATTTTGCAGAGGCAAAGTCAATTTTTTTTTCTGGTATGTAAGGTCTTCAGAAATAAAGTATTGATTTATTTTTCTCTTTAGAAAATAATTAAAATTTCCACCAAGTCGTTTTAGAGATGAATTAAGAACCAAGAATGGAGAGACTATGGTGAAAAGTGACTGCAGTTTTTTTTCTTACTTAATTTTGATTCCAAATTCCAGAAACCAGTAGGATTTAGGTATCCTCATGTTTTTAAAGCCAAGTGGTGAAGCTAGATTTTATATTAAGTACTATTTAAGACTTTATATTAAGCTTGGATCCTGTTTTGTAACTTCAAATTTTGTAGAATCACGAAATATATTATATATATTATATAAATACTTACGTAATCATATGTTTATATTTTACAAATATTTATTATTATATAAATATAATAAAATTGCATCCAAGCTTCAAATAGAACACATAATACTGTTGTTTGTAGCCACTTGAAGCAGTAACTAGCTTTTTTTCCATTCATGAACTTACTGAAATTGACTATAATATTTGCATAGTTTGGAGTCTACAAGAATAATTACCAAGTGTTTGTTCTTGTTTATCCCATTTAGAAAGTTAGAGCTGAGTTGGGCAATTTAAAGGTCACTTCCATGTAGAGAAACTTGAGAAATGATTTTTTTCTTTATCTTTAAAATTCTTCCTGAACAAGCATAATATGTATCAAAAAACCTCCACATATTATCTTGCATCTAAGACCTCTAAATGTTCTTATATGTTTAATATGTAAAACTTTAACTATGAAAAAAATGTATACAGAGAAAGATTAAAGAACTACAATGACATATTAATAGTGATAGTATGCATTTTGTACAATTATGGATGTTACTTTTTTCTTTATACCTTTCTATATTTTGTACTTTTTAAAATATGCATATACCCATTAACCATCCCTTCTTTCCAGCTTCAGGTAATCATCATTCTACTCTGTATATGCGTAAATAACGTTAAACTGGAATACAGAATAGAATGATGGTTCTACTTTTGACTCTTCCTTTTGTCTTTTCTCAATTAATACATTTTTTTTTCTATTTCAAAAATATGCATATAGCTTATATTTGGAACAATGCATTTGAAAAACTCCTAAAATTCTGTATATATTATCAAAATTATGCAAAAAATATAGAGCAAAAATTCTGGAAGGGACTAGTTCTAAAGTTAAAAATTGTCTTCTAAGCCTAACAGGGTTTTGTTTCTTTCCCTTTCTATTTTGTAAAATTACTGCTCTTACATTGATTTTATAGAAGATATAATTTTCATTTATATAAAGACTCTTAAAGTTGCACTCTAACATCTGAATTGACAAATCAGGCCACAAAACTGTACATCATAGTGCATGAATGACAAGTAATTTCAGGTTAACTCAAGGTGGTAATTCAAGTTTAAGAAGAAAGATGTCATTGGCGATAATTCAGATAAAAGAAGAAAAATGTCATTAACTATCCTACAGCCTACTCCCAATGAGATTGAAGCAGTCATTTCCATAGTCAAATGGTCAAATGTGAAGAATAAGTATCTGTGTTCTAGGGACATTTATAGTAATGGTATAATTAACATTTTAAAAATGCATTTTAAAGTGTCAATTCCCTTTATTCGAGTTATCACATTTTAAAAATTTCTAATACCCGAACTAGTTTTTTTTTTCTATTTTCAGCCTCTTAAGTTTAGGATTAAACCTTGTTATATTAACAACTATATGACAATCTTGATTCATTTGGCTTAACTTCGGATGAAACCAGAATTCAAATGTCTTTTCCTCTTGGTCACAGATTCCTTAAAGTAAATTATCAAGTGATTTTTATAAATAAATAACTGAATTTAAAAATAGAAATAACCTAGATTTATTACCAGGTCCCTAAATATAATTTTTATACCAATATTTCAGCTTATCTTTTTTTCAATTCCCCCCATGGTATAAATTACTTATTGATTAGGAAATAAGTTATGGTTTGAGAGCATAATAAAAATCTGCAATGAAAAACTCTTTTTAGAAAGAAATTAATAATTTCAACAGTGAAAATCAATTTTCCTATGTTCAATCTTGTAATCTATTTTGCATTATTTCCCTTGTGTAATCGAAACATCATTGATTCATGGCATTATGTAGATAATAAACTAAAATGAAAGAATTACATAAAGTATATTTCTCTATGGCTATTCCCTAGCAGTCTCATACTAAAATACTTAAATTTCTATATTCAATAACTAAAGATGTCATGAGAGAATTAAACAGTTTTAAAAATTTATCCATTGTTGAAAAGCTCATAAAACAATATTTTTTATATGTTGTTTCAAATATTTATAACATAAAGATAGGGAAAATAGGCTATTAATAAAAGCTATGAAGAAACACTAAAATTCTAAATTCTAGGGGAACTTATTTTATGAAAGGCTGTGGGACTGTCTACATGCATTATCTATTTTAATCCTCCTAGGACTCCAATTACTAGATATTATCATATCTATTTATTTATTATGGAAAAAATGAAGCTTTCAGGGATGTTTAATGAACTTTTCCAGGATTTCATAACTATTGGGACGAGGTGTATCTGACTCCCCAGACTGTGGTGTAAGACATTATGCTATGTTGTCTCTCTTCAAACAGTGAAAGTAATTAATCATCAACTCAATATTAATGCTTAGGGTTCCTGATATATACATACATATATGTTTTTAAACTGCTAAATGGTTCAATATTAGTGAATGTACAATGATACATTATGATTAATACTTATAATACTATAGATACATCCTGCAGTTATGATGGTGTATTTGTGTCACCTGTCCTGAAATTTCATGTTCTTGCTAACACCGAAATTTTTAAAAATACTGTGGTAACAAAGTAAGTGTCCAAGTCCTATTCATAAGGAGTGGGGATATAAAATAAGAACAATTTTACTTTTATTTTTAATTACATAAGCAATGCAAGAATGTAGAAAAAATAGAAGCAGTTGAATGTTCTCCTCTACTCCCATCACTGTAATTCCTACTACTGATTACCATTGCTGCTATAGTTTGGTTTTTTAGGACCTTTTCTCTGCATGTGCATGCACATGCACACACACACAGACACACACACAAATACTAAACACACACACACCTATTTAAAAATAACACATACGTTGAACCATATCATGTTTTTGTTTCTTTCACTATATCTTGAAAATCTTTCCATATCAGCACAAATAGATTCACTTTATTTTTTCAAATTGCTGAATAGTCTAGTTGAAACATGTTTTTATTTAACCCACTCCCTTAGTTCCAAATACTATCTTACAAAAATGATGCAATTAAAATTCATATAAGATATCTTTGTGCCTAATTTTTTGATATAAATATATTAGTAAAATTGATGGGTCAAAAAGTAGTCTCATTTATGAGAGATACTTCCAGCTCCCCTTAGTCTTGTAATATATTCTTGTGTATTGACTGTAACATTACAAGTAGTTCAGTGTTTATTTTCTGCATTTCAAATAGATCTTCCCCCAGTAAATTTAAGCAGATCTGAGATATTGCTGTTGACAGCTTAGTTAAATGAGCTTTCTCAGCTCTTCCAATCTGTGTGTGTATAATTTCTCTAGAGTCCAGAAGATTACTAAAAGGGATCCTTTTCAATTAAAGTAGCAACAGTGAAGCATTTGTGTATCGTACCATTTACTAAGTGGAAGGTAATCCTCATAGAAAATACACATGTTGCAATCTATTTGGATTTCATTTCTAAAGTCATTATTAACTAGTTCTCAGTATACTATAAGTAGGTCCACATTCTAAAAGGAAAAATAGTGACAACACATAACTACAATGAATCATTATTAGGAAATCTTCAAGAAATAACGAATTTTTCACTATCACAGTGTACCTCACTTCATAAGCAAACTGAACATACAGTGTCATAATAGAAGAGGAAAGGGCTACCTGGAGACCTCTGGGAAGCACATTCATGGGTATTTTCCTGGCTGTTGGCTCTTCTGATAACTAAACTTTTGCTGTATTCCATGTTTTCTCAAAGACAATGGCTGCGACTAAGTTAAAATATCCTAGCATAAAGCATTATTTAAAGATAATTTAAAATTTTTATATTTTAAAGTAATTTTGTTACATTTTTATTTTAAAAATTATAATTTTCTGTTTTATTGGCTACTCTAATATTGAATGTTTAATTACTTAGATCAAATGTTATAGTATGATGTACTATATTTCTGGCCCAGAGAACAGAATAGAAAAAATTTATTTTAAAATACACATGGTTTTTCATGAAATTCATATGATGAAAAACATTAACATAAAATATAGGTCAATATACACTACAAAATTATAACTATTTTATCTGATTAAGAATTGTGGTCCAGTTAAAATAGTTTGGTTAATGAGAAATTATCCATTTTAAAGTCACATTTTGGAGTTTATGTGAATACATGTAATGCTGAAATATGTTAAGCATAATTTAATATGTCATGGTTTATCAAATAGTTCAAAAGCTTTCAATGCCCCATGGCCCTCATTATAGCTTTTACTATAATGTTCCAGAGATCTAACTAATTTCTAAAGTTCACTTCACTTTGCTAAATTCATCATTGAAATAACAGTGATGATCCATCATTTCATTTTTTCTAAAAAATATATTTTATATATACAGTAATTATTTATCATCAGTATAAAATATTATAGATCATAATAGCTTCTCACCAACATAATATTGTATTTTATACATTTTCCATTGACCTAAGTTGTATACATTCTCCAGGCTTTGAAAATCAAGTGTATCTAGTCAAGAAAGTATCAAACACATGCTGTTAAATCTTCCATCAACTACCTTTTCTAAATAATACCTTGCATCTTCTGGATCCCTTTGCCACACTCCTCTGCACAGTCTTTCTTACAACAAATCTGACCATGTCCTTCCCAAGCATGAGACGTTCCAAGATTCCATCTGCTGATGGAAAAAAGTTCAAAATCTTTTTCATTATTATTAAAAGCTCCTATTACCTTCTCTTGCCCTAGTAATTGACAGCATTCCCAACACCATGCCCTTTGTCTGCTGACATACGTTGAGCTCCTCATCATGGCAGGGCAAGTGATGCTGTCACTATGAAGTATTGCTGATTTCTCTCCTATAGGTAAGAAGTGATCAACACTTTTTTGGGGTCTGGTGTCTAACTTGTAGTTTGTCCATCACATCACTTTTAACATTTTCTTACTCTTATTTCTTTACACAACTTTTTTTTCCCCAGATAAACTCTGGGCTCATTGAAGGCAAGAAATTAGGCCCAGGTGTACCTCAGAAATGTTCCCTAACAGTTTTGATTAAAATTTTAATTGATAAATTTACCATTTGAGAACACAGACAAAGCCATCTCTTTAATTAAAATTTGAGAAAGCTTTAGTAGAACATCAAGAAAATTGTTTCTGGTAATAATACACTATGGTGCTATTCTGTCAGCTATGTTGTGTGGAAAAATCAGGTTAGGTTTTGATCCTGGTTCCTAGAGATTATAAAGATTGGGGGTAGGATTACCTTATTAAAACAAAAGCACTGAGAAAGTAAATAAGTGGGGGAAATCCATATTATGACTAAGAAATGATATAAGATATCTCATTACATATTCCAATTATCTATATTTTCACTGTACATGTAATTATTGTGCTTACTATTTTATTGTTTTATCAAACTGGAGTAGTATGCACTGTCTTCTCTATTTTCTAATTATTGTTTACAGTATTTATTATCGAGATGGTCTTTTGACTGACATTTATAAAAGATTGAAATGATTAAAGACAAAATATAGTAAAATGCCTGATGCTATTTAATGGACAATGTTATAAGCAGTAAAGCCTGATGATCTCCGATATTATATACATAACCATCATATTTAGCTTTTAGTGTGTGCCAGGCTCTGTGTAAGAAGTTTACATCTTTCTAATTTTCATAGAAAACTTGTTATATGTCAATATCAGATCAAAAAAGACAGAGTCAAACTCTAGAGTGAGTCATGGGAAAGAAAGGAGTACTAAACATCAGTGTGCAGCCAATTTGAGTGTAAGGCTGGATCTACTCTCACGAGAAAAACTGTAACAGAAAGGTTGCTGATAAAATACTGACCTTACTATGCTTTTTAAACAGTACATTTAAATACATACAAACTTATGTAAACTGGTTGGACAGAGATCTAACATGCTAAAAACCAGCAGAGTAAAATCTTTTTACAGTATGAGAATGAGAATACAAACTTCTGTTTCAGCTTCTTTCCTTAGTCACAATTTCCTGCCTTAAAGAAAATGTCAGACGGCTGGGTTCCCCCAAAAAAGTAGAGAGGAGAACCTGCTTAAATATTTCTTGACCATTATAAATTAATTTATTATTTTCTCTATTTTCATTTTCTTCAACAAGGAGGGAGCTACTCTTCTAATTTAATACTGTTGCCCATGATATTAGTGATGACACTTTATTTATACCTAATGAGGAACTTTACAGGATAGATGTATTGCAATTAGATCCTGTCTCAGAGTTTTCTCTTTATTCGTTGATGAATGTGTGTAATTCAAGAACATTAAAAACAACTGTGAAAGTATAATTATTACAGAGGAGAAAGTGTCTGGGGATTAATTTTATTACATATAACCATATTTGGAGGGACAGTATAGAAACAGTTATTTAATAATAAACATTAAGTTTCTTAACAACAAGTAGCAATTGACTTAGGCAAATGCCTATTAAAAAGAGCACATTAAAAATCAAGTAAAAATTACATCAAACACATTTTTTTTCCTGTGTTGGGAATATCGTATTTCATGACAAAGACTTATAAATGAAGGAAGAAAAGAGATGGCAATAGGTGTGGGTCGTGCCATTTTACAAGAGAGACACAGGAGTCTCAGCGATTGAAATAATTTTCCCATGTAGATACAACTCTTAAGTGACAGAATAAAATTTGTACTTAGGTTTGTACATTTGGAATCTCATGCCAACTGGTTAAAAAAATTTATGTGAACAATTTGTATGATGTTTATGTGTATAGAATGACACTGGAGTTGAAATCAGTATGATTGTGGAATTGAAAAGACGACAGTATATGCCAGAAATCTTCACTTTATAGCCTAAATATGAGATGATGCCTATACTATGGCTTAATGTTAGTGAGTATGACTACATGTACAGAGTTCTACATGAGATAAAACACATTAAATGAAAAAGTTCACTGGTACACTTGTATCAAAGACCAACAATAAAAAACACTGAAAAGGTTTACTAGTATCAAGCACTTGTTGAGAAATCTATTAGGTGTAAAACATTGGATTGGGACTTTTTAAAAGGAGGTTAAAGAGGCAAGACTGAAATTTGATTAGTATATATATTTATGCATTGTTCCCAATGGAATATTACTTATATTCTAATCCAGAAGGAATTGTTTATCATTTACTCAGTAGTTCAAAGCACATTTTATTATTAAATTATGCAAAATGGGCTAAAACTGATAATCACAGAATATTCAAGCCAGAAAAAAATGTAAAGATTATTAGTTCAATTACAACTTTATGCAGAAGAAAAATTCAATGCCAAAATAATCCAAGTGACCGATTTAATTTGTTATTGATAGGACAAAGACTAGCTGAAGGTTTCTTGAAGTTTGATGTAGTATATCTGAAAGAATGCAAAATTGTGCTTAGAGTCTACGGTGATAGTGTTTCATGTAACCATTACATTTAGTCACCAACAAAAGCATAAAACACATATAATCAAATATGGGAGTAGTAGCATGTTGGTGCCACACTTAAGATTGACATTCTGTCTCAAACTGAATCTATCATAGTCAGTGGTTCTCTTCACATTATAAATAATTTTTTTTTTCTTTTGAGTACAAAATGTAGTCAACTTGGGTTTCAAAATTATGTATGAAATACATGCATCTTAAGCACTAGAATCACAGTGTGGTAAGAGGTTAAGTAGGAACTAATAATAACTGAGTGAATAGTAGATTCACATCCCACATTTAATTTTCAGGGTCACAGTGGGATAAACCAAGTGAAACGATGGCCAAAATGGTCTGCATAGAAATTTATATAAAACATTATTTCCGTCTCTGCTGCATTCTTTTTCTCTGGTTTTGCTGACCTTTTATAGTGGTATTTATTTCAGTTAAATTTGCTTACATTGTTCTTACACTTTAATGCATGAGAGTAAAATATTACATAAATATTTAAAGAGTCAGACTAGATTATGAATATGTATGAATATATTAACATCAATAACAAAGCAATATATCAGTTGGAAAAAGACATGAAAATAGGAATTTTATTACAACACCTGCAATGTTCAAATGATGTAAGGTTCACAAAAATAGCAACCAGAAGGAAAATCAACGTTCTAGCAGCATTGATGTGGTCTACACAGTATGCAAAAATGGAGCAATTTCAGATAAGTTTCTGGATTTCTCTTGAAATCTTTGCAATTGTGTTTTTACTTTATTCAATTTTATTTATTTATATATTTACTTGTTAACTTTTATCTTAAGTTCAGGGGTACATATGCAAGTTTGTCTTATAGGTAAATTGTGTGTCTCTGGGGTTTAGTGTAGAGATTATTTCATTACCCAGGTAATACGCATAGTACCTGATAGGTAGTTTTTTGATCCTCATCTTTCTCTTACCCTACACCTCAAGTGGGCCCTAGTGTCTGTTGTTCTCTTATCTGTGTCCATATGTGCTAAATGCTTAGCTCCCACTTACAAGTGAGAACAGGTAGTATTTGGTTTTCTGCTCTTGTGTTAGTTCACTTAGGATAATGGCCTCCATCTCCATCTGTGTTGCTGCAAAGGACATAAACTCGTTGTTCCTTATGGCTGTGTAAGATCCTGTGGTATATATCTACCACGTTTTCTTTATGTATTCTACCACTGATGGACATTTAGATTTATTCCATGTCTTTCCTTTTGAGAACAGTGCCACAATGAATATATGTGTGTCTTTATGGTAGAATGATTTATTTTCCTTTGAGTATATACCAAATAATAGGATTGCTGGGTTGAACGGTAGAATTACCATTTTGAGATATTTGAGAAATCGCAACACTGCTTTCCACAGTGGCTGAACTAATTTACATTCCTACCAACAGTATACAAGCGTTCCCTTTTCTCTGCAACCTTGCCAGCATCTGTCATTTTTTGACTTTTTAATAATAGCCATTACGACTGGTGTGAGTTGGTATCTCATTGTGAGGTTGATTTGCATTTCTCCAATTATTAGTAATGTTGAGCATTTTTTCATATGTTTGTTGGCCATGTGTATGTCTTCTTTTGAAAAGTGTCTGTTTGTGTCCTTTGCCCACTACATAATGGGGTTGTTTGTTTTTTGCTTATTAATTTGTTTAAATTCCTTATAGATTCTGGATATTAGACTTTTGCTAGAGGCATAGTATGCAAACATTTTCTACCATTTTTTGGTTGTTTGTTTAACTCTGTTGATAGTTTCTTTCACTGCGCAGAAGCTTTTCAGTTTAATTAGGTCCCATTTGTCAATTTTTGTTTTTGTTGCAATTATTTTTAGCATCTTTGTCATGAAATCTTTGCCAGGTCCTATGTCCAGAATGGTATTTCCTAGGTTATCTTCTATAGTTTATATCATTTTAGGTTTAACATTTAAGTCTTTAAATCATCTTGAGTTGATTTTTGTATATGGTGTAAGGAAAGTGTCTATATTTAGTTTTTGAAATATGGCTAGCTAGTTATCCCAGAACCATTTGTTGAATAGGGAGTCCTTTCTCCATAGCTTGTTTTTGTAGACTTTTTTCAAGGTCAGATGGTTTTAGCTGTGCAGCATTATTTCTGTGATCTCTATTCTGTTCCTTGGTCTATGTGTCTGTTTTGTAGCAGAACCATGCTGCTTTGGTTGCTCTATCCCTATAAGTATAGTTTTAAGTTGGGTAATGTGATGCCTCCATCTTTGTTCTTTTTGCTTAGGATGGCCTTAGCTATTCAAGCTCTTTTTTATTTCATATGACTTTTCAGATAGTTTTCCCCCCTTAGTTTTGTAAAGAATGCCATTTGTAGTTTAATACTTGAATCTTTAGATTGCTTTGGGCAGTATGGCTATTTTAAAATATTGATTCTTTCTATTAATGAGCATGGAATGTTTTTCCATTTGTTTATATTGTCTTTGATTTCTTAGAGCAGTATTTTATCTCTCACTGTGGAAGTATTTCACCTCCCTAGTTAGCTGTATTTCTAGGTAATTTTTTTTCTTTTTGTGGCTATTGTAAATGGGATTGCATTCGTGATTTGGCTCTCAGCTTGGATGTTCTATAGAAATGCTACTAATTTTGGTACATTTGTTTTGTATCCTGAAACTTTGCTGAAGTTGTTTATCAGATCAAAGAGTTTTGGGGAAGAGACTATGGGGTTTTCTAGGTATAAAATCATATTCTCTGCAAAAACGGATCGTTTGACTTCCTCTCTTTCAATTACTATGCCTTTATTTCTTTCTTTTGCCTGATTACTCTGGCTAAGACTTCCAGTACCATGTTGAATAGGAGTGGTGAAAGAGGGTATCCTTTTCTTGCTCCAGTTCCCAAAAGCTTCCAGCTCTTGCCCTTTCATTATGATGTTGGCTGTGGGCTTTTATTTTATTTTTTGATGGCTCTTATTTTTTTAATATATTCCTTCAATACGTAGTTTGTTGAAGGTTTTTAATATGAAGGAATACTGAATTTTATTGAATGCTTTTTTCTGTATCTGATGAGGTGATCATGTGTTTTTGTTTTTAGTTCTGTTTATGTGACAAATCACATTTACTGATTTGCATATGTTGAACCAGCCTTGCATCCCAGGGACGAATCCTGATTGATAATGCTGGATTAGCTTTAGACGTGCTGTTGGATTCAGTTTGCTAGTATTTTGATGTGGATTTTTGCATCTGTGTTTACCAAGGATATTGGCATGAAGTTTTCTGTTTTCATTGTGTCTCTGCCAGGTTTCAGTATCAGGATGATGCTAGCCTCCTAGAATGAGTTAGGAAGGAGTCCCTTCTCTTCAAATTTTTGGAATAGTTTCAGAAGGAATAGTACCCACTCTTCTTTATACATTGGTAGAATTTGGCTGTGAATCCATCTAGTCATGGGCTTTTTCTGATTTATAGGCTTTTTATTACTGATCTTATATTGGAAGTCATTGGTCTCCAGGGATTCACTTTCTTTCTGGTTCAATTTGGGAGGTTATATCTCTCAGAATTGACCAATTTTTTTTCCAGATTTTCTACCTTGTGTGCATAGAAATGTGCATAGTAGTCTCTGAGGGTTTTTTGTTGTTGTTTTTTTTAAATTTTTTTTTATTATACTTTAAGTTCTGGAGTACATGTGCAGAAAGTGCAGGTTCATTGAATAGGTATACATGTGCCATAGGGGTTTGCTGAACCCATCAACCTGTCATCTACATTAGATATTTCTCCTAATGCTATCCCTACCCTAGCCCCCGACACCCCAACAGGTTCCGGTGTGTGATGTTCCCCTCCCTGTGTCCATGTGTTCTCATTGTTCAACTCCCACTTATGTGTGAGAACATGCAGTGTATGGTTTTCTGTTTTTGTGTTAGTTTGCTGAGAATGATGGTTTCCAGCTTCATCCATGTACCTGCAAAGAACATGAACTCATCCTTTTTTATGGCTGCATAGTATTCCATAGTGTATATGTGACACATTTTCTTATCTAGTCTATCACTGATGGGCATTTGAGTTGGTTCCAAGTCTTTGCTATTGCGAACAGTCCCACAATAAACATACGTGTGCATGTGTCTTTATAGTACAGTGATTTCTAACCCTTTGGGTACATACCCAGTAATGGGATTGCTGGGTCATATAGTATTTCTAGTTCTAGATAAATTGCCACCGTCTCTTCCACAATGGTTGAACTAATTTACACTCCTACCAGCAGTGTAAAAGCATTTCTATTTTTCCACAACCTCTCCAGCATCTGTTGTTTCCTAACTTTTTAATGATCACCATTCTTACTAGCATGAAACAGCATCTTGGTATCTCATTGTGGTTTTGCTTTGCATTTCTCTAATGACCACTGATGATGAACTTTTTTTCATGTGTTTGTTGGCTGCATAAATGTCTTCTTTTGAGAAGTGTCTGTTCATATCCTTCACGCACTTTTTGATGGGGTTGTTTTTTTCTTGTAAATTTGTTGAAGTTATTTCTAGATTCTGGATATTAGCCCTTTGTCAGATGAATAGATTGCAAACATTTTCTCCCATTCTTTAGGTTGCTTGTTCACTATGGTGATAGTTTCTTTTGCTGTGCAGAAGCTCTTCAGTTTCATTAGATCCTATTTGTCAATTTTGGCTTTTGTGGCCATTTCTTTTGGTGTTTTAGTCATGAAGTTTTTGTCCATGCCAAAGTCCTGAATGGTATTGCCTAGGTTGTCTTCTAGGGTTTTTATTGTTTTAAGTCTTATATTTAAATCTTTAGTCCATCTTGGGTTAATTTTTATATAAGGTGTAAGGAGGGAACCCCATTTCAGCTTTGTGCATATGGCTAGCCAGTTTTCCCAACACCATTTATTAAATAGGGAATCCTTTCCCCATTGCTTGTTTTTGTCAGGTTTGTTAAAGATAAGATGGTTGTAGATGTGTGGTGTTATTTCTAAGGCCTCTGTTCTCTTCCATTGGTCTATATATCTTTTTGGTACCAGTACCATGCTGTTTTTATTACTGTAGCCTTGTAGTATAGTTTGAAGTCAGGTAGTGTGATGCCTCCAGCTTTGTTCTTTTGGTTTAAAATTGTCTTGGATATGCAGACTCTTTTTTGGTTCCATATGAAATTTGAAGTAGTTTTTTCCAATTCTGTGATGAAAGTCAATGGTCGCTTGCTGGGGATAGCATCGAATCTATAAATTACTTTAAGCAGTGTGGCCATTTTCACGAAATTGATTCTTCCTCTCCAGCCCCATGGGCTGAGACGATGGGGTTTTCTAAATATACAATCATGTCATCTGCAAACAGAGACACTTTGACTTCCTCTTTTCTTAATTGAATAGCCTTTATTTATTTCTCTTTCTTGATTGCCCTGGCCAGAACTTCCAATATTATGTTGAATAGGAGTGGTGAGAGAGGGCGTCCGTGTCTTGTGCTGGTTTTCAAAAGGAATGCTTCCAGTTTTTGCCCATTCAGTATGATATTAGCTGAATCTTATTATTTTGAGATACATTCCATCAATACCTAGTTTATTGGGAGTTTTCAGCATGAAGGACTGTTGAGTTTTGATGAAGGCTTTTCCTCATCTATTGAGATAATCTTGTGGTTTTTGTTATTGGTTCTGTTTATGTGATGGATTACATTTATTGATTTGAGTATTTTGAAACAGCCTTGCAACCCCAGCACGAAGCCAACTTGACTGTGGTGGATAAGCTTTTTGATGTGCTGCTGGATTCGGTTTCCAGTATTTTATTGATTTTTGCATCAATGTTCATCAGGGATATTGGCCTGGAATTGTCTTTATTTGTTGTGTCTCTGCCAGGTTTTGGAATTAGGATGACCCTGGCCTCATAAAATGAGTTAGGGAGGTGTCCCCCTTTTTCTATTGTTTGGAATAGTTTCAGAAGGAATGATACCAGCTCCTCTTTGTACCTCTGGTAGAATTTGCCTGTGAATCTGTCTGGTCCTGGACTTTTTTTGGTTGGTAGGCTATTACTGCCTCAATTTCAGAACTTGTTATTGGTCTATTCAAGGATTCAACTTCTTCCTGGTTTAGTATTGGGAGGGTGTATGTGTCCAGGAACTTATCCATTTCTTCTAGATTTTCTAGTTTATTTGCGTAGAAGTGTTTATAGTATTTTCTAATGGTAATTTGTATTTCTGTGAGATCAGTGGTGATATCCCCTCGATCATTTTTTATTGCATCTATTTGATTCTTCTCTCTTTTCTTCTTTATTAGTCTGGCTAGCAGTCTATCGATTTCGTTGATCTTTTCAAAAATCCAGCTCCTGGATTCATTGATTTTTTGAAGAGTTTTTCGTGTTTCTATCTCCTTCAGTTCTGCTCTAATCTTAGTTACTTTTTGCCTTCTGCTAGCTTTTGAATTTGTTTGCTCCTGCTTCTCTAGTTCTTTTAAATGTGATGTTAGGGTGTCAATTTTAGATATTTCCTGCTTTCTCTTGTGGGCATTTACTGCTATAAATTTCCCTCTACACACTGCTTTAAATGTGTCCCAGAGATTCTGGTATGTTGTGTCTTTGTTCTCACTGATTTCAAAGAACATCTTTATTTCTGCCTTCATTTCATTATTTACGCAGTAGTCATTCAGGAGCAGGTTGTTTAGTTTCCATGTAGTTGTGCAGTTTTGAGTGAGTTTCTTAATCCTGAGTTCTTATTTGATTGCGCTGTGGTCTGAGAGAGTGTTTGTTATTATTTCCATTCTTTTGCATTTGCTGAGGAGTGTTTTACTTCCAATTATTTGGTCAATTTTAGAATATGTGGGATGTGGTGCTGAGAAGAATGTATGTTCTGTTGATTTGGGGTGGAGAGTTCTGTCGATGTATATTATATATGCTTGGTCCAGAGAGGATTTCAAGCCCTGGATATCCTTGTGAATTTTCTGTATTGTTGATCTGTCTAATATTGTCAGTGGCGTGTTAAAGTCTCCCACTATTATTGTGTGGGAGTCTAAGCGTTGGGGTGATCAGACCCAACACCAGGTCATGGGGGTGACGAAGTCCAGTGGAGTCAAAGGAATGGGAAATGACAGTTTGAGAGAGAATGTGGGTCCAGGGGGCCAATGCTACTATGGAGGCTGTGAAGGCCCTGAGCTCTGGAAGCCCACACTTTTTATTGGTGATCAAACAAAGAAATAGGTGGTGAGAATGTGGGGGTCGAAAGGGCAAGTGCATGATCTACAGGTGTGATGGTTTAGCATTTCCTTTGAAGCATATGGGACATATTCTGCTAGTTGAGATAATGGGGAGCATGTTCTTCTAGTTTAAGCTAGAAGCAAGGAGCCAGCAAGTCTAGACTCATTCCAGATGCCACGAGCGGTTTATGCCCTGAGCCCTGGACATTATGTCAGACATGCAAGCCCTGTCTCAGCTTTTTTCCCAACATTTAGCTTTTTCCCAACACTAAGTCTCTTTGTAGGTCTCTAAGAACTTGTTTCATGAATCTGTGTGCTCCTGTATTGGGTGCATATATATTTAGGATAGTTAGCTCTTCCTGTTGCATTGATCCCTTTACCATTATGTAATGCCCTTCTTTGTCTCTTTTGATCTTTATTGTTTCAACCCTTGCTTTATTTATTTATTTATTTATTTATTTTTTTGCTTTCCATTTGCTTGGTAAATATTCCTCCATCCCTTTATTTTGAGCTTATATGTGTCTTTGCATGTGAGATAGGTCTCCTGAATACAGCACACCGATGGGTCTTGACTCTATCCAATTTGCAAGGCTTTATCTTTTAATTGTGGCATTTAGCCCATTTACATTTAAGGTTAATATTGTTATGTGAGTTTGATCCTGCCTTTATAATGCTAGCTGGGTATTTTGCCCGTTAGTTGATACAGTTTCTTCATAGTGTTGATGGTCTTTAAAATTTGGCATGTTTTTGCAGTGGCTGGTACCAGTTGATCCTTTCCATATTTAATGCTTCCTTCAGGAGCTCTTGTAAGGCAGGCCTGGTGGTGAGAAAATCTCTCAGGATTTGCTTGTCTGCAAAAGGTTTTTTTTCTCCTTCGCTTATGAAGCTTAGTTTGGGAGGATATAAAATTCTGTGTTGAACATTCTTTTCTTTAAGAATGTTGAATATTGGCCCCACTCTCTTCTGTCTTGTAGGGTTTCACTGTTAGTCTGATGGGCTTCCCTTTGTGGGTAACCCAACCTTTCTCTCTGGCTGCCCTTAATATTTTTTTCCTTCATTTCAACCTTGGTGAATCTGATGATTATGTGTCTTGGGGTTGCTCTTTTCGAGGAGTATCTTTGTGATGTTCTCTCTGTTTCCTGAATTTGAATTTTGGCCTGCCTTGCTAGGTTGGGGAAGTTCTCCTGGATAATATCCTGAAGAGTGTTTTCCAACTGGGTTCCATTCTCCTCATCACTTTCAGGTACACCTATCAAATGTAGATTTGGTCTTTTCACATAGTCCCATATTTCTTGGAGGCTTTGTTTGTTTCTTTTTACTCTTTTTTCTCTAATCTTGTCTTCTCACTTTATTTCTTTGAGTTGACCTTCAATATCTGATATCCTTTCTTCCACTTGATGGATTCGGCTATTGATACTTTTGTATGCTTCATGAAGTTCTCGTGCTGTGTTTTTTCAGCTCCATCAGGTCTTTTATGTTTTTCCCTAAACTGGTTATTCTAGTTAACAATTCATCTAACCTTTTTTCAAGGCTCTTAGCTTCCTTGCAGTTGGTTAGAACACGCTCCTTTAGCTCAGAGGAGTTTGTTGTTACTCACCTTCTGAAGCCTACTTCTGTTAATTTGTCAAACTCATTCTCCATCCAATTTTGTTCCCTTGCTAGCAGGGAGTTGTGATCCTTTGAAGGAAAAGAGGGGTTCTGGTTTTTGTAATTGTCAGCCTTTTTGCATTGGTTTTTCGCTTTCTTTGTGGATTTATCTACCTTTGATCTTTGAAGTCAGTGACTTTAATTTGGGTTCTCTGAGTGGATGTCCTTTTTGTTGATGTTGATACTATTCCTTTCTGTTTGTTAGTTTTCCTTCTCACAGTCACATCCTTCTGCTGCAGATCTGCTGGAGTTTGCTGGAAGTCCACTGCAGACCCTGTTTGCCTGGGTACCACCGGCAGATGCTGCAGAACAACCAAGATTGCTGCCTATTCCTTCCTCTAGAAGCTTTGTCCCAGAGGGGCACCTGCCAGATGCCAGCCCATTACAGAGCTCTCCTGTATGAGGTGTCTGTCAGCCCCTACTGGGAAGAGTCTCCCAGTCAGGATTCACAGGGGTCAGGGACCCACTTGAGGTGGCAGTGTATCCCTTATCAGAGCTCAAACACTGTGCTGGGAGATCTGCTGCTCTCTTCAGAGCTGCCAGGCAGGGAAGTTTAAGTCTGCTGAAGCTGTGCACCCAATCACCTCTTCTCCCAGGTGCTCTGTCCCAGGGAGGTGGGGCTTTTATCTGTAAGTCCCTGACTGGGGCTGCTGCCTTTTTTTCAGAGATGCCCTGCCCAGAGAGGAGGGAATCTGGAGAGGCAGTCTGGCTGCAGTGGCCTTGCTGAGCTGTGGTGGGCTCTGCCCAGTTCGAACTTCCCCATGGCTCTGTTTGCACTGTGAGTGTAAAACTGCCTACTTAAGCCTCAGCAATGGCGGAAGCCCCTCTCCTCACCAAGCTTGAGTGTCCCAGGTAGAGTTCAGTCCCAAGCCAGACCACTTGGCTCCCTGGCTTCAGCCCCCTTTCCAGGGCAGTGAATGATTCTGTCTCACTAGCATTCTGGGCACCACTGGGGTATGGAGAAAAAACAAACAAACAAACAAACAAAAAAAAAACTCCTGCAGCTAGCTCAGTGTCCGCCCAAACTGCTGCTGAGTTTTGTGCTGTAATCCGAGGATCCTGGTGGTGTGGGCACTGGAGTGAATCTCCTGGTCTGTGTGTTGCGAAAACCATGGGAAAGCACAGTATCTGGGCCGGAGTGCATGGTACAGTCCTAATGGCTTCCCTTGGCTAGGAGAGGGAGTTCCCCGAGCCCTTGTGCTTCCCAGGTGAGGCGACGCCCCACCCTGCTTCAACTCACCCTCCTTGGGCTGCATCCACTGTCCAACCAGTCTCAATGAGATGAATCGGGTACCTTAGTTGGAAATGCTGACATCACCCACCTTCTGCATTAATCTGGCTGGTTGCTGCAGACCGGAGCTTTTCTTATTCAGCCATCTTGCCCATTTTTTTTTTTCCTGTTAGCTCAGTGGTAATGTCCCATTTACCATTTCTGATTGTGTTTATTTGGATAGTCTTTCTTTTTTATTAGTGTAGCTACTTGTTTGTCCATCTTATTTATTCTCTCAAAAAACAAATTCCTAATTTTGTTGATTTTTTTTTATGGTTTGTGTGTCCCCAGTTCCTTCAGTTCTGATTTTGGTTATTTTTTGTCTTCTGCTAGCTTTGAAGTTGAGATACTTTGCTGTTGTTTCTGCAGTTCCCCTAGGTCTGATGTTATGTTATTAATTTTAAATCTTTCTAACTTTTGATGTGGCTGTTTAGCACCATAAGTTTCCCTCTTAACATTACTTTTGCTTTGTCCCAGAGATTCTGGTATGTTGTATCTTTGTTCTCATAAGTTTCAAAGAATTTATTGATTTCTGCCTTAATCTCATCGTTTACCCACAAGTCATTCAGGATTAGGTTGTTTAATTTCCATGTAATTACATGGTTTTGAGTTATCTTCTTAGTATTGACTTAAATTCTTATAGTGCTGTGGTCTGATTCTGTGGTTAGTGTGATTTTGCTTTTTTAGATTTTCCTGATAATTGTTTTATGGACAATTATGCAGTCAATTTCAGAGTATACCCGTGTGCACGTGAAAAGAATGTATATTCTGTTGTTTTTGGGTGGAGAGTTCTGTAGGTGTCTATTAGGTCCATTTGGTTGAGTTCAGGTCCTGAATATCTTCGTTAGTTTTCTGCTTCGATGATCTCCCTAATGTGCTCTGTGGGGCGTTGAACCCTCCTCCTGTTATTGTGTAGCTATCTCACTCTCTTCATAGGTCTCAAAGCACTTGCTTTATGAATCTGAGTGTGCCTGTGTTGGGTGTATATATATTCAGGATAATTAGGTCTTCTGTTGAATTGATTCCTCTACCATTATGTAATACGCTTCTTTGTCTTTTTTGAACTTTGTTGGTTTAAAGTCTGTTTTGTCTGGAATTAAAATAGCAATGCCTGCTTTTTTGTTTTCCATTTCCTTGGCAGATTTTTCTCCATCCATTAACTTTAATCCTATGGATGACACTGTATGAGAGATGAGTTTCTTGAAGACAGCATATCATTGGGTCTTGCTTCTTTATCCAACCTGCCACTTTGTGCCTTTTAATTCAGGCCTTTAGCCTGGTTACATTCAAGGTTAATACTGATATGTGTGGATTTGATCCTGTCATTGTGTTGTTAGCTCGTTTTTATACAAACTTGTTTGTGTAGTTGCTTTATAGTGTCAATGGTTTCTGTAGTTAAATGCGTTTTTGTTGTATCTGGTTGCAGTCTTTCCTATCCATATTTGGCACTACCTTCAGGACCTCTTGTACAACAGGTCTGATGCAAGGAATTCCCATAGCATTTGCTTGTCTGAAAAGAATCTTACATGTCCTTTGCTTATGAAGATTAGTTTGGCTAGATACAAAATTCTCTGTTGGAATTTCATTAAGAATGCTGAATGGGAGTTCGAGGTGGGCAGATCACAGGGTCAGGAGATTGAGACCATCCTGGCTAACACGGTGAAACCCCATCTCTACTAAAAAAAATACAAAAAATTAGCTGGGCGTGGTGGCAGGCACCTGTAGTCCCAGCTACTCGGGAGGCTGAGGCAGGAGAATGGTGTGAATCCAGAAGGCAGAGCTTGCAGTGAGCCAAGATCATGCCACTGCACTCCAGCCTGGGCAACAGAGCAAGACTCTGTCTCAAAAAAAAAAAAAAAAAAAAAGAATGCTGAATATAGGCCCCCAATATTTTCTGGCTTATAGGGTTTCTGTCAAAAAGTCTGCTGGTAGCCTGATGGTGTTCACATTGCAAGTGACCTTCTCTCCAGCTGCATTTAACCTTTCTTCTTTCATTTCGATCTTAGAGAATCTGATGACTATGAGTCTTGGGGATGGTCATCTTATGTAGTATCTCACAAGGGTTCTCTGCATTTTCTGAATTTGAATATTGTGTCCTCTCTAGTGAAGTTGGGGAAATTTTCATGGGTGATACCATCTGTATTAGGGTTCCTAGAGAGACAGAACTAATATGATAGATGTATATATAAAAGGGAGTTTATTAAGGAGTTTTGACTTAACACAGTCACAAGGTGAAGTCCCACAATAGGTCGTCTGCAAGCTGAGGAGCAAGTCAGTCCAAGTCCAAAACCTCAAAAGTAGGAAAACTAACAGTGCAGCCTTCAGTCTGTGACAGAAGGCCTGATAGCCCCTGGCAAACCACTGGTGTAGGCCCAAGAGTCTAAAAGCTGAAGAACTTGGAGTCCAATGTTCAAGGTCAGGAAGCATCCAGCAGAGGTAAAAGGAGGTCAGAAGACTCAGCCAGTCTAGTCCTTCCACATTCTTCTACCTGCTTTTATTCTAGCCACACTGGCAGCTGATTAGACTGTGCCCACCCAGATTGAGAATGGGTCTGCCTTTCCTTGTCCACTGACTCAAATATTAATCTCCTTTGGCATCACCCTCACAGACACACACAGGAACAATACTTTACATCCTTCAATCAAATCAAGTTGACACTCGATATTAACCATCACATCCTCCAATATGGTTTTCAAGTTGTTTGCTTTCTCCCCCTCTCTTTCAGGGATGTCAATGAGTCAATAAATTTGGTCTCTTTACATTTTTGTATCACTTAGAATACTTGAATTGGGTTTTGACTTTCTCCTGAATCTTCTTTCCTGTCCATGATCTGAATTCTACTTCTGTCATTTCAGCCATTTCAGCCTTGTTAAGAACCATTGCTGGGGAACCAGCGTGGGTCATTTTGAGGTGAGAGGACACTTTAGTTTTTTGAGTTACCAGAGTTCTTCTCTGGTTTTTTCTCATCTGTGCAGGCTGATGTTTCTTCAATCTTAGAAGTTGCTATCCTTTGAATGGGTTTTGTTGCTTTTATCTTCTTTGTTGCCCTTAAGGGTTTGATTGTGGTCTAAGGTGGTTTCAGTTGACTGGATTTCTTTCTGGAAGATTTTAGGGGTCTAAGGCTCAGTTCAGCATTCTTGAGCTGTGTGCTCTAACTTTGAGGGAATGATCCCAGGCTCCCAGCTTTGTTCTCAGGACCCTCAAGGTTAGGAATCTGTGGTTCTGGAGGGGCTGAGCTGTTTCCAGACTGCAGTCCATAACAATCCCATGGATGGTGCCAGCCAAAGTGCTTTGTCTGAGTGGTGATAGAAGAATTCATGTTTGTTTGCACATGCCAGCAGCAGTGGCAGCATGGTGGGTTACATGTTCATTGGTCGGGCTGGGATGCTGGTGGGTTTGCGGCTGCCAGCTTCTGTGCACATGTTTGCTCTGTGGGCAGTAGTGTGAGGGGATGCATGCACACACATATTCTGGCAGAGGAGGGGAGGCAAGGTCCACTCGCATGTGTGCACGCTGGAAGGACAGTGGGGTGAGTGACAGTGGGCAAGTGAGTGCTGGCAAAGCAGCATGGGGGAGGCTGTGGTCAGGGGAAGGGGCAGGTGAGCTGGTATGTGTTAGCAGCAGCCGATCTGCTGGAGCTCTCTGATGGTCAGGCACAGTCAGCTGTTGAAGGAGCTATGATGTGGGCCCCTGGGAAGCACCTTGGTTGTCTATCCATCACTTGCACTGCAAGTGGGCTCTGCCAGGTTGGGGCCCTGGAGCAGACCTAGCTATGTTTTACTGCAGACGTTCCCACACCATACCCCGTGAGTTCAGCACAGGATAGAGTCCTGCTCCTATCAACTCTCTACACAGCTTTCCCTGCTAGCTCAAGTGTCCATGGGTGTTGTGGTATCTCAGGTTTCCAGGATTCCAGAGGTTCATGGTGAGGGCAGGTTGCTCCTCACCTGTTCAATCCACCCCTTCCCCAAGAGTTGTTGGGGGCCAGGAATAAGTTGTGGTGCATGGTAGTCCCGTTCAGGGTTCCCAGCCTCCTCCTCCTTTGGCCCAGGGTCTGTGTCCTCCTTCTGTCCACCCTCAATGCCTTCCCTCTGAAGATCTGCTCATAGTGCACCAGTTTTCCCTATGTCTCAGTCACTTGGTGGCAGATGTTCCTCCTGGGTGTGTCTGGTCAGGCATCTTACTGAGACAACCTTCTTTTGTTTTTAAAATAAAAATATAGAGTAATAATGGATCTTCATTCCTACATTGCAGCGATTGGCTGGACCTAAGTAAAAGCTAATACTATTTATATTGGGAAGGCTTATCCTAGTTGCCTACACTCCTCTCTCTCCACAAGTACTTCACATTTTACTGCTGAACCATGTCACTCATATGCATTACTTGCATGACTCTAGACATTTGAGGAACATGTAACATCTGATCCAGAGGAAAGGGAGCCAAGCTATACAATTTTGATATTTCTCCTCTTAATGGTGTGATTATCTTTGAGGTGGAGAGAAATACTTTAAGCATTTTCCATTCTGTTAGAAAAAGAAAACACAAAAACAAAACCCCCAAATTTTTATCACTAAATACAGCTTTCTTAGCTTGATGTTATTAAATTTTTACTTATCTGATCTCCTACTGTCTATTTTGATAATCAGAGAACAACAATCTGATTTCTATATTTGTCTATGTGTAAGGAGGAAATGTGCTCAAATATGTATTTTGTTTATTTCTTGTCTCCGTAAAAGTGAATTAATGACAGCATATTCATAACATGCTTGGTGTTACTTGACTATGTGAGAGATTTTGCTGATTTCCACACAAAATTCCATCTCAAGTAATATTTACCTTTTTTATTGTGAATTAAAAATTAGTAATGTTAATATTGTCATCAGTATCAATTTATCGTGTATTTTATTAGTGTGATCCTGTCTCTCAAGGTCTGGTTATACCCAAGGTTATGGTTTTACCTGAACACTTGCAGTGTAGAGCCAAAACTAATGAATTTTAGGTGACAGCAGTATTACTTCTTAACATGTCCCTACAGATTTCTGTAGTATTCACAATGGAGTTAAATCATTTGAAGATGAGGAAAGAAAACTTTACCTTGTTTCCATGTTGAGAACATAAGATGTTGTGGAAGACTGACTGACACAATGTCTTGTATGGTTCATGTTGTGTATGTACCCCATTTCTGGTATGACTTTGTAACCTCTCCCATCAAGAAGTGAAATCTGTTCCCCACTCATGAGTTCAAGCTGACTTTTTAATATGTTTGCACCAAAAGAATGCAGTAGAACTGACAGCCTACAATTTTAAGCCTAAGACTCAAGAGTCATTTTATACTTCAACTCTCCCTTGTGAAACCCTTCCCTGACTGCCATGGGAACAGACCAAGGCATTTTTGGTAGAGGTACAGAGTTTACATGAAGTGAGGTCCTAATCATTTTAGCCAAGATCATTCTAGAGCAGCCAGCCTTTAGACAACCCAATAGCTGACTAGAAACACATTAGTAAGCTGTGTAAGATGAGTCAAGTCCAGCCCAGATTGAATTACCAGGTTCAGTGGAATTACCCACGCAACCTATAGACTCATGGGGCAAACTGTTGTAAGCTATTAAGTCAGTAGTTTTCAAAGTGTGAATTGGGGTCTCCTGGGGATCCCAAGCAACTTTCGAGAACAACTGCAAGATCAAACTTATTTCCACAATGATACTAAGATATTATTTGTCTTAATTCTCATTCTGTCACAATACACAGTGAAGGTTTTCAAAGGCTACATGATGTTTGATATCAAAATAGAGTGGATACAGTAGCAGGTATGACACTCCAGCAGTCTTCTATTGAGTTTTCTATTGAATCATACACGAAAGAAATTAGCGAAAATACAAAGCACTGCTAAACTTCTCATTAATTTTTGTTTTGTTTAAAAAATGCAGTTATTTTTCATAAAAATATACTATCTCTGTTACAGGTAATCGGTTTATTCTTAGTGGTAGAGGAAATAAATATTTTAAAATTTATATTTTAGTTTACAATACAGCAAATATTAATAGATGAAAATCGCCAAAACAAAGCCCTTTGGAGTCCTTAATGATTCTCAAGAAACTGATATTCTGAAAGCAAAATGTTTAAGAACTGCTGCACTTTTTTTCTGCAACATTTCTTTATTCTAGGCATAGCAGTTGTTTATAAAGATAAATCACTATAATTTTTTCTTCGTGACTGTCCGCAAAATGTAAAGAATCAAGTATTAGCATCTTTAGAAATCAAAAACATTTACTTTTCTGCTTCAAGACTGCATATTGGATCTATCTAACCAGAGTAAAGTTACTGATGAAAAACAATTAAAATAAAATTACATACACACACATGTGTATGTACATTATAAGAATCTTTCATTTTGCATGAAAGAAAAAATTCTACAAATACTATGATAATAATAAAAACAGAAACCCTGAGAGGTGAAGTAATCACCAAAGCCAGCTTCCTGTGTGAAAATTCCTACCAAACCTTAGAATGTTTGAGATTACATTTTGACTGCTTCATGATGAACAGAATGCAGGAGATAAACCTTGTGGCCCACCCATAGTGGAAAGTATAATAGCAAATGCTCTCCCTCATAAAATAAGAAACAAACCTCATGGCGAAAAAGGGTCTAAAAAGAAATATTCATTCCTGAGTGCTGCCTGGAGAAAATAAAAGCAAAACTAAGAACTTATCCTTATTAAAGATCTGAGATCTGAATGAATTCATGCTATTTGTTTGCTCAAAAACCAAAAGCAAAGCAGTTAGTATAAAATTGGTCTTGGGTTGATATTGCCCCTTAGTGATTGGCAGGAGCAAAAAATTTAAGAGTAGAACTTCAAGTCTCGCCTCAAAGAATTTTCATAAATAACATTTTATGTGTGTGCAATCATAGTTAAAACAACAGCAAAAACACACACGGAAAATAATAGTCCATGAATGAAATTGATCATGAACAACACAGAGTGTAAATAGAATCACAAATAAAATAGAAACTTGGATTGAACATAAGAACAAGAAAAAAAAAGATGACTAAATTTTTAAAAGACTCAAACAGAATTTCTTAACACAAATGGAATACTCTGTCACCATAAAGAAGAACAAAATCGCGTCCTTTGCAGCAACATGGATGCTGCTGGAGGCCATTATCCTAAGTGAATTAACAAAGGAACAGAAAACCAAATACTCCGTGTTTTCAGTTATAAGTGGGGGCTAAACACTGAGTACACATGGACCTAAAGATATCAGCAACAGACACCAGGGACTACTAGAGCAGAGAGTGTGGGAGGGAGGGAGTGAGGGTTGAAAAACTACTAAATCGGGTACTATGCTTGCTACCTGAGTGAATGTGATCATTCATATACCAAACGACAGTGAAACACAGTTCACCCATGTAACAGACCTGCACATGTACATCATGAACCTAAAGTCATATTTGAAAAAATATGAATAAAAATTAGAATATTAAAAAAGATTAAATGAAAATATATCAGCTATGCAGATAAAATCAGTGAACTGGATATAGATTCAAAGTAATAAATAATGAAATGATGTGAAAAAAGGAAGAGATATGGAAAATAAATAAATGGAAGATATTACATTAAAGGAGATGCTGACTGAGGAGTTCCAGAATTGCTGGAAACATCTATTGACAGTTTCAAGAAGGCTAACAAATCTAGAGTGGGATACATAATATATCCAGTCATATTACAACCAGTTTTAGATCACTAAAGATTAAGAGAAGACTTTAAAAGCAGCAAGAAGAAATGCAAATTACCCAGACAGGTGTAACAACTGTCTGAGTTGTTACAATGAAAACAATTGAGTTTTCATTAATAAATGGAATCCAGGAAGCAATATAATAAACTATTCAGTGGTGCAAGCAAAATTACTGACAATCTAGATTCACAATGGGGGAAATTATTTTTCAAGAGTAAGAGTAAAATAAAAATACTTTCAGACAAAGAAAACTTGACAATTCTTTACTAAAGGAAATGATACAGTATATACTTTTAGCAGATAGACAAGGTGTAAAGTCTGATAAGAAATGGTGGGAAAAAGTAGTAAATGTGTGAGTAAATCTCATATAATTAACTTATAATACAATAATAAAAATTGCTAACTCTTGGAATAATAAAGAAGATAGAGCAAAACTACTCATTAACACAACAATCTGGAGGGCTTGTGAGAATTGTAAGATTCTAATGTTCTTGTATTTTAGGAGAAAGTTACCAATATTAATTACCATCCTCTCTGTGTGTGCGCCTGTGTGTGTGTGTGTGTGTACCTGCACAAGTGTGTGCACTCTCTGAGAGATGCCTTAATTGTATTAGTTGTATTAGAATGTTTTGCTGTTGTTCTCTAACTTGATTTTCTTATATGGTTAACACATTTCCAAGTTTTAATCAAAGTATCACGTTACATGGCTTGTACTCAGAAATGTTCAAGAAATGTTGTTAAGAGTTTATCATGAAAACAACACTATTGAAGAAATAACATAAAACTGATGAGAAAATATTTTCAATTTAGGCATGTGTAGCTACTCCAGGACAATTTTACTTATTAAATATTTTTGATAATACATTTAAAAAGTGTAGTACCTTAGAATACTACCATGAATGACATAGAATCTCACCTTAAGAAAGACGCTGTCATAATCTGTGCTGTACAGAAACCGTTGATACCCTGGAAAAAAGAAAGTCTAATATTACTAATACAACCCACTGGTTTCTTGCTGATAAAAGTAAAATAAAAAGTATTCTCTGTAATAACTTGCCATTTTCCATCTAACTGCATTAGGATCATATTTATAAAATCTTTCTAAATTGACAGAAAAATATAGACCAAATATTTTAACATAATTTATCTGTGTATGCATGTCACAGAATAGACATACCTTTGTATTAAGTTAAATTTTTCATTTAAAGTATCAAATTAAATATTTGAATTATATATAACATAATATAGAGATACACACATATAAGTCTCTTTTAATATTACTATTGACGTCTGTTAGTAAATAAATATATTTTATAATATTCCACTTAAGCATAAAGTTATTTTCCTTAAGAAAGTACTTCAGTCCGTATCACTGAACTTCACTTCACCAAAAAGGTGCACAGGCTAGTCTGTTACACATTTATCCATGTTATTGATTTTTCCATCACATATAAAAGGTTACAACATTCAAGAGATTGTTCCTGTTACAACAGTATAAATTCATTGCCTGGAACACAGTTTGCTATTGAATGTCTGCCAGACTGTGTTAACAAGGGTATTCAGAAGAAAACTGTGAAGGTATAAAACAATAAATAAGCGAATAAAATTCTCTAAAGATAACATGCCTTTAAAATTATGTGTATTTTCTTTAAGCAAAGGTAGTTTGAGAAAATAAATATATTCTTATTTTGTATTATCTTTTCCCACTATACATAAACACATATTTATATTTTTAAAAACTCAGTGCTACTTTGGGCTATTTAAGTAACTCTAAGTAGAACCAATTATGTTGTTTTTCAAAGTTTGGTGTTATGTAAACATTATTCTTTCAGACAAGAGTCAACTGTGAACATTTATATACTCTTGAGGCACAGATTCCTCCAGCTCTCCTGATATCTCCATCAGCATTTCTCTCTCTACTTAAATGTGCCGTGGTCAGCTTCTGTGGTCAACAACACCTCCATTGGAATTTCCACATTTTTCCTCTTTGTCTTCTTCCGTAGCTTCCACAGACAGCAAGAATAGTTGCAATTGGAGACTGACATTTTGAAACAGTAGTAGGTATTTTGGGATTCTCATGTCACATAAACTCATTTTTTAACATGAAGTTATCTTCACAGCCAGTTAGTCATATCACAGAACACAGAGGCTAGGACCTAAAACCAGATTTCATTCACTGGCATGGAGCAGAAGAAAAGCAGAACTTAAAGAGACCCAACTATAGATCCCAAGAAATTTGTTATTCAGAAGGCTGTAGCAACAATCGGTTGAATCCCATGCAAGCATTGTGTATTTGGTCACAGCAAGGTGTTTGGTTTATGGAGTTTATGTTTTCAATATTATACATTTGAAACATCGATGAAGAGAATCTAAACATTAGAGGTGATCACCAGATGATCAGGCAACCAGGAAAAACAGCATTGGTTTTGAAAATATTATAACAATGTTCACGACCAGAACTCTTGTAATTGGTCTTTTGACTGTACTTACTAGTGATGTACCTTTAAATATAATTCAGGATACATTTTAACAGGATCTGATTTTTTACAACTAGTTCATGAATTTTGTGAAAGACTGATGAACAAAATGGAATTGCTTATTCATCTTTGTATGGCTATCATCAACTAGAAACTTTAACACACTGTAGGCACAGGACTTTAGAATCCCATTAGTGATTTATGAAGTTTATATTTGGCTGATAATTTCTCATAGACACTGATGAAAAATATCATGTACCTGAGAAGAGATATATATATTAAGCCAGATATTCAATTAAATAAAAAGTAATTAAGCAAAGATAATTTCATCTGGTTAAATTAAATTATATATTATTTTTGTAAATATTTTGTTATCAAATCAAAATAATTATGTGTTCTATTTAGGTAGAAAAAGAGTATGAATGAAAATGAATATTTTAGTTTTCTAATTATTAATATTTAACAAATTAGGTGGTATCTTCAATGTGAATAATAGAATTGTACTAGATATATAGTATTAGTACTATATATCTAATTAGTATTAGATAGAATTATAATAGATATAATTTAGTTGATTTTGGATCCATTTTTGTGTGACTGTCTCCTTTCTGAAGCATTATTGTTAAAATGGTTAGTTTTTTGTACTATTGCTCTATAGCATGATGAAAAATATTTTGAGTCAAGTTGCAAATAATTGTGCTAGCATAAAATATTTCAAAGAGTTTTTAAAACAATTGGAGATATGTTTCATGTAGAATTTTCTATAAATTGGCTAATAGAAGTATTTTATTATTTTCAAGAAATTTCTAATATTCAAATATCTCATAGATACTTAAATATATGTTCCTAAATATATGTAATATAATACAATGAATCAGGTTGCCATAATAAGATAATTATACATTTTTATCATTTTTAGATTTTATAAATGTAAACTTTGTTTCTGTGTAAAATGAAAATACATGTTTAAAAAATTTCAGATTAATGGTAATTGATTTGCTGCCTCAAAAAGAGGGCCCCAAATTTTTTCATTAAAAAAAAGAAAGGTAAGTGACCAAGCCTTCTACAGAGATAGTAATCTAAAAATTATTGTTGATTTGTAATGGTTACAGAAAAGTTTTCAAGATAACAAAACCTAACAAGTGAAAGTGAAATTCTACATTAATATATATTTTGAATACACATTCAATAAATTTCTAATTTTGAGATAAACAAATTATTTCAATCATATAAATGTCAGGTATTGCTAAATTGTATGTTCTATTAAATAATAAGAAATGCATACTTCCTGTATTATTCTCATAAAAGCAGTTTCCTTCATGAGCACATGAACAGCTTCAAGAATCAAATTGACCACACTACATCACTCAGCAAAATGTATTGCAGATTGGGAACACAAAACATGAAAGAAAATGAAAGACAGAAAGATAATCTTTCCCTCAAATCTATGCTCACCTGAATCTTAAATCATGTATTATTTTCCCTTTATATAGTTCTTGATGGGAATCTTACAGAAAAAAAAATGGGTTAAACTGACAATTCTTCACTGTCAAGAGAAACCTATGGTCAGGGATATATATAATTCCCAAAGCTTTCATCATTAATATTTTATGAATCTTGCTGATCTGTCCCATCTGGAAGAAAAATATATCTTTCATTTGTGCAAGCGGTGCCTGCCAAGTAATAGGTTTCATCTCTATAAGCTGAGTGGTGAAATGCAAACGGCAGCAAAGGTACTAGGAGGCAAAGTGTTCACTTTATTTATTTTACTGGAGTCTGGCTGCACTTTATTGGAGTTGCAGAGTCAGCCAAGCAAAGCGAAAGATCTTTGGGGAAGTACGAGTGTCAATTCCTTGCCAATATACCTCAGCCTACACATGTGAATGCCCACGTGTTCAATCTGACTTTTAAATGAGGTGATTAGCCACGGTGACTTTTTTTTTTTAACATAAATATATACAAGAAGCTTTGGTGACTGGAACATTGGAAAACCATTAGCTGAGTATTTGACTTTGTGTGTGTGTGTGTGTGTAGATGAGATGACTAAGAGACAAATTAATAATTTTTGGACACTTCTAACTTAAAAGGCAGGATGTTCTGTCCCTTGGTTGGGCATGACTTGCCTTAGCTGAACTAAGAATTTTGTGTAGGCTCATCTATGACACTGGAGCTGAGTATCCCCTGGGCAGTATTCAAACACAGAAGAGCAAACAGAGAAAGTGTTCTAAGACCCCCTTTCCAAGACATAAACACAGGGCATAATCTCTATAATACTGGTCTGGAAAATGACTTTTTGGGGGAGATTAAGACCCCAAAAGCATAGAAACCAAAGCAAAAAATAGACAAATGGGATTATATCAAATTAGAAAGCTCTAAACAGCAAGAGAAACAATGGATAAAACAAAAAGATAGCCTGCAAAATGGCAGAAAAAATTGTAACCGTGTATCTCCTAAGTTACTATTCTAAATGTATAAGGAACTCAAACAAACTATTAGCAAGAAAACAAATGGTCCAATTAAAAATGGGCCAAGTACAGGAATAAACATTTCTCAAAAGAAGACCAACAGGTATATACATAAAATGACCAACAGGTATATACATAAAAAATGCTCAGCCTCACTCATTACCAGAGAAATGCAAGTAAAATTCATGATGAGTTATCACCTGACCTGTTAGAATGGCCACCATAAAAAAAGATGAAAAATAAGTGTTAGGGAGGATATGGAGAAAAAGGAAACCCCGTGTACACTGATGGTGGGGATGTAAATTAGTACAGCCGCTATGGAAAACAGTATGATAGTTTCTCAAAAATTGAAAAAAAGAACTACCTTATGATCTAGCCATCCCACTACTGGTTACATAATCAAATGAAATGAAATCAGTATGTCAAAGAGATACCTGCACTCCCATGTTTATTGCAGCACTCTTCATAATAGCCAAGATATGGAGTCAACCCAAGTGTCCAGCAATGGATAAATGGATAAAGAAAAACTATTCAGTCTTAAAAACAAGGGAATCCTGTAATTTGCCACATCATGGATGAACCCAGAGGATATTGTGCTAAGTGAATTAAACCAAGCACAAAGAGACAGATATCACATGTTCTCACTAGTATGTGGGAGTTATTATAAAAAAGCTGAACTGATAAAAGTAAAGGACAGTAGGATAGTAGTTACCAGGGGCTGGAATGGAGGTGTGGAGATAGAAAGATGTTCTTTGAAGGTTATACAATTTCAATTAGATAGGTGAAATAAGTTCAAGAGATCTATTGTACAACAGTTCAGTGACTATAGTTAATAACAGCATATTGTATACTTGAAAATTGCTAAGACTGAAAAATGATAAGCATTTGAAGTAATGCATATGTTAATTAGCTCAATTTAGCCATTCCACAATGTATATATATTTTAAAACATCATGTTTTACAAGATAAATATATCCATCATTTATTTATCAATTAAAAATAATGAATAAATTAGCTTAAAAAAACAAAATAAAACAATGACAACAAAAGCCAGAAACACAGTGGGTTTCTGTCTGTTAGGTTTATCTAGTTCATAGGTCCACCATGAGTGAAGTGTGGGCCTCTCATTTGGATGAAAATAATTTCTGTAGTAATGTATTTAGTGCATAATCAGAAAAAACATCTCGGTTTTAAAGGAGAATTTTCCTTCACTAAAAAATCTAAAATTTAAAACTCCTTGAAACGGTTTCCCTTTTCTTCAGCAAACTTATTTCAATTTTTAATGAAATATTAAGGACTGTGATTATTTAACATCTTTCTGATCTTTTAGAACATAAGACCCTTTCTATTTTGTGCAAAATTGTATCCCCAGAGTCTTGCACACTGTTGACAAGCAGTAAATATTCAGTAAGTTTTTGTTGAAAGATTTGCATATTTTTCATTTTTATCAGTAGCTTCCAACATGTTCTAACATCATAAGCCTCAACAAGGCTTGGGGTAAGAGTGATGATTTATTCAAACTACAGCTACTAATCATAAATTTACATAAAGCACTGTGTTAGAAATTGAGTGATACTAAAATGCCTAAGATTAATTTCTGGGCTTCAGGGAGTTAACCGTCTAGTTGAGGGAATAAGATATATGTGTAAAAATAATGCCAAATGTGAAATATTAAGTGACTAGAGAATATATGAGCTGAAATTGTACATTAGACAAAAGAAATAAAAGGACATTCCTGATAATGAGAACCACATGAGTAAATACATTAATATCAAAAGTCTCTAAACCATAAATCATATAAGTGATGTTGAGGATGATGGAGCTTAGAATGACTGACAAAAGAACACTATCCCTGTCTATAAGAATTATCTAATCCCTGATCTTTAATTGATTTGTCTATTTACTCTTTGTCATAGAAAAGCATGTGATTTCCATGTATGCAAAGGATCAACACTGGATACACATGTTAATATAATATTACCACAAACATATAAGGGTTTTTTTTTTCTGACACTCAACTGGCAGCTGGGTGCTTCAAACTTTTTAAATCTTTACCATCCTAAAATGGGTGAGGGTAAAGGGAGAATAGTATCTTGTTTTCATTTGATCTTTACTTATGATTCAAGTATCTTTTCACGTCTTCATTCTCTCTTTCAGCCTCAGCTCTTTTTTCATTCCCCTGTTATCCAGTTCATTTGCCTGACTCCTTGGCATCAGCTTCCAGGCTATGCAATCACAAGTGGAGCATATATTCATTTTCAGAGAAAAGTAGCCATTCATTGACACTCTCTAGCTAAGTAAAATACTTGCTAGTTGTTACTCTTCAATGGCTTGACTATACCACTAGTTTCAACAAGTTAAAAAAAATTATTCCAGGCATTCTTCTGGATAATTTTAATGAGTTCTGTACTCACTAAAGCCTTTACTTTGCCATTAACTTGTTAGCTCTATTATGAGCTAAACTTTATGTCAGTTTGAGAAAACTATTATTTGAGCTTATAAAGCATGCAGTATGTGAAATGAGTGATCTATTTATTTTTATTTTTTAATTATACTTTACGTTCTAGGGTACACGTGCACAACGTGCAGGTTTGTTACATATGTATACATGTGCCATGTTGGTTTGCTTCACCCATTAACTTGTCATGTACGTTAGGCATTTCTCCTAATGCTATCCCTCCTCCACTCCTCCACCCCCTTAAGGCCCCAGTGTGTGATATTCCCCACCCTGTGTCCAAGTGTTCTCATTGTTCAATTCCCACCTATGAGTGAGAACATGCAGTGTTTGGTTTTCTGTTCTTGTGGTAGTTTGCTCAGAATGATGGTTTCCAGCTGTATCTATGTCCCTGCAAAGCACATGAACTCATCCTTTTTTATGGCTGCATAGTATTCCTTGGTGTATATGTGCCACATTTTCTTAATCCAGTCTATCATTGATGGACATTTGGGCTGGTTCCAGGTCTTTGCCATTGTGAATAGTGCTGCAATAAACATACGTGTGCATGTGTCTTTATAGTAGCATTATTTATAATCCGTTGGGTATATACCCAGTAATAGGATCGCTGGATCAAATGGTATTTCTAGTTCTAGATCCTTGAGGAATCACCACACTGTCTTCCACAATGGTTGAACTAATTTACACTCCCAACAGTGTAAAAGCATTCCTATTTCTCCACATCCTCTCCAGCATCTGTTGTTTCCTAACTTTTTAATGAATGAATGATCTATTTAAAGTGATAATATAAAAATTTAAAGTTAAGTAGGAAAATAAACATACTAATATTGGAGAAAATATTTCTGTATTTCCTTGATTTTAAAATCAAAGTAATTTTCTTTAAAGCTAATATCAAACTAGTTGAACTTATATTAATTTTATTTAAAAAAATTTCTTTTATATCCTTTAGACCTCAAAATTTTTGAAATTTGCAGATTCCATAATAATGTATTTCTAAAATTATGTAAACTCTTTTACTAATTATTATTATTTTCTTTTTTAGAGACAGGGTCTAGCTCTGTGGTTCAGGCTGGAGCACAGTGGCACAATCATGGCTCACTGCATCCTCAAATTCCTGGGCTGTTATAGTATCTACCGTTTTGGTCTTTTCAGTACATTTCTATCCAATTATGTAAGTGAATGAAACTCTGCTGCCAAAAGGAAATTCTGGTCAGATCCCTCTTTTTTCTGATCCCTTTATTGGTTTCTCATTGTTTGAATAAATACATTTCTTAGCCATATATTTTACTCCCACCAATAATTCTATCCTGCAACTACACTGAACTACCTGCTATTTTCCAAACACATTTCATGTGAGCTTTCATGCTTCAGTGACTTTGAACATATATTCCATTTTCCTAGACAATACTTTGATTAACTGTCACCTCTGCAGGAATGGCTGTGACCCCTATAGCAATATTGGTCTCTCTCTCTTCTTGGGACTTCAATTAGAGGACTAAGTCCATCTTACTGCAATCTTTGTGTGAATGTCAGTATCTACCCAACGCTGTAACCTCAAGGGCAGAAATCATAGCATGCCATTTTTGTGTTTGGAATACAGTAGATCTTCAATAATTGTTTGCTAAATGACTAGTATAATAAATTCATATAAGATTTTCCCACTAATTGGAGCTTTTAAGGGAAATACTTTAATTCAACAAGATTTCTATAGCAGACAGAACTTTGACTTCTATACACTGCTATTTAAGAAACTAATTTTGATTTGGCAGTTGTTTCTGGATGTCTCAAATAATATATTATTATAGATTTACTTAAATGTAAAGGCTTTTTAAATCTAGATTTTAACCTACATTACCACACTTCTTTGCTTAATGATTAAATGAACTTTTGCTTAGATTTTTATAAAAGAGAGAGTAAATAAAATGTACATTTAATTAACACAGTGAATATTTTTTGTATCTACATATTTCAATTGTTAATGGGATTTCATGACCTAAATTGGCCAGAAAACTGTAATATTATTTTATTACACTCATGCATATAAATGCTATAATAAATCTGCTAGAAAGAGATAATGCAATCAAATTAAAAAGCCCCACCAGAAAGATGACAGTTTTCTTTCTGGTCATTTCTTTGAGTAGTTTGTGTAAGTGGTATAAATCTCAAAAAATCTATAAAATATTTTACAGTCTGCCAAATAAGATGTTCAAATTCCTCTCATGACTTCTTTCAGCAAGAAAAATGAACTCAATATTATGCTAATAGTAAAAAATGTTTCCCTAGTAGTTTATATAATATTCAAAAAAGCTTA
Source organism: Homo sapiens (assembly GCF_000001405.40). Taxonomy (NCBI): domain Eukaryota; kingdom Metazoa; phylum Chordata; class Mammalia; order Primates; family Hominidae; genus Homo; species Homo sapiens. Next base: position 86,058,466 of record NC_000012.12, read on the forward strand.
CAGTTAATTATGCCTTACAATTTACAGTTCTTTAAAATTGGGAAATGCTTTAAGCATATTATTGTCATCGACTCATACAATAGTCTTATGAAGCAAGTATAACAATTTGTGATATTAACTTTATTTTTTTATTGAGAAATGAAATCCTAAAACATTTGGTAACTTATCCAAGGCAACATATATATGTCTTCTAGGTTTGAAATGAAATTAATTCATGGTATATAGTGTAGAAAAATGTCTTTCTCTCTTTTGTTGACATGGTGTTTCTATGATTTTAGTAAAAAAGTAAGAGTTAATTCAACTACAACAACACATGCTTGAACATCTAATTTATTATTTTATTTATCTTTTAGATGTAAAAATGTCTTGTTTTTTTCAAGACATTTGAAATTCTCCCCAATTCCAATCTTACTAATCAATGGTCTTACATGTATACAAACATTTACAAAGATATGCACATTTATTTAGGAATATAAGTAGATTTAAAGAATATAATATTTTACACCAACATCTTATTCAATTCATATGCCACAACACTCCATATCCCTGAAAGATCTAACATGTTTTTTGCTTTTTATTTGTTTTGTTTTGTTTTTCGAAACAGAGTCTCACTTTGTCTCCCAGGCTGGTCTTCAGTGGCATGATTTCAGCTTACTGCAACCTCCACCTCCCAGGTTCAGGCAATTCTTGTGTGCCTTGGCTGACTGAGTAGCTGTGATTACAGGTGCCTGCTACCACACTTGACTAATTTTTGTATTTTTAGTAGAGATGGGGTTTCTCCATGTTGGCCAGTCTTGAATTCCTGACCTCAAGTGATCCGCCTGCCTCTGCCTCCCTAAGTGCTGGGATTACAGGCATGAGCCACCGCACCCAGCCTTAACATGTCTTCTTAATGTTCACACTAGCCCTTTCTTCATCATTTATTCATCTCTTTGTTTTAATATTTGATTATCCCTTCGTTGTTTTCTTCTCCTCTCAGAAGAAACCATAGTTCTCTGCAGGAGCTGGGCTCAGACCAGTGTTTCCGGTTTCCTTTCTGCTGGTTGGAAACTGACCTGTCTTCTGCGTTCTCTGTGAGCTACAGGTAGCCCAGGCTACCCCTTTTCTCCCTTTTGGAAGATACATCCCTGCTATCAGAGCAGACTAAGGATATTAAAAGCCTCAATCTGAAGTGGCTTGTATAGTTGACAGAGGCTACATAGGTTGTAGTAGGCAGATCTTTTAGCACAACCACAGTGGGAAACTTCAATGTAGCTGATTACAAGGAGCTAAAGTGAGAAGGGTCCTGTCCCTTTGGTTGTTGCTCCTTTCACTTGCCCCTTTCTCTGTATCAAGAACACCAGAGCAGCAGCCCCTAACACAAGACTCTAACACCGTGTAAGATAAGTTTTCAACCCCACACTGTCTACCTTAAAATACAAGTCAGCACACTGAAACTAACCAGAGGAATAAGAGACGAAGATCTTATACAGAATGAGAACGGGAATAAGGCAGAAAGATTAAGAAAAGACAGCATTTTCTTTCAAGACTTTTCTTTTGTTATTTCTTGGAGGGAGAGAGGGAAACACGCAAACATGGCTATCTACTAGGAATAATTTAGTTAGGTATAATATGAAATGAGGACTAGAACTTCAGTTTTTCCAAAAAAAGTGAAGAACTTGGGGTATGACAGATCTATTTATAGGTCAAGGGCTCTACTAAGCTTTCTGACACACAAAGGTAGGCCCCTAGGTAGACTGACCTCTTCTAAATTGTCACTTCATTGAAAGGATAAAGAATTGTTTTTCAATTATAGAATTTTCTGAGGCCTCCAAGTATTTTTTGTTTGTTTATGTAAACAATAAAAGTATTTAGGAAAAGTTCAAGCAACTTTTACAATTGTTTTATAAAGAGTTAGGAAAAGAATGGCTTCCACAGTTTAAAATATATCTAGTTGTTTAATTATGCAAAATGCCTGTTATAGCTTATGTTTATGGCTGGCTATTTAGTCGTATCATGATACAATACTTGCAATAAAATACAACCTAAGGGGTCTAATAAAGTAGAAATAATTAATTCATACAATCCTAATTAATCAATAATATTTAATTATAAAATTATATCCTAGGAATTAAAATTTTATGAACCCTCGCATTGAGCAAATGTGTATAATCTTTCAATTTGCAGCTGTTAAAATCTAAGAGAGATAGCACAAAATGACTGAAGAAAATAAATAGAAACATTTATTGCTTAGATTCTGTATCTTCAGAGGAAAATTTATCTGTAGAATTCAGCCCAAAAGTGGACTCATTTCTTTTTTCAGGAATTAGTTGTAAGGAGTGAAATCCTTGGTTTGAAGAAAAATCATAAGAAAACCCCGTGGTGGGCAGACATTTCTTGGTGCTCCTGGGGGACTGAGCTGGCCAGGAAAATTCCATTCTGGAAACTAATAGGGGAAATTTCATATGCTTCTTGGGGGAACATGTAGGGAGGAAGGAAATCCTGCGCCCATCATTTCACCCAGTTTTTTCATCCCCAATATGGGCTTTCAACTTGGTGACAGAGTAGAGGAAGAAAGCCTTGGTTAGGTGCTTCACTTTCAAGAAAAGAGACAGACACTGTCTGTGGTGGCTGAATGGGAACAGCTTTGGTCTGCAGCTCCCAGCAAGATCAACTCAGGAGGCGGGTTATTTCTGCATTTCCAACTGAGGTACCTGGTTCATCTTATTGGGCTGGTTGGACAGTGGGTGCAGCCCAAGGAGGGCAAGCTGAAGCAGGGTGGGGCATCCCCTCAACCGGGAAGTGCAAGGGGTTGGGGAATTCTCTCTCCTACCCAAGGGAAGCCGTGAGGGACTGTGCCTTGAGGAACGGTGCACTCCAGCCCAGATACTGTGCTTTTCCCATGACTTTCACAACCTGCGGACCAGGAGATTCCCTTGGTGCCTATGCCACCAGGGCCCTGGGTTTCAAGCACAAAACTCGGCGGCAGTTTGGACAGACACTGAGCTAACTGCAGGAGTTTTTTTTTTGTTTTTTTTTTTCCATGCCCCAGTGGTGCCTGCAACGCAAGCTAGAAAGAATTGTTCACTCCCTTGGAAAGGGGGCTGAAGTCAGGGAGCCAAGTGGACTGGCTTAGCAGGTCTCACCCCCATGGAGCCCAGCAAGCTAAGATCCACTGGCTTGAAATTCTTGCTGCCAGCACAGCGGTCTGAGGTCAACCTGGGATGCTCGAGCTTGGTGAGGGAAGGGGCATCCGCCATTACTGAGGCTTGAGTAGGCAGTTTTACCCTCACAGTGTAAACAAAGTCATCAGGAAGTTTGAACTGGGTAGAGTCCACCACAGCTCAGCAAGTCCACTGTGTTCAGACTGCCTCTCTAGATTTTTCCTCTCTGGGCAGGGCATCTCTGAAAAAAAGGCAGCAGCCTCAGTCAGGGACCTATAGATAAAACCCCCACCTCCCTGGGACAGAGCACCTTGGGGAAGGGGTGGCTGTGGGCACAGCTTCAGCAGACTTAAACTTCCCTCCCTGACAGCTCTGAAGAGAGCAGTGGATCTCCCAGCACAGCACTCCAGCTCTGCTAAGGAACAGATGGCCTCGTCGAGTGGCTCCCTGACCCCCACGTATCCTGACTGGGAGACACCACCCAGTAGGGGCCAACAGACACCTCATATAGTAGAGCTCTGGCTGGCATCTGGCAGGAGCCCCTCTGTGAGGAAGCTTCCAGAGAAAGTAACAGGCAGCAATCTTTGCTATTCTGCAGCCACCGCTGGTGATACCCCGGCAAACACGGTCTGGAATGGCCCTCCAGCAAACTCCAGCAGACCTGCAGCAGAGGGTCCTGACTGTTAGAAGGAAATCTAACAAACAGAAAGGGATAGCGTCAAGATCAAATAAAAGGACATCCACTCAGAGACCCCATCTGAAGATCACCAACATCAAAGATCAAAGGTAGATCAATCTATGAAGATTAGGAGAAACCAGTGCAAAAAGGCTGAAAATTCCAGAAACCAGAATGCCTTTTCTCCTCCAAAGGATCACAGCTCCTCACCAGCAAGGGAACAAAACTGGACAGAGAAGGAGTTTGACGAATTGACAGAAGTAGGCTTCAGAAGATGGGTAATAACAAACTCCTGCAAGCTAAAGGAGCATGTTCTAACCCAATGTAAGGAAGCTAAGAAACTTGAAAAAAGGTTAGATGAATTGCTAACTAGAATAACCAGTTTAGAGAACATAAATGACCTGATGGAGTGAAAACACAGCACGAGAACTTCATGAAGCATACACAAGTATCAATAGCCAAATTGATCAAGCAGAAGAAAGGATATCAGAGATTGAAGATCAACTCAATAAAATAAAGTGAGAAGACAAGTTTGGAGAAAAAAGAATGAAAAAGAACAAACAAAGCCTCGAAGAAATATGGGACTAGGTGAAAAGACCAAATCTACATTTGATTGGTATACCTGAAAGTGACAGGGAGAATGGAACCAAGTTGGAAAACACTCTTCAGAATATTATCCAGGAGAACTTCCCCAACCTAGCAAGATAGGCCAACACTCAAAATCCAGAAAATAGATAGAACACCACAAAGATACTCTTCAAGAAGAGCAACCCCAAGACACATAATTGTCAAATTCACCAAGGTTGAAATGAAGGAAAAAATGTTAAGGGCAGCCAGAGAGAAAGGTCGGGTTACCCACAAAGGGAAGCCCATCAGACTAACAGCAGATCTCTCTACAGAGATCATACAAGCCAGAAGACAGTGGGGCCAGTATTCAACATTCTTAAAGAAAAGAATTTTCAACCCAGAATTTCATATCCACCCAAACTAAGTTTCATAAGTGGAGGAGAAATAAAATCCTTCACAGACAAGCAAATGCTGAGAGATTTTGTCACCACCAGGCCTGCCTTACAAGAGCTCCTGAAGGAAGCACGAAACATGGAAAAGAACAAGCAGTACCAGCCACTGCAAAAACATACCAAATTGTAAAGGTCATTGAGACTATGAAGAAACTGCATCAATTAATGGGGAAAATAACCAGCTAGCATCATAATGACAGGATCAAATTCACACATAACAATATTAATTTTAAATGTAAATGGGCTAAATACCCCAATTAAAAGACACAGACCGACAAACTGGATAAAGAGTCAAGATCCATTGGTGTGCTGTATTCAGAAGATCCATCGGTGTGCTGTATTCAGGAGACCCATCTCACATGCAAAGACACACATAGGCTCAAAATAAAGGGGTGGAGGAATATTTACTAAGTAAATGGAAAGCAAAAAAGAGCAGCGGTTGCAATCCTTGTCTCTGATGAAACAGACTTTAAACCAACAAAGATCAAAAGAGACAAAGAAGGGCATTACATAATGGTAAAGTTATCAATGCAACAAGAAGAGCTAACTATTCTAAATATATATGCACCCGTGCAGGAGCACCCAGATTCATAAAGCAAGTTCTTAGAGACCTACAAAGAGACTTAGACTCCCACACAATAATAGTGGGATACTTTAACACCCCACCATCAATATTAGACAGATCAACAATACAGAAAATTAACAAGGATATTCAGGACTTGAACTCAGCTCTGGACCAAGCAGTGCTAATATACATCTACAGAACTCTGGACCCCAAATCAACAGAATATACATTCTTCTCTGCACCTCATCACACTTATCCTAAAATTGACCACATATTTGGATGTAAAACACTCCTCAGCAAATGCAAAAGAATGGAAATCATAACAAACAGTCTCTCAGACCACAGTGCAATCAAATTAGAACTCAGGTTTAAGAAACTCACTCAACCTGTAGTCCCAGCTACTCGGGAGCCTGAGGCAGGAGAATGGCATGAACCTGGGAGGTGGAACTTGCAGTGAGCCAAGATCACGCCACTGCACTCCAGCCTGGGCAACAGAGCGAGACTACGTCTCAAAAAAAAGAAATAAAATAAAATAAGAAACTCAAGCAAAACTGCACAACTACATGGAAATTGAACAACCTGCTCCTCAATGACTACTGGGTAAATAATGAAATGAAGACAGAAATAAAGATGTTCTTTGAAACCAATGATAAAAAAGACACAACGTACCAGAATCTCTGAGACACATTTAAAACAGCATATAGAGGGAAATTTATAGCAGTAACTGCCACAAGAGAAAGCAGGAGAGATCTAAAATTGACACCCTAACATCAAAATTAAAAAGAACTAGAGAAGCAAGAGCAAACAAATTCAAAACCTAGCAGAAGGCAAAAAATAACTGAGATCAGAGCAGAACTGAAGGAGATAGAGACAAAAAATCCCTTCAAAAAATCAATAAATCCAGGAGCTGGTTTTTTGAAAAGATCAACAAAATAGACCACTAACCAGATTAATAAAGAAGAAAAGAGAGAAGAATCAAATAGATGCAATAAAAAAATGATTAAAGGGATATCACCACTGATCCCACAGGAATACAAACCACCATCAGAGAATACTATAAACACCTCTACACAAATAAATTAGAAAATCTAGAAGAAATGGATAAATTCCTGGACACATACACCCTCCCAAGTCTATACCAGGAAGAAGTTGCATCCCCGAATAGACCAATAACAAGTTCTGAAATTGGGGCAGTAATTAATAGCCTACCAATCAAAAAAAGCCCACGACCAGACAGATTCACAGCTGCATTCTACCAGAGGTACAAAGAAGAGCTGGTATCATTCCTTCTGAAACTGTTCCAAACAATACATAAAGAGGGACTCCTCCCTAACTCATTTTATGAGGCCAGCAGCATCCTAATACCAAAACATGGCAGAGACACAACAAATAACGAAAATTTCAGGCCAATATCCCTGATGAACATACATGAAAAAATCCTCAATAAAATATTGGCAAACTGAATCCAGCAGCACATCAAAGCTTATCCACCATCATGAAGTTGGCTTCATACCTGGGATGCAAGGCTGGTTCAACATATACCAATCAATAATTATAATCCATCACATAAACAGAACCAATGACAAAAACCACATGATTATCTCAATAGATGCAGGAAAGGGCTTTGACAACATTCAACACCCCTTCATGCTAAAAACTCTCAATAAACTAGGTATTGATGGAACGTATATCAAAATAATAGGAGCTATTTATGACAAACTGGCAGTCAATATTATACTGAATGGGCAAAAACTGGAAGCATTCCCTTTGAAAAACGGGAGAAGACAAGGGTGCCCTCTCTCAGCACTCCTATTCAACATAGTATTGGAAGTTCTTGTCAGGGCAATCAGGCAAGAGAAAGAAATAAAGGTATTCAATTAGGAAAAGAGGAGGTCAAATTGCCTCTGTTTGCAGATGACATGATTGTATGTTTAGAAAACCCCATAGTCTCAGCCCAAAATCTCCTTAAGCTGATAAGCAACTTCAGCAATGTCTCAGGATACAAAGTCAATGTGCAAAAATTACAAGCATTCCTATATACCAATAACAGACAAACAAAGAGCCAAATCATGAGTGAACTCCCATTCACAATTGCTACAAAGAGAATAAAATACCTATGAATCCAACTTACAAGGGATGTGAAAGACCTCTTCAAGGAGAACTACAAACCACTGCTCAAGGAAATAAGAGATGACACAAACAAATGAAAAAACATTCCTTGCTCAGGGAGAGGAAGAATCAATATCGTGAAAATGGCCATACTGCCCAAATTAATTTATAGATTCAATGCTATCCCCATCAAGGTACCACTGATTTTCTTCACAGAATCAGACAAAACTACTTTAAATTTCATATGGAACCAAAAAAGAGCCCACATAGCCAAGACAATCGTAAGCAAAAAGAACAAAGCTGGATGCATCATGCTACCTGACTTCAAACTATACTACAAGTCTACAGTAACCAAAACAGCATTGTACTGCTACCAAAACAGATATATAGACCAAAGGAACAGAACAGAGGCCTTAGAAATAACACCACACATCTGCAACCATCTTACCTTTGACAAACCTGAAAAAAAAAAGGCAATGGGGAAAAGATCCCCTATTTAATAAATGGTGTTGGGAAAACTGGCTAGTCAAATGCAGAAAACTGAAACTGGATCCCTTCCTTACACCTTATACAAAAATTACCTCAAGATGGATTAAATACGTATATGTATGACCTAAAACCATAAAAACCCTAGAAGAAAACCTAGGCAATACCATTCAGGACATAGGCAGGGCAAAGACCTCATGACTAAAACACCAAAAGAAATGGCAACAAAAGTCAAAATTGACAAACGGGATCTAATTAAACGAAAGAGTTTCTGCACAGCAAAAGAAACTTTTATCAGAGTGAACAGGCAACCTAAAGAATGGGAGAGAATTGTTGCAATCTATCCATCTGACAAAGGGCTAATATCCAGAATCAACAAAGAACTTCAACAAATTTACAAGAAAAAAAACCACCACATCAAAAAGTAGGTGAAGGATATGAACAGACACCTCTCAAAAGAAGACATTTATGCAGCCTAAAAATAAAGGAAAAAAAGCTCATCATCACTGGTCATTAGAAAAATGCAAATCAAAACCACAATGAAATACCATCTCACGCCAGTTAGAATGGTGATCATTAAAAAGTCAGAAAACAATAGATGCTGGAGAGGATATGGAGAAATAGGAATGCTTCTACATTATTTGTGGGAGTGTAAATTAGTTCAGCCATTGTAGAAGACAGTGTGCCGATTCCTCAAGGATCTATAACCAGAAATACCATTTGACCTAGCAACCTTATTACTGGGTATATACCCAAAGTGTTATAAATCATTCTACTATAAAGATACACTCACACAAATGTTTATTGTGGCACTTTTCACAATAGCAAAGACTTGGAACCAACCCAAATGCCTATCAGTGATAGACTGGATAAAGAAAATGTGTCACATATACACTATGGAATACTATGTAGCCATAAAAAGGATGAGTTCATTTTCTTTGCAGGGACATGGATGAAGCTGGAAACCATACTTCTCAGCAAACTAACACAAGAACAGAAAACCAAACACCACATGTTCTCACTCATAAGTAGGAGCTGAACGATGAGAACACATGGACATAGGGAGGGGAACATCACACACCGGGGCCTGTTGGGGGGTGGGGGGATAGCGGAGGAGTAGCGTTAGGAGAAATACCTAATGTAGATGACGGGTTGATGGGTGCAGCAAACCACCATGGCACTTGTATACCTATGTAACAAACCTGCACTTTCTGCACATGTACCCCAGAACTTAAAGTATAAAAAAAAAGAGACAGTGAAAGTGCAAATTGCCAAATGTTTCTTTAGTATTTATTTCATTATATTTCATTTTTGATGACATTAGACCATCTTTTTCATCAACATAAGGCATGTAGTAGATTATGAATCCTGCTGGTCTCTGTTGATGATCAGATGCCAAAGCAGGAGTAAATTTTCTTGACATGCAGAGCAAGAGTTGGAGCAGAAATTGAGGTGTTATCTCGTCATCACAGCATGTAGATCCTGGATCCGTGAGCCCTGTCAGATGGATTTGCTCCTCACCAAAAAATCTGGAAGATCCTCAGGTCCTTTTAAGCCTCTGCTAAATGCTGCACAGATACCTCTCCAAAATTTCAAATTTGACATCCACTTCAGTTAATTTGGAAATGCTGTGTATGTTCTTTTCTCATACCTTACTAAAGTTTCTCTGACCAACCTGTGCTATCAAACATATATCACACATTTTGTTATCAAGGGCACCAAAGCAGATTTTTAAGGAACAAATAATTATTTGTTTGTTTTTGTTGTTCTTTTAAACTTTGGCTTGCCTTTTTGGCAGATGTTCTACTCTTCATGTCTTAATCTGCTTTGCAACTATCTCTAAACTATCCTTTCCCTCTATTAGGAAAAGTAGCAAGTTTTGTCATCATCATTGATATTAGTTTGTTTTTCATTTATTGTTATAATTCATTCATTATGTTACTAATGAAGCTCTTGTACTTCACTTTCAGGGTTTGTATTTTCTGATTCCAAGGATGCATTCTTATTTTTCAGAGTTGATGTAAGTCATAACTGCTTCTGTTTTCTTTTTTAGGAACATAAATATATAGATAAATATGAATATAAATATATATAAGTATATTTATATGTTATAAATATAAGCATAGCATATTTATATTATATATATATATTTATACACACACACACAGACACTTCCAGGAAATGCCTATTCTTTCCTCTGTTTGCTTGTGTGAAGGCTTGTGCCAATCTAATCTATAGTCGAGCTGGCTCTCTGGGCTTTGGGAGTTATGAGGCATTCTCTTTACTATTCCAGCTTTTTATGCCTCTGAAGATCTCTCTCTACTTTGCTGCCCTGTCCCCTTTTACCTGTAGCAGTACAGTCTATGAAAGCCCAGTAAACCTTGGGGTGGGCTTTCTCTTCTCTTTGTTGCAATCTTTGAAAGGGTGTGGCCTTGCACTCTGTGAAGTCCCTCTGTAAGAGTTGGTTGATAATATAGTATTGCTTTAGGTGGGAGACTCCTTAAAATTCGAATTCACCACTCCAACCTATATGTGGTCATTAATAGTTTGTTAAAAATTGGACTGGTTTGTCCTCATTTCTGTCTAAAGCAGATTGTCTCCTGCTGCTGCGGTGCCCTCAGGGATGAAAACAGTCATGTGAGTCCTTTATTCTGGGAAGGTGTCATTTTTTTCTGGAATTTGGTCATGTCATTTTGTACCTTCAGTTTTCGGAGTTAAAAATAATATAACATTATAGTGTACCTTGCTTATTGTTAAGTATTATTTTAATAAGTATCTCCCCACAAAACTCTTCTGTTTATCTTAAATGAGGACAGCCCCACCAACAAATACAGTAATTCAAGTCAAATCTGAGATAATGTAGATTTACTCCTCAAATGTTGTATTCAGTAGCACTGGTGATCCTTCCATAAGTGACTGGGTTAATAACAACACTCCAAGCTAACAGTAAATTAAAATATATGTGTGAGTTTTAGATTTTACATGGGCTATTTATTTGAAACTGATATCTATAGTGGAAAAGTCTCCAATCTTAATATTCTATGTATGGCACTAAGGTGGAAGTGAACAGTGTGAACTATGGCAGATTGGGTAAGAAAATGAATCTACACAATATTCTTATTCTCAGTTGATGTCTATCCTTCCAGTTCCCCAGGCCAATTACAGTCATTCTTAACTCCATCTTTAAATCCATGCCCAATATATTAGGTAACTGTGCTGGCCCCATATTCAAAATATATCCATAACAATGGCTCACTAAAGTTACTACTAGCATCTTGGTCTCAGTGACTATGATTTCTTACCTGGTTTTAACTAGTGTGTTTTTAACTCATCTCCATTCTTTTACTCGGGCAATGTTTTTTTTCCCCTCCCCACCCCCAATATATTCTAAATAGAGCAACTAGAATGACTTTATTAAAATGGAAGTCAGATAATCAAGTTTTTCTACACAAAATTAAATAATATATTCTCATTTATTGCTAAACAGTTGCCAATTACAATGGTATAAAAGGCCCTTCTTGACCTGGTGCCTTCCTTGAACTCATCTCTTCCATCAGCAGCAGCCACATTGTCTTCCTTGGTGTCCTGTGAATTATGAGGTCCCGATGTAGGAACTTTGCATTGGATTTTTTTTTTTTTTGGAAATCTGGAAATCCCTTCTCCTAAATATTCCCATGGTTCTAACACTTATCCTCCTTAAGTCAAATATAATAAACTTAACAAAGTCTATTCTAACTATTAAACTGCAAATTTCTCCCTCCAAACAGGCATTCTAATATACCTGAACTTGATCAATATTTTTCTTCTCTATAGCATTTATCATCTTTTAATATGCCATATGATTTACTTACTTATTTTCTGTCTTCTCACATTTGATTGCCAAGTTTATAAAAACAGTAATCTTTTTTTTCCTCTGATTGTTTGCTAGTCACCTGGTAAATACTTATAAAAATATTTGTTGAAAGAATGAATCAACAGGGAGGTAAAAGCTAGTACACTACTAATCCACTTTTTTGTGTACATTCAACCAAGATATTCAGCAGCAAATATTTTTTTCTCAAGTTGCAACTTTAATATAAGTTGATGATCTATAGGAAAAATTCCCTTGGTGATCTGAAATTTGTACAGGTGGCAGCAGTTTTTATGGGTTGTGGCTCTATTATTTTTAATGAGCTGGGATTTCAAAGTTCTATCTATCTCTAAAGATATTTCTAGAAGGATATTCAAATTGTATTTGAATGAAGTATATCCCATAATACAGGGATATACTTACCAGGACAGAGTAGTAACCTTTCCAACAGGTCCATGAGCAATCAGATTCACAATTCTAATTTTGTAGTTGAGTTCTAACAATGTAGTTAATTATTGATTTTTAAAAAAACATTTGACCAAGCAAGAAGCAAAATCATTATTTTGCCAAAAACAGCACGTTCCTAATTTGCCTATGGAAGAGTATGTAATGCTTTTAAATGGGGATGAAATCTACATTATTATGTAGAAGATTGTTCCTTATTCTAAATTGCAGCTAAAGCAGAAATTCAAAGCTTATGAAATAAGACAGATAGTCTCAAGTTAAAACTCCTAAGTAATATTACTTTTAAATACAGAGGTAGGCAATGGACAATATGACATGGTAAAGCACAAAAAGAGTAGGACACTGCACTCAATCTTATTAAATTCGCTGTGAAAATACCACAGCCAGAAGCTATTCAATTTTTGGAGAAGTTGGGAAAGTACCAAGGTATCATGGGAAAATGTAGACAGGGAAAAAATATAGATCCAAAATGAAAGTCAAAGTTAAAAAGGGTCATCCTGCTTGAAGGAAAAAATAAATCTGATAGGTACTAGAAACCAAATCCAGAGGATCAGATAAGGCAGAAAGATTTTGTTCAGACAGACCCAATTGTTTTTTGAAGAATAATACAATAATATAAATAATTTATGAAATGTGCTTTGTAGTTGGCTTATAACAGTATTGTTTAGGCCATAAAATATTTGATAACTTTACATCTGGCTATTAACAGGTAGCTATGTTGCTCTTCATAAGAACATACTTTTATGGTTAACTTTGTTGCTCTTATGAAGGCTGCTAATTTGTGCAACTCCAGGAGCACATTCTATTCACATGTAACATAACACTATGTGAATGATTTCTTTTAACATCAGGTAATATGGTAGCAATACTACTTACTATGCGTCATAGCTTTACATATTTTAAATCATCTAATCATCTCAACAATTGTATGAGTTAGGAATTTTTATTATCCCATTTTACATATTCAAGAAATAAAGCACATAATTAACTAACTTGCACAAGTTGAACAGTAAAACGTGTTAGATCCAGAATTTCAGTACAGGAAATCTGTCTTCATGATCAGTGTTCTTAACTAGGGTATTATTCTGCCTCTTCAAAAGAATAATTATTGAACACCTTCAATGTTTTGGTCACCAATTCTTAGTACTAGGAAATGGCAACAAACATAAAAGCCAATCTCTTGCTCTCATTAGCTTTCATTTCTGTGAAGATGTTCAGACTATAAGTAGCAGTTAATGCATAGGGTTTTGTGTGTGTGTGTGTGTGTGTGTGTGTGTGTGTGTTCCAACCACTATTGAAATCTCTTTATAAATATTAACACATTCTGTCCTCACAACAGCCATTTGAGATAGTTGCCATGATTATTCCTCTTTTACAGATGATAGAACGGAGGGCAAAAGGGTTAAGTGATGTGCCTGAGGTTACAGAGCTAGTAAAACACATTTTTCCCTACTCTCAAATAGAGGACTGTCACTAAACTAATTATACAGAAAAGTCTTTCTGAAGAAAGCAAAGTAAGAGCTTTTTTAGAATTTCCTAAATTTTTTTTGTTAGCTGTTTTTTTTTCCCCAAAACACTTTAAAATTCCAGGTCAAACCATGCTTTTTTATTGTCATCCACATGAAAGAAGAGAAGAAAAAATTACAGGTAATTAATGAAAAAATAAAAAGCCAAGTGTATTTACAAGTATACAACATACATCTGTATGTATATTTATATCTGTAAGGCTCTTTCTAGATAGAAAGACACAGACAAGTCAAACAGATGCATTTTTTCCCCTTTTTGTTCACCTCATATATTTTAAACAACGAAGCAAAGGATAGATGAAAGGATCTTTGGATAGATGGATAGATGGATTGATTAGATGAGTAAGCAGGTAGATGGAGAGCGAAACAGAGTGGAGGAGGATGGAATGAAGAAAGTTGTGAGGGAGAGAAATTTCCAGATTGAACAAAAGAAATACGCAACAGAATATAATTGAAAAGTAACTATACTAATATTTTTTACACCCCTTTTATATTGTGATAATAGATTTATGAAAATTATCTAGTTTCTTAGATCCTTACTTAGGTTGTTTTCTTGTTTGGAGAAGAAAAATTTTTGAGATTCATTAATCTTTACCTGATATCTGACATCATTAACAGTATTGTGATTTTGGAACACACGAGAGGACTAGGAGTTACATTTCTATTCCTTTATGCAATGCATACTCCAAAACAAGTGATATGCTTTGGCTGTGCCCTCACACAAATCTCATCTTGAATTTTAGCTCCCGTAATTCCCACATGTTATGAGAGGGACCTGGTGGGAGACAATTGAATCATGGGGGTGGTTTTCCTCACACTGTTGTTGTGGTAGTGAATAAGTCTCATGAGATATGATGGTTTTAATAGGGGAAACCCCTTTCACTTGGTTCTCAGTTCTCTCTTGTCTGCTGCCATGTAAAACGTGCCTTTCACCTTCTGCCACAATTGTGAGGGCTTCCCAGCCATGTGGAACTGTGAGTCCATTAAATATATTTTTCTTTATAAATTACCCCGTCTTGGGTATGTCTTTATCAGTAGCATGAGAACTGACTAATACAGTAAATTGATACCATAGATTGGGGTGCTGTTCTAAAGATACCTGAAAATGTGGAAGCAACTTTGGAACTGGGTAACAGGTAGTAGTTGGAACAGTTTGGAGAGCCCAGAAGAAGACAGGAAAATGTGGGAAAGTTTGGAGCTTCCTGGAGACTTGTTGAATGGCGGCTTTGAACAAAATGCTTATAGTGATATGGACAATAAAGTTCAGGTTGAGGTAGTCTCAGACGGAGATCAGAAATTTGGGAACTGGAGTTAAGGCGACTCTTTAAAAATCTGACTACTCCACTGGATTTTGGACTTGCATGGGCCCTGTAAAGTTCTTTGTTTTGGCCAATTTCACCCATTTGGAACAGCTGCATTTACCCAATACCCATACCCCCCATTGTACCTAGGAAGTAACTAGCTTGCTTTTGATATTACAGGCTCATAGGTGGAAGGCAATTGCCTTGTCTCAGATAAGACTACGGACTGTGGACTTTTGGGCTAATGCTGAAATGAGATAAGACTTTGGGGGACTGTTGGGAAGGCACAGTTGGTTTTGAAATGTGAGGACATGAGATTTGGAGGGGCCAGGGGTGAAATTATATGGTTTGGCTATGTCCTCACCCAAATCTCAGTTTGAATTGTACCTCCCAGAATTTTCATGTGTCATGGGAGGGATCGGGGGAGGTAATTGAATCATGGGGGCCAGTTTTTCTCATGCTGTGCTCCTGATAGTGAATAAGTCTCACAAGATCTGATATGTTTATCAGGGGTTTCCGCTTTCACATCTTCCACATTTTTCTCTTGCCACCACCATGTAAGAAGTGCCTTTCACTTCCCACCATGATTCTGAGGCCTCCCCAGCCATATGGAACTGTAAGTCCAATTAAATCTCTTTTAGTTCTCAGTTTCGGGTATGTCTTTATCAGCAGTGTGAAAACGAACTAATACATGGGACCTTGTAATCATGTGAGTTAATACTTAATAAACATATAGATAGATAGATAGATAGATAGATAGATAGATAGATATTCCATTACTTCTATCCCTCTAGAGAACCCTGACTAATACAATCTCCATTACTGAATAGTATATCTTAATAAGCATTTGGAGTTTGCATTTTGTAGAATAATCCATATTTTTATAGAAGTGAGTGCAAGTATAATGACACTCTATGTAAAACTCTTCTATGTCTCTTACAGTGCTTTAGAGCCCTCAAAAATGGAATCACTGGTGGTTTTTCTTAATTCTTTCATATGGACCTGTATTAGCTTGTTTTCATGCTGTTGATAAAGACACACCCAAGACTGGGTAATTTATAAAGAAAAAGAGGTTTAATGCACTCACAGTTCCACGTGGCTGGGGAAGCCTCACAATCATTACACAAGGTGAAAGGCACGTCCTACATGGTCTCAAAGAAGAGAGAATTGAAGGCCAAGGAAAAGAGATTTTCCCTTATAAAAGCATCAGATCTCGTGAGACTTATTTACTACCATGAAAACAGTATGAGGAAAACTGCCCCCATGATTCAATTATCTCCTACCAGATCCCTCCCACAACATGGGGGAATTATGGAAGCTACAATTCAAAATGAGATTTGGGTGGGGACACAGCCAAACCATATCGTTGTGCCCCTGGCCCCTCCCAAATCTCATGTCCTCACATTTCAATACCAATCATGCTTTCCCAACAGTCCCCCAATCTTAACTCATTTCAGCATTAACCCAAAAGTCCACAGTCCAAAGTCTTATCTGAGATAAGGCAAGTTGCTTCCACCTATGAGCCTGTAATATCAAAAGCGAGCTTGTTACCTCCTAGATACAATGGGGGTACAGTATTGGGTAAATACAGCCATTCCAAATGGGAGAAATTGGCCAACGCCAAGGGGTTACAGGACCATGCAAGTCTGAAATCCAGTGGTGCAGTCAAATTTTAAAGTCCCAAAATGATCTCTCTTGACTCCAGGTCTCACATCCAGGTCATGCTGATACAACAGATGGGTTCCCATGGTCTTGGTCAGCTCTGCTCCTGTGTCTTTGCAGGGTACAGCCTCCCTCCTAGCTGCTTTCCCAGGCTGGCATTGAATGTCTGCTGCTTTTGCAGGCACATGGATCAAGTTCTCAGTGGATCTACCATTCTGGGGTCTGGAAGACAGTGGCCCTCTTCTCACAGCTCCACCAGGCTGTGCCTCAATAGGGACTCTGTGTGGGGGCTCTGATCCCACACTTCCCTTCTGCAATGCCCTAGCAGAGATTCTCCATGAGGGCCCCACCCCTGCAGCAAACTTTTGCCTGGGAATCCAGGTGTTTCCATATGTCTTCCAAAATCTAGGCAGAGATTCCCAAACCGCAATTCTTGACTTCTGTGCATCTGCAGGCTCAGCACCACGTGCAGGCTTGGGGCTTCCATCCTCTGAAGCCACAGCCCAAGCTCTGTGTTGCCCCCTTTCAGCCACAGCTGGAGCAACTGGGTCACAGGGCCCTGCCCACAAAACCTTCTTTTCCTCCTGGGCCTCTGGGCCTGTGGTGGGAGGGACTGCTGTGAAGACCTCTGACATGCTCTGGAGACATTTTCCCCATGGTCTTGGTAATTAACATTGGGCTCCTTGCTACTTATGCAAATTTCTGCAGTCAGCTGAATTTCTCCACCAAAAGTGAATTTTTCTTTTCTACCATATAGTCAGGCCACAAAGTTTGTGAACTTTTGTGCTCTGTTTCCCTTTTAAAACTGAATGCCTTTAACAGCACCCAAGTCACCACTTGAATGCTTTGCTGCTTAGAAATTTATTTTGCCAGATACCCTAAATCATCTCTCTGAAGTTCAAAGTTCCACAAGTCTCTAGGATGGGGCAAAATGACACCAGTCTCTTTGCTAAAACATAAGAAGAGTCACCTTTGCTTCAGTTCCCAACAAGTTCCTCATCTCCACCTGAGACCACCTCAGCCTGGATCTTATTGTTCCTATTGCAATCAGCATTTTGGGCAAAGTCATTCAACAAGTTTCTAGGAAGTTTCAAACTTTTCCACATTTTCCTTTTTTCTTCTGAGCTCTCCAAACTGTTCCAAGCTCTGTCTGTTACCCAGTTCCAAAGTCGCTTCCACAGTTTCAGGTATCTTTTCAGCAATGCCCCACTCTTGGTAGTACCAATTTCTGTATTAGTTTGTTTCATGCTGCTGATAAAGACATACCGGAAACTGGGAAGAAAAAGAGGTTTAGTTGGACTTACAGTTCCACATGACTGGGGAGGCCTCATAATCATGGCAGGAGGCAAAAGCCACTTCTTACAGGGCGGTGGCAAGAGAAAAATGAGGAAGAGGCAAAAGCGGAAACCCCTGATAAACCCATCAGATCTCGTGAGTCTTATTCACCATCATGAGAATAGCATGGAAAAGACCGGCCCCCATGATTCAATGACCTCCCTCTGGGTCACAACCACAACACGTGGGAATTCTGGGAGATACAATTCAAGTTGAGATTTGGGTGGAGACATAGCCAAACCATATCATCACACAATAAGCCATCTGCAGGCTGAGGAGCAAGGAGAGCCAGTCCAAGTTCCAAAACTGAAGAACATGGAGTCCAATGTTCTAAGGCAGGAAGCATCCAGCACAGGAGAAAGATGTAGGCTGGGAGGCTAGGCCAGTCTCTCTTTTCACTTTTTTCTGCCTTCTTACATTCTAGCCCTGCTGCCAGCTGATTAGATTGTGCCCACCTAGATTAAGGGTGGGTCTGCCTTTCACAACCCACTGACTCAAATGTTAATTTCTTTTGGCAACACTCTCATAGACAAACACAGGATTAGAACTTTGTATCCTTCTGTCCAATCAAGTTGACACTCAGTATTAACCATCACAAGTCCACCACTTGTCAACTTGAACCCATACACATCTCCTGAGATTATACATAATCTTCAAATAAAGAAAATAATAAGTTCATAATAATATCTGACATAATACAACTATCCTTCATGCAACCAGAAATGCACCATTTCCCAACCCAAATACTATTACAGGAAGTCAACAATACTTAAATGCTGATGTGAAGTCAATAAATCTTACATTACATGATAAAAAAGAAAGGAAATAAAACGAATATATTTTCTTAGTACAAGCATATAAATGCACAAAGATGTTTTTAACAAAAGGAGTAGGAAATACTCATGACAATTACAGTCCTCATTTCTGGAGTTGCTCCTCACTTCTGCAGCTGGTCACATGGTCATAGCTGGTATTGATGACTACTTTCTTCTACTACCCATTCTGAATACACTTTGCCTTCAGCAAGCACCTCAGCAGGTCATAGTTTTTTCCTGATGGAGTGACCCAAACCTTCATATCTGAAGGGTCCAAGCCATTTGTAGTCCTGCCTGGATTGGGCTGTTGTAGTTTCCCATTGACCTTAATCACAGGGCACGGTAATAATATGAGATTCCCTAATGGATCTCCTGTACTCCATGCACACTCTTCCTTACCTCTGTTATGGAGTAGTAGACTGATTTCTTCCTGATAGCAGAGGTCAATCACCCCAGCCAACACTGTATCTTTCATCTTAGCCTGTTGACTTAAATGCAGAAGGAGCCCAAAATGTCCAGGTGGTAATCTTAACTTCCAGTTTAATGGAATCGTTGTTGTTCTCCTGATGGCAGCGTTCCTCCCTCTGGAACTAAGACCTCTAGGCCAGCAAAACATAATGTTGCGGGAACAGGAAGCAAAAATTTTGCTGGTGGATCACTGGGGGTGATGGTGAGTGGTGCCACTTACACCTCCACCCCTTGATTCCTGGACCCATAAATCATGGCTATGGGAGAAACAATATTATATATTGGATGCTGATTCAGAGCATCAGCCTTCTAGAGAACTTTGCCCCAGCCCTGCTAAGTATTGTCACCTAGCTGGCATTGTAATTGTGACTTCAAAAGGCCATTCCACCATTCTGTCAATCAAGCTGCTTCAGGATGAAGGGGAACATGGTAAGACCAGTGAATTCCATGAGCATGAGCCCACTGCTGCACTTCTTTAGTGAGTGCCTTGATCAGAGGGAATGCTGTGTGGAATACCATGATGGTGGATAAGGCATTCTGTGAGTCCACGGATGGTAGTCTTGGCAGAAGCACTGCATGCAGGATAGGCAAACCTATATCTGGAATAAGTGTTTATTCCAATGAGGACACACTGCTGCCCTTTCCATGATGGAAGAGGTCCAATATAATTAACCTGCCACCAGGTAGTTGGCTTGTCACTCCAAGGAATGGTGCTATATCGAAGGCTCAGTGTTGGTCGCTGCTGCTGGCAAATTGGGCACTCAGCAGTGGATGTAGCCAGGTCAGCCTTGGTGAGTGGAAGTCCGTGTTGCTGGGCCCATGCATAACCTCTATCCCTGCCACCATGGCCACTTTGTTCATGGCCCATCGGGCGATGACAGGGGTGGCTGGGCAAAGAGGCTGATTGCCGTCCACAGAATGGGTCATTCTATCCATTAGATTATTAAAATCCTCCTCTGCTGAGGTCACCCATTGAGGAGCACTCTCATGGGATACAAATATTTTGACATCTGACATGCACCTTCTTAGTTTATTACTACTTTTATGTATAGAAGTTATTTTGTAATACAAGCAAACAGTTAAACTCATTGTATTCATATCTTAGTTGAATTTCTTTTTAAAATTAGACCTAGACGAGAACAGAGCTTAGAAGGAAGACCACACAAAGTAGAAGAGGCTTACTAATAAAAATATGGTGTAAGATGAAAAGGCACTGATTATTTGAGAAAAGAAAATTAATGTTGGTGTAGTGGTGGCAGCAGGTGGAATGCCCTGGTTGAAAGGAGTAGCATTTGTATGTTGGGTATGTAGTCAAATCCTGGCATAGATGTAGTACTTAGTTAATATGGGTTTTTAATAAATCAGAATAGAGGGATTTACTCAATGGAATAAAAAAGCACAGAAAACAACCTTAGTATCTCTTAGAGTTGTAAAGGGCCCAAGAGACTTTTTCTCCTTTTAATTCATTTAAGAGTTGTTCCTAGATATAGCCAACCTCAAGGCAAAGTGAGGAAACCCTGGTGGACTTGCTGAAGGTTTAGGAAGCAGCCTCAAATTCTGGACTATGAGATCAAAAGAGCAAGGACAAACTGTGAGTCCAGAATGGCACATTTGGAAGTCTTAAAATATCTAAGGACAGCCATTGGTCATCATTAAGTATCACTATATAGTATGGTCTTGTCTGATGAGAGGATGCGGGTTGGAATGAGTGTGAGTTCTATATTCAGCAAGGAAAATAGGAATTTCCCTGGAAAATTACCCTGAAAACATTCCTATTTACTCAAAAACTCCATAATATTAATGATTTATGTATATAAGTTTAACAATAATGTATATGGGTAAATGGATTATTTGTATAAGTGTGTAAAAATAATATATATAAAATATATTTATATATACAAATACAAACATATTTCTGAATCTTTAAACACTAAAAATATTCAAACATTAAGAATAAAGTGAAATGGAGACTACTGGGAGCAAATTTACAGCTCTTAACTCACTGTCATTCCAGGTCGTGCTCATTGAAATGATTAACTCATTTAGCTAGGCCTCTCTCTCTCTCTTTCTCTGTCACCTTCTTTCCATTTTTCTTTTTTTCTTTCTACTTGATCCCCTACTCTACTCCTGCCTAGACAGGCTCTGAAGTTCTCCCTGCTGTGTTCTGTTACGCTAGAGGGCCATAGCTAAGATTCCCTCACCAAGCATGACCCATAGTGCCAGTGCTATGCTGCCATGCCATCTGTTTATCTCATTTTCGCTTTTGTTTCTGCCTATTTTTCCTTCTCCTCCCCTCTGCATTTTGTCTCCTGTTGTATCTATTAATAAACATTCTGGCTTTAGTTATAGAGATTGCTATGTTTTACCAAATCCAATATATTTCCTGTGTCTGGGCAAGCAGTTGTACTCACTATTCTGGGTAATTTATTTGTATTATTTTAACCCCTAGTAACTAACTCCAGCTTTTATCACACACTTTTTTAATGTTTTCTTTATATTTTTAGCTTTTCTATTCTATCTTGATTACTATAGAAAATAGGCAACATATATTTTCACACTGGAAATTATCAAATAGAGCATTTAAGAAATACCTGAAAATATGTGAAGTGCTATAATAGCAACAACAGAAGGAACATAAAGTATCCTCCCAACTGTGCTTTAATCTGGTTATAAAAACATGTCAGAGCGCACACACGCTTGTGCACACACACACATGCACACGCACCCACACACACCGGTACCATGAATTCAACTGGTATCAAGACATTGCAACCAGAGTTTCATGTCTAGTGCTGTAACAATGGCTGATGTTTGGAGTTATGTATTCTACTCAAAATTAATAGGCATGAAAGAAAAAAAGGAGGGACTTATTAACTGAAGGAAGGATATATTCAAATCAATATGTTACCCCATGAAGTTATCTTCCCAGCGTGAGCATAATTAAAAACACAATTATGGTTTTCCATTACCAGAAAATATTTTTGGGTAACAAAATTAAAGTATTTAATTTTTAGAATAAGCTTATGTGTTCAGCATGAAAATACATTTTCAAAAGAAATTATACATTAAATCAAGTCTATAAGTAATGCATATGTTTTCTGAGCATTCAACTTAAAGAAAAAAGGTATAAATAGAATGGCATTTAGTTGATGTGAATAGGTTACCATTTGTTTCTCTGTGATCCAAGGGGAAATAACCAGAGGAAGTATGCATTTTAACATAGTTTTAGCATTCCATGTCTAAGGAAACAAACATGGTTATTGTGGATAATAAAACAATAGTAGTGAAATATAAAAAAAAGACACTTGAACAGTTCCTGAATAGTGAATTTTGCTCCCAAGATGCATCCTGGCACACTATAGATGGTAAGGAACAATAATGAATTGACTTTTATTGTCATTGATTTGTTGCTATGGTGACTTTTTGGGATGACAGAAGTCAGCATAGTCAAAGTGACTCTAATTCGGGAGTCTGTGATCCAAACCAGAGACAAATGAACATTGTACAGAAATTAGGGACCTCATTTTAATCTCCTATAGATGCTGTTTATTATAATATTACATTTGTTTTGATAGTTTTTGTTGTTGTTGTTGTTCACAGAAATTTACAAATTCACCATGAATCCACTCTGGAATATTCAAGAGCTAGTGTTCATCTAGCACAACTGATAACACTAGGAAACAATGCCTAAAATAGCTTTTGGAACATAGAATGGAGAATATTTATTACAAGAATTGAATGAAGTCTGGGGGGTGACAACTTAGTGACAATTTTCCCTGTTGCTGTGCATGAAGCTTGCACATTGAGGCCTTGTTCAGTTGCTGAGGTACAGAAAGGACCAAAAAGAACATGCTGATATATAAAAGAAAAAAGGAAAAAAATGTGCTCTAAACAAATAAGGCCAACTATCTGGAAATATCCCCCCGTTGTCCTAAGATATAACATTGCCGAATGTGACAGGCTGTGGGTCCTGTCTCATGGGATGTGTTGCAAAGAGTAGACAACTGAAATGCTTGCTTAAAATCTTCATTAAAAACATCTACATTATAAAGCCTCCATGTCACTAGAGAATGGAGACATTATGTAGCTCATTACAGTTTGTGCAGCATACTGTCTAGGGACCCCTTGCCCAGTGGGAGCTCTTAGTAGCAGAATCCTTGGCAGGCATTTTTCTGCAGGGAAAGTATTTCTGTTGGAAACACTGTGAATCATGCATAAGCACTTCATAAGAATCCCCTTTCAGAAATGTCACAAAATGGACAACAGCACAGTATAATAAAAAACCACTAGCCTGAGAACCAGAAGACAGTATTTCTAAGTCTGGCAATGCCATTAAACAGTCTAGATGACCTTAAGTGACCTTAGGTTGGCCTCACTTTCCTCAGCTGCAAAATGAAGGCTTTGGATTAAACCATCTCTAAGCAATTTCACCTCAAAAATCTTACGGTTCTTTTTAGCATTGCTGTGTCTTTCTTTCCCCAGAGAGTGATTCCTTGGACTAATTGGAAATAAGGTAAAGGTTTATACTGAAAAAGGAATTGGTAGGCGACAATTCATTTGTATTACTGTATTTCTTCAGAGACAATCTGGAGCATATCTTTTTTGTCAAATGTGAGATTTATTTAAAAGAGATTTAGTGCAACACAGATCAACCACAATTTAGCCATCTTCAGGGAAAAGAGAAAATAAACACAGCACAGTTGTGAGTAGTAAATGGCATATTGTAAGTTTCAGCACAAAATGATCCAACAGAAAGTCTAATATAAGTATCAAACTATTACATATGATATGATATCTATTTACAACTTTTCTCTCCATAAAATACATTTCTATTGGGGTTTATTCATTATAAAAATTAGTGTTATGGGAAAATAATGGAAGGGTTTTTACAAATCCAAAGTTAATTTGGATTTTTCAATGGTAAAATAATTCTAACATGTTTTATTGATTTATACTTTTATTTTTTTTTGCATTTTACTCTTTGTCAAGAATACCTTTTATTTAAATTATCAGTGCCAATGGAAAATGACATGAAAATTATTTTCAGAGTATATCATATGTTCATATATCTATAATCACATACAACCTACAATTGTTTGTTTCAAAGACAACTCAGTCTCAATCTACCCACAAATGAACTCAAATTATCCTTCCCAAGCATCCTCTTACTTATGTGTCCTTTAATGGTGTCATTACCTACCTGTCATCTAGTCAGAAGCTTCATTTAGTCATAAGCCTCTCTTTTTGCTCCATTGCCATTTAAATAATTGACAACCTAAGGCCAATTTTAACTCTTTTACAAATTTTAAATATATCATCTCCTCTTCATTCATAGGGGCATTGACTTACTCTAGACATTCATACCTTCTCATCTGAAATAATTAAGGCCTTTACCTAGCTGATCTCTCTGCCCCTGGACTCAACCTTCTCTCATTGATTCTCAGTACTGCTACCAGATTGTTTCAAAATATAAAATGATCATGCCACTATTTGGCTTAAAAGTGTTTGATGGCTTACTATTCCTTCAGGATAAGATTCAGTTTTATAGTACTGTCCGCAGGGTTCTGTATGATCTGTCTGCCCCTCTCTACTGTCCTTTCCTCATTTCCTGTCATTTCCTCACAAGTATCTGCACTCTAGTTACAATAATCAGGAAATCCTCACCAGCTTGTGAGTACAAATAAAATCACAGAGACACGATTGAGGATGGGCTGTACTAGATAACAATAATCATTGATGGTTAGAACAGAATGGACTCATACACAGAGTGAATTATATCTGAGCTACATCCTAAATCAACATATCCTGGCTTATCACCACAATGTTCCTTGCCAAGTCTTTCTGCTCAGCTACATGGCTGTCTCATTATCTGATTATTAGCTTTCATTCATGTTCAGAAGACTTATTTCTCTGGTAGCTTATGAGCAATATGAATCTCTAGAATCTAAGGTTGGCAAGTTGCAAAAAGAGAAGGAATATTCAACACCTGTCCAGGATCTATGTCTTCCAAGAATAATTGAGAGAAGAGATGTTTACCACAGTCAGTAAAAATTCTACTCATGTTGAACAGAGGTGTAGCTCTCCCATGGACCCCAAAAAAGAAGAATGTGAGGGAAAGCTCCCAAGCACATGGCTTAAGCATGGAAGTTTAGTACTGAGGTGATTTTTTCATTCAACAACTATTTCTGAGCATCAACTATTTGTAAAATATTGTCCTAGGAACTGAGGATAGAAGAAGTCCCTGCGCTCAAAAAACTAACATTTCATTTTTGGAGACTAATAGGATAAAAATAAAGCAATAACTCTAATGTCAGGTAGTGGTGAGCATTATATAGAAAAATAATTTTGGGCAAGGGTTTAGAACCTGGTAGGGTAAAAAACAAGGCATTTATTTTTGAGGAGGTGGTTAGGAAATGAAGTGTGAAATTAATTTTCCTGCAGTATATGAAGTATTGTACCAGAGTATTAAAAGATATGTAATATTTTATTGATAAATCTATTCTTTAAAAGGAATACATTTTAGGATGTCATCACTTTGATGTGAATCATGTAAATGTTGATAATATTCTGTGTATTACACATTTAGTGTTTCAAGAGATTCACTTAATTGCCTTTTTGCCATGTATATTATGTGGTCTATTTGCAACTGTTTTTTTAAAAAAGATATTAAAAGAATAGTTACATAGAGAAACATTAGTGGATGTTAATTGTCTCCCCACCTATATTTATGGGTGTTAGCGCAACTGCTTTGCTAGTTGCAAAGCTGTATTATCAGAGTAAAAGTGTATTTGTATACTGTATGGGAACTAAAAATTAAGAATAAAACCATTTTCTTATTAAAAAAAAAAAGCAAAAGGAAAAGAGGCCTGAGCAAATGAAGTTTGAGCAGATGACTGAATGAAGTAAGGAAGTCCTATGAGACTATTTGGGGTGGCTGGATTTTGTTTGGAATGAAAAGTTAGTATATATTTCTGAAACAGAAGTAATCTTTGGGTGTTTGAAGGATGGTTGTAAGGCCAGTGTAACCTGAGTAGAATAGGTCACAGTAACGAAAATAGTAAGAGAGGTAGTGAGGAACTACGTGATACTGGGTCTGATAGACGTTGGTTAAGATTTTGGGTTTTATTCTAAGTTATAAGGATGTGTGTGTAATACTTTTTAATATCTGAAAAGCCATGCACTCTCACAATTTCTATTTCAAAATATCTATACATTCTCTCATATAGTTTATTTTTTATTTATTTTTTAAATGTTTTCTGTTTTGTTCTTTCTTAAAAAGTTATGGACAGTTTCTTTTACTGTGCAGAAGCTCTTTAGTTTAATTAGATCCCATTTGTCAAGTTTGGCTTTTGTTGCAATTGCTTTTGGTGTTTTAGTCATGAAGTCCTTACCCATGCCTATGTCCTGAACAGTATTGCCTAGATTTTCTTTTAGGGTTTTTATGGTTTTAGGTTTTACATTTAAATCTTTAATCCATCGTAAGTTAATTTTTGTATAAGGTCTAAGGAAGGGGTCCAGTTTCAGTTTTCTGCATATGGCAAGCCAGTTTTCCCAACACCATTTATTAAATAGGGAATCTTTCCCCATTGTTTGTTTTTGTCAGGTTTGTCAAAGATCAGATGATTGTAGATGTGTTGTGTTATTTCTGAGGCCTCTTTTCTGTTCCTATATATCTGTTTTGGTACCAGTACCATGCTATCGTCAGAGTGAACAGGCAACCTACAGAATGGGAGAAAATTGTTTCAATGTATCCATTTCACAAAGAGGTAATATCCAGAATCTACAAGGAACTTAAACAAATTTACAAGAAAAAAACAAACAACCATATTAAAAGGTGGGCAAAGAATATGAACAGACACTTTTCAAAAGAATACATTTATGCAGCCAACACATATATAAGAAAAAGCTCGTAATCACTGGTCATTAGAGAAATGCAAAGCAAAACCACAATGAGATACCATTTCATGACAGTTAGAATGATGATCATTAAAAAGTCAGGAAACAACAGATGCTGGAGAGGACATGGAGAAATAGGAATGCTTTTACACTGTTGGTGGGAGTGTAAATTAGTTCAACCATTATGGAAGACAGTGTGGCAATTCCTCAAGGATATAGAACTAGAAATACCATTTGACCCAGCAATTCCATTACTGGGTATATACCCAAAATATTATAAATCATTCTACTATAAAGACGCATGTACAAGTATGTTTATTGCAGCACTATTCACAATAGCAAAGACTTGGACCCAACCCAAATGCCCATCAATGTTAGACTGCATAAAGAAAATGTGGCACATATACACCACGGAATACTATGCAGCCATAAAAAGAATGAGTTCATGTCTTTTGCAAGGACATGGATGAAGCTGGAAACCACCATTCTCAGCAAACTAACACAGGAACAGAAAACCAAACACTGCATATTCTCAGTCATAAGGGAGTTGAACAGTGAGAACATATGGGCACAGGGAGAGGAACATCACACACCGGGGCCTTTTGCGGGTGGGGAGCAAGGGGAGGAATAGCATTAGGAGAAATACCTAATGTAGATGACGGGTTGAGGGGTGCAGCAAACCCCTATGGCACATGTATACCTATGTAACAAACCTGCACATCTGCACATGTATCCCAGAACTTAAAGTATAGTAATAAAAAAGTTATGGATACATAATAGTTGTACATATTTATGGGGTATATGTGACATTTTGATATAAGCAATATATAATAATCCAATTAGTGTAACTGGGGTATCCATTACCTCAAGTATTTATCATTTCTTTGTGTTAGGAACATTCCAATTCCACTCTTTTAGTTTTGTGAAATATATAAAATATTTTTAACTATAGTCACTTTAATGTGCTACTGTACACTAGATATTATTTCTATCTAGACGTATTTTTGTATTCATTTGTCATACCCTCTTTACCCTCCTCTCCCATTACATTTCCAAGTTTCTGGTAACCATCATTCTTCTCTATATTTCCCTGAGTTCAGTTTTTCTTTTAGCTCCCACATATGAGTGAGAACATGAGATACTTGTTTTCCTATGCCTGGTTTGATTCACTTTACATAAGGTCCTCCAGTTTCATCCATGTCGTTGTTAATGACAGGACTTTATTGTTTCTTATGGCTGAATAATATTTTATTGTGTATATACCCCACATTTTCTTTATCCATTGAACCACTGATGGACACTTAGGTTGATTCCATATCTTGGCTATTGTGGCTAGTGCTGCAGTAAACATGAGAGTGCAGACATCTCTTCCATACACGCATTTCCTTTCTATTGGATATATACCCAGCAATGGGATTCCTGGGTAGTTCTATCTCCAGTGTTTTTGAAGAACCTCAATACTGTTCTCCATAGTGACTATAACTTAATTTTCCAGTTATTTTATATTTCTGTTAAAATTGTATCTTTTAATTTTTTTCTCATTTCAGTTATTTTGTTGCTTCTGTAAAATATTCTTGGATTTCTTTATCATATGTTCAATACATTCTAATGCTTATACTATTTCTAGTATTTAACTTATTTTACAATTCCACCATATAGTCTATAAGTAATGATAAATTGGTCTCTTCTTCATTAGAATTTATCACTTATTTTGACTTGGCTCTCAGTTTGGACATTGTTGGTGTACAGAAATGCTTCTGATTTTTGTACATTGATTTTGTATCCTGAAACTTTGCTGAAGTTGTTTATCAGATCTAGGAGCTTTTAGGCTGAGACTATGGGGAACACAACGGAGTTCACAGTATGCACAAAAATAATAAAATACCTAGGAATACAGCTAAACAGGGAGATGAAAGATTTCTACAATGAAAGTTATGAAACACTGCTCAAAGAAATCAGAGATTACACAGACAAATGGGAAAACATTCCATGCTTGTGGACAGGAAGAATCAATAATACTGCCCAAAGCAATTTACAGATTTATTGCTATTCCTATCAAACTAACAACGATACTCTTCACAAAAATAGAAAAAAAAACTATTTAAAAATTCATATGGAACCAAAAAAGAGCTTGAATAGCCAAGGCAACCCTAAGCAAAAAGAACAAAGTTGGAGGCATCACATTACCCAACCTCAAACTGTATTATAAGCGTACAGTAATTAAAACATGGGACTGGTACAAAAACAGACACATAGACCAACAGAACAGAACAGAACCCAGAAATAACGCCAAATACCTACAAACATCTGTACTTCAACAAAGTTGACAAAAACAAGCAGTGGGGAAAGGTGCTTCAATAAATGGTGCTGGGATAACTGGCTAGCCACATGTAGAAGACTGAAACCGGAGCCCTTCCTTATAGCATATACAGAAATCAACTCAAGATGAATTAAAGACTTAAATGTAAAACCTAAAACTATAAAAACTCTGGACAATAACCTAGGAAATACCATTCTGGACACAAGCCCTGGCAAAGATTTTATAACAAAGATGCCACAAGCAATTGCAACAAAAACAAAAACTGACAAGTGGGACCTAACTAAAGAGCTTCTTCTGCACAGCAAAAGAAACTATCAACAGAGTAACCACACAACCTACAGAATAGTGGAAAATATTATATTTGCGAACTATCTATCTAGCAAAAGTCTAATATCTGGAATCTATAAGGAACTTAAACAAATTTAAAAGCAGAAAACAAGAAACTCCGTTAAAAAGTGGGCAAAGGACACAAACAGACACTTTTCAAGAGAAGACATATACACAGAGCCAACAAGCATATGGGAAAATGCTCAACATCCCTAAACATTAGAGAAATGAAAATCAAAACGGCAATGGGATACCATCTCATATTAAAAGGGCCAACTATGTTAATAGGGCTACTATTAAAAGTGCCAAAAATAACAGATGCTGGAGGTGTTGCAGAGAAAAGGGAACACTTATACACTACTGGTGGGAGTGCAAATGAATTCAACCGTTGTGGAAAGCAGTGTGGTGATTCCTCAAGGACCTAAAAGTAGAACTTATTTTGCTGTCTTTTTCTTTTATGGCTTAAAATCTTCAACTTATAGTCTGTATTATAGCAATTGTAAGTATTATTGTCTTCTTCTTATTTCATCGAGGTGCACTTTAGATTTAAGCCATTTCATATGTTTCATGTTTGCTGATGGTTTCTGATGAATACTCTTCTTTATGTCAAATATTATAGTAAAAGAGATTTAATACTAACATAGATGAATCACAGTTTAGGCATCTTCAGGTGAAAGACAAACCTCAGCAAAATTATAAATGGTATATTTTAAGTTCAATGCAAAGTTATCAAACAGAAAGCCTAATATAAGTATAAAGCTATTAGAATTATGTGAAATACATGTAAACACTTCCTTTTGCTCTTTTGTTTATAACTTGTTTAAGTAATTGTTGAAGAATATTTTGAAAAGTGTTTCTTATTTTATTGTATTTTTATAAAAAGATGTATCCTCTATCTGTTAATACATTGAAAATGTATTAAAGTTTTATTTGTGGGCTATTATATATTCAGATTTTGTGTCTGTTCTATAAACATAGTACAATAACATGTACATGCAGTTATAGATTGAGCTTGTTGAGTTTTTCTATTAAAATTGTTCATGTCTTTCTCCTCCTCTATCCCACTGGTTGAATTGTCAATGCTCAGGAAAACATCTTAAAATTTTCTATTATGTTTATTGATTTAGCAATTTCTCTGTTTATTTCTAAAGTGTTTTGTTTTGTTTATGTCTTGTCCTGCTGATTATCTTGATGGGTTGCCCTATTATTAAAATTATTCATCTTTTTACCATTTAAGCTTTTGTCCTTAAATGACATTATATCAAATTGAAAATTAATAACCATTTTTTTTGCCTATCATTTATTTTCAAGTCACATTTTGCCATTTTGCTTTAGGTGTGTTTCTCCTTGGCAGATTTTACAGTTTGTATTTGTTTAGTCAAAACTGAGTCTTTGTCTTTGAATACCATATTATTTACCCACTCTTTTTCATAGGTGATGTAGTTGATTTCATTTCTTTGATAACAGGTATTTGTTCCCATATTTTAAAATGCACTATAAACATATTATTTATTTATTTTTTCTTTCCTGGGAAAATATTGGCTGATTGATCGGGTTTTCTAAAGTTCTATTTATCTCTACAAATATTACTGCTCACAAACACAGTATTCTCTTCTATTTGGGATTAACCAAAATTTTGAATATACAATTATAATATAGAATTGTAAGTGTTATTGTCTTGTTCTTAATTTCATTCAGGGGCACTTTAGATTTTAGCCATTTCATAGAATGTTTGCTGATAGCTTCTAAGGAATTATCTGTTTATGTCAAATATTATGTTAAAAGAGATTTAGTACTAACATATATGATGGTACTAAACATATTTTTCATGCCATATTCATAAAGTTTATGCATATATTCATTTAAAAACTTTATAAATTTATATTTATCATAAACACTATTTCTCATACTCAGTGTATTCTACCTTGAGATATTTCATCTTATTTAATTTTCATTTGGGTGGAGCAGGTCTTCTAGTAATTATCACCCAGAAAATTCAGGAGTGATATACTTTCTGAATAATTTTACATTATGTTGTACCTACTTTTAGCCCTTAAATATGTATGATATATTGGTTGAGTGTAAATATTAATGTTGCAGTACTTTTCTCTCATGTTTCTGTAAATATTCTTTACTTTTTTCTAGATTCTAATACCGCAATGAGAAGTCTAATACCAGTCTATGTATTTTTTCCAGAGTGACAGGTTTAGTTCAAGGCTAGCAATTCTTTTGTGACCATATATACCTCTAAACAATGACAATTTACTCACACTCTTTCTTGAAAACCCAAAGCCACAGTGAGCTTGGACTTCTTCTCCAGATTCATTAGTTAATTCACAGTTTAACTATAATTTTTTAATACTTTTTTTTGTTTGTTTAGAAAGGTAGGAGGATAAGGAATAATGAGCACATGCTTGGGCTACCTTCCTAGATTCTTTCTAAAGTATATTTTTAAAAATCCTGACAGCCAAAACCAATTGTTTAATTTACCATTTAAGAAGAATAATTTAGAAGAAAACAAAACTCAATTTATTTACTTGTAATGATTTATATAAAAAATTAAACATGTAGTTTTATCTTCCCTTTTCCTGTAAAATGTCACATAATGTACCAAGTGAAATGAGAAAACAATAAAAATGTTAAAAACTGAAAGGAAAGAATCTGAAATACGTTGAACTGCCCACACAAGAAATATTCTAATTCTTGGAGCTTCAGTAGAAATATTTTAAAATAAAAAAATGTTGCCTTGGACATTTCTTTAAAAAATGAATTTATTAGGAAGGAAAGAATAAAAGCAGTATCCTTGAATAATAACAACTTCCTAAGATTTGAGTAAATGAGGCAGAAACACAAAACCTCAATGTATAATTGTCAACATTTCATAACATGAATATTGTGATGGGCTGTTAACCATTTTCCCCCCACTGGCCTCAGATATTAACATTACCATGAGAATACTTAGGATATTTTTTGTTTTTTATGAAGCATTAATGCACTTTGATATCACTAGCCAAATACAAAAGAAAGCAGAGCATAAAGTGGCTAACAGGAGGATTAAAAGCAGAGCATAAAGTGGCTACTCAGGCAGGAGGAATTTAAATACCAATGTCAGCATCTAGAGAATATTAGATTTTTGTTCTGAAATGGCTGAAAGTCTCAGGCAAATAATAAACAGCAAACTCAGAGAAATGCTGAGGGATTGAAAGTCATAGCTTTATAATACCTCTTTTATTTTATGCTATTCTATTGAAAAGTGACTTAAATATAGAATTTCAGAAGAAAATAAAAATGATGCTCCTTGATACAAAGGTATGTTTCTGTATATCTCTTAACTCGATGGAGAGCCCTTGAAGTATATCATAACATCTCTGTATTAACAGAAGCTTCACATAACCTGCAAGTTCCTGCCTCTGGCATTCACCAGAGACACAAAGACATTACGAGAGGAAAGCTACCCTTCCCTTTATCTAATAACAGTTCCCTTGAGAGAATCCCAAAGGCACTAAGGCATGCTTTCTAGTATCACAGGAAGAACCAGAAATTGCCTTTCCTTTTCTTTTTTAACTCCATTCTCTGCAACAATAACTAAGTATAGTTTTTCTCTTGTCACCCTAAAGTAACCTTTGGCCCTTCAGTCTTCTCTGATATACGACAGGACAAAAATACCTACAAAAATGTCAAGTGACCTTTTGTTTTTCATTGCAGATCAGAATTCTCTCAAATAATCACACAGCTACCTCATGCTCAAACAGAAATTAGTGATGGTTAGCTACAAGCAAAATTTTTAAAATTGCCAGTTGACATGCAGAAGCAATCATGGCCTTATAGCATACTTCATTCTCAACATGTTTGATTAAGTAATAATATTTATATATCTTGGAAGGAGCTGGAAGAAAGGTGGAGATAAATTACTATTATCCTGTTGTTCTATTTATCCTAGTTATTTATATAAATTACTATATTACCCTATTGTTTTAAATTACTATTATCCTATTGTTTATCTGAGGCCCAGAGGGTTTAAGGCATTTATTTCACAAGAACACAGTTATAATTAGTGATCTAAAACACTAAAAAAAGACGCTAAAATATTATATTATTAACATTGGAAATATGAATATGCAAAATATGTGTGCCCCAGGGAAATTTAGTACTTAGATTTAGTGCTAAAATTTCAACTAAATTCTCAATTAACTCTGTTTTTCATTTATTTCTGAGTTCCAAGAGGACGCTGGATCTTAACTTTAACCTTAACCATTATTCTCAAGCATCTAGACCCATCGTCTCTTTATCATTATATTTAATTTAACTGACACTTAAGTGCCTGCAGGGCATAGGCCTCTAAAGAGTTATGACAAGAACACACAGTATCTAGGAGGCATATGACGGTTCCTTTAACTCATCATTTAAAGCCATCCCTCCAATCACCCTCTTTTTTTTATTATTATACTTTAAGTTCTAAGGTACATGTGCAGAACGTGCAGGTTTGTTACATACGTATACATGTGCCATGGTGGTTTGCTTCTCCCATCAACCGGTCATCTACATTAGGTATTTCTCCTAATGCTATCCTTCCCCTAGCTCCCCACCCCTTGACAGACCCCTGTGTGTGATATTCTCCTCCCTGTGTCCATGTGCCAATCACCCTCTTAACCTCACTGAAACTTTGTCTCTATTCATACTTTTATCTATCTACCATATAATGTCAGAAAGAAATGAATATGTCCTTCTTTCAAAGCTGACCCTGAGCTTTCATCTGTTCCCCTTCAAAACATCACTTCCCTTATTACTAAATCTTCTTTCGAATTTTATCACTATGTTCCTTTCTACTGACTCTTTCCACTCTGACATCATACAGCTAAAGTTCTCATATTTTTAAAAATTATTTTACTTTCTTGATTCTGCATAAGCAACTTTCTCTCTTAACCCAGGATTCTATCTAATACTTTGACAGTATGCTTTCAGTAAGCATTCCTAAATGCTTATGTAAGTTATTCATAGCCCTTAAAAGGCCCTTTTAAAGCCAGGTGCAGTGGCTCATGCCTGTAATCCCAGCACTTTGGGAGGCCGAGGCAGGTGGATCACCTGAGCTCAGGAGTTAGAGATCAGCCTGGCCAACATGGTGAAACCCTGTCTCTACCAAAAATACAAAATTAGCTGGGTGTGGTGGTACTCGCCTGTAGTCCCAGCTACTCGGGAGGTTGAGACAGGAGAATCGCTTGAACCTGGGAGGTGGAGGCTGCAGTGAGCTATGATCGCACCACTGCACTCTAGCCTGGGCAAGGCAGAGTGAGACTCCGTCTAAAAACAACAACAACAACAACAACAACAACAACAACAACAACAACACCTACAAGGCCCTTTTAAATTACTCTTATTTACCTGGGAAACGTTTCATGTTTTCTCATTCTACAAATAGGTCACCTCCTTAAATGTAGTCTTAAATTCCTTGGGCAAACTTAGTTGCTACTATTTCTGTGCTTCTTCAATATGCTATAAATTTTACATTTCTTGCATATTCTTGTAATTATTAGTTTACTTTTATGTCTTACTCATAGACACTGAAGTTTCACACGTATTCAATGTATTTATTTCAAATTGCAAGGTGAATAGGATATTGCCAGATTTAGAGATTGTGTAAAATATGTTCAATGAGGGAAATGAAAAAGGGGAAAACAGGTAATGTGTTGATGCAAGTGAGAGTTCAATGAAATATTGTGTGAATCATGGAAGGACAGAAGAATTGAGCAATGTTATATGTACAAAACTAAGGGAGAGAAAATAAGGTTGTAAAATTACACTGAAAAAGAGGATCTTGAAGATATTGGCCAAAAAAAGGAACTGTAATCTTGGCATGCCACGATTTTTGTTCCAAAAAATTGACAGAAAAGATCAGTAAATAAATTATTTTTAAATATTCTCAAATGGGTGGAAAGGAAGTTGTCATGCATAAATTATCCCCAATTGAAAGTAAACTTGACAAAAACTGTTGTATCTTCGTAAATGCCATGTATATGTTATAATAATATTGATAGATGTGAATATGTATACATATGCCTTATACACTGCTAAATATTTTATATACTATTTTAAAAGACAAAAGTATATCCCAGAATTAAGCTATTCACCTAATGTACTGGCAGATATCCTAATCTTTTTAAATCTCTTTTATTATTAAAAATAGGATTACACGAAGCCTGCTGCTCAGATGAATTTTACAAAGATATGTTTTCATTAAAACTAGTTTTTGTAAGTATCTGTCTTCTTTTCTTTCTTTTATTTCTCCTGAGTATGAGGCCTTGAAATTTGTGATTGCTGTTTTTTTGCTTGGTATCATCTTATGCCCTTTGCCCCTGTGAGGAATGATGTGGATTTATTCTTCTTAAAAAGACTCAATTAGCACACTGTCTCTGAATCCTTCTAACTTTCCTTGTACATTAAGTTATAGATTAAAGGATTACAGAGCCAATTCTTCCTTTAGAAAGAGACAAGAGTAGAGGCCAAGATAGCTGCTCACTGTCACAGCATTCACTCAGCAAAAGCTGTGGTGGCAGAGAATGTTAGCTATGTTCCCAATATCCATTCTCCCCTTCTTCCTTAGTTTCAGAAATCCAAGTTGAGGAGGTAGTGGCATTGTACTCAGATTTAAGAACAATACATTTTCTAGATTTACATACTGATATAAATGATGTATGTTTAAGTTTTGACTAATGAGATGTAAGTTGAAGTTGTTGGTTGCACCTTTGGGAAAAACTTTATAAAGAGACTTGATGACTAGCGCATGCTCTTCACATGAACAATGCTTGGAGATCCAGGAGTTATCTTGAAAGAATGAGGAAAAATGCCCTACTTTAAAGTATATATACTCCCAGATATTAATACAGTCCAATTAATATTTTTAAAATTAATTAAAATATTTTTGTCTGGTATGGTTCTGAATGCATATTTAAGTACATTTTGTTATCTTATTTTTTATTTGAAAGGATGCTTTCTAATTGCTTTTTACAATTATGGACAATATTTACCTGGTTTTGGAATCTTTATTCTTTGAACATATTTCCTTTTATTAGCAACTACTTTAAAATGCTTAAATGAGTTTTTAATGCATTATTTAGGCATGATTGCATTTTATTCTAGGGGCTACCTATCTACTCATGCTTTATGCATGCTTTTAGCTTTCCTTTTCTTTTTGAGTAGAGAGGACTATTTTCTTTTTTTTTTTTCCTTCTTGTAAGGAATATTGGAACTCGTTGGCAACTTCTTTTTACTACTTCTCTCCCTCTCCATATCATCTAATTTGAAGTAATGTCCTACTCCTATTCAATTCCTGTAAATCAAACATTAAGCTTATTCTACTTTACTTATATTCATCTCTGTGATTTTTGATATTTGTGTTCATCGTGTCAGAATATACAATCATTCCATTTTATATTGACTATTACTTAGTCTTAAAATATAGGCAAATACATATTTAATTATTATCAACACTGCTTACATTGATATTTCTCTAATCCTTTGGTTGCCTAAAGGGTAGAGCTCATTAGAACAATATTTCTGAAATTCTCCATGTTTATAGCAGTTTGTCTGTCACCTATATACTTGAATCAACTTTGGCTAGTTACAAAATTCTTGGCTTATATTTTATATCCCTTGTTATCTAAAATATATTACTCCATTGTTTCTGGCAAAAAGAAATGTTTGCTGTCAAAGATTTAGTAGCAGTCTCTGTTTTCCTTATAAGTATTTCATCATTTTTGCCTTAATGCCTTTTTAAAAATTCTCTTAAGTTCAGTAGTCTTACTAGAACTGGTGTTATTTCTGGCCATTATAGGTCACATACATGGCATGACCTATCAATATGTAGTTTCTTATTTCAGATTTTTAAACATTTATTTATATTTGTTTTGCTCCTTTACTTTGGTATTCTTCTATTACTTGCCTATCTTCTATATTTTTTACTTCTTGAATTAACTCCTCCCCTCCCCTCCCCTCCCCTTCCCTTCCTTTTTTTTCTTTCTTTCATATTAAAAAAATCCCCATTCCATCTTCTAATTATCTTAATTGGTTGTCTGTTGTTTTAAGTCACTCTTGTGTTTCTTCAAGTTTTACCTTCACTTGTGAAATATTTTTCTAAAATAATTTGTTTTGGATTACTTTTTTTTCCTCGAATCTTTTTTTTATGATCAATTTGTCATTGAGTTTTTCTAATTCTGATTTACGTTGTTCTTTTATATCCTCTATCACTTTTTACATTTAGTTACTTGAAAAGTAGAGGGTTTTATTTTTCCTGCTGTTGGGATGCTATTCTGTTCCTTATTCTCTTTTCTTTATAATAATGTCATAACAATACGACTAAAATCCTTGTAAAGTTCTATTACCCTAGTTTATCTGTAGAGGGGATTCTTCCACCTAAATCCCATATAATATATTTGTGGTTGTCTCAGTACCTGCAATCATCTGTTTGCAATGCTGATTTCCCTGTCTTCTCAGCCTCTTTGTCTTTTTTAATATCTCGGACTTAGTTCATTTCTTTTGCTACTTTTCCAATTTATATACTATACATATGTTGTAGGTTCATATTTCTTCAGAACTGTATGTCCATGAAGCATACATTCATCTACCAGCCCTTATAAAACCAAACTGTGAGCTTTCTTTCAAGTTCGAGTATATTATAATATATTATCTCCAGCTGGCATGTTTGCATACAATCTTGGTCTCAAAATTTCATCATTTTAAATTGTTTTGTCACTAAATAAGTCCTGATTCAACAGTCTGTTGCTATAAAGAGTGTTGTAGCTTATTGTGAATATTTAATTTAAGTGTTGTATTGCAAGAACCATTGATAAGAGGAAAGTTGTAAGGAGAAAAATAACATATGTTAACTTTTGTAGAAAATAATTTGGCTTGAATTGATCACTTGTTTGCCAGAAAGGCACCACATTGACTTTAGAATAACAATGAAATTGGCATCCTTGCTATAATCCTGGATACTAAAATAACATGTTGATTAATTACTGGTATCAACATTTCTTCTGGACATTACTCTTTTCAATATCACATTTTTAGTTTGCTTAATATAAATAGTTATGACATAAAAATACTCCATTTGCAAAGTTTTTGGAAGATTTCCATAGAAATATACTGGAAATTACCATAAGACCAGAGAGTATACATCTTTGAAACTTGCCATGGATTTAGAAATTTCATTATATTTCAGCATTTGCTTATCAGAGTTATTTAGTATGTATTGAGGAAAGAAACTACATAGGTGTGTTTAAGTACTTTTAATTCATTTATAATTAGCCTATTATTTCCATTATTACAAGTAATTTTATGATAAATTTTATTCAAACTAATTTCTACAACAATGGAAAGCCCCACGTACCTATTAAGTAAGAAATATTCTCTACCTTGAAATGCTTGTGTTATATATGCTACTACTGCATCTTCCCCTGAAAAAACCTTTTAGCTTTTCAACCAGCTAATGTCTCATTTCCAAGATAATGCTAATGAGAATTTTAGTAAAATAGAGGGTAGCAACCTGTCATTTGACACTCATCCTGAAGGAAGGAACACCTGCCTGAATTACATTTAGTATCAGTTAATAGAGTCTTTCTCTACACTTTTCAAATGGCTCTATGTTTAGAAAAACATTTCCTAAGAGAAGCATTTCCTGTACTCAAGTCATATTATATGTAATACATAAATTATAATTTACAGTGTTTACTAAAAGATGACAATGTTCCTATGAAAAAGTTAAAATGATTACAGTTTATTGTCCTTCATCCTCCTGCTATGTGGCCTCTCAGCAATTTTTCCTTTTTTATCCTTTAATACTGGAATATGTATTTTCAAGGTAATTTGTTATTTTGTTTCTTGGTAATTTGTTATTTTGTTTCTTTTTGCTATCAGTTATGAATCTGTCTGAAATGATTTGGCCACATACTATGAGAAAAGTTTTGATGCAACTACCTGTAAATTTACATTAAGTTGGAACCATTGAGGCATGTGTGACTGAGTGCCAATGAGACATATGCTGGCACCATCATATATTGGCTTCTTTTTGTGCATTGTTTCATTTTGGTTCCCCTTGTTTCCACAGTGTGTGAATGGCTAGAAGGTAGAAACTATATATTAGATGCTTTTTGCAATCCTGCTATTTCTGCTACAGTTTTAGGTGACATATTAAGTAGTCAGTCCTCCTTAACCTCCTGTCCTTGATCACTAATTTCTCCATAACTAACATAGATCTTTTAAAAATATAAATGGAATTTACTATGCATGTGTGTATGTGTGCACATACATAAAATATTTTGGTGCTTCTAAACTTATATATTGCATGTATTCTTCTGAATAACTTAAAATTATTGCACATAATGTTTGTGAGAGCTGCATTTATATACTAAGCTAATTTTATTTTTCCCAAGTGAATAGCAATTTTCTATAATAATTATTTACCTTTTTCATAGACAATGTCATGCCAACCTAAGAAAACTCAAATTGTAAAATATTCCATTCAATTACAGATAACCTTTCTTCTCACTTAAAACTACTTAGAATAGTTAGAAGAGAATAGTTAGGCATTTATAGAAATTCTACCTTTTTAAAATAAATTGTATTATAATTCATTTATAATTTATATGAGTTTATATCAGAATTCTCTAATTATTTTTAAAATGTTTTATATATCTGTCTCAATAACTCCTTTATTTATTACATGTGGTGTGTTATATTTTTATGGTTTGAGCTTAGAAAAATTTATACAACTTTCCAAATTCCACCAGAAAGTGATTGCTCACCATTTTAAGATTTTTTGTCTGTCAGTGAAGATCGACATTTTCTTTTTTCATATAGAACTTTCATCTTTTCTTCTGAGAATTGTTCCTCACTATTTCATAGTTTGGCTGGATTCCATGGTTATTTTTATTCAAAACTTTTTGGTTATTAATTTCTTTCTTTTGGGGGGGGGCAAAAGAAGCTTTCTTTCTTTTTCTTTTTCTTTTTTATTTATTATACTATAAGTTCCGGGATACATGTGCAGAACGTGCAAATTCTACAAAGAACTTAAACAAATTTACAAGAAAGAAACAAATAACTCCATCAGAAAGTGAGCAAAGGATATAAACAGAAACTTCTCAAAAGAAGACATTTATGCAGCCAACAGACATATGGTTATTAATTTCTAAAGAAGCTATTGTCTTGACTTTTTTCTTTTCTTAAAGTAAGAAATCAGTTAAAAGGAAATTTCCCTTTGAATTTTTATAGTGTGTATATTTGTTGTTTATTTTGTTCATAGAGTCACATTCTAATTTTTAGTTGTGTTTTTGCCACAAAATCTGAAAATTGTAGTTTCTTCAGGATATGTTGCATTTTTTGTGGCATGAAACATGGCCAATTTTCATGAATATTTTATGATTTATTTTAAAAATTAAAACTTTCTGTTAGTTAATGTTTTAGATGTGTTCTTAATCTGATTTAGGGGAAATGTAAGTTTTTCTATTAAACATGAATTATCATTTACCATTTTCTCATTTCATCTATATTAGTGTCTGCTCTCTACATTATGAAACTACATTATAAGTGCACAAAAACTTTTTACTACCTTAGTTTTTTGAATCTTTTATTCTATTAAATTCGAATAGCATTTCTATTTTATTATCTTTATGTTTAATCTGTATTTCACTTTATTTCATGCATGTCTCCAGAAAATAGTGTATGCCAGAAATTTTTTATCCTAATGTAAATTTTCTTAATCAGAGAATTAATTCATATTCAGGTTTATTACTGTTACAATGCATTGGACTCAGCAATGACATCCTGTTTTATATTACTTATTCACTCTTTCCTGTTTTTGCTTTCTTTTTTCATTTTGTTTGATTGACCAAGGAATTTGAAGTAGTAACTTATTTTATTTGGATAATTTAGAATTCCTACAACTAATTCCTGCTCTTCTTAAAGTTACCATTAAATTATTAAACATAAAATTTTAAAATAGATTTTACATCAACATTCAAGGTTAATGATTTTTTACAGGCTAATTCCAAAAAAGACAATATTTTCCCCTTTTGCCTGCCCCCAATGCCCACCACCATTCCATGTTGAGATCAGCTATAACATTTGTTAATTAAAAAAATATAATGTTATGGAAATTACTTTGACATATACGATGGTTTGCTACTTTCATTATTCTCCACTATTCATTGTGTAGAGTGTATATATTCATAATTGGTAAATTTAAATGTGCATACATTTAAAATTTTTATGTAACTATACTTATTTTCTATCTCTAGGGTCCAGTTCTAGTTAATGTAAGGAACAATACTGTCACTTCCAGACAAACATGGTCAAATAAAATTTTGGATTTTTTTCCACCTGTTTCTTTACTGATAAATATTCATAACTGGGGCTAGCACAGTAATTGAATGTTATTAGAGAAAAGGGAGGAAAAAGATAGACTATATACTTCTAGATACTTGTGGCATACATAATTGCAAGATTGTCTTCATAATTTATGCATCAAATCTAAACTACTGCATAAAAATTAAGCCGTTCACATTGATAAAGCGATAACTAACAACAGGCAAGTGTATTTTTCCTATTTTTTTTCTATTCACTTCTCAACTGTAATGTAAAAATAGATTTCATATTCTTTTTCATTCTTTACTAAGGAGACACTATTTTTTTCAGAGATTCATTGAAAATAAATATTTACTAAGGATCTACAGCATTCATTTTTACTCTGTAAGACATGGTTGCTGCCTTCAAGATACTTAGATTTTGTTCAGTAAGATAAGGGATAAGACTGAAAAGTCAATGAACAAGGGCTTAAGTAATATTTTGGAACATCAATGAAAGAACTCATGTGAACATTCATAATTTACTGTGACACTGTTATTTACACAGAGGGTGTCTATTAGTGGAGTTCAAAAGAGGGCAAGACCATTGGCCTTTACAAAGAATAAGTATTAAAGGAAAAATTCTTAACTGCTGCTTGAAATATATCAAGGATGACTGGGGATTTTTTAGATGAGGGAGTTGAGATAGTAAAGTAAAGATAAAATAATTCAAGAGATTAAAAAAGTCCATAATTCTCAGTGTAAAATTATCTTTTAAAGACATCTTTCTAAACATAGAGATTGCTAATTACACACAGCCCTCCTTAGAGACACATAGTATCAACCTGACTGCTCCTGTCAGATTAAATCACAGTGGGTACTTTACAATCATCTATGTAGGTAACCAAAATGGTAGTACAGTAAAAGCTGCATTTACTTTAGGGTGGTGCTGGTTTGAGAGAAGTGTAGCAGAGATATGA
The DNA here is from genome assembly GCF_000001405.40 of Homo sapiens. NCBI lineage: Eukaryota > Metazoa > Chordata > Mammalia > Primates > Hominidae > Homo > Homo sapiens. The sequence continues at coordinate 86,101,741 of NC_000012.12, forward strand.
TTTAGTCTAAATACTCAGAAAATTAATGCACCCCTGCTACTCTACCAACTGACTTTGAATTTAATGAGAATGTGTATGCATACAGATTTAAAGGCTATGCATTATGAATTTTTGTCTTTGTGAACTAAAATTAACAGGATCAAAGTCTTAAATTCCCAAGTTGAAAACCTCCTACTGAATTTCAGATAACAAACAATATTTTTCCCAATCCTTTTTCTGATGAAAACTTCTCTTTGGAAAGAATAATGTTTCTTATCCAAAATATAGGCTGACAACTGGCCTAATTAATCACAAATGACAGAGAAGAGAAATAAAATAAATTATAAATATTTAATGTCTTTCATATCTTATTTGAAAGATTTAACCATCGCACTTCATTAAAATATAAACAGTTAGTGGGAGAGGAACCAAATGCTGATGTAAACTTGAATAACTAAAATATAGGATATCAACAAATACCTGCATATTGATGTAGAAATGGAATGAACACTTTTTTTTGTAATGACAAATCAAACTTCTTTAAAGCTGAAGATAAATTAAAGAGCCAAAGGTTTCCAAAAAATGTAGCATTAGCTGTTCTAGTGATCTTAAGTATTTCTTTTTACTTAAGAAAAATTACTTTAACTGCAGTAATATATGTTATGTAAAGGCATATCATTAATCTAGTGAAAACAAAACAAACGAAAAGCACAGAAAGTGTATTTACCTTTATGAGAAATTTTCAAAGCAACTCAAAAGTAACACCTATTGGAAGTAAAAATTAATGAATGGAATATGGCACTAAGCTAATAAGTTCATATTAGGCCATCAAAGTAGTTTAGAAGTGAAGTATTTTTAGTTCTCTAATCCATTAATTTGACAAATGGTTTAATAGCTGAAAAGAGAAATCTCCCGGACAGTATCAGCTAACCCAAAAATCAAATGTAAGATCTGCATAAAGGAGAAAGGGGTGAAAGATATCATTCTAATATAATTATTCTTAGTAGTCTTACCCAACACTAATCAATCTTTACAAAACAGTATTTTTTATGTTGAAGACTGCATTACAATTCTCATACATCTAATGTTTACCATTTTAACATTTACCAGTTTTTATAGTCTTAATTTTTTTAGAATAGCCATTTAAATTTAATAATTCTTATTTTTTTTGCAACATGCAATAGAGAAACAGGAAAGTTAGCACAAATGTATCAGATATTTTGCAATTGCTTATATTGGCAAAAAGGGCAAATATAATAAAGTATTTATAAAAAGAAATACATTCCTAATATTACGTATTTTTATTTTAAGAAGAAGAGCTGCATTTCAAGTATTTTTGGCATTTTGAAGCAGTGGATAATGCCTGCATTGGCTCCATATTCTGATTGGAGATACAGCTGGTACCTTGACTGACTTAGATAATATAGGTCAGCTAGGGAGTTAAATCCCAGTGGGGGCTAACTGGTGATCACAAAAAGCTGTGTTCCAAACCCTGGAAACTAGGAATGTTACCTTATAAGGCAAAAGAGTGAATAATATTTTATGTGGCAGAAAATGTATAATGAAATACAATAAAGCAGATTGAGACAAGGGAATTATCCAGTGGCCCCAAGTATATGCATGGATTTCTTTCTAAGAGGGATGCTAAGCAAGCTTTGAGACAAACACACAGAATAGAACACACACAGAAAAGGAACAGACAATGTGACTACAGAGCCAGAGACTAGGGTGCAACAAGTCAAGAAATGCCAACTACCAGAAGCTGGAAGAGGTAAAGAACAGATTATTCTTCAGAGCCTCTGTAGGGAGTGCCACCTTGCTGATGTCTTGATTTTGGACTTCTGATCTTAAGCCACCTTGTTTGTACCAATTTGTTATGGTAGCCACAGGAAGCTGATTGATACACATCCTTTTTGTTTTTTTCTTTTGTCTGTCTAAACTAATATACCCTTGTGTCCTGTGGTTTGAACTCAAGCTGCCATCATCTCAAGATGGGGAAGGGAGAGGACATCTGACCCAAGCTATACCAATAATAGTATTCTTCCCTCGCTCATGCAGCCATAGTCGATTAGGCGACCTGCTTAAATTTGAGATCCTCTAATATAAGATTCTTACATTATTCATCTTTCATTTATTGTTGCATCTCTAGAAGTTAGTTATGCCAGCCATATAGTAGGTATTTAATAAAAATTTGATGAACAAATTATTTGTCTAAATTAGTTTTTCTTCAGTGTGAATTCTGGCTTTGACAAATTATTGGAAGGTCTTTTAAAAGACCTCAAAAAGTAAACATAGACATTTAAGGGGATCCCAAGTCCAGAGGTCTGAATTTCCTCTGTCTGGGCACTTTATTTTTTATCAGCTTTATTGGACAAAACAGGAGACACTAATCCAAAGTTGGAAATTGGGATAGATCACATTTTGAAAACATTGTCTCTAAAGCCTGTAATCTCAGCACTTTGGGAGGCTGAGGTGGGCGGATTGCTTGAGCCCAGGAGATACAGACAAGCCTGGGCAACATGCAAAACTCCGTCTCTACTTAAAAAAAAAAAAAAAGAAAAATACAAAAAGTTAGGCGGGCATGGTGACTCACGCCTGTAGTCCCAGCTACTCAGGAGATGGAGGTGCGACAGTCAATCGAGCCTAGGAGACAGAGGTTACAGTGAGCCGAGATAGTGCCATTGCACTCTAGCGTAGGTGACAGAACAAGACCCTGTCTCAAGAAAAAACAAACAAATAACAACAAAAAAATTGTCTCGTAATATTTAATATTATTTTTCTAAAACTCTTGAGTAAGTTGATTTCTGGGGAGCAGGAGATGGGCTAAAAGAGGTAAGATATAACAAGCTGGAAGAAAAAGATAACTTTTGTTTTCAGTCTTAATATCTTCAGGGTTCAGTTTCACAATACTCTCAATATTAGATATTCATATTTACCCTTAGCAATTGAAATTGCAATTTTACAGAAAATCGAAATAAGCCATAGTATTTGTTGAATAGTTCATATATAAGTGAAGTATGTTTTCTGAATTGAAAATAACCTTTCCATTAATGCAGATTATGTATCATCTTCTAATTTTATACACGTTAGTTATCAGAACACTTAGGTAACATATTAAATTCAAAATTACACGGCAAACCTGATTTTTTTTTAACAGACCGTGTTCCTGGGTTGATGCATACTTAATAGACTCCAATACTTTTAACAGGGTTCAGAGTTAGACACTGAGTTTTGTCTCATGTATCCTCACCTTAACTATCCGTGGTACTAAATTTAGAACACAGATGGACTTAATTACAAAGGCCGTTACATCTTATTTAAATTTACATTCCTTTTTCATGAAAAATTTATATGTAAAGGCAGGTAAAATGTGATATTCTAAATCAATCATATCAAGGCAAATGGTAAAATTACATCATCCACATTTTTTGCAACGATTTCATCTTGGACTTAAGAATACATTGTTTAAATATCTGAGGAGTGATCGTTTTGAAATTTAGGGAATCTATTTTCTTCCTCCAATAAGATTTGGCTTTATAAACTCTGGGGTGAAGGGCAGGGGAGTCTGATTGAATATCAGAGAATGTCTTAAAAACAAAACATCATGAACAACAAAACCAAAAACCACATAATCTTCCAAAACCACATTAAGTATATCATCTTATAGGAAAAGAATTACATGTATGATTTTCTAATTTCTCACACAGGCCTCATTAGCATGTACATGTTATCAAAAACAATAAATTAATAGCAGTAAAATTTTTATCTCAAATAACCTATATTGATTGAGTTACACATATTGTGCAGCATCTATCTCACGTTTCCTATAAAGGAGAGGGAAGAACAGAACTGTAAGAAATACCAGCAAGCTACATATCAGAAAACGAATTCCATACTGTACTTTTTATTAATGCAAGTACAAATTAAGGAAACATTATTAGCCACACACAACTCATGCTTTTATCTTCCATGTTAATTACTATTCCTTTACGATTCAATTCAGTGAGTAAATTTTTATAGATTATTTGCCATATAAAGTAATATATTTCTACTCCATTAGGATAATGGTTGGCAAAGAAAGTAAAATATGGTGGAATATTCTATCAACATAAGGGTTCTGCCCCAAACAGTTAAACGCAATATTTATTTTGTGCACTTACTTTACAAATATCTTCTATCACTTATTTTACACATATTGAGTAAACTGCAGTGGGTTTGGGGAGTGAAAGACAACAAAATACTTTTAAAGTCTGAACCTAAATGGTAAATTATAGCTGTAATCTTCAACATCATCTTCCGAAAAAAATTTTAGTGCTATATTCTTTCTAGTTTGAACTCCAAACTTCTCACAAATTCCTTTATGCATGGAATATGTACTAATAGTGCTTCCCCAATTGTTTTACTTTCAGGCATTATTTTTCTTTTTCTCAGAATTCCTGAACTCTGGATGATGCTAATAGGTTAGTTTTTATCTTTTTTTGACTGATTTGCCATCTGATTTGGTGTTTGATATATTTCTCTTCTCTTTTTTTCATTGAAAGCAGCACTCGTTTAGTTTAGTTTAGTTTAGTTTAGTTTTTTAGGTTAGTTTAGTGTTGTTTCTGAGATACAGTGTCTGTTGCCCCGGCTGGAGTGCAGTGGCACAATCCCGGCTCACTGCAAACTCCGTTTCTCAGGCTCAAGCAGTCCTCTTACATCAGCCCCTCTAGTCGCTGAGACTGCACGTTCCCGCCAGGATGCCTGGCTAATTTTTTTACATTTATTTGGTAAAGACAGGGTTTCCCCATCTTATCCAGGCTGTTCTTGAACTCCTGGGCTCAAGCAATCCTCTCGTCTCAGCCTCCTAAACTGTTGGGATTATAGGCGTGAGCCATGGCACCTGCCTTTTCTCTTAAAGAGTATTCTCTTGTTCTCTTGCTTTGAAGGTGTATATGGTCTTTTTTTTTTCCTCTGAGTGACCTAATTTTTGCCCTAATCCTTTAGTTATGTGTTTGTTTCTTTCCATATGTGAGGTGTTGACTTAGACAAATTTACTGTCATTTCAATGTCTACTAAATTCAATTTCTTCCATTGGTCATGAAAAATAATACATCTTCTGCTAAGTAGGACCATGCTTGATGTTGTATTTGAAGTAGATTGAGAATAATCAGTTTTTCATATTTTCCAAATCCACATTTTCCTTAGAGAAAAAGCAAGGAGAATCAATATACTGCAGAGTTTTTGTGAAGTGGAGTCCTTGGCTTCTCCAGACAGTGGCCTGAGTCACCATGAATGAAGAGCACTCTTGTGTTAGGTCTACTAAGCCCTCAAGATTCACTTTTGTGGATCTGAAACATAAGTGTTTTTCTTTAGTAAAATGAAAAAGCTAAAAAAAAGCTTTTATACTTACAGATTTTGCTTCAGTAAATGTGTATCTTGAAATTGAGAATTTGACAGGGCTGGATAATCTAGCTCGCATCTTCAGGTAATTTCAAATTAGAAGTTTTAATTGTATGAGCCTTGTACTTTAAACATTCTTGTTTCAAATATATTTTAAAATCAAATGCTTTGGTAACTGGGGTCAAAGGCTGAGTAATAACAGTTTATGAAGTCAAAGCCAGTTCTCTTTTTTGAAGTAGAATCCTGAAAATCATTGTATGTGTGTGTGTGTGTGTTTAATTTTTAAGGAACAAGATGATAATCCATATGTAATCCTGACATATACTTAAAACTACAGAATAAGGGTAAATCAGTTATATTATTTTGAGCAAACAAAATATAACAGAATAAAATATAAAACGTATATGCTCTGTTTTTCAGTATTCATATTTTCAGCACAGTTGAAACAAAAGATGTCAATATAAAAAGTTTTTTCTTAGGCTTTGTAACTAGTCCCTCCGTTAATTAGAGAACAAAATGTACAACATCTCATGTATTTTTGGCTTGGTAGTTGTTACTAATATGCTATATTTTCTGAATTTATGTAAAATTGTTCTTAGTAAATGGATTACCTTTTCTGGTTACTGGCAGAACCAATTGAAGTTGATGACAGATTTTCTTAATGAAGTCATTGATGAAAATTGCATACTAGGAAATTTCCAATAAATCTATTGAAAGTGCTTATTTTAAATGACTAAAAATTTTATATATTTTTAAAATGTCTTAAGTGTCTTTGGATTTTGGAATTCTCACAAATGTTACTGTGGAAATGCTATTCTGATTGGATTATATTAAATAAATTTATTATAGGGCAAACCAACATGAAGTTGAATAAAGCAGAGGGGGAATTAACCAACTGATGATGTTTTTTTCCCTGTATGGAAAAGTTGAAAAGCTTAACCCTCTAGAGTAGCTTACACATCTCAGCTGGAGAATTGGAAAAATAAACTAAAAATAAAATCTAAGCCCTCCTATTCACTGAACAAACTGCCTTGTGGCCAAGGGGACCCCAGAAAAGCCTTAAAACTGAATTCTCAGCAATAATGAGATGGGAGGTCAGACAAGCCCCCTAATACCCTCTTCCTTTGGCATTTAGACACAATGACTGGCCCTCATTAATGTTAAAATAGAGATTATAAGACTGACAGAAGATACTCTTTGTAACAATAAGATACCAAATTATAAACAGGGTGTGAGGCCATGCCAGGCAAAGGTTAAGTCACACACTCCTACATTTAAAGAATAAACTATATTCTAACTCCTTAAGGCTTCTCTTTTCTTTTTTTTCTTTTTCTAGAAGCTAAACAACACTGGCCTCAAAATAAACAGTATTAAAATGATTACAACTCACTCAGCTTACAAAGGCTGACTAATTGACCCTCTGTTCTGCCAGCCATAATTACAGACAAGAAACTGATTTTGGTAACTCTCTCCAGATAGGAAGAATACCCACCATGGATTGGTTCTGGCCGGGTTTACAGAGGCTGACACTTGGGTGACTTCGTGTCCTGAAAAATCCTTTTGACATATAGGGCCTAATTGTAGTATATTTAAATGTTAAGTCTCCACTCCAAGGTTAACATGGATGTATGAGGCATGGATGTTTCATTCAAAATGCATGCCTCAGGACCACCATCATGAATATTTATAGCTCCTCTTATAACCTGTTGAATATGTATGTTTAGCCAACCTGTTCAGCATAAGCTTCTACCCCAACTCCTGCTCCTTCAAAGTGTCTGTCTTCGGTCTTCACCGGAGACACACTTCCCAGCCTACAGTTTGGCCACCTGTAGGCTGTAAACCTTCACAAGAAATAAAATCTCCTTTCTCAATTTATAAATTATTATTTTTTTAAAGTTAACAAGAATCACACAGATGACAGTATAGAATTATCTGACTCCTGAAGGGAAGCAGAGATCCTGTATGGTCAGTAAATCTACAACATGGGATTTAAATCAGCACTATTGATCATCTAAAGATCAGCAGCAGTCATAAATTTGTCAAATACTCTTTCTATCAAATATCCTTCAAAAAATTTGTAATTAATTAGACACTAGCACCAAAATTGTTCTATTTGTGTCTTCTAAGACAATTTGTAATAACAACAACAACAAACAAATTAATAGGTCTCCTCTTTTTGTGGAGAGTTTCCAGAGAAACTGATATATAGCGTGGTATTGTAAATTAATATAGTCTTTTCAGAAAGTTACTTGTGGCAATACAAAGAAGTCATATTCTTATACTAGCTATTGTTTCTGAGTTTTCTTAAAGAGTTAATTAAACAGAAGAAAACAGAAATCTACATGAAGATATTCTTATCAATGCTATCTATAAGGTCAGAGATTAATGTTTAATTCAAAATTAATGTTTTGAATATCTAATTATATAGATTAGCTTTGTAAATGATGTTATGTCAGTATTATTATTATCATAATTATCACTATTATTCTGATTCATTCATTTAAAGGGATGATAACTGTTTACAAGCATGGAAAAATATTTATGGTATAATCCTAGGTAGAAAAAAGGAGAATGCAAGTTATATTGATTCATTATTTTGACAAATATTTATTATGTCTACCATGTGGCTAGTCACACATTTTTTTAAAAAAAGTGGTAGGCAAAATGTATGAAATCCCTAACTTTATGGAGCTTTTACACTTGTGGTGGATGCATATGTAAAAAAAGTGACCACACTGAGTTAATCCATTACAAGAGAACTGAGTGGTACTGAGGAAAGAGACAGGACCTCTGGAGTGGATATAACAGGAGAATCTAAATGAGCCTAGGATGAAAAAAACTTCGTGGGAAAGGTGCCTGGAGAATGAATAGGAGTTATTCAGATGAAGAAGTATGGAAAGTGTTCCAAGTAGAAGAAAAGTCATGGGCAAAGGCCCTGTAAAAGTTATAACTTCAGGAATTTTGAGGGTCAGAAGAATGCCAAAATGACTGTATAATAGACAGTCAGGGAGGACTGCTGTTACCCCAGGTAAAGCTAGATCAAGCAAGATCTTTTACGTAACATGTTAGGAGATTAGTATCTAAATAATAGTGGCAATGGAAGTATCTTAAGCAAGTATATGCATTATGATTCTACCTCTGTAAAACAATAAATGAATATATATATAGACTATATATATAGTCTATATATATATAGTCTCTCTATATATATATATATATAGTCTCTCTCTCTGTATATAGTCTCTCTCTCTATATATACACATAGTCAAGGGGTTGAAGTGAAATTAGCAATGACTCTAAAGGCAAAGGCAGAATTTGGGTTAATTTCTTTTTATAAGAGAAAACTAAATTATTATATATGATGCCACATCAACTCTTCAATTACATTTATATTTGAATGAAAAAATCTGGTTTTCTAAACGCATATTAAGTAATTTTAAAGTTCTTTAATGTCATTTTTAGGACATTAAACATTATGAGAAATTCTAACAAATAACGGTTTCTAAAAAATAATTCCTAAGCCTTATAGTCGATTTCTTCAGTTGTAATAAAACGTTTCTCTAAAAAGTATGTATTTGTGTTTTTAATGTAAAGTATAAGCATGAAAGATTTGAAAAGTCTAAAGGAACTTTGAGATCAAAGCTTTGTTTATAGGATTTATAATACTCAGTTGAGGATAAGAATTACAGTTACATTACTATGGTACTATTGTACAGTTGTACATACTAATATTAATTTATATGATGATAACTATGAAAATGTATAACTATTATGCCGTTATATGTACTACTGTGAATTTGAGCTATGCAGACTGCAGTGAGACTATTTTTTGTTACATTGTATTCTCTTAAAAATTTAAAGATGCTAAAGATATTTTTCATGTATATGAAATGAATTATTTTTATTTCATTTTAAAATATAAGCAGTAGAACACTTTGCTTTAACAAATACTAATTTATTTTATGAATTTAATAAAATGTTAAAGTAACTTTTATAGTTTTTAAACCATAGAAAGTTTCTGGCATTTTAGGGAGACTAATTTTCTCTATATATTTAAAGCAATGGTGTTGTCACATCGCACAAGAAATTTTATTACACAGGTATAAAAATATAAATGCATCAGTAAACTAACCTAAAAGTTAATGGCATAAGAAAATGAGGATGGGAATTTGTGTAGTGTCTATCAAGCATTTGTCAGGATTTCATAATCAAATAAGAAATGTTGCTATTTGTGGCTATGCAAATAACATCATATCTCACTATCCTGTTGTATTTGCAAAATGATATCAGTGTTGTACATGTATACATAATACAAGACTATGGAACAAGAATTTGGCTCATTATGTTTGAAGTTATATAAATTCAGATTTCATTTCTCAGTTTTCCAGAGAGATGACAAATATGCCTAGCAATCCTCTATTTAATTATTTTAGAGAAAGAGATTTTAAAAAATATTTTAAACAAAAGTACTAAAGATTACTTTTCCTGCACTGTAGATATGTGCTTGATTCCCTTGATTAGTGAGAATTATTTGTGCATGTTAAAGGAAGTCTATAACCTAAGCCTTAATTTCAAACCTTTCCTAAAAACACTTTTTGAAAGCTTAACTAGAGTGGCTACATGCTTTTCACCCACGCTTATGTTCAAACACTTTCAAGGGGACCGCACTTACTTTAAAAACCTAAAATCACAGAAGCATGTTACATTAGCCAAGTTCAATAAAAGACAACCACAAATGGAATGCAAAATATCTTTTCGATCTTTCTGTAATCACTTCAATAGTAAGACAGCCACCTGGGGCTGAATGTGTATCACCAGTCATTTCAATAATGCAATTATTTGAAAAATATAACTACTGGAAAATGCTGTTGGCATAAAATGCCAAATATGTATGTACATGTGTATACTGTGCAAGTATACATATGTATATAAGTAGAATTCAGAATCTCAATACCTGTGGGAGCAAGTAAGTATAAGCTAAATACAATAGAAAAAATGAAGACTGAAGTGCATATCATCTATGCATTATTCATACTTGAAAAATCTTATAATCAGGAATAATAGTTATTGAAGTGAGATTCAGGTTTATGGCAACATTTAGCTCTCTGTAGATAAAATCTCTATCACCTTTAGAGGGTGGATGACATTTCAATATCCCCTAAATGGTGCTATGTAATCTCGCCTCTCTCTTCCTCATTTCTAGTGGTTTACTTCCCCCCCACCCTTTTTTTTGTTTTTACATTAAATGCAATGAGACGTACTTAATGTCCTTGTAGGCTCATCTTTCTCTACAGAGACAGTTGGAAAATGCCATGAGTATCTTGGGAAATACCAATAGTGGCAGACAGCATTGCCCCCTTCCTTATTCACATTTTCAGGGAAGCTTGATACTGATTAGCCAGAAGTTATATATTAAAGCATCTATTATATGCCTCTTATTGTGCTCACCACTGAGAACAATAGAAATAAGAAAAATGGTTTCTACTATATGCTATTTATTTTTAGCAAATGAATGTGCATAAAATAATGACCAACGAAGTATTAACTGGGTAATAAAAAGGACACATACAATAAAAGTTTGACAATTAGGGAGACGATTGTGGGTTATAGTAGCCATGAAATAATTAATGAACTAGATGTGTCCTCTGAAATAGTTAGGAGGAAACAGAGTGAGTAAAGGAAGGAAGATGGCATTGGTGAGTGACAATGGAGTGATAAGTCTTTTGAAACAAAGCTTATATTGGGGAGCACCATATTATAGGAAACAAAAAGAAAGGTAGAGGCTTGAATTGCAAGGGTGTTTGGGGGAAAATTGGAAGCCAGTGAAATTCTAGTGAGGTAGTGATTACTAAGTGTTTTCCTATCATTAATCTAGGAGTGTAAGAGAAAATATAACTGAAGCTGGAAACAAAAAATAAATAAATAAAGAGACCACCATAATAATCTTGGCATGAAACAGTGAGATCCTGGCCTCAGGTGGAATTAATGGAAATTGCCAAAATAAGGGAAAAATATAACCTTGATTAACAGGAACAAAATTGTTTGCCTACGTGTTCAGGTCATACTAAGCAAAATAAACTTGTTCCTTATTTTATTTTTAAACTCTAATTTTGATTCAGAAACATGAGGATATAAATCCATAGCAGTTTTTTGAAAAAAATGTCAAGAACAAATCTTTAAGAATTATCAAGAGTGACTTAAGCAATATTGATGTAGAGATAATATTGTCACAAAATCTAACTGTGGTGCAACGTTTGCTTTTCTGCCTGAGCTGATTATTAGGCATAAACAATCAAGAGCAAGTCCTTTTGGTTAAAGGTGATTTTGGGGGATTTTTTGTGTGGATGCTAAAAAAATTATATTCAAGGATGGAAACTCTTTAGGTAAGATAGAAGAAATATTACAGAATAAAAAAATTAAAGCATAAAAAAGAATGCAAACATGAAAAGGAAAAGGAGAAGTAGAGCATTAAAGCCAGGAAAACGATGTAGTTTTTACTAAAATTTGGAGATTTGGAGTATTGTGAGAATTTAGAACAGAAAGAGAAGTGAACTAGTAGAAAAACTAGATGTATCCTTGTCTGTATTCAAGAAACTTGGGTGAACAAGGGTAAAATCAACTGCTCATTAGTGAATTAAGATTCCTGCACTAGTTGATTTCTAATTGTCTCATTTTAATTAAGATTTTACACTGCAAGAAACTGAGATGCATGCAGGTTAGTTCAGTTAATGGATTGAAAATAACGAAACAAAACAGAAACATTTCCAGGAAAGCAAGAGAGACTGGAAAAGTCTCAAAAGACCTATAGTAAGTCTCATGAGGAAAGGAAAAATCACTCATTCACCTTTTAAAATACAATAGAAATCTTAGCAGTCCAAAGCATGCTGTCACCTCTAAAACCTTTTAGTGGGTTGATAAGATTGTGAGTTCTCTATATCTGCTTCTGTGTCTACCTTTTGCACCTGATTATCAACTAACTTCTGTAAGTATTTTTTCTAGGTGAGGAACTCTGCCTAATCACACATCTACTCTTATAGTTTCAATTCCCTGATGATTGATTTTTGTGTATTTTTATTAATATCCTGGTGTGTCGTCCCTTCTCTGGCCTCACGTTCTGCTCTGGCTTCTTCTTTTGGTATTCCTTAAATGGTTTTGTCAGTAATCAAAAAGGACACCTGTTAAATCTGGTGTACCTCACAAGTCAATAGGTAGTGTACGGGTATGAATTCTTATTATTGTGATCTGAGTAGAGGGACTATGTTCTCCAGAGCATGGCAAACAATCTGTGTTAACTCTTCAACAGAGGTTTGCGAGCATGACATGCAACATGACATTTATTAAAAATAAGTAAAATAAAAAATTGTAGTTACAATGAACAAGGCCATGATACAATCTGTTTCATATGGGCTCTCTTGATTTTTTTTTCAAAATGAAAAGCAATAAAAATCATCATTAATTAGGCATTTATAATTTTTTAGACAGTATGTTAAATGCTTCAATGTATACCATCTGCAATTTTTATAGCAACCCATGCTAATTTATTTTACTCGTGCCATATAAGAAATGCAGAAATAGTTTCAGAGTTGTTCTCTGAGGTGCCCAAGGCAAAATAATTGATATTAGATAGCTGAGATTTGACAAACCATGTCTCTGACTCTAAAGGTCTACTATCTCATTTCTCTTCCAACCGCCCCCCGGCCTTCATCTTTCCTTTTTTTTATTATGGTTTTAAAGATGTTAAAATCTATTACCTACCCTAAGGAAATAATGTGACGTTTGGTGACAAGAAAGCTACTAAGATTTATGGAGGTAGTTGGGGGTAACCAGGCATTATAAATCATCTTTGAACCCACTCCTGGAAATAGCGGACAACCTAACAGAATTCATCTGTTTTACTGTTTAGTGACACCCCTATTTTATGGAGAAAATGATACAGTCAGAAGACCTCATGGATATTTTTGGTAGTAATCTCAAAGATGTGGGTAACAGCTGGCATTTCGGTACCATTTCTTTGGGTACCAGTTGACGAAGGAAGAGTGGTACATACATTTAGCACATATCTCATTCTTTTAAGATAAAGATAAGGTTGTTAATGAATATATTTAAAAAAATAAAGACAGGAGACAAAGCTGAGTATGACAATGTGGAGATAATGATATTTTATGGATAAAAAAGGTTCACTGAGATTAAGAACAAACTGATTCAGGAGTGGAAAAAGGTGGAGGAAAAATTCAAGAAGACTTGTTAATCAATTAGGTCATATACTTAAGATTTGGGGTAGAACTAAGGATAATTTAATGATACAATACTAATTTAAATGACACAATACCTTATATTCAGATATTTTATAAAACAATATTAATAGAATAGACTAGAAGAATAGTATTTTCATTTGTATGAAAATAAGATGTTAAGGCTTCAATTGATTATAGAGAACATTAACTGTTGTTTTAAGGTAAATACAACTCTAAGTAGTGTTAATTAATCTAGGTCACTATAAATAATGGTCCCAATCTTCTCAGTGACAAAGTCATCTTAGAATAATTCATTGTAAGTTTCTTATTTCAAAGGGGAATATAAATGAGATGTCAAGAGTTCTGAAAAGAATACATTAGAAGGAAGATCGAAGAAATTCAAGATGTTTGTTCTGGGGAAGAAGACAAGTAAGTGATATGGTAGGAAGACAGAGCACTTGTCTTCTAACACTTATTTATTGAACATCTATCTACCTTGTGATAGGATTTAATGAACAAGGCAGCCAACATCCTGAATTGATTAAGGTCCACCATGATCTCATTTTAACTTAATTGCTTCTTTAAACTTTCTATCTCCAAAAGCACTCACATTCTGAGAACCGAGGTTTAGGATTTCAACGTATGAATTTTGGGGTGACACAATTCAGCCCATAACAGTAGCCACATGAAGAATTTGCAATAATATTCCAGAAAGTAAGAACATCCCCGAGAAATGAATATGCTTGATATGTCAAAGAATAGCATAAAGGCTGCTCTGGCCCAACTATAGCAGGAAAAATGACAGATAATGCAATTGAATTGATGGTCAGGGCCCAGATCACATTGGGCCTTAGAGGAAAGAGCCAGCATTTCACTTTCTTCTCGATGGGAAGCAAGCATAGGGGTAGAAGTCGGGCATAATCTGACTTATGCATTAACGGGCACTCTGACTTCTCTATGAACAATAAAGTATAGGCGAAAGTATTATCAGTCAGAAGTTGCTGCAGTAAGTAATCCAGATAGAAAAAGATGCAAAGATACTGGCTCGGACTAAGCAGCTGTAAATTTGGTGAGAAGTGGCCAGATTAGAGATTTTTTTTTAAGGTAAAACCAACAAGACATATGTTAGATTAGATGTCAAATAGAAAGCTAATGGAAGAATTAAGAGTAATTATTCACTTTGCCTCAGTTCTTAAATTGGAAAACAGAAGAAATACCCTAGATTACTGTAGAAAATTTAATAAGGACTGGTATGGAACTCATTTACAAGTAGATCTAATCACAGTTTAGGAAAAAATTTTTAACTCAAATTGTCCAGTATTGGAGTGAATTACCTCATGGGAAAATAAGTATCTGTCAGTCAAGTTGAGCAAGATGGGGGATGGGATGTAATCCAATTGTATTCATTGTTAATAAGTATGGTTGAAAGAAATCTCTCCAGAGGTAATACTCACGATAACATACAGGATGATTTCACTATTATAAGCTATTGACATCAATACTTTAGGGACCATTTTCAATGGATAAATATCAATGCAATTGAACAGCAGAAGATCAAAATTTTAATTTGTATATAACAGGAAAATATTTCCATTAAAACATTGTTAGGTAAATTTGTATTTTCTATCAGTGTGAGGAGAGAAAGTTTATTTGTTGGAATAATATTAATGGTAAATTATTTATTGAGGGTTCTGAGACGCTATATTTGATAATATCTTATTATACTTTAATCATTGCTTAAAAAAAAGTTGCACTATGCAACTGCATAGGTTCAGTTAATTTCACAAGGGAATGTTTGTTCTACTCAAAGGTGTACCTCACTTCTCCTCATTTCCTTCAGAACAATAAATAAGCCAGGGCATAAGTTATCTTGAGAACAAAATAATAGCATGGGCTAAAGAAGAAAACCACCTTCATACTGAAAAAATTGCATGACCTTGCTAATACACACTGAAGTGAACTAGGAAAATATATGTGAGAGTGTATCAGGGATTTTGAGCAGGAAGGAGAATATAAGACAGGACAAGTGAAAATGTATTATTTGAAAAAGCACTTTTCCATTTCTTATGCCATAAGGACATCTGGAGCTGCTCTTAATACACCACTGGAATGTTTTTTTGAAGCTTATACCTGATGATAGACTATGGCAAATTAGAGGAGATGCATAAACTACCTTGACAAAATGTTAAGGATAGAGTCAGAAAATGCAGAGATATAGGAATGTTAGAATGAATTTATTATGTGAATGAAGAACCATCATCACTCTACCAAATTTCTCAAGGGCATAAATAAAACTCCTTTCACCAAAACATTAAGAACTGCACTGGTAATGAGGCTATTGGCATCATTGAGAAGGAGAGAGTGGCTGATTTCTAGAAACTGGGGTTAAGAGTAGGAGAAGCTGACATTTTCTTACTATCATTAGGGCCAGTGGAACTCCAGAATGTTCATGGTCAAGTAGTACTAATTCATCCAACAGAGATAAAGTAGACTTAATCACCATAATGAACTTCATGGCCAAAATGGCAGTCAAACTGCCTTGAAATACAGGAATCTGTGGTGATGACTAATGGGTCATGATGTTCCTAGTGGTAAGAGAGACGAATAGCTGCCTAAATTGATTTTGACTTGCATAACTAGAAAAAAATCACAAACTAGAAAAAAGGCAGACAAGTCACCAAAACAGAAAACTGCAATTTTTCACCCAAGTTGTAGATCAAAGTAAGTTTGACTAACTACCTTCAAATAACTAGAAGAAAATGTTGCAGAATTATTACCAGGATACATGAATAACATTTTCTGATTATTTCCCAAGGGGATCGAATGCCATTTCCTAGTGTAGCTGGACACTGGGCAAAGGAAAAAAATGCAACTCTTTTATGAGCCTTTGAAGGAGAAATAGCCTGAAGAATGGGTACTCAAGACTTCCAGGAAGTTTGCAATGACTTGTCCTATTGTTCAGGGTCCGGCAAGGAACAAGATCCAAATGTTATAGATGACAAAAAATTCTGGGAGGGAGGCATTTTGGTAGGGATAGAACACATGGATCTTTGTATTTTATGTTAGTGCCCATTGAAGAGCAACTGTTTCAGAAGAGCTGCTTAGTAATGATGTGGACAACATGAAACATTCTGTGAATGTCAGCCAATCCTTATCCTTGACTATGCAGTACTGTTGCAATGGGGCCATGAAAAGATTAGCCACGGGAACAGAGACATATGAGAGAGAGGATGGCCAATACCAGGGGTTTCTTCTCGTCAAGCCAATGCTGAATGCCAAAACTGAGCCATTTTTTATTAGTGAAAAATGATATGTTTATAAACCAAGGGCTTGTGACATTAAATTAGATATGTTTCTATATTAGATTTTTTAAAAGGATGGTTTATACTGACTTTAAAAATAAATAGAGATCACTATGAGCTATTGTAGGTAATAAAAATGGAATTATAGCAAATAAAATGCATTGCTTTTATACTGATAAAATTAACAAAACAGTAGATGACCAGAAAGCAATATAATTATGTTATATGCATCTGGAAAGAGTATTTTCATGCTTTTCCTAATATTTTATGTAGATTCAAAATGATAATTTATTAGTCTAAAATGGATGTATAATTTCAATAGATGAGTCATTTTCAGTAACAAAATTGGATGCATCATATTCTAAGAGTTGACTGTGAAAAATGTGGTGATTATCACATTAAAAAATCACATTAACAGTAGAACTCAAGAGAGCCTAATTTATACAATGAAATAATGTTACATAGTTTTAAGTGATATGACAAAACTTGAGATAAAACAAGATTTAAAGTATTAAATAAAAATTAAGTAATAATTTTTAATAAAATGAGCCTAAAATTATCTTCTTATTTTAATTTTTATATCAGTATATATTTATATAACAGTTGGAGATGTGGCCTAAGTATCCAGAGGAAAAGACCCACTTCCAGAGCAAAATTCCTAAGAAGATAAGATTATAGGTATATTTTATTTACTAACATCTATTACTAAATTTCATAGACAGCAGTTACTCTAAACCCCATATTCTGAGAGGAGTGACAAACTCCCGTTTTCATTAAGTATTTTTCTTCCTTTTTTTTCTTTTTTTCTTGAAACAGAGTCTTGCTCTGTTGCAGTGCAGTGGCGCGATCTGCAACCTCCACCTCCTGGGTTTAAGTGATTCTTCTGCTTCAGCCTCCAGAGTAGCTGGGATTACAGGCGTCCGCCACGATGCCCGGCTAATTTTTTGTATTTTTAGTAGAGACAGGGTTTCACCATGTTGTCCAGGCTGGTCTCAAACTCCTGACGTCAGGTGATCCACCAGCCTCGGCCTCCCAAAGTGCTGGAATTACAGCGGTGAGCCACTATGCCCGGCCCCCTCCCACCATTCTTTTTTTTTTTTTTTTTTTTAATAGAAATAGGAGTCTTGCTATATTGCCACGGCTGAACTCAAACTCCTAAGTTTAAGCAATCCTCCCACCTCAGCCTTCCATGTAGCTAGGACTACAGGCATGCCCCACTGCATCTGGCTTTTCTTTTTAATAATATATTAAAGTGAATAAAACTGGGTTCCAGGAGTGTGTCAAAAGGAAATGCCATTTGAATAATGTCACTATAGTAATATTTCCTTTATTTGGTGGCATATCATGAATTAAATTGCTCACATTATTCAAATCTTATTCAAAAAAGATTTGAACATTGTTTTGCTATGTTTTACAATGCTAACAATTTATACAAGCTCAACTTTCCTGGGCCTCAGTCTTATGATTAAATATGTTACCTTTACAGAAAAAAATAGGTAAGAAACATAGGCAATATGTTTGTAACAAGAGAAAAAAATATATATATAAATATAAAGCAGATCACTTTTTAAATTTTATTATTTTTATTTTATTTTATTTTTTAATTATACTTTAAGTTCGAGGGTACATGTGCACAATGGGCAGATTTTTCCTGCCTCTGTAGACTCCACCTCTGGGGGCAGGGCATAGCTGAACAAAAGGCAGCAGAAACTTCTGCAGACTTAAACTTCCCAGTCTGACAGCTTTGAAGAGAGTAGTGGTTCTCCCAGCACGCAGCTTGAGATCTGAGAACGGACAGACTGCCTCCTCAAGTGGGTCCCTGACCCCTGAGTAGTCTAACTGGGAGACACCTCCCAGTAGGGGCTGACTGACACCTCATACAGCCAGGTGCCCCTCTGAGACGAAGCTTCCAGAGGAAGAATCAGGCAGCAACATTTGCCGTTCTGCAATATTTGCTGTTCTGCAGCCTCTGCTGGTGATACCCTGGGAAACAGGGTCTGGAGTGGACCTCCAGCAAACTCCAACAGACTTGCAGCTGAGGATCCTGACTGTTAGAAGGAAAACTAACAAACAGAAAGGACATCCACACCAAAATCCCATCCATACATCACCATCATCAAAGACCAAAGGTAGATAAAACCACAAAGATGGGGAGAAACCAAAGCAGAAAAGCTGAAAATTCTAAAAATCAGAGCGCCTCTTCTCCTCCAAAGGAACGCAGCTCCTTGCCAGCAATGGAACAAAGCTGGACAGAGAATGACTTTGACGAGTTGAGAGAAGGCTTTAGACGATCAGTAGTAACAAACTTCTCCGAGCTAAAGGAGGATGTTTGAACCCATTGCAAAGAAGCTAAAAACCTTGAAAAGTAGATTAGATGAATGGCTAACTAGAATAACCAGTGTAGAGAAGACCTTAAATGACCTGATGGACCTGAAAACCATGGCAAGAGAACTACGTGACGCATGCACAAGCTTCAGTAGCTGATTCAATCAAATGGAAGAAAGAGTATCAGTGATTGAAGATCAAATGAATGAAATGAAGTGAGAAGAAAAGTTTAGAGAAAAAAGAGTAAAAAGAAATGAACAAAGCCTCCAAGAAATATGGGACTATGTGAAAAGACCAAATCTACGTCTGATTGGTGTACCTGAAAGTGATGGGGAGAATGGAACCAAGTTGGAAAACACTCTTCAGGATATTATTCAGGAGAACTTCCCCAACCTAGCAAGGCAGGCCAACATTCAAATTCAGGAAATACAGAGAACACCACAAAGATACTCCTCGAGACAAGCAACTCCAAGACACATAATTGTCAGATTCACCAAAGTTGAAATGAAGGAAAAAATGTTAAGGGCAGCCAGAGATAAAGGTCAGGTTACCCACAAAACGAAACCCATCAGACTAACAGTGGATCTCTCGGCAGAAACTCCACAAGCCAGAAGAGAGTGGGGGCCAATATTCAACATTCTTAAAGAATAGAATTTTCAACCCAGAATTTCATATCCAGCCAAACTAAGCTTCATAAGTGAAGGAGAAATAAAATCCTTTACAGACAAGCAAATGCTGAGAGATTTTGTCACTACCAGGGCCTGCCTTACAAAAGCTCCTGAAGGAAGCACTAAACATGGAAAGGAACAACTGGTACTAGCCACTGCAAAAACATGCCAAAAGCAGATCACTTTTTAACCCCCTGCATACATGTAACCAATTGTTCCCATTTAATTAATGAAGGCTTCCATAGCTTTGGAATAGATTTTCCCCCAAGGGTTATACAAATGATTAATTTTAACAACATTTCACAATTGTGATCATAACAGCTCAAAAGAAAATGAATAATGAACGTGAAACATTAACACAAGTATATTCTCTTTTAATTATTTGTTGTCTAGTTTTATTGAAATTGCTCAGAAATAACTAAAAATTTGAAAAATAACTATAGTCATCAAACTCGAGCTGCTATAATTATAAACTGTTGACATACTATGTCATTGTTAACCATTAGAAAATTAATACCATGTTTCTGAAAAGTCAATATATTTGTAATAACTTAGAAACTTCATTGTATATAAGTTATGACACAAATAATTAAAAGTACTCATTTTAAAAATGTATGCCTTTTTATTAGTAAAAATACATATTCCACCATTCAGGCACTATAAAAATGTGCTCTTTTTCGGTTATTACTTTCTTTCAACATCCTAACATGTAAAATCTAATACATTTGTGCCACTGTTATTATTACTGTCTTCTATATTCTAAAGTATTTTTATGTGGCAACATCACATTTTCCTTATACACTTTTAGTATAATTACAGCTATGCAAAAAGTTATTATAATTGTAGTGCTTAAAATTTATATGACACTTTTCATCTTATCTAAGTTATAACTAAATAGGTAATTAATCTATAACATCTCTAAAGTGGTGTGCAAGCATTTCATCTACGTTAATTATACAAACGATGAAAGTAAACATTATACTACATATATATAAACACTGCAAGATGATCTAGTCAGATGGAAATGGTTCTATTAAGCTTCGAATTAATCTGCTAGGAGATGCTATAAAGTGCATAAAAGAGGGATCAACAAAACAATAAGCAGAAACATATGAAAATACTTGAAAGTTCTTTTAATGTGTGTGTATGTGTATATGTTCGTGTGTGTGTGTATATATATAAGTATGCACAAAATGATAGTATTCTTAATACATCATCAAAGGTGATACAAATTGTGTCAACACAGATAAATTTTTATTTTTACCTATTTCTAAGTAATTAATTATAAAAAGAAAGGGAGAGGCATAACGCATTGATAGCGGCATTAAAATATATATTGGGGAAAGATGGCCAGTAGGATATCACTGCTTTTGGTTGTATCTAGACAAGCCAGTATTAGTCATGATTAAGTCATTCATTCTACAAATATTTAATGAACTTCTACTCTGTGCTAGGCTCTGCTGTATGTGCTGAATGCAAAGTGCCGACCCTCCCAGAAATTACTTTCCAGTGGCCACTCAAGATTTCTTTGTGAATGGTATTTCTCCTTTAGCCAGCTCATAAAAATAGCAGCTGAAAAAGAAAAGTTGTAGAATCCATAAATAACTGTCAAAGTTTAGTCAGAGATGATTGCAGTGTCCTGAGAGATTTGACAGTGTAAGTGCTGGGAGTGATTTGAAACAAAAAGTATATGATTACTGTTATTAAGAGTGTTTTTCATGGGAGATTGTATCAGATGCATGATGGTAGGCTCAACTATGGAAAAAAATATTATCCTTAGTTTTTGGGCTTCAGATATATTCATAATCATCTGAATGTAGTTTGAGCACAGAGAATCTATGACTTCAGCCTTTTTTATCTTACACATGTAATACCAAATCTTCAACTATATTTGCTATACTGGAGGATTGTTAGAATTAATAATAATGACAAGAATATCTAACATTTATTACTGAGTGCTTGGTATGTACTAGCTACTGTTTTAAGACATTTCATGAATTATCTAATTGGATGTTCATATTTCTTTGAAATTCCAGTGTGAAGTTTTTCTTTGTCTGTAAATGTCTTTATAGTAAAAACGATTTGAGTCCTGGACGTGGCATCCTTGGTTCAGTTTTCATTCAATTATTCCAGCAACTCATTATCTTGTTATATATTTGATGCATTTAAGAATTTTTTGAAATGCCTCAATCAGGTTATTTTATAAAATACGGACGAAGGATAGGCTTTAGTTTCTATTATGAAATTACTAGAAAGTCCCTTGTATGTGCATTTTACTTATTTAATTCAACTATGAAATGAGATGTAGGAAAAAAATAGTCCCATTGTTATCCTTAAATTTCATTTTTAATCATTCCCCAAATGATTCTACGACTCCACCGATAGGACAAAACCAAAGTAAAATAAGCCAAAAGAAATAGATGGTGAACCTTTTTACAGTTCCTGGAGATATGAGAGTGATTTAAGAATTTTTCAAAGATAACACGGACTGTATACACTTCAAAATTATGAGTTAATTTAAAAATACAACCTCTGAATTACATGCAATCTTACTACACTACCTGTGTCATTAGCATCTGCTTCTCTCAAAAACAGATTTGCATTCTCCAAACTCACTTGCCTATCATGTATACTTAAAACTAAAGTTATAATAAGCTGTAAAAATATTAATGATAATTTACTAGTAGGATAGATTACTTAAAAACATGTCAAGTGTTACGCTGAGTGCAGAACAGAACAAGAAAACACAGAATAATGGAAAGATATAACAATACTGTAAGTTAGTGAAAGATACATTTCGCATTCTAAGAATTTTAAGGAACCTTTGATAAAAGTGGAAATATTGGGAAAAGTGTAAAGTATGAGGTTTTGTTTGTTGGTTGGTTTGGTAAGTCCCATCCTGGTAAAGCTCACAAAACATCCTAATTTGTAGAGCAAGTGCTAATGATCAGTGGAGCAGATGTGGCTCATAAAATTTCGGCTGAAAATGACTATAATCATCAGTCTTAGAAAATAGCAGCATTCAGAGGTCTCTGTGGTCTTATACCAGATAGGCTATTCAGAGAGGTGGAAGAGGTTGCTTCAGGTACTAGGATGTAGTTTTGGGAGACTTATAGTTTCTACCTGGCACAGAGACAGGGTCATACAGTAAATCTGGTGCATTCCTTTTAGTGCTATAATTTTACCAAGCATGGAGAAGACATAATGCTGAAATAAATTTCCCTGTAGAGGTGAGGGCATATTTCTGGGTCTGTCCCCAGTCTCTTGTCATTGATAATATTTGTATCAGTTCTAAAAACCAGGAAAAGATGGTATCCACATTCTACATACTTGAAGGAATATAGGACGCTACAAAAGTGAGTGGAAATGTGACCAGAATGAAGAAAGAGCTCACACAGCCTGTAACTCACCTGTTTGTATCTGACAACTGCTCTTATCAGGAAAGTTGGCCAGATTCTGACTAAACCTCAATAACTATCTTATTTGGAAGGATGAAGGCGGGATCTGACAGTGTTCCAGTGTGTGTATAGAGAAGAGTTGTGGAAGCAATGTGTTTGGTTATAAATCTGAATCTCACCAACACCTGTGGAACACACATCAGCTATTGGAGATCATATCAAGCAGGGATTACTCCATGTACACTAGACATATATACTGTACCTATCAAAGAGAACTAGCATTTTACTTATAGTAGTTCCAGGCTGCTACATCCCACACAGGGAAAAAAGGTATAGCAAAAAGTAAATGCTCACTGTTTATGGTGCCTTTGGGTCTCATTCATTTTTATATTACTGCATCTCTGAACTGATGTGGTTCAGCCAAGTAAAATAACCATTCCCATTTTTTCCCTTCTTGACTCATATAATGTTACAGATCATCTCAAGACATCAGATGACCCAATAACAAAGATGAAAATAAACAACAAATAAGAATGGCAAACAGTAAAACTACTAGACATATGAAAACAAAGAGACTACGTTATAGAAAAAGAATAGTTTCCTTTCAATGAAATAGAATTATTACAATAAACAGGAGGGCATTTTAGAAAATGTCTAATTTTTTTGAAAATATAATTGGAGAGGACAAAATACCAAGAAATCTAGAGCAAGTTGTATGTGATAAACTAAAATCTTGAAATGTGAAAGGTTTAATGGAGACAGAAAAAGTAATATCAAATTTTAAAATGATAATAACCCCAAAAGGAAGCAATGAGTGACAGCTGCATAAACTAAAAAAGACATTTTATATGAGTCTGAAAATTTCTATTGGAAATCAGAATTTTTTTTCATTTATTCACTAAAAGAAAATGTCTTCCACATAAAAATAAAAGAAAAAAAATGAGAAAATCAAGTTAAAAATCAGAAAATATTATGTAACACACAAGATTGAATCTACTAGTTATTAGTATACAGGAATCAGTTAAAATTACCTATGAAAAGACAAGGATTTCCAGATTTGATTGCAAAACAAAATTAACTATATGTCATTTATTAAAGACAAAGCAGAATAAAAATTGTTTAAAAATTAACTTCAAACAAAGCCTACTTAAAATGCTATATGTAACTGTAGTATTAATATTTAATATTGAATAAAGATGACTTTAAAAATAAAGTGTCTCATATTACTAATAAAGAATATATATGTATATAAAATGAATTATAAGCCATTAGAGCACAGCAGATAATATTAAAAATAAAAAGAGAATTTAACAAAAGTATAAGTATAGTGGAAGACTCCAGTGCATAACTTATTAGTCCTTAAGACATCAACAAAGAATACAGACTATCTTAATTACACAATTAAAAAAGCCAGTTTAACCGTTGTACTAAATTTGGCATGGAACACACCAAGAATAAACATATTTTCCAAAAACTATTGCACCAAGTCAAATATAGAAATAAGATATCTCAGTTTCTGACATTGTGATAAAACTGGATAATACAAGTTTTAACAAACAAAAACTTCAAATACTGATAAATGTATATCAAAAATCACTATCTTAAATAATTCATTTAAAGATAAACTCAAAACTATGATATGCAGACCAGTTAAAAATAATAGCAGATATATACAGTCATGTGCAGCTTAACAACAGGAATATGTTCTGAGAAAATGCATTGTTAGGCAATTTTGTCGTTGTGTGAATGCCATGGAGTGTACTAACATGAATCTAGATGTATAGCCCAGGGGTCCCCAAACTTTTTGGCACCTGGGACCGGTTTTGGGGAAGACAATTTTTCAATGGACGGATAGGGGTGGGCAGTGGTGCAGTATAAAGCGGGGATGGTTTCAGGATGAAACTGTTCCACCTCAGATTATCAGGCATTAAGTAGATTCTTACATGGAACACACAACCTAGATCCCTCACATGTGCAGTTCACAATAGGGTTCACACTCCTGTGAGAATCTAATGCTGCAGCTGGTCTGACAGGAGGTGGAGCAGTAATGCTTACTAGCTGGCGGCTCACCACCTGCTGTGTGACCCAGTTCCAAACAGGCCACTGATGGGTACAGATCAGCGGCACAGGGGTTAGGGACCCCTGGTATAGCCCACTACATACCTAGGCTATATGGTGTAGCCTATTGCTCCTAGGCTACAAACCTGTACAGTATGTTACTGTACTAAATAGTGTAGACAGTTTTAACACAGTGGTAAGTATTTGTGTATTCAAACATACCTAAACACAGAAAAGGTACAATAAAAGTATGATATAAAAATTAAAAATGGCTCAGCTGTTTGGGCACTTATCATAAATTAACTTAGTAGGACTGGAAGTTGCTCTGAGTGACTAGTGAGTAAATGTGAAGGCCTAGGATATTACTGTCCACTACTGCAGACTTCATAAGTGCTATACACTTAGGCTATGCTATATTTATAAAAAATAATATTCTTTCTTCAATAATAGATAATTACTTCAACTTATCTTATAAACATTTTAATTGTTTTTAATTTTTTGGCTCTTTTATAATGACACTTAGCTGAAAACACAACCACATTATGCAGCTTTACAAAAATATTTTCTTTATATTCTTATTCTATAAGCTTTTTTATATTTTTAATTTTTTAACATTTTTGCTCTGTAAACATTTTGTTAAAATCTAAGACAAAGACACACAGATTAGCCTAGTATGAAACAGGGTCAGGATCATCTACGCAGTGTTTTCCAGCTCCACATCTTGTCCCCTGGAAGGTCTTTGGGGCAGTAACACAAGTGGAGCGGTCATCTCCTATGGGAACAATTCCTTCTTTTCTTTTCTAATACCTCCTGAAGGATATTCCAGAGACTGTTTCACAGTTAGCTTTTTAAAAAAATAAGTAGTACACTCTAAAATAATGCTTAAAAGTATAGTATAGTAAATACATAAACCAGTAACACAATCGTTCTTTAGCATTATCAAGTATTCTGCACTGTACATAATTCTGTGCTATATTTTCAAATGACAGGCAGTGCAATATATTTGTTTCCACCATTATCATAGCCAACACATGAGGAATGCTTGTCGTTCTGACAGCTAAGACTTCATTAGGCGACAGGAATTTCTGAGTTCCATTATAATCTTATGGGATCACTTTCATACATGCCGTCCTTTGTTGACTGAAATATTATGCAACACATGATAATATGGCTTGGCTCTGTGTCCCCACCCAAACCTCACCTTGAATTGTACTCCCATAATTCCTATGTGTTGTGGGAGGGACCTGGTGGGAAATAATTTGAATCATGGGGGCAGTTTTCCCCATACCGTTCTCATGGTAGTGAATAAATCACACGAGATCTGATGGGTTCATCAGGGGTTTCTGCTTTTGCATCTTCCTCATTTTCTCTGGCTGCCACCAAGCAAGAAGTGCCTTTCACCTCCTGCCATGATTCTGAGGACTCCCCAGCCATGTGGAACTGTAAGTCCCATTAAACCTCTTTTTCTTCCCAGTCACGGGTATGTCTTTATCACCAGTGAGAAAACAGACTAATAGGCATGACTATATATATCAAAATACGTGGATCTGTGTTCAAAGAATAAGTGATAAAGAAGGAAAATGCAGCTCAATAAGCTACAGAAGACCAAAATAACACAATATTTTCTTCAAAATATGAGCCAGAGTTTAGTACTTCTGCTGCATTTAATAAAGTATTATGGGTTTTTTTCAATGTTATATTTTTAGAATTTTTATAGATTCAGGTCTTAGGTTTAAGCCCTTAATCCATCTTGAGTTGATTTTTGTATAGGTGAGAGATGAGGAACCAGTTTCATTCTCCTACATGTGGCTAGCCAATTACTCAACACCATTTTTGAAAAGGGTGTCCTTTCCCCACTTTGGCTTTTTGTTTGCTTTGTCGAAGATCAGTCGGCTGTAAGTATTTGGGTTTACTTCTAGGTTCTCTATTATGTTCCATTGGTCTATGTGCCTACATTCACCTCTGAGCAAGAGGTGAATGGGATATGCTGACTGACTTTGGTGCAGAATAATTAAGGAATCAGAGAGACTGAGGGGTTGAGGAGGAATTATTTAATTATTTAGGTGCACTGACCCAGTCGGATTAACATCCAAAGGACTGAGCCCCGAACAAAGAGTCAAGCTACCTTTTAAGCATTTCGTGGGGTGGGGGGAGATCTGTGCAGGGGGAAGCATATTACAGAAGTGAGAAACAAAGACAGTTATTCAATTAAGACATGCATTACATTATTTATTACTTTTCAAGGAACAACATGTTTTACAACTTGAGATTATCTGTCTAGTGACCTTGCAGCTGCACAGCTAGAGAAACAGTCTTCACAATGCCTGGGAAAGGGAGAAATAAGGCTCACTAGCCACAGAGAGAAAAACAGAGAGTTAATTTTAAAGGACTCCAGCCTTTTTCTCTTCCTCACGGGGAACTGGGTTTGCTTACATACAACTGAGTTTTTGCTTACACAATCTTTTTTTTTTTTTTTTTTTTTTTTTTTTTTTTTGAGACGGAGTCTCGCTCTGTCGCCCAGGCTGGAGTGCAGTGGCGGGATCTCGGCTCACTGCAAGCTCCGCCTCCCGGGTTCACGCCATTCTCCTGCCTCAGCCTCCCAAGTAGCTGGGACTACACGCGCCCGCCACTACGCCCGGCTAATTTTTTGTATTTTTAGTAGAGACGGGGTTTCACCGTTTTAGCCGGGATGGTCTCGATCTCCTGACCTCGTGATCCGCCCGCCTCGGCCTCCCAAAGTGCTGGGATTACAGGCGTGAGCCACCGCGCCCGGCCACAATCTTTAACTTCTTTTAATTCCTGTTCCAACTTTAGCAAATCAGTCTACCCCTACAACATAAAGCACATGCACTGTGTGAAAAATGCCTGAGACACTCTGGAATTGGGATACTTTTACTAAGAGATAGAGAGCATTAACTCTGAGGAGTGATGAAAGTTGGTTATGTAGGATTTAAGTTGAAGTTTTTAAACAAGTATCTATGATTGCCTATACTGATGGAATTATGTTCCCTGAAAAGCAGATAAATGATTTTGTTTTATTTTTACAGCCCAAAGGATAGCTGACACATGAGCCTGTGGGTTTTTAAACAAATAATTTTCATCAAAAATATAAACATTTAAATTTAGTCTTATAAAAGATGCATTTCTTTGACAATGTTGGTTAGTACTGACTAATAAACATTAAAGATTGTTATCACAAAAATGAAAATACCCCACATAAATCCATATTGAATATGAAATATAAGAAATGTGAGAATGATTATTTCCATGCCAAATGTAATAAAATGGCTCACAATACAATTTTAGAAGGATAAGCAACATACGTTTTGGAATTCTGATTTTTTAGGGTAACTATATCTAGGAAAAATAATATCTGTATTTTATAAAAAGTAGATAATATAAGGCAATGCTTTCCTAACTCAATACAAATGGCTGACTTGAACATGATATCTGAATAAGAAAATTCTCTAGTGTTGCTTTTCTTCTTTATTGAGAAAGCTGATACAAATTCATATGTACAAAGAGTAAATATAAGATTAAAATATTAATTTAGACTCCAGTAGAAGTAATGTTTTCAATGATTTTTTTTCTGAAATAGGTATGAGCTTATAATAATACATCCATTACATAATCTTAAAAATTTATGTTGGTATCTGGATTCAATATTTATTTTAAATTTATAAATTTTCAGTAAACCTGGTCAAAATATTCCTCACCTGAATTAAACTTACCACTGAGCTAAAACCATATTGTATTTAGTTTGAATATATGCTGATGCACAATACTACCTAACCATTATAATTATTTTTACTCTCACCACCATCACCATCATATCTCTATTATCATTATTATTACTAGTACTATTTCTACTATAATGTTGACTACCTTTGCTGAAACTATTAAAACTGTTATTATATAATAACTAATTCATACTTTGTTAGTTCATCAGTGATAGAACTATAGTGAAAACATCTCTCAAGTTTTCCAGACCTTAACGTTGAAAAGCACAGCATTTGAAATAGACAGATCATGCCAATTACTAGCCATACGGCTTTGGACAAGTAATTTATTCTCTCTGAACCTCAGTTAATTCCTCCATAAAATGTGATAATAATATCTATCTCTTAGTCTATTGAAAAATAGTACAATAATGTATATAGAATACATGGATCTAGAAGCTGATAGTACATATAATATTCTGGGGATCAATAAATACTAATTCATTTCTGATCCAGGCAAATGACCCTTATCTTTCTGTCCTTGTTTTAAGATGTTCTTCATAGGGTGAGTTTTCTATTGCTCTCAAAATTTCATATACTCATATTTGGACATTCTCTAGGTCCATTACATATTTCTTGAAGTACAAGGTTCTGAATAATAGCTGATACACATGATCTACAAAGGGGTATTTTGCAATAATTAAAAGTTATGCTGAATTTGGCATTTATTCTTTTATTTTGTATAAATTTTTTATTTCAATAGACATTATTTTTCATTGTCTTGAGAAAAATGTGCTAAAATATTTTAATGAATTTTTACTGGCTTTATGTCATTAGTCAGACTTTGATGTTTATCTTACGAGACCCTTAATTCTTTTATGATAATTTACTGATAATCAAGATAGTAGTATCAAAGTAAGGAGGTGATTTATAAAAACTGGTTTTTTTTTCAGCCTGCACAATACAACCGTTAAGAAAATCTTCTATTTAATTTGTAAAAATAAGCTGCTTAGGCTGTATATTATATAACTAAAGTCTTGGCTACATTATTATAGCAGCCATAATTAATAGTCTTCCTCAAATATAAACTATTGTGTGGCCCATTTAATTCAATTGTAAGAATCAAACTGACTAGTACATTTTTAAAACGAGAATAGATAACACTAAAGGCAGTAAAATTATAAATGACACAAGTGATTAAAATGAAAAATTCCATAAATTTTTTTGATGGTAAGAATTTAGTCTCTCTCTGGACAGCTTTCAACACCAAGCTTTTTTAGGATCTACCAGTCTGGGGAAGTTTGTACATATTTATTCTCATGCTGAAATTAAAAACAAAAATCTCTTTGTCTTGAAATTAACATGAATGTATTCAATGAGTACTCAATAAATACTTTCTGATTATCTGTCTGAAACATTTGAAATATTTTCTTTATTTGTAAGCAAATATAATATGTGACTTATAACAGAATGGAATGAGCAGTTACATACCAAGGAGAATATGAACTTTCCTTTTTCAATATAAATTGATTCTAAAATTCAACAGTGTTTAGACGATTCTCTTTTTTTTTGCCTGAATTTTTCTATTGAGCTTATGACTTAGAATAATTCTTCCTTTCATCACTTCTTCCACAATCTTATGAAATTATAAAACAATTACACTACCTGTAGAAACTTTCTTGTAATTAAAACACAAGTGAAAAACTGACGGCTGGGCGCGGTGGCTCACGCCTGTAATCCCAGCACTTTGGGATGCCAAGGAGGGCAGATCATGAGGTCAGGAGATCGAGACTATCCTGGCTAACACGATGAAACCCCGTCTCTACTAAACATACAAAAATTAGCTGGGCATGGTGGCGGATGCCTGTAGTCCCAGCTACTCGGGAGGCTGAGGCAGGAGAATGGCGTGAACCCTGGAGGCGGAGCTTGCTGTGAGCAGAGATCGCGCCACTGCACTCCAGCCTGGGCTACAGAGCGAGACTCCGTCTCAAAAAAAAAAAAAAAAAAAAAAGAAAAAAGAAAAACTGACAGTAGGGTTAAATGTTATTATTTCTCAAAAGGATCCCAAATTGATATGTCAAATTAAATCAAAGTACAAATTTACTTCTAAACATGGCATCATTCATTTTTTCATCATATTGATGGATTCAGTTTCTTTACCGAGTCTATATATTTTCTCAGTTCAGAAACAAAGTGACTTGTTCTTTATATTACTCTCCTTGGGAGAAACATCTGCTAAGTATTTGAGACTTAAGTATTTTCCTGTGTCTAGAAGAAGTACCTTTGTTATTGCTTTGTTTCATACCTATATTTGCATAATTTTGTTCAAGAGAAGTATACTTTCTTTTCCAATTACTACCTATTAGAAAAATAAGCAGATAAAATGTACTTAGAAAGCACATGTTAAGTAATTTGCTCATTTATATTTGATTAGATTGCTCTTTAATTGTATCTGGGAAGGTTTAGAGCGTAGAGAGTGGGAAACAAATACTTAAGCATTGCAGTAGCCTGCCACCCATCAAAAGCACTTCACTTCTTAAATGTCAGTATCCTTATTTGTAAATGACGACTTTGTTACTTGTCTTGCCTTATAAGCTTTTGGAAGCATTTTAGAGTAAATGAGTTTTTTGATAAAGCACTGCAAATTTAAGATCAGTTTGATAATTTTCTCTAATTTAAAATGTACAATAAAAGATGGACAGCTTATCTTTTATGAAGATTCCTTAAAAGCTCTAAATACAATCAGGGTTACTTCACTGGATTAATAACAGAATTAAGTCAGTATTTATTGCACTAACTTCCTACACTTATTATAATGCAGGTTATTACCTGTGGTAACTTCTTTTCTAATAAATGGATTCAAAATCCTTATATGTAAAGATCCAAGGAGCTGCAATTTACAATGAAAAACAGTTTGATGCTTAATAAATCTCCTTTAATAAGCATTCAGTTAAGTAAAAGTGTTAAAATTTTGGTAAAAATATCTGTAAGAATTTATTCATGACTTTGCAATAGACCTTTTGGATGACACATATTCAATTAGGGAAAAACAAGATGAAACAAAAACAAAGTAATCATCTCATTCCATGGAGAACTTAGAAATATGCAATTTAGTTGCTAAATTTAGGTTTTATTTCAAACTTAGGAGATTTTATTCCTAATTTTACGTCACTATAACAATAACTAAAAATACTAAAAAGTTCAAATGCTACGTTTGCATTTTTTATTTTTCTTGAATTCAAGAAGAAAAAACAGCATATAATTAATCACATTATTTCTAGTTATGTGTTTTACAATTCTATGTTACTCATAAATCGTGACCATTTTTGTTTTCAGTTATGATAGCCACTTAGTTAGACTCAAATAATGTTTTCTAATAGTCTTGTCTAAATAATTCACAAACAGGATCCACAAGTTCCAAAATGTAATATTTTATTTGATTAACCAGTAATTTTTAGTCCTCATTTTTGCTTGGACATAACTTTGTCAAGAATATTATAGGACTATATACATTTCTTACTATCTATATTCACTTCAAAATTTTAGCTAATATAGATTTCAAGTTCTTGTTTCTTGCAGAATCTCCCACCCCAAACCCATTATAAAAAGGTTTGTTTGGAAAAAGAAATATTTTTTTGATATGGTGTGGTTTTTGTTGTAAGTAGGGTTTATAAATTTAAGGACCACCCTTCATCCACCAGTTTTTAATTTAATCATGGG
The DNA here is from genome assembly GCF_000001405.40 of Homo sapiens. Taxonomy (NCBI): domain Eukaryota; kingdom Metazoa; phylum Chordata; class Mammalia; order Primates; family Hominidae; genus Homo; species Homo sapiens. The sequence goes on from NC_000012.12 coordinate 86,134,523, forward strand.
TTTCTTGTGCCTGATAGCAGCATAACCCATTTTTCTATTTTTTTTCCTTTGTCACCCTCACTAATGAAACCAGTAATAGTCCTGAACCCCATGCCGTTTTGTCATGTAGTTACAGCTTGTCCTTTTATAAAAGAAAATTAGAAAACTGCTGAGTGTTATAGATATTAATGGTTGTTAGAAAAGCATAATAAAAGCCTCTCTTTCTGGAGCACTGCTAAGCTTTTATGTCATTATTCATGAGTGACTAATGCATTCAAAGAAGAGTGCCGATCTCTAAGGCTGGGATGATGAACAGTGGAGAGGGACAGAATGGCTAAGAGAAAGTCGTTTGTCAAATGTGAAGATTTAATAACAGGCTTGCCTACAATAAGATATTTCAGCTGAACTTAGAAAAAGAAACTTTTCTTACATATGAGGTATTATTCATGGTATTTCAAATCACCAGGAACAAATCTATAGGATACCTTTGTTTAAATGAATATTTTTCAGGAACACACACAACCCCCAAATCCAGAAAGTAAGCGTCTTATGAAATGCCATTGAACTATACCTGTTTTATTTCTTTTATCATACCATATCACATATATATTGCTCAATTTGTGGGTAGTTAAAAGAATCATAAATAGAGCATCTGGATTTGTTGGTGTTCTTTGACTGTAAGCAATGAAAACCAACTCAGGGTTTATATAAAACATGAGTTTATTAGAAGGATATAGAGTAGCTTTTGAAATCCTAGGAAAGTCTGAAGATCAAGGAGGACAGGATCAAAGACGTTTCTAGAAGTATGGTAGGAGGAACTAATGGACAGTCTCATGAGGGTAATGCCATTAGTAAAAATCACCTCCCAACATTTTTGTTTTAAACGTTTTTCAGTTCAAATTTCAAATTCCAAAGACAGACAGCCATATGACTATCAGGGGAGAGTATGTGCGTGATCTTATTTGTAAGGTTTCAGGCAAAGGCTGGATGGTGTAATTACGCAAGCAAATATTGAGGTTGTATTACTTAAAAAAGTAAGGGGGGGCAGACAAGATAAACGCTGGGAAGATAAAAGGATAGTTATGAACTATACCTGCCTTCTGGATATCTCTCAGGCCTATTTATTTTCTTTTTCCGCAACAAACACAAAATTATAGTGACCATTTACATAGTGTCCTAAACTACATGCTTTCCTGTGACACTGATTAGAATCTGTCCCTTAGAGAATGTCAGCATCATCTTTGATTTAGCAGCATCTTAATGTTGTATAGAAGTGTAACAACTTATAACTGCAGGATAAAATATGTTTTTCAGATTAAGGTGATCAATAACCTCTAATTCCAAACACATTATTGCTAAATTACGATGCATGTGAAATCTGGATACAAGTTAACTACTGATTAATTCATTGTGACTCGCTTGGCTTAGGGATACAGTTTAAACATGGAAAGATAAGAGAAGAAAATAATTTTGTTCATTTGGACTAAAACTGTAGTTTTGGTTTCTTCAGAACAACTCAAGAATTTATATTATTACTGGAGAATTAGTTTTGCTTCATTTTCTCATAGATTAGTAATACATAAAGGGAATTTGATTTTGCAAACATTATTGTTTAAAACATCAATAAATATATCCATAAAATAATCACTCTATTAGTCTGTTAGATAGATCAGTCATCCATTAATTCAATTAAGAATTATTGAGTCTTTTATGTTCTAAGAAGTGTTCTAAAAACAGGGGCTCTATTTGGTGGGAAAAACAAAATGAAACAAAATAAAACTCTGTCTTTATGTAGCTCACATTCTACTGGAAATATACAAGATAAATATACCCATGAATATATAATAAAATGCCAGCTAGTTGCATGTGCTATGAAGAAAAAAGAAAGCATGGAGATGGAGAATAATGGAGGTGGGGGTGGTGACGTGGAGGACAAATATTTTAGATAGAGTGGTTAGGAAGGGCATCTATAAGTGTGTCCTTTGAATAGGAATGACAATAAGATTAGACAAGCAGTTACATCACGAAGACGTTATGCAATGTGAAAGAGTTGGTCAATTAACATCTGATAGGGTTTCGTTATTCTTTAAGTGTTATATTACTCAAGATCCCATCAGTTATTTCTTTTCCTACCCTGCAAACATTTCCTACATTCTCTTATCCACTCATATCTTTGTTTTTTTGTTTTTGTTTTTTCTTTTTTTGAGATGGAGTTTTGCTCTTGTCATCCGGTCCGGCATGCAATAGCGTGATCTCAGCTCACTGCAACCTCCGCCTCCCAGGTTCAAGTGATTTCCTGCCTCAGCCTCCCAAGTAGCTGGAATTACAGGCACACACTACCACGCCTGGCTAATTTTTGTATTTTTAGTAGAGACGAGGTTTCACCATGTTGGCCAGGCTGGTCTCGAACTCCTAACCTTGTGATCCGCCCACATCGGCCTCCCAAAGTGCTGGGATTACAGGCATGAGCCGCGCGCCTGGCTCACTCATATTTTTGACTATAAAAATATGATAAGATTATTATATGCGAAATCCTATCTGGTGTCCTGAGCTCCATTACAGACTTCAGACTTCAACTGTTTAGTGTCTGTCAGGATACCAGAATGTCCCAGAGTCACCTTATATACATTCTTTCCAAGTCGAAATGAATTATTTTCAGCATCCCATTCATATTCCTTTCTTAACTCTGTAACCACATATAGAAACCTACAGCCATTCTTGACTACTTTTTCCTCATGGAAACATAAGACTCAATTTATTTTGCATCTTAAATATTTCATAAATAAAAAAGCTGCTTCTGTTCATTCTGACTACCCTCATCCTTTATCATTGATTACTTGCACTTTTGCAACAGCTTCCCATATATTTTCCTAGGCTTCAATTAAATATCCTCATCTGTCCTTCTACTGACCTTACTGAGATAATTGTATATATGACTTTGTCAGGCTCCTTCTTAAAACCATTCAGTGACTGTTATTGCCTAAAGTCCAAGCTCCTTATAAAACATTACTTCTTATATAATCAGTCCTAAGTTTAAACAAGCCCTTTGATTAAATCTAATAAATTCTTATCAGTTCTTTACTCACCTTATACGCTCAAGAAAAGTATTTAACAAAATCGACCATGTCTAGGAACTCTCTTTGGATTCTGTGATGCCATATTTTGCAGACATTTGTAGGTGCTATGGCCAGATTCCTTCCGATTACTTTTATCATATCTGCATACCTATACTCCCCTCCTATGAAACTTGCTTCTAACTTCCTGCATTTGCAGTTAAATTTTAAGGACTGCATACAGACAACTGTGACCCTTTTGCAGAGAACAGACAGTACGTGGGAGCCAATAACCACATGGAGCTGACTTCGGCAAATACCCTATGAGAGTATAAAAGTTCAGCTCATTTGCATGGAGTTGGGAAAAATTCTGAGGAGCATTTTACCCTTCAGGTCTTGCCTAAGGAAGCAGGCTACAGTTGGGATTTTCCCAATAATCACACACTTACATGGTTTCTTCCTCTTCCCTACTCCCTTACCAGTTTCTCCAGAAATACTTTTCTAATAAATCACCAGAATGTGAATCACGTTCTGAAAGGCCTGCTTCTGAAGACATGATTAAATACTCCACTCTATCCTGTTTCCTTTATCCTGCTTGGCTCCTCTTCCTTGCTTTCCGCTACCAGCTTTTCCTTCTTCATCCAACATACAAATTCCTGAGTTCCTCAGCACTCAAACTCAGACTCATTTCTCATTGCACTCTATACCCCCTCCTTAGGCAATTTTGCCCATACCTATGACTAATGTTACAATCATTTTTTTTTTTTCACTACCCTAGACTTTTCTTCTCAGGGTTAGACAATATACCTAACTGCCTCCTCAGGATTCCCACTTGGATATCAGGCAACTCAAACTCAATGTATCTCAATGATCTAGCTCAACAAACATTGTATATAACATATATATATATTTCCATATATATCCATATATATATTTCCATATATATATCATGTATATATTTCCATAGATATATCATGTATATATTTCCATAGATATATCATGTATATATTTCCATAGATATATCATATATATATTTCCATATATATATTTCCATAGATATATCATATATATATTTCCATAGATATATCATATATATATTTCCATATATATCATATATATTTCCATATATATATTTCCATATATATCCATATATATATAAAATACAAATCATCTCTATATTAGGTACTCACACTATGGAGGAAAATTAACAAGAGAACTGCTGGCTTAAGCGGGCATTCAGACTTGGAGGAGGAAGGTAGAAAGTTCTTTTGGACTAGTGTCAGGAAGAGAGGAACTTTCCTTATAAATTAGCAGCCACAGACAGCCTGCCTTGTATCAAGAGGGGTGGAGAGGAACAGTTAGACAATAATATCCTGTGCAAGAGGATGTGGGGAGGAACAGCTGGAAGATCACGTGTGAAAGGCCACAATGGAAAATGCTGTGTCCTTCAGAGTCTCTCCCAACATCATCTTCCTGGGTCCTCATGACTTCCCTCCATCTTGTTTGCCTCACCCTAGAGTAATTAACTATATTTCTACTGAATTTTTCTGATAATTTTCAAAATATTTTCTTTGCATCTAATCTTATCCTTCTATGATGTGTTTTACAGTGTTTTATTAAGTATTTAGAAATTATAAAAATCATTAAAGGCTATAAAAGATAAGACTAACATGCCAAATGACTAATTTATCCAGCAGTTTAAGAAACCCCCTGGGTGCTTCTCTCTTTCCTCAGGCATGACCATTTTTGTGACTTTTAGTTTCATCAGTCATTCCCTTGATTTCCTTAAAATTTTATCATTTATGTCTGTATCCCTAAAATATATTGTTTATTTTTCCTATATGTTTAAAAGACTTAACTATAAAATAATACTGTATATATTCTTCTATGACAACTTTTTTCACTCAAAATTATGTTCCTTATCTTCATATATGTTATATGAATCTTTTTTTAAAATTTTCACGGATGTATAATATTTCATTATATAAGTAAAATATAACTTATTTACCCATTCCAATGTTGATGGGTATTTGGGAGTTTTTCAATTTCTAAAGATTAACTTAATAACTAACATGAATCATTAATTAATTTACAATTATAAAAAGGCATTTCAATGAAAATGTATATATATGCTTTCTGATATACAAATATAAGAGTTTCTTTAAATAAGAATAGAAAAAAAACGGTTCTTTGAGGATATGACTTAAGCTTTACTAGACAATGCCAAATAATTTTCCACAGCATTTGTATCAACTTTATATTCATAATCCTACCTGCAGTGCATGAGAATTTTAGCTGCTCTGCATTTGCATTAAGAGTCATCCATTCCTCATCCAGCAGTTACTATGACCTTTTACAAATACAAATCTGATTAAGTCACCCAAACCTTGCCTAAAAGCCTTTAATGGTTTCTCAATGATCCTAAAATAAATTCTAAAAGTTTAACATTGTTGAAGGATTCTTTTTGCCCTGACCTCTCCCTCATTTAGTATTTTATATCATTCTTCTTGCCTTCTATGTCTATACTGGCCTTAAATTTCTTTTTTCTGCCCCAAGGCCTTCATATGATAAACTTCTTCCTGGAACTCTTTAATTCTACCTGTTCCTCTGATTAACTTTTCTCCTTTAGTCATATATTAAATGTCATTACAGCAAGGAAGCTTTTCTGGACTCTTCAGAATTGATTAACTCCCCTCATATTGCTGTAATTACACATTTTCTAAATATAACATTTATCTCAAAAATAATGAAGAAACAATTGTGGTTTAAAATGTGCCCCTATGTCCTTTGCAGGGACATGAATGAAGCTGGAAACCATCATTCTCAGCAAACCAACAAAGGAACAGAAAACCAAACACCGCATGTTCTCACCACATTATCTCCTATAAGTGAGAATTGAACAATGGGAACATGTGGACACAGGGAGGAGAACATCACACACCGGGGCCTGTCGGGGGGTGGGAGGTTAGAGGAGGGATAGCATTAGGAGAAATACCTAATGTAGATGACGGGTTGATGGGTGCAGCAAACCACCATGGTACATGTATACCTATGTAACCTGCATTTTCTGCACATGTCCCAGAGAACTTAAAGTATAATAAAAATAAAATAAAATAAAATAATATGTGCCCCCTACCAACCTTCACGTTCAATAGGTTCAATCATAGTTTCTTGTTCTGTGTTGTTCACAAATTTATTTAGAGCAACTAGAATGTACTTGACAAATAGTCAATGTTCATTATACATGCTGAATGAGAATGACTAATCTCCTCAACACATACACAGTATAGTTTATATTAATTTTCATTCTAGAAGAGATACATTTTTATTCAACCCATAGTTATGTTATTGTTTTACTTTGAATACCCCCAACTTCCAAGTGAGTGGTATGCTTTTCCCTGCCATTGATGCCATGATCTTCTTTGACCAATGAAATGTGCAGAGTGTCATGAAATCAGAAAGGTGAAATGTGCTCATTCTTTTAGGTGTGCCTTATTTCCTTCCACTGGCACCATGAGAGAGGAACATGGTTGAGCTAGCTTGCTGGTCTCTGAAAAATAAGTGTCACATAGACAAGTGTAGATAAGCCAAATACCATCTGATCAACAAATTCAGAGATAAATACTTCTTTTTGAATGCCTCTGAGATTTGGTGGTTATTTGTAGACAGAAAAAGTTAACACACAGAGTAGATAAATTTTTACAAAGGATACAATTCTTAGAAGGACACAAGTTTAACAGAGACAAGTTTCTCAAGGAATTATCAATAAAATAAAGTGAATTCAATTTAAGTTGAAATATAAATAAATAGCTGCTCAAATTCATTTTTTCAAAATAACTTAGATGAAAATGAAATACAAAGTTAAACACTGGAAAATTTGAGTGAAGAACTGCTTGATTTTAAACTGATTATAAGCCTTTTATCACATAAATCTTTTCATGTGTCTAGGCATAAAACAGTAAGGATCATGGCTGTCATCAGCTATGAATGACAATATACCTTACTATTGTATGGGCCAGCTTTAAACTGAACACTTTCTATTAGCTGTACAGAAAGGGTTTTGTAATCTTTTCTTGGAATGGCCCCTATTTTTCAGAGCTGAAATATAAAATGCTATTAACCAATTACCAGCTATACCTAATGTTCAAGTTTAGCTTTTTAGTCATAAAGAAAAAAAAGCTTTTTAAGTTTCAGAGGAAGTGAGTATATCATAACTAAAAGCTTATAATTTAACTCATGTAGATTATACAATTCAAGTGCAATTCATACCCGCTAAGACTATTTCTGGTGGCTTCAGCGACTGGAAATATCTCTAACCTTATAGGCCAAGAAGAGACCCGACAAAAGGAAGCCTTTCACTTCATGCCAGTGTAAGCTTGATGTCAGCATTTTCTACCTTTATTAGGAGAGTTACTGTCCTTTTCTTACAGGGGAGTGGTCTTATGTTAGGATCCAAACAACACTAATATGAGGAAACAGTAATTCTAAGGAAGCCTCATCAACTTTATTACTGACTCCCCTGGCTTTAGTCAGTCCTACTAAGGACAAACCTCTGACTTCAGTTAAGCAAGTCTGATTCTCTCTTGAAAACTGAGCATTGAAATTCAGGTTTAGCTAATTTGATCTATGGTTTATGCCCAGAATTTAGGTGATGTAAACAGGAAGGTGGTCATGTGGATGTGAAGAGAGAAAGTGAGGCCACACACAGAGAGATGAAAATCAAGCCAATATAGCACACATGTGCAGGTTAAAGATGGAGCTTCCTGCCTAGGTTCTCAGCTGTCAATTCCATTTTCTCCCTTGTGAAGAGGTCAGTGTACCCATGTTTATTTTCATGTAATTAAAGTGAGGTAAGAACTCTGATCTCTGGGTTGCTCATTTTCCTGTCAAACTTAGCTATGATCAAATGAGGTATTTTACATCAGAATCTATTATCTGTAATCTCAGCAATCAGCTACTAGGAAATGTCTCAGTATATACCAATCCTGCTTTCTCTCATTTTCATAGCTGTAGTTCTGTGCAAAATCTAATCCTTTACAGCTGAATAGCTGAATATATAGTAGGGGATTGTTTATATATTTATATTACATATTTAGATATTGGTGGTTACAATAACTACATAGGTAGGGATGGAGAGAGGCATTGTGGTCCATTCTTTTTTTTTTTTGTTTTTTTTGTGGAGGGTTGGGGGTTGTCGAGGCTTCAGTTGGGCTTTTCTTGTTTATAACCAAAATATATTACTGTGGATTCAGTTGTGTCCCTCTCAAAATTCATATGTTGAAGCTCTAACCACCAATGCAACTGTATTTGGCGATAGATCTTATAAGGAGGTAATTAAGTTAAATGAGGTCAGAAATGTGGGGACCTCATTCAAAAGGATTAATGTCCCCTTATAAGAAGAGGCTCCAGAGAACCCACTTATTGTCTTCAAAATCCCACAAATGAAAGCTGTGTAAGAACACTGCCAAACAGCGATTGTCTATGAGCCAGAAACAGAACCCTTACCAGAAACTAAATTTGTTGGCACCTTAATCATGGCCTTTCAGCCTCCAGAACTGTAAGAAAGAAATTTGTGTTGGTTAAGCCACCCAGTTTATGGTATTTTTATATAGCAGTGAATCCCATGCCTGAGGGGGCCCAATATTTACCTGGGATCCTCCAAATTTCTACATAGTGAAGCCAGATGACACAGCAACTCATAAGTTGTCTTAGTTTCAGAATCATCTCCAATGAGATACAGATCTATCATAAAAAGCACACACCTGCTTTCACAGCATGGCTTAAGGGTGAAATTTTCCCTGGACAAAACCAATTTACATTTAATTTATTGCTACCCAGAAGTATGTCTGGCTTTCTGCTTTAGAGGAGATTGTCATGCAGAAAAAGAGGGAAACTCATAAACAACAGTCTATGACAATGTAATAGAGGTGTAGATAGCTTGTTATGGGAGAAAGAAAGACTAACTCATTGGAAATAAAGGAAAAATTTACGCTTAGGGTATTTTTGGGAAAAGTTTACCCTTTCTCACCTGAAAAACAAGACTTCAGGTACTTAAGGTTCTTTGCTGTTATGAGATTTTTATTTTGGCTTACTTAATCAGCCTTAGTATGTTAAAGAGAAGAACCGAAAAACCAATGCAGGATATTCCGATAAAACACAGATACTTGAAAACTTGAGTGGCAGAAATTAGAAGTAAGAAGAAAAGAAAGAAATAAAAAGTGTTTTTAATCAGAAACCCTGAATACTAAACATACTATTTTAGCAGGTTGTAGATATTGTTGAACCCAGCACATGAAGGCAATAGAAACTAACATGTTGAGGGTAGAGAAATAAAAAGAACATAGGCTAGTAAGTGATTTAGGTGCCTCACTTTTATGGCATTCTTTTCCAAGATGGGAATAATGTTGATTTATCCTTTGTGATGTCAGCCCCTAGCACAGTGCCTAGCACATAATATGTGTTAAATAAATTCCAGTCATAGGGATGATGCGCACAAGTACGTGGTTTGCTGAAGAGGGAGCCACTAGGTGGCTGGGCATCCAGGAGAGACCACTCGGACAAATTTAAACAGAGAGGACAGAAAAGACCTTTCATGTACTTTACGTTTTTTACATAAGCCTACATATAGTTCGTTTATATATCCTGGTCCCATATCAAGCCTTAAAATTAATATTTTTTATTTCAGCTTTAATATGCAGTCACTGTAGGCCATGTTAATAAATATTCTTTATTTTAGTAAGTAAAATATTTCTTTTTACCAGGAAAGCTATATGCAGTGAAAACGCTGATAGATTCTCCTAATTGAAACTACATTGCTAGTTATACCCTCGAGTACAGGTCTTATCTCTACTTAATATAGGATGCTAAGAATCATGACACTATTATTAAAATAGAGACACATTATTCTTCAGGTCAGAAAAGAATTGGTATGTGTGACCAAGGGGTTTATACATTACATTTCATCACAACATTGTCATTCTTTTAATATAGTGCAGAACACTAAAAGCTATTGTTTCCATGAATTACAACCCCAAATACTTTCACTCTGCAGATTCATTTTATCAGGATCTCAGTATTATACATCACAACTGTAATGTGTAACATATTTTCAGTACATATCTTTATTGTACGTTATAGGCTAAAGTAGCATAATTATCATTATAGTAAGGTTTTACAAGAGACTTTATGTTTTAATTTTTATGTTCAAAGTTATTTAAGTAGTCACTGCAAGAAGAATCTTAAAAAATACTCATAAGTTATACTATAAAACCAGTCCTTGGAGATTTTAAATTATTTTCAATTTTTAGGGGGTCTTTTATGAGAAGAAATATTTTATCAATAAGGGAGTAAACATTTTCAATGCATGCTCTTCATTTCACATTTTGCTTCAGCTTGCACCAAGTGGTTATTTTGCAGGAAAACAAAACAAAACAAAAAAAATATTAAAGACTCAACTCTGCTGCACTAAAGTAAATCAAAAGCAACTGCAGAAACAAAAAGCTGTTTAAATGCAAAACCTTGCCAACTTTTCTGTCAGGGTATACAACTTTTAAATGGTGTCTAAATATTTTAAGCATAATAAGAAATAGATCTCTAAAACTTATATCGCTATCCACCTCTAGCTTCTGAGATAAATTCTGGCCTGACTAACCATTAGTAGATAATTAGAAATGAAATGGGAGATCCAACATTAACACAGACTTTCTTTTTTTTTGGCTTAGGAGCCTCCTTTATGCAAATTGGTAGGAGACCATTTTCATGCAGTTCTGGCAATCAGTACTTAATTTGTTGATAGCCTTAACAGTTGTGGCCAGAGTATAATTGGTATGGGCCCTTGTGCAAGAAAAATAAATTGGGTTGTGCACAAAACTAAGCAACATAATTACCAACAATTAGACGTTAATTACCAAGTAGCAGATTCTCAAACCTTTCTCCTGAATTTGGCCAAAGCTAGACCTAATTATATTTTTATGTTGTGAAAACATCCATGTGCCTGAGATAATCAGGTGTTCCGAAGGTGCCTTCTGTAGATACTGTGTTTTGTTATGGATTCTCATGTCAGGAAATTAAATATGTTTATATTTGGGCTTATCTAATAATCACAGAAAAGTTAGTGAGGTGGGATTTGTGCTAATTTGGTAGTCATTTATTTACCTTACCTATTTAATTTGATCACTTCTGAAAATACTGATGTAAAAAAGAATGAAAATTATTTTAGGATTATAAAAAGAAAGAACAGAAAGATTTTGCTCAGGCAAAAATAGAGTTTCTCCAAGTATCCTTCACTATAACAAAGAAATCTTTTCCAATATTAGACCCTAGGGGAACACAGCTACAGCCACAGTCTGCATAACAGGTTTTTACTACTAGATGCGACATGAAAAGTATTTATACAAAAAAATTAGCAGATCAAACATTATATTATAACTATGAATGAAAACAGTCTAAGACATTTTTGGGGAACACTAAAAATATGTTGCAGACATTCCTTTTGATCAGAAACATAATAATATTATCAAATTTTAACAGCAAAGCAACATTTACAACAGCATAGCAATATTTACATAGCAAAATAAACATTTTCTTACTTTGTTTTCTATGATCCGAAGACCTGAAACCAAGGTCTAAGAGTTATCCTACCAGGGAGTAGTGGTAAAATCCACTTATTTTCTTACATGTATATTCTAATTATGGCTGGCGGGTTATTCTGTGCTAAGATCACAGGTAAAATTAACATTTTTGCATTCTTGAGGGAATCCACATGTCCCATCGTGTTTTCACTTCAACACATATTTGTTTATTCAATTAGTTAAGAGATACACATACCATTCTCTGAGGAAGATGAGATACAGTTTTCTTCTTTTCTTTTTTACATTAGTCCTCCTGCTTTTTCATCTTCCATTCACTCCCCTGGACTGAGAATTGGAAGTTAATTTTAAAAGTATTTTTAATAGAATGTTATCTACTGGTTTCTTTTCCGTGTTCTCTTATTCTATTTAAATCTCTCTAAGAACTGGGAAGTTATCCGATCTAATGGCCTCTTCAAGGTCTTCATTCTAGACACTGCAGCACTGGATATTTTTGAGATTTTCCTATTTCTTGAAAGCTTCTCTTCCCATGAATTTTATAATATTATTTTATTTATTAATTAAAAATTTAGTGTCTTCTCAATAGTAATCAGCAAAATGTAAAGTTTACCATCATTGAGATTCAAACCCTTTACAATTGGACAACAATCGACCTTATTTGGTACTTGCTTTATACATTCTAATTCTCTCCTTTTTTTTTTTTCCAGATTATAACATGTACTTTCATGTCCATTTACCTGTATCCTTGCATTTTCCACACCTGGCAATGTCCTACATATATTAAACTTCACCAACTCTGTAAAGTTTGGAAGTATTTCTACTGCACAACACTCAACAAACAGACTAAATTATCAGACCATCTAAACAACATTGGATGGATTCTTTCTTGTCTTTAGAATGTCTAGAAAAAGATGTGGAACACCTACATTATGAAATGTGTGTGTGTGTCTGGTGTGTGTGTTTATGATTTTTATTTATTTGTTTTCAACTAGAAGGGCATGCATGTGTTGGACCCATATATGTCTTAGAAAGGTGGGTTGAGTTTTCTAAGACTAGATGAGGTGAGGGTATAGAGAAGAAATAAGATAGCAGAAATTTATTAAATTTTTTTTTTTTTGAGACGTAGTCTCGCTCTGTCGCCCAGGCTGGAGTGCAGTGCCGCGATCTCAGCTCACTGCAAGCTCCACCTCCCGGGTTCACGTCATTCTCCTGCTTCAGCCTCCCAAGTACCTGGGACTACAGGCACCCGCCACCACGCCCAGCTAATTTTTTGTATTTTTAGTAGAGACGGGGTTTCACCGTGTTAGCCAGGATGGTCTGGATCTCCTGACCTCGTGATCCACCCGCCTCGGCCTCCCAAAGTGCTGGGATTACAGGCGTGAGCCACCGTGCCTGGCCTATTAAATGTTTTAACAGTACATTTTTAAATATTACTTAGGATAGTTTTTCCTCCTAAATAACATGTCTGGGTGAAGTATAATCCTAATTTGAGTGGAGCATTGGAGATATTTACAGAAGAAAAGTTGGCTCTCCTTTAAAGTTGGACAAATTGCTATAGTGTGATGGATTACTAGAGAGGAGGAAAAAATGGAAATCATATTGAGTGAAAGTTTTTCTATTTAAGGGAATAAATCAGTAGTATAATTACTTATGTTTACACTAATATTAGTAACTTATAGAGGAGACACTGTAAATTATGATATATAGGTAAGGGATCCATTATTTGGACAGCATAGAAGCACATACAGAAATATAAAGTGGTCTCTCTAAGACAATATTTGAGAGACAAATCTAAGGCTAAATTTAAAGCCTCTTGATTTCAGAACAAAATATTTACTGGCTTCCATTGAGAGTAAAACGAAGAAGAGAGAAAAATTTGAAAAACCAAAACAAAATAATGTTAACAAAAACTACAACATCTATATTGAAGCATTTCATAAAGAACTACTAATTTTGAAAAGAATAATAAAGTGAATGTCTAATTAAATGGCGCATTTTTAAAAGACTTCTTGCAAACACTCTTTTTGCTGTCACTTAAAATTTGTGCTCCTTAGAGAGTGAAAGGAGAGAACCAGGAATCATTAAGCCTAGTACCATAATGAAATACCTGCGTGATGAAACAATCTGTACGACAAGCCTCCATGATGCAGGTTTACCTGTGTAACAAGCCTGCACTTGTACCCCTGAACTTAAAATAACAGTTAAAAAACATTGTGTGCTTATCATAATTTCTTGAAACAAATTGTATATGCAAAACTGTGCCTCTGCATCTGTTAAAATTACCCTGATTGGCCACTTGCATTCTCAGAGAGAAGGGTATAGAGCTAATTGACCTTGCCAGAGACCAAATGTACCTACTGTGTTTTAATTTGGTGTGCAATTCTATGTCTGTGCAAATTTTCTCATGCCAATTATTGCACTTCAAAAAATCTGCATCCTACCAATATCTTTGCAACTGAACAGAAAGAGGAGAGAACATTCTCTAAACAATGCAATTAGAGCAGTATAGGCAATTAACTTTGCTATTTAGTCTAAAGTAGACAGCACTAAAGACAAAGTAATAAATATTCATAAACACTTTACCATTATATGGAATTGCAGAATAGACACACATTTTTAATACACAATACAGGCAGTCATATTATTAAACTTAATGGCATCTGAGGAATGATGAAACTCTAAGAGCCTTGAGCTTGTAATGAGATAAGCTTGTAGCCTGATCAGCTTGCATACAAATCATCTCATCTGAATAAAATTAATGTTTGATTTTTATATCTCTCCTCAAGCACTGCTGTGCCCCCCTATTCATTTTATGAACAATTATTGAAAAGAAAATAAAAGTTTAGCCCTGACATGATATATCAGTGGGAGGGTCTACAAAACATGACATTTTAAGTTCTTATTTCTGGTGTTGAATGTAAAATTTCTTATAGGTTAATAATTGAAGAATGAATTATTGATGCTAAATACAATGTGAGAAATATTTTAAAGCTTTTACATTAATATAGAAACTGTTTATTTTTTAAATTTTTTCATAAAAATGTTTACTTTTAAATTTTTTTCATACTCCTCAATAACAACATGCCTGTATTTAATGTTAAAATGAGTGGTATTCATATATTTAGTTGGGTTTCCATCTGCAAAAAAAGCTATTCCCTCTAAATCCTCATTTTAAAATTATAATATTAAAGGAGATAAATGTGACATGGCTATGTCATTTCAAGATCAGTCAAAATAGAAAAAATATGTACTTCATTTTAACTTATGTAACCAAAGTTTACATTTAAAAGTTTAATTCCAAAGTAAGTTTTCTTGTGTCACTTCTTTTTGAGGTGAGTTCATTTTTACAGTGTTCACTTAAGACAAATTCCAAGCATCTCAGGGCAGGATATTGCCCTCTTCTCTCACATTTTATACAGCGCCTAGTAACATTTAGCATGCCATAGCTATGAAAGAGTAAAAAGCACAAAATCTAAATTTTCACTAAAAATCTTAACTGACAAAGAAAGCTGTAAAGAAATTATCTAAAGTAGATACTCCTTGTGGGTTGATATCTTAGAACATAATTCTTCAACAGGGGTCTCATATTATAGTCATCCAAAACATGACTTACAGTTATTTGAAATATCAGTATGAAAATTTATCTTCAAATACAACATTATGAAGAACTACCATGGTTCTCAATAAAGAGAAAATTTAAGGCATTCATAAATTAAAGAGAGTATTTTAGGAAAAGTAGATAAAATGGTAAATTAAAAACTCAAATTTCTTTCTTGAATTATCCTAGTTTACTATTAGATATTCATTTCACTGTATTTGTGCAGACATCTAAGTCAGTGGTCCCCAACTTTTTGGCACCAGGGACCGGTTTCATGGGAGACAATGTTTTCATGAACTGGGTGGTGGATGGGTGGAAGATGGTTTCAGGATGAAACTGTTCCACCTCAGATCATCAGGCATTAGTTAGATTCTCATAAGAAGTACACAACCTAAATCCCTCTCATGAGCAGTTCACAATAGTGTTCTTGCTCCTGTGAGAATCTAACGCCCCCGCTGATCTTACAAGACATGAACAGACAGTAAAGCTCATTCACCCTCCACTCACCTCTGTCTGTGTGGCCTCATTCCTAACAGGCCAGGGTACCAGTCCGTGGACCAGGGGTTAGGGACTCCTGATCTAAATGACATAACTGAGTATTAAATGGGTTGAAACATATAAGGGCATACAATACTGCCTGGCAAATAATACACGTTCAATAAGTTTTAGTTATTACTCAATAACTGTCCCTGCACTTCCACTCCCTTTAGTACTCTTATGCCCACCAAAAATCACTTGTGTTAGTTTGCATACATGCTTTTTGCAAGCTGAACTTTTCCTTTAATTCAAAAATTATAAAATTTGGAAAGAATCTGCAGTCAGATTCCAAGTTCTATTAAGAGTTCCTTCTTCAAAGAAACAAAACCTGGAAATAGTGGATGGTGCAGTATGTGGTGGTTTATACAGGAAATTGTGTTGGAGGTCTTCAAGATAACTTCAAGCTCAATAATTTGCTTGAAAAACTCACAGGATTCAGAAATCTCCTAGGTTTATGGTTTATCACAGAGAAAATAGAGATTAAAAGCAACAAAGGGAAAAGGTGCAAGGTGCAAGGAAGGAAGTCCAAGAGAAACCAACAGAAGTCACCCCAGGGGTCCTCTCCCAGTGGAGTCTCATGGTGATGTATGTAATCCTTTCAGCAATGATGTGTAACAATGCATGATAAGTGCTGCTAACCAGAGAAGCTCACTCAAGCTTTGGCATCCAGGGTTTTTATTGGGGGTCAGTAATGCAAGCATGCAATGCCAGTGCAATTGAACTCAGCTACTCAGACTCTCCCCTCCCTCAGAGCAAAAACAGGCATTCACCATAAATCACATTCTTAGCATAACCTTTACTGCTCAGACTGGTAAAGCATGTCCCAAGGCCCCAGGTATACAAAAATATTCTTATCAGTAGTATATTTCAAGTTCTCAGAGATTATTTCCTAAGATTCAGTCAAAAGCCAATACCAAAGACAGACCCTTCTTTGGAATGTGCAGTTTGTGAGCAACCAAGACTGCTGAGTTAACCTTTTTCTGCCTGAAATTACAAAATGGAAGTGAAATCAGTGCCCCAGAACACACAGCGGAAAAAAAAAATGTTGACACTGGCCGGGCGCGGTGGCTCACAACTGTAATCCCAGCACTTTGGTAGGCCGAGGCGGGTGGATCACGACGTCAGGAGATCAAGACCATCCTGGCTAACACGGTGAAACCCCGTCTCTACTAAAAATACAAAAAAATTAGCCGGGCATGTTGGCAGGCACCTGTAGTCCCAGCTACTTGGGAGGCTGAGGCAGGAGAACGGCGTGAACCCGGAGGCGGAGCTTGCACCATTGCACTCCAGCCTGGGCAACAGAGCGAGACTCTGTCTCAAAAAGAAAAAAAAAAATGGACACTATGTGTAAAGATTAGAGAATAAGTGAATGAACACATCCATATGTTTTATTTAAATAAAATCTTGTTACCTAATTGTAATCTTTAAAAATATCATGTTTTAATTACTTTTCTGACTAACTGAACAATTTCAGTAATCCAGGTGGCTCTTTCAAAATTGAGCATGGCTCATAGTCATGGCTTATGCCCTGGTTTATGCTTTAATGCCCTGGCTCCTAAGGCAGAGCCTTAACGTTGTTCCTATCACTAAGGCTATTCTATAACCTTGTTTTCTTCAAATTCCTGTATGACAATTTAAGGCTGTGGGCCAGATGTCCCAGCTTGGTATACTAACTTATGTGATCCAGTCTGTCTTCCTGGTCCCACACCTGACACCATGCTTACATCTATCAAGTTCAGCAATCCTGTTGGTACAACGACTTGTTGCTGGAACTCCCTGAGAGTGCCTTCCTGAGCTGCCACTCTCACTCTAACACCTCCATCCCCGCTGTGTCACTTGACAGATGGGGCTCCTTCCAAATCCCTGTAATTTTTCCTCAGGCTTTACCCTATCATGGTAAGTAAGCTTATTGTCTTAGTCTGTTTGTGCTGCTATAACAAAACATCTGAGACTGAATAGTTTATAAAACCAGAAATTTACTTCTCACAATTCTGGAGGCTAGAAGTC
Organism: Homo sapiens; assembly: GCF_000001405.40. Lineage (NCBI taxonomy): Eukaryota > Metazoa > Chordata > Mammalia > Primates > Hominidae > Homo > Homo sapiens. The sequence continues at coordinate 86,152,285 of NC_000012.12, forward strand.
CAAGATCAAGGCGCTGGCAGGTTCAGTGTCTGGTGAGAACCTGACCTCTGCTTCCAAGATGGTGCCTCGTTGTGTGTCCACTAGAGGGGCAAATGCTGTGTCTCACATAGCAGAACAGTGGAGGAAAGCAAAGGCACTCCCTCTAGCCTTTCTATAAGGGCCATAATTCCATCCCTGAGGATTCTGCCCTCATGACTTAATCACCTTCTAAAGATCTCACATCTTAATACTATTGTACTGGTGATTCAGTTTCAACATTTCAATTTTGGGGAGCACATTCAAGCCACAGCACCCACACTGCTTCCATGTCCTCACATGGATTTCTCTTTTCCCATCGTATATCACACAGGGCTACTCTATTCATAGAGAAATCTATCTTTTATTCACATGACATGCATTCAACAAGTATTTAGTGATTTAGCAAGTGGCCATTACATACCAGGTACTGTTCTATTAGGAAATATGAGAGTATGTAGTTCTAGCCAAGTAATGTCCTTGTTAACACATATGCATTTTTGTGAAACACACAAACCCAAAGATAAAGTCCAAGTCTTTCCCTTAATAAACAAAAAAGGGTCAGAATATAGAAATGACTTCCAAAGTATCCTCTCTTGCGTTTTTTTTCCTTTCAGTCATCCGTGGGTCTATCTGTGCTTTAATAATGCTTCCAATCCAGTTCAGATCACTTTTCAGTCCTACCAATAATATTACACCCTGATCCTGATAGTACAAACTGTTACATTTTCCACTTCACAGATCCCAATCTGCACCACTGATTATGAAACAAATATTCTTTGTTCCTGAATGACTGTAGATGTGGTGGAGAGTACCAAAGGGTCACAGCCTCTCTCACACTAAAAACAAGAATAAAGCAGTGAGTTGCCCTCTCTCAATTCAAACAGCTGTAAACCCAACAAGTACATGGCCTCTAATTCTCCTACTCCTGGAGGAAATCTCTTGACTGCACTTACATTTAGGCCACTAAGGAGAAAAAACCTACCCTCAAATGAATATATCAGCACACAATAGAAATACACAACAAAGTAAAATATTTAATAAATTGTTTGAGGTAAATCATGAAAGTATAACCCTAAAAACCCCAAAATAGACATAGCATTGAATCCTTTGAAGACTCAATTTACAGTCCATCTCATGTGTTCAGTTATAAGTTACGAAAACAGTTACCTCTAAAATATTGTTAAATAATCAAATGGGTCCATGATATGGTTTGGCTGTGTGTTCCCACCCAAATCTTATCTCTCATTGTAATCACCATGCATCCAGGTAGGGACCTGTAACCTGCATGTGTCAAGGGAGGGAAGTGACTGGATTGTAGGGAGGTTTACCCCATGCTGTTCTTGTGATAATGAGTGAATTCTCATGAGATCTGATGGTTTTATAAATAACACTTTTTCCTGTGCTCTCACTTCTCTTTCCTGCTGCCTTGTGAAGAAAGTGCTTGCTTCTCCCTTTGCCTTCTGCCATGATTGTAAGTTTCCTGAGGCCTCCTCAGCCATGTGGAACTGTGAGTCAATTAAACCTCATTCCTTTGTAAATTTCCCAGTTTGGATATTTCTTTACAGCAGTGTGAAAATAGACTAATACACTCCCCATGCTCCATTCTTATTGTGAGCATTTTTTTCTTTCTCTGAAAATTAACTTTATACCAAAAAATAGATTATGATGTTATAGATAAAAACATTTCAGGGATGTAGAACATTATCAATCAAAAGACGCTGAAAAGAGAAAAGGAAAGTTATAGGGATTCATATTGGGACAAAACACATTTACCATCACAAAGTAGAACTTGCTTGGTATTGAGTACTTTTTGAGTACATTCCAAAGTTCATTACCATGAATTGTATTTGAGAAAGTGGAAGGCAGTTCTCTGGGTGGCCTTGGACTGACCCAGTTCTCCCCCCACCATTTCTTGCTTATAGTTCTCAAGAATAAGTATGAAATAGGCTGGGAATTCAACATCCTGAGGTAAGGGGGAATTGGCCAGAACAGCCCGGGCTTTGTTTCAGTCTACCCTGGAAATGAGATGTTCGTTAATGCTGTAGCCTCTGACGGTGAGGCATTGTCCCTTAGGTATATAATTGGGAGTGGGCTGCCTTTCAGGGTCCCTCAGCTCCGGTGTAAGTCAGGCAAGTGCAGGCAAAATACCATTCACTGTGGTCAGCTTTTTTGAGCCTTGGTGAATCCTATGCTTCTGTTGTCCCTCACTGCCTATCTGTAAAAAATAAACTTGCTTCTTGTAACTTCTTTTGTGTGTGGATGTTCTCTCTCACCAGGCTGAGATCAGTTGGTAACCTGTGCACAGTGAATCTGCCCAACGGAAATGGACCTATTGGTTCTCACATTATACTTTAATTGCAATTTTAGCCACATCTAGATCAAAAAAAAGATAAATAAGTGAATTTCGTTTTTGGCACACCAACCATTTTCTGCATCAAGAACCTTACTTTTATGCAGAGCTTAGCAATATCTAGTACTTCATCTGTATCAATTTTTCATTTTATCTACAATTACGTGTTGAGAGCTTCCCACGTGCCTGATCCTGTTCCAGATACTGAGGAGACTGTGCCGAATCAGACAGATAAGACAGCTATGTCCATGGAGCTCATATTACGGTGGAAATAAGACCAACAAATTAAAAAGTAAGCTATAAATGTGTGTGTTCTGAAGAAAATAAAGTGGGATGGCATGATAGAGAGTAATGAGAGAGTGATAATTTAAATTAAGTGGTCAGGGATGGCCTCTATTAAGAGTTGATATTTAAACAAAGGTACAAATAGAAGATGATCCTGGATGTGAGAATTACGGGAAGAGGGAATTAACTATTTTTCAGGTAGGGAAGAGCTAGGAGAATTTAGAAACCAAAAATATCAATGTGGCTGTAGTACAGTGAATATGTAGCAGAAATCATAAAAGATGAACTTCGCAAGTTAGTTCAGAGCCAGTTCATAGAACTTTGTAGGCAACGGAAATAATTTTGTATCAAAGTATAATGAATAGCCATTAGATGGTTTAGACATGTGTGTGGAAAATGGATGGGAAGAAATGAAGTTTGGAAGCTATGGTGCAGCAGTAATATGAGTAAGAGATGATGGCACCATGGAATAGAAGGCATAGTAATAGAAAAAATACAAAATAGATACATTCGTAATGTGGTTTAGGTGCTCTAAACAGGACATGATTATGGTAGTCTGTGGGTTTAAAGGAAAATAAATAATTAAAGGATCAAAGATGATCTTAGATTTGGGGCTTCAGTACATGGAGAGATGGTGGCATTATTTACTGATATGCAAAGGTATGAAGGAGCAGGTGGAGTGCATTTGTGTGTTTCAGAAATGTTACAACAGATGACACTGCTAGATTGCCAACTGGAAATATCAAATAGGTGAAAACAATTATTTATATATTCTATATAATTTTGTATTTGTGTATGTCTCTAAACTTATGTGTGTATGTACATATACACACAAATTATGGTGAAAAAAAGGTAAGAAAAAATATTCTAAAGTTGGAAATGGGGAAAAGAGACACTTGGTGTTCTTTTAATCCAGTGCTGGCCTTGACTTTCTATTAACTAGGCCATTTTCCAACTCTGTAGGGATGGAGGCTAACTTACACATTTGCTGTTGCTATTGTGTAAATATGAATATCATTTTAGTCTAGTGAAATAAAAAAAGTTACAGCATATTGCCCTGTAAAATATTAACCAGTTTTGTCTCCAACCTGGAAATCTTAAAATTTCTTTATTAAATTGCATATTATATTAATACATGCATACATGTACACATATATAAACACACATATATATACAGTTATTTTCTCATATGCTCTTTGGGTCAGTTTCAATATCTTGCTATTAATTAATGAGTTAAACAGAATCTTTGGCATGTGTTCATTTCATATTTGCCAGAGATTATTGTGTTTATCTTTTTGAAAATTATAATTAAATAGATATGAAGGTTAACATATTAATCTGAGAGTCACTGACATGTGGATGATAGCTATGAAACTGATGAGATTACATTTTATTTTTCTTTGAGGCGGAGTTCTGCTCTTGTTGTCCAGGCTGGAGTGCAATGACACAATCTCGGCTCACCGCAACCTCCGTGTCCCAGGTTCAAGCGATTCTCCTGCCTCAGCCTCCCGAGTAGCTGGTATTAAGGCATGCACCACCACGCCTGGCTAATTTTGTATTTTTAGTAGAGATGGGGTTTCTCTGTGTTGGTCAGGCTGGTCTCAAACTCCCGATCTCAGGTGAGCTGCCCACCTTGGCCTCCCAAAGTGCTGGGAATACAGGTGTGAGCCACCGCGTCCAGCTAAGATTACATTTTTTAAAAGTACAGAAAAACATGTGAGAATAGTTTTGGTTCCAGAGTATAAGGAACATAAATATCATTTCACTATTTGTTTAGAAAAACTCTATAAGGTTTTGTTATGTTCATTTTTCATTTTTCTACTGAGTAAATTATGGCTCAGAAAACTTGGCTCAGGGCTTTGCATCTAAAAAATGTTAGAAAGCAAATGCAGCCCTGGTCAGTTTAACTCAAAAATTTATTTTTTCCACAAGAGCAAGATAATTCTCCAGAAGAAAATAGCTTAATTTTTTTTAAATAAAGCTAATGGGCAATTTTGGCAATTTCCCTTCTCTTTATTCCCATCCCCCTCCTGGTGTGTGTGATTGCTATAATTTAGGCCCTGGATACTGCAGAAATATTTCTTAACCTGTATAATCTCACCCTAAAGAGCCACTTCAAAATTGGTAAGTATAGATCATGTCAGAAATGCAAGTACTATCATGATATAAGGCATTTTGCTTTAGGCAAAATATGAAAAAAAACAGTTTACACATATTGCAATATTTTTAATATATACATTTATAATTTTTTTTAACGGAAAGTGCATTCATGAACTAAGTAGATGATTACATTTTCCTCTTTTTAACTTAGGACTTTCCATTTTGTAATTATAAGTAAATGCATAACGACCATCGGTCGATCCTGAATCTAAAAGTATAATCAATTACATCCATATGGAATTTAAAACATAATAACTTTAAAGTATTACTTCTTTAAGTGAAATAATTCAAAATGAGATTAAAGGCAATGCTTAAAGAACATATTATGTAATGCAAATTAAATGTGTCATTATTACCCTATTATTCACCACATTTTTAATATGCATGTTCTTGTTATGCAGGTAGATAAAAATCATTTTAAAGAGCATAGAAAAATAATAAATCCCCTGTTATTAGTCAGTTTTTACACTGTTATCAACAACTACCTGAGATTGGGTTATTTATAAAGAAAAGAAAAAAAAAGAAAAGAGATTTAATTGATGTACAATTCCACATGGTTTTGGAGGCCTCAGGAAACTTACAATCATGGAGGAAGGTGAAGGAAAAGAAAGACACATCTTACATGGTGGCAGGAGAGAGAGAGTGGGCGAAGAAGGACGTGCCACACTTTTAAACAACCAGATATCCTGAGAACTTACTATCATGAGAACAGCGTGGGGGAAACGGCCCCCATAATCCTATAACTTCCCATCAGGCTCCTCCTCCGACATGTGGGGATTATAATTCCAGATGAGATTTGGGTGAGGACACAGAGCCAACCATATCACCCCTCTATGACTTATACAATTCAGTAATAAAGAATATTAAACAACTGAAAAATATACTTTATTCAAGAAGCAGCAATGATTGAAAGTGATTGAAAATAATAAATCATATTGCCCAAATGAAAGTTTTAAAATATAATACCAATTATATTGAAAACGATACATTTAGCTAGATGTTGGATCATTACTTTACATATATATATCTCCTTCTAATAAATCACAACCCTTTGAGGGCAGGCAAGGATCATAATGATACTCATCTGTGAGTTTCCAGAGCACATAGGGAGACTCTCATACAAATACATTAATGTAGTCTATGTCCTACATATCATAAATCCATAGCCTAAATCTTACTAGAACTCTAAAAATATAACATTACAGAATAAAATTCAAATTTTGACCATTTTTTACCTTTTAGAGATGTTTACTAATTATTTTTTAACCATTATGCATTATTAAAATAAAGCAAATCAAGGTTGGAATTTGGCTGCTCTAAACTAGGCATAAAATATTGAAATATAATTGTTAAAGGTATGGAATATGTAAATGTTCAATACAATAAATAAGCAAAAATTTAAAAACTGTAACTTTATTTCTTCTTCTTATTTCATGTCTTTATTTTAAAAGAATCAACAACACAGAACCAGATGCTGAAGGTCTATAATGCTTTATTCCCATTTAGGTGAACTGTAAACTATTGCATATAATGTGAAAAATTCAAACTAGGGAATTTTATAAAAACAATGAAGGTCATATGTAAGTTACACCATTAGAGAAAATTAAATATCTAAAGTTTACTGTAATTATTCACAAGTTATAATTAGATTATACCTCCTTGGTTAGCTATATTCCTAGATATCTGATCTGCTTTGTGGCTATTGTAAGTGGGATTCTTTTCTTGATTTCACTCTCAGCCTAGACGGTGTTAGTGTGTGGAAATGTTACTGAATTTTGTACCCCTATTTTGTATCCTAAAGCTTAACTAAAATTGTTTATCAATTCTAGGAGTCTTTAGGCAGAATACAGGATTTTCTAGGTATAGGATCATATCCTCAGCAAAGAGAGATAGTTTGACTTATTTTCCTATTTTGGTGGATTTTATTTATTTTTCTTGCCTGACTGCTCTGGCTAGGACTTCCAGTACTATGTAGAATAGAAGTGGTGAGAGTAGGCATCCTTGTCTTTTTCCAGTTCTCAAGGGAAATGGTTTGAGCTTTTACTCATCCAGTATGATGTAGTCCGTGGGTGTGTCATGCATAGCTGTTATCATTTTGAGGTATGTTCCTTTGATGCCTAGTTTCTAGAGAGTTTTTATCATGATGGGATGCTGGATTTTATCACATCATTTTCCGAGTATTGAGACGATTATATTGTTTGATTTTTTTATGCAGTGAATCACATTTATTGATTTGCCTATGTTGAACCCGCCTCACATCTCAGGAATAAAGTCCAGTTGATCATGCTGTATTAACATTTTGATGTGCTGCTGGATTCAATTTGCTACTTTTTTTTTTTTGAGGATTTTTGTGTCTATGTTCATGAGGGATTTTAGTCGGTAGCTTTCTTTTTTCATTGTGTCTCTGCCAGATTTTAGTATCAGGCTGATGCTGCCTTCATAGAAAGGATTAGAGAGGAGCCCCTCCTCCTCAACTTTTTGGAATGATTTTAGTAGAATTGGTATATTTTTTTTCTTTTTATACATCTGGTAGAATTTGGCTGTAAATTCACCTGAACCAGGGCTTTCGTTATGGTTAGCAGGTTCTTTATTACTGATTCAGTTTCAGAAGTTGATACTGGTCTATTCAGGGTTTCAATCTCTTCCTCATTCAATCTTGGGAGATTGTGTGCTTCCAGGAATTTACCCATTTCCTCTAGATATTCTAATTTATGTGCATAGTTGTCCACAGTCATCTCTGAGTATATTTGGGTTCTGAGGATGTATTTGTGGGGTCAGTTATAATATCACCTTTGTCATTTCTGATCGGGCTTTACTTGGGTCTTCTCTTTCTTTCTCTTTGTTCATATAGCTAGGAGGCATATCAATCTTATTTATTTATTTGAAAAACCAATTCTTGGTTACGTTGATCTTTTTATAGATTTTTACGTCTCAATTTCATTAAGTTCTTTTCTAATTTTAGTTATTTATTTTCTTCTGCTAGCTTTGGAGTTTATTTGCTCTTTTTTTCTAGTTCCTTTAGGTACAAAGTTACATTGCTAATTTGAGATCTTTCTGTCTTGACAAAGGCAGTTAGGACTACAAACTTTCCTCTTAACACTGCTTTTGCTGCATCCAAGAGATTTTGGTGAGATTTTTCCCCTGTTTTCATATATTTCAAAGACTTTTTTATTTCTGCCTTAATTTCAATGTTTGCTCAGCAGTTATTTAGGAGCAAGCTGTTTAATTTCCATGTATTTGTGTAGTATTGGGAGATTTGTGTAGTATTGGGAATATTGTGTAGTATTAAGAAATCAATAGGTATTGATTTCTATTTTCATTGCACCGTGGTCTAAGAGTGTACTTGGTATGATTTCAATTTGCTTTGAATGTATTGATGCTTGCTTTATGAGCGAGCATGTGATCAATCTTAGAATATGTTCTGTGTGCAGATGAGAAGAATGAGTATTCTGTGGTCATTGGGTGGTGTGTTTTGTAGATGTTTCTTAGGTCTAATTGGTCAAGTGTCAAGTTGAAGTCTAGAGTTTCCTTGTTAGTTTTCTGTCTCAATGATCTATTTAACACTGTCAGTGGAGTGCTAAAGTCTCCTACAATTATTGTGTGGTTTTCTAAGTCTTTATAGGCCAAGAAGAAGTTGTTTTATAAATCTGGGTGCTCCAATGTTGGATGCATATATATTTAGGATACTTAAGGCTTCTTACTGAATTGTACCCTTTATCATCAAGCAATGTTCTTCATTGTCCTTCTTAATTTTTACTGGTTTGAAGTCTGATTCATCTAATATAACATTACCAACTCCTGCTTTTTTGTGTGTTTTCTATATGCATGTATATCTTAATCTACTCTAACTTTTAGCCTGTGGGTGTCATTACATGTGAGATGAGTTTCTTGAATACAACAGATGGCAGAGTCAAGACAAATAAATGGGAAAACATTCCATGCTCATGGATTGGAAGAATCATTATTGTAAAAATGGCCATGCTGCCCAAAGCAATTGACAGATACAATGCTCTTTCTTTCAAACTACCAACATAATTATTCACGGAATTAGAAAAAATGATTCCAAAATTCACATGTCACCAAAAAAGAGCCCAAATAGCCAAAGCAATCCTAAGAAAAAGAACAAAACTTCAGCTATCACAGTACTTGACTTCAAACTGTACTATAAAGCCACAGCAATCCTAACAGATTGGTACTGCTACCAAACACAGACACATAGACCAACAGATCAGAATTTTAAAAACTCAGAAAGAAAGCCACACACCTACAACCATTCTTTGACAAGGCTGACAAAAAAAGGCAATAAGAAAAGGAATCTCTATGCAATAAATGGTGCTGGGATAACTGGCTAGCCATATGCAGAAGATTGAAGCTGGACCCTACCTTTCACCATATACAAAAATTAACTCAAAATGGATTAACGATTTAAATGTTAAAACCTGAAACTATAAAAATCCTGGAAGACAACAAAAGACATACTCTTCTTGACACTGGCCTTGGTAAATAATTTTTGGCTAAGTTCACAAAATCAATTGCAATAAAAACAAATAGACAAGTGGGACCTAATTAAACTAAAGAGCTTCTGCATAGCAAAATAAACTATCAACAGAGCAAACAGACAACTTACTGAATGGGAGAAGATATTTGCAAACTAGGCATTCGACAAAGGCCTAATACTCAGAATCTATAGGGGACTTAAATCAACAAGCAAAGAATAACCTCATTAAAAAATGGGCAAAGGACATGAACAGACATTTTGCAAAAGAAGACATACAAGCTGCCAACAAACGCATGAAAAAATGCTCAGCATCACTATCATCAGAAAAACGTAAATCAAAACTACAATGAGATACCATCTCACACCAGTCAGAACAGCTATTATTAAGAAGTAAAAAACAAGAGATGCTGGTGAGGCTGCAGAGTAAAGGGAATACTTACACACTGTTTATAGTAATGCAAATTGGTCCTGCCACTGGAAAGCAGTCTGGAGATTTCACAAATAACTTAAAACAGAGCTACCTTTTAACTGAGCAATCCTATTACTGGGTGTATACTCAATGGGAAATAAATCATTCTACCAAAAAGACACATGCACTCACATGCTTATTGCTGTACTATTCAAAATAGCAAAGACATGAAATCAACCCAGGTACCCATCAATAATAGACTGGATAAAGAAAATGTGGTATGTGTACACCATGGAACACTATGCAGCCATAATACAGAATGAAATCATGTCTTTGCAGCATCATGGATGGAGCTGGAGGCCACAATCTTAAGCAAATTAATGAAGGAAGAGAAATCCAAATACCACATATCCTTACTTACGAGTGGGAGCTAAACATTGGATACACATGGACATAAATATTGGAATAATAGAGAGTAGTGACAACTAGAGGGTGGAGGGGGAGTGAGTTAAAAAAACTACCTATTGGGTACTATGCTCATTATTTGGATGATGGGATTCATAATCCAAACCTCAGCATCATACAACATTCCCATGTAACAAATCTATACATGTACTCCCTGTATCTAAAATGAAGGTTGAAGTAAAAATTATAATAATAATAATAGATTATAAAGCCTTTAATATGTCAGGTCAACAAACAGCTATTGACAGCAAATATATCATTAGCAAATGTTGTTAACTAGGAAAGCAAATATTCATTAAAATAAATTAAATTTGCATAGAAGCTAAATAACTTGTTAGTTTTAATGGTTTTATCTACATCCAAAAATAATTGGAAGTTTCTCCTATCACCAATACTTTGTGGGACATTCTACTCAGATTTTCCACAAATGTAGAAACCAAACCTTATTTCCAAATACTATATGCTTAGTTCTTAGGATAAAAGTTGTATAGCTATATTAAATTAATGCATGTCTGTTATACCCACATAGAGCCTCTGATATCAGTAAGTCTGGGATGGGCCCTAGAAATCTGCATTTCAAATCTCATGAAAATCTGATTCCAGTACTCTGCAGAGCCTTCTGTGAGTAAAATCGCTACAGTCAGTACCTAAATTCTGCCTTTACCAGAAAGCTTCTGCACACACTTTTCTCATGATATTGACATTATAGAACAACAATTAGAAATCATCCTCCCCCCCTTTTTTTTCTTTTTGAGACAGGGTCTCACTCTGCCACCAAGACTGGAGTGCAGTGATCAAACCTACTGCAGGCTCCAATTCCTGGGTTCAAGCAATCCTTCTGCCTCTCGAGTAGCTAGGACCACAGGCGCACACCACCATGTTAGGCCAATTTTAAAAACTTTTTGTAGAGACAGGTCTTGCTATGTTACACAGGCAGGTCTTGAACGACTGTCCTGAAGCAATGTTCCCACCTCAGCCTCCAAAACTGCTGGGATGATAGGAGCGAGCCACTGTGCCTGGACAATAATCAAAATTTCTTAGAAAACCAGACCTTCTCCATTTCACAAACTTTTATATCATTAACAATGATCCTTTGACTAGAACATAACAGATTTTTTTTTGTTGAAGTATTGAATAAATCCATGTTATCACTAGATCAGTCTTTTAAATAAAATTACTGCTTTAAACAGATCATTCTCTACATAAGAATGCTTAATAAAAAATACAACTTTATGAAATTCTAACTGGATAACGTGAAACATTTTTGAACTACATGGAATAAGACATCACATGAACCACTGAACCCTTATTTGTACCAAGGTTGTGTTTCACAATTCCATAATTTTCATCTATCAATCAATTTATATTTTGCAAATCCTTATTAGGAAACTTAATTCATCATAACCCTTTCTCATATGATACTTTAAAATCTTATTGTAAAAGACATATATGCACATAAAGATATGAAAGTATGCAAGATAGTAGATAGCAAATTTGTAGTTTTATATATTTACATATGTGCAGTAGAGGGCAGTTAGCATACCTGAGTTGGTTTTAAATGATAGTTAGAATTAAATAAGCAAAGAGGGAAGAAGGGTTTTATAGACATGGTGAGTGAAATATAAGAATGTCAGATGCCTTTGAGAGTAAATCAAATTGACAAAAACAGAAGGTTTATAGAGAGTTAAAGTGTGAAATAAGTTTTAAAGGACAGCTTTTAAAAGGTAGCTGTGTTTTAAGAGACTTATGTCTACCAGGCTGAAAGATCTGAAGTTTAATCTATGGGCTCTGTGTTTCCTTGATGATTTTGGTAAAGGTAAGTTGCCAGCAAATTGATGTGAATTAGGTGATGTCCAATATCTTTAAAATTGAAAATGAAATACTTTGCAAAACTGAAACGCATGTATTTTACTATTTAATCATACATATTTAATCAATAACTGTTTACTGCATACTGAGTCTATGCTGTGCACTCTGCCAAGCAATGGGGGTGCAAAGTTGAGCAATAACACGTACATAAGATTTAAAGTCTAATGGGACAGATAGACATTAATCAACTAGTCACTAAATAGTCAAACTATTCTAACTGGTAATTTTTCTATGGAAGAGTGTATGATGTTTTATGAGCACATGTTAGGGATGGTTTCTCTGAATAAGTGACTTTGAGTTCAGTTCTGAATAAAAAGATTAGGGCAGAGATAATTATGGGCAGAAGAAGGAGCATGTGCATTTGTTTGATGGGCCACAGAGCACGGTACCCTTGGGGATTTGAAAAAAATGCTACTGTTGCAGAGTGTGAGGGTGAGACAAGTTATGTTGCTAGAGAGGAAGGCAGGAGCCCACTTAGCAGGGCAATTTAGGCCATTTTAATGAGATTGGACGTGAAAAGACCACTGGTGGTGAGGATTTATTAAAATCCCTCAATTTCTGCTAGTAATTGAAGGATTTTAATAAAATGTTGACATTGAACTAAAAAATTCATTTAGGCTAAAATGTAGGAAGGGAATATTGAATATCTGGGACATATGGTTGTTAAAATGAGTAGTCCATTCAGGTTTAAAATGATATTAAATTTTGAATATGATAATTTGGTAGATAGGAACAATGAGGCAGATTTAAAGGATGTTTAGAATAAACCTTAGTCACATATTGGCTATTGGAAGTTAGAAAAAAAGGGGATTTCAATGATAACAACTAGGTTTTAAGCTAGGATAATTAGATTGATTATGGGCTGATTCATTAAGACAACTAAATACATATATAAAATAATTAATGTAGATATAAATAATGCATTTGTTGACAACATCACAAATATATGTAGTTAATATACTCTTTAAAAATTAAACATTCCACACACACATAAATTATGGGTTCTCTTTTTTAATATCACATGTAATCTAAGCATAATTTTAGAACAGTTTATTGTTTTACATGTATTTTGTTAACACATTATCCTACAGTATATTCTTATGAATATCAAAGTCTGTCTATGAGCTAAACATTTTGTTTCTTCCAAAGTATTTCCATTTGTTCATATGTTCACAAAGGAAACTGTTTAGGTGAAGCTTCACAATATATTCAAGTATGTGGTAGGACAATTCTTTCTTCATTATTCTCAAATTACCTTTTGCTTTCATAGGCTGGTCTATTATTTAAATCACTTTGAGAATTTTATTGTCAAGTGCTACTAAAATTGCCAATGGAATTTTAACTGAAATCAATTTAAAACGATGATATAAATGAGAGATATTTGATATTTTTATACAATATTCTATTTCTCAAACTTATTTTGACATGAAAAACACTATAATTAGAAAATGTAATGGTAGACAACTCATATTTATTATTTAATTAATAAAACGGGTAGCTTCATTTGTTTTTCTAAGTGCATAAAATTGTGATACAGAAAGAATTTTAGTGGACATAGTAGAGCTGATCCTGGCTTCATCAATGTCAACATTTGAAACAGCTAAATGCTTGTAGATTATTGCATATGTAAAAATCACCAAATTTAAAATTTAAGCAGTGTCTAAATCACGCTCTTAATTTTGAAAGTGTACTATGTATGCAAGAAAATAAATGTGCTTTAAGAATCTGCATGCTACTTTGCTGTCTGCAACTTGTTACTTTTATTATCTTTGAGTCATATCTAAAATTATCTACATGTATTGAAAATTGAGGAACAAGTAGACCACATATATAGAAGTATAGTCAACTGTAATAAATTTAAAATATTTTGACAGGTTGAAAACCATTTACAAAATTATTAAGATAATAAAATGCATCTTAAATTCTAAACTATTACTGATTCCATACATGATGTAGAATTTCCAAGGTTGAATTTTACTTCTGAAAGGGAAAAACAAACAAACAAACAACAACAACAACTATGTACTAGAATAAAATTTGACTACTAAGCCGGGTGGGTGCGGTGGCTCACGCCTTTAATCTCAGCAGCTTGGGAGGCCAAGGCGGGCAGATTGCTTGATGCCAGGAATTTGAGACCAGCCTGGCCAGTATGGCGAAACCCCATCTCTACTAAAATTACAAAAATTAGTTGGCTGTGGTGGCGCAGGCTTGTAATCTCAGCTACTCGGGAGGCTGAGGCATGAGAATCATTTGAAACCAGGAGTCAGAGGTTGCAGTGAGATGGGATCGTGTCACCACACTCTAGCCTGGGAGACAGTGAGAAGGTCTCAAAAAAAAAGTCTATTAAATAACTATGGTTAGACATTTCTTAACATATATGGTGTAACAATACGTGAAAATCTAAATAATCCTTACCTTCCTATCCTTCTATAAGTATCACTGCAGCACATTATATAACGTACATAAAAAATTAAATAAAGCAAAATAACTCAAACATGTAAAAAGAATAACTCATGAAAATGATGACCAATATTCATATTAACACGATAAAGTAAAAGACAGCCAACTTGAAATATTAAACTTATATTTGGCAAGTATGCATAATTATGAAATAATATATTTAACTTCATTTGCTGACTTTGAATTAAAATTATATACCTTATATTTTGGTAAATTATCTCATATACTTTAGTTCTCTCAACAACCCTGCTTATGAAGAAATGAAGACTATTGAGTTTATGTGAAGTGCTTAAAGTGACACTTCTAGAAAGACACAAATACAAGACCTAAAACTAGGTTTCTTATTCTATCAACAAAGCTCATTTACTCAATAATTACTCTATGGCAAGTTTGGTGTTGAAAAACACATTTCCACTAAGAAATGTTTACAAATGAGACAATAACTCAATAATCATGATAGTTATAGTCATACAAAATTGTACATTTGTTGAGGTCAGAAATTATTTCTTCTTTTTCAGTTCACAGTATTTATTACAAATGTTTTGAGAAGCACTGATGTAGATGGTGGTTAATAATTGTTTATTGAATTAGGCAACACAATGAAACCTCATTAGTTTAAACTAAATAGAGAAAGCTTAATCTGAATCAGTGAATATCTTAGTCTGTTTTGTGCTGCTATAACAGAATACCACAAACTGGACAATTTATAATGAACAGAAATTTATTTGGCTCACAGTTCTTGAGGCTGAGAAGTCCATGATTGATTAAGAGGCTGCATCTGGTGAGGACCATCCCATAGCAGAAGGTTTAAAGTAAAGAGAGCAAGCACAGTTACATACAAGAAAGAGAGGGGCAAACTCACTTTTATAAAAGTCCACTCTCTGGAGCCCATTCCTGAGATAACAATATTAATCGATTCATAAAGGCAGAGTCCTCATGACCCAATCACCTCTTAAAGGTCCCTCCTATCAACACTGATGCATTGAAGGTTAAATTTCAACACATGAACTTTGGAGGACCCATTCAAACCACAGCAGTGAACATTTTCAATTTAAGACTATCTTCTTAAAAGCGTAACTAAGTTCTACCAAAACATTTATTTCAAAAAATCTATGAGCTACCTCTTGAGTCAAATAGTGAATAAGGTATGCTGTCTTCTGCCAGTGAGCACACAACCTAGCTCAAGTATGTTAAGTGTTATGATAAAAGTTTTCATAAGAAGGTAGACCAACTAATGCCTTTTAATGGTAAAACTAATTGGATTTAAATATTCAAAAGTCAGTGTTCTCTTTATCAAATATCATTTGTGATAAATTTAGAATTTATTCAAGAAATATTCAAAATAGCACTGTTTTATAGTTATAAATCCCTTTTGTTCAAGTACAAATCTGTATAAATTGTCTCTTTTCATGTGCGCATATAGCACAAGTCAAATTAACTCTAGTTTAGTCTCAACTGGGACACTTAAACTCCCAACTACAAAGTTATCATGTTAAATTACTGAATTACTTCTTGAGAAATTATCACCAGTAATGAAACAAATCAAGACATGTGCCTTCCAATATGATGTACAGCATCACTTATTCAGCATTTTTTTCAGTTACCATAATTAGAAAATTATTATGACATAAAATTACCCAAATTCATATTGAGAGATATTGTATAAAGCTGCTATGAACTCTTCAAAAATGTCAGTGCCAAAGATAGAAAACAAAAAACAAACAAACAAAAAACCAGAAAGATTCAGGAAGTATGTGAGACTGAAAGAAATTAAAATAGGATAACTGACTGCAATGCATAATTCTGAATTTTCCTGTTCAGTAAAGGACGTTATTGAGACAAATGGAGAAATTAATAAAATCTGTAGATTAGATTATCATGTTGTAAAGGTGTTAATTTTGTTGTACTGTGATTATGTGTTTTCCACTGTTCCTGATGCCTAGACAAAAAGAGTGGATGAAACCATGTGAGAATTTAGTAAATACAGATGACCTGACATGCAGTGTCTGAGGTAATATTTTTATATTTGCTTCAGAAAACAAAAGAGTCTTTTCTTTTGCTGTAGTCCAGGTCCCGTACCATTACAGCTTCTTTTCCTTCTTGGCTGAGTACAATCTTATGAAATCTAAGTAGCATCAATAACTATGTTCTTGATTGTTTGTATCGCTTTGTGTACTTTTTAAAATGAGTTTCATGTTGGAGATAAGATTGTAAAAAAATGTGGGGGAAAACTGCCCCCAAAACATGTCAAAGTCTCTTGATAAATTCAGGCGCCAGAAGTTTTCTCAATCTCTTATTATCTGAGTATCTTACTCATTAATAAATAGTGATGTTAGCAGAGAGAATGCATCACTTTCTTCTGCGGTTTCCACTCTTGAACTATTAAGTCTTGACACCATGAAAGAATGAGGAGACAAGCACAGTAAAGATGAAGGCAAAAAACCATGCAAGGGTTTCTTCATGTCTTGGGTCTTCATAAGTTTGCCCTTGCCAGACTTCTAGCTCAATTTCTTGTTGAGTCTTACCTTTCTTCTTCTCCTATGCTATATCTGTCCTAAGTCACTTGCATTTGTCTGAACCATCAGAATGTCCTATAGCCACCATCTAGTTATCTCTCACTAGAAATAATCATTTATACTCTTCAAATCTATTTTAATTGAAGGACAGTTATTCATTTTGCAACTCAAGTTCAAACTTCATCTCCATTTAATCATTTTGTTTTATTTTTCTTGCACAAGCAGATACATATCCAACAATTTATTCTATATTTTGTTTACCTTTGGGTACTCCATTGGTGTAGTTTCATTATTAATTCATCTCTCTACTCCCTACAACCTAACAGAGAGCCAAGCATATAGCAGATGCTTCACAGGTGACTGAAAAAATCAGGCGGAGAGGCACAGAACACATAGAGATAAAATACACATCAATAATTCAGATCAACCTCTTCTGATAGAGTTTCCTTTTACCTTTGAGGGGAAAACTGGAGTATATTTCACTCTCAAAAACTACCAAAGCCCAGAAAGAGAAAAGATATGGAGAAATCAGAATGTTTAAAAAAGTTTATGGAATGAAAAGTATATTAAAAAGGTGTTGCATATTTAATGGTATCCTCATTTTACAAATATTTCCCATATCAAAGGTTAGCAAAGGAAATGTAGACAGCAAAACAAACAAACAAAAAAGCATGTGCGATTTATTACCAGGCCAGAGGCATTCCCATGTAAATTTAGTTCTTCCAACAACCAGTATATGATTTAGAATGGAAGAATTGATTGGGAACTTTTTACTCCCAGATGTGTGGCAGAAAGCAGAAGAGACAGTATGATTAGTTGTTGGGCTAAAGGTTTCTTATATGAACAGAGTTTTTGAACATTCGTGACCCACTTTTAGTGCTGAGACTGGGACAGTCTTGAGCAAGAAAAGGGTAATTTGTCATGCTATGAGAATCCTCATGAAAACAGCTGGACTTAGGAAATTCTAAGTGTTTTTCATAAAAGCTCAAAAATGTTCCTCTCACCTCCTAGGATCATGTCATTTGAAACTTGATACTTTCAGATAGTCTTGTCAGACTTCCTGTTCTATGTTAAAGGGCAGATTTCCTTGGAAATCCTATGTTTTGATGTCATTAACACATTGTTAATGTTAATTCTTTTAGCGACTATTTACTGTTTAAATTATCTATGTATAATGTTATGCATTAGTACTGTGTGCTAACTGGTTTGCAAACATTGTTTCATGTCATGTAAAAGGCTAATGAAGTAGTCACTAATATTATTTTTGACATGAGCAATGCAAAGTTAAATAAATTAATTTTCCAAAGATAACAGACCTGATGAATAATTATTCCTATGTTTAATAATGGTTATATAGGTTGGGCACAGTGGCTCACACCTGTAATCCCAGCACTTTGGGAGGCCGAGGCAGGTGGATTGCTTGTGCTCAGGAGGTTGAAACCAGCCTGGGCAACAAGGCAAAAACCCATCTCTACAAAAAATGGAAAAAATAGCTGGGCATGTTAGTGTGCGCCTGGAGTCCGAGCTACTAGAGAGGCTGAGGTCGGAGGATTGCTTGAGCCCAGGCTGGGCGACAGAGTGAGAAAGAAAGAAAGAAAAGAAAGAG
Source organism: Homo sapiens (assembly GCF_000001405.40). Taxonomy (NCBI): domain Eukaryota; kingdom Metazoa; phylum Chordata; class Mammalia; order Primates; family Hominidae; genus Homo; species Homo sapiens. Next base: position 86,170,921 of record NC_000012.12, read on the forward strand.
AAGAAAGAAAAAGGATAATGGTTATATATTTTAATCATAAGATATCTGAACTTGAATACCCGGACATTCTGTTCTCTGAGGTACATTCTAAGTATGAAGCATCTTGCTGGATACTCTGAGACTTTTCAATATCCATGATGCACTGTGCTTAAGATGTTTACTATCTTATGGCTGGGCGCGGTGGCTCATCCCTGTAATCCCAGCACTTTGGGAGGCCGAAGTGGGTGGATCACGAGGTCAGGAGTTCGAGACTAGCCTGACCAACATAGAGAAACCGTGTCTATACTAAAAATACAAAATAAGCTGGGTGTGGTGGCACTGGCCAGTAATCCCAGCTACTTGGGAGGCTGAGGCAGGAGAATCGCTTGAACCCAGGAGGCAGAGGTTGCGGTGAGCTGAGATTGTACCATTGCACTCCAGCCTGGGCAACAAGAGTGAAATTCCATCTCAAAAAAATAAATAAATAAATAGAAAGATGTTTACTATCTTACATGGGGATACAACATGCAGATAAATAGCTAAGATATCACTGAAAATTTGCATAGCACTTTGGTGTACACAACCCCTTCACAAATAGTAAGTGAATTGACCATTCTAATGGCTCATTAAAACAAGCATAACAGGAGTTTATAATTTCCATTTAATAGATCAAGAAACTGAGGTTCAGATAAACTAATGATGTTCAATAGCTATTGATATTGCAGCGGGGTTTAAAATCCAGACATTTTCCTTATAGGCTGATGTTCATTTTACTTTACGGTGTGGCTTCAAATACACATTACCAAGTCATAATTACATTATAGAAATTTCCCTTTGGCTCATGAATTCCAGCAACCTTTGTGATTTGCAACCCCAGTCACATCATACTTCTGAAACTTCATAAATGTTTTTTGGATGAATGAATCCACATTTCCAGATAGTCTCACCCTTAGAATTTATTTTATCCACAATCAGTAACAATTTAGAGACCCACAAAGCAATCACCTTATTCATAAACAGAAATGAACATCTTGAAAAGCTGTAAAGTTGAGTGGCTAAAAACCCTTGAGCGAGACTGGCTTTATAATCCAGCTCTTCAGCTCTCTGCCTGTGGTGAGTATGAGGAGGTTACTTACCATAACATTTCTTTTGAACCTTTCCTCAATATCTCCTCTGGTACAATTAGAGTAATATTCTATGTATCTCAGGAGGTTGTTATATGAATTGAATGAAGTAATATGAGTACACATCTGAGAACAGGATCTGGCACTTAGTAATATATATCTCAGCTACTATTATCATGGACATAATAATTATTATTTTACTCAGAAACCAAAAAAATTAACATAGGTTCAGCCACTTGTTTTATCTGGGAAATATTATTTTCACCAAGCTAAATTTCTTCATCTACATAATTGGATAATAGTCAAACTAATATACTGAAAACACTTGTTCAGTGTTAACCCGATATAATTGTCCAATAAAATTTCTATATTTTTATTTCATTTTAACAAATATTGTGTAAATACTGTATACCAGGTCTTCTGGTAGTCACTGGGGATAGAACAGCTTTTAAAACAGGTAAAACTCATTTTTTTCTTTTATTTTAATGGGGGATACAGACATAATACAGAAATAAATTATTTTCACAAATAAATTACATATACTGAATCTATACTCAGCCAGAACACTTAGAGCTAAAATATGCCACATATAATTTATCATTCATTTAACTTTTGAATTATGGTGTTTATTCAGTTGTCTGTACATCCTATAAGTTTGCTAAGGGTATAAATTAGAGTTTCAACTCAGAGCAAAGAGACCACTTTACAGATATTATGTTTTTTAATGATTAGCACTTAATTTTTTTAGATTAGTGATGGTAAAACAAAAATGAGATCACTTCTAATGTTGCTGACAGAGTCCCAAACCCAAGTATTCTGAGTCAGTGTATTCTATAAATCCTTTTAATAATGAATATTAATGATTAACTTTATTAAAGTTATTAGAGCCATTGATGACTTTTCCAGGTATAAAATTATAGAGTCATTACATTTTAAAATACAATCATAAAATTATATGCATAGAGGGCCATGCAGATACAATTTTGAATATGAAACTGTCACAGGGATAAATGTTAGCTAGCAAAATCTACATTAATGCAAGCATTAACGTTCTGCAAGAGACTTCCAGTTCAGGCTGGGCTAAATTGTGATCACAGTGCTAAATCACTTGGCAAGAGACCGAATAACCTAACTGGGATTCATATATTTCTTAGAAGAGCTTCCTGTTATCCCTCACCTAAAAGTGATTTTCATTACTAAGAACACTTAATTTAACTCTGTATCAGCAATTTTCATATTGGGCAACTATATTTATTATAATTGAACATTTATATATTCTGCAGATTGCTAAAACAATGACTCTCTTGCCAGTTACTACATGAAGAGATATATATTTTTAGAAATGCTGATTTGAATGTTGTAATTATCATCATACCTCAAGCAGGAATGCCCATAATAGAACAACTATTTAAGGATATTTCAATTAACTACTTTATTTTTATTCAAAATATTGTTTATTTTAAAAATGATATGCAACAGATCAGCAGGAATTGGTCGCAATGAGCCACAATATTTTCCACAATTATAAATATATCACATTTATTTGCATTTCCAAAAATATACTTTTGATCAAAAATAGTAATCCAATATTTTATTTGACTTTCCCCAGTGTTGTTTTCAAACAGTGGAACACTTTGTTATTCATTTGATAGGGAAATATATAGTTTAACAAAATTTTACATAAATGTATGTGTGGGATGTGTTACGCTGGGATAAATTTTTTGTAAATATAGTTTTGGACTGAAAAAAAGGGATGGGGATTTCACTTATATTTCTAATATGTGTCTTTTTCGCATTCATGACTTTACATTTCATTTTTGAGAGCTACATAGTTTTATGATCTCTAGAATTGTATTGGGTTTTTCCTTCTTTCTCTCTTTTTTATGTCCAAGCTTGCTTGTCCTGTGATATCACTGTGTTGTCTTTAACATTTAATACTGTCATTCTGTGTCCAGCTAATGCAATGTTGTCACATTCACATAGAGAAAGGAAAATAGCCAGTAGCACAGTATTTAGTAAATGCCCCAAATGCCATGATCTGTGCTTTTTACAGTGAAATTAAAAGTAGGTTATTCTTACCAAAAAAGACACACACACACATACACACACACACACACACACACACACACACACACAGAATAAAAAACTGAATTAAATGCATCTTCATTTTTGATATTTCTATTTTCCTTGATTTTATTATTGCACGGAATTTACCTTAGTCTGTATGTACTTCCCTAGTCACTTCTTTTTCCTATTTTTTTGCAAGACAATAACAAATGGTTGTTAAGGACTCAGAAGCAGAAACATTTGTATACAAACTCCAGTTGTTTTAATCTTAACAGTTGTGTGAATTGCGCAAGTGATGGAAGCCTTAATTTTGTTGTGTTATGTGCAAAATTTAGATAATAAATATTGCCCCCTAATTAATGGCTTACTGAAAGGTTAAATGTGATAATGCATATGGCATTTTTAGCACTTGGTGAACATCACTAATACATGTGTTATCATTGACTTGTGCCCCTCTTCCTATTGTTGAAATCCAAGCATTATTTAAGGTTCTACCATTTATTGCTCTCTTCTATTTTTATGGCTTTAGTATGTAGCTCCACTCATTGTCAAAACATCAGTAATTCCAATATCAAAACATTCTTAATGAAGTGATATTAAAACAAGCTTTATAAAACTTCATCTTAGGATTAAAGTGGTATCACTGATTTTAAAAGTTTGAGAGGTAAAAATAAATTTGTTATTTTAGAAACAAAAGATAAAGAAGAAAATGCATTATTTGGTACTCACTCGTATTTATATTTTCTTCGGTAAGCTTAGAACTCACATTAGTTCAGTGACTTTGAAAGAATGTTAATTTAGCATTTAGCCTGCTTGGTATTTGGAATTAATGAATATAAAAATTAATAATCACTTTCATTTGTCACCAAAAATGATTTCAAGATATATCTGCTGATAAATAGAATTGCCATGTATAGCATAAATTTCTATATGAGAATGTCCACAGAAATGATTTCAATATATCTGCTGATAAATAGAATTGCCATGTATAGCATAAATTTCTATAAATGAGAAACTCAGTTGTCACCTAAATTATTGTAGATACATTTGCCTTAAATCAAAGAATGTATAGAAATGTACGATATAATCAAGTTTTTGAAGTCTTTGTAAAAAAGAATATGTAAATTGATGATATATGCAAATAGTACTTGAGAGTATATATATTAAATAATTGCCTTAATAATATGACTGGTCTACTTAGTTTGCAAGGTTAGAACACTAGAAATCAATTAAAATTCCTTCCTTTACCTTATCCTTCTGTCTGCCTGTTCAAACATTGCTTTTACATCCTAAATTTCTCTTAAATCCACTCAATCCTCTATCTAAATGTATTTAGTACATTATTTCAGAACCTCATCAGTTCTCACATGGACCAATGAAATATTATTAAATCCATTCTTTTGTTTTTATTTATGTCTTCTTCTGGTGAATCTGCCAAAGGATTATTCTAGAGTTTACATATTCAGGATTCTCTCTCAGATTTGTAAGTACGTGGCTTTGTAATGTCAAACGTATACCAAACATTTTAGTGTGGTAGTTCTCAAACTTTAATAGGTATCAGGATCACCTAAATAATTTTGGCTGGGTGCGGTGGTTCATGCCTGTAATCCCAGCACTTTGGGAGGCCGAGGCGGGCGGATCACGAGGTTAGGAGATTGAGACCATCCTGGCTAACATGGTGAAACCCCGTCTCTACTAAAAATACAAAAAAAAAAAAAAAAAAAAAAAAAATTAGCCTGGCGTGGTGGCGGACGCCAGTAGTTCCAGCTACTCGGGAGGCTGAGAAAGGAGAATGGCGTGAACCCTGGAGGCAGAGCTTGCAGTGAGCCGATATCGCGCCACTGCACTCCAGCCTGGTGACAGAGGGAGACTCCGTCTCAAAACAAACAAAGAAAAACAAATAATTTTCTGGGATTATTTTCCAGAGTCTCTTATGCAGTAGTTTTGGGTGAACCCCGGCAAGGTGCAATTCTAGCAAGTTTCCTAGTGATGCCAATATAGCTGATCCTGGAACCAAACTTTGAGAATCATTGCTTTAATCTAACCTAACACATTCTCCATGACTTCTCTAGCTTGTTTCTCAAACCTAATCTCTCATCACTTTCTCAAACTTATTCACATTTCACATAGGCCTAAATAGTGTGAGCTCTTGTACATTTCCATACAGGATCGTATGTTCTTTCTGGAACATCCTTTATTTCACTACTCCATTGCTTTGCAACTTTGTTTACCTGGGTTACTGATAATCCAATTCAGGATTCAGCACAAACATAGTCTTGTACACCTTCCCAAACTCTTATTTTGTGTAACTTTCGCATATGTAAGGGAGTCCCTGTGCATACATATGTCCCAATACTTACCAAAATGTAATTAGCTATTTTTTCTGTTTTGCATACAATTTTTGTGAGCTCCTCATCTTATATATCCCTATATATTCAGAAACGTATCTGGCAATTTGACTCTATAGATATTTATCATAAAGTAAAATATGTACATGTCAATCACTGGAAGGAATATTAAAAATAATAAATAAAAATATATCCATTACATTAATGGCATGCTTGTGTGTTTCCTCCTTTAATAGTTTAAGGATATTCTGATTTTTTATAAATAAGAATAATTTCTTATATGTTGTGAATTTTAGCAATGACATTAAAATATTGATGATATTATATAGTGTGTTCTATATAATCCTTTTTTAGGGTGAGGCCAAATTATATTTGCTGTTTTATTTTTCTTATCTAGTATGTACTGAAGTGGTAAGAAGAGATCATATTTCTTATGTATTAAGTGACAGTTCATTAATTTACTAAATTAAGGAATATGTATCAAAAGCTTACTATGTAGCAAGCACCATTTAAAGTTATGTAATTTCCCCAAACTCAAAGAGATAAAAGTAAACAGTGAAGAAGCAGGTCAGTATATCTGACCCATTGCCATTTCACTATCTGTTCTTCTCCCTATGTGCTTTGGTTGGTAAAATTTGTGTCAGAATACCAGCTTACTAATAAATGAAATTGACCTGCAACTCTCTCAAGAAACATTTATGCTAAGTGTAGCTCTTAGCAGAAGATTACAGCTACTGGGAAATTCTCAGCAACAGAGAAGAGGATGCAAGTGAAATGAAAAGCAATTGGGCAGTCTAATTGAGAAAGTAATGATGATACTCAGTATGAAAATAGATATTCTGATGGCATTACCTTCCCTAGGATATTCTCATACTAATCTATGATATTTCTAAAGATGTATGATGTGTTTTCACTATCTTTAACCATAAGTGATGTAGAAAACATTTAATAGAATAACAAGAACAATTTTCAATGTGTACATAAACAAAAAATTTTGAAAATGAACTCAAAACATTCACAGAAATTTTTTCAAGTAAGCTTGCAAAGTAGAACAGAAATATCTTAATAATTATTAGATTTCACCCAATATCTAAGAAATAGAGGTGGGGCATAAACTTTTTATACATATAGAAATCATAAAATGAGTGATTTATTCTCTATGTCACCAACACCCTATATTTAATATAATACATATGCTAAAAGGATTTATGGAGAAAAAGTAAAGTATTACTCATAAAATAATTACTATGCTGAAAAGGGATTTGTGAAAACAAATCCTGTGATTACAGTGTCTAATATAATATATTTTCGATTATATCCCTTTCTACTAATCATTTCCATATGAACCTTAGCTTTACATTTCATGATTATAAGGACAGATACTTATATTGTGATTAGCCCACAAGATGGGATTTATAATTTAAAATTAAATAAAAATTCTAGCCTATTAGGGATAGGCATTCAAATATATATTCACTTACTACTAATAATGTAGAAGTTGATTTTACTTTTTTTTGAGACAGAGTCTCACTCTGTCACCCAGGCTGGAGTGCAGTGGCGCGATATTGGCTCACTGCAAGCTCCGCCTCCTGGGTTCACACCATTCTCGTGCCTCAGCCTCCCGAGTAGCTGGGACTACAGGTGCCCACCACCATGCCCGGCTAATTTTTTGTATTTTTGGTAGAGACAGGGTTTCACCGTGTTAGCCAGGATGGTCTTGATCTCCTGACCTTGTGATCCGCCCGCCTTGGCCTCCCAAAGTGCTGGGATTACAGGCATGAGCTACTGCGCCTGGCTGATTTTACTTATTATTGAAAAATAATTTCACATTTTTTATGATGATGTGAGAATATGAAAATAAAATGAAATTATAGTAAATACATTGATAGAAGATTAAGTTGATAATTTGCATAGAGCATATTGGCTGGGTGCAGCATTTGTAATCTCTATGTTCCTTGACCGAGGGCATGGATGTTCACATTTATGCTGAGAATTTAATTGTAAGCAGAATGTTGACTTTTTTCTCCTCCCTGCTTTTGCTATTCTCAGATTAAAATGGCATTTCTTGCCCTAACACATTTTGTTTATTCATCACATTTTTATTGTTACTAGTTTTATTTGTAGTTAAGTAAGTCTGCAGAAATCTTCCTCCCAAACTGTTCTCCCTTAATCAGAGATTCCTGCTGATCCCATTGTGGTGATTAGTTAAGCTAATGACTGCTTGCCTTTAGATTTGGGTGCAGGGAGAAACACATTTAAAACTCTTGTTATGAAACCATTAAATTAATCTTAAGATACTCATATTAATATAAAAATTAGCTTGTCATTTCATTATCAGTCATGTCCTCAGCTTTTTAATTTTTTGGCCAGTATGTTTCTCAATAATGCCTAGCTTATTTGACTCATAGATCCCTAACTTCTTGACCAATGCCCCTCAACTCTGCTGTGATCTTTATGATTTCACCTTTATAAGATTCTGTTTTCTGATTTTCTCCTGAATCTTTAGATTCAACCTATTTGCCTGCTATTTGCTTTTTTCAATACGATACTATTCACATTTTCAGATTACACCTGAATATGGTTTGGCTGTGTCTCCAGCCAAATGTCAACTTGAATTGTATCTTCCAAAATTCCCACATGTTGTGGGAGGGACCTAGGAGGAGGTAATTAAATCATGGTGGCTGGTCTTTCTTGTGCTATTCTAGTGATACTGAATACATCTCATGAGATCTGATGGGTTTATCAGGGGTTTCTGCTTTTGCTTCTTCCTCATTTTTCTCATGCCATTGCCATGTAAGAAGTGCCTTTCGCCTCCCACTGTGATTCTGAGGCCTCCCCAGCCATGTGGAACTGTAAGTCCAATTAAACTTCTTTTGGTTCCCAGTTTTGGGTATGTCTTTATCAGCAGTGTGAAAACAAACTAATACAGTAAGTTGGTACCAGTAGTGGGATGTTGCTGAAAAGATAACTGAAAATGTGGAAGCAACTTTGGAACTGGGTAATAGGCAGAGGTTGGAACAGTTTGGAGGGGTCAGAAGAAGACAGGACAATGTGGGAAAGTTTGGAACTTCCTAGAGACTTGTTGAATGGCTTTGACAAAAATAGTGATATGAACAATTCTAGGCTGAGATGGTCTCAGATGTAGATGAGGAACTTGTTGGGAACTGGAGCAGAGGTGACTCTTGTTAAGTGACTCTTGTTATGTTTTAGCAAAGAGACTGGCAGCATTTAGCCCCTGCCCTAGAGATTTGTGGAACTTTGAACTTGACAGGGATGATTTAGGGTATCTGGCAGATGAAATTTCTAAGGAGCAAAGCCTTCAAAAGTGACTTGGGTGCTGTTAAAAGCATTCCATTTTAAAAGGGAAACAGAGCATAAAATTTCAGAAAATTTGCAGCCTGGCAATGCAGTAGAAAAGAAAAATCCATTTTTTGAGGAGAATTTCAAGCTGGCTGCAGAAATTTGCATAAGTAGCAAAGATACTAATGTTAATCCCCAACAGCATGGGGAAAATGTCTCCAGGCCATGTCAGCAACCTTCATGGCAGCCGCTCCCATCACAGGCCCAGAGGCCCAGGAGGAAAAAACAGTTTTGTGGGCCAGGCCAGGCTCCCTGTGCTGTGTGCACCCTTGGGACTTGGTGCCCTGTGTTCCTGCCACTCCAGCCATGGCTGAAAGGGGCCAATGTAGAGCTTGGGCTCTGGGTTTAGAGGGTGGAAGCCCCAAGCCTTGGCAGCTTTCACATGATGTTGAGCCTGTGGGTACACAGAAGTCAAGAATTGAGGTTTGAGAACCTCTGCCTAGATTTCAGAAGATGTATGGAAATGCTTGGATGCCCAGGCAAAAGTTTTCTGCAGTGGTGGGGCCCTCATGGAGAACCTCTGCTAGGGCAGTGCAGAAGGGAAATACGGGGTCGGATCCCCACATAGAGTCCTTTCTGGGGCACTGCCTAATGGAGCTGTAAGAAGAAGATGCCACTATCCTTCAGACCCTAGAGTGGTAGATACACAGACAGCTTGCACCGTGCACGTGGAAAAGCCTCAGACACTCAATGCCAGCCCATGAAAGCAGCCAGGAGGGAGGCTGTACCTTGTAAAGACACAGGGGCAGAGCTGCCCAAGACTATGGGAACCCACCTCTTGCATCAGCATGACCTGGATGTGAGACCTGGAGTCAAAGGAGATCATTTTGGAGCTCTAAGATTTGACTGCCCTGCTGGATTTCAGACTAGCATGGGCCCTCTTACCCCTTTGCTTTGGCCAATTTCTCCTATTTGGAATGGCTATATGTACTCAATACCTGTACCCCCATTGTATCTAGGAAATAACTAGCTTGCTTTTGATATTCAGGCTCATAGGCAGAAGGGACTTGCCTTGTCTCAGATGAAACTTTGGACTGTGGACTTTTGGGTTAATGTTGAAATGAGTTAAACCTTTGGGGGACTGTTGAGAAGGCATGATTGATTTTCAAATGTAAGGACATGAGATTTGGAGGGGTTGGGATGGAATGATATGGTTTGGCTGTGTCCCCACCCAAGTCTCAACTTGAATTTTTTCTCTCAGAATTCCCACGTGTTGCAAGAGGGACCCAGGGGGAGGTAATTGAATCATGGGGGCCAGTTTTTCCCATGCTATTCTCATGACAGTAAATAAGTCTCAGGAGATCGTATCAGTTAATCAGGTGTTTCCACGTTTTCTTCTTCCTCACTTTTCTCTTGCCGCGGCCATGTAAGAATTGCCTTTTGCCTCCTGCCATGATTCTGAGGCCTCCCCAGCCATGTGGAACTATAAGTCCAATTAAACCTCTTTTTGTTCTCAGTTTTGGTTATGTCTTTTTTAGCAGCATGAAAAAAAACTAATACAACCTGTTTCTAGATTAAAGTATATTTTGATGGTAACTTAACATTTAGCCCAGAGTTGATACTGATGTCAATATAAAATCTGAAGTAGACATAGAATTATGGTATACTTTGGGGTAAGAAGTGGAAGTACTTGGAAAAAATTCAACAGATAAGCAGTCAATTAGCATATTAAACTATATAGTATATAAAACTATTCATTATAGTAATCAATATTACAAACAACTTTTCTAGGGAATCTTTGAAATGATGAATGCTCAAGGATCCTAAGTATATCAATCTATACAATGCAAATTTTAACAACTTATGTAAGCAATTCTACATCTATCTATCATGAACTTCCATTATGAAAAACATCACTTTTAGTATGAATATCAGAGTCATCTAAATTTTACAGACAAAGAAATCGATTGTGGAATAAAATTTTTCAACCAAACCAAATGTTTAAAATTTTGCTCATGTTTTTCGTTTCAGCAAATAAAAGCAATAGGTCTCTTTTCTTTTCAGCATTCAATTTTTCAATTGATTTTTATTGATGTGTTATGGATTATTTTTCTGTTAAAATACATATTTTTAAACCCTTCTGAACTTTCCAATAATACTTTAATATTATTTTATATCAGTTATATTCTCATAATTGAGTTAGATCATTTCCTCTATAGTTTAATAAACCACTGTTAGAATATTTTTTAAATGCTAATAACACTCTATCTACTGCATTGTACTACATTTTGCATAACAATTATATATTAAAATACTTTTCTAATATTGATTTTCTAAGTTGATTTTCTAATATCTAATTTTCTAAGTTGAAATTTGTCTTCCCCATCCTCTTGGACATTGAATAAAATGATTACTGTGAATATCAACATTTTATATTCCTTAAATGTTTGAAGATAGCTTTCATTTTTCTCTTCTATCTTTATTTCACTGGGCTAATCATTCTCATTTTTTCTCTTCTCGCTTTTGACTCTCATCATCATAGTCTACCTTGTGTCGGGGCTGTTTTCAAATAAAGCAGGTTATGCACAAAATTAAATATATTGTGATTAACAACTTTCTTAATTTGAACTCTGTATTTCAACAAATGCAACTGAATTCTTATTAGATTCATGGTAATAAGTTTACATTTGTTTTTAACTAAAATTCCCTGAAGCTTGTTCACATGTGCTAATGGTAAATCCCACCTTTCCCATTCTGTCTTGCCTGTTATATCCCTATCCATTTGTCTTCTTCCCTCTCCCTTCCTACTTGCTTTCCTCTCTCTTCCTCCCTTCCTTTCTTCTTTCTTCTCTCTCTTTATTCATTTTCTTCCTATTCTCTCTTCCTATTTAGTTTTCTCCTTTATTTCCTCCATTTTGTTCTTCCTTTCTTTCTGCATGACCACTCTGTTGACAAAAGTCAATGATAGCTTAGATTGACATAAAGCAGCCATAAACAGCAATAGAGTATATCAAACAGTGCATTTTTATAAAATATGAAGAAGGAAGTTAGTATGGTCATGATATATACCAGTGAGAGCTACAGGATTATCTAAATCCTCACCATCATGTAGACAGTTACTGATTTTATCTGAGTTAGGGATACATAGATCTCCTAGAAAATTATCTCTGCAACTTCCAGACCCAGCACTATATATCTATACATTAGAATGGAACAGCTTTTCAAATGGGGTAGTTTAGATTTGTGCTAGGGTTATCTCTGGGGTGTATTCTGATTAGACAGTACTATAAAAAACTGTACTCTTAAGCACTGTTACCATTTTTCTTCATCATGTTCAGTTTTGCCAGGCTACACTACTTGGTAAAAGTAGATTCCTGATTTTCATTCTGTGGAACTCATGCTTTATGTTTTCACATATATTTTCTTTATACACTTTGCATTTCTCTCCTATATTTTTCATATTATTGTGTTTGTTTTTGATATTTTGTTTGTTCTGGAAAGGATCTGTATCTTTCAATGGACTCAGCATCTGTTTCCATCTTCAGAAGAAACTATTTAGAAAAAAATACAGATCTCAAAATGCAAGAACTGAGGACTGGCTCTGCTACATATTAGCCCTGTAACTTGAGCTAGTTATTTAATCTCTCCTATGCTTCAGTTTCTTAATCCGAGAAAAGGATAAAAATAATACCAATCTCATATATTTTTATGATAATTAAAATACATAGTTTATTTCCAGTATCCAGCAAACTATCTGATACAGATACAGAACTTAATAGAAATAGCAATTAGTTTGATCAATTTGCCATTGTTTTAATCAGCTCAGGCTACCATAACAAGAACATCATAAATTGAGTGGTGTAAACAACAGAAATTTACTTCCCCCAGTTCTAGAGGCTGGGAATTCCAAAATCAAGGGACTGGCCAATTTGGTTCCTGGTGAAGTCTCTTTTCCTGGCTTGTAGAGGGTGGCCTTCTGACTTACATACTGGCTTGACCTTACCATGCTGTATGCATGCAAAAAGAGAGATAAATCTCTCTCTCTCGTTCTTCTTATAAAGCCCTAAATTCTATCAACTTAAGATCCCCTCTATGACCTCATTCAAACCTAATTATCTGCTAAGAGCTTTGTCTTCTAATAAAATCACATTGAGAGTTTGGGCTTCAACATATTATTTGGGGGGACAAAATTCCACATATATCAGTTATCAAATCACTCCATCAAGCCATTTAAAAATATTGAAGAGAACAACGATTTGGTCGTCTGTGTGTATTCCATGTGTATATTCATATACAGATCACACTTTCAGACACACAAATGTGAATTCTCCTCTTTTCACCATTCACTAATCACTAATCAATTTTTATTAGGTATTTTGTTGTAGCATTGATTTTTTTGACATTTAGAAAATGATATTCCATTTCTTTTTCTTACTATAATTACTAATCAATTAAAACAAGTTTTTGGTCTCTACTAAAAATACAAAAATTAGCTGGGCATGGTGGCGGCTGCCTATAATTCCAGGTACTAGGGAGGCTGAGGCAGGAGAATCACTTGAACCTGGGAGGCAGAAGTTGCAGTGAGCTGAGATTGCGCACTGCACTCCAGCCTGGGTGACTAAGTGAGACTCCGTTTAAAAAAAAAAAAAAGCTTTTACTTTTATTTACTATGTGCCAGGACATTATTCTAAGAATTTTTACATGTAACAATTAACTTTTACAGTTTTTATACTCCTTTGTCTTCTTTTCTCGAAATTTTAATAATTTCTGTGTATCATTCTTGGGTCACCTCTTGCTGTGAGGCTACAGAGAGGGGTGGAAAGGGTTATTAGTTTTGAAGTCAACTGGATATACATTACTTAGTTTGTTGAATAAATTATCACATTTTCTTTTTTTTTCTCTTCCTTCCATTCTCCTTTCCTTTCTCTCTTTGTTGGTTTCTTTTACTTTTGTTTTCTTCTTTCCTACACTGTTCCTGCCTTATTTCTTTTTCTCCTGTTAAAAAAAAAAAAAAAAAAAAAAAAAACTATGGGAGGACATTGTTTTGGACCAGCCTCCTGCACTAGGCTCCTGAAGACCAGACCAAACAGAATGCAGTAATTTGTGCTAAGTATATATAATCAAGCTGAACTTTAAAATGGGCCAGTTTTCAGAAAAAAATCTGGATATTCCCGTCAGCCTACGTCAACATAACAGAAATAGTTCCCACTCTGTCTTAACGCTGTAAGGAAAGTCACTTTGAAATTACCAATCTACTTTTCGTTTCCTGTTTCTGTCTCTTCAGCCCTTTTCTGCCCATAAAGCCAGCTTCCCCTGCTCAGCTCATTGGAACACTCATTCTAATTTATAGAATGTGGTGTTGCCCGACTCTGGAATAACAAATAAAAGCCAATTAGATTTTTAAACAAAATTTGTTATAATTTTGTCTTTTGACACTCCTTTCCTCCTTTTGTGTGACTATATTCATTGTTATTTCCTTACTTGCTTGTCTTTACTCTGTGTAGGTAGTACAGCTTTACTTCTTATATTTACTATCTTCATTTTGGTAAGTAATTTAACCTTTTCATAATTTTTAAAAATAGGGATAATATATATGGTATACACAAAATATGTCTGATACATTGTAGGCAATTCCCAAAGTTTATTGAGAACAGTTTAGTACTTGTATTTTAAAATTCTCTCATTATTCTGAATGAGACTTTTGTGAGTAATCAGCATTTAGCAAGTCTTGGGAGCACAGTCTTTCAGGTTCTCTGTAGATATACACATAAGCATATGTTCTTTAAAAACAAACAATGATAACAAACAAAAAAGAGCATAGTTTCAAACATGATCTAATTCTGCCCCATTCTAATTGTGGATAGTCACTGATGACCAAATATCACTTAAACATATATGTGACATCTTTACTTTGACTTGAAATCAGCAATTAACTGCAGATTGAAAAATTTGAATCCATATGCCAACTTAATTTACATAATTAAATTATCTTAAAGATTCTCTCTAATATTTCTCTATTTTATTTTATCTTTCTCCATCAAACAACTTTTATTGTAAGAACACGAGTATTTTACAAAATGCAGAACCAAATCAGCAAACACATTTCTTAGGCAAAGAGAAGAGAGTCGCTCAGGAAAATTTAACAGGTGGTATTTTAAATACAATATACAATTTCCCCTCCCCACCCCAGAAAAAAAAATGGCATTAAGGAGACTTAGCAGATAATCACTCAGTCTTGATATCTATTTTCAACATATAAAATTAGTAAGACAAAGCCTGATTGGCTCAACCTAGATGATTTGAAAAGAATGAAATCATTTAGCTATGGCCAAAGGACTCAGGCTTATAGGAGAGAGAAGGATACAGAAAGGTCTCAAAGAAGAGGTACCTGTTGGATAGACTAATCAGCCTCACACTAGTGCCTTCCAACCATAGGGTACCAATACCATACCTACTGTGACATATTTGACATGTCACCATATGTGAAATTTCTAGATCCTTTTTTAAAGCACAAATGCAGGTATTATAAACAATGAACCCAAGTTCAAGCTAGCACCAATCCCAAAGTCACATCCCCAAAAGGCAAATGTGTTCATATCAATTAATAACTGACATGCTGAGGTCACTCACTGAGTTTAAATCATTCACATGGTGTCCGTGGCTTTCAGAGAATTGTTGTGACCCTTTCAGATTCAGAAACCTATGGGCTAAACATTAAATGTAAATGCTGCAAATACAAAACTTTACATACTAATTGAAGAACCAAGCATGCCAATTTACCAAGCTGCAAAACAAATTGCTCATTACCCCTAACAGACAAATTATTCCCCTTGAGCTCTAAAATCTAAAAACATTTGAGTGAGGAGCACTCATCTTTAATCATGGGAGATTCAATGCTCAACCACGACCCCTAGTTGCACAGGAGAAGCATACATGCCTAGGTCTTGCCTAAAACCATATTCCACATTCTTTGGGTCAACAACTTGACTGCACAATCTGTAGTTTCAAGCTTATCATGAGTAGAGTCTGCAATAGGCCTTTCCTGTGTTCGTAAGACCAGTTACATCTAACTGAAGGGAAGAATAAGAAACAGCCTGCTGTTGTTCTTCCCTCAAATTAATGAACAGGAGTGCAGTGGGTCTTCATGTGAATAAGAAGACAAAAGGGAAGCTCAGCAAACCTGCTTAAATCTATAGTGTTAGCAGGCCAGCTTGGCAGCCATGAATAATCTATATATTGTATTACTGGAGTGAGCACAATGGGCTAAGAAGGCAAACCAAAATCCAGACACATCTAAGGAGATAATTCAAAGTGTATAGGCATGCACACATTCTGCACATTTTTTTTCATGCTCTATACGAGGCTTTTACACTAAATTTTTAAAACACAGGATGTGATTCCTGACATTCTATCAACCATTTTATTAGGTGATATGTATCACAAATCATAAAGATCAAATCTCTACTATAGCCCTACCACCCTGAATGCACCCAATCTAGTCTAATATTTCTCTATTTTAATTCCACACAGCTGGAGCCCTCCATTATTATAAGTTTGAAGTTTTGCAAATCTTCCCTTTTTGTTTATTTAGTAATATATAACGTAAAATTCAGTCCTTTTAAAGTGTACAATTTACTGAATCTTAATGAACTTATACAATAATGTAACCACCACCAAAATAAAAATGAGAAATATTTCCATTGTCCGAAACAGGGTCTTCATTACCCTTTGCATTACTTTTTTCCTACATTACTCCAAGAATGTGGCAACTATTGGTATAATAGTTTTTAGATTTGCCTTTTCTAGAATGTCACATAATAATAAATCTTTCCTTTTAGATTTGCCTTTTCTAGAATGTCACATAATAATAAATCTTTCCTTTCTATAGTGACTAGTTCATTGTTACTAAAAAAGGGCCTATAACGGGCAAATAAGCAGAAAAAAAATGTTCTAATCAGACACAATGCTACTACTTGGCTGTTAGGCATTGTGTCTTCCTGCCTTCCAACTGCAAAAAAAAAAAAATGTCATTTTTCAGGGCTCTAGGCTTGAACGTATTAAAGATTGGTTGTTTATCTAAGGTGCGCTTCACTAAAAATATTTCATACAAATCAATAATTAGTTATCTCAAGATTTTCAAAGATATTCTTGAATTAGGAGGAAATTCTCTCGACAAATCAAATGTTCACCAAAAGGCCATTTTATCTGATGGTTCCTAGATGAGGTGACCAAAGCATTCACATCCAAAGTGTACTGAGACTGAGGATGAGATATGTGTCCTGCTGAGATAAGAACCTGATGGGCCTTTGCCTGTCTTAAAGTAAATTCCTTTTAGTAGAGATTGACTTTCTCTTTTCTGCTATGATTTTTCTGCTCAAGTTATACTAGAAAAGTATTTTTCAAATAGGAGTATAAAACAACTAGCCAGAATGATGATGAGAAATGATTAAGAATTCTAGTGATTTTAAGGGAATAGAGTTTATATTATCCACTCCAGCATAGTGATGGTTTTCTAGTGGGAAAAATAGAACTGGAACTGCATATGTTGTGATAGTTTGGTGGCAGGATACAAAAGAAATTCTTTGAAACAGCATTTAAAATTCCCTCAGGAGTATAAACATTATTTCTTCCTTGCCTGTGGGCAGCAGAGTGTAACATATGGGACATACATGCAATATGAGAGAAAACTGACAAACAGGAGGGACATGTTCTTTCCCTCTCTGTGGTCCCAGTTTGGTCTTTAGATTCTTAGGCACTATTCCCACTCTAGACAAGCTGGAAATAGATTTAGAATACAGAAACATATGCGTTAGAGGAATATCCCTAGAACTTTAAAGTTCAAAAGAAATAAGAAATTATGTAGCCTCCATATAACTCTATACAAGTTGTATTAGATGTGATATTTTGGAAGTTTGAACAATTGATTTGTGCATTTTACTTTATATTTATGACCTTAAGGAAAATTCATTAACTAGTGTGATTTTGTTAACTCCCTAACTGCTGATAAAGAGCAAGGGACACTGTGAACTTTCGATTCATCTGAGTTTATTGGAAGGGAAAAAAGTCACTAAAAATCCATGATAATAAAATTACTTAATGAATATTGAATAACCTATGATAAGTTATTGATATAAATTTAGTAAATGCTACATTTTAAATAAATAATATAAATAAGTTTATAAATAATGCCTTTAAGTCAATCATAAAGCATATGCTTTAAAATAAGAGTGGTTAGGGTAACTAGACAGGTTTTGCTATGTTTTATGTGGAGATAGAGGAGTGTATTTTAGAAATTGATGACTTTCTCTGTAAAGTTAAGTCAAGCGATTATTTTAATTTTTTCCCTTTATGGTTAAGACTCATAAAATATTGCTTTATTTCTAGAAATAGCGTTGATTTTTACTGTCTTTTCCTTTTGAAAACTAACACTCCAAAGAGAACACTAGACTTCCTGCATCGCTTTTCAACGTCTCAACCCATTTTAGAGGAGAATTCTGCCCAAAACACCTTAAATTTCTCATAAAATTATTTTTACATTTTGTTGCTGGTGAAATGTCACCTAAAACATTTTAATGTAAATTATTTGTTAAGGTAACTGGATTCTCAAGATGTAATATATTTATGTCTAACCTATAGCCCTTCATAGTACAGTAGCAGCCTCAACTTGTAAAAAAAATCACAATAAGCTGAAAAAAATACAAAACGAAATTAGCATTGTGACAGCAAAAACAAGGAGCACTAGGAAAATCAGGAAATTGAATGACACTGAAGAACATTGTATTTTTAAAAAATTTTTCTATTGTAGTGCTTCTTAGTAAAAGTTGAAATTAAAGCTACTGATTTCCTATTAGCAAATAAGGGAAACAGTCTAAGAGCACCTGAAAACTGGAAAATCTTTTATTTCTTAAAAGCTCTTTACCTTTGAAAACATCTTCATATGCAAACTTATAAACCCCACATTTTAAATGACAAATCCAATTATTTTCTTTGAAAGCAAAACAAAAACTAAAAACCAAAGAGAGTACTGAAGTTGTGGAAAAACATGGGTAGTCTTGTAGTTCACTCTCTAAGTCCTTTTGTATTCCCTCCAAAGTCATTATTTGTGGTTTCAGATAGAAAATACATTCAGGCAGCAAATCATGTTCCTTTTGATGGTATAATGTGATAATTCTCAAAAGGATCTCAGCACCCCCTTGTTCATATTTATGCAATTAACTAGTACTTTAAATGCCTAATATATCTCAAAATGAAGGCTAAATATTTCATTTTAATAAGATTTCATTTGATTGGAATTTTGGTTGTGAAGGACATTTGATGACACCTTTTCTTTTCATGTCTAAATTGCAGCTTATCAGTGGGAATTTCCACTTAGCTCTCAATAAATTTGGGGAATAAATGCCAAAATAAGAAAACATTAAGGAAATGGAAAAGTCCTAACAATATTATAGGGTTGATAGCACCTTTTTTATTACACCAGGGATTACTGAAAGGCAATGCACTTTTCACATTTTTCTAAGTCTTTATTTGCTATTACAGTTTAAAAAATCAATTAGAAAGATTATGTCATTCAATAATTATGATCAAAAGTAAAGAGGATAATTCAACTTTTCCAGGTTTTCTTTGATAATCAAATTGGCATAATTAAAGTGTGTTTCTCCTGTTAATTGCAATATTCAAGTAACAATAATAACCATTAATGAACAAATTTTCACATTTATGAATGGTATAATTTCATCAGATCATACATCATTCCTTTAACCATCTCTGGAGTTGTTATCAGTCTTTGCTGACCATTGCTGCCCTCAAAATTGCTTTCCTCATGGCAAATATAGTGTTTCTATGAGAATTTTGGCTTGAATTTGCAATAGCACATGTGACACCTATTTGAATATATGGTCATTTTTTGAGCTCACAATTTTACTTCTAAGTAAATACTCTGTGATGATGAATATTACACATCAATTTGGCTAGATTAAGACAAATAACGTGTCTTTTTTTGGTCACACACTAGATGTGAAGATATTTTGTAGATAGGACTAATATCTACTTTAAACAACTCTACCTTAACATTTATTTTAAGTTGATTTAAAGCAAAGAGATAATCCTTAATTTGCCTCATCTAGTCAGTCAAATGTTTTAAAAGCAAAAACCGAGGTTTTCCAGAGAAGAAGGAATTCTGCCTCAAGACTGTAACTTAGAAATCATTTCCCAGTTTCCAGACTGCCAGTCTGTGCTAAATGTCAACTCTTAGCTGAGTTTCCAGCCTGCTGGCCCGCCTCACAAATGTTGAACTTTCCAGGCACTACAATCAGGAACCAATTTCTTAAAATCACTCTCTCTCTCTGCACACACACACACACACACACACACACACACACACACACACACACACACACCCCTATAGGGTCTGTTTCTCTAAAGAATGCTGAGTGATACAAATTTTGGTGCTGGGAATGGTTCTAGAAGGACAGACTCTTCAAAATAAATTTTCTGAATTGATTCTGGGATTTTCTAGAATTGGTGCTCTAATCTGGTTAGATATAAAGGTACCAATGGCTCTATTTCTAGTAGTAAAGAGAGCACTGATGTTTTGTGGTGTGACGTGGCAAGAAAACTACGTGAAATGTCTCCATTGAATGCAATGGAAATATTCAAAATACATTGAAAATATCTCCTAATCAAATACAAGAGGAAAGGTTCTGGATGATCATGTATTTGATATTTTAGGACATTCTGTCAAACTAACAAGTAAAATGAGATTAGCTGATTGCTCCTAATTGTTCTGGACAAAGTGGGTACAGAAAAGGATGAGCTCATGGTTTCAAATTCCCAGCTCAAGTACAACATACATGATCTGAAAGTTTCTATATCTATCCTGAAAAACAAAAAACAAAACACACACACACACACACACACACACACACACACACACACACCCTTATCTCCTGTAGCAAAATTCAGCTACTTACAGGATAAGACTACTTATGGGTTAAGTTTGCTACAGGAGATAAAGGTGTGTGTGTGTGTGTGTGTGTGTGTGTGTGTGTGTGGTGTTTTCAGGATAGATATAGAAACTTTCACAATAGCAATGACTTGGAACCAACCCAAATGTCCATCAATGATAGATTGGATTAAGAAAATATGGCACATATACACCATCCAATACTATGCAGCCATAAAAAAGGGTGAGTTCATGTCTTTTGTAGGGACATGGATGAAGCTGGAAACCATCATTCTCAGCAAACTATCCCAGGGACAAAAAACCAAACACCGCATGTTCTCACTCATAGGTGGGAAGTGAACAAGACAACACTTGGACACAGGAAGGGGAACATCACATACCAGGGCCTGTTGTGGGGTGGGGGGAGGGGGGAGGGATAGCATTAGGAGATATACCTAATGTAAATGACAAGTTAATGGGTGCAGCACACCAACATGGCACATGTATACATATGTAACAAACCTGCATGTTGTGCACATGTACCCTAGAACCTAAAGTATAATAGAAAAAAGTATATAATGTCCAAAATCAAAGAGTGTCTGCTTTAACATTAGGGCACTGATTAGGAAGAAATGGAATCCTCAAAATTAGAGTGGGACATATTTTGATCAGCAATTTTGATGAAGCTGAGGACACTGAATTCCAAAATTCTGCAGTCATCTTTAGCAACAGCCCTTCCACACCTGTTTGAGGACATTACAGCTGCCTTCCCTGAGGAAATTAAATGAACTTTGAGACGCCTTGCAAGACTTTACTAATTCTACTCAGAATCCACCCCCATCACCCACCTTGCTTGTAGACCTCTAATTAGACTCAAATCCTAGATGAGCCAAAAAGGTGAAGTGCAAAGTGTGGCCCATGAAGAGTTGCACTATACTCCAAAAGAACCACATGATTTTTTCTAACTCATACAGAGAAATTTGAGGAATGTGTTTATTGCTTAATATTTTGGGTGATTTTTGTTGTTGTTGATATTGAGGTATCTTCTACATCCTTATGGTTTTTTGTCGTTTTTCTATCAACAAGTAAATGATATGTGTTAAAATCTCCCATTATGATGGTAAGTTTGTCTATTTTCATTTTTAGTTATATCAAATTTTCTTTAGGTATTTTATAGATATGTTGGTATGTTCAAACTTAGCATTCTAAGCTTTTCCTTGGATAAGTTATTGTAGCATTATGAAATGTGTCATCATCTGATATTATTGCTCTATCAAATCTTTCTTGGGGTTGTGCAGCTTATCTTCTATTACTGTTTCACTTCTTACTTTTGTATATATTTATTTTCAGTTGTATCTCCTGTAAGCAGCATAAATCAGGTTTTTTTCTATTATTTTAAACTTCAACTTTTATATGGAGTGCTTAATATATTCAGATTTAATAAAATCAGATATATTTGACTTTAAATTTAACACTTTATTTTTTCATTGTTTCTATTTCTTTTGTTCCTTTGATTATCTTTCTTAGAATGAAATCCTTTTTTATTTTCCACTTTATTAGCTTATTTTTACAATATTTTGCCTTTACTTTTAGCCTAAAAATTACAGCATGCTTCCTTGTTTTAATATATTTATATAAATTAGTACATTTTTCACTTTAAACAACATAAGGACCATAGAACTTCTCTCCTCACTTGCCCCACTATTAATTTATTTTTATTTTTTCCTAAGTTCCTAGCTTCAGTGTTATATTGTCATGCATTTTAATTTTATATTTATCTACCAGTATCATTGGTTTTTATTCCTCCCTGTATTTCTGTGTTTTCAGTTGCAATTATTTTCCTTTGCAGGAAAAAAACTCACTTTACTTGAAGCTGCTGACAACAAATTCTCTCAATTTTTTTGATATAAATTTTTATTTTCTTTTTATTTGGAGGATGTTTTCTTTTAGGTACAGCATTCTAGTTTGGCAGTTTTATTTTTTAGCTCTCTAGTAACAGCATCATATTATCTTCTAGTTTCCATTGCTTATGTTATAAAGTCAGCTATAGATGACATTGTTGCTGTTTCAAAGATAATGTGCCTTTTGTTTAAATCAAAATATTCCCTATGTATTTGACTTTCAGTAAATTGAGGTTTCATTTGTATATATTCTGCTTTAGGTACATAGTTCCTTTTAACTTTGAGCTTTCTTGTCTCATTATTTTGGGAAAATTTCTAGCCACTGTTTTCACTTAACGCTTTTGTTTCCTTCTTCTCTTACCTCACATCATATCATCTTACCTAACCTCACTTTCTCTTATTTCTCTCTTTCCTTTTATTTGGGGGTATTTAGAAGAGATGCTAAACCTTTTGATCATGTCTAATAAATCTTGTATGCTTTGTAATGTATTTTTTTCTGTTATCTACTCTATTTTCTGATGACTCATCTTCCTGTTCACTAACTCTTACTCTATGTTCTTAATGTTATTTCTAGAATTACCATGTGATTCATACTATCAATGCAAGAAGTCTGCTGACAGTATCGTATACCTTGTTGTATACATTAATCATAGTTATTTAAAAACATCTAAAAAGTCCAATAACCCTTGTTTTTTTTTATCACTGGGTTTCAGTGACATAGCCCTGCATCCTTTTAAATCTGCTAGTTTTTGAGAAAATGTTGAATACAGTGTATGAAAAGTTAGAAAGGTAATCTGAGATTTTTTAATGTAGGTATTTTCAGCCATAAGGGATTCTCTTTTGTTTTTAGGAGGCAGGAGAGTAGGAGCAAATCAATTTTTTTTTTTTTTTGAGACAGAGTTTCACTCTTGTCGCCCAGGCTGGAGTGCAATGGTGCGATCTTGGCTCAGTGCTACCTCCACCTCCCAGGTTTAAGCGATTCTCCTGTCTCAGCCTCCCTAGTAGCTGGGATTACAGGTGCCTGGCACCATGCCCAACTAATTTTTTTTTTTTTTGTATTTTTAGTAGACATGGGGTTTCACCATGTTGGCCGTGATGGTCTTGAACTCCTGACCTCAGATGATCCATCCGCCTCAGCTTCCCAAAGTGCTGGGATTACAGGCATGAACCACTGCGCCCAGCTGGAGCAAATCAATTTTTATCAGCCTGTGATAAGATTGATTCAAAGTTGGATTTCTGCCTTTGCAAATGGGCTTATTTGGGTTTGCTCTAATGCCAGTTGAAAGCCTGAAGTGTTTACCGAAGCCCATCTTCTTTGGCAGGTCTTGAACTAAATGTTTGTCTCTGCTACCCATGAAACTGGCAAACCTCCATTCAGCTTCTTAGCATTTTGGCTAAAATTAAAATATCAGCAAATGTGTAGAAAAGTGCCAAGTGTTAGGCTCCCCTCTCAGCACTCCTCTTGCTTTCTGGGATCTTGGTGCCTCAAGTTCTGGCTGCATTGGTAAACATCAATCCTTATTTTCACTTTTCTTATCCCAAGATACTGCCCAAAGCTCTGATTGACTTCTCAGTATCTGGACCCTTTACATAAATAAGCAAGGGAAAGGTGGCACAGAAATTTGGCACTGCTTGGTATAATTCTTCTCTGCAAGTTCTTGGTTTCTCAAGGGCTGGTTGCTGAAGTAGTTCTTTAATATTTTATAATAATTAAAACCATTTTTAAAGTTTTTATAATTGTTCTTCGTGATCTGTTTTGTCTTCTATAGGCCAGTCTTTCTTATTGGATTATAGTGATTTTATTAGGCTATCAGTAAGTAAACAAGGTATTTTTTAAAGGAGACATTGAATCACTCTATAAAATATGAAATAAACTCTTTCTTGATTAAAGTCTTTGGATACAAGCTTTCAATTCTTTGCATAATAATTATTGTAAAATATGATAACACATGCTTGAAAATGAAAAGACTAAAATATAAAGATTTATTTGTTCTATCCCCTGAAAAGACAGCACTGATTCTATCACACACAGATATAGGTATTTATCTTCCTATAGATCATACCTAATATTCTCAGAGTTGATAATATATTAGAGAATTATAATGCATATCATATATGTATCTCTCAGGTTACAGAAATTTCAAATGGTGTAGTAAAATTAATTTTTTGAGGTCCAGGAGATTATCAGATTAACTGAATCATAAGGTGACTCACAAAATATATGAGAGTAAACAATTATATATAGTAGAAAAATATATCTGAATCTGCATTCATTTTTGAACTATGTATTTACTCTACCTAGATGCAAATCTTTTCCCCAGTCTGCCTGTTTCCCATATTATTCCCATATTATATGTAAATATTTCTATATAGACATGTATATAGAAATATATAAACATACATATGTATCAGTCTGCATATTTATGTATGTGTGTTAGTCTGCCTGAAGCTGCTATAACAAAACATCACAGACTGTGTAGCTTAAACAACAGAAATTTAGTTTCTCACAGCTCTGGAGTTTGGAAGTCCAAGATTAAGGTGCCAGCAAGGTTGGTTTCTGGTGAGGCCTCTCTCTCTCTCCTTGGTTTGTAGAAAGCACCTTATTGCTGTATCCTCACATGATCATTCTCTGTAAGAGAGAGCTCTTGTCTCTTTACCAACTAAAAAGGACACCAGCCCTGTTTGCCTAACAAGGCAAATTTCCTTAGATATTAAGGCTCACGCATAATCCTCTTTGGTCTGATGCGCTGCCTTTTGGGTCCACTGGGGTAATAGCGTCACCTCCCCTACTCTGCACAGAAGCCCCATCCCTGTGGCCTGGGCAGCCCTGCCCCTGAGGTACTGGGCAGTGGCATTCTGCCCTGCTGAAACCCAGGAGGTGGCCCTCTTCCTCTGAGACCAAAGAGAAAACACCTTTGCCTTGTTGGGTATGTGATGGGAGTAGCAACTGTGCTGCTCTCTGAATCACTTTCAGGGCTGTTCTTCCTATTTCTTGAAGGATAATGCATGTTTGAAGCCAGTTAATTCTATTGTCTTGTTCTGCAGAGTCCCAGAAGTCTGACAGCCTTCCTTTATTACATCCAATTCTCTCTGTTTTGTTTATTCCAGCTGTCAGTGCTTCTGCTGATGTAATTCCATCTCCGTTCCTGTCCTCAGCAGAGATGGCTGATTAAATCCATAGGTAATCTCTTTAAGGAGCAAATTTCCAGCCACACACTTTGTCTCTCTAGAACATGCTTTCCACTTTTTGCAACATAGTTAGTCTGATAATTTTCCAAAACTTCAAATTTCCAGCCACACACTTTGTCTCTCTAGAACATGCTTTCCACTTTTTGCAACATAGTTAGTCTGATAATTTTCCAAAACTTCAAATCCTGGTTCCATCTTGCTTAAAAATTTCTTCAATTTGTATATCTTCTCTCACATTTTACTCTAAGCAATAAGGAAAAATCCAGCCTCACCTTCAACACTGTGCTTCTACATCTCTTCTGCCAAATATCCAAGGACATCACTCATATTTTACCTTCCACAAGAGACTAGAACACAATTCAGTGAAATTCTTTGCCACTTTATGGCAAGACTGCCTTTCCTCCAATTTCCAATAACATATTTCTCACCTTGAGACCTCACCAGAAGCACCTTTGTTCATGTATCTACCAATATTCTGTTTAGGATAATATAAGTATTCTCTAAGATGAGACATTTTCTCTAAAGATCTTCTTATTTATCTGTATATATGTATGTGTGTATACATATATACATATACACATATACATATATGTATACATTTATACACATAAACACACACAAAAATTCTAACCTTCAGTCTGACATATTAGATGGGATCTTTGGGAGGCAATTAGGTCACAGGGTGGAGCCCTCATGATTGAACTTAGCACCCTTATAAAAGGAACTCATAGTTCTCTTGCCCTCTTTCTGCCATGTGAAGGTACAAGAAAATGGCAGTCCGCAGAGAGCACTCATCAAAACCTGACCATGTTGGCACAGTTATCCCAGACTTCCAGGCTCCAGAACTGTGAGAAAATAAATTTCTGTTTTTTATAAGCCACCTTACTCTATGAAACGTTGTTATAGCAGCTCAAACTAAGATAGACAGACAGATAGATACGTAGATATATAGAGAGATGATAGCACATTTTTAACTGGAAACATCATCATCTTTTTAACTCAAAAAAGTAAAAGATGCATTCTTAGTAGAATTATTCTTACACAGGCAAGACATCTGCCTCTATCAATTCAAATGTATAGTCTAACTTCAGCAAGAATATCTCTGTAGGGGTAATTGTAATATCTGGTAAATAGTAAGCATAATTTATAGCTTAAGAGAGATTTACACTAATTTATACTTGACCAGAAATTAAAAAAATATGTCAATGAAAATATTGTTACAATAAACAACTCAGGAAATGGGAATTGTAAAGCTCAGAGCATGGCTCCCTAAGTTTCATTTAAGTAAGATCAGAATTTTTGGAATACTTCATTTTAAATCATGCATATTCAGAACACTGGCTAATGGAATAAAGTTTAGTAATATATTTAAATATGCAGTCTCAAAAATGTTGTCACTATGAAACATACAAAAACAACCAGGAGTATTTAACTTGAATACACAGTCTAAGTAGATGTACATATACATAACCCATTACAAAGTCCTAAAACCGAAATCACTTCATTTTATCAGTAGAGTCTGAAGGCCATTCAGTCATTTGTTTTTCCCCTGGGATATTAGCACTATTGCAAAACCCAAAAAGAATATTTTTTCCACAATCTAATTTTTTTGACTAATCTGTTTGACTTTCTGACATTACATTTGCATTTTTTAGTAACCTCTACAGTTATAAAACATTGCTTTTTAGATGAATTCATAATAAAAATTATTTTAATAAACCTTATGATATGTTTTTCTCGCATTTTCATTGTTCGCATGCATAGAAATTGCTTCCTATTCCATCAGATCTTCTCATTTTACTGGGGTATTTTTAAGTCAGTTTGAGTAGTTGTTCATAAACTTTTATTTTTATAAATTGTGACACTCTTGTGGGTAAAATTTACACTTTAACTAGGAATGATGGTTCACTATAGAATGATGCTTTTCTGACAGTTGTTGATTTGAGAGCATGTCTCTGTTAACTTTAATTCCATCTCTTTTTTTCCCTGTAATGCTCAAAATGCCAATACATCTTCATTTACCGGTTGAAAATTCCTCTTCCCAAGGCACCAAGGGTCTACTAAAGAGTATGTCACTAAAACTGTTGCATTTTTGCAAGCTTGGGCATCACATATGGCTCACGCTAGACTCAGATAGCTGTGTGGAGCAAATGCTCAAATCTGTGCCAGAATTTGTTCATTTTAACATCACTGGGACTTTCAAAGAACAAATGCCATCTATGTGAAAATAACACACTATTAAAGGATTTAATAGCGTTACTCATAATGGTTACCTTAATGATAATGCTGAATTGATCTATTCTGAAATTTATTCCAGATTAAAACATCTTGATAGACTGTTGCTGCTACTGCTACTGCTGCTGCTGCTGCTGCATCCCTAGATTTTTCTTCATATGGCTATAACTTTTGATATGCCAATAGGAACCATATCAGTGACAGAAGAATAAGGATGCTCGTGGAATCCTCAGGGATAGAAGCAGCAGTGTGTAGCAGCTGGAGTATGAAGGCTTATGGCAGAGGCAGCAGTGAGTGGAGGCAGAGACAAAAAGGAAGGATCCAGGGTAATGCAGGATTAGCAGGAGAGATGACAATGTTAAGGGACAGTTTAGGGGAAAAAGTAGAATTTTGTTCTAAATAAGCTGCATATTCTGATTTCAGTGCTCAGTCCATTGTATTTTTTTAAGTTTTAAAAAAATTCCAAGTTATATTTTATTTCCTCATTCATAATACAATAATAAGCATATATTAATATTTAATGTGTGTGTTTTTTATGTGTATTTCATGCCCTGGGTCTGTTGTAGATATTGGAGATATAGTGTAAATTAACAAAATATTTTAAGAATTTCTTCCTAATTGAAGGTGGCATTCTGGTCTATGAAATCATATACTATAGAACAAGCATATATATTGTCATAATTATTAATACAATGAATGTAAAATGCTTAGTGAAGTACATAATGTAAATATTAATCTCTAAATAAATGTAACATTGTTATTTTTGGAAAATGTGTATCACTAATGCCATATCAAAGAGCTAAAAACTCAAATACATAAATCATCTTCTAAAACTTGCCAATGAATATTTTATACAATGTTTATAAATTAATGTTAATATTTATGTATAATGAAATGCAAAGCTCTTAAGTGTATATTAAGATGAATTTTGACACATGAATGCACAGTACAAGTAATAACCAAATCAGAATATAGAACATTTCCATCCCCAGAGAATTTCCTCATGACCCCTTCCTGTCAAGCTCTTCTCTACTCAAGCCCTCTATATTTATATTTCTATTCCCATAAATAAATCTAGCTTGTTCTGTAACTTCATCACAATGGCACAAATAGTATGTATTTGTTTTTTTTTTTTTTTTTTTTGATCTGGCTTTTGTTTTTTTTTGGTCTGGCTTTTGTTTTTTTTTGAGATAGAGTCTTGATCATTGTTGATTTTATTACTGAATGTATTATTGCATTGCATTTTATGAATATACTATAATTTTTAAATCAATTATTCTATTAATGAACACTTGGTAGTTTCTAGTCTTTGACTCTTACCTATAAAGCTTTCTAAATATCCTTGTACAAGTAGTTTTGTAAACATGTATTTTCACTCTTTAGTAAATACCTAGCTGCATTATGGTGCTTTGTAGGAAACTACCAGATACTTTTCCAAAATGGTTGAAAATCTTATACACTACCAGTATATTAAGAGTTTATGTTGCTGCACTTCCTCCACAACTTTAGTTGTCATCAGTTGTTTCAATTTTAGGCCTTCTAGTAGATAAAAGGCCATAGTCATAGCTCATTGTAGTTTCAATATTTGTTTCCTTGATGACTGATCAAATAAGCACCTTTTTATGTTCTTACGGGACATTTGTGTAGATTTTGCTCATTTTTCACCAGGTTTGACTTTTTTATGTATTTTGCATACAATTTGTCAGAGAGATGGTGTTACGGGCTGAACTGTGTCCCCCAATATCCATATGTTGAGACCTAAAATCCCCAATGTGACTGTATTTAGAAAGGTGTATAAGGACGTAATAAACGTTAAATCAGGTCATGAAAGTCTTAATCTAATAAAACTTGTTTCCTCATAAAAAGAAGACACACCAGAGATTTCTTTCTCTTTCTGAACAGGCACAGAGGAGAGGCCATGTGAGGACATGGTGAGAAGGCAGCCGTCTACAAGCCAGGAAGAGAGGCTTAACCAGAAACCAATTGTGGTGGCACTTTGAAGTTTGACTTCTAACCTCCAGAACTACAAGAAAATAAATTTCTGTTGTTTGAAATACCCACCCTGTGATATTTTATTATGAAAGCCCTAGTAGACTAATACAGATTTTTAGCAAATACTTTTCTTTTAGGCTGTGGCTTATGCTTTCAAGGGTGTGAAGTTATTTCCCCTATTTTTTCTTCTAGAAACTATTATTTTAAGCACTCTGCATGTATGCATGACCCATGCGAAAATATTTTTTATATGATGTGAGATTTTGCCATTAAACGATCACAGCAACTTTGTTGAAAGCCACTTAGACTGTGCATCTACTATAGACTACTAAGTGTAGACTTCCTACTCTGATCCATTGTTCTACTTGTTTATTATTATGTCAATAACACCATCTTGATTAATGAAGCTATATTATAAGCCTTATAATATTTTATTTTTATATTTTAAAATTATATTTACATATATAAAACATTTCATATTTACATAATATAAAATATTTACGTTTTATCATACTTTTATATTAAATTTAAAATTTATATTTTATGTAGTTATATATTAAATACATAAATATATAATTCTTATTATAAGAAATCAGGCAATGTATGTCCTCCAAATTTATGGTTGCTTTTAGTGTTGTTTTGACTATTCTAGGTCCTTTGAATTTCCAGAATAATTGGTTAGTCCATTTGTAACAAATTGGTTGTTGGGATTTTTTATTGGGGTTTCTTTGAATCTATAGAATAATTGGATAACAAACATTCTAACAATATATAATCTTCCAATCCATGAAAACTATTTGTCTTGCCATAGACCTTCTTTACCATTTCTCCCAGAAATGGTTTTAATGTTTAGTGCAGATATATTGCATGTTGTCCACTAAATTCATTGCTATGATTTTATTGTTTTTATGCCACAGCAAATGGTATTGTGCTTCAATTAAAATTTTCACTTGTTTGTTGCTGTTACATACAATTGTTCTTTTATATATTGACCATGTATCCAGTGAATTTGAAAAAAAAGTTATTACATTTATAAAATATATTTCTCAGGATTTTTCACGAATCCAATCATTTCATGTATGAGTAAAGAGAGGCTTAGTTTCTTTTCAGTCACGATTTTGCTGGATAGCACTGGCAAGACCTCTAATATAATGTTAAATAAAGCAATGAGAACTCACATTCTTGCCTTAGTTCAAATCTTAGTAAGAAAGCATCAATATTCTGCCATTACATATGATGTTAGTTCTAGGTTTTTCAGAAAAATACTTCATCAGATAGAGGAAATTTTCATTTATTCTCATTTTACTCTGAGCTATTAACATGACTAGATATTAAAGATTGTTTAATGATGTACCCATAATATTTCTCTTTTATTAGAGTCTCATTTTGGATTAATTGCTCTTCAAAAGTTAAACCAATCCTGCATTCAATAGATAACGTTCCACATAGTAATGGATTATAATTTATACTTATTATTGGACGCAATTTGCAAATATTTTCTTTAAAATATTTTTATCTTTGTGTGTTTCACTGAATTTCTAGATGTATAGGTTGATATTTTTCACCAGTTTGACAAGTTTTAAGCCATTGTTACTTTTAATATTTTTCTCTCTTCTCCTAGAACCACACTCATTGCTATATTACTTGATATTTTCCTATATATTACTAGATCTTCATTTAATTATTTTATTATTTTGGAAGCTTCACTTTAGATCATGTCTATTGACCTGTCATTGATTTCACTTATTCTTTTTTCTTTACTGTCTAATAAGCTGTTTAACCCATTCAGTGAATTTTCTTTCATTTATTGTACTTTTCTAGTATTTCCATTTTCTTTTTATAGATTTCATTCTTTTGCAATTTCAAAATTATTCTTTCATATGTCCAAATTTTTATTTACTTTCCTTAAATATATTTTAACAACTGTATTAAATCCTTTTTGTTAACTCAAAATCGATCTCATCTGGTAATCCATTTTTACTGACTGCTTTTGCTGCTAAGTATATGTCACATTTTCCTGTGTGTGTGTGTGTGTGTGTGTGTGTGTGTGTGTGTGTGTTTTTACATAGCTAGTACATTTTTTGAAATTCTGCACATGGTCAATGTTATCTTAAAAGGAGAGATAATTTCTTTCTTTATATGGTACTGGTTTGTTCTGATAATAAAACCCTAACAGATCTTCTGTATTTTGTTTAGCTTTAGTTATGATGTCTTTATTTTTGTTAACTTCTTAATTCAACGGTTATATTCTGATTCAAAGGTGGTGTCCTTATCCCTATAAAACTTTCTGGGTTCTTACGTAAATTTCCAAGGGTAGGCTAGAACTCTAATGGCTCCAGTACTGTATGACCTCTTATAGTTTCCAGTCGGATCTGAGCTGAACAGGAGCTATTGTCTACAAGGTAACAAGCAAAGTGCTCAGCATGAACATATGAAGCTCAGTTATTAGGTAAGTACTCTCAAACATTTCCAGGAAGAATTTTGGAATCCTTCTTTTGCAGAATTATGTATCTTCTCTCTCTCTGATCAAATTCTAGGTGTTTTGGTAGCTCCAAACTAATTTTTTTCTCCATATCAATGTGCACCAGACAATATGTTACCAGACAAAATGCCAGATTGAATGTGGAGCTCGTCTGTATGTATTTTCCTTCTTTCAAGGATATTTCAAGAAATATACATAGCCGGGCGTGGTGGCTCACGCTTGTAATCCCAGCACTTTGGGAGGTTGAGGCGGGCGGATCACCTGAGGTCAGGAGTTTGAGACCAGACTGACCAACGTGGTGAAACCCCGTCTCTACTACCAATACAAAATTAGCTGGGCGTGGTGGTGCAGGCCTGTAATCCCAGCTACTCAGGAGGCTGAGGCACGAGAATCACTTGAACCCGGGAGGCAGAGGTTGCAGTGAGCGGAGATCGCGCCATTGCACTCCAGCCTGGGCAACGAGAGCGAAACTTCGTCTCAAAAAAAAAAAAAAAGAAATATATATATATATATATGCCTTATAGCTAACTTCTAGAGTAAACAATGATAAAGAAATTAGAAGCAGAAAGATAAAGATAAATTTACTTCAAAGAGCCAACAGATGGTAGCAAACTTCTTCACAAAAATATATTACAAGAAACAGAGTCAGATAAAGTGTTCAGGTAACCAAAAATTGAGAAATTCTTCCACAAGGAGACCTCTCATTCTAAAAAACTTTGAAGATGGGATATTTGATCACAAGAAAAATTTTTCTTGATGAAATTGTTGAGATATAAGAAAAAAATGGAAAAGAACAACAAAAGGTTATAGTATGTGAGTGAATTTAAATAAATATTGATGATATAAAATAATTCTCGTTGTATATTTTGGAGTTCAAGAGTTCAAGAGAAAGAATAAAAGCAAAGTAGAATTAAGATAAAAATAACTGCTGCAAAGAAGCTTATAGAGATAAATGATGTTAAAATGTTCAAAGATCTTAGATCATGTAAGAGGAGGAAAAACATTGATAGACATATTATAAAATTAAGCAAATATATTTCAATGACTAGAGTAGCATCAAAACCATTGGAAACAGCATACAACTTTCAAATAGATAGGAGTTTCCTGTGGACTATTTTGGCTGTAATTTCTGCTATTTTCTGTTCAAAGTATCTTATTTTCTATATTCTGAGTTACTTTAACCTTAGGCTGATCATTTTCCTTATGATTTTATTTGTATAAACATTTAAGACCCAGGATGATGGTGGGTCCCTACAGGAAAGATGTGTAAATGTTTCTACCATTTGCTTTGGAATTGCAAGATATGTCAACATATGTAAAGTGTCAACAAAATAAATAAATGCCATATGTGAAAACTTTTAAGTAAAAACATTATTGAAAACCCAAAAACATACAGATACACAGTTTTTCAAAGAAAACAATGATAATTCAGAGCACAGACTTTTTAAAAATAGTTGTTACATTTGTAAAGTAAGTTATATGTTAAGAATCACATACAATATAAAATAATTGAAAAAAATTGCATAATGGCACAGAGAAAAATGTTGATCCTTGTACATATTATCAGTACAGTAACTCTATTCTACATGTATATAAAAATAAAAATGTAAAAATTTGGATTCTAGATATTTACTGGAGCAAAAATATTAATGCTCAGAGCAGAAAGTTAGAAAACTCAGCAGTTTTATAACTCATGAAACATTTTTAATGAAACAGAAATGTAACATTATGAAATCTTGAGATAGTAGAAATGAAGTATGATTAAACTATTTTAAATTTAACCAATATTCATATTCATATATGCATTGAAAAATTATACCTTTTTCTAAGTTTGATTCTTGAAAATTATAGTTAGTTTTAAATTATTTATTTTTTCAGTGATTTTGTCACATTTAAAATTCCCCCTTGAAAAATTGCTTTATTAAAGTGAAATATTTGAATATGGAGTTTGAAGAGTAACAAATAATTTTTCTTATAATCAGTTGTAAAACATATATAATTTTCAACATTAGTTTAGTATCTACATGTATTTTAATCCTATAAAAGCAATATTTTTATTGTAACCAGAAATTAGATATTCATAATGCTAACAGATTTTTAAATATTATAGCTATTAGTATATATAACTTAAATATTTCTAATGTTTGAAATTTCCTATAAAACTGGTTCTTAAACCCTTCAACTACTAGAAGCCTTTAATGCAGATTGATAAATGTGTACTTTACCTAATTTATAATAAATATGGCATATTAAGTACATTTTCTTTCTTGACTCTATATTTCCAGAATTTTAATTCAGACTTCCATAAGAATCAGGAAATTATTTACTTTGACCTAAATTAATTTGAAACTCCCTACAATGGTACTTTGTGAACTTCGTGTTTTTAGTTATTTCAGTTTCTGACATTTGTGTATCAATATTTTTAAAGTTAGTCCATTTTCTTACATGTGTTCTATTCAGCATGCTTCCACCAAAAAAAAAAAAAAATTAAGCA
Source organism: Homo sapiens (assembly GCF_000001405.40). NCBI lineage: Eukaryota > Metazoa > Chordata > Mammalia > Primates > Hominidae > Homo > Homo sapiens. The sequence goes on from NC_000012.12 coordinate 86,205,973, forward strand.
ATTATGGCTTTCTTCCATTTAGATTATGTGGGCAGGTCTGTGGGGGTAGTACAGAAGGTATATTTCATCTCAAACATAAACAGGAAGCCAATGTGCTATGGAATGAATGTTTGACCCCTGTGAAACTCATGTTGAAACTTAATCCCCAATGTGGCAGTATTGAGAGATGGGATCTGAATTAATTAATGTAAATTCCAGTAGACTCAACACACTGGCATCAACCATTATAATTACAACAATTTTTATGAAACACTTATATTTTCAATACCTGTTATCCTTTTTGAAATAATAAGGACAGAGAATGTAAAAGGAAGTGGAAAAGCACAGTGTGGTTAAGAGATTCATAAAATTGTGCTTGGATTATAAAACACTTTAAAATACCTTGAGACATTTTTGAACCAAAGTTTGTCAGAAATATCTATACACATGTAATTAATGACAACTATAAGTAAGCTAAGACAGGCTGGGCTGAGAAGGTGGTATTAGGTTTTGGGGGCAGAAGTCTTTGCAGAATGTAAAGTATAATAGGATAGACGGTATTTCAGTGGAAACCTACTGATTTTTTTTGTTTTCCTGTATTCCTTTCACTTTTCTGTCTGTCACTCTTATTTCTTTCAATCCTCTTTGAGCTTTTTTGCTCTTTTCCTTTTATTTCTCCACTCTTGCTCTCTCACCCTCTCTCTCACACACTCTTCTTCCCACAATTCCTTCGTCCCTCTTTCTCCTTTACCACATCCCTTTCAGAAACCTTTATTGAAGATATATTATGTGAAAGGTATGAGGTATTCACAGTTGAAGACCATATTTTCAGTTTCATATCGGCATATCCCATATTCATACTCAGCCTCTGGCAGCACACTCCTAAAATATATGGTCAAAGCACAAACTGAAGAATAAACAAGACGATCACTTCACCTCAGTTTCTTTTTCTTCCTTTTTAATAAACATTTGCCAAATAACTGCCATATGCCAGGTACTTTTCCATGGTGCTGAATGTAAAGAGAATTACAAATTGAATTTTGGGTATTTAGTAGGAGGGTTAAATAGTAATGTAAAATCTAAAAAATCTTTACAGTTATAGAAAAAAAGAGGGAAAGAAGAAACCATTAAACAGAACCTATGTTGGACCCTTTTTTTTCTTTTTTTTTTTTTAGCTCGCTTAATCTTTGCAACTTAATGAAATAGTTACTATTATCTTCATTTTAGAAGTGAAGAAAGAGAGGCTCATATAGATTAATTATCTTTACAGTGACATTTCGCATGCATCAAATGCCAAAGACTATTTCCTTACACTCTGCTTTTTCTTTTTTTTAAATTTTACTTCAAGTCCTGGGTTACATGTGCTGAACGTGCAGGCTTGTTACATAGGTATACATGTGCCATGGTGGTTCATTGCACCTATCAACCTGTCATTTAGGTTTTAAGCCCTGCATGCATTAGGTATTTGTCCTAATGCTCTCCCTCCCCTTTCCCTCGACCCCCCGACAGGCCTTGTGTGTGATGTTCTCCTCCCTGTGTCCATGTGTTCTACACTATGCATTTTGAAGAATGAATACAAGTTTGTCAGGTACAAAAATACAATAACACTCTAATGAAGAAGGAGAAAGGAAAAAAAACAGCATGAACAAGAATAAAAAAAAGATTTGCTGACACTTATATAGCATATACTATATTCGATTATGAGTACTATAAATACAGCAAATAATTTAATTCTCCCAGTCCTGCAATAACTTATGTAGGTAATATGTAGGATTCAAGGTGGCAAAAATAGATTATGTCTAATTTTTTAAAAAAGCAATGCTAAGAACTTTGATCCTTGTTTTCCTGAAAATGAAGAATTAATGAACATTTGCAATTCATCCAAATCACTAGAAAATATTTTAAAATAATATCTATATGGGATATAAAAATAGTAAGAATCATATTATTCAAGTTAATAAAGTATTATGGTCTTAATTGATACTTTCAAAAATAGTAAACTACCTAAGATCAGATCAATGATGAAGTCCATTTTGGATTTTTTACAAATCTCATAATTGATCAAGACAGCCTTAATGTTTTCCTAAGCTTGACTAAACTTTAGATAAGCTTCTTCCTGCCTCTAGGTCTCTGACCTCCCTGTCATCCCAACCCTTATAGAATCCAGATGGCCTAATCACAGAGGTCTCTTTCCTCTCTTAGAGCCTTTACTTTAGAAAACCTGTAAATTCAAGCTGGGCGCAGTGGCTTATGCCTGTGATCCCAGCACTTTGGGAGGCCGAGGCGGGCAGATCACTTGAGATCAGGAGTTCAAGACCAGCCTGGGCAACATGGCAAAACCCCATCTTTACTATAATACAAAACAGTTATCAGGGTATGGTGGCATGCGCCTGTAATCCCAGCTACTCAGGCGGCTGAGTCAGGAGAATCGCTTGAACCCACATGATGAAGGTTGCAGTGAGCTGAGATGGCACCACTGCACCCTAGCCTGGGTGACAGAATGAGACTGTCTCAACAACAACAACAACAAAACGTGTAAATCCTTTCTTTGTCCCTTTAAGATGTAATTTTTTTAAAAAGCTTCTTGCCAGGTGTACAAAGCAGGAATGTCTTTACCAAGAACCTGGGAGATCTCCTTTGGAAAAACTCAGCAGGGCTGGGTTGATACTGCTTTCTGATCTCTTTTCTCTATTGCAGTAGAGTTTTTTATTTTTTTTTAATTTTTGCCCTGTTTAACTTTGCACAGTCCAATTTTTGCTTTGATATAATTACAATCCTCCAAACTCTGAGGACAGTAGCATTTTGAAGAGTAAATATCTGGATTCAACATAATCCCCAAATTCCAAATTCTAACAGTGTATATAATGTTCTTAAATAATAGATTGATTACTCTCAATTTAGATTTACTTAAGTAACTAATAAGAAGCCATGTAAGTACAAAATAAACTCAAAAAGGACCTATACATTCGCTACTTACTTCTCTAATAACTTTATGTCTTAGTTTCAAAAATGATTCTCAATTTTTCATTTGTATGGACTTTTTTGATCTAAATATCGCATTCAAATATGACACATTTCTCCAACAATAACATTAGTATCAGTATGCATAAGAACCCTGCATTAATAGATTTTCCTTAGATCCTGTCTACAATTGAAAAAATATGGCTTAACAAAAATGGATGATATTCTTTGCATATAATTTTTAGAAGAACTCACATTTCATATCCACCAATATTATACAATATTAAGAGCTTTTCCATTATTTTTCTCTGAAGGTAGATAGCACTTAATGGTATTTGCAAGAATTATATAATTAAAGAATTACATTGTGTTAAAGTTGGATACTACCCTTCTGAAAAAAAATCTCTAAAATAAAACAAAGATAATTCTATTTTTTGAGTTCTCATAAGTAATACCTTCAAAGCCATAATCTTATCAGTATTTGTTAGTCTAAGGAATTATTTTCTATTAAGGAAAATATGAATATAAAAAGTCACAACTTTTGACACAGTTATCTTTCAATATGATTCTTATATTGTCAATCATGTTGTCCAAGCTACAATATGTTTAGCAATTTCCAAAATTCTTAATATTCTTAGCATCAGCTTTTGGGACACATGAAATTCTTTTCATCTTCATATTTAATCAAACTAAACAAGCAGATCAATCTACATTTCTCAACATGATTTTAATAAAAGATTCTGTATTTTCTATTCATCAGGGGACAGAAGATTCAAAGGCAGGCCTAGTCATTAAAGAGGAAGTGGATGAAGCAAGAGCATCAAAGATCTAGCTTGGCACAAATGAAAAGAAGGTAATTTTTTTCTTCTTCACTGTACCATATGCTTCCTAGAGTTCTCAGTTCTCTATTCTACAATTATCCAAAAAGAAGATAGAAAGAGTTTTAATTATTATTCTGTAAACAAAAACAACCCCTTAGGTAAAAGCTTTGGAATACCATTTCTATGCTTTAAAAATAGAAATTATAATTCCCTCACTCAATTGCCTTTCATTTTTGCCTCTTAATAATTATACAGATTATGTTTCCATTATTCTCTCAAAGATAAGGGCTGCAAATTTAGGCTGAACTGTTTCATTTACCTGTTTCTTGAAACCACTTTTGCTCTCCAATTTATCTACCTGGCCAATTGATCACCATGACCTATCAATTTCAGAACATGCTTTTTGAATCGTGGTCTTTTTACACACAGATAAATACGCTTAAGATACATATAGTAGTTTTTTTCAACGGATATTCCATAATCAAGTTGTGGTGTTAATCACTACTTTAATTATAAATAAAGCCATTTAAAATAAGTGGATTCACCTTGGGGCAGTCACTGGCTTGCAGGTGCAATGTTCAGCAAATTTTTGTTTCAGACAATAATGTCTAGAAATGAAGTAAACAAAAGTGTGCATAACACATTATTTCACTATAAAAAAACTGTGATATGAGATGTAAGCCCTTGCCTTGTTTTTCATTGTTGACAGTTTTTATATCCTGTGATTGGTATCATCTGATATTCACTCATAAGCTCAGCTTTAGTCCAGAGTCAGAAACACTCCAGACCTTGGTCCTCAATGATTTCTTGAGTTCTAGGTCAATGGCTTCCAATTAGAAATCAGTAAAGTTATCTAGAAGCACTTATGAAAGAGTTTCAATATTTAAAAATACCTCATACACAATCATCACTTACATTTACCTTTAAGGCTTCATTGATCTGTAGCTAATTAAAGTGCCAAACTTTTTTGCATTTAATTGGAATTAATATCAACTCCATGAACTTCCATATTACCTCAGGTTTTACTCAAGAGTGACACATATTATTTTGGTTTAGGATGTTTAGTTGATTACTTTGTCTCTCTCAGGATAATAGTGTTAAACCTGGCTCATTTATTTGACAGATAGTTGATAACAGATTTCAGATCTTTGCTAGGCACTGGGGATAAAGAAATAATAGACTTCACCTTGCTATCAGTTTGTTTCTAATCTGATTGGAGAGGGAGGTAAACCAACAACTATGATAGACAGTGATAAGTATATTAGCACAGTGCTAATCAAACATAGAGGATAGACATCTAACTCAGAACATGCAGAAACTGAAAGTAACACATGGTAGTATATACCTGTTTGCTTCCATTTGCCTTTCAAGGAAAAATAGCTTCAAACTGCTTCTGTGGGTCTTTCCCTTTTAACTTTGATTTTGACGAGCAAAAGCCCTTGTTAGCATATACCATGCAGTCCAATATGCACATATTGGAATATATGCATATTGGACTGCATGGCATATCCTAACAAGGGCTTTTGCCTGTTAAAACCAAAGCTTACAGCCAGGCGAGGTGGCTCACACCTGTAATCCTAGCACTCTGGGAGGCCGAGATGGGCGGATCATGAGGTCAAGAGATCAAGACCATCCTGGCTAACACAGTGAAACCCTGTCTCTACTACAAATACAAAAAAAAAAAAAAAAAAAAAAAAAAAAAAATTAGCCGGGCGTGGTGGCGGTCGCCTGTAGTCCCAGCTACTCGGGAGGCTGAGGCGGGAGAATGGCTGGAAACCGAGAGGCGGAGCTTGCAGTGAGCTGAGATTGCTCCACTGTGCTGCGGGCTGGGTGACAGAGGGAGACTCCCTCTCAAAACAAACAAACAAACAAACACAACCAATAAACAAAATAAAAGCTTACATAGATTACAGCTATTTCCAATCTCAACACTGTCTTAAGTTGGTTGTCTCTGCCAATGCTTTTCAAGTTCTAACCATTTCCCTTGCTATTAGTACCCTTCCTCCAGAGAAGCTGATCCATACTGGAGTTGTTTTTTTGTTGCTGGTTTTTGTTGTTTTGTTTTTTTTTTCCTACATGACTTTGTTCTCTCTTTGCAGCTGTTGGAAAGTAAGCCCTGCTAATGTGATCTCTGCCATTTTCTTTGTCTACCAAGATAGAATCATTTCAGATATTATCTTTTGCACCATGTTTAGTCCTTTAATTTTGGAGCTGCTGGACAGCTTAGGAGTTGATATTCCAGGTGCCTTTTTAGAGATTTGATCTTCTCAGAAAAGAAAAATATCTTATGCTACCTCCTAACGTTTCTATCAAAGACAGACACTAACTGACTTTCTAAATTCAAAGAGTATAGCCCTAGAATCATCATTACTTTATGGCTGGTGTGGAGATAAGAAAGACAAAGGAAAGAATACCCATCTCGTTTGCATATCCACTAATCCATTCTTTTCAAATCAGTATAGGTTTTTCTCTAACCAAATAGCATCCCGCCAAATTACCTATGAAGCAACCCTACTAACATTCTAATCTACTCCACCCAAAGGCAGAGGGTATTACATTGAACTTCTTATAAAATATTTTTATCACAGGTTTTGGACGTAGAGAATATATATCTTTAAAATACATTATCATTTAAAATAAGTATAGTAATTTTCCATGAAGAGGAGGAAAATATAGGAATGTCACAAAAGTATGCCAGAACCCAAATGTTTTTAAAAATGGAGGCAGCAGAAATTTTAATAATTGTTTTTGTTTATTGGGTTATATTATCATCACGTAATTGATACTTCAATATCCATTCTTATTGGAGTCAGTTATATGAAAGCTTTAAATAGTTACCCAAAAAGAAAAACAAAGGTATAAAGAACACTCATGGCCGGGCGCGGTGGCTCACGCCTGTAATCCCAGCACTTTGGGAGGCCGAGGCGGGCGGATCACGAGGTCAGGAGATCGAGACCATCCCGGCTAAAACGGTGAAACCCCGTCTCTACTAAAAAAAAAAAAAAAAAATTAGCCGGGCGTAGTGGCGGTCGCCTGTAGTCCCAGCTACTTGGGAGGCTGAGGCAGGAGAATGGCGTGAACCCGGGAGGCGGAGCTTGCAGTGAGCCGAGATCCCGCAGCTGCACTCCAGCCTGGGCGACAGAGCGAGACTCCGTCTCAAAAAAAAAAAAAAAAAAAAAAAAAAAAAAGAACACTCATTAACTGTTAGTGAGATTATTGTTTTTATAAATGGCAGCCAAAGTTACTTCCATGAACAGTGTCTTTAAAAGTAAGCTCTAAATTGTGTGTTTTGTAGATTCAGCTTGCCATATTTCCCAATGGAATTCAGGAAGTGACGTTTCCTTTACCAACTCAATAGCTACACTCCTGGAACATTAGCTTTGTCTGCTGAGGGATAAGAGAATTTATGGCTGGAGGATATGGTTCTAATTTACTTGAGATTTCCTGATAACTTTGCTTTTCTGGCTTTTGGCATCAGTGATCTAAATTGACAGATCAATTTGGGATAGAAACATGCACTTGTCAAGTTGTTTCCAAAAGTGAATCTGAGACCTAATGCTGTTTCCCAAGAACTGCTGCTGCTCTTTCTATTCCAGGCCACCCCTACTGAGAATCACTGTAATAGATTGATCGGTTCACAGATACAGAGCAAAATGATTGCACAGGGACAAAGTCATGGTGGTACCATATGGTAAGTCAAGGAAATAAATACCTCTTTAGGCATTGAATAAAATAGTTTTAAACCTCATGGTGAATAAAAATAATGTATAATATCATATTTATTCACTAATATATGTAATAGCTATTTTTTTATTCTCCACATTTAAAAATAGCAACCACAATCATAATTGTTTATGTTTAATGGTTCCTTAACACCAATTATTTAAAAAAAACAGTATATCAATCTGAAAATGCATCAGCATGCTAGCCATTTTTATATAAAACTTATATTCAAGAATATTTACATATTCTATACACATATTGGACTGCATAGCATATGCTAACAAAGATGTTTGCCTGTCAAAACCGAAGTTAAAAGGGGATAGACCCATAGTAGAAGTTTGAAATCAGTGTATGGTTATGTGGACACAGAGAAAGAAAATTTCTAGAGCAAGTTCCAATTTTCTGTATCTTTATGTGACTGCCTGAAATCAAATCCCATCACACCTTTACTTTAAACTGCTTCCTGCATCTATTGTATGCCCATAAGACTTATTCCCCACAAGGGGGTCTGAGTGATCTTTGTAAACATACAACAGGTCTTGTTGCATCACTCTTTAAGTTATCATTGCATTCTTTAAAGTATACCACTCTTCTATGGACTCCCAGGCTCTATATCATCTTTTCTTGAGTCCAATTCTGTGATATTAGCTGGGACTACACTTCCAATTACACTCTGCAATCCAAATGCTGTAAATTGAATTTCTCTGTGTTTCTGTACTTCTCCAGGCTTGCCCTCATTTCTGTGTCTTTGTACGTCTTGTATCCTCTGCATAGACCCCTTTTCTTCTGGACTATGTGGGTCATTCTCTGCTCAGATCAAAGCATCAGAGATACTTTCCCCTAGTGACAATTAGGTCACCTATGCTAATCAGTCTCTATCCCATTACCCAATTTCATTTTCTTCAGAATATTTGTCATTATCTGATTTTTACCTATAGACTATAAATACCTCTTGAAGGTTTTATGAGAATAGAGATTTTGTCTGTCTTTGTCTGATTCCATGTAGGCTACTATAACAAAATGCCATAGACAGGGTGGCATAACAATAAATGTTAATTTCTCACAGTTCTGGATGCTGAAAAGATCAAGGTGCTAGCTTATTTGCTTGGTGAGATCCCTCCTCTTGGTTTGCAGGTGGCCAGCCTCTTGCTGTGTCCTCACATGGTAGAAAGAGAGATCCTTTCTATTCTGCCTCTTCCTATGAGCACACTAATTTCATTCTTACTAATTTCACCATCATTGCCTGATAACTTCCTAAAGAGCACACCTCCAAATACCATCACATTGAGGATTAAGACTTCCACATATAAATTTTAGAAGACAAAAATATTTAGTCCATGTAAGTCTTATTCACCTCTTTATTCTCATTGTCCACAGCAATACTTGAAACATAACAAACATACGCAATGGACATTCGTTGAATGATAAATGTAAGTAACTTTCATTTGGTACCAATGATCTGATACTAAAGTTACATTGCATCATATCAGTTTCTTGTAGATTCAATTTTCCAACTTATTCTATTTTGAGATTCTATTTTTCTATGACCTTCACAGGGTCTTCTTGACTTATCTCTATTTCTCAATCCTGGAAAAACCCCACACTAGATTTTGAGTTATGGAGTAGTGATTATTTCCATAAGGATGCTGTAATTAACAAGACCCTCTTACAATGCTTCTGGAGCAAGCTAGAGTATAAATATATTTTAAATTAAAACCAATCCATAGACATATGGAGCCACCTCATCATCTCTTTTTCCATAGGTTGTACATTTTGTATATGTAAGTTTGTGTGACTTAATTTCTAGGGTTTAAAAAAAATTAATTTCTTGCACATTTCCATGGCTGCGTCCATAATCCAAAGCAAGACCCTCTAATAACAAATGGGGTATCTTTGCAATTTTCATGTTGTTTTAAAGTGTTAAATTTTATTTGGCTTAAAGCTGCCCCCACACATAGCAAACTGCAACTTAATTTAGTATGTAAAGGAACTGCAATCTAAATTAAGAGTATACTCTTTTAATAAGTAGCAGAATTTCAGCCAATGATAATAGCCAAGTTTTAGCCAATGGCAGGCTGCCAACTGACCATACCATGTTCAAATAAAGCCAATGATGAGCTGTAACCAATCAAGCTGTTTCTGCATATTTCTTCCTTTTTTTCTGTCTGCAAACACTGCCTGTTCACGTTGCTGTGGGGAGCTCTCTGAACTCCTTCTAGTTCTGACGTTTTTAGCAACTCATGACTTGTTCTTTCCTCGGATAAACTCTGCTAAATTTAATTTGTCTAGTGTTTTCTTTTAACAGTTTTGTGTCAAAAGTGGGGTCCAAAGTAGTCCACTAGTGACTCCCAGGAGCACCGAGAGATCAAGCAAAGGTACCTGTCAGGCCCATTATGCTCCTTGTTATCTTGCAGTAACTGGGGTCAAGGGTGAGTTCTCCCTCAGATTTGAGCTCCACAGATTTGCTTTTTGTTCTTCAAATTTATTTGAGCAATTTTTACTGAACTGGGATCTCGGATTGAATTGGATCCCATAAATAACTGGATCGAATCCAGAAAGAGGTCTCAGATACCTTAATAAACATGAGATTTTTAAATCCAAGGAGTCTGAGACTCCAGGAGACTAGGACTCCATTTTCTGGGATACTGGCTAACTTTATGTACAAAAATTATGAGCCCAGAATTAGTATATTTTTGGAGAAATGGGTTAACCTTACTAATGAAAACACAGAATTATGGTAACTAGTGCGGGGAAGTTTTAACTTAAATGTGTTGGCTTGTGAGGTGAGGTGCCTTAGAAAAGATAGAATCAGAAACACCAAGAAAGTAATAGGATGCATTATTTAATTGTTACACAGAGCCATCTAAAAGATTAAAGAATAAAAGATTACCACATCAAAAGCTTCCCTACAGAAGGCAAATGAAGAAAATCTTAAGTTTCTTGACAAATATTATTCAAACGATGTAGCCATCTGGGCAGAAACTCTTGTTCCATTGGCCAGTAAAACAATTTGGATCTAGAAGTTTTTTAAGAAATTAGTGGGTTATGTAGTATTGTCCTTGGCACATAACTAACATTTTTTAATTAAAATGATAAGAGCTATTTAGGTTTATATATTTATGTATGTCACTATGTATGATGAATGTGTGTAATATTTTTCTATCTTTTTATAATATTGCCAAATTAAAATGTAAAAGAGCTCTATCTAATCATCTTCAAAATAAGTGCTTATATAAATCAGGTATTCTGTTAGAAAAACTAACCTGAATACTTTTCAAGTTTACATGACTTGGCTAATCCTTGGTAAAAAAATATTTTGTGTTGATTAAATCTGGCATATCTTCGAAGTTGTCAGCATTAAATATATTGCAGACATACAACTATCTTGGTTTACTGGTGAAATAAGCTCATGTTATCTTTGTATTACAAATTTTTTTTCAGGAAGAAAAATAACTTAAGATGATGACTAGCTGCTTTGTCTCGTCTTTATAAGCAATCCAAGCTCAATAGCTAAATATAAGTAAGTTAAATAACTATAAGATAAAATTCCTATGTGAAAGATTTCCTCCCTATAGCACAAGGTTTTAACATTCTTATCACCAAAAATTGAAAATTATGGCTGAGAAAAATCTTTACAAGTAATTTAATTCTCAAGCCTAGCAAAGAAACCAAAGGACAGTGATCAAAATGTTTCCCCTCTCCAGTTTCTTATTTATTTATTTATTTATTTATTTTTGAGACAGGGTCTCACTCTGTCACCTAGACTGGAGTGCAGTGGCACAATCTCAGCTCACTGCAACTTCAGCCTCCCAGGCTCAAGCGAGTCTCCTGCCTCAGCCTCCTGAGTAGTTGGGATTACAGGCACATGCCACTACTGCCCGGGTAATTTTTGTATTGTTAGTACAGACGTGGTTTCACCATGTTGGCCAGGCTGGTCTTGAACTCCTGACCTCAAATGATCCACCCGCCTCGACCTCCCAAAGTGTCCCCTCTACAGTTTCTTATCACAAAGAGAGGCTAAAGATGTCTGTGACTGTTTGTAAACATGTTTTGTGCCACATTGATAAATTGTACTATGAGAAAGCACATGCTTCTAGACATCATGATTCATAAATTTGCCAATCTACATATTGCTCTGTGACAGTTTACAACTGCTTGCTTCCCACTGTTCACTGGAAATGAAGGTTACTAGAGTTAAGAATTTTAATTTATAGATGTTGCTTAATTTTTAAAAAATAATGAGAAAACAACTCTATATGCAAATATGTAAGGAAGGTAAAATGTGCTTTTGGTAAGAAAAAGCTATCAAGTATGAAGAGATTTTGTTTTAGTTAACGAAAAAGAAAGTATTTTTAGTCCCAAAGAAGAATGACTATTGTTTCAAAATAAAAAATAATACAGATAAAATAATTGAAGTGATATAAGAAGGTTGTAGAAGTTTGGTGGGAGAAGAATCTTGTGAAAGGAATTTAAAATGTAATCAAGCTGGCTAAGATTATAAGCAGATTATCTATAAATTTTTTCTAAAATTTAGTATTAATATCAAAATTATACAGTCAAAACTAGAATGTGACCTCTCTGCTAAAACGAGAACTTTTTTTTTGGAGCATTAGTCGGCTTTTTACAGGAAATTGTAAAAGGTTTTCTTTACCTTTTAGGTCATTGGAAAAAAAAAGATTTTGCATTTTACCGAGATAACTTTCTATGCTTTGTATTATTAGTTTCTGCATCACTCAAGAAAGTTAAATCCTAATAGAAGAGCTAAGGTTTTTCCACTACCATGTAACTTTCTGTATTTCCTTTGAAGTCTTTATCACTCTGGTTAAATGATTTACTATTTTTTCACAGTGACCTGTAATACTATTTTGATGAACCCTTGATATTTTTGACAAACTTCCCAAAATCAAATTCTAAAATATTTTTTATTGTTGTCAAATTAACTTTGAGATTTTCCAAATGGGTCCTTGAGACACCTCAAAAGGCTCTCTCTCCTTAGATAAAGATGAGTATTAAACTAATTGAGCTTATTTGATATATTAAATTATAAGAAAAACACTGTGAAATAATAAGTAATGCTAAACCTTTTTTGAGTTCTATTTGTATGGAGTGTTATTATTATGTGTTTGAGAAATTGTATGATATTCGTAGAAATCTTATCATACCATTTAACTGAGTAAGAATTCCCAGAACTCTAATAAAACAACTGAATGTTTTCATGCTAACCCAATTTCAAGCAGAACAAGAATTATTTGATTACTATGGAACTGCTGTGGCAGGTTTTCATTCTAAGGCAGACTAGGCTGAAATTGTTAAGATGTACAATTGAAATGAACTCTATAAGACTGATCCAAGTCAAAATGATCTATGTTAAACTATTTAATAAACAGTGCTATACACTTGAATTAGAGAAACAAAACTGGTATTTAAAAGTATGTAAATTCAGGCCAGGCGTGGTGGCTTATGCTTGTAATCTCAGCATTTTGGGAGGCCAAGACAAATGGATCACGAAGTCAAGAGATCGAGACCATCCTGGTTAAGATGGTAAAACCCCGTCTCTACTAAAAAATAAAAAAATTAGCTGGGCGTGGTGGCAGGCACCTGTAGTCCCAGCTACTCCGGAGGCTGAGGCAGGAGAATCACTTGAACCCAGGAGGTGGAGGTTGCAGTGAGCCGAGATTGCACCACTGCACTCCAGCCTGATGACAGAGTGAGACTCCATCTCAAAAAAAGAAAAAAAGAAAAAAGAAAAAGTATGCAAATTCAGTGTTGAGTGTGGACTCATGGAGAACCTTAATGGCTGCCTAATCCTTCCTGAGTATTTAAAGATTCTATTCTTCAAAGCTCTGCATTATATGATGCATCATAAAAGAGATAAAATAATATGTTATGAAAAAATGATGAGGTGACTGTTCTAAATCTAAAATTGTTCATAACCTATGTCTGATTTGTTAAACCCATAATCCTGAGAAGACAATAAAAACGTCAGATGGTACATTTCTTGCACCTGTTGGATCATTTGAACACTTACAGAAACATTTCATTCAGTTGCCACCTTCAATGCATGTTTTCTGTTTGTATGGAAGATTTCTCTTGCAGGAAGGCCAATATTATAAATAGTAGCTAAAACCTTATTAGTATCCCCTTATAGGGCATTCCTGGAAAAATATCCAGTGATAGAGGTCATCATTTCACTGGACAAGTTGTAAAACAGTCAGTTAAAGTATTACAAACACAATGGCATTTGGTGAAGCAAACTGAATCAATTAGATTTCTTTGGTCAAAGGTATTACCAATTAATGGAAGTCAGATTCACTCCTGCCGGAAAACATAAATTGACCACTTATGAAATAGTTACTGGAAGGCCTATCCCCCTAATCATAAGAACTTCATGTGACTTATGCTCTTATGAACTCTGACATGGCTCAATATTTTGAGACTTTAATCCAATATGCTAATGTATGTTTTTGCAAGATAAAATAAGCCCTTCATGTCCTGCCAACTGATGACAATCAGACCTTTCATGATTGAGAACCCAGAGATTGGGTTTTTGGAATTAGCACCAGAGAAAGACTGCCCTATAATTTAATTAAAAGGGACTGTAGCAAGTTCTTACCACCTATACATCAGAGCCTCAAGGATTGGCTTCACATTGTCTTAACTGAAGAGAACCTTAACTCCAGAACCTTGGGACTGTACACTCATTGGGGACCTCAAGGTATAATTAACCAAGGATGTTTCTCCTCAGAAGAAGATGACATCCTAGATGTGGGCAGCTTTCCCAAGATCATGGAACAGGAATTATCTCCTCCACCATGAAATCATTGTCCCCTTTCCTTTTTCTCCTGTGTGTTTTCACGTATACATGGCAAGATAATATGACAATTAAGATTTCATGATCAATAGCTTTTGGAGAGAACTTAACTGAATGTTACATATGGCATGTTACTAACAGCAGGTAAAACTTATAATGAGAGTTTTACAGTTAAATTATTCCAGAAATTTAATAAGAAGAAAGATAATTCAGTGGTTTGTAAATGAATTTACCACCCTAATCCCTTAATTGTAAGTAGCCTTCAACCATGCAATGATTCAACAATAGAGCCTTAGACAAATATCACTAGTGCTTCCCTACTGTGATTCCTAATGCATAAAGCATCCTACCATCTGTTTTGCCTCTCTAGTATATGTTTTTATCTATGTAGGATTTAACAACCAACCCTATGTGTGGGCAACTCCATGTCTCAATAAGTGGAAAATAAGGGGCTACTGTGGACTAAATATTCTGACAGTAGCATTATCACTCCATAACCAATTGGAAACTGAACATTGGTCTACACCTCTTAACATGCAGTATAGAATAAAGAGGAATTTGCCAGCAGGTAATAAATAACTCTGCTTGTAGGATGCTTCTTCCCTGGCTTAGCATAATGTAAATGAAGTTATGATTAGAAATCCGTCTCAAATATTAGCTACTATAGCTGACTCTACTACAAAGGCTACAGATGCCCAACAAACCTATTTAAATTCTCTTGCTAAAATTGTTTTAGGTAACAGGATTGCTTTGGACTACCTGTTGACTGAACCGGGGGAATGTGTGTGCTAGTTAACACCTCGTGCTAGACTTGGATAAATAAATCTGGTATAGGAGAAACTCAGTTGAACGGAATCAACAGAGAAGCTACTTGGTTAAAACAAGTAGCTTCCTCTTCTGGCTCTTTGTTGTTAAATTTAATTCTGTTTACTCGTGGGGGCTTCTGTTAAGGAGTATATTTCAGTCTCTTGGTATTTTATCCCCCTGATAACTATCGTAATAGTTTTCCTGGTGTGCCATATCCTCTTAAGAGTCTTAAATACTTGTATGTGGCTACCTCTTGTACATCAAGTGGCCTCACTCTGGTTAAATGACACAAAAAAAGGAGATAATATAAAGAATCATTCTTTATGTCATCAATTGTGAATTCCATACTGAGGACTAAACAAGCTCATTATAGTGATGGAGAGTAGCATCATGCCCAAGGATTTGGTCAATCTCTCAAAACTGAGAGGCTGACCAAAAGAAGGGAATTGTTAAATTAGTTATGTCCTAAAGCTGCCTCTGTACATAGTGACCTGCAATCTAAGTTAGTATATATAAACAAGCAGCAACCTGACTTAAGGGTATATTCTTGTAACAAGTAGCTGAGTCTCAGCCAATCATAGCAGCCAAGCTTCAGCCAATTACAGGCTGTCACTGATCAGACCATGTCCATATAAAACAAATACCTAGCTGTAACCACTCAAGCTGTTTCTGTATGTCACTTCCTTTTTCTATCTACAAATACTACCTGCCCACATTGCCATGTGAAGCTGTCTGAATCTCTTCTGGTTCTAAGGGCTGCAGGATTCATGTCTTGTTCTTTGTTCAAATAAACTCTGCTAAATTTAATTTGTCTAAGGCTTTGTTTTCTTTAACAACACTATATACATGCACATATACAAACATACACACATATAAGAACAGTATTTATGATGAACTATGTTCATTAGAGAATTATTCAGGATCTTAAATAATTGTTGACTGTAGTGGTGTTGTGATAATGTAAAATCAGAAATAGACATTTTCAAAGAAACTCTGTTCTAGTACATATCATACAGACATAATCCACAGTATAAAAACTGAAAATATAAGCTCTTGCTCTCTCTCTGAGAAAGAAAAGTATGAGGTCAAAATGCACATTTTTCTTTCAAATCAGAATCAGCTCTAAATAAAGGAAAGCTACAATACAGATCACAAAGAATTGAAAGTGCATTTAAAAATCTGGTATGGTGCTTTAATGTGTCTCTTTGTGCAGATAGGAAACCAAATTTACAGGCTTTCGAACTAAACAATGAGCTTTAGTTAACTGAAAATCAAATTCAAACAAAGGTCTCAAGAAAGACTAAATTTAATTATACTCTGCACTCCATCAAAAGTGACAGATTTTTTCTATTATATTTTCCTGACATTGAACGAAATAAGAAAAAAGTCTCTTATTGGCATATTGTTTTACTGAAAACTCTTTCTATCCACCTAAATTATACCTTTATATTTGCAAGGAAGTCAAAGTTTGAATAACATGTTTGAGTTAATTATGGAACACCATAAAAAACGAATCTCAGCTAGCTCAAAGATGAACTATTCTTAATTTTAATCTCTTTAGAAATGATCAAATTCAAAATGAACGTTTAAGATTTTGAAACTCTATTATAATATTATTCCTTTTTAACCTCCTAGTTGTTTCTTTTCTAAAATCTATACATATCACAGAGAGATTTTACTTTTGATCTGGCTATTTTAACTTGTACTCTTCTTTGTAGAGAAGGTTAATGTCAAGATTAAATAAGCAAGAGAGAGAAGAGAAGCAAGTCGATTGGCAGGAATTGTCTGGGAGCTGGAAGAAGCTTCCGGATGTGAGGTAATGGCAAAAGAAAGACACCCACAACTCCACACTCCTGCTATACCATTTTACAACCCTAACTATGGGAGAACTCCTCGACTTCTGTGGGCTTCAAGGCTAACAGAGGGAGCTGCCTAGAGAGTGCACAGAGGCATTGTTCGAGAGAGGGAAAACATATGGAGTCCCACAGGCATCCGAACCCTGAGCAGGTGCACCTTGCTACTATTCTGAGATCCAAGTCCCCAAAGGAAGCCAGTGCTGCTGTGGCTGGGCCAAAAAGATAGAGGAGAAACTGGGAACTTCCATGAACAAATCCCAGCATTGCTGCCGAGGGTTGTTGAGGAACCAAGACATGACCAAACTGCATTCCCACAGCTACCTGCCGGTGCTGCTCCAGCTGAAAGGATTGCCATCCTCCCTAGTGGCAAGTCCACAGGCAGCTCCATTCTGAGCCCAGTTTCCAAAAGTCTATGTCCTGCCCTGGGGCTAGTGCAGATGCTGCCACTGCTACCCAAGGACAAAAAAGGGTAGGGGAGGCCAGGCACTTTCACACTTCAAGAGCAAATTCTACCACAGCTACTGCAGGCTACTGTGATACCAAGGCACCAAGAAACCACATGACCCACAGCTACCTCGCTAGCCTGCTTCCATTGTGAGTGCCTTACCCTCCCTAGAGGCAGGCCCGCGGTGTACCCACACCTGATTACTCACCCAGCAGCCTGAGAACCACCCTGCCCCTGCCTAAGATAGCCAGTCCCTGAATTCACTACTGGGGGCCTGAGGACAAGACTGTGGCCTAGTCCTGTTCACTTTGTAATGATGTTTTCACCATCCAGGGGCCTAGAAGTTGTCCAGCCCATTCTAGCCCTGTTGGTGCCTGAACACTCCTTCTAACACTCCTTCTAAGGTCTGAGGTCCGGCAAACCCAACTTGCCCAGACTACCATAGCTTGCACTGATCTGCACACAACACCAGTGAAATGGGGCCTTGGCCTACCCACCCTGTTGCAGTCACTACTATCACTAGCACTACCACTTGTGTTCCAGTGAGTTGCTCCACCACTACCACAGCCATTGACCACATCACACCAGATGCCCAGGGTGCTGAGAATCTGCCCAAAACCTGGCCAACAACTGCCACTACTACCAGCATTTAAGCAAGACAACTGGAGGTCCAAGAATTGGCCCGTGTGTACCTACTAACACTATGGCCAACAAAGCCACCCACTAACACTACGGATCCCAAGACAGGTACGCTCATCCCACCTCTGCCACCAGGGGGGTCTGAAGACTGCCCATCTGGCATCCCAACAGATTATAAGTCGAAAACTGAAAAAAAGACAAAGAAGGTCACTATATATAATGATAAAGAGATCAATCAGTCAAAGGGATATATCAATTCTAAATACACTGGAGTACCCAGATTTATAAAGCAAATATTACTAGATCTAAATAAAAAGATAGACTCCATAAAATAACAGTAGGGGACTTCAACACCCCACTGCCTGCTTTAGATAGATCATCTAGGCAGGAAAATCAATGAAAAAAAAGGGATTTAAACTAGGCTCTAGACCAAATGGATGTAATTGACATTTAGAAAACATTCTATCCCAAAACTGCAGAATATACAGTCATTAATCAGCACGTGTAGCATTATTCAGAGTAAACCATATGTTACACCATAAAACAAGTCTAAATAAACTTAAAGAAATCAAAATTAAGTCAAATACCTTCTCAGACCACAGTGGAGTAAAACTGAAATCAACAACAGGAAATACTTTGGAAAGTATACAAATATGTGGAAACTAAGCATCATGCTCTTGAACAATCACTGGGTTAATAAAGAAATTAAGCAGAAAATTTAAAAATGCTTGAAACCGATGATACATACCAAAACCTGTGGGATACAACAAAGGCAGTGTTAAGAGGAAAGTGTATAGCAATATATTCCTACATCAAAAATGTAGAAATATATCAAATAACAATCTAACTTTGTACATTAAGGAACTCACAAAGCAGGAACAAAGTAAGCTCAAAACTAGCAGAAGGAAGGAAATAGTAAAGATCAGAGCATAAAGAAACCAAAATAGAGAATTAAAAAATAATACAAAAGATCATAAAAATGAAAAGTTGTTTCTTCAAAAAGATAAAATTGATAAATTACTAGCTAGACTAACCAAGAAAGGAAGATCCAAAAGAAAATAAAATCAGAAATGAAAAAAAGAGATTTTATAACTGACAAAAAGAGATTTTATAACTGATAAAAGATCATCAGAGAGTATTAGGAACAACTGTTATATGCTAACAAACTGGAAAACCTAGAGAAAATGGGTAAATTATTAAAAACATACAACTTTCAAGATTGAATCAGGAAGTGATGGAAAACCTGAACAGATTCACAGCAAGCATGGAAATTTAATCAGTAATAAAAAAGTCTCCAAACAAAGAAAAGCCCAGGACTGGATGAATTCACAGTGAAATTAGACGAGTCAAACAAAGAGAAACTAATATCAATCTTCCTGAAACTATTTCAAAAAATTGAAAGAGAAGGAATTCTTCCCTACTCGTTCTATGAGGCCAACATCACCCCAATACTAACCATTAGACAAGGACATAACACAAAAAGAAAACTGCAGGATGATATCCCTGATGAACATAGATGCAAAACTCCTCCACAAAACATTACCACACCAAATCCATCAGCACATGAAAAAGACAATGCACCATGATAAAGTGTGATATATTTCACAGATACAAGGGTGGTTCAACATGAAAACCAATCGATGTGATACAGCACATCGATAGATTGAAGGACAAAAATTATATAATTATCTCAGTAGATGCAGAAAAATCATTTGATAAAATTTAATATCTTTTTATGATAAAACTCCTCAACAAACTAGGCATTGAAGGAACATACCTCTAAATAATAAAGGCCAAATATGACACACCCACAGCTAACATCGTATTGAATGGGGAAAAGTTGAAAGCATTTCCTCTGAAAATTAGAACAAGACAAGGATGCTATTTTCAGCACTTGTATTAAACATAGTAGTGGAAGTCCTAGCCAAAGCAATCAGGCAAGACAAAGAAATAAAAAGCATCCAAATTGGAAAAGAAGAAGTCAATTGTATCTCTTCACTGGGAGGAAGCAAAAAACAAGGCGCTTGCATGTAATAACAGATCTATATAATTTTATAATATGCAATATTTTACCCATAGCTACTGGACATGTCATATCAACATGAAAAAAAAAAACATGTGCAGTTGCTGATATAAAGAAAAGAAGTATATGCGCTATAATATAATAAGTGATAGGACAGTGGTGATTTTGGGGTTTGCACAGGGAAGCCTTCTTGGAATTTAAATTGAGGTAGGAAGAATGATTAAAAGTTACATAGCTCCCCTATCAGAACCATAGAATTTGCAAAGTCTTAAAATGTGAGGTATATTTAAAAAGTATGAAAAAATCAATATGGCTGGAATACAGTGTATGAAATTGAGTACCTGGGAATCTGTATTTACTGGTAAGAAAATCTGTGTCAACTCATTTCTCATTTCCCTTCCTTCTTAACACCTAGAAATAACCCCCCACTGGTAAAACTTATATCTTCATCTTCTTAAACTTCCAACATTTCCCCTCTCTACTCTCTGTCTTATCTGATACTTTTGTTCTTTGTTTTACTGAGAAAATAGGATAAATTAGATAAGGACTTTCAGATTACTGCCCTCACCGCAACCCAAATGATGAAATCTACTAACCTACATTCATAGTCAGCTATATATTTTGTCATGAAGTAGAGGAATCATGTTCCTAAAACCAGTTCTCCTACTTTATGATCTGATTTCATCTGCTTATACACACTCCCAGACACCTCTTTTACAGTTGGACTCCTCCTTTCTTTTCAGCGTTGTCAAAAGTTTTTAAATTCTCTCCTCTCTACTATAATGTCCATATCAGAATATAGTATTATATAATGTTTCTCGAAAAAGAACTTCTTTGGACCCTGCAACCCACTCCTACTAGTGCTCTCTTTCTGTGCTCCTCTTTATAGTAACAAATGCACACTCCTCTAACTTGTAGTTTATATTTATCACTTCACTTTGTCTTTATCCACTCTTTAAACTCCTTTCAGTGAACTTTAAACTTCATTGCAAATTTTCCTGTCAAAGCCATTACTTGCATCCAGGCTGACATATCCAGGGGTCTTTAAAAATTTTTTCCAGACTTTATCTAAATCATCTCCTCAGCTTTTGACACATTTCATCACTACATGCTTTCTGTTTTCTTTACTTGGCATCAAAGATGTCATTTTTTTTTCTTCTTTCTCAATAAATGCTAGTTTTAGTCTACTTTTTTTACTTTTCCTCATTTTTAAAACTTCCAAATAATGCAGTGGCCCAGCATCGAATCCTAAATTAGAATCACTGTCTACATACTACATGTAGAATTCAAGCACTTTCCATTAGCTCTGTTGCTAAGGTCCCAGTTAAGCCACCATCATCTCTCATCTGACTTACTATTTCTCTCTGTATTGGTTTCACTACATATCCAATGGCCTCCTTCAGTTCAGCACTTCAAAGCATTTGTTCTCTGTGCCTAAAATATTCTTACCTGGGTGTTTGGATGTCACTTCTTTCAAAAGCCACCCTGTTAGAGATATCTTCATTTAACATACTTCAGCACACGTATAAAACACATTTTCATATTTAGGTTCTTGCTAAATATAGTTATTCTCATAATATATTGCCCTAATTGCCTTTACTTAACATTACATCATTAGTATCTGTCATGAGTCCACATTTGAATGTAATTTCAAAATTTTAATATTTCCATAAATGTATTTGAGAGGATACAGTGCAAAAATAGAAGTATCTGATACCAAGGATTCTCTATCCTGATGTAGAAACATCATTTTGTGTCTATGATGGCAGAAGAGAAGAATATAATAAATATTTTGACACCAGTATTTCCTAATGGAATTAAATGATGTAGTAGTACAGCTAGAAATATAAACCAGATTCTTTCCCCATTTTAATATCAGGCTAGAGTTTCCTGTTCCAAGTTTCTGAATCATGGCTTTTTAATATTCCTCATGTACCTCTTTTTTCAAGTATAATAGCATATTGTTTCATTATATCTTGCTTATGACCTCCTTGTATAGCTTATTCACTTCAATATTTATTGAACTACATTATGCATCAAGTACCATATCAGATGTCAGGGGTACAAAGGATACATAAGACATTGTTGCTGCTCTGAGCCACATGGCTACAGTTTTACTTGGAAACTACATGTCCACATTCATCACTTCTATCTATTGGCTTTTCTGTAGACCAAAAAAAGAAAATAAAAGAGAGAGAGAGTAAAAATTAATATCTAATAGAAAGAGAGGATAAAACCAAAGGGAATCAGTATTCCTCAGGGAAGATTAGCAGTCTAAAATTTTACCTGAGTGCACCTCTATTTTATCTATAGATAATTTTAATTCAATATGCCTTATATCTATATATTTGATAAATAAATCTAAAATGCACACAATAAATATTTTTGTAGCAATATTTATCTAAGCCAGTGGAATAAATATATTTGGTTTGAAATAAGAAAACACCCTTCAAACACAAAGAGAGTTTGTGCAGCTTTCAATGAATCAGGGGAACCTCTTTTGGGGAGAAGCAGGAATCAAGAGAATTCTCACATTTACAGAATTTTTCTGCACTCTAATAGAATGAACACTGTATTAGTCCCCCAGTATTTTCTATGGAAGAGAAATAAGGATTTGCATTTGTGAAAAAAAAAATTTCTTATGCTGATAAATCCTGTTTTCTCTTTATGTATGTAAGACTCTAATTTAAAACTAAAAGAAAAAACATTTAGTCAGCAAGGAACAGTTAGATGTATGTCATTACAGTACTTAGATATTAACTACAGCTAGGAGAATTAATTCTTGTTAAGATCAGCAAAGTGAAACTAAACAAATACAGCCTGTCAACTGACTAACTCTTCAGGGAACAAATATCTACTAGCTGGTAAATGTTATCTGGGATTATCAAAGCCATTGTCAAGAAAATGTGAACTTGTGGCTTCTTATGTCTGGAGGGATCATGAAATGTGTGCAGATTTGGAAAGAGAAAATAATTAGTTTGATGCTTTTTCTAAGATTTGGCTTCAGATACTATAACTATTATAAGGTATAAATTAATGATCAATCTGAATATTAATGATCATAAGGAAGTTCAAATAAATTAGAAGACAAATAAATAACAAAGTTAAAATAATTAATAATTAATTTTACTATAGCTGTTCTCTCTCAATGATATAGGTAATTGCATTCACAAAAATACAGCAATCTAAGTAAATTTAGAAATGCTTAATGTCTTAAAACATTGAATTGCAAGAATAATGCTTAAATATATTATTAATACAATAAATAGCATATTTCAATCCAATGTCTTTTCTTTGTTCTCATGAAAAAATGTTCAGTTACAGAAATCAGAAACTGTAGTTGTGTGTCTACTATATTGGGAGAATATAGAAAGTATAAGATATTTATGTGGACAAAGGCATGTGATCCAAAATTATGCTAAAATTCAAATTGGAAATTGGAGACAAAGAATGAAGAATATTGTGTGTGCATGTGTATATTGTTGTTCTAATTCTTAGTTTACATTGGTTATATTTCAACTTAATATTCATTCAGTATAAGCCATGCCCTGTGTTAAGTTCTATACATAATAGAGTAATGATTACAACATAGTTTCTTGGCCATAAGTAGCTTACAATCTAGTAATGGTATAAGGAAGTACATAATTATATACATGTGAAAAACAAGATGAGCATCTTAAAATGGAATAAACTTCTGTCAGGGACAGTTAGGAAAAGCTTCATGGTGAATGTGATGACGAAGAACTTGGATTATATGGTAGGAAACATTATATTACTTATATAAGCTTATATATAACTTTCAGCAAAGCACAGTGTTAAAAAACACAATATGGATATGTAGATGTCCTTTCAGTATGAGCAACATGAAATAATGTCTTTATTGCAGGGAGGAGAAAATGCTTCTGTTCTTCCACCACCCTCAAATTCTGCTGACCTTGCAAATTCCCATGGAAAGAGACAATGTCAATCTAACTAATCAGAATCTGAAATACTGCGATTGCTCCCCAGTAGAATGCAAGGTACACAAAAGGCAAGGATTCAGTTGGCTTTATGTATGTGTCTACATCCTATGATAGTGTCTAGTATATAATAGGTACTTTACAAATGTGTGCTGAATGAATAAAAAAGCACTAAAAATGGTGGTTATCACTTGTTACAAAGTAGTTGTTTTCCTCTATCAGAATGTGTGTTTTTTGAAGATAGGAACTACCTCTCACTAACTATTAGAAACACATAGTTATTCTGGGCACTGTTTAATGTTTTAGAATGAATGGATGCCAGAAAAAATATTAATGAACAGCCCTACACTCTATATGAAAAGGGAAAATGTCTTGGCATTTCAGATAACATCAATATAAGTGAACAAGCTATCAACCATTTAAAGGAAGTCAAATAGGTTTTGACCTTTTCAATTACATCCATCCTTTAACTCAAAGGCATTATTAGCACTTAAATTACAGTGTTTGTGTAAACAAATTTCAGTTCAACTAGTCATCTTCCGGAGGAAACAAAATGTGTCCAGTGTAAGTTGATCTAATTATGAAGTAGAAAATCAGAATTTGTCACAAAGGAGAAGGTGATGATGCCAACATATCGTTTGCCAGTCTGATCAGGAAAAGGAACACAAAACACAGAAATAAATTGCACTTTCATATGTTTATATGGGAAAGGAAAAACTCCAAAGAGAAAATCTCTGAGCAACACAAAAGGAATTTCACCTCTGCCACTTGCAGGGTAAAACAAAACATTTTGAATAATGTGTTTCCCCAGATTTGTAGCAAGGATGACTCTGGAAATTTGACCTTTAACAGATGACTACTTCAAACACTCCCTTTTTTTTTTTTTACTTTTTTCCTAATTTACGTGCCAAACGGGAAAAGTAATTTCCATTATATTATGAACAGTTCATCCCCTCCCTCACTGCATTTTCTCAGGGTCAACACAATCATCAGCAGTAATGGATGCCTACTATAGTTGAGGTGGTAGAAAAGCCGAGTCAAATTGAAATAAAACCCTGACGAAAAATTTATGCCTCGAGTTTTAATATCATCGATGGTCTGGTAATCAGACATAATGTGTTAGAAATCTGTGGAGATTATAAATCAGATTTTTCTGACTAATAGAAACTTTCTAAAACATTCCCTTTAGCAAATTATTTTCTTAAGAAGTGGCAGAGATGATATTTTGCACATATTTGAAAAGAGAACTTTTCTGGAGCAAAGCAATTTTTAAGCTAAAAGAGATAACTTATCCTTAGGCAAGATCCATTAAAATTATTTTGATTCTTTTTATGAATTCTCAATATACTTGGGGTAGAGCAAAACCCCTACTTATTATATTTGTGTACCTAACCAGTGGGTTACCTTCTGCCTTTCTAATCATCTGCCTATCTAACTACCCACGTAACATAAACAAAGGATTGGCTTATTGTAAGGCAGAGGGTTTAATTAATCAAATAATCTAATTCTGGAAATCAAGTATGTACAACAATCATCACAATCTAAATGTTAATAAATAATGTCTTTATATTACTAAGTAGAACTGAGGAACCTCAGAACCTATGTATTTGAATTCCTCTGAACATATAAGTGATATACAGGGTATTTATTCCTCTTTCATTTAAAATTATCTTAGATGTACCCAGTTAATATAGAGTATAGAATTCTAACATTCATTTTGGTAATATAATAATAGTATGATGCATTTGTATAGAAATTTATTGTTGACAATGAATATGCTCATAATTATATTATTTAATACCAAGTAACAGCCTTCTAACAAAGACAAATGTCATTAGACATTATAAAATCAAAGCTTAAAGGGGTGAAGTGTGGCTCATGCTTGTAATTCCAGCACTTTGGGAGGCCAAGGCGGGGTGATCACTTGAGGTCAGGAGTTTGAGATCAGCCTGGCCAAAATGGCAAAACCCCATTTCTACTAAAGATACAAAAAAAATTATCTGGGCATGGTGGCAAGCGCCTGGAATCCCAGCTACTCAGAAGGCTGAGGCAAGAAAATCACTTGAACCCGGGAGGCCGAGTGAGCCGAGGTAGCGCCACCGTACTCCAGCCTGGGCGACAGAGCGAGACTCTCTTCCAAAAAAGAAAAAAAAAAGGAGGGGGGCGGGTTGGGGGGTTAAGTAACTTACTAAAGATTTCCAGTTTCAGCAAGATGGTCCCATTTTGATTATTTATGTGTATGGAAAAATTTTAAAGTTAAAAATCCAACACTTATTTAACAAATAAATATTAGCTTGTTATCTATTCTTACTTTGGTGATTGGCTAAGATAACATTCACAAAAGAGTTCAAGAAATTTTTTTTCTCAAATACATTGACATAAAATATATTACCAACTACTTCAAATGTGGTCAGATTTGGAAGGAAAAACAGTGTAACAGAGTACTTGAGAACGCAAGATCTGATGCCAGTGTGTTTTGGTTTAAACCCTAACTTGGTCATTCACTCTCTGTCCTTAGACTATTTATTCTCTCTCACCTTCAGTAATTTTTCAGATAAATATGGGGAAAATGAACCTAACTCGGAGGGTTATGCTGTGGTTGAATGAAATAAAACATGAACAGATTGAGAAGGGAGCCGAATACAAGTGTCCCACCTACACATTGCCTATTTGTTTATTAATGCATCAACAAGGAATGCCAAATAAAGAGTTGCCCTCAGCCACTCTGGTATTGAATCAATGAGTATGTGTGTACATGTTAATGTGTGTGTCAAGGAGAAAAACAAATAATTGGCAGCTGGATAAGAGGAGAAAATAAATTTCACAAGTTTGAAGGTGAGGATTTGACTGGGAATGTCACCACTTGCTAACACAGAACACCTATATCTGGAGTCTGTGAAATGCTCTTTGATGTTACGTGGAGAGAAAAACACTCCCTGATCCCATACAGCAGTCAGTAAATGGCATTTCCTATAACATTATAGGTAAAATTTTAATAATTTGTAGAATCAACAGCTGTAATTTGCCAGCAGTGGTGAAAAGATTCAATGAGGCAGGTAATCGCTGAGGCAGTCTCTAGGTTATTCTGTTTTAGATTTTTTTAACTTAGATTTATTCTGTTGTATCATATGTAGTGTTACGAATTTTGCATGACTACTGCCCTTGTGGTGCAATGTGAATTAAATGGGTTTTAGAAAGGAAAGTGGTATTTTGCAGGAAACAGTTTTCTTCATAAGCAGCTTATATGCAAGTCTGTTTTCAAAGAGGTAAATTCATATGATGAAGTATTGGTGCTTACTCAGTAAGCAACTAGGAATTTGGAAGCAAGCCAAGGGGCCAGTACTTAACACATTTAAATCAAAACCAATATTATAGGCTAGCAGACACTTTGATGCTAATGACACATTACATTATTCTTCAGATCTTTATTACAAGGACTCCGAAGGTGCAGCCTTTGATAGGTGACAGCCTTGCTGGGTTTCAAGGAGTAGAAACTTTGATTCCTCTGAGTTACTAGGTTTCACAGTTGTAGCAGGTTGGACTTGATATTTTGTTGGTGAATTCCAGGACAATTTCTTTCTGCTACAACTACAAAGTGGGGTGAATTAAGCATGCTTGTTAATAGCAAAGCAGAGGAACACAATTTCACTTATGGTTTTTTTTCTTTTGAATTTGATTAGGAATTCCCTTTCTAAATAGGTATGATATGAGCATTTAAAAAATTTCATAATTTAAAGAAAAACTCATGAAAATAACTATTTTTTGAGCTGAATTATCCTCTATGTTTCCTTGTGAAATAAAATTGCAGTAAGTATATGTATACATTCATTTTACAGCATTTCTTCTTATCAAAATCAGTTAAAGACAGCTCAGCTCTGTTTGTTTTATTCTATTATGACTTGAAAAGTTTGTGATTTATTTTCTATTATATACAAGCTTATAATATGTATTATGTAATGGATTAATTAAATGTTCTTATATAGAACTGGATATTTTATTCTCAAGTGATATTTGATATTAATTTATTTTATGTTTTTCAAATAATGTATGCTATCATAGTAGCAATAGTAATAACAATAAAAAGGCATGAAAATGGGCCAGGATGAACATTTCTTATTTAGTACACACAGTTCAGATTGAAAAAGCCATCTGGTTTAGTTTTTTGTAAAAAACATGTATGTGTTTCCCTAAAGATGAATTCCAGAGAACATCTGATAATAAGATATTTAAATTGAATTATTTGAAATAGTGATAGAACATTATCTTAGACTAATGTAGAGCCAGCATTTGGGGAAAAAATTACAAGTAAAGAAAACAAAGGATTTGAATTGATTTTTATAAAATGATAGGTAACTGAAGATTAATATACTCAGTCCTTTATGTCATGTGGATATTTATTGAAGAATGACTGTATGCCTAACATTGCACTTTGTATGCACACTTGAGAGAAACTCTCCATCAAGTATGAATCTCTGTGCTGAGTCAGCATGCTGCTGTGGTTTGAGTATCATTCTAAATGCAAAATAGGTACCAATCTGTGTCTGGTAAACAGTGTATGCAAGCATAAGTCCTGGTTTGCACTGACAGTTCTTGGGTACGTAGTCAGAAATCTTGACAACTCATACATCAGTGCAAAGCTCTTGGCCGACACTGGTTGTCCTCTCTACTTAATAACCTCTCTTTTTTCCCTTCACATTAGTTGCTTGAGTTTTGTCTCCCCTAATTTACTCTAATTCATTCCTAAAACCTTTCTAATTTGTATTCTTCTCACACTACCCCACTGCAACTGCTATTCCCAAGGTCACCAATGACCTCCTTTTTGCTAAAACCAATCAACATTTCTCAGTTTTTGTTTTTGTTTTTTTCCCACACATGAACTGGTACTTCATCTGACACCACTGCCTCCTTCCATCTTCCTGAAATAAATGTTTAAATTCTTATTACGTCTCTTTTAGTGTTTTGTCTCCTTACTTGGGCTCTCTTGCTTCATTCTGTCTCTTCTTAAATGTTGATATTTTTAAAAGACCTGTGCTTAGCCTTTTATTTTTTTCTTTTACTTATAAAACAAACAAAACCTCTCTTATTCCATTGCTGGGTTAGTTCATACATCTTCATAGGTTTATTTATATTTGTATGGCTCCCAGGGCAGCTTTTTCCCATGAACTCCGGGTCTATAGATTCGGCAGCATAATGAATATTCTTTTGACTCCACTTGCTCAGATTCATCTACTCTTCTTCTTCCCCATGCTATCACCTCTGTTTAGGTCACATCATCTCTTTCCTCAATGAATTTTAACATACACTTCACTGATATATCTGTTTTAAGATTATCTAGCTTCAGTCCATCAATAATCAAAAGGGATTTTTTATAAAATATAAATGTATTCATGTCACTATTCTAATAAAGCTAAAACTCTCCAGTGACTTCCTCCTTCAAACAGATTACAACATAAACTACATACTAAGGCGTTACAAGATTTATTTTGTAATAGTTCCTCTCCTTCCCTCCACCCCCTTGTTTCAGCCTCTGTCACTTAACTCAATGCTATTGTCATACTGACTTTTTTCAGGTTGATATGGAATATAAATTGTTCTCTCTATCTCTGAGTGTTTGTATATGCTGTCTGAAATGCCATATCATTGTACTTGGCTAATTCTGTTCATTGTTTTAGATCTATTCTCAGAAAGTACTCTTCTTGGAGTATTTTCTCCACACACTGAAGACTAGTTTAAGCACCTTTCCTGTGAATCTCATAATACCTAGCTCCTGAGTAGATACTTGCTTCCTTCATTAAAGCGTGATTCTGGAAGGCCAGTACTGAGTCTTACTTATTGTTATTGTCCTTAGAGTTTAGCATAGTGATTGGAATAAAGTTGGTGTTAAATAAATATCTATGGTGTGATTTCAAAACCACTACTACCAACTACTCCAAAAACCTAAGAAGCAAGTCTACATAACAGAAGGTCAGCATATTTTAAGATATACTCTTGGATTAACATAGCATTATGTCACAGCTGTATACAAAAATCTGTATTTTTTTCTTTGCAGCAGACTGAAAGGTCTAATTTATGGCCATTTAAAATGTGAGCACAGATATCCTACTGACATCACAGAAATACATGGTTCATGTGTCACTGAAAGTACATATGTTTTCAATGAAAGTACAAGAAAATAAGGAAAGGTACAGTCTAATATAACAATTTAAAGGTAGAGCGTTTTCAGGGTTGGTTGATGTAGCGTCTGTACAAAACTATCAGAGGCCTGGATTCTTTTCAGCACTCAGCCCTCCCATACTAATTATCTTGGTTCTCTGGCTACTTACAGTTGGTAAGATATTTGTAGCAGCTCCGCAAAAGATATTGCATTTCTGTGTCTTTATTTTAGGAAAAAGAATTTTCATCATTTCCACCCTTATCCCAGCAGGTTTCTGCCTATACATTATAAGCAAAAATCAGGTCTCAGTTTTATTTCTAGCAAGGAAGATGGGCTTATAACTATTGTCCTAAATTAATAAAGGGAGAAGTATAAATGGATGACAAGAAGTTAAACATCATTGCTAATACAAAACCAAGTGCCAAAAAGTTGCCACTATTTAGGGTCTGAATCCAATGCCAACACATAGAATGCTTCTTTATTAAGCCCATATGTGAATATCATGGATGGAAACAGTGAACAGGTAGTTCTTACATGGTCAGTTAAAATAGTATAATTGCAAGCAGATATAGTTACTAAATAATTAAAGGACCATCTCAAGTTCAACTAGAAAAAACACAAAAGTTGATTCTAGAGGTAACAGAAATAATTTAATATGAGCAAAATATTCTGCAGCCATGAGACTAAAAAGCAGAGTTATCTAATGTGATTATCTTGGTAAACAGGTCCTAAAGATGATTTCAAAAAACATTAGCCAAATTTGTATACCTGGTAAAGGCTTTATCTTGAACAAGAAAAATGTATCGTATGTCCCGTTAGCTCAGCCTTTAATATATGATATATAAATATATGTTAATATTTATATATATATATGTGTATTCCATCTCTAATTACATATATTTAGTGAGGAAAGGTGGGGGAGAGAGAGAGAAGCAAGAATGTGGATATACAGTTTAATATAAACATAATAAGGATATAGAAAACACACACACACCACACATACACACAAACACACACATACAAATGAACAAAATGGCAATCTATCTACTTAATAAAACAGTGTGAATAAAAGTTCCGGATATAGATAACCTACTTATAAGTTGTTTCCTAGCTCTATTATTCACTAGCAGTGTGACTTTCCTAAATAATCCTACGTTTTCTTATCAATAAAATTGTGATAGTTTGCAATTTAGGATTGTTGGGCAATTAAAGGGGAAAATGTGTAAGTGTTCAACACAGTACCGAGCATGCTTTAAACATCACTTGAATATTAGCTATAATAAAATAAAAATTATTATTTACAATATTAGACATACAATACAGCCATAATAAAATTATAAGCAAGATCTTATTCATAAAACTTTTTAAAATTGTCTATTAAAATCTTTTATTTAATCAGGCTCAAAGAGCAGACCAAAACCATTGCTTCTATAGGTTCAATTTCTTTCCTTTATTCATATCTCTATGGAAATTAAGCAGAGAGATAATGTCATACAGATGAATATTAGGAGATAAATTTGTGTTGCTGTAAGTTCTTTGAAGCTCACAGTCTACTTGCAATAAAGTTTTCTGAAAATGTGAATCACAGATACGACATTAGGGACGATAGAAAACAAGAGACCAACAAGAAAACATGAAAAAGTGACACAGTGTAATTAACTGTAACAGTTAATTCATAGATAATTTTATCTTGCGATCTTGAAGGAAAATAATAACTAAAGTCTACCCAAATTTTCTTCGTTCATAATCTGTGGTCTTGGCCTCTTGCACAAATAAGCATAAAATATCCACACTGGGGTTGTAGAGTCATTTGAAATACATGGCATTATTTTTGAAAAATTTGGATAGACTTTAGTTATCATTTACTGTGAAGTCAATACATAGCCATCAATAAGTATAATAAGTGAGTTTGTTTAGTCATTTCCCTTTACTTTTTGATAACCTGTGTGAACCTAAAATAAAATTAGGAAGTCAAAAAAAATGCATTAGTGGCTTTTGTTCTCCAGTGGAGTCACTATTAAGGGGTATGTAAATCCTTCATGTTAGAGTAGACAAAGCTCATCTTCTGTCAGTACATTGCATAGTCAAGTAATACAAAAGACTGAACACGTGGAAGATGCTTTGAGCTCTTTGCAAAGAATAATCCATGATAAAAATAATTTACTTGTCTTGCATGTTACCATATTTTATTTTAATCATTTTCATAATTTTCTTATACTATCTGATGTTTT
Organism: Homo sapiens; assembly: GCF_000001405.40. Lineage (NCBI taxonomy): Eukaryota > Metazoa > Chordata > Mammalia > Primates > Hominidae > Homo > Homo sapiens. The sequence continues at coordinate 86,238,382 of NC_000012.12, forward strand.
CTAATACAATCATCAAGTTTACAAAATCATAAAAAAATCATTACAGTACAAATGTAGGCACATGCATTATCAGTCATAAGGTTTATTTGAATTCAGCTTACATGGTTTCAGGGTTAGCAGTTACAAAGCTGTTAGCTGAAGGGGAAGCTCTAATGTACTGGAAAACTTGGACAACACAGATATAGCTTCATAGTAGATCTAAATTTGTATTGTATGCCATCTTCAAATTGTTGAGCCTTTTTACTCAATAATCAATATTTCATCCAGCACAATAATAAAATATAGAATTATTTATGGTTATAATTAAGATGTACTTTTTCAGTCACAAGAGAATGAAAAAGTTACTGGAGAGGTGATGTGATTTAATGAAAAGGCCATTGAATAAGCAGCTAAGGCTCTCAAATGAGACAATGAATGTGAAAGCCTTTGAAGAAAGATAAAGTATTATGCAAACTCATAGTATTAATATTAAAAGCCTAAAGTGTTCATTTCTAGTAGACCTCATGGGTTTTTTGGCTGTCTATCAGAATCACATTAAAAAGTATTCTATAAAAACAGTAATATTTGGTACCATATGAAAATCTAAGACTCATGTTTTAACATCAAACTTGGAATTTTCTCCTTTTATGATATTAAAGGGTGACCCTTAAGATCCGTTCTGCAAAAAATATTTTAACTTTTTTTTTATAGTGGCATTCGGCGAGTGTTCTTGTCTTTTACTTTTAGGAAATGTGTAATAGCAACTGCATTATTAAAACTAGGTATATTCCAAAAAGGTTGTCAGAGACCATGACACACTTGGATTCAATCTCAGTGGAGTAACTGCAAGTAATTGTCCCAAAGTCATCACTTTTGGATGTCTCAATGAATCTGGCTTTGATAACATGAAAATTTTTATTTAGGAAAGCTCGTGGAGGAAGGAACATGACTACTTTTGCTGTAAAATGCCAAATTACACAGAAATTTAATTTAAGGTTTAAATTAAATTTAAGAAAGCCTTAAATTAATTTAAGAAGCCACAGCCATCTCTCTCTCTCTCTCTGTCTACTTCAGCTGACGCATAAATGTGTTTCAAAGAAGCATGCTTTACAATTAAAATTAATATCAATTAAAATTAATATGTATTCATTTCATATCCTTTCAGATATCTTTTCCAAGTGAAGTTCAAAAATCTTCATAAAACAATCCCATTAATCCTTGGAGCATTCTTATGTGGAAAGTAGGAAGAGAAATGTTATTCATCCTTTTATAAAGTTTGAAAAATAAAGTATAAAGGATTTTAGGTAAGCTATAACAATTAAGTCAGTGGGAGATCCAGACATACAACAAAGGTTTTATAATTCTTTTTCTTTTACTTTACTCTAATAATGGCATTTTTAATGCTTTTACTTTTCTTTATTGATTAAAAGATCTTATCCCTCTCTTCTCAGTGGAACATGTGCTCCTGGAAGAAAGGAGACATAAAAGGGGAATATCACACTCTGGGGACTGTGGTGGGGTCGGGGGAGGGGGGAGGGATAGCATTGGGAGATATACCTAATGCTAGATGACACGTTAGTGGGTGCAGCGCACCAGCATGGCACATGTATACATATGTAACTAACCTGCACAATGTGCACACGTACCCTAAAACTTAGAGTATAATAAAAAAAAAAAATAAAAAATAAAATAAAATAAAATAAAATTATATCTCTAATGCCTATTCTAATGTGCAGAAAGCAATTAATAAATATATTTGAAATTGAATTAAATCAAATGTGCTTTGTTTTTCATTTCAAAAGCACACACACACACATACACACACATATATATGATATATATCATATATATATATGTGTATTTTGTTTTTATTCAAACATCGCAAAAGAGTTACACAGTGAAAAGCAGGTATCTCTCCTCTCTAGATATATATGCCCTGATCCAGAGGCAAATGTCTATCACTTTTTTATATCCAATCTATCTTTCTATATAATTTAATGTAAATTAATGAACATGTGTGTCTTTGTGTTTCTATTTATTTTTGAACAACTGGGAGCAAAATGAATATACTGTTCTACATTTGTGGGTTTTTAACAACAATATTTATTGGATAACTTTTAAAATAAACTCTTCATTTGGAAATAATTTTAAATTTACCACAAAGTAGCAAAAATTAAAAAAAATGAGGAACATTCATCTACTTTTAACCAAAATTCAGATTCTGCTCTTATGAATATTTTATGTTATTGTTTAATCATTTGTTTAATCCTTTTATTTGTCCCTCCAGCCCCTCCCCTGACTCTCTTTCCAAAATCATTTGAGGGAAGTTGCATACATCATGGTCTTTTACTCCTAAATATTTGTATTTTTATTGCCTAGAATAACTCTTTCATCTTATATTACCACATTAAAATTATCAACATATTTAATATTGATATGATAATTTTAAATAATACATGGCTGCATATCAACGTTGCCTGTTGAAATGTTTGCCTTTTCACCCCTTCAGTATGGGACCAAGTCTAGAATTAGGTGTTGCATTTAGTTATTTCTTTTGAGCTTTTTTTAACCTGAATTATATCAGAGCCTTTCTTTGTCTTTAATGTCATGGATAATTTTGAAGAATACAATCTCCCCACTCTCACAGAATATTCCTCACCTTCAGTTTGTCTGACGTTCATGATTAGTTTTAAATTATGCATTCCAGGCAAAAAAATAATACACAGGTGATTTTGTTATCTGGGAAACAAATCTGGGGGTACATAATATCCATCTGTCCCTCACTGATAATGTTAATTTAAAAAATGCAATTAACTATTTTCTGGTTTTCCACAGTAATGATTATTTTTGTTCTTCCTTGAAACTAATAGGAAGTCCTTGGAAAGTCACTTTATGACTATACATGTATCATGCCCCACAATAAAATTAGTCCCTGGATTTAGCATCCATTGGTGATTCTTTTCTCATCCCATCTTTACTACTACGGAAGCAAAACGACAATTTTCCAAGTATCTCTCCCTCTAACATTTCCAACTGGCTGTCTGAATTCTAATGTAAAAAAGGATCATCTCTTTTCCCCTAATTACTAACTCTTTATTATTATTACGGGCTCATAAATTTTATTTTGTTTCATAGCTTATAATTTGATACCTCATTATTTTGTTTGATAGCTTGTAATTCATTACTGCTCCAAATTGTTTGGGTTCTGACATTTTTGTAGATTGGGTCATGACACCATTCTTGAAAGTCTAGAAGGAGCAGAGTGGTCTCGCCTAAGAGGAAAAAGATCGCTTAGATCAGTAGAGAGTGTATTAGCAGCAGTTGATTGCAGGCTGGCCTCAGATACTAGACCTGTTTGACTGCTTTATGTGGGAAAGCACTTTATAAAGTGCCTCCTAAAATGCAATGTAACTTCTTCCAACCTTCACTTCAGGTGGTTAACCATGTGTCAAAAGGCCTGGTCTGACAATGCTGACAAGCCTTTAGCTTCATACTCACTACCTGTCTGACTTGGCCCAATAAGCCACTCTTCCTGAGCCTTGCCTGAGCCTGCTTTGCCAATCCAGCTCTCAAATCATCTGAGACTAGGGGAGGGGGGGAAATTGAGAAAATACCACTGTATTTACCTTTGGTGGCCTCCCAGTGTCTCAGAAGTTATCCACACTCTACTGGCAACCTCCATCTTTTCACTATACAATCACACTGCCCAGTTGCCTCCCTTTGCTGGGGACCTTCACATGGCTGAGGTTCTAGGAAAATATTTAAGGGCTTTGGAGTGAGATTTAAATTCTGCCTAGGGCCTCAACCTCAAGTAGAACAAGTTCCCTTTTATGCAGTTAACAGGCAGACATTGATTATAGAGCTGCACCCATTCAGTCTAACTCCAGAGAACGCGTTACAAAAAATCTCCATTTGCAGGATCCTGCAATGCAAAGGTGTGTAAGACATTCCCCTTCAGCTCACTCGCCACGAAGCTGGATTTGGTAAACATAGATACTGCCTCAGGTTCAATCTATCTTTCCCTTGAATCTGCATCATTTCATTTATTTAAATGACCTCTCAGATTCCTTTATTTTGATACTTTGTCCATGTGAATAGGCACGGACCCTTAAACAAGTATCTTTTTTGCTATTTCTTCTATTGAATATTTCACATGTAATGACTCCTTTTTAAATCCTGTACTTTCTGTTTATCAGGACACATTGACTTTGGACTAAAGTTTCAAGAGCCTTTACCGATTTTATGATTTTATTTGATTGTCCGGGGAAGTACTTTAGAGTAGAAAAAATAGGGTCTTTAAAGGCAAATAGAAAGAATAAAAGAGAGGGAAAAATGGAGGAAGGGGGTGGCTGAAAACCTAGCTGTCCCATCCAACCTTACCTTTATACAATGGCATGCATAAGGCACCAATCCCCCACTCCCCACCACATATATATACACACACATGTACACATACAACACACACCTCCCAGCTCCCTATGGGCTCTAATGGCTCTTCAGAACTTTCAGCGATGCAAGTTAAGGGAACTGACTCTAGCTACTAACAGAGCCCAGGAACAAGACACCTTTTAGATATTTTGCTTTTTTAAGCAGATTAACATTAAGGTGGCCCCAAGTGATAAAATCTGCAATGTGACTCTTGACTTTCCTCTTCTTCAATAATGGGTTGAAAATAGGGGTTTCTAACCCAACATGTACTCTTTCCAAATTGTCTAATTAGTGGCAAACACTGCAGCCATTTCTCCAGGTCTCCAAACTCAAAATGAGTACATGAGGGTACAGTTTCTTTTTGAGCTCACAGGGTAGGCATCTGGCCATCTCATCTGGCTCCAATAATCAATTTTTCTTGGTTACTGACAAATTTTTCTCAATCAAAATTATTCTTGTTGGGTGAGCTCTGCTACTTGCAAACTTAGGGAAATTAATAAAATATATCTAACAAATGATTTGGCAGTGGCAGCTGACAGTCACTTAGAGGTCTCTGAGAATGTTCTGTGATTGTTCCCTGTGGTAGACACACCCTGAGGTGACCCTCAATGATTCACATTCTTGTCTTATTCCCTCCCCTTGAGTGTGGGCAGAACCTGTGACTTACAGCCAATAGAATAAGGCAAAGGTGATGGGTCGCTCCCATGATTTTATTAGACTATGTAAGATTCCATTTTAGCAGACTTAAACAAGAGATTCTCCTGCTGGCTTTGAAGAAGTAAGCTTCACTTTTATGAAAAGCCCATGAAAGAGCCTCCTGGCAAGGAACTAAGGCGGCCTATAGATTCTGAGGGTGGTATCCTACTGATGGCCATCAGGAAAACAGGGACTTCCATCCTACAGCTGCAAGAAACAGAATTCTGCCAAAAACTACCTGGGTCTGAAAACGAACCCTGAACTCCAGAGAGAAAAAAAGGTTAGTAGACACCTCTATTGCAGCCTCCAGAGACCCATGAATAAAAGACCTATCCAAGCTGTGTCCATATCACTGGCCCAATGAAACTGCAAGATAATAAATGTCTATTGCTTTAAGCATCTAAATTTGTGGTAACTTGTTACACAGCAATATAAAACAAATACATTTTTCATGCAGTGAGAAGAGTCCAGGAGGAGAAAAGACTGGCCATATTCAGCCTGCCCCTGTGACTTCTAAGGCTATGCTGCTGCTGGTGGTGTTTGTCATTTTTCTCACTAAGGTAAAAAAGTGAATTAAGATGAAAGAAATGCAAGAGAAATGCTTATAAATACTAAGAACAGCAGCATCTTGCCTAGGTCATGCCTACGCCTACACGCACATAAGCAACACACATCCTGTACTTTCTAGAATGCTTTGCACTGTTTAATGATGCTGGGCGGTCATTTGCTGACTACCCTCCAGGCATGTTTTTACCAATTAGATTAGGAAAGATGGTGACTGCCACAGCAGCTCGAGGGCTGTGTCAGAAACTCTCAGGATGTAAGTTGTTTTACCAACACCATTGGGGCAGGAGACAGACAGGGATTAGTGAAGGGGTGGGTTTCATTGCCTCCTTCTAAAAGTAGCTTTATCTCTCACCTCAGACCTTCTAGTTCTGGCTCTACCACTAAGTTCTAATAGAGCTCCCCAAATTAAACTCTAATAGAGAAATCCTTTCAGATTATGGCTCCCTAAAGGGATCTAAGTCTGGGGTCTCTCATCATACATTCATTTAATCAGCATTTAATGAGCTTCTACTCTGCGCTAGCACTGCTGATACAGCAATGGATACAACTTATAAAATCCCAAAACACATAAAGCCTAGAGGCTAATGGGGGACACAGAGAAGGCAATGGTCAATTTAAATACATTACAGGGAAAGTGAAAATGCTCTATGAGCACAAAAGAGGGACACCTCACTCATCAAAGAGGTTCTAGGAAGAAACCCCAAACACCACCAGTAACGATGAAAAGGAATTGACATAGCAGAGTTCTTCAAACAGAAAGAACATGTGCCAATGCCCAGAGGTGAGTTTCAGGAGCAGCAGAACTGAAGCATAGGGTTTATGGGTGAGTAATAATAATTATAAGGGACAGCATTTATCCAGCATGTACTGTGTCAGTGCAGTATTAAGTGGGTGGTATGCATTATCTCATTTGATCCTCACTTCATCCCACTGATGAGGCAACTGGGGCACAGAGAAGTTAAATTCTCTGCTCATAGTCACAACACTGGTTAAGTGGGAAGCCAGGAATTAATGCCTAGCCAACTGACTCCTAAGCCCACACTATAATGGCCCACTCTAAACTAAAAAAAATACACCAAATGGTGAGATCAGCCATCTACCCTTCACTAATAGAAACACCAACTCATCCTATGGGTAGAAATCCACCAAGGTTCTACAACTCCCTGATCTCAGACACTCCGTCCAGCCCTCGAGTTCTCTTGCCAAAAACAGAGAGGAGCAATTAGGTCTCCTCCAGTTACTGGGTCCCAGGTTAGCATGCCAGGTTTCTAGATTAAGGTTCTGCCCTTCTAGGCTTCCTGGAAACTACAATCTTGTCTCTGAGTTCAGTCTTCTTGCCTAGATTCCTCCTATCAGACATCAGACACCATGTTCTGCCTCCTTTTTTGAACTTCGTTATATTTTGGCCCCATGGGCATCCTCAAATTGTTTTTGGGTCTCTGTGCTTCTGTCTGGTTTCTAGGGTCTAGTCATCTTCAGTTTAGCCCGAATACAAGAGATTTCTGAGTGAGTATCTTTGTCACATAGAGGTGGCTGTGATGTTTCCTAGGCATAGTATTGTGCCCAACTGTTCCAGTTTCAAAACCCCCCTTTTGATCTCAATTTCTCTGAAGCCATGGTGCATCCCAGTCCTCCTTCCATGTTAGCTCCTAGGGTTAGTACTCAAATCCTGTTACTTTGTTTTTCAAACTATTTTGGAAAGAGGTAGAATATAATTTTCCTCCTCTTTAGATTATTCAAAAATATCTTGCCCTCTTCTACAACAAGAACAAATTAATTAAAGTGATTTTTTTCTAAGTAAATCAAAAATTTCTTGAGAATAAATCTATAATCATCATAGAGCTACCAGAATAAATAGCTCAATGTGTAGCCAAATTTTAAAACAAAAGTTTACACCATTATACAGTTTTACATATTTAAATTAAAATAATTTGTATATACATACACATTAATTGTACATTCATATTTATATATTAGAGTGTAGTAGTATTTTCCAATCCAACCGATTTTTAAGCTGTGTCTAAAATATACCTTTCTCTCTTTTGGTTTCAGTTAATTTCTCCAATGTCTTAGAGTTTAAGAGCTCTTCTATTTAGCAGGCCATGAATATCTCCTAGTGTACCATTGCTTTTTTTTTTTTTTTTTTTTTTTTGAGACAGAGTCTCGCTCAGTTGCCAAGGCTGGAGCGCAGTGGCTTGATCTCCGCTCACTGCAAGCTCCGCCTCCTGGGTTCACGCCATTCTCCTGCCTCAGCCTCCGGAGTAGCTGGGACTACAGGCGCCCGTCAACCATTGCTTCTTAGAGTATCCTGCAACCTTCTAGAGAGTCTAGGTCTTCATTCCAGAAGGTTTCTTTGTTTATTTGCCTACACACTCATGAACAGTTTACCATCTATAAACATGCTTATAAATGGCTACTGAAAGAGTCATTTTAAAAGAATAAATTAACTGCTGAGTAAATGACTCCCACAATTTTCTATATTTTTGGATATATTGCTATCTTTTGTTCTAACTGTGCTTGAAATTTTTAAACGTAGCTATATGTTCTATAAACACTTTATTTATTATAAATACGTTTTGTACAAGTTATGAAGGCCAATTTACAAAGGTAAATGTTACTTAATAATTCATATATCTGCCCACCAAATCAACTTTTTCCATTCCTGAAAGGGTTATTATTTGACAGTTCTGACCAGCAAGTCTTTATTCCTTTTCTGTTGTAAATTGCTTGAACATGACTTCAACTCCTAAGTATCAATTTCCTGCTGGACTCCTTGCTATCTAATATCTCAAACTACTTTCTTTAAGGCCACCAGTGACCTTCCCTGCAATTTAAAGTGCAATTTTCTTTGTTCTATATTTTGAGACTTTCTGCACCCTTTCATATGATGGGACATCACATTCTCAATTACATTCTTTCTAGTTTTAGTAGCATCAGTTATACCCTGGTACAAGTTTTGTACAAACACACTCACATACACAGTTTCTATGATGAGTCTGTATCTCTTCATATCCTTCAACTATCTGTGTGTTACAAATGACCATTAGGATACAATATTTTTTATTATTCTGTGCATAACTCAAAATGCACAATCTGTTCTCTTACTTAAATACTTATATAATTAGTTATAGGGTTACACACATATTAGTGGGAAGGAGGCTGCAGATATGGGCATGCATTTTATTTATGCTCTAAGAAAGTCCACTCAAATTTTATTTCTATGATTAACATTCAGTAGCATCTCAGTACTTTGTTGTTCCCAGGTGTAAATACACTTTTTGCAATCTTCTGTTTACTCACACCATTTATTCACTTGACCATATATATCTAGCTGATTTCCTTACTCCAGACACTGGAGGTTCAGTGCTGATTCAGAGTAGACTCTGGCCATTACTTTCATAAAGATTACAGTCTCGTGGGAAGACTGGCATTAACAATTTAATCAACCAAGAAAGCCTACAATGGAAACTTTTGAAAGTGTTAAATACTGTGTTAAGAACCTGTAATAGGGATATCTGGCCTCATCAGGAAGGTCAAGGAGGAATTCCTTAAGGCTGTGCTTCTTTAACTGAGAATTGAATAATAAATTTGAAGTAAACATGTGGAAAAGGTTCAGAGGAACCTGCTAGCCAGACAGAATGGCATAAACTAAGGCTCAGTGGTGGAACTGAAGAAGAAATTGTAAGAGAGATGAAAAGAAAGTAAATGTTGCTGGAACACACAGACCATCATGCTGGGCCTTATGAAGCATACTAGTTTTGTTATTATCCTGTACGTAATGGAAGGCCACTGAAGAGTTTTAGGTCACAAGGGAATGGAAGGAAGATTATGGGGAAGAGGGGAAAGGAGTGTCATGTTCAGATTTGTATTTCCTGCATAGAGGTTTCAGAGGATTTTCTACCCTCAGCACCATCTTTTCCTTCCTGATCTGAAGTTTTAATAGTCTAGATGTAGTTATCCTCCTTATTCAAAGGCTCTTTGATTCTGAGTCTCCTTTGTTTGTTCTTCCTCCTCTTCACCACTTTTAAATAGAGGAATTTCCTAAGGCTTCTTGATAACCAATACCTACATGTCTTATTTGCTCTTTAGTGGACATCTCAAGCATAGCATGTCTAAAGTACACAAAGAAAGAACCTAGTTTCTCTTCCTTCCTTCCTTCCTTCCTTCCTTCCTTCCTTCCTTCCTTCCTTCCTTCCTTCTCTCAGGCAGCCAGACATTCATTCAGCAAACTTCTGCAGAGCACTTTGCTAGGCCATAGGTATTCAGAAAAGAATTAGGGAGAATCTTTGACCTCAAGAGAGTAAAATACCCTCTATGATTTGTGACTACAACCCTGTCTGTGGATTTTTTTTTGTTCTTTCCCCCAAATATTTACCTTTCTATATCTCCACCTCCCTAATGCCCCTCAGTTTATCCTATTTTCTACCCTCAGAACCATGTTCTCTTTCTCATGCCAAAGTTATCACTTGCACGCTCTTATGCAAGAATGCTCTGAGAGTTAATATTAAAGATACAGGCAAGTGAGAAGCGGTTCCCTTCCAAGTAGATAGGCAATTGTCTTGCCTCTTCTGTCATGCCTTTTCTGTCCTATTGCCTGTTGTGCTCTGCTATGACACACATTTTCTTGATACACCACCACCACCATCCTTATGTAACTTCGCCACCTATCAGAATGCCTATAACATTGTAGATGGGAGCGGTCATACATAAAGCCTAATTCTCTTTGGATACCATCTAAATATATCGGAATCTCACCATGATGAAATAAGTGAATAAACTTAGAATAAATTTCTGGGAGACAGCCTAAGAGACAGCTGTGAAACTAGCTAGTGTTATGCTCTGTTCCCATGCTGAGCACCTCTTTCCATCTTCCCCCATTATTTATTTGTGTTCACTGTAAATCACATGCCACTTGAGAAAATTTTACACCAAGAAAAGAATGACACAATGCTTATTGTTTTCTTTTAAAATAATTATTTAATATATAACTTTTATATAATGTTGTTCAGATAATTTAAAAAATAAGTGCAATGAACTGAGTTATTCTATAAGAAGGGGAGTTCCTTTCCCTGGATTTTCCCACTGACCCCAGCCCAATAGTAAAGCATTTTGTCATTCAGCATCATACACTTCCTATCCCTAGTTCATGTTTGCTCAAGTTCATAAATAGTGAATAAATACTGACTTCAGAAACTCTTTCCCAAACTCTGGTATTCCTCTCAATTATGTCATGTGTGACCCACCTTTCTATTCTTGAGTAATTAATCACCCCATCCAACATTATCCATTATTTAAAATAACTTAATAGATTGATATACCTAGTAAAGTTAGCGGAAATTAATGAAGTAGAATGTGTTGACCATTCCTGTTCCTTTGATGTGTCAGACTGCTTTAAATGGTGCCAAATAATCCTGCTTCTTACCTCTTTTAGGAAGCATTCCTCATTTTCTCAAAACCACAGTGATCCATCTCATCACAGCCCTTCTAGAGTATTTAAAATTTGAATAACCTAATTTAAACATCCAGCCAAGGATTAAAGTTATGCAGTTATGACAGTTGTCCTTACTGGTTATTTACAATTAGAATCTGTTCTGATACCTTGGTGCAAATTTTTAGCTCTCCCTCACTCCTGCCTTTGCTTATGATAAGCAACTTGACCTTAACTGAACACACTGTGCTTTCTCTTCTCATTTTGACTTTGTTCTTAATGAGGTCCCTCTATCTGAAATATCCTTTGCCCACCTGTACCTGAAAAAGTCTCTAATTTTCCAAAACTCAGCTAAGTGACAGCTTATTTTTAAAGATTTTCCAGATTTTTACACATAGAATAAATCACTCCTTGTGGGTGTCCCCTGAGCACTCTGTGCATATCTCTAATGTAAAACTTATCACAATGGATTGTAATTATTTATTTCCAACTTTGTGTTGGTCACTAGACCATGAACCCCTGGAGAGCAGTGGTGGTGCTCTGTTCACTGCTGGCATGCCATAAGTGCTCAGTAGTTGAGTGGCTGAGCTTTAAATAATTTGTAGAATGAGTCAGAGCACTTAAAAGTGAAGGGAAAATACCTTAGTGGAATGAATAGATTTTTAGAAAATGTTTTACACATTCATTAATGCCTTGATTCTACAAGATTATAAACAGTGGGGAAGAATAACCTAATTTAAACATTACATTTTTTATCCTTTTCTATTTGTATCTCTCTTGAGGTAGTATTAAGTACATGTTAGATGCTTCATTAAAACAAAACAAACAAGCAACCTACACACACACACACTGAGAGAGAGAGAGAGAGAGAGAGAGAGAGAGAGAGAGAGAGATTTTTAAAATAAAAACATACTTTGCCTCTAATGACTATGTTAAGAATACAGAACGTCATGAGTAAAGAAGAACTGAAAAACTTTAACTCAATTCTATCACCACTTCATCACCAATATGAGACAATGGACTGTTGAAAAGCAGAGACTGTTGGTCTCTACATATATCAGACAAATAAAACTTTCATAACTCCAGGTTTGAAACTCTCATTGACTTATGAAAAATCATAGAATAAAAAGTAGCAAAGTAAAACAGAGTAAAAGATAAAAGGTAAAGCTATAAGACTTTCTATTTTATTACGTACTTAGATTTGTATGTATATGATATCCCATATTATATCATTTTAGATTTGAGAAAAGTTCCTAAAAGTTATTTAATTCATTTTTTATCTTACAATAGTTAAAATTAAAACATCAGAAGTTTTATATGCAGTAAATGATTAACCCGTGTTTACCAACAAAATCTACAATCAGCATCTAGTTTCAAAAGTAATTAGTATGATTGGTTCCCAAAATTGTGTTTGTACTATACCAGAGTTTTCATGTTAGTGAATAGCAATTTTTAATGAAACTCCTGAATGAATTAAAAGACACAGACACATAATACTAAGCAAGTCAGTAACAATGAAAACAATGAAAATACTAAAGAGAGGCAATAGTAATTGAACATTTACTATATGCAAGGCACTGTTCTCCATGCTTATAAGATTAGTTCATGAAATTTTCACAACAAACTTACGAGGTAGGTACTTTTATTTCCCGTTTTTTTTTTTTTTTTTTATTATGAAGGCATGAAGACTGAAAAGGGTGGAACAACAAATTGTATTCCGGTAGTCTGGTCCCAGACTTTTAAAAATATTAAAAGTCAACATTTAAAACCCAAATGTAACATAAAAATCTATTTTAGATTAAAACATACCTGAGAACTTAGAGACACACAGAAGCACAAGAAATGCAAATGAATGTATCCTTTAACTTATGTTTCCTATTTCCCATAAAGTTTTTGGTTTTAATTAGACACACCTGGTCCCAGACTACCTGAATACAATTTGCACGCACTTATTGCATATTCTTACATGCAACAAGTGCACGCAAACAAAAAAGAAAGTGTCTTTAAAAGCATCTGCTCTTTTCTTGCTCTGCTGAGAAAAAGTGTTTTCTAGCATGATCATAGCCTCTTCTGTACTTCAAATGGAGAAAAGTTGCTGGAACTTAACTTTACACCTTGCCTCTCATCACAGCAAATTGTGTCATTTTCTTCCCCATATTATTGGTTTCACTCAGCTCCATATTTTATCTGACTGACTGCAGCACAAATATGTATACTCAGTTTTAGGCAAAATGCATTTTCCACATTGACCCAAATGTTAGGAGATACCCTTGAGAGTTTTATGGTGTGCCATGGCACACAGGTAGAGAGCCACTTACTTGTGAAAATTTACCTAGACAACCTTTATGATATGCTCAGTTCCATGCCACTGAGACCAGTATCAAACACTGAACAACAAATTCTCTGCTTTTAGCAGAATTTAGCATTAAAAAGTACTGTTGTCCATTTATATTTTCTCATCAAAAACACTATTAAAATTAATTCATGGATATAAGTTGTTAAAAATAGCTAAACCCAAGGCCCAGTACCTTTAGTGCTATTAAACATCTACTGCTTAATAGCTCTAGATTATTTTTTCATTTTATGCAGTTCGAATGTGAACAAGCTTCTCTGTCTCTAACTCTGAAAGAAGTGGAAAAGTCTTCATAATTTATTAACCCCTGAAAAGGGCACATTCGTTTGTCATAGCTTCAGAGGCAGAGAGAGAAAGCAGATAAAAAATCACATTCGTACTTTCAATTATTGAATTCTAATTTTACTGTCTTATTCTGCATACTTCAAATGGGCATTACTAAAGGGACTAAGTTCAGGGCTATTGTTTTATTATTATGCAATAGGACCACAGTAAAATATTTTGAGCCAAATCAAGTGTGTTCAGTTAACTTTTGTTGTACAATTTATATGTATGTCACTAGACAGATTCTTCAGTGGCTAATTAAATGATACTATCTAAAAACAATTTATCTTCAACTGATAGGTTCTACGTATGGATTGGTTTTCTCTGAGGAGGTTGTATTTTAGGCTTTTTATTTCTTTTAAATCACTGAGTATCTGTAAATAAGTTGAATAGCGAATAAATATCACTTTTTAGTGCCATTGTCCTAGGAACTAGCATTAGTAGCTACCAAGACAGTGAAAAAATTGGCCTTAAAAAGTAAATTGTCTCTAGTTTGCTTGTTCAAACACAAACTACTATCATTTGGGAGATATTAAGTTTTTAATTAAAATAAAAAAATTCTTCATTTTTTATTATTTTACTTATACTATAAAGAACCTTGTCCAAAGTCAAACAACTGTAAACTCGGCATACTATTACCAGCAAATAATTGATTGTAAAATAGACAATAAAAATAAAGCTAGCTTGCTTGAACATACATTATAAATACAAGATAACTTTGTCCAAAAATGATTGATACTGTTTTGATATCTACCACAAGCTATTTTATTCTTATAATATTTCAGTGACCACATTCAGAATCAAGTATGAGTTATAAAATAATTGATAGACTTTTCACAAAACCCAAATATAATGTAAAAATCTATTTTAGATTAAAACATACCTGAGAACTTAGAGACACACAGAAACACAAGAAATGCAAATGAATGTATCCTTTAACTTATGTTTCCTATTTCCCATAAAGTTTTTGGTTTTAATTAGCCACACCTTAAAATACATTCTACTTTTATAGTAAATTAAAGATGAGAGCTTTTCAGGTAGAAAAAAAATAATATGTGCAACAACAAGAATTTTTTTACATTGTTCAGTTATAAATGCCAAGTACCTAGAAGAGTGCCTGGCACGAAGTAGATACTCAAGAGAAGTGACTGATTAGATAACCGGCTGTATTAAGGGAGGGAGGGAGAGAGAAAGAGAAAGAAAGAAAGAAAGAGAAATTGATTGATTTGGGGCACTGAAATTTGTAAACCTGTTTCTGAGTCCTAGCTCCTCCATTTACTGACTTACTGACTGGGTGATCTTTGGCAACAAGTTACGAATTATTAGTCTCTGTTTCCTTAGTTGCATAATATCAATTACTTTATCACATATCAATTGTTAAGAATTAATTGTATATATACACAAGGTTGATAAAAAGATCTTTTAAACTTTAAAATGCATAAAAACATTACATTTATGTACCTAAAATATACACCTAAATATCCAGACATTCACACAATAAGTCCAAGCTGTCCAAAATGACATCATAGTTACTATATTTTTTGGCTTAAGTAAAAAGTTGGCCTGGAATGCCCAGAATTTCCCACTGTCAAGACAAGCATAGAATTCATGATCATTCAAGTGCTTGAACTGAGAAACTAAAAAACCAAGCAGTATTGTGCATTCAATCATTACATGAAACTAATAAAGGGGCTTACAATAAACTAAATTCTAGGAAAGTGTTAAAATATACAAAAGAGTATTATTTTGCAATAGGTAAAAACATAATTTGAGGAGTCATTTTCAAAAGAAAAAATATATCACCCCCAGCATATGGAGTATGCAGAGAACTTCAGAAGAGTTAATAAGTATCTTTTCATGGCTATTTTTTTCCATCTCTTCTTAATACTGGTTACATAAGTCAGACAAAGAACATATGTATTTAAAAGGAGGCAGAGAATAGGGCAGTACAAGTAACATCACACATCATTTATTTATGTCACCCTGTACTGGGAAGCCTTCCTAGGGACTTTGTGGCATAGGAAATTGCTATGATATCATTGATGTCCTCTCTTAAATTAAAAATAATAATAAAAAACTTTTTGTGAAATGAATGAAGTCCATTAGCTAGGTAGCTCATATCTCGTGTACTTGCGTTGTATAAAGTTGTCCAAAGGAAAAGAAGGAGATAAGCAATTTAACACTGCAGTCACCATCAATGTAGTGCATTTGTGACTAGCAAGGCTAATACTGAAAGAAGGAATCATACACAGAAAAAAATGCAATTTAAATGTCTAGATCATTCATTAGCTGAATAAGATTTTCTTCATTGTTGACAGAATGATATAAATAGATTTTTAAAGAATTAATTATTAGGAGACAAATGCTTTTCCCTTAGTTAAGTTTAATCACCTGTGAAAATGACACAGTCAGTACCACTGGGTTTTTCAACTTCACTATAGAGTACTTAGGGAAAGAAAAAAAATTCATTTCAAAGCAGTGACTCATGCTTTCAAGCTCATATTATCCAAAACTTTTAGATTTCACTTTAAATTTTGAAATTCACAGAATATACCAACTTAAATTTTTCTCAGCAAAAAATTGACTCTAGATGTATATTGGAAGCTTTTTGAGGTTTTGTTGATTACGTATTGTTGTGGCTGAGACATTAAGCTCACTTGTTTAGATTTAATTAATACACGTCTGACACTGTCTATAAACTTAGTTTTGTTCAGACCTGAATGGACTAAAGGAGACAATTCGAACAACAGTAATGTCTAGAGCTGCCAAACAGGACTGGGCTAGCAGAAGACACAGAGTGTGACATAGCTGAAAAACCCCTGCTGTCTTAAAGCTCAACTCGAGAATCTCCAAATCCTGAGTTTTAATTATCAAAATTACTAGTTTGCAAAGGCAGAAATATTCTATGTTAAAGGCACAGTAAAAATAAATCTAAAAAGCATAAGCACATCAACACTTGATGAACAAGCCATTATTCAAAAGTTTTATAACCCTAGGAGGAATGGAGATGCTATTAAAATAAAAGAGCACGTTAAACAAAATAACAATTAATTACACTTTTCTGTGGCTTTATTTCATAAATAACTGCATCCAACTTTAAAATAACAACAGTATGCTACTTTATACCATAATAATAGACAACATTTGAGGGGATACAAATGTTTTTGAATTCTTCATTTGTTATCATGTGAACATTCTCAGTCAATTGAAAGCTTTTAGTGTAGTGACTTTTCAGGTTCTCTGTCACATTCAATCACCTATCCATAGCAGTTCAACAGCTCTAAATATATTTGTTTTGCTACAATATAACAAGATCCTCAGGCATAAATGTTACTACTGACAAATGATTAAATAATATAAAGATATATTTTTAGGATTTAAATATTTTCTGGCTATGTAAAGACAGTATTTTATTATGCACCAAAAAGCATAACAAAAATGCAATAAATGATTTTAATATCTCTTAATTCCACAAAGAAACCCTTACATCCATTCTTAAAATTTTTCATTATTATTATTTCCAAATATTTAAATGGTAAATATGAATGTAAAGTCCTACAACTTTATTTCAGAAGCCAGAGCCTTTGCTCACTTGGTAAACTTTGTTTTCCCTGTATAAATGCAACTTTGGAAAACTGTCCCAAAGAACTGCCATTTAACAATTAGAAACTTTGACTCATTTTAAGTCTACAGCAACACTACTTGGTTGACCATTTCTACCACTATTCTTTAATACTAATAGAAAAATATAGAGAAATGATGCAGAATGATATACATACACATATACAGTTTTAAAAACACATTCAAAATTGTGGTCTTATAATAGCAGTATTTTCCTTTTTCTAAAGCGAAGCCGGATTTACCTGCCTTTCATTTTCTGCTGCAAATTAGTTTGTCAGGTACACGTTAGCAAGCTCTTTTTTTAATTCATTTTGCTAACTCCATAGTCCTTTAAATAATGATAAACATTCCTGAATAAAAGCTTACCAGATAGTAATCCTTTTTGACCCTTATAATATTTTCTCTGTAAGACACATCTACCTTTATTTTAAAAGAGAAGGTAAAACAGAAGAAGCCCTTACCAGAGACAGAGAAAACAATTCGTTCAGCTAGATCCAACAGTGCTCTGTGCAGCCTGGAAGCATGAGTGATCCTTGGGCCTCACACAAAAGCGAGATAATTGGCTCTCAATGAAGAGATGTAAACATCCATCATAATGGCACTGTGCTGAAACTGAACGCTACCTCAGCTGTTCTATGTACTCTGACTGGAAGATGATGTCACAAACATCAACTGGGTGTACTCTCATTGGCTTCTGTTACCTGGAATCATATCTTAACCCTAAACTGTCAGCTACAAATTGAAATGCACATTTCTGACTATAATTTCTGCCTTTAAAAGGAGAGTGAAAGTAATGTTGAGCTCCTGGGGGATCACAAACTGAAAATACTGCCCTCTAATTATGCTAAGACTGATTTACCTAATTAATTAATCAGAATTAGTGAAAATTTTATTTTCCAAATGTGTTTTGTTAAGTAGCAGTGTTTATAAAAGGTATTTGACAGAATGGATATTAAAGGACAAGATGTATGTAATCATAACATCTGGAATTTTAAATTTTGTAATTACTTTGCATTGATTTTACAGTACTAGCCCCTGAGATTTAAGAAACTCAAATTGAGAAAAATTATAATGTAGTCAATTGTACAGTGAAGTTTTTAATCAATTTTTTCAGAGCAGCCATTTGTTTTTAAATCTTCTAATAAAACCACAAAAATGGAAATGCATTTTATTCTCTGAGTGTTAAACACTGTTTGCAAAGTTTCATGTAATAAACCTTAAAGTTTATTACATGATATTACATGAAAGAGATATTAAAAGCACATCACTAATACAATAATGTTAAATATTGGTTTTTACAAAGAGTAATTTATAAGCCACTGGAACTTCAGACAATCCCATTTCAGTAATTGAAAGCTACTCTATGATATAGTGCTGTTCTTTTTGAGCACACACAGGGAATAATTATCCATCTCTTACCTTCTATCTTGACAAAAGCCCCAGATTTCTCCCCAGGCTTAAATCCAGTGGGAGAGGAGGATAATGGGCTAAGCTGGTTGCAGCAGCTTGCTGCCAGAGGGACAAAACTACAATCACCTTGAAATATACCCAAGCTTTCCCTACTGAAAGGAGCTGTCAACCGCATAACTGTGAGATGCAAGAATTACCAGAGCTATTCAATGACCAGTTCCTTCTAAATCTAGCCCAGCCATATCCCAGGGCAAGCCCTTTGAAAGCTGTGCAGCTCAGCATGCGAACAGTACAAGCACCTGGAGAAAGAGCAAGGAAATTCACTTCAACCACCCCAACTTTAGGGAAAGGAAAGTCACCAACAGTGCACTTGCATGACTTTATGCTGTTTCATTTATTTCTGAATAATGGATTCAGGGCAAATACTTGTTACATTCCCTCTGCATTTACAGTGACAGAAAATTATTTTTACTCAATGGCCTCAATAAGAGTTCAAAAAGTTGATAATATATGAAAATACACTTTCATATGTTCACATTTCCTCCCAAGTTCTGACTTTTATGATAGTCAGTTTATTTGATTACTCTGAGAAGCGAGTTAGCATGTGACATGGGAGCAAGAGTTCTAGACTAGGGTTGAAATGATTCATCCTCCAGTTCTTGCTCCACCACTTACTATCTGTAAAAACTCTGGTAACTTAGCATCTTTTATGTATAGACTGAGAGTGGTAATGCTACATACAGCAAAATAATAATAATAAAGATATGGGGATCAGATGAGACAATGCATAGAAGCTTGTTATATAAAATAAAAAGTATTACATAAATATAAGATAATTAATATTATCGTTGTTATGAAAACAATCAAATGCGTTAATTTTAAAGACACATGGAAGATTTAAAATTTAGAGTTACTTTGGTGCCCTCAAAATAATGATATAAATATGTTAAACCCTTAATATTTCAACTCAAAAATAATGTTGCAAATTAACTTGATTTATAACACTGACTCACTCAATTTTTTTTTTGTTTGTTTGTTTTGGAGTTTTAACCCTCCCAGAATAATTTCAGCATGTTTTCTACATGCAACAGGATATAATCTATCTATCTATCTATCTATCTATCTATCTATCTATCTATCTATCTATCTACATTCAGTTAATTTTTAAAGACAAATGTATTTTCTGGTGATTTTAGTGCACAGAAATCATAACCTCTCTTATTTGTTTTGCATTTGTTTGGGTGACAGAATGCCACATATAATGTGCCTAGAGAAATACAGCAATATAAAGATTGGGAAACTTAAATACTCCTAGGGCTCTGCAGGCATTTTTGTTTGTTTGTTCATTTATTTATTTGTCAATTTCCACAGGTATCAACGTATAGGCATTTTGTATCAATAACCCACATCCTACACAAAATTTGTTTACAAGTGAATAAGGTACCTAGTAAAGAAAGCTGGTTTTTGTTATTAAAATATGTCAGTGAGATTTTTTAAGAATATAGATTTCAATGCTTAAATATTATACAAGATGGAGTCTCTAATGAATTACTTAGTATTTTAAGGACATACACTTATTACATATGAAAATAATTTCATATTTAAAATTTGAATTGTTTAAAAATTAACAAAATTATTGGCTTATACTTTAATTCCTAGGAAAATTGATAGGAAAAAAGATAATGTACTAGAAATACTTCATACTAACGTTGGACTAGAATAATGAGTGAATCTTTATCACATACATTAAGTCAACTTCAAATTTTGTATTTATTTATTAGGACAGAATTTATATTTTAGTTTTAAATAATTACATTTATACACTCAGGAACATTCAGATAAATACAGGATATAATAGTTCATATATGAATATCAGTTTTATTACTCCAAAGTATATTTTATACATAAGGACAGAAGAAAATATATATACATATATTCTCTTACAGTGGGGAGAAATCATTAGAAAGTAATAATTAGTAGAATTTATAAAATTTTTTTGTGATTTTTTAGTGGTGTTTCTTTTGGAAAAGTAGAGATACTAAACTTCAAGACCTTTCAGTAATTTATTTTCAGAATGTCCTTTGGAAAAAAGTCTGATGATACTTGGACATCAGTCTGCACATGTATCTGGGTTAAGGTCAAAAATAAGATAGTGTGTATGTGATGTGAACATTGATAATAAGACACGTAACTGTTTTCTACTATACTAAAATAATATTATTAAGAAATACAACCTGATTACAAAATGTAAAAAAAATTCTAAATGTAAAAATGTTAAAACTTTAAGAAACTACAAGAAAAATAAAAGGATGGTGTCATTTCTTGAATATTCTATTTAATATACACATGTGGAAAAGTAAAATGCTGCATATAGCTCTAATTTCATAAAGGAATAATAACAAACACTGCATTTGAGAATGAATTTACCAACGTTGTCTCATTATTTATTACATTCCTCCAACTAAAATGGCCAGCTAGCATTTGTGAGTTCAGAGAATATAAAATATTTTAACTTTAATAGTGTGTAAAAGTTTAATATGAGGGGGCAAAACACTCTATAGACATCAATTTAAGCTTCATTCTCAGTAAATGTATATTAGTAAATATCTATAATAAGATCATTTCAATAGTTTTCATAACTCAGCACCCTGACTAGTAACATAATAGCCCCATGTCATAAAGCATACAACACTAGATATGAAAAGTCTTATTTTGTTTTTTCCTTTTTTTGAACAACATTGTTACAATTGTAACACCTGTAATTCAAGAAAAAAATTTGTTGAATGTGGTGAGAGGAAGCTAACCAATTTTAATGTAGGCATTTTACTATTCATTAGCATTATTTTACTACATAGACACATAATTAACAGATAAATAGGCTTTATTGCATTAGGGTATATTAAAATTAAATCTGCTCAAAAAATGGAAGGACAAGTTGGAGTATCAAATAAAAATTTATATCAAATACTTATTAATATGTTTGCAGAGAATTAGGTGGTAAGAGAATTAAAAACACAGAGACAAAAGAGAAACATGCCCTTGTAAAAACGCTTGTTGTCCACAGCTGGCTCCCACCCACCTTTTATTGTTTCAACCCCTTGCTCCCACTGAAAGTAAGCACATCTGTCCCTTAAAGTACTGTCTTAATTCTAAACTCGTTTCTCAATGTACCCTGTTTAATAGCTATGTGGTTACTTAGGGCCTTTTAAAATTAGAATATGATGCAGGCACAGCCATACCCTGATAGGCAGAAATAGCCAGAAGCCTACTACCTTTTATTTTTAAATTTATCAAAGTTAACATTGAATAATTTACAATGTGCCAATTTCCTAATAGAAAGAAACCTCCAAATCAAATTATTTTCATAGTAAGGTGTGTTTCCATAGGAAATGAAGCAGAGTTAGTTATTATCTGCACTTACTTTCTCTAGAATAGCTCCACTATTAGAATTGGATCAGAGCATAGAGTGTAAGTCAGAGATTCTTCTGTTCAATTATTGACTGTATATTTTATGCACCATGACAAGGAGCAAGTTATTTACCTTCCCTGAACAATGTTGTCTAACTTGTGATCTTTCTCAAAGGCTTCTTAAAGTTATTAAAAAGAGAAATATATTATATAAATTATTTAGATCATTATTTAGTACTTGCTAATTGGTAATTGCTCAAGGGACAAATTTTTCCCATATCCCATTATATTTTTATATAATAAAAATATCTTTGAAACAGAAACAAAGCTATATACCTTTTTTTTCCATTGAAGAGAAAGGTTTGTTCATTAAACAGCATATATAGCTACTCAAATGAAGGTTTTGTTCATTAAACATCATATATAGCTACTCATAAGTATTAAACAGAACCATGAGGAACAATGGAGCACATGATAAAGTAAAACTGTGTCTGAGAGAAGCAGCATCTTAAAACATTTGTGTGGCAGTTATAAATACTTGTCTAGCACTACCTTGTACAGAGTAGTAGCTCATTAAACATGTATTGAATTGATTTGACATTTTAAGAATTGGTGAACCTCTGCAGCAGAACATATTTAAAAACCCAAATTGCATCAACTTCACTTCTATTCATTCAATAGACAAAAATTGAAGACCTTATATAATGCCAGACATTGAATTAATTGCTATGATGCAAACATGAATATGACTCATACTTCAGTTTCAAGGAAACCTTAGTCAAGGGAGAGCTTGAAACCTTAAATAAAATATACCAGACCAATTTTCTTACTGGTCAGTTAACATAAACGAAAGTTTACCTAGAAGGCTGAAATGTCAAATATTTCTGTTCCTCATTTGAATTAGTAAAAAAACATCAGCAAGCTATTAGAAGCAATTTCCTGAGAAAAGTAACTTTTAAGATATATAATAATGTCATGACTGATTCAGACCAATATTTTGCAACCCGTGTATCTATCGTACTCTATTGATTTTCAATATGCACAACCAAGACCAAGAGGCATATCAAGGCACTCAAGTACCTTCTGAATCATCTTGAATTGATTAGGTGTAATGGAGTTCATGATTAATTGAGAGCATACCAGAAGTGTGTTGTACCTTGGGGTTTCACTCTGCCTTGTAAGGAAGTAAGAATTACAGTGAAGGGAAGTAAGAATCACATTACAGAATGTAAATGAAGGAAACTCTTAACATCCCTCCCCCACCACATTCATGCCTTGTTTAAAATCCTTCAGAAGTTCTTGTTCTTATAAGGAGAAAGGCAACCCCTTTAACCCATTTATGCCTCAGGTTGCAATTTTTTGAATTTTTGCAATCAGATCTTGGCTATGACATTGAGCAGTAGGATATAAATAACTCCCACATGCTTAGCGTTCCAATATTAGAACACTAGGCATAAATTTAATATAGTTTACAATGTCCTGTATGATCTGACCACAATCTCTCTAGCCTTACCTTCCACTAGCCTTCTCATCTCACTGTTGTGTTTCTCTCTTCTCCATCGCAAATGACAAGTTTCAGTCCCATTTCTTCCATAATTTATTTTGTTACAGAGCATGTTCATATATCCAGACAGTTGTTTCTACCTGGAATGCTTTCTACCCATTCTTCCTTTCATATTACTCCTTATTCTCACATGTCAAGCCATTTGAATCTATCAGTCACTCATAGTCATATTGTATCTTTCAGCCACAGGCTCTTTGCATATGCTTTCTATTCTAAATACTTTTCTATGCATGCCATCTTTCTTTTTATCTAGGTGTCTCTACTCATTCCAGATCAGCTATCCCTTTTCAAAGAAGTCATTCTTGCCTAGCTTATTAAATCAAATCTCTTTAAGTGACCTTATATCCTGATAGCTCTCTTTTGTTGCATTTATCATTGCAATAGATTTACTTCTGTGACTTTTAAGATGTTTGTATCTTCCACTAGGTTCTTGAAAGCAGACATTCTGTCTGCTTTTGCTTACTCTCTTAGGCATATGATTCATTTTTAGAGTACATTCATATATAGATATTCTAGTATACTACACAAAATATGCATATTAAAAACTTTGGCATGAAATTGGAATTTATTTTTAATTTTCTAATTTTAAACATCACTTGTATTTGATAAACCTTTTAAAGGTAATTTCTGCCTGCAGTCAGAATTAGAGAAAAGATAAGCCATTTTAATATGTTTTCTAGCACTTACTAAAATATTTTACTTATTATTTGTACTTCCAAAATTTTTGACCGACTGGATTTCCATATGGAATATTTTTCAACTTTATTCCTAGATATAGTAATGTTGACTGTAAAAACTTTGTCATTTGTTTAAAAGGTTTTATTTTATATATTTTCTATTAAAAGAGTGATTTTTACCCTACTATATAAAGGTGAAAGCTTTCTTTTCCAAATGTAACTTACATTTCTTTTTCAAATGTAATTTCAAATGTAATTATGGGGTTGTAACCCCATAAATTGGTAGATGAAACCAAAGATCAGTGATATGGGTCTAGATTGGAAGAGCCAAACAAATATTCTAAATTTTTATTTGTGTAAATTTACGGGATACAAGTGCAGTTTTGTTACATGCATCCATCACAAAGAGGTCAATTCAAGGCTTTTAGGGTATCTATCACCCAAATACTTTACATTATACCCATTCAGTAATTTCTCTTCACCCACTCTATCTCATCCTGTCACCCTTCTGAGTCACTATTATCTATCATTATACTCTCTATGTCCATGTTTCTACATTTGTATGTCCACTTATGACTGAGAATACACAATATTTGTCTTTCTGTGTCTGACATATTTCATTTCAGATAATGTCCTCCAATTTTGTCCATGTTGCTGCAAATGTCATAATTTCATATTTTTTTGGCTGAATAGTACTCCATTGTGTATATATGCCAAATTTTCTTTATTCAATCATCTATTGATGACACTTAAGTTGATTCAATGTCTTTGCTACTATAAATAGTGCTGCGATGAGCCTATCAGTGCAGATATCTTTTTGATTCATTGATCTTTTTTCTTTTGGGGAGATACCCAGTAGTGTGACTGCTGTATGAAATTGTAGTTATACTTTTAGTTCTTCAAGAAATCTCCATACTGTTGTCCATAAAGCTTGTACTAATTTACATTCCCACCAACAGTATATGAGAGTTCCCTTTTCTCTAAATTCTCACTAAAATCTGGTATTTTTTGTCTTTCTAATAGCCATTTTGACAGGCATATTATATCTCATTGTGCTTTTAATTTGCATTTTTCAGATGCTTAGTGATGTTGAGCATTTTTTCATATACCTATTGGTCATTTGTATGTCTTCTTTTGAGAAGTGTCTATTAATGTATTTTGCCCACTTTTTAATTGGATTACTTGTTTTGGGGTGGGGGGTTGTTGTTGGTGGGTTATTTGAGTTCTTTCTACATCCTGGATATTAGTCCCCTGCCAAATGCATAGTCTGCAAATATTTTCTCCCGTTCAACAGGTTGTCAGCTCTCTCTGTTGATTGTTTCTTTTGCTGTGCAGAAGCTTTTTAGTTTAAGTTCAGTTTGTCTATTTTTGTTGCGTGTACTTTTGAGGTCTTAGTCATAAATTATTTGCCTAGACCAATATCCAAATGAGTTTTTCCTAGGTTTCCTTCTAGTATTTTTATAGCTTCAAGTCTTATGTTTATGTCTTTGATATATTTTTAATTTATTTTTGTATATGGTGAGAGATAGGGGATAGGAGCCGTGTTTGTTTGTTTTTGTTGTTTGAGGGCCCCGTTTTGATTGCAGGAGAGGCCCGTCTGGAGCTGCCACTGCGAAGACGCGGGCTGCAGCGGGGGAGGCGGGGAGGGGGCTGCGCACTCCACAGAGCCAAGGGAAGCAAGGAACAGGTGGAAGTCCCGCCCCCTTCCGAGTTAGCTGGGCAGGAGCCTCCTGCTTCCCAGGTGAAGCTGCAGCCACCCAGCTGTGTGTGCGGACCCGGGCATTTCTGTGCTCTTGGGGGCCAGGGACAGGCAGGGTCCCCGCCTCCTGGGGTGCAGCTACAGCCGCCCAAGCCATGGCTACGGACCCAAGCATCTCTGCACTCTCCGGGCCCGGGAAGCAGCCCCTTGCCCCAGCAGGCTCAGAAGTGCCTGCTCTCACTGCCTGGCCTCTCCCGGCGCCCTCTCCGATCTCAGAGCAAAGTTGAGGCCAAGCCCAGGTGCTGTCACAAACCCAGTCGGCTGTGCCCACTCTTGGGGCAGTGCTGACACATCAGGCCCCTGCCGCCTCAGCCCTCTCTGGATTTTGGGCACTGACGAGCATGGGCTGTGACACCCTCTTTGGGGCTCTGCGGTTCCTGGCATCTCCAATCTTCTGGGCGCTACTGCGTTCCCTGGTGCCAGCCATGGAAGCTGCTTGCAGTAAGCCTGGTCTAGCCGCAGCCTCACAGGGAGCCGGCACCCGTGCGGGCACCTGGAGCTGCCCCACCCCCCGACCCCCAGCCGGCATGCCTGGCTGTGCGCAGTGGCCAGACCCCACCTCGCTCCCTCATACATCCCTCACTGCTCCACGCCTGGCTCACCCATGTCAGGTGTGACATCCAGGCCAGTAGCGCGAGCCAAGCGCAGCCTGCCAGGCCAAAACAGGCAGAACGAGCCCAGCAGGCCCGAGCAAAACTCAGGCAAAAGCGTCACCAGCCACAGAGGTTCCCAGCTGGCGAAACAACACCCCAAGGATCCTGTGACAGTTTCATTTTTCTTCATGTGGCCATTCAATCTTCCCACCACTGTTTATTGAAAAGGGTGTCCTTTCCCCAATGTGTATTCTTGTTTACTTTGTCAAATACCAGTTGGCTATAAGTATGTGACTTTATTTCCGGGTTCTCTATTCTGTTCCATTGATTTACGTGCCTGTTTTTTATACCAGTACCACGTTGTTCTAAGCCTTGTAATAAAATTTGAAGTCAGGCGATGTGATACCTCCAGGTTTTTTCCTTTTGCTTTGGATCACTTTGGCCATTCAGGGTCTTTTTGGTTTCATATACATTTTAGGTTTGCTTTATCTAATTCTGTGAAAAATGACATTGGTATTTTGATATAGATTTCAATGAATCCGCAGATTCAATGAAAGTATGGTCATTTTAATGATATTTGTGTTTCCAGTCCATGAGCTTGGGATATTTTTTATTTGTGTCATCTACAATTTCTTTCATCAGTGTTTCACCAAAGATCTTTTACTTCCTTGGTTAAATATATTCTTAGGTATTTATATTTATTTTTGTAGCTATTGTAAATGAGATTACCTTCTTGATTTGGTTCTCAGCTAAATTGTTGCTGGTCCATAGAAACACTACTGATTTTTGTATGCTTTTTTGTATCCTTCAAGTTTACTGAATTCATTTATCAAATTTAAGAGCTTTTTCTAGAATTTTTAGGTTTTTCCACCTGTAAGATTATATCTTAAATAAGCAAAGATAACTTGACTTGCTCTTTTCGAGTTTGTATACCTTTTATTTCTTTCTCTTGCCTTGTTGCTCTGGCTAGGACTTCTAGTACTATGTTGAATAGGTGTGGTGCAAGCGGGCATTCTTGTCTTGCTCCAGTTCTTAGGGGAAGTGCTTTCAACTTTTCCTAATTCAGTATGATATTGGCTATGGGTTTGTCATATATGACATTTATTATTTTGAGGCATGTTCCTTCAATGCCTAGTTAAATGAGGGTTTTATCATGAAAATATGTTGAATTTTATCAAGTGCTTTATTTGCATCTATTGAGATGATCATAGGGTTTTTGTCCTTCATTCTGTTTATATACTGTATCATATTTACTGGTCAGCATATGTTTAATCATCTTTGCATCCCTGGTGTAAAACCGAATTTATTGTGGTGTATTATCTTTTTGATATGCTGTTGTATTTGGTTTGCTAGTATTTTGCTGAAAATTTTGTGTCTATGATTATAAGGGATATTGTTCTGGAGTTTTGTTGTTGTGATTGTGTCCTTGTCTGGTTTTGGTATCAAGGTGATAATGGCCTCCTAGAATGAGTTAGAAAAAATTCCCTCTTCCTCAATTTTTTGAACAGTTTCAGAAGGATTGCTATTAGTTCTTCATACCTTTGGTAGAATTTGGCTGTAAATCCATCTGGCACTGGGATTTTCTTTGTTGAAAGATTTTTTTTTTTATTACTGACTCAATCTTGCTGCTGTTTATTGGCCTGCTCAGGTTTTTAAATTTTTTCTTGGTTCAATCTTAGGAAGATGCATGTTTCCAGGAATTTATCTATTTCCTTTAGCCTTTTTAGTTTGTGAGTATATAGTTATTCATAATATTCTCTAATGATCTTTTATATTTCATATCTCCTTTTTCACTTTTGATTCTACTTTTATTGTCTCCTGTCTCTTATTGGTTAGTTTATCAGTTTTGTTTGTCTACTCAAATAATCTAGTTTTGTTTTATCTTTTGTAATTTTTTTTTGGTCTTTTTTCATTTAGATCGGCTCTGACTTTGTTATTTCTTTTCTTCTGCAGTTTTGGTTTGTTTTTGCTTTTCTAGTCCCTTCAAGTGTATTATTAGATTGTTAATTTGTAATCTTTCTACTTTTTTAATGCAGATATTGAAGCTATAAAGTTCTCTCTTAGCACTGCTTTGCTGTATCTCACAGATTTTGGTAGGCTGCATTTCCATGCTGAGGGAATTCATCACCACTAGACGGGACCTACAAGCAACACTCAAAGGTATCTTAAACTTGGAAGTGAAAGGTAGATGTTCACCATCATGAAGACACCTGAAATTATACAGATCACTAGTAAAGCAATTACACAAAGGAAGAGGAGAAAGGAATCAAGTGGCACCACTTCAAAATTCTACCAAGACGCAAAAACAGACAGAAAGAAACAAAGAATTTATAAATTTTAAATAAAATTTTAGATTTATTAAATCTGTATAGTTCAGAGCTGTCTTTTTAATTCACAGCTGTTCTTTCAAATATTTTTATATGCACTAGACTGTAGTAATTCAATAAAGGGGGGAATAAATAAACCATAAAGAGAATGGAACGTTATAAAAATATCTGAAGTCAGTACAAGCTAGTAAGTAGGCCTAGACTGGAACACCATTGAATAAATGCAGAGCAAAGATGAACATATTTTTAAAGTAAAAATTTAGACTTCTCTTGATTTGGGAAGAAGTATTGTTAAGATCTTAGAACCAGATTTTCACTTATAATATGGAATTCATAGAATTATGTAGACGTATCAATTGCAAACAAGCAATGCAATTCCTGAGTAACTCTAATTTAATTTTTCTTACCAAAATATGACTAACATAGTGGCAGTAGGACAGAAATAGGTTTTGGTGGCATTAGAATATATTGAAACTCATAGCGACATCCCCAGATTCCTGGGGTGAAGTTAGATTTGAAGTATCAAGGGATCTCATTAGAGAAGATGCTTAGAAAGATAGCTGTGTATGTCAACCTTGAATTATAAATTCTTTTAAGCCATAAGGAGAATGCTTTCATCAGTCTTACAGACTTATGGAGTTGTACAGCTACTGATGGCCTTAGAAATTATTGATCTCACCATCTCATTCAGCCTACAAATTTTACAGATGTGAAAAATGAAATTTTTAGTCAACTAGCCCAAAGTCTTTTAGCTAAAGACATCCTTAATTGAAAGCCAGACTTTGGACTCTGGCTGTCAGGTCTCCATCTCTTTGTTACACACTTCATTGTATTAATATATTCAACTGGCCCATCACAAAAGAGTTACTTACTATGTCAAAATTTTGCTCATATAGATTTAAAAACATTGAAAAATACATGATATATAAAGGATTTTTTTTTCTTCATCTTCTTCACTTCAGTGAATGTATATTGAAACCTTTATTTTTTCCCTTTTAAACCTACTATCTACCATACTTTTACGGACTCATAGATTTTTGAAGGGTCCATTAAAAACATTAGTAAAGAGAAGATACAACCTTAATAAAATATTTTGTTGTAGTTATTTAATTGGCTTACTGCTCAAACAAACAAAAGGATATTAACTACATATATATATATATACATATATACATATATATACACATATATATATATACACATACACACACACATACATACACATGTATTTTTTGGCTCTGCCAACAATAAATTCATTTTTATTGTTTATTTCAGTTTTTACCAAGAAATATTATTATTCTGAAAGAAAGTAAAGTGGCACATTTTTTTCTTCTTAGTAATTATGCATATACATTTAAAATAAAAAAGAAAGGGTGTTTTTTTTTTGCCTGAAAAACAAGTAGAGGAGATATTACAGTACCCCTTTCGAACACCATCAACCCACCCTCACACACATACACATCTCATTTGCCTTTTGTATATATTCTTTCATACTTACATATATATATATATATATATATATATATATATATATATATATATATATTCTTTTCTTTTAATTCTCACACTATGTGGAGTTTTCACTAACCTCATGACATTTTATTTAATTGTTGTGAGCTCCTCATAGGCCTTCAGCAGATATTTATGAGTTCTTCAAAAAATTGTAGAGCACAAAGTTGTTATAATTATATCTATTTGGAAATAACCTGCTTAAGTGTTTTATATCATTATGTCACTTAGAATATCTTTAGATAGGTCTTACCTCATCTACATATTTGTCTTTATTATAATACTGAGATATGGGCTCATTTCTACTTATTTCCAAGAAATATTTAAGTAAAGTTTATTTTTTTTTCTTTTGGTCATTTATATAAGTGTAGTCCTGATCCTTAATTCTATTAACATTTCTTGACAGTAGTCAAGAAAATTCCAATTTAACTACAGTCATAAAATGTGATTGTTAGTATATTCCAGTCCTGTGGCACTTAGGACAAAGACAGTTTTACAGTGTTAACTGAATTATAAACTCTCCAATTCAGGTTTTTTTGTTTTTTTTTTTCCTGGTTGCCAGGTGTAGAAGAGATCTCCAGTATTTTTCACTTTCTCCTCATTTTTCTTCTTAGAGAAACTGCCTCAAAAATGGCAATATCTTCTTTGTGCTTAATGACCCTAACTTCATGAAGACTTGGCATATAGGTGAGCACTTGAATATTGAAATGAAGATATTATGAGATTTAGACTATATTAATGGAGGAAAGAATGCATAAAAAGTCAATATAGTTATTTTGTTGATATTTTTGATGGTACCCTGGTTCCCAATCTCCTTGAAAATGTTACTTGATTCTTCTTGTGTATCCATATGAATTGTAGTTTTTTATTGTGATAAAATATATATAACATAAAGTTTATTATTTTAAACCATTTTGGTTGTACAGGTCAGTATCATAAAGTATATTCACGCTGTTGTACAAGCATCACCATCATCCTTCTCTAGCACTTTTCACCTCCCGTAGTGGATCTCTGTTTTTGTTTTGTTTTGTTATGTTTTGTTTTGTTTTGTTTTTCTTTTGAGACAGAGTCTCACTCTGTCCTCCAGGCTGGAGTGCAGTGGCATGATCGCGGCTCACTGCAACATCTGCCCCCTGGGTTCAAGAGATTCTCCGGCCTCAGCCTCCCAAGTAGCTGGGATTACAGGTGCACACCGCCATGCCCAGCTAATTTTTGGCACTTTTTTAGGAGAGACAGGGTTTCATCTCTACTAAAAAATGTTGGCCAGGCTGGTCTCGAACTCCTGACCTCAGGTGATCCGCCCGCCTCGGCCTCCCAAAGTGCTGGGATTACAGGTGTGAGCCACTGAGCCCAGCCCATAGTGGAACTCTGTACCATTAAAAAAGAACTCCCCATACCTTTCTCCTTCCAGCCCCTAGCAACCACAATTCTATTTTCTGTCTCTATGAATTTGACTACTCTAGGAATTTCATATAATTAAAATCATACAATGTTTGTTCTTTTTTGTCTGGCTTATTTTACTTACCATATTTTTTTCAGGTTTCATCCATGTTGCAGCATGTGTTAGAATTTCACTTACTTCTAGATTCAATGCAATCCCCATCAAAATATCAACATCATTCTTCACAAAATTAGCAAAAACAATTTAAAAATTTATATGTAACCGAAAAAGAAAAGTGCAAATAGTGCAAGCAATCCTGAGCTGAAAGGACAAAGCTGAAGGCATCACATCACACTACCTGACTTCAAAATACATTACAAGGCTATAGTAAACGACATGGTATTGGTAAAAATACACACATGGAACAATGAAACAATTTAAAAAGCAGAAAATGTCATGTATTTATAACTAACTAATCTTCGACAAAGATGACAAGAGCTTACATTGAGGAAAGAGAACCCTCTTCAATAAATGGTGCTGGAAAAATTGGAGAGCCAAATGCAGACAAATAAAACTGGAATTCTATCTTCCACACATGCAACAATTAACTTACAACAAATTAAAGATTTAAATATAAGACAAGAAAATACAAAAAATACTAAAAGAAAATCTAGGAAAAAGTATTTTGGACATTTGTCTAGGCAAAACATTTATGAAGACCTCAAAAGCACAAGCAACAAAAACAAAAACAGACAAGTGGGGCTATATTAAACTAAACAGCTTCTGCACAGCAGAGGAAACAACACAGTGAGGAGAAAACCTGTTGAATGAGAGAAAATATTTGCAAACTATCCACCCAACAGGGGCCTAATGTCAAGAATATAAAAGGAACTCAAACAACTGAACAGGAAAAGACCAACTAATTACAAATAATCCCATACAACAGCGGGCAAAGGACATGAATAGATATTTTTCAGAAGAAAACACAAATGGCCACAGGTGTATAAAAAATGATCAGTCAATATCACTAATCATTACTGATTAAGTTAAAAGCACAATAAGCTACCATCTTATACCTGTCAAAATGATTATTATTAAAAAGACAACAGATGTTGATGAAGATGTGGAAAAAAGGGAACACTTACATATTGTTGGTGGGGGTGCAAACTATTAAAACAGTATAGAGATTTTCCAAAAAACTGAAAATAGTATTACCATTTGATCCAGTAATCTCATTACTTGGGTATCGGTCTGAACAAAAAAGAATGAATATGTCCAAGGGAAACCTGCACTTGCATGTTTATTGCAGCACTATCCACAATAGCAAATATGTGGAACCAATTAGTTTTCATCAATAGATGATGGAGTAGAGAATATTTGGTATATATACAGCATGGACTATTATTCAGTCATTAGAAAAGAATGGAATCCTGTCATTTGCAGCAACAAGGATAGAACTGGGAGGTCATTATCTTAAGTGAAATGAATCCGGCACAAATTGGCAAATATCACATGTTCTCACTTATATGTGAGATTAAAAATATTTGATCACATAGAGATAGACAATGAAACTACAGAAACTGGGAAAGGTGAGTCAGGGAAGGGAAGAGGATGAAGAGAACTGGTTAAAGGGTATAAACATACAGCAAGATAGAAGGAATAAATTCAATATTTATAGTAGAGTAGGGTAAATATACTTAACAAAAATATACTGGGGCTCATGTTATGAATATCCTAAATACACTGACTTGATTGCTATGCATTATATACCTGTAACACAATTTCCCACATATCCCATAAATTTGTGTAAATAAAAAAATTATTTATTCGTAAGACTGAATAATACTTCATTGTCTATATAGGCCACATATTGTCTATTTATCCTTAGATGGACATTTGGATTGTTTCCATGTTTTGGCTAGTGTGAATGGTGCTGTTATGAATGTTGGTACACAGACATGTATTTGAGCCTATGCGTTCAATTCTTTGGCTATATTACTAGAAGTAGAATTGTTATTTTTTTAAAGAAACCATGATACAATATTGTTAAGATTTGTATTATTTTAAACAGATGTTCCTTCACCTAGGATACCTAAGAGAGATTTTTTTTTTCTAAACAATCCTCAACTAAAAACTAATGCAATAATGATATCTAAAATAAATCTCTTCCAGGTGCAGCTCATGCCTATAATTCCAGTACTTTGGGAGGCTGAGGTGGGCAGATTGCTTGAGCTCAGGAGTTGGAAACCAGCCTGGGTAACATGGTGAATCCCCAACTCTACAAACAAATACAAAAATTAGCCAGGTGTGGTGGCATGTACCTGTGATCCCAGCTACTCAGGAGGCTGCACTGGGAGGGTCACATTGAGCCTGGGAGGTCGAAGCTACAGTAAGCAGTGATCATGCCAACACACTCCAGCCTGGGTGACAAAGTGAGACCCTGTCTCAAATAAATAAATAAATAAATTAAATTAATTAAATATTTGCATTCATTGTACAGATGGCGGACAAAGGACCTGATGTTAGGTTTGCCTGACAATGACCCTCTACATCATAAACAGCAACATAGCTCTTTTTTAATATTAATGAAGTGTCCATTAATTATTTCCTGTTTTCTTAGAACAGAAAAAAAATAGGAGACTTTTTGGAGTCCTTTAAACTGGAGATATTAGTGGTGTAGATAGCATGTTAGCAAGCAGGATTGGAGAAATATTTGAAAAACAAGAGTTGACAAGATCAATTTCCTGGATGTAGCATGGATGTTGATTAAAGAAACAAATTTTTGAGGTTAAATTACTGGATTACAATTCTGACTTCATTATTTACCAGCTGTGTGATCTTGGGCAAGTTACTTGATTTTCCTGTATCTTAGACTTCTCATTTATAGATTAGTAACAATATTTATTTCTTTGGTACTTTATAACAATTAAATAAATTGAAAGACAAGGCTCTTAGACTAATGGAACATAAGAAAAATATAGACATATTTGTTAAATATATTTAGAGGAGAAATATATAAATATTGTTTCCCAAGTTTATGGCAAAATGATTGAATGTTACTATTTATTATGATAAAAACCAATACAAACAAATATATACAGGAAGCATGTTTAATTTTAAATCTGCATGCAACATACATAATCTTTAATTTTAAGTGAAAATTGGACTGTCCAACTATGAAACTGAGAGATAAGAGATGAGACCTGGAGTCACAATGTGGAAATTCATCAGTGTACAGATTATATACCATAACATAGGGTCATTATATAAATAAAATGAGGGTCTTGTAGTGAGACCCCAGTAATCTACAAAACTTAAGAGATTTGCCAGTGTATACACTGCATACGATAACAGAGTGAATATATAAGTGATAAGAGGGCCTAGTGATGAAACCCCAATAATTCAACGTATCATGAAACCACAAATAGTTTTAATCCAACAGAAACTTTATGCAGCTCTGAAGCTCAAAAACTTTAATGGTACTTGCACCTTGTATTAGACCGTTCTGGCATTGCTATAAAAAAATACCATGTAATTTATAAAGAAAAGAGGCTTAACTGGTTGACAGTTCCACAGGTGGTACAAAGAGCGTAATGCTGGCATCTGCTCAGCTCCTGGGGATGCCTCAGGAAAATTACAATCATGGCAGATAATTTGTAAGCTCCCCTAAGAGGGAGCACTTGTCTTACACAGCAGGAGAAGGAGCAACAAAGAGAGTGAGGGAAGAGGTGCTACACACTTTTAAACAACCAGATCTCATGACAAGTCACTCATTATCAGGAGAACAGCACCAACCGGATGGTGCTAAACTATTAATGAGAATCACCTCCAAGATCCAATTACTTCCTACCAGGTTCCACTTCCAACATTCAAGATTAAAATTTGACATGAGATTTGGGTGGGGACATATATCCAATCGATATCACACTCAAAGACACTCTAGTCTTTAAAAAGTGGATATCATCTAAATAATTATTTAACTATATATATAGTATAGTATATAGTTATATATGTTTCCCATTGATAAAACTGCCATTGTGCTAGAGATTATATTTTTTAATATGAATACAAGTCAACATAATGTAAAGCAATAGAGGCAATCTTCATCAATTTATAGAACAAACCCTTGAAAGTAAATTTGGCTACCGAGTTTTTGCACCAGATAATAATGTTAAAAAATGGCTGCTAGACAATAACCAAGAACTCCTGGGCAGATTTACAGATGGAATGTTCCATAATTAAGTTTTCATGGGCTATATGAAAAGCAAAAGTAGTATTTAATAGAAGAATATTTAGCCATCCTCTGTCCACATTATATACCCAGATTGGCTGGAGTCATTCTATTACATTAAGGTGAAACATAATACTGGGGTCAGTTGTTTGCCTCCAGACTTGCCAGGGCAGAATACAGAAGCAGGCTTGAAAGTCAATTTTTGCCTAAGAGTTAACACCATTCTGTGAAAGGAAGAGTGTGAGAAAAGTGGACATTGACAGAATAACAAAAGCTCTTCTTGCAGAAAAGCTTCATGTCATCAGACTGCAAAGATTGGCTGAAGGGTAGTCGAACATACGGTAAGGGGCCCACAGACATTTTAGCATTGCCACTCGGGTTTTGGGAAACTGAAGTTGTTTCAAAAAGTAGATAAGGTTGTTCAAGGAAAACAAAGCTAACCTACAGTCAACAGTTCATTCATCTTGATTTAATTGACACAATATATACCATTCAGAACAAGTATGAAATGTCACTTGAAAATTAAACGACAACTAATATGAAATTTCACAAATTATCAGCTGGATAATACTATCACAAACCAATCTGATAATATTAAAGAGAGTAGATAACATAATGGTTAAGAGTAAGAGCACTGGAGTCATTCAGATAAAGGTTCCATTTCTGTCTCTCAACTTAATCACCTTGTGATCTCATGCAGTCTCATTATCCTTCTAAACTTGTGTCCTCTGTTGAATAGAGCCGTATCATAAGGATTTTATGAAGGTAAATGAAATAATGAATGTTAAGCAATCAGTACAATGCCCAGCTGTTGTAGTTGGATAATGACCCCCGAAGATGTCCATGTCTTAATCCCCGGAACCTGGGAATATGTTACCTTACTTGGCAAAAGGAAAGTTGCAAATATGATTAAGTCAAAGCTCTTGAGATGGAGAGATTATACAAATTGATCCAATGTAGTGACAAACGTGTTGATAAGAGGGATAAAGGAAAGCCAGAGTCAGAGAAGGAGATTTGAGGATTAAAGCGGAGAGTGGAGTGATGCAAGGCCATTTGCCAAATAATTCAGGCAGCCTCAAGAAGCTGAGAAAGACAAGCATTCTCCCCTAGAATCTCTAGAAGGAACATAGCAGTGCTGACCTGTTTTAGATTTCTAACCTCCAAAACTGTAAGAAAATAAATTGGCTGGGCGCGGTGGCTCACGCCTGTAATCCCAGCACTTTGGGAGGCCGAGGCGGCGGATCACGACGTCAGGAGATCGAGACCATTTTGGCTAACACGGTGAAACCCCGTCTCTACTAAAAATCCAAAAAAAAAAAAAAAAAAAAAAAAAAAAATTAGCCGGGCGTGGTGTTGGCCGCTTGTAGTCCCAGCTACAGGCTGAGGCTGGAGAATGGCGTGATCCCGGGAGGCGGAGCTTGCAGTGAGCCGAGATTGCGCCGCTGCACTCCAGCCTGGGCGACAGAGCAAGACTCCGTCAAAAAAAAAAAAGAAAACAAAATAAATTTGTGTAGTTTTAAACCATTAAGTTTGTAGTGATTTTTTTACAAGTATAGGAAATTAATATACTAACATAATTACTTAAATTTAGCTATTATTATTGAAAAATATGTACTTTACAAGATGAGAAATCTATTTTTCAATTTTTAATTTTGTAGGTATATGGTGTCTATATTTAACGAGGTACATGAGATATTTTGATGTAGGCATACAATGTGTAATAATCACCGCAAGGTAAATGGGATATCCATCACCTCAAGTAATTTACCCTTTATGTTACAAACAATCCAATTATACTCTTTCATATTTTAAAATATACAATTAGATGGTTATTGACTATGGTCTCCCTGTTGTGGTATCAAATAGTAGAAGGTATTCATTTTTTCTGTTTATTTTTTTATTTTTTGTACTCATTAACCATACTCAATCCCCCACTTCAACACCTGCACTGCCTTTCTCAACTTCTGGAAACCATCCTTCTACTTTCTATCTCCATTAGTTCAATCATTTTAATTTTTACCTCCTACAAATGAGTGAGAACATGTAAAGTTTGTCTTTCTGTTTCTGGCTTATTTCACTTAACATAATGACCTCCAGTTCCATCCATGCCGTTGCAAATGACAGAATCTCATTCTTTCATATGGCTAAATGCTACTCCATTGTGTATACATACTACATGTTCTTTATCCATTTGTCTGTTGATGGACACTTAGCTTCCCTCCAAATCTTGGCTATTATAAATAGTGCTGCAATAAATATGGGAGTGTACATCTCTTAAATATACTGATTTCCTTTCTTTTGGGTGCATACCCAGCAGTAGCATTGCTGGATCATATGGTAGCTCTATTTTTAGTTTTTTGAAGAACCTCCGAACTGTTCTCCCTAGTGGTTGTACTAATTTACATTCCTATCAACAGCGTATGAGAGTTCCCTTTCTCTATATCCTCTTTAGCATTTCTGGTTGCCTGTGTTTTGGATAAAAGCCGTTTTAACTGGAGCAAGATGATATCTCATTGTAGTTTTCATTTGCCTTTCTCAATGTTGAGCACATTTTTATATACCTGTTTGCTATTTGTATGTCTCCTCTTGAGAAATGTTTATTCAGATCTTTTGCCCATTTTTGATTATTATTTTTCTTATATATTCTGGTTATTAATCCATTGTCAGATGAATACTTTGCAAATATTTTCTCCCATTCATTGGGCTGTCTCCTCACTTTGCTGATTATTTTGTTTACTGTGCAAAAAGCTGTTTAACTTGACGTGATCCCCATTTGCCCATTTTTGTTTTGATTGCCTGTGCTTGTGGGGCATTACTCAAGAAATCTTTGCCCAGTCCACTGTCCTGGAGACTTTTTCCATTGTTTCCTTTTTAGCCTTTTCATAGTTTGAGGTTTTAGATTTAAGTCTTTAATCAATTTTGATTTCAATTTTGTGTATGACAGAATAGAGTGGGGTAGTTTCATTCTTCTGCATATGGATATCCAGTTTCCCCAACACCATTTATTTAAGAGACTGTCCTTTACCCAATTGTGTTCTTGGCACCTTTGTTGAAAATGAGTTCACTGTAGATTCATGGATTTCTTTCTGGGTTCTCTGTTCTGTTCCATTGGTCTATGTGTCTTTTTTTATGTTAGGACCATGCTGTTTTGGTTACTATAGTTATTTAGTATAATTTGAAGTCAGGTAATATGATTCCTCCAATTTTGATTTTGTTGTGTAGGATAGCTTTGGCTGTTCTGGGGTTTTTTGGGGTTCCATGTAAATTTTAGGATTATTTATCTATTTCATTTAAGCATGTCATTGGCATTTTAATAGAGATTGCATTAAATCTACAGATTGCTTTGAGTAGTATGGACATTTTAACAATATTCTTACAATCCAGGGAACATGAAATATATTTCCACTTTTGGTGTCCTCTTCAATTTATTTTATCAATATAATACAGTTTTTATTGCAGAGATTTTTTTCACTTCTTTGGTTAATTCCTAGATATTTAATTTTATCTGTAGCTATTGAAATGGGATTAGTTTGTTGACTTCCTTTTTTTTTTTTTTTTTTAAGATGGAGTTTTGATCTTGTTGCCCAGGCTGCAGTTCATGACATGGTCTTGGCTCACTGTAACCTCCGCCTCCTGGATTCAAGTGATTCTCCTGCCTCGGCCCCTCAAATAGCTGGGATTACAGGTGTCTGCCACCACACCCAGCTAATTTTTGTATTTTTAGTAGAAGTGGGATTTCACCATGCTGGGCAGGCTGGTCTTGAACTCCTGACCTCAGGTGATCCACCCACCTCGGCCTCCCAAAGTGCTGGGATTACAGGCGTGAGCCACCATGCCCATCTTTGTTTATTTCTTTTTCAGATTTTTCACTGTTGGCATACAGAAATGCTACTGATTTTTGTGTGTTGATTTTGTATCTTGCTACTGTACTGAATTTGTTTATCAGTTCTAGTAATTTCTTGGTGGAGTCCTTAGGTTTTCCAAGATATAAGAGCATATCATCTGCAAACAAATATAATTTGACTTCTTCCTTTCCAATTTGATGCAATTTTTTTCTTTCTTTTTTCTGATTGCTTTAGCTAGGATTTCCAGTACTATGTTGAATAACTGTGGTCAAAGTGGGCATCCTTGGCACGCTTTCTGTTTTTCCCCATTTATGATACTAGCTGCAACTCTGTCATATATGGCTTTTGTTGTGTTAAGCTATATTCCTTCTATACCCAGTTTTTGTAGAGTTTTTATCATGAAGTAATGTTGAATTTTATCAAATGTTTTTTAGCAACAGTTGAAATTATCATATAGGTTTTGTCCTTCAGTCAGTTGATATGATGTCTCACATCCTTATATCCCTGTGATAAATCTCATGTGATCATAAGGAATGATTTTTTAAATGTGTTGTTGAATTTGGTTTGCTAGTATTCTGTTTTTGCCTCAATGTTTATCATGGACATTGGCCTGTAGTTTTATTTCTTTTCTTTTCTATTTTTTTAATGTGTCTTTGTCTGATTTTGGTATTAGGATAATACTGGCCTTGTAGAATGAGTTTGGACGTATTCACTCCTTCTCTATTTTTTGGAATAGTTTGAATAGGATTGATATTAGGTCTTCTTCAAATGTTTGGTAGAATTCAGCAGTTAAGCCATTGGGCCCTGGCCTTTTCTTTGCTGGGAGATTTTTATCATGGCATTGATCTCATTACTTGTTATTGGTCTGTTCCGGTTTTGGATTTCTTCATAGTTCAATCTTGGTAGGTTGT
This sequence comes from Homo sapiens, assembly GCF_000001405.40. Classification (NCBI taxonomy): domain Eukaryota; kingdom Metazoa; phylum Chordata; class Mammalia; order Primates; family Hominidae; genus Homo; species Homo sapiens. The sequence goes on from NC_000012.12 coordinate 86,279,393, forward strand.
ATGTATCTAGAAATGTATTGATTTATATTAGGTTTTGCAACTGATAGGCATACTGTTCCTCATAGTAGCCACAAGTGATTCTTTAATTTTCTGTGGTGTCAGTTGTAAGTCTCCTTTTCATTTTTGATTTTATTTATTTGGGTCTCCTCTCTCTTTTTCTTAGTCTATCAACTTTGCTTACCTTTTCGAAAACAAGCAACATTTTGTTTTGTTGATCTTTTTTATTGTTTTCTTCATTTTAATTTTATTTATTTCTGCTCTGATCTTTTTTTTTTCTTCTACTAATTTTGGGTTCCATTTGCTCTTGATTTCTTATTCTTTAATAAGAATTGTTGGGTTGTTTATTTGAAGATTTTCTACTTTTTAAAATGTAGGTGCTTATAGCTTTAAGCTTCCCTCTTAGTACTGCTTTTGCTATATCCCATAGATTTTGGTAAGTTGTGTTCCCATTGTCATTTGTTTCAAGAAATTTTTCAATTTTCTTAGTTTCTTTGTGGGCCCATTCAGGAGCATACTGTTTAATTTCCATATGTTTGTATAGTTTCCAAAATTCCTTGTTATTGATTTCTAGTTTTATTTCATTATGATCAGAGAAGATGATTTATATGATTTCAATGTTCTTGAATGTTTTAAGACTTACTTTGTGATGTAACATATGGTCTAACATTGAGAATGATCTATGTGCTTAGGAGAAGAATGGGTATTCTGCAGCCCTTGAATGAAATATTCTGTAAATATTTATTCGGTCAATATTTATTCAGTCAATTGGTCTATAGTGCAGATTAAGTTCAATTTTTTTGTTGATTTTCTGCCTGAAAGATTTGTCCAATGCTGAAAGTGAGGTGTTAAAGTCTACAGGTGTTATTATATTGGAGTCTATCTCTCTCTTTAGCTCTAATAATATTTGCTTCATATATCTACGTTCTCCAGTGTTGGGTGCATATATATTTATAATTATTATATCCTGTCATTACAAATCTATTTTTTAGGTGAAGCAGTTATTTTTATTTTAACTAAATTTATATTATTAAAAGGTAACTATTTGAAAAATATAAAACCATATAAAGTAAATGTAAACTGTCCTTTTGACTCAAGATCCATGGCCTACCATTTCGGATATAAAGCTTCAATAACAGATTAATGCATATCTTTTCAGAAATGTTTCAAAAATTTAGAATGCTTTTTCATGCTTTATTGCTTTTAAATTTCATTATATAGATTTGTTTATTTATGTCTTATTGTGTCCATTATTGCTATTTGTGTTTGGAACCTCTCTTACTAGTTTACACATTTTGAATTTCTATCCTTTTTTTTTTTAAATGAAATAACCCTTTATCATTGCGAGATGATTTTCAAAAATAACTTTGTTTTCTTTTACTATGAATTTCACTTTTGCTGACTTTATTATCATCACTTCAGTTTTCTTATTGTTTACATTTACAAAGTACATATTTTATCTTATTACTTTTAACCTTTGTAGTCTTTTATGTTTAGTATGTGCTCTTGTACAGAGAATATAGTTGGTTCCCTCTTTGTTTAATGATTATGGCAATCTTTGTCTTTTAATTAGAGTGCTTAATCCATTTACCAGTAATATTATTATTGACATGGTTATGTCCGTCATCTTGCTATTTATATTTTGCTTGTCTTGTAAGTTTTGTGTTTGTTTGTTTTCTATTATCCTATCTTCTTTTTGGTTGCATACATTTTTGTTATTTCCTTTTCTGTTGTTTATTGGCTCTTTTTCACTGTGCCCCTCCCTTCTTTTGGTAGTTTTTATGACTTACGGTATACATCTTCTATTTATCAGAACAGACTCTCTTGAAATCATTTTTGTTAAAAATTTAAGAAACTTACATTGGTATACTTTCATTTTCCTTGCTAAGCCTCTGTGCAATTGTTGTCACACATATGTTTTCTCTATTTTCCCCTTCCTATCCCTCATTTCCTCCCCCTTTCCTTCCTCTCTCCATCCCTCTCAATATAAAATATATATCCATTTTGTTTCCCTATATACATAGATATGGATGTAGATAGAAATAGAGATATATCTGTATCTCTGTATATGTATCTTCAAAATGTATCATCATTTTTATTAATTATATTTTGGAGAAGTTTTATAAATAATTATTGGAAGACTTTTATATTTAATTTTTAATTTTTCTATTTTTTTAGAGGCAGAGGTCACACTATGTTGCCCAAGCTGGTCTCGAACTCATGGCCTGAAGTCATCCTCCTGCCTCAGCCTTCTTAATTGCTGGGATACAGGCATAACCCATTATGCCGGATGTTTTTTGTATAAACTCCAACTTTTATAATGTATTATTGTATTTTAACCCAGCAAACCTGATTCTGCATTCTTATCATGCAGTACTGTTTGTGGTAGGTTTTCTGAGCTTTTGTTCATGAGAAAATACTTTTATTTTGCCTGTTTTTTGTGAACACTATTTGAAGGACACTTATTTCTGGAGTATAAATTATATTTCAACAATTATATTTTCCCTTTCTTTAGCCTTTAGTGACTTCATTTTATTGTTGCTTTTATTTAAAGTATGAGACCACAGTCAATATTCTTCCCTATGTAAGTAGAATGTTTTCCCTTCTGCCTGCTTTAAAATTTTCTTTATATTTCAATTATAGCATTTTGACTATGTTATGTACATGGGGGCTTTTTAAATTTTACTTTGCTCAGTATTTGATGTGATTCTTTCATCACCAGACTAGTGTTTTCTTTCAAATTGCAAAAAGATGTTTTGCCATGAAGTAATCAGCCTCATACAATTTCTCTTTCCACCTGGAATCCCAGTGACACATAAATTAGACTGCTTAATATTTTCCACAGGTCCCTGTGGCACGCTTATTTTATTTAACACTCTTTTTCTCTACGGATTACTTTCAATGATTTACATTTTTCTATCTTCAATCTGACCAATAATTTCTTATACAATATTCTATCTGTTGTTAAACCTAATCCAATGCCTTCTTTTTGGTTTTGAATATTGGAGTTTTCAGTTCTAGAATTTTCATTTAGTTCTTTTTTGTAATAGTTACCATTTTTCTACTGAGGTTTCTTTTTGTTAATTTACTGTGTTTATATTTTTCTCTAAATACTCATTTATAATAACAAAATAAAATATTGAAACAGCTAATCCTGGTATACCAGTCATAGGTATTTGTTTCTAATGATGATACTTTTTTCTTGCTTCTCCATATATCTAGTAAATATTTATTACATATTGTGGATATTATATTGTTCAGTATCTAATTAACTGTGCTCCTTTAAAGTATTAAATTTGTTCTGGCAATACTTAATCTACTGATATATAACCTTGATTATTTCCAGTCCTGTTTTTCAGCTTTTTGTTTTGTTTTGCTTTGTTTTCGTTTTTAGTGTGATTCTAGAGTAAAGTTTATTCTAGGACTATTGCAGCCCAACTACAAAAGCTTTTCTATATTGCATATCTTTTCTGGACTCTTGATTAAATGATTCGGGTGTTTAGCAAAGCATTTTGTTATATTATACCCAGTGTGTCTTCTAGCACTATGAAACTTTAGATCAAAGCTACTCAGTATTTTTTCTAGGCAAAAACTTTCAATATATCATCTTGGGCATGTGCAACTCAGTGCCTGGTAAAAGACACCAAAGCAACATCATGCAAAGTCCTGGAGCCTTTTGTCTTCATACCTTCCATTGGCAATTACAGCCATTTCACCATTGTTGAACTCTCATTTCTGCCTCCTCAGAACAATGAGAGCACTATGCTTTTCTTGGGTTCTACCATTCTGCCTTCCACCACAATAAAAAAAAAAAAATTCTTCCAAATAGAAAAGTGATGTAACTGTGAGGTTCACCTCTTGTACTTCTCACATCCCTATTCTGTTTGTTATTCAGATTCTAAACACTGTTGCTTCACCTATTTTGTCTGTTCTTATAGTGTTTTATAGTGGTAGAGCTAGCCTGTCATGGACATAAGTGGAAATTATATATTTATGTTATATCAAGTTATATTATATATAAATAATTTCCACTCTTTAGAAATTCTTCTTCTCTCTCTTAAATACTGTACATATTTAGAACTTTTAATCTAAGACAGGACATAAGAGAAGAAAAAAATTTAAACAATCTCCACAATGGAACAAGTTTGGTTTCTTCTTAACTATTCTAGTTTTTATTAATATGATTAAATATGAAATCAAAATATAATAACTTAGCATTTCACATGCTTAGGCTAATTCTGATACAGCGACCATGGGTGATATACTGTTTGTTGATTGTTTTTAGATTTTCAAAGCTCTGAGATATAAGTGTATTCTGTTTTCAACTATCTGCCAAGAGCATAAATAGTTGAGCTTTAAAATGACACCTGGCTACATCTCTATTTGTCTAAATAAATGTCTGTATGTGACATGTTTATAGCTGTTGGAACACTGCTTTTCTTCACCCTGACAGTTCTGTAGAGATACAGTATATCGCTATATGGAATTCAAAGCATGTTCAACACTTTGTGCTAAGGCATTGCTGCCTCAAAATGTTTACAATTTGATCCTCTGCTGCATCTATTAAATCTACTACAAACATTACATGTTGCACAGGACTTTATATAGCTGAATAAAAGATAAGCATAAAGTTTTCTAAGACTTAAAAGTATTCAAACAAAAATATATTTGTATCATCTAAGCTAAATGCACTGGCTAAAAGACCTCCACACTGTTTTTGTGAATAAAGCATAACATGCAAATACACTATCCAGGGTTGGGAAATATAAATCAATGATTCTATAACAGGTTGTCTCATTTAAAAACAATTTTAAAATATTGAATACACAAACAGACTTAATAGTAGGTAAAAATAAAGGTATCCTTTAGTCTTCTGAGATGAATGTTTATATATATATAAATATATACTAAATGCACATTTTTTTCCTCTATCTCTTTACTTTGAGAAGATAAAAAGTAACAATGTGGTCCTCGCAAAGCTTCTCTGGAGACACCTCTTCTAGAAGTAGTGATTTCACCTATTTCTAAGATCTAGCCCAGGATATAATTATTTATTAGACGATTATGCTGAAGTTTAAACTAGTCTGAAAAAATCTGCCAAAAAAATACCCAAAAAACAAATCATATATCCCTGGTGAAAATATTTTATAATTCCACCCTTATCCCTTATGTTTATTATGACTTAATTATAGTAGAAGTTGTCTTACTATCAAATACTTCTAATAATTGAAAAGAAACAGTGGAATCAAATAGGAAACCATGAAAAATCATTTGTCTGTATTAAAGATTTGTTTTGACATAAACCATGTAAGTGTACACTTTTTCCTAGTTTATATTTAAAACTTCTTCTTGTGGCAATAGTCTGCTAATTAGAGTTCCATGCAGCCTTCTCCCATGTGCAAACAACCATCATGAATATACCATAATCTCCAATTTCTGTTAATTTTAGATGGAAGAAAAATGTAATTCAGAAAATCCTGAGAGCATATGTCATCTGCACAGTCAATTATTTTTTCAGTAATTTTCATCCTTATGTAATAGTATTAATTTTAGCAACTAAACTTTGGTTGTCTAAACATTAGACAAAATTTCATAGAAACAAATTCATATTTCATTTGTGCTCATATTTTTTACTGTAAATAATATTCACTAAAATTCAAAAATACCATAACAGGAACATGTTGGGCAAACAAATTTGAGATCAAACACATTTAAATCTTAATTGATAAAACAAGTGGAGGGAGTAGAAATGTACATCATCTCCAGGTACTAGCCTTCCAGTCACAAATATTCGGCTTCCTATAGATATTAGACACTATATTTTGCTGTAGGAATGAAGGGTGTTGATTCAATGAGAGTCAGTTATGTAAGGGCCTGTTAAGAGAGCTTAAAGTACCATATTCAATGTTCCTTTTATCTTGTAGAATGTTAAGCTTCATAAGAGCAGGGATGTTGACTATTGTGTTCACCACCGTGTATCCAGTGTGTAGCATTGTGCTTTGCTTGTAATAAAAATCAATATATATTTAATACAGAAAACTCATTTATACAACACACAACATACACACAAAATGCAAATAGCATACAAGAATATTTAACAATATAGGACATCAAATAATGATTCTGGGAGCTTTCCAACTATCAAATTTTGACAAAAGTTAGAAAACAATAATTACTGAAATAGAAATGAGGGAGCAACACATTTGCATATTATTGATGGAAGTGTGAATTGATACACTGATTCTGAAAAACATAATTTTAGACTACTATATGTGCTCAAAAGTCTCAAAAATATAAATATACCCCTGATGTCTTTAGAGATGTATGTAAAGATCTGTGTAAGATACTTTTTACAGTTATGCTCATGTCCATAAAAATTGCAAATTGCCTAAAGATCTAACAGAGGATTTATTAAATAAATCTTATGTATGTAATAAAATATTATAATGAAATATTATGCATATATTTCAATCATGTATTCACATATTCTTTAATGACATAAAAATGCTTACAAAACATGAGAAACAGAACTCCACATTTATAAAATCACATTGATTATAAGACATACCCACACATTCACAAAAGAAATACAACAAACCAGAAATAATTATTTATTTTAAGGGTGATAAAGTCTTTGCAAACGTTTATTGTTTCTCTTTATTTTTCTTTTTTCTATAATAAACATACTGTGTAGAAATAAGGACAAAATTGTCTTAAAAGGCAATTTTTAATTCTTGTATCCTTTTCTTGTCCTTTAAAATATCACCAGGAAACTAGCCTTGATTATTATATTTAGTGAGTTGGAGACAGGATGTGACGTTTTATACACATTAAAATGCTAGCCTAGCATGACTTTGGCTTAAATTTGAGTGTGTCACATGTGATAAAATGTTAGCAGTAAAAAGAACATTAGAGAGGCCCTAATTAAAATTCCATCTTTAGCAGTAAGTGGCCATGCACTATGTCTACATTAAGCTTTCCATCAAAATGTGTTTCAAAATTGGTAGTACTTATACTTGTTTGAGAAAGAGAAATTGCTATACAGACAATAATACAACTAACCAGCCAATATTCCTCACACTATTAAGCATGTACGTTTTTAAAACATGGCAGTAAATGAATATTCATTAGGCATGAAACCTTTAAAATTGAATATTCATGACAGTTTATAGTTTCTAAGTGAAAAGTAAATTTTTCTTTTTAAATTTTATTTTAGGTGCAGGGGAACATGTGCAGGTGTGCTATATTGGTAAATTGTGTGCTGCAGGGGTTTGGTGTACAGATTCTTTTGTCATCCAGGTAATAAGCATAGTACACAATAGGCCATTTTTCTATTCTCATTCCCCTCCCACCCCCACCCCCTTGTAGGCCCTGGTGTCTGTGGTTTTCTACTGTGTGTCCATATGTACTCAATGCTTAGCTCCAACTTGTAAGTGAGAACATGTGGTATTTGTTTTTCTGTACCCCTGTAAGTTCTCTTAGGATGATGGCCTCCAGCTCTATCCATGTTTCTGCAAAGGACAGGATCTCATTCTTTTCTGTGGGTGCATGGTATTCCATGATTTATAAGTAATATATTTGCTTTATCCAGTCTACCATTGGTGAACATTTAAGGGTGATTCCATATCTTTGCTATTGTGAATAGTGCTGTGATGAACATATGCATGCATGTGGCTTTATGGTAGAGTGAGTTATATTCCTTTGGGTATTCAATAATGAGACTGCTGGGTCAAATGGTAGTTCCTCTTTGAGATCTTTGAGAAATCACCAACCTCTTTCCCAAAGCGGTGAACTAATTTACATTCCCACCCTACACACACCAGGGAAGTGTATAATTATTTGCCTTTTCCCCCAATCTCTCCAGAATCTGTTATTTTTTTTACCGTTTAATAATAGTCATTCTGACTGGTGTGAGTTGGTATCTCATTATGGTTTTGATTTCCATTTCTTTTTTTTCTTTATACTTTTTTTTTCTTTTTAATTATACTTTAAGTTCTGGGATTATGTGCAGAATGTGCAGGTTTGTTACATAGGTATAAACGTGCCATGGTGGTTTGCTGCACCCATCAACCTATCAACTACATTAGGTATTTCTCCTAATGCTATCCCTCCGTTAGCCCCTCCACCCCACCACAGGCCCCAGTGTGTGATGTTTCCCTCCCTGTGTCCATGTGTTCTTATTGTTCCCCTCCTACTTATCAGTGAGAACATGCAGTGTTTGGTTTTCTGTTCCTGTGTTAGTCTGCTGAAAATGATGGATTCCAGCTTCATCCACGTCCCTGCAAAGGACATGAACTCATCATTTTTTATGGCTGCATAGAGCCAAAACTGTGCCACATATTCTTTATCCACTGTAATATTGATGGGCATTTGGGTTGGTTCTAAATCTTTGCTATCGTGAGCAATGCTGCAGTAATCATACGTATGCATGTGTCCTTATAGTAGAATGATTTATAATCCTTTGGGTATATACCCAGTAATGGGATTGCTGAGTCAAATGGTATTTCTGGTTCTAGATCCTTGAGGAATTGCCACACTGTCTTCCACAATGGTTGAACTAATTTACACTCCCACCAACAGTGTAAAAGTGTTCCTATTTCTCCACATCCTCTCCATCATCTGTTGTTTCCTGACTTTTTAATGATCACTATTCTAACTGGCATGAGATGGTATCTCGTTGTGGTTTTGATTTGGATTTCTCTAATGACCAGTGATGATGAGCTTTTTTTCATATGCTTTTTGGCTGCATAAATGTCTTCTTTTGAGAAGTGCCTGTTCATATCCTTTGCCCACTTTTTAATGGGGTTGTTTTTTTCTTGTAAATTTGTTTAAGTTCCTTGTAGATTCTGGATATTAGCCTTTTGTCAGATAAATAGATTGCAAAATTTTTCTCCCATTCTGTAGGTTGCCTGCTCACTCTGATGATAGTTTCTTTTGCTGTGCAGAAGCTCTTTAGTTTAATTAGATCCCATTTGTCAATTTTGGCTTTTGTTGCCATTACTTTTGGTGTTTTAGTCATGAAGTCTTTGCCCATGCCTATGTCCTGAATGGTACTGCCTAGGTTTTTTTCTAGGGTTTTATATGGTTTTAGGTCTTACATTTAAGTTTTAATCCATCTTGAGTTAATTTTTGTATACGGTGTAAGGAAGAGGTCCAGTTTCAGTTTTCTGCATATGGCTAGCCAATTTTCCCAACACCATTTATTAAATAGGGAATCCTTTCCCTATTGCTTGTTTTTGTCAGGTTTGTCAAACATTTCCATTTCTTTAATGATTAATCATGTGGAGCATTTTTAGTATATTTGTTGACCACATGTAAGTCTTTTTTTGGAAAGTGTCTGTTCATGTTCTTTGCCCTCTTTTTAATGGGGTTGTTTTTCCCTTGTAAATTTGTTTAAGCTCCTTAGAGATTCCAGATATTAGACCTTTGTTGGACGCACAGTTTGTAAAAATTTTCTCCCATTCTGTAGGTTGTCTGTGAACTTTGTTGATAATCTCTTTTGCTTTGTAGAAGCTCTTTAGTTTAATTAGGTCTCATTTTTTAATTTTTGTCTTTGTCACAATTGCTTCTGATGTCTTTGTCATGAAATCTTTGTCAGGGCCTATGTTCAGAATGGTATTGCCTAAGTTGTCTCCCAGGGTTTTTATAGTTTTGGGTTTTGTATTGAAATCATTAATCCATCTTGATTTTTGTATATGGTGTAAGGAAAGGATCCAGTTTCAATCTTCTGCCTAGAGCTAGCAAGTTATCCCAGCACCATTTATTGAACAGTAAGTCTTCTCTCCATTTCCTGTTTTTGTCAACTTTGTTGAAGACTAGATGATTGTAGGCGCATGGCATTATTTCTGGGCTCTCTATTCTGTTCCACTAGTCTACGTGTTTGTTTTTGTACCAATACCAAGCTGTTTTGGTTACTGTTGCCTTGTAGTATAGTTTGAAGTTGGGTAATTGGATGCCTCGGGCTGTGTTCTTTTTGCTTAAGATTACCTTCACCCTTTGGGCTCTTTTTTAGTTCCATATGAGTTGTAATTTTTTTTTTCAAGTTATCTGAAGAATGTCATTGGTAGTTTGATAGGAATAGTAATGAATCTGTAAATTGCTTTGGGCCGTATGACCATTTAACAACATTAATTATTTCTATCCATGAACATGGAATGTGTTTCCATTTGTTTGTGTCACTTCTGATGTCTTTCAGCAGTGTTTGGTAATTCTCCTTGTAGAGATCATTCACCTCCCTGGCTAGCTGTATTCCTAGGTATTTTATTCCTTTTGTGGCTATTGCGAGTGGGATTGCATTCTTGACTGGGATCTCAGCTTGGATGTTGTTGGTGTGTACAAATGCTACTAATTTTTGTACACTGGCTTTGTATCCTGAGACTTTGCTAACGTGTTATTTTGCTTTACTATTTTTAAAAATTTTAGGTTTTTACTGTTGAGGAAATTGTTTTCCCAAATTCATAGTTAACTCATAGATCATAGTCTCCTTTGCATTTGCTTTGAAAACATATAGAAAGTTAATAAAATGTGGACTTACAGGCCCACCCATAACCACTCTGTAGGTTAGCATCCATGCTTTCTTTTTTCCTTAAAAAGAGACATCATAGGTCATACTGAAAAGACAATGGAGTTACTAGCTAGAAGGATTCTGAATATCTAAATCACTTTTTTTTTTTTTGAGACGGAGTCTTGCTCTGTCACCCATGCTGGAGTGTAGTGGTGCGATCTCTGCTCACGGCAACCTCTGCCTCCCAGGTTCAAGTGATTCTCCTGCCTCAGCCGCCCAAGTAGCTGGGATTACAGGCATGCGCCACTGTGCCCAGCTAATTTTTGTATTTTCAGTAGAGACGGGTTTGGCCAGGCTGGTCTTGAACTCCTGGCCTCAGGTGATCTGGCTGCCTCAGCCTACCAAAGTGCTGGGATTACAGGTATGAGCCACCGCACCCGGCCTCTAACTCACTTTTTAGATAAAAGCTACGCAGGAGAGCAGCAGCACAATCAGTAATATCCCAATTCAAATTTGCATGACAAATATCACGGAGGGTTTGAGATTTGCAGTAGTCAGCATTGATTATACAGACTAATAAAAAAACTGGATCCTTAAAGTGAGATATTGACAAAACAAAATTGAAACACATATTATTAACTTAGTAGGGGGTGACAGATTGCAAGAGAATAAAGTAGGTTGGTCCCTTGGTGATTAAAATGAAAACACATTTTAAACCATAACCTGACAAAATCATTTGTGCATCAAACCCCAATGACATGCAATTTACCCATGTAACAAACCTGTATATATCGCCTCTGAAGCTGAAAGTTAAGGAAAGAAAAAAAAAAAAAGAGGAATAAGTTAAAGTAAACAATAACCACAAGAAACCATAACCCATGGTAACTTGGAAGGCAGACCAAAGCTGACTCAGTTTATAGGTCTAAAAGTGTTTGAAAAATACATTCTTGCGGTATGTTACTATTATTGACAGTTTTAGCAGAGTATTACAAGAAAGAGATGAGCTCAGAAAATAATTAGCAGATTTAAAGTGAAGTGAAAGGGAATAAGGAAGCTCGGAAAAAGGTAAGAGTTGAAATTTAAAATGCTTTGAACAACCAAGACCCAGAGAAATTGGGTCAGCTGAACAGTGTATCATATTTGTGCCAAAGATCAGATAAAGCACATGTTCTGCCCACTCAAGCTTGATGGTCACAAGCTTATCTGACTTTAAGGTGAGATACAAAGAGGCATGACAGCAAGATAGCAAAGAAATGAAACATAGTTGAGAATAATGTCTGGTGGTTTGAGCTACTTGTACCTGAAACTGACTGGAAGCAAATAGTTTGCCAAGTTCTTAAAAGATTTATATTGCCAAATAGCCACAAGTCCGGGTTAAAAAGTATTTGACTCTGCAATCCTAGAAAGAACTCTTGGACATGAGCATGAACATGAGATGGGTTCTGTAAGCTGGACAGCCAAGAAATAGATATTTTTAATGTGTAATTTAGATAAAGCATGGAGGATGAGAAGAAATAGCATTCACTAAATTTGGTTTTCTTAACAAGGTAGTTACTCCCAGGGAAGATCAGGTCTAATTGAGAAGCTTTCTTTTTTTCACCAGGAAGTGGGTCCTCACAATATGTTCTTAGCTGGATTCCATAAATGCCATGGATCAATGACTTCTGTGTGCCTTCTATTCTCGTGTTTTCCAAATGCGGGTTGTTATTGATATTAGTGTATCTGTATCTGTCATTATGTATATATGAAGGATCCAGGGGCAGAATAAATGGATTTTTAACATGCAGATTACAAAGCATGAATATGCTACTACATGTGGACCTAACATAGGTATCAGGTTGGTGCAAAAGTGATGGCAAAACCCCAATTACTTTTGCACCAACCTAATAACTGCAATTAGCCAAAGATTCCGGAAATAAACTGAATACTGTGAATAGGATTTGGGGGTAAGTGGAAGATATGAAAAATAGCACTAATGAAATACTGGGTGGCCAAAGGGTAGACTATAACAAAGACACTGCTCTATTTTTATCAAAGCATATCTACCTCCTTTTGGACTCACAGTTAAAGCTATGATTTCAGGCCCCATTTCAATTAGCTTGGGATCATATGACTAACTTGTGTCCACACAATTTTATGCTTGATTCTCCACATTCACCTCCTTAAGATAAAGACAGAGACATTTGAGGATTGTAGGAGCCTGTTGTTACTGCTTGGAGGCAAACCACTCAGGAAGGAATTAGCAACAGATGAAGTTTATTAAGCCACTGAGATTTCTGGATGTTTGGTGGTGGTGGTGGTACAGCAATTAGTGTTAATAACTCTGAATAATATAAATACATTTTAGCAAAAATATAATGAAAAATTATAATTTTATAATGAACTATTAAAATATTTTTTTAAAATATCATATTTTAGATATATAGATATAACTACTCCTTTAACTTACTAGAAAGAGGTTTAAGCTTTTCCTATTTCTGTGCAAAGACATCAAAATTCATAATTTTTCAGTCTATTATTTAAAGAATAAGAAGAAAAACCCTACTACTTTTTTTTTTAGTGAAGAGATCAGGAGAGCTATTCCATTTGGAAAACACTGATTTTCAGCAGGGCCCATTTTCCCCCAAATTCAAGGAACACAAAACAAGTTAATTCAGAAATGTGGATATAGATGACTGTCTAGAAATAATTAATGATAACTTCTGAAGAGCTGTCATAGGTAATGTGATGTCTTTAAATTAATAACAGTTTACATCACCCATATTGCGTTCCACGAAAACTGCTGTTCCATTCTATTTGACCTTAATTGGTATAATTGATAACAGCTACAGCTTGGAGTGTCATTTTAATCATGTTGGTAGAAGTCTCCTGACAGAAGAAAATAAAATCGCTGTTGTGAGTTATTTATTATTAGTGGGAAAACAGAAAGGTAAAAGAAATGACTGTTTTTTTTTTTTTTAAACCTGCAACTTTGGGACTTCTAAATTATAACAGGCAATTTACTAATGGGATTAAAGGGCTTGTGCTAATTGCTAAAAAATTAATGAAAACTAGTTCATATGTAATTTGACATAATTGAAAAAATGAGAAAATTAGTTGGTTGCAGGTTAGAGATATCAATAAACAATTCAAGACAAAGAGAATATTCTAAAATGTTCTAAACGTTAGTACGACCCCTGGTGAATAAGATTTCTATAACAGATATGCTGTTTAGCGCTGATTATTTAAAAGTTCAATTTTTAAATTTGAAGTAGAAATTGAAAATTATGCTAGTTATAAATGTGACTATTTCTTGCTGATTTGAATGGGTTGTTCAGTGTGTGCATGGAGACAGTGTGTACATGGGGTTAAATGTTGAAAAAAATAGATATTGTTAGTTTAATAGTCTTTTTGTGATAAACAGAGTCAATAGTGAGTCTCCTAAGCCCTTTTTCTACCAAATATTGCTGAATTATTATAAGATAATGAGCTGGTCTTTCCAAGAAAACATTTTGTCTCTCACCTTTATCACTACTTTTTAGATATTTCTTTCTGTTTTTAAAAAAATAATAGGAAGGCAAAATTCAACAATAGGAACTCAGGATTTTAATTTTTTTGACAACTGAAAAATGTGTACTCTACCTATTGAAGAAATCTGAATTCTGAGCCATTTCTTATTTCTTGCTTTGTTCTTGTTTTTTAAATTTGAGTAACATGCATTGTCTCCTTTATGACTTATAACAATTGAGTCATTATGATATGTTTGTAGCTTAGTGTGTGATATGGTTTGGCTCTGTGTACCTATCCAAATCTTATCTTGAATTGTAATCCCCACGTGTCAAGGGAGCACCCAGGTGGAGGTAATTAGATCATGTTCTCATGATAGTGAGTGAGTTCTCACAAGATCTGATGGTTTTATAAGTGTTTGGAAGTTCCTCCTGCATTCACTCACTCCATCCTCCTGACCTGTGAAGAAGGCATCTGCTTGTCCTTTGCCTCCTGCCATGATTAAAGGTTTCTTGAAGCCTCCCCAGCAATGCGGAACTGTGAGTCAACTAAACCTCTTTCCTTTATGAATTAATCCATAAATCACAATTGTCTCACTTTTCTTCTTTGATTCTTTTGCTCTAACTCCTAGCAACAAAATCTCCCATGATGCAGTGTTAACTCCACCAGTGCACACAAAGATCATGACAAATATTACAGGACATAGAATGGTGCCTGGCTCATAGCACTTTAGAAATTAAAAAACAATATTAAAAAAAAAACCACCTATGCAGTTCAACTGTAACTTAGACTTCTTTAGAAGCTATTTTACTTAGCTAACTCGTGGCTAGTGAAATCACTACAGCAGTGGACATGTTTGGGGGCCTCCTTTCCCATCCCTCTCCTGGATTGTCTCTAATTAAATTCTTTCATGTCTTTATCTGTATCTTCCTAGCTTTCGTCTATCATGGGGGAAAAGGTGTTATTCACACTCACTAAAACTCCTTTTTTTTTTTAATCTAAATCCTTGCTTTTATCACTCTTCTTATTCCAGAACTTTGCTTCCAAATTTATTATCTTCCTGTCTAGCACCACATGCCTCTTCGATTGCGCTTGTTCTCCTCTGCATGCAAATACACGCAGGGCTTGACTGTTCCGAAAATCAAAACAAAAAGAGAACAAAGTACTTCATTTTATTCAACTGTACTTTCTCCCAGACAATCTGGTTTTCTCCTTTCTGCAACTGTACAAAATTGTAAAACAAGTAATGTGAAATATTCAGTAAAGTTTTTATCTCTGGTTTGTAGTCAGCATTTGTTGGGGGGGAAAAAAGTTAAATACTTTTAGTTTCCCAGTTGTCTCAAACCTGTGACTCTTATTTCTTGTCCCAGTATCAGCAGACTATTTGGTTCCTATTTTGCAATAATAGTATTTATTTATCAGAACTCCCTCAACTCACTACTTCCAAGATTGCAAATTCACCTACATTTGCTCCCACCATTTTCCCTTCCTTCTCTATTACAATGAAAGCTTTTTATCAAGGGCGCCCCGTAAAGTCTTTGTTCACTTCTGCCCCTTCTAATTCCCACTTTAACAATATTTGTCACATAAATCTTCTTCAATAATTCCAAAATTTCTCAGTTCATCTTTCTGACTTCCAATCAAGTCATCACAATTACATGGAGAATGGTTCTTTAAAGCACAAAATGGTCCTATAATAATAATGCCTTTGCTTAAAATCCCTTAACTACTTATTATTTTATTCAGGCTTTTAATCTCAATATATTTTAGTTCTCTGAAAAATAGCCATAAACAATTTATTTAAATAGTATACATATTTCATTATTAAACATGGACATTTTGTTCTAGCCTTAGTATTCTCTTAAAATTCGATTTCCAAAGCTATAAAATTATTTGTGATAACTTTTATTTTGCACTATTTGATAAAAGTAATGTGCCTGGAATTGGTGGTTTGTTGGTCTCACTGACTTCAAGAAAGAAGCCGCAGACCCTCGCGGTGAGTGTTACAGCTCTTAAGGCAGCGCGTCTGGAGTTGTTCATTCCTCCTGGTGGGCTCGTGGTCTTGCTGGGCTCAGGAGTGAAGCTGCAGATTTTCGCAGTGAGTGTTACAGCTCATAAAAGCAGTGTGGACCCAAAGAGTGAGCAGTAGCAAGATTTATTGCAAAGAGCGAAACAACAATGCTTCCACAGTGTGGAAGGGGACCCCAGCAGGTTGCCAATGCTGGCTCTGGCAGCCTGCTTTTATTCTCTTATCTGGCCCCACCCACATCCTGCTGATTGGTAGAGCCGAGTGGCCTGTTTTGTCAGGGTGCTGATTGGTGCATTTACAATCCCTGAGCTAGATACAAAGGTTCTCCACCTCCCCATCAGATTAGTTAGATACAGAGTTTCGACATACAGGTTCTCCAAGGCCCCACGAGAGCAGCTAGATACAGAGTGTGGATTGGTGCATTCACAAACCTTGAGCTAAACACAGGGTGCTGATTGGTGCATTCACAAACCTTGAGCTAAACACAGGGTGCCGACTGGTTTGTTTACAATCCCTGAGCTAGACATAAAGACTCTCCAAGGCCCCACCAGAGCAGCTAGATACAGAGTGTCAATTGGTGCACTCACAAACCTTGAGCTAAACACAGGGTGCTGACTGGTTTGTTTACAATCCCTGAGCTAGACATAAAGACTCTCCAAGGCCCCACCAGAGCAGCTAGATACAGAGTGTCAATTGGTGCACTCACAAACCTTGAGCTAAATACAGGGTGCTGACTGGTTTGTTTACAATCCCTGAGCTAGACATAAAGGTTCTCCAAGGCCCCACCAGAGCAGCTAGATACAGAGTGTCGATTGGTGCACTCACAAACCTTGAGCTAAACACAGGGTGCTGATTGGTGTATTTACAATCCCTGAGCTAGACATAAAAACTCTCCACGTCCCCACCAGACTCAGGAGCCCAGCTGGCTTCACCTAGTGGATCCCACACCAGGGCTGCAGGTGGAGCTGCCTGCCAGTCCCGTGCCATGCGCTCGCACTCCTCAGCCCTTGGGCGGTCGATGGGACTGGGCGCCGTGGAGCAGGGGGCGGCATTCGTCAGGGAGGCTCCAGTTGCACAGGAACTCATGGAGGTGGGGGACGGCTCAGGCATGGTGGGCTGCAGGTCCCGAGGCCTGCCCGGTGGGAAGGCAGCTAAGGCCCAGCGAGAAATCGAGCGCAGCGCCGGTGGGCTGGCACTGCTGGGGGTCCCAGTACACCCTCCGCAGCCGCTGGCCCGGGTGCTAAGCCCCTCACTGCCTGGGGCCCGCAGGGCCGGCCAGCGGCTCCGAGTGCGGGGCCCGCCAAGCCCAGAACTCCAGCTGGCCCGCAAGCGCTGCGCGCAGCCCCAGTTCCTGCTCGCGCCTCTCCCTCCACACCTCCCTGCAAGCTGAGGGAGCCGGTTCTGGCCTTGGCCAGCCCAGAAAGGGGCTCCCACAGTGCAGTGGCGGGCCAAAGGGCTCCTCAAGTGCCGCCGAAGTGGGAGCCCAGGCAGAGGAAGCGCCCAGAGCGAGCGAGGGCTGTGAGGACTGCCAGCACGCTGTCACCTCTCAGTAACAGCCAAAGGTTAAAATATTTTCTTGTAAAAAAGGCAGATAAAGACAAGTTTAAGTTGTAGATATCTAATTTTCCCTGGAAAAGAAAATATTTCCCTAGTGAAGTAAAGAAAATTTAAATATACAGTAAAAGAACTTTACAGAAGATGTGACCCCAATGAAGGAAATAGAAAAGATAAACATGGAAGTTTAAGTAATACTTTATTTTCACCATTGACAAGGTGACTTAGGCTTTCGAATCCTACAAAAAGCTCTGAATATTTAAGAATAACATTAGCTTGTGAATATTTAAGAATCATAATAATTATGTCCTGGAGAGTTTATTTCTGTACAACAGTGGGAGGCAAGATTTTATGTAGCTCAATCTTTGAAGCACGGTAATAGTATGATTTTGCACGTGATATGCAAATGTGTATGTGTATATACTTATATATTTACACAAAATGTTACTAAAAGAAAAAATACATTTTATATAGAATTTTACCTTACATATTATTTTATTTAAACTACATTTGAGTCTGTGCACATTAAGGGAGAAAACTGTAAAAGCAAGTTAGTTGCAGAATGATTAAGAAACAAAATCTGAGTGTAGACTTTCCAAATCCCTTGTGGATTGATAATGCTATGAATGTGTGAGAGACTAAAGAGATTTCCATTGAAAAACTCTAAGAAACCAGGAGGAGGGTCTGATCCTAAAAGACAGAGTTGGTGCTGATAAGATTTGGGTTTGTTGCACCTTTGACTACTATCAACTCATACACAGGTGGTTTATGAAAACCCAATGCAATTTTAACAAAAGAAAAAAAGGGAGGATCGTTCATCCTATCTATTCAGACACACTATAAAGCCACATTAATACAAGCATGTTACCAACATACATAAATAAAACAGAAAGGAGAGGTCATTTAAATATGAGAGCTTGATGTTTGATAAACATGACATCAAAAATCAGTGCAGAAATAATGGATTTTAAAGTCAGTGATGGGAAAAAATGATTTACTATGTGAAAACATATATATAAAGATATGTGGATGTAATTGATAGGTTGTTATATAAATACATACATGCATAAATACATGCACACAACTAGTAGAAGACGGTGAACAGAAGAGGGTGTAGGGCAATAGGTCATGCTTTGGAGAAAAACTTAATAAAAGCCCTAAAGGGTAAAAAGCAAAAGTTAAAAAAAAATCAATGGGTTTAACTGTATCAAAATAATGATTTCTATTCAATGAAGTACAAAATTATGCAATTCACAGCAGTAAAAATCTAAATGGTTAATAAACATAAAATATTTAACTTATTCATGAAGAACAAAAATACAATAAAAATGTATTATTTTTCATGTTTAAATCATCAAATATTATAAAATGGGATAATATTTATTTCTTACAGGTTTGTCATGAGATGGCAACTTGTATATAGCATTGGAAGTCAGGTAAATTTGCTGCAATCTTTCTGAAAACCGATTTAATGTTATACATCAGCAACTTTTATATGTTCATAATTTATGACCTAGGAATTCTATTTCTAGAATTCTGTCATAAAGGAAGCATCAAAACAAGCATAAACAAGTTTCTCATAACATCATTTATTATAATAAACACTGGAAGAAACCTAAAACCTCAAAAATATGGCAAAGCTTAAATAATTAATGATGGTCTTTCAGATAAAGCTGTGAAAAATTGTTTTGGAGAAATTTTAATGAATTTTTAAAATTCTTATATTAAGTTGGAAAAAACATACTGAGAAACCTGTTGTGTTGAAATAAAACAGTAATCATGGTAATCTATTTATTCTGGAAGTCAACTAGTAGACTGTAAGCAAGAAATGAGAATATTGTATTTTACCTCTAAATACTCAACAGTCCAGCAGTTAGTATATCTATACCAATCACTCAATAAGTGGTTATTAAGAGAAAAAAATTGAATTTAAATTTATTTATATTTTCTATACTTTTATGTAATCTGGAAATTATCACCAATGAGTGCATATCCTTTTTATAATCATAACACATAGTACTATTTAAAACATATATATGTTACAACTCCCTGTAAGGGTTGGGAATAAATATGCTCTTTGCTTTTCTTTGCTGGAGTATAGTTAAAGAATCAGAAAATTTATAGAATACTCTGATCTTTTCAGTAAATTTATTTATTTATTTATTTATTTTTGAGACGAATCTCGCTCTGTCGCCCAGGCTGGAGTGCAGTGGCGCGATCTCGGCTCACTGCAAGCTCTGCCTCCTGGGGTTCAGTTCATTCTCCTGCTTCAGCCTCCTGTGTAGCTGGGACTACAAGCGCATGCCACCAGGCCCAGCTATTTTTTTTGTATTTTTAGTAGAGACGGGGTTTTACCGTGTTAGCCAGGATGGTCTCCATCTACTGACCTCGTGATCCGCCCGCCTCGGCCTCCCAGAGTGCTGGGATTACAGGCGTGAGCCACTGTGCCTGGCCTCTTTTCAATAAATTTCTACCTGAAAATGTCTCTTTTATATATTGGTAAATAAATATGTCAATGAGAATTTAGAAATGAAGAGAGCTTGTTTGTCCTTTAGTTTGGGTCAATAGAGACAAACAATTTTTAATATATTAACTCAGCTTTCTCTTTTGGGTTTGTTAGGAATTTTTAATACAAAACACTTTTACATTCATGAACTTGATACAGCTCAAATAATGAAATTATATAATATTTAATGTAAAAGCTTTCTAATTTACAACTGAACTGTTTTTTGTTCAACATATTACACAACAATATAAAAGGTATTTGCTTTGGGACAATATGCCAAATTATATCTTCTATATTGAGCTATAATTACATAAAGGAGTATATTTTACTTCTGTGTGCAAACTGAGATAAAATTGTTTAAATATTTAGCATTCTGTTTTTATTCCCATTTACCTAAGTAATAAGTACTGTGTCAGAAAATCAAGTGGAAGAGGAGACTGGAAATAGGCAAAGAATCTGCAACAAAAATCAATATTTAATAAACTTTGCATTTTAAGAAAAGAATGAGTATATGCCCTTTGCAGTAGATTTAACTCAAACTTATCAATTTCAGACCTGAATTTCAATTTGCTGAGCAAACTTTCTCTATTTGGACATGTTTTCTTCTTTTCTGGCTCAGCTTCATCTCTACTGATGCCTAAAGGATTTGTGTGAGTTGGGTTACATTTACAAAGCACCCAGTGTGAAATGGCATTTTATTCTCTGTGCATCCAATTTTTTTCTATTCTTTTTCTTTGTTGTTAGTTGGAAATTGACAGGAGTTTCACACTGTGATGCAGGTCATCAAAAATACCTATCATGGAATACATACATACTTTCTTTGATTAAAAAGTAAATTGTAGCAGAAACTGGTTGTCAGCTTCTGACCATCCAGATATTGTCACGAAATTTAAAAAATGAAACAGACTTAGGAAACTCCATCATCACTTAAAGTAAAATAATAAATTGTACATGGCCATTCAAATCAGTAATTCTGAAATTGATCAAAATCTGTCTAGGTATATATAGAGTACATATTTTTAAATGGAATGGGAAAGACAGAAAAACAAAAAACAAAAAACAGAGAAGGGTGGTTCCTTCATGACAAGAACAAATGTGAAGTGATTGTTTTAACCAAGAAGTGATAGCACTACTAAGCAGCTTCAAGTTACATATATAATCAACTAGTAAACATTTTGTTGTTAAAAAGCATTAGCTTGCATTGTAGCTTTTAAAAAATATATATAACCTGCCATGTAGCAAAAGATCCCCCCTCCTCATCCCCCACTCTAAATTTTTATGAAATCTGTTTCACTTGCATTTCATAAACTGAGTATAAAATAAAGTTGTACTGCAAAAAATAGCAAATCAAGTCAAATGGGAGCTACTGAGAGATAAAAAGTTATGTTAGATATGATCCTCGATTAGGAGTATTTATAAGTCATTTGTTTCAGTCTAAGGAGGG
Organism: Homo sapiens; assembly: GCF_000001405.40. Taxonomy (NCBI): domain Eukaryota; kingdom Metazoa; phylum Chordata; class Mammalia; order Primates; family Hominidae; genus Homo; species Homo sapiens. The sequence goes on from NC_000012.12 coordinate 86,300,913, forward strand.
ATATCTAAGAACAAGTAAATCAATTCAAAACAGTGGGGAACTTGCTCTAAATTAGCTATTTACTATGTGCTATAGGGTCATAGAAGAGAGACTCAAATTCAATCTCGTGGGAGCAGAAAAGTAAGCAGTAATTGACATTAACTCTTTTTAATTCTACTTTTCAACCCTTTACAATTTATCAAGTGATAGTGCAATGTGTTGGTCCTCTTTAACTCATTCACGCCCAGGGGCTCACTAACAGTGAGAGGTGTGACATATAGACCATCTCAAAGGGTTGCTAGAGGAAAGAGATAATGTTAAGCTGGTCTTTGTAACTGAAAGAGTCTTGTAATTACTTTCATAGATAAGAATCATTTATCATGAGCTCATTTATTTTTTATCAGTGATATTTTCAAGCCTTTAAAAGTTTGCTAAACTTCACTCTTGAGTATAATAAATAATTTCCTTGTTTACATTACCAATTTGCTTGGAAAATGGTTTCTATTTTACACATCATAGAAAGTCAATTCCAGTTCATACTATGGTTATCATGAGCTACAAATCAGTAGTACTCTAAAATACATTGTACTTAATGAATGATATGCTCCTTGGTATAGAAATATTTCTGCTTTTACATTTGTGTTCTTCTCACCAAATCAATGACACAGTATTTGAGTGGATGTATCTTCTAGTTGATTTTGTTGTTGTTGTTTTGTTTTGAAAGACAAATTATCCTCTATTTTCATCTGACCTCTGCATATGGATGTGTGATATATGTCAGGATGACTGTACAATTCTGTTATAAACTGTTTCTACTGTAATAAGAAAACAATGAAACATACTCTAACATATCATGCCATATTTCTTCACATATTAAAATATTTTTCTCATTTTAATACTTCTCAAATCAAGATTCATCCTAAATTGCTACGTGCACTGATGCAATTTTGCAGACAAAATGTACAATCAAGGTTTATGATATATCTTATATTAATGGAATCTTAGAATTGATAACATGCAGGATTCACAAGAATATCTGCCTATAGGTGAAAAGTCAACATCAACTCCTGTGACTTCCTAAAGAGAAATTTATGTATGTTCTGCATTGCTGCAATATTTCATTAATCTATTTTAATTACTTATGAAACTCTAGAATAAATCTATTTTTAAATAAACTTTTTTTAAATCTTAGCCCCAAAGTAGGTTTAAATTCAGTCATGAGAATTATTCTTTTCCAGAATCAGTGTTTTGCTCCAGTGTGTAAGCACACAAGAATTCAAACTTTACGGCAATAGAAATAGATTAGATATAAAGATTCTTTAGCATACTTCAAATAAATCGAAGCCTTGAAACATCTAATTAAATAAAAACAGTTGAAATTTTTAAAAAATCAGCAAATTATAAATATACCTTAGGAGAATTTGATTGCCTCTATTGTACAAGAATCCATAATTTGTAGGAAATTGACAAGGAGACAGAATAGGCAGTTGCAGGGTTTTTGTTTGTTTGGTTGGTTGGTTGGTTGGTTGGTTGGGTTTGGTTTGGTTTGGTTTTCGAGACGGAGTCTCATTCTGTTGCCCATGCTGGAGTGCAGTGGTGCAATGTGGGCGCACTGCAACCTCTGCCTCCCGGGCTAAAGCGATTCTCCTGCCTCAGCCTCCCAAGTAGGTAAGATTACAGGCATACGCCAACGTGCCCCACTAATTTTTGTATTTTTAGTAGAGACAGGGTTTCACCATGTTGCCCAGGCTGGTCTCGAATTCCTGATCTCATGTGATCCACCTGCCTTGGCCTCCCAAAGTGCTGGGATTACAGGTGTGAGCCACCGCACCAGGACAGCAGCCTCTTTTATTTATTTGTTGTTGCTATTTACTTACTGATCTCACCCGATTCATTTTCTACCTTAGGAAGATTACAGAATCTGAGACTGCCAGTCGACCAATGATTTCAACAGTTGACATACTTCTGTTAGATGAATTTGAATTGAGGAATGGTGGTGTGAGGGATGAAAGCTAAGGGATCAAGATTCCAAGAAGCAATGACAAGTTTTACCTTGAGGAAAGGAATTCAGGGTCTAACTCTTCCCGCACATTTTGTGAAGACATGAGGTTCTTCCACCAGCTCAGAATAGAACTTCAACTATTTTTCTCCCTTCGTTTTCTGATATTAATTTTACTTCTCTATTTTTCTCCTATTTTTACAGTATTCTCACTGTAACTCAACATTTTAACCTCCATCCTTTGTGGAGCTAATTTTAGTTTATTGCTATAATAAAAATGAAGACAGGAGAACTTAGAATTTGATATAAACTGATATACCTATTCTTTTAAGGTGAATTAATCTAAGATGTTATTATTAATTGATTATGTCTGTATTCCTTTCTCCAGAGCTCTGAAACCATGCCAGCCTCTCTGAATTTTCAAATTAAAATACAAAACATAGAATCTAACAGCATTACTTGGATATATTTATAAGCTATTAAATCTTTAAAGGAGACCATTAGCTGCATTGTCCCTATAGGAATAGATGAAATCAGAATCTTATAGTAGAGTTCCATTCGAAAATTCTATTAATATCTCTTCCTACCTTGAGTCAGATCTTATACAGCTGGGATTTTAAACTAAAATTTTATAGGTATAACTTGGAGAATGATTGAAGGAAGACACTTAAAAAAAAAAGAATAAAACTACTGCAATCCAGAGTTTAAAAAAAAATCAAATTCTTTTCTCTGGCCTCATCAAGCTATGTAACCTTAAATAATTCTGGCTCTTGGTTTCTGCATATAGTAATGAAGGCTATTATATTATTACCTTCTGTATACAGAAACATAAAAATTAATCCCTTAAAATTATATTACTTATGATTAATACACTAATTTCATTTTACTTTTGCTAGAACATATTAGTTTTCAATGGATTAAATATCTAAGAATGTGGTAATTTTTACTTTGTTACGTTGTGAAAGCCAATGTCTTTCTCTCTCCATCCCTCTCTCTGTCTTCGTCTGTGTGTCTCTTTCTCTCTCCCTCTCCTTTCTCTCTCTCAACCTCTATATATCTGTGTCATATTTATTTACTGGAATAGAAAGTAGGCATTCCAAGTAAAGCTTGAGTTGATAATAGGTAAATGTCTCACAAATACACAAGACAAATAAGTTATATTTCCTCATAGAATTTCAGTACTGTTAGCAGTTTTTATTCCTTCTTGATGTTAAATTTCCATTTGAAATGAGAAAGTGGCTTTTCTAGAACTATAATTAATAATCAAAATATTTGAGGCTGTATTATATCAGTGTCAAAAAATAAAAATTGTTTTCAGCTTTCCAAAATGATTTTTGCTGGCAGATAAGCTTTTTTTGTTGCAAACTTGTGTAAGTTCACTCTTTGAGCTGATTTTTTCAATCAGTAATGTTCTGCTGATTTTGTGAAACAAGTTGTTGTTATTTTTGGCATTTTTGTGAAAGAGCTTGAAGGAAACAATCATTTACATACTCTACTTTCTATCTGATAATTTCTAAAGCTATTAGATTAAGAGAATAAGAAAAAATAGCAAAATCAAAAATTTATACTTATTCCAACTGTCAAAACTTATATGCATCATCAAATATCCTAATATATTTAAGAAGAAATGACCAAGCTTTTAATCATGCCATTGTTTCTTACATATTCAAAATGGGAAATATACCAAATGTCATGCATCCTATTCTATGAGTTTAATTGTTATCTTCCAAAAAACTGTTTAAATTTTAACCCTATGTACCTGTGAAGATGACCTTACCTGAAAATAAGTTCTTTGTAGATTTTAATAAGGTTAAGATGAGGTCATTAGGGTGAACCTTAATCCAATATGACAGATGTCCTTATAAAAAGAGAAGAGATGCAGACACATGAGAGGAGAACGCCATATGGCAATAGAGCCAGAGATTAGAATGCTGAAGATGCAAGTCAAATGATATTACCAAATGGCAGCAAACCACCAGTAGCTGGGAAGAAGGAAGAGTTCTCCTCTACAGGTTTCAAGAGCATGGTCCTGCCATCACCTTGATTTCAGACTTCTAGCCTTCAGAACTGTGAGACAATAACTTTCTGTTATTTTAAATCACCTAGTGTATGATACTTGTTATGGCAGCCATTAGGAAATTGACAGATATCTGGTCTTTATCAAAAATAAATGTAGTTTTAATTCTGATTTAAATTAGGTTTGGTTTAAAACTGAATATAATGATGTCCAACACTTCACTTGAATAGTAAGTTAAGAAACGCTGTTAGGCCTGGTGCAGTGGCTCATGTCTGGAATTCCAGCACTTTGGGAGGCCGAAGCAGGCGGATCACCTGAGGTTGGGAGTTCAAGACCAGCCTGACCAACATGGAGAAACACCATCTCTACTAAAAATACAAAATTAGCCGGGCATGGTGGCGCATGCCTGTAATCCCAGCTACAAGGGAGGCTGAAGCAGGAGAATCCCTTGAACTGAGGAGGCAGATATTGTGGTGAGCTGAGATTGCACTATAGCACTCCAGCCTGGGCAACAAGAGCAAAACTCCGTCTCAAAGAAAAAAAAAAAAAAAGAAAGAAAGAAATGCTGTTATGTTTTGATTATGGGAATAAAGCCTATATTATTTTTAACAAATTTTTTCAATGTTCTATGTAACAATTTTAAATTAAATACCTCTTAAAATAATATATATAGTCATTCGTTGGTATCCATGTGATATTGGTTCAAAGACTCCCCATGAACACCAAAATCTGCAAATGTTCAAGTCTTTTATGTTAAGTGGTGCAGTACTTGCATATAATCTATGCATATCCTCCTCTATACTTACGTTTATCACTAGATTATTTAGAATACCTAATACAATATAAATTATATGTAAATAGTTTCTATGCTGTATTATTACATTTGTAATTTTTCTTGTTGTATTGTTATCTTTTATTGTTGTTGTTTTTTAATATTTTCAATCTGTGATTTGTTGAATCCAGGGATGCGATATCAGTGGATATGGAGGGGTGACTGCACTTACTTACTTTTATATAAAGTTGTTCACATTCACCCTTTACCCATCTTTAAAAGAAATTGTTTTACTTTCAGATGTACATTATATCTTTAATGTATATCTCTCCTCTATCGAGGAAGATGGAAAGATACATATTGCAAGAAAGGTTGAATTCATATTGATTAGGTAAGAAAGTCTAATTTCCAAATTAGAACTTGATAAAAGAATACAATTAGAGATTATAATCACTTTGAGAAAAAGATCTGGCAGTGTCCTATAAACCTCAAGATTCACCTCTTATGACCCTACAGTTCCACTCCTAGGAAATTACTCAAGAGAAACAGAAACATAGGTCTACACACACTTATCAAGAAAGTTAATAGCAGATTTAAGCAAAATAGGCAAAAACTGAAATCTTCCTAAATTGTCATCATCAGAATGGATAAACAATGTGTATATAATAAAAAACTGTTTAGCAATAAAAATGAAGTAATTATTGATATATACAATAACATGGATTAGTCTCATATAAACCATGCTAAATGAAGGAAGTCTTACACAAAAGAATACATGTAGTATACTTTCATTGATAGGAATTTCTAAAAGAGACAAAATTAATAAAAATATTGATTACCTCTGGGGTTGGGTGGTGAAGTGTTTGACAGTAAAAAAAGTATGAAGGTATGAAGGTTTTTCCTTTGTGATGATAAAGCATGTTTTGTACCTTGACAGGTGTTGGATTGAACAGGCATATGCAATTGTCAAAATTAATGTAATAATATGCCTAGGATTTGTGCATTTTATTCTGTGGAAGTTTAATTGTAAAGTGAATTGTAAACAAATAATGACCTTTACATATATACATGCTAAGGTATGTAGGGGAACAGTGCAGCGATTCTACAAATATTTTTGAAATGTAGAAAATAATAAGATGATTGAACTATAGACAGATAAAGGGATACGTGATAAAGAAAGTATAGTACAATGTAGCAAAATATAAATTAGGTACATTGTAATATTAGTGAGTATAAGGGTATTATGAAATTCTATTTTTCAGTATGTTTGAAAATTTTCATAACAAAATGTTGAAAAATTTTAATAAGAAAAACTTACACACACATATGCAGAAATCATTTTTAGAATGATTTTTCTAGTAGATTCAATGAAAAATGTCACTTCTATGTCCAGAATTCTTCAATCATATTGATCCAGAGCCATTCATGATAATTCTTTAAAATAGAGATACTCTTTGAATTCAAAACAGGTAACTGTCAGTTAAGATAGTTTGCTTATTAAAAGGTTCTGCTAAATGTCTGTATTTATTATAATAACTGTATTAGATTTGTCTCATAATAATTATGAGAAATTATCTTTATAGTGTTGTGGCAAATGTATACTTATTAACTAGCAGCATTGGCATGAATTACATAAAATAAACTATTTATTTCTACATTGCTACATTGTTTATAATCTTATTTTAATCTTACTTAATACATGTTTTATATAGTGGATTTAAAATAAATGTTTGTGGAAGAAAAGGATGGAGAGATGCATTCCATTTAAAGTGATAATAAGAATTATTACTATCTAGCCATGAGCTGGAACTAATCAAAAGGGTCTACTTAGATGCAAATGGGGTGGAGAAATGCTGTCTATGCTCGGGCAACTGCTTTTCAGCAACAATTTTATATTAAATAGAGGAAGGTCACAGTTTTCTGTAGAAAATTAGACATCTTGCCCACATTTATTTTGTTTTGAAATATTTTAAAGGCAGTATTTTTCAGGGGCTTGTTTGAGTACAATTTCTTTCTTTTATTTTATTTATTTATTTTTTTTGAGACGTTGTCTAGCTCTGTCGCCCAGGCTGGAGTGCAGTGGCGCGATCTCGGCTCGCTGCAAGCTCCACCTCCCGGGTTCACGCCATTCTCCTGCCTCAGCCTCCAGAGCTGCTGGGACTACAGGCGCCCGCCACTACGTCCGGCTAAATTTTTTGTATTTTTAGTAGAGACAGGGTTTCACCGTGTTAGCCAGGATGGTCTCGATTTCCTGACCTCGTGATCCGCCCGTCTCGGCCTCCCAAAGTGCTGGGATTACAGGCGTGAGCCACCGCGCCCGACCATTTGGGTACAATTTTTTTGTATTATTTTTGTACAATTTTTATATTTGTATTATTTGTATATTTTTGTGTTATGTTGTATTATTTGTATTATTTAGATGTACAATGTTTGATATCTAAGGACGTATTTGAAAACATCAATTATGTTTATGTACATACATTTGCACACACAGACATGTATAATGTATATACAGGACTTTTGAACATCTTTCCTAATGAAATATCTTAAAAAATTTGATGCATTTATTGAATATTTTGTTCCTTTAGAAAAGAATTTCCAAATACCTATTTTGTTTCAAGTGCCTGTTAGAGAGAAAAATACAAATAAAACAGCAACACTATTCCTGCTGTGCTGAGAGTTTTTATATCAGTTTCTTTACAAATACAGATTTCTGAAAGGTTTGAATTTACACAAATCTCTTAAGGCTTATTACCAATAACAAATCCAAATTCTCTTTCACTCAAAAGAGATCTGAGGGAAAGAAAAATAAAAGGATGTTTTCTTCTGCAAAGGAAAAAAAAATAGGGATTTAGGCATTTATTTGATTGTTTGTTGTTTCACGAAAAGCTTGATTGGTTGCTTGGTCATGTTACAGCCTAATAGTGATGGTAATAATTTCAGTAAATAGATTTTTAAAATGGCAAAATACACAAAAACTGAGAAGGAAAGTTAATACAAAGAAAGCCATTCTTTCTTGCTTCAATCAAATACAGAAGTCCCCAGTAGATAATCATATTTTTCCTGTAGTTATATTTAGTATGAACCCACTATGGTTGAGACACTGTGTTAAGTATTTTATATACATTATTTCACTTGATGTTTACAAAAATTTTTGATGTCAGATTGTGATCTCTGTTCTATAGATTTTTTAAAAAAGAAGATTTTGGGAGAAGGGACTTGTCTGAAGTCACCAGTGAAAGTTTGAACTGATTATCTGTAACCAGAGAGCTATATTTTTTGAAGAGACTATTTAGTGTTAATATTTAACTTAATAAAAAGAAAAGTAAAATCTCATCTTTATTAATACCCATTCTGCTTCCATAATAATGATAAGGTCTGATTCTATCAAAAAATTCTCATTTTATCAGTTGCTAACATGGTATTCAGATGATTACCACTGTCCCAGTCTTCTGGTCTTTAACTTGCTTGCTGATTCAGAACAAAATCAAATAAGTATTTTGGCCTTTCTTTATAAAGCCCTAAATGTTGTGGATCTTCTGATAAATGCATAATTGAGCAAAAACCTGGACGCAAGCAAGTGTATTCAGCTTACCACCACCAAAAAACTTAGTTGCCAAATACAAGTGCCCTAGTCCATTTTGTGTTGCTATGAAAGAATACCATAGACTGGGTAATGTACTGTAAAGAAAATAAGTTTATTTTTCATAGTCTGGAGACTGTGCAGTCCACTATCAAAGTGCAGGCATCTGGCTTGGGCCTTCTTGCTGCATCATAACATAGTGGAGGGAAAGAAGGTGAGGACGGGGGGCAAACTCATCCTTTAATCAGGAAGCCACTCCAGGAATAACTAACCACTCCAAGGTAACAGCCTAAATTCATGCGGGCTCTGCCCTCATGACTTAATCATTTTCTAAAGGTTTCATCTATCTACACTATTGCATTGAGAATTAAGTGTCCAAACATGAATTTTGGGGGATACATGCAAACCATTGCAACAGGTTAGTAAAAGCAAAATATAGATTTTTCTAAATTGTTGGTGGCAATATTATAAACTTCCTCTGAAACAATAAAACCTAGGGGAAAGCATATTAATAAATGGCTGTGTTGCTTATCTTATTTCTCTGATGACCTCCTTATTCATGAATATATTGTCCAGACTCCAACAGATTTTATCTCGAGTCCAAAATTTTAAAAATAATTTATCTCTCTTGCACAGTGTGCACTAAAAATAATTTATAAAATAGGGAAGTGTATAATCTGTATTGGTAGGAGAAGGAGAAGGAGGAAAGAAAGATACGATAAAGCAACAAAAAGAAGACTTTATTAATAGAGTACTAGAAGACCCTATTAAAAAAATAAATAATAGAAAAAGAACAGGAAGAATAAAAGTGACAGTATGAAGTAGAGAAACCAGTGAGCTAAGGGCAAGATGAGGGAGGAGTCAAAGTGTTAAGCTAGGGTCTCAAACTCAATTTTTTTTTTTTTTGCCTGAGGTCAGGCAGGTAATGTGAATGAGTAAATTGGGCTGATTGTAAGAAGAATGTGGCCAGTGTTTCATTTCTTTTTATTTTGTTTTTAAATCAGCTTTCTTTCCTTGCATTTGATAGGGGAATAAACATTTCTTTTTGAAATAAACAATAGTAAAAGTGAAATGATCAAAGGTAGTGTTCTCAGTCTCTGGAAAACAACAAAGAATGGTATGGCAAACCAGCATTCATACTGGCCCTGGAAGAGGGCCGGTGGTAGGCACCATTCAGCTTTGTCCAGTATTGATAGTATTTTTTAATCAGAAGCTGAAATCTAAATTTTAAGAGAAATCTGAAATACTGACAACTCATTAAAAAAAAGTTTAAGTTAATGTGAATACTCTCATAGCCCTTACTGACTCCATTCCTACAGGTTGGGGATTGTGGCCTATGGCTACCAGACTGCATGCTTACTATTAAAAAGTTAAGCAGGCCGGGCACAGTGGCTCATGGCTATAATCTCAGCACTTTCAGGGGCTAAGGCGGGCAGATTGCTTGAGGTCAGGAGTTCGAAACCAGCCTGGCCAACATGGTGAATCCCTGTCTCGGCTAAAAATACAAAAAAATTAGCCAGGTATGGTGGCATGCACCTGTAATCCCAGCTACTCGGGAGGCTGAGGCAGGGGAATTGCTTGAACCAGGGAGGTGGAGGTTGCAGTGAGCCGAGATCGCACCACCGCACTCCAGCCTGTGCGACACAATGAGACTTCGTCTCAAAAAACAAACAAACAAAAAAACAAACAAATTAAGCGGAAGGGAATAAAATGATATCCTAACTTTACCTCTAGCTATTCTCAAGGCCCGATGGGTCCTGCTGCTTACTCTGCTCTTCTCCAGATGACTTTTCTATATGTGAGACTAGCACAAAGCTCTCCATTAGTTACAGTCATGCATCACGTAACAATAGTGGTGTGTTCTGAGAAATGTGTCCTTAGGTGGCTTCGTCACGGTGCAAACATCCTATAGTGTACCTACACAAACCTAAATGGTGTAGCCTACTACACACCTAGGCTATATGGGATAGCCTATTGATGCTTGGCTACAAACCTGTATGGCATTTTACCGTACTAACTCTATAGGCAATTATAACACAGTGTTAAGTATTTGTGTACCTAAATGCATCTGACATAGAAAAGGTACAGTAAAGATAAAGTATAATCTTACGGGGTCACCGGTGCATATGCGGTCTGTCGCTGACTGAAACATAATGCAGTGCATAACAGTATTTGATTTTTAAAAGGGTTTTAGGATTTTTGCTTTGGTCTAAACTAATTTTTTTAATAAGAGCCACACAGTGTTCAATTCTGGCTTATTTGTTGTCATCTATTTTCTGAGATCAAGTCTATTCCAAGGAATAGGTCCTGCACACAGAGCTGGCTTCATGGGTATGGCATCACTGGAATTGCAAAGGGTTCTGCACTCAGAAAGAAGCCCCGTGTTTAGGGTTTAATACAACTCTGTGAATGTTGTCTTTAAATTATTACTAATTTTATGCTTCTGTGTGTTTTAGAAGGTTTGATGGGACATGGATCAGGAGCTGGGGCTTAGAGTCTTTGTCCACAGGTTGTCCTGCCTCCTTCTGACCTCCACCATCTCCCCACTTCCCCATCTTGGGTTCTTGGTTGGCAATGCCCCACTCCTGTACAGATACCACTGGCACTCTCCACTCCAGCAAGGGCCTGGACACAGGTGTTAGGAGAGTTAGGGTATGCATATACATTACAGGGACCAAGTCATGGGGCTTTGCCCAAGGCACCTATGAGGCCCCATGATTGAGGGGTCACAATATTAAATAGAAAATAAAAAACACCACAGCAATTCAAGAAAGACCACAGAAGAAAAAAAAAAGGTGGGTTTTGTTTTGTTTTGTTGTTTCGCTTTTTGCACAATGTGTCCTGCATTTTCATTTTATACTGGATTCTCAAAATAACATAGCTGGTCCTGCTTCTCAGGGTATTTTATCACTGCTTACCTACTCTTTCCCTTGCACTTCACAAACCTCTTCTTTGCCTAAAACATGCAACATCAAAATAAATGGTCCAGCAAAACCTGAAGGTGCTTTAAAATGTAGTTAAAAGAAACAGGAGGCAATTCTATTTAGAAGCCGCATTACACTCTACCCCAAATCTGGAAAGTGTGAAGAGAAAATGCCAGCATAATAGCTATCACTCTTTGTTGTTAACACAGCTGCTTGCTCACTTTAGTTTTCTCGCACATATAAGGCAGAGCTGTGATGTACTCAGACAGATCACATTCAAATTCTCATTCTGCCACTTGCTAAGTGATGACCTTGGGCAAGTTACTCAACCTTCCTTAGCCAGCTTCGCTCTTATAAAACGGTTTTAATAATGAATGTTCTTGCAGTGTTGTTCAGGTTGAATGGTGTAAGATGAAACAAATTTGTAGCATAATGCCTAGCATATAATACAAGTTCTTTCATTCTTATGAAAACCTATATATATATAATGTAAATAATATTTTATATTTTTAGTATTTTAATGCACACAGGTTTAACTCCTTTTTGTGTCAGAGAAAAACAAACCTTTCATTTTAGCTGAAATGATTAGAAGTCATCATATAGCATTTATAAGGCTATGGCTACTGAGTCTGCATTGGCCCATCAACTGTCATTGTAGGGAAGAGATGAGTGGGCTGAGTGCCCTGCAGTAGCAAGCTTAATTTATGGCTTTTGGAAGAACTGAGCCCCAAGCATAATATTCAAGGTCTTTAATATATCAAAAGGCTTTTTTTCTTAGATAACAAAAATTTCCTCTGGTTTTTTGATATGTGAAATTTTAGTGTGCATAAAATGGAGCTCTATATTAGCCCACTCTGCATGTTTTAATAGTGTTACAGTGGTGGCTAATGTCTATGATAATCAACAGTTAGCAAAAACATGAATTTGGATATTTTCACATTTATTATACAAAAAGACAGTATTTTTTTTAAACGGTATTGTTTTAAACAGCAGTTTAAAACACAATAAAATTAAATTCCAAATAAGCCATAATTTTTATCAGGGTACTTTTAAGTAATCTGTGTGAAATCATTGAGGGTACTCACAGATGATGCAACTAATTTATTCAGTCTTAAAATGAAAACTCACAATGCAGGTAAGAGATATGGAGAAACAATTTTTGCAGACACAAATTTAACTTGTATTAAAATTTTATTATCCTCTTTTCAAAATCATGAAATCAGCATATTTAGCCGTAAGTAACTCATATGCTGATTACTAAAAAATAGTGTCGAAGTCAGTTGATCAGTGAAGTCTATGCATCCATTAAAAGCATAGCTAGCTATTGATTAATGGAAATCAGCAAAGACCTATAAGGCAGTTAACTAAAAGCAGAAAAAAACACATTCCTACAAGTGAGAAAAGCCAGGAGAAAAATTTTAATTACTCTCTCACGAACTCATAAAAACAAAGAAACAAATATGCAATCAATAGAAAACAGTTGTTTTTCTGTGACTAGGTTAACTAAATTACGTCTTAGCAAAGGAGCTAATATGATAAAATAACTAAGGTCTAATTACCAAGATAATTAGAAATATTTGTTTGGCTGGTGACAAATATTAGTATTAAATACCGAAAGCTTATGAATATCTAAAAACATTTTCCAAATGATCTACAATGTCTATAGAAAGAGAATTAGCATCATGAAATGAGATGCACAAATGTGAAACAATCTTAAATCATTGCTGAAACTATAGGGACCTAAGTAGTAGTTGGAATTAATTCCCATTGAAGTAACTAAATGAATTACTTCTGCTTCAATGAATTAAACTGAAATATATTTGCTCTAATTTACATTTGTGCTGTTTTGTTCTGTATCAATGGAAATGGATAAGTGTTTCCTATATTTATTATTTCAGGAGCACAATAAGCTCCCTGTCAGCTTTCTCAAATATCGTTTTTCATCTTTTGGCCCCATTCACTCTCCATCTTCTTATAGAGGTTACTTAAAAGCTTAGCACAATGTAATGAAGTTTGTAGGATGCTTTATCATCACAGAATTGATTTGATAAAAATAGAGAGATGGAGGAGAGAGAAGGATAAGAGATAGGCTGGGCGCGGTGGCTCACACCTGTAATCCCAGCATTTTGGGAGGCCCAGGTGGGCAGATCACGAGGTCAAGAGATCGAGACCATCCTAGCCAACATGGTGAACTGGAATAAGACAAGTATGCTCACTCTGAACACTCCTATTCAACATACCACTGGAAGTCCTAGCCCAGGCAATCAGGCAAGAGAAAAAAGTAAAAGTCATCCAAATAGGAAAAGAAGTCAAACTATCTCTATTTGCTGTCAATATGATTCTATACCTAGAAAACACTAAAGACCCTATCAAAAGACTTTTAGAAATGACGAAGGACTTCAGTAAAGTTTTAGGATACAAAGTCAATGTACAATAATCAGTGGCATTTCTGCCAATAATCAGTAGCATTTCAGGCAAAAACCAGTAGCAGATTCTGCCAATAGCATTTCCCCAACAACATTCAAGTTGAAAGCCAAACCAAGAACACAATCCAATTTACAGTAACCCCTAACATTAAAATACGTAAGAATACAATTATCTAAGTAGGTGAAAGATCTCTACATGGAGCACTACAAAACACTGCTGAAAGAAATCACAGGTTGCTTAAACAAATGGAAAAACATTCCATGCTCATAAATTGGAAGAATCAGTATTGTTAAAGTGGCCATACTGCCCAAAGGAATCTACAGACACAACACTATACCCATCAAACTGCCAATGTCATTTTTTACAGAATTAGAAAAAGTTATTCTAAAATTCATATAGAACTGAAAAAAAACAAGCCTGAATAGCCAAGAAAACCTTAAAAAAAACAAATAAAAAACAGAACAAAGCTAGAGGACTCACATTATACTACTTCAAACTATACTATAATGCCACAGTATCAAAAACAGCATGATACTGGTGCAAAAATAGACACATAGACCAACGAAACAGAATGGAGAACCAGAAATAAAGCCACACACCTGCAATAATCTGGTCTTTGACAAAGTTAAAAAAAATAATAATAAATGGGAAAGCACTCCTGATTAAATAAATGGTACTTGGATAGCTGGCTAGCCATGTGCAGAAGAATGAAACTGGACACATACCTCTCTCCACATACAAAAAATAACTCAAGATGGAATAAATATTTAAATGTTAAGACCTCAGAGTATCAGAATCCTAGAAGAAGGCCGGGCGCGGTGGCTCACGCCTGTAATGCCAGCACTTTGGGAGGCCGAGGCGGGTGGATCACGAGGTAAGGAGATCGAGATCATCCTGGCTAACACGGTGAAACCCCGTCTCTACTAAAAATATAAAAAAAAAATTAGCCGGGCGTGGTGGCGGGCGCCTGTAGTCCCAGCAGCTCTGGAGGCTGAGGCAGGAGAATGGCATGAACCCGGGAGGCGGAGCTTGCAGTGAGCCGAGATCGCGCCCCTGCACTCCAGCCTGGGGGACAGGGCGAGACTCCGTTTCAAAGTAAAAAGAAAAAAGAAAAATAAAGAATCCTACAAGAAAACCTAGGAAACAACATTTTGGACATCAGTCTCGGGAAATAATTTATGATAAAATCCTCAAAAGCAATGTAGCAAAAACGAAAATTGACAAGATTGACAAGTGGTACCTCATTAAACTAAAGAGACTCTGCACAGCAAAAGAAACGATTAACAGAGTACACAGATAATGTAAAGAATGAGGGAAAATATTTACAAACTATGCATCCAACAAAGGTTTAATATCCAGATCTATGAGTAAGTTAAACAATTCAACAAGCAGAAAGCAAATAATTCCATTAAAAAGTGGCCAGAAGACATGAATGGAAATTTTTCAAAAGAATAAATACAAGCAGCAAAAAAAAAAAAAAAAAAAAAAAAAAAATGGAAAAACGATCCACATCACTAATCATCACAGAAATGCAAAACAATACCACAATGAGAGACACCATCTCATCAGTCAGAATGGCCATCACTAAAATGTCAAAGAAACAGCAATGCTGGTGAGGCTGCAGAGGAAAGGGAATGCTTATACACTGTTGGTGGGGATGTAAATTAATTTAGTCACTATGGAAAGCAGTTTAATGATTTCTCAAAGATCATAAAACAGAACTACCATTCAGCACAGCAATCCAATTACTGGCTATATATCCAAAAGAAAATAAATTGTTTTACTAAAAGGAAACATGCATTCATATGTTCATCACAGCACTCTTCACAATAGCAAGGCATGGAATCAACCTAGGTGCCCATCAACAGTGAACTGAATAAAGAAAATGTGGTACACATACACCATGGGACACTAGGCAGCCATAGGAAAGAATGAGATCATGTTCTTTGCAGCAACATAGATGCAGCTGAAGGCCATTATCCTCAGATAATTAATGCAGGTACAAAACAAAACAAAAAAACAAGTTATAAGTGAAAGATAAATATTGAGTACCAATGGAATTAAAGATGGCAACAATAGACACTGGGGACTATTGGTGGGGAGGGATGAAGAAATAGGGGAAGGGTGGGAAAACTAACTCTTGGGGACTATGCTCACTAGCTGGGTGATGGAATCAATCATACCATAAACCTCAACATCACACAATATACCCATGTAACAAGCCTGCCTACGTACCACTCATTCTAAAATAAACATTGAAATTATATTATAAAAAAGTGATAAGCCCTAAGCCAAAAAAGTAATGAAATGAAGCAAAAAGTTTTAACTGAAATATTTAAAAATTAGTGCAATGTTTAAAGCAAAATCAAAAAGGAATCAAGGAAAGAAGAAAGGACAGAAAAAAGAAGGGACAAAAGAAGGAAGGAAGGAAGGAAGGAAACCCTAGAAAAACATAAGTATACAAGAAGAAAAATATAATAGTAATTGGCTCTATTTGAACAAATTTACATAAGGCTAATATTTTATACTTTCAACTTTTATAGTCAATCTATTCACAAAAGATGGAAGACAGTATAGTTTCAGAAGAATGCCTGAATATTATTAACAAAAAAGAGCAAAAACATTACTACAGATGGCAGAGGCTGTGTGTTAGAAGGGAAGAGAGAGGTGAAGGAAGATAGGAGATATAATTTTAAAGAGGAAAGTCAAAAAATAATATCATTAGTTGAAGAAATAAGAAATGCAGGTTTGTATTAAAAATAGGGATATACATTTCTGGGATGTGTAAACATTTCTGGTAAGAGAAAGGCAGGTATTCTCTAAAAACTGATAAATAAATTAGACTCAACAATATTAACACATTGTTGAGACATTTATATGTGTCAGAAAAAAATATAAAAATACACAGGTTTAAAGAAGTAATGTGTTCTTTTGAGTATGACATTGAGAGTAGGAAGGATGTGTGACTGGGATGGTAGTTTTGACTTTGGGCTTATTTTATGTAGATAACAAAGCAAACCTCTACTCTTTTGAGAAGTTAGGATATTTAGTCTGAGAAGTTTGAGTGTGGAGTATGAGGCAACTTTGGCTAAAAATATAGAAGGTTTTCTAATAAATAACACTGGAATGAACCATCTTGTAAAGAAGTGAATTAATAAGATATTTCAGGAAAGTTTCATGTATATAAGAGACATTACATTCGAGGTTCTATGGTCTAACGTGCCTTTAGCGGAAGGATTTTCAAAGAACTGCTACTAGATGGCAAACTCAAGTTATTTTTTAAATATGATATTTTAACTGAATTTTTGCAATAAGAAATCTCATAGTTATCCTTTTCCTTCTCCATGTTTATCTTATGTTAAAAGAATTCAGCTTTTAGAAATAAAGCAACAAATTTAACTTAACTCAAGGCAAAATAAGGCCTTATATTAAATTTTCATTGAAGATAATTTTGATGAAAACCTCTCAGAGAAATCAAAGGAAAAAGAAGCTGGAAGTACATAAACAAATTATAAAGTAGAAATTGGTTCTGTGAGGAGAGATTTATTTGGTTTAATTTTCTTTGGGTAATATAAAATATATAATCTATTTTATGAATTTTTTTGTCATTTTTCATATTAGGTTTGAATTCATACCTGAAAGAACTAGATGAATGTTACTATTTCTTTTGAGCCTGAAATTTCTTTCCAACACGCCTCACATTATTGAAACATTAATACTAAGCAGTACTGTCTACACCTGAAGGAGCAGCCATCACAGAGCTGGGTGATAAATCACTGCTCCCTGATGTCTGGCAATGTCCAAAATGCAAGCCAGTTCTCTGGAAGTGTTGGTGCTGGCACCTGCCATCCCACTTCACTCTTCACAATTGTTGGAACAGCCTTCTTCATACTGAGCCCAATTCTAGACCACATAAATAAAGTATACGGCTTTTCCTTAAAATATTATGTCTTTTTTTGTAGGGTGAATATTTTTTGTACCTTAAACTTACTGTATAGTTGGCTTCCAGATCTAAGTCATGAACAAAAAAGTCCTGACTATATTATACTATGTTGTATGATGTTGTTTTAATTATATTATAGTATTATATTTATCATATTATATGTAAAGTAAAATATATCCCTTCTCAGTATTCACCCAACCATCCCAACGGCACATCTTTAAGTGGCACAAACTTTCACTGTTTAATTATTTAGGATCATCCCAGGTTTGTTATTAATGGTTTTTAGGCTGCTGTTCTTTATCACTCTCAAGAGGTGAGACTTCCAGTTTTATCTCTGACTTTTACCTCTATGGTCTTATACCTCAGTCATTAAGTGTTAGTGATCAAGACATGTTTTTAAAGTCTATGCTTTTTCCCACTCTTCTCATTTTGCCTGGGATTTCAACATCTATCACCCAAGCTCTATTTCTTAAGATGTGACAAACACCTAACTACCCTTCTACAAGACTCAGGGAAAATGTTTCCTGTGAGAACACATTTTCTGACAGACCACAGATAACTACCTACTCCTTTCTACTCCTACTGAAGCCCATAATCATATCTATGAAGGAAGAACTTATTACAAGGGACTCCTAGATGACTTCCTATGTCCTCTATACACCAAATCATGCATAATTTCATAATCTCTTCCCATTACT
The DNA here is from genome assembly GCF_000001405.40 of Homo sapiens. NCBI lineage: Eukaryota > Metazoa > Chordata > Mammalia > Primates > Hominidae > Homo > Homo sapiens. The sequence goes on from NC_000012.12 coordinate 86,319,255, forward strand.
TTTAGGATAAAATTCTAAAGATTTAACACATTTAGCACGAAATATAAGGCTCTTCATGATGTGATCTCAGACTGCTTCTTTAGATGTACTGATACCCCACATACATGCATAAGAAATCTCTCTCATGTCACCCCAGCAACCCATCCCATTTCCACGTAGTCCATCAAAGAAGCAGTGAATAATTCCTTCATGTCATTCAGATCTAAGTTTAAATACCTTACTATATTTATTGGGGCATTTATTAACTCCTGAATAAAATGGTCTACCCAATCACTCATATCCCAGTTTTATATCACTTAGCATTTATTTCTGTCAAGAATGGTAATACTTGTTTGCTTTTCTCTCTTCTTCCATTAAAAAGCAAGTGGAATGACACTAGGATGTTGTCTCTATTTCTGCTGAATTCCTAACACTTAAAATGTTGGTTATATTTTTTTAAGTAAGTGAATGTATGAATGCTGGCTTTGTGAGAAATGAAATGTTTCTTGTCAAGTTACCTAGGAAATATTATATTAGCATCTTGCATTTCCCCCTTTTCACATCAAGTATCTGAAAGTTGAAAGGGGCTGAATTATTACCTCTCCCAAAGTGCCCAATATTTTAGGATTCAATAAATGATAAAATTTTTTTAAAGTCCATAATTTGAAAAGAAGAAATGAAATTTTAATTCTCATAAATTAGTAAGAAAATAAATTCACGATGTACTGAGTGAATTTAGTTTTACAGAGAACCAGTTCCGTGGTTCTTATTGTTTTTCTTTTGGAATACTGTAAACTTCAAGGAAGGACAGACTGATATCTGCAGTTCTGCCCTGGGAGCCTCTGACCCAGCCCATACTTCCTGACACTACAAGATCTCCCTCACCACGTCTTCTTCTAAATCCACTTCTCTTGTATTTCTTTTTTTACTCTCAGCTTGGTAAAGGAAACTAATCTGATAATCCTGTCTGAGAAAAAAATATTGATATCTGATAATGGCTTAATTCATCTTTTACAAAGGTTTGCAACAGCCAGTAACCCAAAGGAATGAATAAACAATTTAATGTTTTGATTGTAATTTCCAGTAGGGAAGGTGTTAACTTTCTTCCAGCTCCTTGAGTTAAACTACATAAAAAGATGTTCTGCATAAAGGTGGTCTAGATTACCAAAGAGTGGCATTTTCTTTTCATACTATTAGTTTATTAAGACTTAATATTTTTCATGGTAAAAATAGTAATAGTAATAACAATAATAGTAAGAACTGAAATTTATTGAGAATTTGCCATGTACCAAAAACTGTGCCAAATGCTTTTCAAACAGTATCTCATTTCATGGTCATAGATGTACTATAGAAAATCACTTTTATCCCAAATTTACAGGTATAAAATTAGGCTTCAACAGGTTAAATCTCACTGCTGATCAGTGGCAGGGCTGGGATTTATATTATGATCTGTATAATTCCAAAAATCATGATTTTCTACAGCCTCTCAAAAAAACCCATATGGTTTTACAACTGGGTTATGATTTATCTGTCATTAAGCCCTAGGCATGAATCCCTTACTAATAGCCTTGAGTGGTGACAAAACCTTTTCTTTCTGAAAATGAAAAACTAAATGACATCATAAAGTAGCAACTTACATTTTTATCCAGCTCTAATCGTTACCACATCATTTTTCTTAATGGATCAAAATCTACCAACTATATAATTTGCACTATTTAATCCCATTCTTGCTCCTAAACAATTAAGATAGGAAAAAATCAAAAATGTACCCTAAAAAACTTCTAATTTCATATTCTAAAGATGTATGGAAATCTTTTAATAGAAAAAAACTAGATAAATCTTAAAACCATTTTTATACATTTTTAAAGTCACTATACCTTTTTAAAATTAAGGGTCTTAAAGTATCAATCTTTCAAACTTTCAATTTTATTACCCAACATTCTCTAAAATCTATGTGTGAAAAATTATTTTAAAAATTTGACAATTAAGAGAAAAAAGACATGATGTGAGAATTCTTAAGATAAAAGACCACTTCAGTTACATTAGCAAATATTTTGATTTAACATGTCTTCTAAAATGTAGCATTCATATCCTTGTATTTCTATCTCTATTTTGATTTAATTTAAGTTATGCCATAAAATAGATCATTTACACTTGGATGAAGATATCAGAAACTTCTTTTATTTTCCAGACCAAATGAAACTTTTCAGTTGATTTCTACTGAGCTTCAGGGAGTATTTTGATAGTTTGGGATTTATTTATTGTTTTAATTTTAAGAGCTAATGAGTAAACTAAGACACACCATTGAAAACAATACTAGCTGAATGCTTTTAAAATGCTGAAAATGGCCGCCAGAAAATATATTTATTCAAATGCCACTATGTTCTTTTTTAAAAATGTCCTCAAGTTATACTTTTTTAAAAATCAGAGACCTGTGAGATACCATCTCACACCAGTTAGAATGGCGATCATTAACAAGTCAGGAAACAACAGGTGCTGGAGAAGATGTGGAGAAATAGGAACACTTTTACACTGTTGGTGGGACTGTAAACTAGTTCAACCACTGTGGAAGACAGTGTGGAGATTCCTCAGGGATCTAGAACTAGAAATACCATTTGACCCAGGCATCCCATTACTGGGTATATACCCAAAGGATTACAAATCATACTGCTATAAAGACAAATGCACACGTATGTTTATTGTGGCACTATTCACAATAGCAAAGACTTGGAACCAACCCAAATGTCCATCAATGATAGACTGGATTAAGAAAATATGGCACATATACACCATGGAATACTATGCAGCCATAAAAAAGGATGAGTTCATGTCCTTTACAGGGACATGGATGAAGATGGAAACCATCATTCTGAGCAAACTATCACAAGGACAGAAAACCAAACACCGCATGTTTTCACTCATAGGTGGGAATTGAACAATAAGAACAGATGGACACAGGGTGGGGAACATCACACACTGGGGCCTGTCGTGGGGTGGGGGGAGGGGGGAGGGAGAGCATTAGGAGATATACCTAATGTAAATGACGAGTTAAGGGGTGCAGCCCACCAACATGGCACATGTATACATATGTAACAAACCTGCACGTTGTGCACATGTACCCTAGAACTTAAAGTAAAAAAAAAAAATCAGAGAACTGCTTAAATGGTTCATTCTAAACCATTGGTTTAGCTATTGAACTAACTTTGGTTGCTATTACATTTTTAGACATATAATCTTAACAGATTATAAGTTTCTTTCTTTTGTTTCTTTCCTTATTTTTCTAAGAGGATGAAGCCAATTCAGTATTATATTTATTGTTTAGAAAAAAATGAATTTAGAGGTTTCTTAATTTTTTTTATTTTTATTTTTATTTATTTAAGGCATCTGCTGGTAGAGCTGTCATTGCTCTTACTTTGTTATAATTCATTGAAAATGGTCAACGGGAAGGGCAATTTAGTTGCTTTGACTTGCAAACAGAATATTTTCCCTAAATATTACCTTCTAGCATTTTTACAAGTCCAATAACGTGTTCATATATGAGTCATAGAGCATATATTTTTAGATTGCAAAATTATACTAGCATGAGACAAGGTACTTTAGATTTGGATTGTGAAAATATCAGTTTTAAATTTATAGTAATACTTGCTTCAGTTTCTGTATACATTGTCAAGTTTATTGCAGGAAATGCGGAAGAGTTAATTTTATATTTTATTCATTATTCAAATAATTATTAAGATGTTTATAAACTCATCACAAGCATTGCTCATTTTTATTGGCTTGCAATCAGCACTTAAAATCCTATTGTAAAACTCTGCAACACATGAGGTTTGACAGATAATATAAGTTTACAGGAATTTGAAAGATCTCACAAAGCCCACAGAAATATTTTCTTGGAAGTTTTTTTTTTTTTAATGTTAACTATACAATGCTGTTTAGTGATATACTCCTGCTGGAAAAACAATTTATAATTTTTATATTTCTCATTGCAATCCTAAATAAATACATATATTATTCAAGTTTTCTATAAAAATTAAGTGTTTAGTTAATATCACATGTATCTCTCTAAAGTTACATGAATTCAGAGTAAATTATTATAATCATCCATATTTTAATATTCAACTTGCTTTTTGTATCAGTGGTTAATTTGGTAAAGTTTTAATATATTTCATCTTTATTTCCTAAAATAATATTAAAGGGATGGTAATATGAAAAAAACCACAATATTTATTTAGGATCGTAAAATAAGATATTTTTCAATATGCAGAAGGCAAAGAAAAACACTAAGTATGTAAAAAGATAATAATACAGTTAATTTAATTTAAGGAAAATATAATATCCAAATCTCATAGGTGTTCTGTTTCAAATAATCACTTAACAGAAATTCACAGCAGCAAAACAATATAACTACCGTAGTAAATACATACATATATATAAATAGACGAAATACACAATATATCTTATTTTTGTATATTTACTAATCAAAATTATTTTAAAATAACTTTATAGCTTCATGCTTCATGCCTTCTCATTGAAACATTTTCCGATAAAATTGTTGATGCTTCCGACAATTCCTATTATCGCAATTTGATATTTAAATCAAGAACTACCTAAAGCTACTAAATCTTTGCCACTAGCCTAAATGAGGCAATATTCTTCTATTCCCATGAATTATTCAAGTTTATAAAATGGTGAAATCAGATGACAAAATATTGTATTTTAATATGGACTATGTATTCTTATATAAGCTATTACGAATCAAAAGAAAACTGGAAGTAAAAATGAAACTTCAATTAGTTTTATTTTTTCTTTACATTGATTACCGGAAGCATAATTTCTTTATTTTTAATTAAATTCAGCAATGTAAATTAAGTATACTGTCACAAATTCATTTATCTTCACTAGTAAAATCTCCACAGTTAAAAACAAATAGCAATTTCTTATTCTATGGTTATGTATTGCCCCTTTCTTTTAGTTATCTATCTTACAAATTTAGGCAGATTCTCATGGGTGGTAAAAGAGTGGTAGATAGCACTGTTTAATACATCCTCATTAAAAGCAAATATGTATTATGTTGTATTAGTGACCACAAATGAGCTTGATTTTATTTCATGTTTTGTATACATAATTTCCATATTCTTACATTCTTTTAATTCTTTTTGTGCATTTTGGTTACTTATTAATTAAATATATTCTACATTAATTTTATTTTATTTTGTTTGATTTTGATATATTTATTATTGCTTTTAATTTAATTTAGTAGTAGATTATATTGCTAAACATGTGAGTTAAATCCAGGAGTAATTAGAGCATATTTCATATGTGTCACTTTATTAAGTGTAAATTTGAAAGGGAAAATATATAAATAACATTAATTGTACCATTTAGAATATTCTAATTTTGTATTAGCAGGTAAAGCAATGAGAATATATACGCTTTGACAACTAATCCATAGAGAAACGAGAGTTGTTTTTTTTTTCTGCTTGTGCAAAGCAAATTAGAAAAACAATCAATATTTCTTTTCCAGAAACATTTGCTCTCTGCCCCAGATTTATGTTGGAATGTTTATTTGGTTTGTATGACTCTCAAGAGATGTGGCTTAATGGAAGTACTTGGATAACAGTCTTAGAAATCTAATGACAATTGTTTGTTTTTCCCAAATAACCACTTCCTAATGATTATTATTGAGCCTTGCAGTGTTAAAATGACATGTTTAGTTTCAGATGAGCATTTAAAAATTATTTCAGCTATTCTGTTACTTGGTATAAAATAAATGTCAATTTTTTGACCTATTGTAGATGTTCAGAAGCAGTCAATTGTTTTAATATAAATGTTGCATTCTTCACTTATGCTTCACACATGGATGAACAACAATTTGAAGCTACTAGATCAATTCTATATATGTTATTTGCAGTAAGTATACATTCAAGTACAGATATTTATTTTTTTAGATTGGATTGTCTCTTAATATAATTTAATTCACAGTAACTACCAATACTGAGGATTATGAAAAGTTTTGTCCTCCATGTAAACATGTATTGATATTTTTCCAGATTTTTCCACATTAAGTTCTCATTAATCATTGTATATTCCAGCAGCATATCAAAAAATTAGGAATTTATTTAGAACTTAGTAGAGCTACACTATGTAGAGTGAAAAACAAAACAAAACCTTACCCCAATTCACAAATAAGTGTACAATATAATATTGGCACATTTCTAATTTTGCAATCAAAAAGGATTACAGTTCAATCCTGACTTGACTACTTTGTTCTGTGCATGAGCAAATCCAAAGATCTCTATAGCTTATTATCTGTAAGGTGGGTAAAAGAGATGTAGCATTAAAACAATTAAAATAGTGCTTGAGGCTGGGCACAGTGGCTCACACCTGTAATCCCTGCATTTTGGGAGGTCAAGGCAGGTGGATTGCTTGAGCCCAGGAGTTCAAGACCAGCCTGGGCAATATGTCAAAGCCCTATCTCTACAAAAAATACAAAAATTAGCCTGGTCTGCTGGTGCAGCCTGTATTCTCAGCTACCCAGGAGGCTGAAGCGGGAGGGTCACCTGAGCCCAGGAGGTCGAGGCTGCAATGAGCAGTGATCATACCACTGCACTCTTGCCTGGGCAACAGACTGAGACCCTGTCTCCAAAAAGAAAAAAAAAAATAATAATGCTTGACACAGGGTTCCCTATACAGTCATTTTTATTCTATTTATTTTATTACATTCTTCATGTCAAAATGGCAAGGTTAATATTGCTTGGGCTTTGAAGTTAAGACCATCTTGACTCTGCTAACTATGTAACTGTGAGCAAATTATATTACTGATCTGAGCTTGCCTATTATTTAGAATAAGAATAATATTTTATTTTACATAATATTATTGGAGGATTATGTGAGATAAAATAAATATATTTTTATATTAAGCGGCCAACAAATATTTATTTTTTACCCTGTCACTCAGCTGAAGAGAAAAAATATGAGATCTAATGTACAGCTTGGTGACTATAGTTAATAATGTAGTGTATACTTAAAATTTGCTAAGAGGGTAGATCTGCAGTATTCTCATCACACACACACACACACACACACACACACACACACACGGTAATTATGTAAGGTGATTTATATGTTAATTAGCTTGATTGTATTGTTCATTTCACAATGTATACCTATATTAAAACATCACAGTGTACACGATTAATTTATACAATTTTATTTATCTATTATACCTCAGTAAAGGTGAAAAAAGAAAAAAATGAATTACAAAGAGAAATAAAGCATTATAAGACTTAAATCTACTAGGCTTTTTAATAAAATGGTAATATTTTTATTCCAGAAAAGGTAGATGAAATTGTTGAAGAGTAAATAACTAGTTTAGATTCTAAATACATGTGGATCATATTTTATGTCACAAAAGGGAAATTTTGTGTTTGTAAAACAAATATATCTAATCACTTATAAAATCAAGAAAACCCACTTGAGCCTTTACATTTGTCAGTGTGTATCGTACCATTTTCTATTTCATACAAAATAAAACAGTGTGAACAATCAGAAATGAAAGCAGTTAATAAATAATTAAAGGCAAAATATTTTAACTAAAAAAAGTCACTTTAAAGGAGCCTTACTTCACTCTTTAAACAATAATAACAAAAATAAGACAATAAGCTAGTTAAGAAGGATGATTCAGACAATTGTCAATTTGTATTTTGATGTCAGGAAGCCTTTTATATTACTGCTTCAAATAGCAGGACACTTGTCAGATGGCTCATCCACCCTTTCTAAAACTTTTCCCTACAATGACTAAACTATATCTTTATAATTAGTTATGTATGTACTCAAGATAATAGACATGTAAGGACTAATGCAAAACAAACTATAAAATATGCATTTACCATTATCTTATTATCCTATTTTTCATTTATCTGTCTTTTTACTTTGTTTCCCAGGAACTGCCCTCATTTATCTCCCAGCACTATATTATAGTCCTGTGACAAGCCATATTGAAGCTGAGGCAAAAGGAAAAATCAGTAATATTGATCTTGTCTTTGTTTTAAAATTTATTTTGTTAATTTTGGATTTTTTAATTTTTTTATTTTCATTGTATTATATTAAAATATTATTTATTTAGATTGCTGAGTTGATTGATGCATACTCAAACTTTCACTCAAAGTGAGTGCCTCACTTGCTTCAGCCTAGTCACCACCCTGCTAACTTTTGCTTGGTTTGTACTCTTTCTTAAAGCTGTGTAAACCTGGTGTTCTTTGAAAACTTGTGGTTCATGAGTTTGCTTGTTAATGCAAACCAAGAACATCACATCTACTGTAGTGGAATTGAAATTATATAAATCAAATTTGTTTAAGTGGAAAAAATTGAAGAAAATTGAGGTAAAAAGAAAATAAAATTTCAAAATTGATGAAAACTCTGACTTAATATATTTAAAGATACACAATGATATTGTTACCAAGAAGGAAATTCCACCTACAAAAAAAATTGAATATGCAGAGAACTGACAGGAGTTCTTGGTTTTCAATCAATCTGTTTCTTTGTTTTCTCCACTCTACTCCATCTTTCATAATTTGCACAAAAGGTATCTTTGCTGCAAGTTCCTGAGACTGAGGAATTCCATAGCATGGGATCAATGATATTATTTATCTTTCCCCACTGACAGCTTAAGGTTTATTTTTTTTCAAACGTTTATTATTTACCTCTAGTCCAGAAACTTCCCAGATAGCAAAATGTTGTTGCATTGTTCTAGACCTCCAACCTCCCATTTTCAAAGTTTGTGTCTTGAAATGAAAACAAAACACTCTTTAGTGTCATTTTATTGGAGCTCAAGGATGGGAAGTAGATGTAAGTGTTCAATGTGCCACCTTTACATTAAATTTAGCTTTATAAATGTTTAATGTACCATTATATGTACCAATACCAATAATGTACCATTAGTAACATTAATATACCATTAATTAATGGTATATGTGAAAAACCTACACTGACATATTTATGAGAGAAAACACTGAACATGTTTCTAAACTTTGAGAATACAAGAAGCAAATCAATTATTACCACTGTGATTCAACATTGTAATAGAAGTCCCAGCCAGTGAAATAGGGTAAGAAAGAAATAAAAATGCAAATGTTGGAATGGAAGTCTTGATTATCAGATAACACTAGTATGTCTATAGAAAAGTCTATGGAATCGACAATAACAGTAATAGAATACTTGAATTTGTAAGTAAATTTAGCAAAGTCATAGGATTCAAGGTCAGTATAAAAATTAATTGTATTTCTATACAGCAACAATAGAAAATAAAAATATTAAAATATTACCATTTATAATAGCACCAAGAAACATCAAGTGGGAATAATTGTAACAAAATTTGTGAGATTCATATTATGAAGACTACAAATTGCTTCAACGAGAAATAATATAAGACAAATTAAATATAAAGACAAATATCATCTTCACAAACGAGAAGACTCAATGTTTCTTTAGATCTTAATTATCTTTGATTTGTTAGCTTTAATGCATTTTTAATCAAAATGTTACAAGAAGTTAAAACAACTCATAAGCTGACTTTAAAATAAAATAGAAAGGGCCAGGTGTGGTGGCTCACACCTGTAATCTCAGCACTTTGGGAAGCCAAGGTGGGCATATCACGAGGTCAGGAGTTCAAGACTAGCCTGGCCAACATGGTAAAACTTCATCTCTACTAAAAATACAAAAATCAGGTGGTGTGGTGGTGGGTGCCTGTAATCCCAGCTACTTGGGAAGCTAAGGCAGGAGAATGACTTGAACCCAGGGGGCAGAGGTTGCAGTGAGCCAAGACCATGCCATTGCACTCCAGCCTGGGCAACAGAGCAAGACTCCATTTCAATAAATAAATAAATAAATAAATAAATAAATAAATAAATAAATAAAATAGAACAAGATGTAGAATGGTAAAAATAATCTTGAAAATAAACACACTTGTTAGAGTTACATAACCTTGTTCCAAAACTTGCTCTAATGCAACAAAAATAATAGAAAAATTTGGCCGGGCGTGGTGGCTCACGCCTGTAATCCCAGCACTTTGGGATTTACTTTCTATGTTTCTAAGATAAGGGCTGGTTCAGTGGACATAGTTACATATCAGCAGAATCCCAACTCCTTAAACTAGTATTAATCTTTCACAAATCTTGTCCTGATCTACTTTAATATGTAACTTTTATCCATAGCAGCTGTCAAACATAATATTTTCTATCCTCTTACATTTAGCTGACATGCCTGCCAAAATAAGCAACTAATTCTTACTAAACACCTTCTTCATACCTTTCCTGATTCCATTTCCTATGCCAAGAATCCCTCAGTTTTCTTCAAAGCCTAGGTTCAAATCAACATCTGCAATGTACTTTTGCTGCTTCCCTCAGCTGAAAATGATGTCTCATTCGTCTTAATACTATAAACTTTATAATATACTTTCATATTAAGTAATACTTAATACTTCTTAATGGATATTGACATTTTCAACTTACACTTTATAGTTAAAGCTCTACTGTATTTTAAAGTGTATATTAAATTTCCCCACTGTGTATCATTTCCATGGTGTTAGAGTTAAAAATTTACAATGGTAAATCCCCTGCAGATCTCTGCACAGTTTCATACATAGTTAACCCTCAACAAATGCTTGTAAAATAAATGAATGGATGCTTTTAATAATCATAGGTGTTTGTGTGTTTCTTTAAACTATTTCAAAAGATATCCACAGAAAATTTCATAATTTATTCTAGACAATACTAGTTATGTATTCCATGTCATAGGACACAGGAAATGCTACCTACAAATATAGACTTATTGTAGACTGAGTATTTTAAGCTGAAGGAAATTAAGAAAACCATAGAAGCAGAAAGATCTCTCTGACCTTCTCCTGTCCCCTCTTTTGAGGACCCTAATGTGATATGCACTTACTCATATCTATAGGGTAGGAATGTTACACAAAGAGGCCAAAAAGAATCTGAACAAACAGGCCTTGCCAAGTTACTCCCCAGTTTATTGCCATTAGTACGTATCATTTTTATCAAATTATTCTTTTACATAACTGTCCATTCTTCATTCCACCCCATGGATAAAAATACATTTTTCACCATTTCTCTGGGACTTTATTGCTGAAGGCTCCTGTGTCATGTAAAACTTTGAATAAATAAATTTGTTATACTTTTCTCTTGTTAATCTGTCAAGGAGTGCCAGCCAGAAATCTTGAGACCAATGAGAAAAATATATTGGCATACATATGGCATTTAATATCTAATAAGTTTTTAGTAGCTTTTGTTGTCTACTGAGGTGTGATGCTTACTGAATTCTCTATTTATTTACAAAGTCTATCTGTAAATATTTTGTTAAATAAACCAGTGATTACATAACTTTTGGATCTGTGTGATAGTCTTATTTATAGAATTATCTGGTTTTCATTATCTGATTTCATTCAGTCAACAAAATGTTTTGATTACTTATTATATTACAGGCACTATGCTAGGCACTGTATATAGTGTTTAAGTTTTGTGGGAGAGATACACAAATAAACAATAAACAATTATACTTATTATGGCAAGTGTCATGAAGTAAAAGAAGTCTATGAGAGATAATGGCTAGATTGAAATGTTACAAAAGGTCTTTCCAAAGAGATCTTCAAACTACTTCAGCAGAGTCTGAGAAATAGGGAGCTATCATATAGCAATTATTATCCCTATACATGTATATATATGTTAGCAGTGGTGAATCCATGTGGGTCTGCAGCAACCTCAACTCTGGTCTTCTTAGAAGAAAGAATTCGACCTGGGGCAAAAGGCAGAGTGAGAGGCCAAGGCAAGTTTTAGAGCAGGGGTGAAAGTTAATTAAAAGTTATAAGAAGGAAGGGCATGAATGAAAGGAAGTAAAGTATACTTGGAAGAGGGCCAAGCAGGCAACTTGAGAGATTCAAGTGTGAAGCTTGAGCTTTGACTTGGCATTTTGTACATTGGCATGCTTCCAAGCGGTTGCATCCCTTCTCCCTTGATTCTTCCCTTGGGGTGGGCTGTCTGCCTGCACAGTGGCCTGCTAGCACTTGGGAGGGGTTGCATGAGCAGTGTGTTTACTGAAGTTATACGCATGTACAACTGTGGCATTTTTCCCTTACAAGTCGAATGTTTAAACTCTACCATTTTGCCCCTTAGTGACTTGAGGCATTTTTCCCTTCCCAGTTGAGTATTCCTAGAGGAAGGTCATATACCAGTTAAACTCTACCATTCTGCCTCTTAGTGTGCATTCTTGAGCACACTTACTCAACTTCTGAGATCTTATTAGGAAACTGCTGATCACCAGTTTCTGGTGTTTCTATCTATTAGGAGACTGCTTTTCCCTGGCATGGGCTGCAACCAATAATTCTTTTAGAGAGACAGTTTAACAACTGCCTGATCATAACCTGATCGTCTCCTGGCATTCCTGGTGGTTGGTAGGGAGGGGCCTCTCCTGCCTTGCTCATGTCTGCCTGACTACCTAATGTAACATGTGGAGCAGAGGAAAATTTACGAAAGATAGAACTATTTAAAACTACCACTATAATCTGAGCAGCAAATGTTTGTGAAATCTTGTAAATGTCTCTAACAAATACAACCTAATAGGTTGTATATTTATAATAGTATTTATAAAAACATAAAAAACACAAAAGGTCTAATAGGTTCCCTACAGTAATGCCCTAATTATGCTTTAATTCATCAATAAGAAAATTCTGGTTTATGTTGAGTATTCCACATTTACACAACTGGGACAAAATTAAAAGAGTATACCATGTAAATGCAGCGTAAAGGCATCATTTGTATCTACTTGGAAGAGTCTTTCTTTGCTACTTCATGAAATTATCTCATTTGTTTTGGATTGCAATACAGAATATAATGAACAATTTTAAATTATAAAAATAGAAAAAAAATCAGTTTATGTTGCTCATTTACCCACAGTAAAGACTTTTGTCACGGCATGCTAAAAATACTTTAGAAAGATTTTACTGATTGCTTTCATTTAACTGCCACTTTGCCATTTATTGGCTTAATTTTGCACAGAATGAAGCACACTTAAAACTCAAGGAAAGATATTAGGTTTTAGTTTTACACACTCCATCATGAAAATAATAAAATGAAGAACGGATTTTTTTTTCTTTTTTTGGTATTTGCCAAGTATCTCTCAAAAAAAAAGAAAAAAAAAGCCCCAAATCTCTCAAGTCACTCAAGACAATCTAAGCACACAAAAATAAGCATATTTTCCTTTTATATTCCTCTCGAATTCAAACCAATATCTATCTCATTTTACAACACATGCCATTGTCTTTCAAAATATATGAAGTAATCAAGTAAAATTTCCACAGTAAAAAGCCATATCGTAATTGGGAAAAATCTTTACTTTTTAAAGGTTTTTTTTTGTGTGTGTGTGTGAGACTTGCTTCAAAGCAGCTCTGCATTTTTTCAGTGTAAATTAATGAGCTTAAGTAAATATCCTTTTGTTTAAATAAATAAAGGAGCTATGAAAGTGCATCCATCAAGAGCTAGGCCATTAAATTGAAACATATCTATAACTACTTAATTATCAGAATAAATGACTGTGCTAAAAGAGGACAGGTTGATTAACATTTTTTTTGTTACAAACACTTGCATATTAAGTGATAGTCAAGTTTTTGTGAATCCTTTTGCTGTTGAAATGTTTCAAGGGATCATCTAACATATGTTCAAGTTACCAGCAGAAAAAGGCTATATGAAACAAGCATACATCATCCAATAGCATGAGTCTGACGACCCCTGAATATGACCTGCTCCCAGAGGAAACCAATATAATGCTCTATCGCACACAGAGTAGTATGTATGAATGACAGAACCTCCTGATAAATTAATGACAGGTACATCTGAATAGGATTCCTTCTAAGTCACTTATCTGCAGCCAGGCAAACTTGTCTCACCCTCACTTTCAAAGATAAAGCCACATGGCATGTTTCCTTAGCAGATTCTCACAAAGCAAACAGCCCCCATTGGCCATTATTGGGGAAAAAAATTCCCCTTATTATTTCAGGTAATGTGACAGCAAATGGTATAAAGTGAAAACTATCTTCCAGTTGAAAATTCATCATTTACCCCTCTCTCTCAACTATCAGGCCTTACGTCCTCTCTAACTTTCACAGGCTCTGTGCCTCTTGCTCTTTTACTTTTATTTTTGACAGTTCTGCTATCCCAGAGTTGTAGCCATGGCAGGGTTCAAGAACAAAACAGCAGGCTATCAAAGACAACTTATCACAGGCCAAACAGTGAGCAGAGATGGCCACCATTAGCGAGTAGCCAAAAGACAGACTGATGACAGAGCAAAGAAGAAAAGTGAACCAAGCTTCATCATTAACTGATAGCTTATTCTGTTTAGAAAATCCAAGAGAAAAACTGGGATAATAAATATATGTCCTAAGTATTTAGGCATATTAGTCACAGAGATTTTTAAATTATGTTAAAAAAAGGCATGGAAAATGTTTATTTGTGAGGGATCTTATTTACACACTTTATCAACCATAAATACATTGGAATAGCAAAACCATGTAAAACCATATGCCTTAAACTGAATATCAGTTAATAGCACAAATACATTATCTTCTTCAGAGTTAAGTATCTATTATTCTTTTAAACTAAACAGTAAAACAAACATATCAATTCTCACTTTCTGTATTCCTTATAAGAATGCAGAAATTGCACTTAATCAAGACTATCTCATTATATATCTTAACAAATGCCATATCATATTACCAGGACAGTTATATAGCATAGTAAAATTCAGTAACACAAATCAACAGGACTCACGTTTTAGTTTCTGTAGAGATAGCCTTTCTCACGCAGAATCAGGGCTGTGCTTTCTGGGTGAGTCTGTGTTAAATTAAAATGACAAAAATCTTAGTTTCTCATTCCACTGTCACTTAGAATGCATGCAAATAAACTCCCAGTTAGTCAAGGGGAAAAAAATTGCATTAAAGAGTCCTGATTTGTAAATGTGGTCTTTTCAAATGTAGATGATGTTTACCCCTCTCTCTCCCCCAATATCTTTGCAAAATTTCAGCCCAATGAACTCATTGCTGTAGAAACTTAACTAAGGCTATGGTCAGTTAATGAAATTCAAGTCTGGGATTAAGCTCCATAAACATGCAAAATGGCTGGGCATCTGGAATTGGGAGAGACATGGATGATGCTGGAAAGAAAAAGAAATAAGCCATGTAACTTAGAGAATAAACAATATGATCAATTTAGCTAAATTATCTGTTGTCCTATATATGAGGTGATTCACAGTACCCTAAATGTTTAAGAAATAAAAGCAAAATGTTTTGAAAATATTACCAATACCATATCCAATGACACTTTGGGGGATATAAATATAGCTACTAAATTTACCTTCTTTGAAATTACACAGGTTTAATTAGATTGGATGTATTTCCTTTATAGCCGCAATAATTTAAACCACATTAAACACCATTCAAAATATGAAAGAACTTCAGTTAGTAGGCAATAAAAATTATTATTTCTGGTCTATTTAGCTACTATGTTATAGTGTTACTTGATTTGCAATGTACTTCAAAGTCATCAGTAATTTCTTAGAAGTTTTAGCAAATGCAGAACTAAGATGTTCAATTAAAACATTAAACTCTACCTGTGAACCTCCATATTATAATAATGTTATTTTATTTTTTATGAGTTAGGAAAATGTAAAAATGTATTCAGAAAAATTCATTTGAATATTTAAAATTTTAACTGCTATGTATTATTCCCCAGTTTATTTAAATTATATAAATGCATAGTCATAATAGTTTTTCCATTATTACATGTCAAGATTTTTATACTGTATTATGGAATATTTTTGAATTTTCTAGTTAACTATCCATTAACTCAACAAATATAAATGTAGATCAGGAAGCCCTTAACATTCCCTCTGCTTGACTGAACTATATATAGGTTTCTTTCTGACTCTAGGCCCCTAACCTCTTTTTACTTAGAACATTTATTTCAGAACACTTGTTATTTTATTATTTTTCTACCCCTTTGAGATGTAAATCTTCTCTCTGCACCTTGCTAGTTTTACAACCCAGTAAAGTCTTTCTCTAGGATCCAGAGATACATCCCTTTGAAATGTAAACATAAAGAAAAATAATGGCCTTATCTCCCAGTCTCTATGGGAGAGTATAAGCCTAACTTAGATGAGCAATATTAGCAAACACAGATGGCCTGATAACACTGGCAAATCCCCTCACTAATATCCTCTGGTAGAATGGTTTCTTGGGGTTGGTTCCAGGAACCTCACAGATACCAAAATTTGTAGATGCTCAAGTCCCTTAAAAATCATCTCTAGATTGAGGAGAGCCAAAATTACCTGGTGACCATCCAGAGGCAAAACTCTTTATCTGTGGAATTCAGAAGTAATTATACTGTTATTTAAAGCCCACATCTTGTTCCAGGTTTCTTTGCAAAAAACATATAGTAACTAGAATTTCTATACATCTCTGGAATGCATGACTATCAAAACTCATTGTGCAACCCTTACTGACATTAAGGCACCAAAATGTCTACAAATGTAATCATTTATCATGACCTACATGGCTAATATGGTCCAAAATACTCTTAATCTCCCGCTTTAAGGTCCATATATACCTCTAAAGAAAAATCCACCATGGCATGCTCAGTCCTCTCTTGCTGAAGCGTCCCACTGCACTCTTCTGCAGTGTTCTTTCTAACAAAACCTTCCTTTTTTAAACCTATACTGATGTTGATAAATTCTTCTTACCAACCCTTGCGTCAACCACTTTCCAATGCCTGTACTTTGCCACCTCCCTGGCATAGATTACTTAATACCATGTAAGTGTTATGTAAATAGTTGCTATCCTGTATTTTTATTTGTATTATTTTTATTGTTGCATTGTTACTTTTTTTGTTTTCCAAGTATTTTTTATTCACAGTTGGTTGAATCCCATGGATGAGGAACCTGCAGATACAGAGAGACAATTATACTTTCCACTAGTTCACCTAATTTGCGAACAATCCTACCACCTTGTGTTTCAGTAGAGTTCAGTTCAATATCTCCCCTTCTTTGTAATAAATGCCAAATACACTACTAATCTTATAAATCTTCCTTGCCTGTTTAACTCTAAGTGCAATTTTTCTTTCACATTCTCAGGTGTCTATTATGTGCCAGCAGGCACTCTGCTAATTCAGTGCTGTGCAAGGTATGCCTTGATAATACCTACTATCTAGCACAAGACTGATACAAATAATTTGATATTTAAAGGACAGTGATAATGCTGTGTCTGGGAAAACAGAAGGGAGGTGCCTGATAAAAGAGGAACAGAGAATAAAAAGTATAATAGAGGAAATATCATCAAAGCCAGTCACTTCATGGTATTATCCAGGCAATTTTCAGTAGGGAAAACACTCCAGGAGGACATCAGCACATGTGAAAACCTAGAAAGAAGATAAACATTACAGTATGAAGACAAGAAAAATCAGAATGGCTACAGTGTATTCAGTGAAATGGGAGGGGTGTCAGGAAATGAGGCTAAAACAAAATAAGAGAAAGGAAAGGCACTTATTTTTCAATATTTGTATGCGAGTTCACTTTTATTTTAATCAATAGATTAATGAGCAAGACAATATAACTTAATATTCACTGCCAAGGGCTTTGGTGTCAGACTAACAGGTTTTGAAATTTGACTCTACCTCTCATAAGTTGTATAATATTAGGCAAGTTGTCTAACCTCTCTAAACTTCAGCTTCTTCATTTCATTCATAAGGATAGTACATGAAGTTTTATGTGGATTAAAGGGAATTGTACCTAAAATATTAACTTAAGTCTTGGTACACAGAAAATGATCGATGATGATGATGATGTGGTGATGATGATAGAAACCAATCTATGATACTGACAGTGAAGTACACATATACTATATACTAGGTCCTGGGAGTTACAAAGTGTTTGAAGAAAACAGAAATTGCTGGAGTGTTTTTAAAATGGAAATATATTATCTAATTTACATTTTGAAATAATATTCTGATGTTTTTAAAGTTGGGAAGTGGCTGGGCATGGTGGCTCATGTCTGTAATCCTAGCACTTTGAGAGTCCGAGGAAGGTGGATCGCTTGAGCCTAGGAGTTCAAGACCATCCTGGGCAACATGGCGAAACCCTGCCACTTAAAAAATGTAAAAATTAGCCAGTTGTGATAGTCCCAGCTACTTGAGAGGCTAAGGCAGGAGAATCACTTGAGCCCAGGAGGCAGTGGAGATGGCAGTGAGCTGAGATAGTGCCATTGCACTCCAGTCTGGACGACAGGAATGAAATCTTGTCTCAAAAAAAAAAAAAAAAAAAAGTTGGGAAGTGAATGTTATAATTCAGGCAAGATACAATAGCGGTGTGAGAACAGATAGTAGAAGCTAAAACTTTGTTTGAGTAAATATTTGCAGATACATTAACTAAAAGTCGACATTTACTGAAATGATGGGTTTATAATAGGATGGCCTAATAATAGGATAAACATACTTCTGCTTTTTAACTGTTATCTGAATGTAATTATTAATAGCAGAGCCTTCTACTTATAAAATTATCCTTGTTTGGATGATGAACTATGTTGTAGAAGTCTTTGTAGGAATCACTTCATATGTTTTATAAGAGAATTGTTTAATCAAGCCAATCAATCGAGTGGATGACATCTTCAAAATATAATATAGCAGCAATCATAAGAGAAAGAGCTTTCAGGTGCAATGTTATAACCGCCCAATGGGTTCACCTTGCCTGCAGCCTAGACAGAGCTGATTTACCAAGACAGGGGAATTGCAATAAAGAAAGAATAATTCATGCAGAGCCCACTGTGTGGGATACTAAAGTTTTATTATTACTCAAATCAGTCTCCCCGAACATTCGGGGAGCAGAATTTTTAAGGACAACTTAGTGGGTAAGGGTAAGCCAGCAAACTGGGAATGCTGATTGGTCAGGGATGAAGTCATAGGGAGTCAAAGCTGTCTCTTCCCGCTGAGTCAGTTCCTGAGTGGGGGCTACAAGATCAGATGAGCCAGTTTATCAATCTGGGTGGTTCCAGCTGATACATCAAGTGCAGGGTCTGCCAAATATCTCAAGCACTGCTCTTGGGAGCAGTTTAGGGAGGGTCAGAATCTTCTAGCTGCGTGACTCCTAAACCATAATTTCTAATCTTGTGGCTAATTTCTTAGTCCTACAAAGGCAGTTGAGTTCCCCGGTAAGAAGGAGGTTTGTTTTGGGAAAGAGCTGTTATTGTCTTTGTTTTAAATGATAAACTATAAACTAAATTCCTCCCAAAGTTAGTTCAGCCTATGCCCAGGAATGAACAAGGACAGCTTGGAGGTTAGTAGAAAGATGGAGTCGGTTAGGTTAGATCCCCTTCACTTTCTCAGTCATAATTTTGCAAAGGCAGTTTCAGTGGCTGACGCCTTTAATCCCACCACTTTGGGAGGTCGAGGTAGCTGGATCGCTTGAGGTTAGGAGTTTGAGACCAGCCTGGCCAACATCGTGAAACCCCATCTCTACAAAAATACAAAAATTAGCCAGGCATGGTGGCACACACCTGTAGTCCCAGCTACTCAGGAGGCTGAGGTATAAGAACCGCTTGAACCCAGGTGGCAGAAGTTGCAGTGAGCTGAGATAGTGCCACTGCACTCCAGGCTGGGTGACAGAGTGAGACTCCATCTCAAAAAAAAAAAAAAAAAAAAAAAACAGAGAGAAAGAGAGAAAGAGCTAATATTTATTTGAGCACATTTATCTGTCAGATGCTGCTTTATGCTGATAACATGCATTATGTCATTTAATGCCGAAAACAACCCTATGAAGTTGGTATTATTGTTATTATTGTTATCCCTATTGTACAGATGAAAAAATTGGAGCACAAAGAGGTTAAACAATCTGTCCAAGTTACATAGCAAATGAAGGCACATGAATCCAAACCAGAGAGTCTGCCTCCAGAGTCTGTGCATTTAGCCCCTATGCAAAAAGTGCCAGAAATAGAGTAGTTTTAAGAGCAGGCAATGCTCATATAGGGCTACTATTATCTAAGAAGATAGTAAAGAATCAGCTGTGGGCAATAGTAGAATAAACTATGTCGGCAAGGTAGAAAGCACAAAGATGATGATATCAGAGTAGCTTCAATTAGGAAATGATATTTCAGATAGATTTTAAAGAATGAAAAGAATATTTGCCTCCTTAAAAGGTCTACTTCAAATGAAAATTTATAAAGATACATGTTTTTCCTTGATTATTCCAATCAAATTTGATCACTCAATCTTCTAAATGTCTTTGTATTAAACATATATAAAAATATGTTTTCTTACCACAGACAGATCTGAGATCAGCAACATTCTGAGAAACTTCCATACACTTACATTATTTATATGAAAATTTACAATTCAAACTATTTATCTTAGCCTCTCTGATTAATATTCTATCTTATAGTATATACACACACACCTACACATGCACACACACACACAAAGACACACAGAGCAAATTTTAGTATCCAAGACACTCTTGCCACAATAGTTTTTCTTTTCCTCAAGTACGCCAAACTTTGGCCTTTTTCCTTTCTCTGTTTAATCTTTTCCAAATCTTAGATTGGTAGCTCTTTCTTATGTTTCTTCTAGGCTACAGTACATAGAGCAGCACTTTGGTTTTATTTTTTAAAATCTTCTGGGGACAAAGCCTTTATCTAGATATTGCAACTTCTCCTCTGCTCTACTTCCTGTAAAGATGCTTGTCCCCATTTGAACATTGAATATATTAATAAGTGAGTAGATAAATTTGGCTTAATTCTGAAGTTCTTGTCCACTAATATAAGTTACAATCTCCAGATTAGCTTTTATAAATAACAGAAGAGTTCATTTTGCTTCATGTGCTTTTATTCTTTATTTCAGTCAGATATTAAGTAAATCATCTTAAAGAACATAACATAATTTATATCTTCAAATTACTTCTATAATTTTTATCCACAATGTCTGACACTCAGAAATAATCAAGTAAAAGGGAAGTCAAGGCTTGATTAAATACCAAGAGAAAAATAAAATAACCAGGGAAATTAGAAGACGTTTTGCATCAGATGAATGAAAATAAAGCAGTGTTTAAAAAATGTTTAGCTTGAAAGCCTATATTCAACAAAAAGAATGATTTAAAATAACCAAAGCAGCCACATTAAGAAACTAACAAAGAAAGGCTGATCTAATTTCCAAGCAAGAAAAAAAGAAGGAAACCATAAAGATTCTATAGAAGAACAATAAAATAGTAACAGAAAGATAAAATTGTAGAAAAATCAATTAAAGCAAAAGTTGACTCACTTTTCAGATAAAAGCTTTGATAAATTTTGGTTAAACTGGCAAGCAGAGAAGACAGAAGACACAAATTTTAAGAATCCAACATAAAAGGATATCATTATTGATGACTCTTTGGAAATAACACAGGTTATAAAGATACTGTGGCTTGGAACTAGAAGACCTACACAGTGGAATAACCAAATAGAAGAATCCTGGGTTCCTCATAGAGTGAACATGATAGTGTGTGTACACTGGAGAGACATAAAGGAGTTCAGAAGAAGTCTTCACAAGTAAACTTTTGAGGTTACTCTCTCACCTTAAGGCCCAAGTTTAACCTGGTTGATTTTAAGTTCTTTAACAAGAAGTTTCCAAAATATTTAAAAGGGCTTATAAAAGTAAATATTTAAAAGGGCTTATAAAAAAATATAAAAGTGGCCAAGATGGCTGACTATAAGCAGCTAGTGCTTGTGGCTCTCACGGAGAGGAACAAAAGGGGCAAGTAAATACAACACCTTCAATTGAAACACCCATGTACTCACATTGACATTAATCACAGAAACAACTTGACCCACAGAGAATGAAGCAAAGCAAGACAAGACAATGGCCCACCTGGCAGCAACATGGAGTCAGGGGATCCTCCCCAGCCCAGGGAAGCCATAAATGAATGAGCCACCCCAGGAAACTATGCTTCTCCCACAGATATTTGCTACCCTAGGGTCAAAAGATCTCCTTGTGAACCCACTCCACTAGGGCCTTCAATCTTCAGTCTGTCAGACAGAGCTACATGGAGTCTCAGCAGAGCAGCTGCTCAGGTGTGCATGGAAACCATGGAGCCTTAGATACTTCGACTTTCTGGCAAAAGTAGCTGCTGCTCTAGCAAAGTAGAAGGTTAGACTCCTGTACATAACCCCAGGCAAGAGGCTGAATCCAGGGGGCTGAGCAGCAAAAGCCCATAGGCTGCATTTCCAGAGCACCTCACAAGATTAGACCCACTGGCTTAAAATTACAATCAGCTACCAGTAGCAGCACTGCACTCCCCTAAGAAGGATCTCCCAGAAGGAGGGTCAGGCTCCCATCTTTGCTGTTCAGGAGCCTTTGCCATTCCAGCCTTCAGGCTTTGGAGAGCCTGAGCCAACCCAGGGCAGATGGGATCCCCCAGCACAGCACAGCTGCTCTACCAAAATGTGGCCTGACTGCTGCTTTAAGCAGGCACTCAATCCTGGGCAGGACCTCCCAGTCAAGGCCTTCAGCCACACCCACCTGAGCTCTCCAGCCATCAGACATCTGAATTGCCCTAGGACGGCACTCCTAGAGGAGAAGGTAGGTCGCCATCTTTGCTGTTTGGGTGACTTAACCATTCGAGCCTTTGAGCATTGGAGTGCCTGAGGTGACAGAGGGCTGAAGTGGACCCCCAGCGCAGCAGAGCTGATTTACCAAAATATGGCCAGACTGCTTTTTTTAAGTGGGTTCCTGTCAAGTTCCTTCTCTCTGGGGGGGACCTCTCAACTGGGGTCTCCAGCCATTTCTTATACATGCTTATAGGCTGGCAACAGGTCCATACCTCCCTGAAACAAAGCTCCCAGAGGGAGGGACAGGCTATCATCTTTGCTGTTTTGCAACCTTCACTGGTGATGCCTCCAGGTTCTGGAAAATCTGAGGTGACTAGGGAATGGAGCAAGCCCCAAGCATAGCATAGTAGCCCTATGGAAAAGTAGACAGAGTATAACGTAGGTGCTTGTTTCCATGTCTCCTCAGCAGGCAGGTCCTCCAGGTCTGGTACTCCAGCCACCCCTGAAGGAGCTATCAAGACAGTACCAACTCAGCAACTCCCTGGAAAGAGCCTCCAGGGGCAATTCAAAGCCTCTCTGCCACTGCCTATGCAGTGGAACTGCCCTTGCCATCCTTGGGCTAATGAAGGAGCAAAGACCCTAAGTGCCTCATCCACACCTCCATCAAGCTTCAGCCAATTCAAGGAGAGGTGTCAGTCTGTCTCCCACAGGTCCCACATACGCTCCATGGCTCATCACCACGCCCGGCTAATTTTTTTGTATTTTTAGTAGAGACGGGGTTTCACCATGTTAGCCAGGATGATCTCGATCTCCTGATCTCGTGATCCGCCCACCTCGGCCTCCCAAAGTGCTGGGATTACAGGCGTGAGCCACTGCTCCCAGCCATGGTTTTTTTTTATATTGTCATATATTTCCAGTATCTAATGCAATGTCAGCCTCAATAAATATTTGATGAATGTAACTTGGCAGTTAGCCATGCCTTTTCAGTGAATGATTCATAGGAAACACCCAATGCAATCGATTGATTATAATTACCAAAGAAAGATCGCTGCAAACAGAATGTATTACATGTTGTTTTCCTCATCATGATGACTGTCTTTACTAGATAGGGTAGAAACATAAGTAATTCAAAAAAACTAAAGAGTAATAAAACGACTCAAATGAGATTGAGATAGAAAGCTCAGGGCTGTTTTGGAAGTTTGTGGTCACTAACGACTCAGGATTCTTGCTGCTTTGCCACTCTTAATGGCTTCTACCTTTAAATTACAACATTGCTACTTCAGTTCCAGGTAAACTATATAGGCTCCAGAAAGCAGAAGACAGGAAGAGATGAGGGCAAAAGAAACATACATATACTGGTTGAGCATGTCCAATAAAAAGAGCTGTTCTTGACACTGACCCAGTAACTTCAGCTTTACATGTTATTGAAAACACCTTTCAAAAAGGAAATTGAAATGTAGATGTTTTGATCAATGTATCGTCACCTCAAACAATATACTGATCTGTTAGTAAGATAGATAGGAGAAATATAAAGCATTTTTCTCCTCCCTTATGGAATGTGTCCATTTTTAGTTATTTGAGCATATTGCATCCTAAAACTGTTTTTTTTAACAAAACCTATTGGAAATATGTCTTGGAAAAACATATATTTTATTGTATATTTTCCTTTAAGCCTATTGCCCAAAAATTCTAAACAAGGGAAGCTCAGTATTAGAAATGGATTTATGGTTCAAAACATTAAAAAATTGAGAAATGCATTGTGTAAAACCGAAAGACAAACCTCACCTGGATTCCAGATACATACATGAAGATACAACACTATGTATTACACTGTGTACACTTTCAAATATATCTTCATCAAAAATCAGACGAGACATCAACATCTTATCTATCGATCTTCCCCAACTACCCTCTTCTCAACTCTTATGAAGCCTCATTCAGTTAATTCTTTATGTAAAAAACTATTGAAGTTAAGCCATAGCAGCAGGAAAGCTTTTTTTTTCTTTTCATTTTTGAATGTGTTTTTTTTATAGGTCTGTGTGCTTACATATGAGTGCACGCCTGCTGTTTGGCCATTCTTTCACACCAAACAATGAATCCACACAGAGATAACCTGAATTGGGAGTTTAGCAGTGCTGCCATTTCTTCATTCTACCTTTGTTTAACTTTTCTGTCACTAGTTCTAAGCTAAAAACAGAATAAATTGCCAGAATAAAGTAAGAATTGCAGATTCTCAAAATGTATACCCTCCCCCAATGCAGAAAGATAGTCTGATATTTGAATTCCCAAGGGAATTTCTTCAGAAACATTGAATAAATGGGGTTGAAAAATTCAAGGATGCAAACACTTAAGAAAGGTATGGATGGACTCAATACATTTAAAAGAAAAACATTCTAAGGATTCAAGAATGAATTACAATTTGAAATGAAATCATTTTTATATTTGTGCTTACTTTTAACTTTAGGGACTATTCTATCACAAGGGACTTTGCTTTTAATTGATTAGGTAAGGCGCTGAAGAACTAAATAGACTACTCTTTTTATTCCTTGACAGTTTTGCTGTTTCAAGAAAGAAAAGCATTCCTGGGCCAAAAGAAACATGAACTGACTTCTGAAAAATAACACTTTTAAAATTTTGTCAAACATTGTTAATACAATTATATGAAATTAAATTATCTCTCTCTACTGTTTCTTCTTAGTGTGTCAGAAATACTAAACAGGTTCCAATTGATTGTACTTTACACACATTGAATACAGACTATACAAAGTGTTTAAAGATTTGTAAGATTTAAAAGACTTATTTAAGAAAAATGTCATTTTCTTTAAGTGTTAAATAGACAGCAATATAGTTCTATCTCTTCTCGGTGTGTGTGTGTGTGTGTGTGTGTGTGTGTGTGTGTGTATGTGTGTGTGTGTGTGTGTAGCGGCAAGAGGGGCACATTGAGAGGAAGCACAAGATTTCTCTAGAGGAAGCTGTTGCCCACTGCATTAATACATGTGACATATTGACATATTTAATCCATCAAACATAAGGCTTGCTTCCATTTAGTTTGTGACAATTTGAACAACTATGTACAGGTAAATACATTGCTGTTAGCTTTGTATTTTCTATAAACACTCCTAAGGAGAATTAAGATAAAATCACTGAAGAATTATTCCACTATTTATGCATGATGTTTTAATGTGTTCCTTTTTTATTTTAAAATTTTAACACAAAATATTTTGAACAGACAAATATGTCACACAAATGATACCCAACATAATGTAATATACTTCAGTTTCAGGAAAATGTTAAGAACATCATACATAAAGCTGTGACTGACCTTAAGTTTCTAAAGAGGAATCAAGCTGCACTCACATTACTTGTTTGCTTATTTTTTATGCTCACTTTCTTATTTATTTATTTATTTTTATTTTATTTTATTTTTATTATTATTATACTTTAAGTTTTAGGGTACATGTGCACAACGTGCAGGTTTGTTACATATGTATACATGTGCCATGTTGGTGTGCTGTACCCATTAACTCGTCATTTAGCATTAGGTACATCTCCTAATGCTATCCCTCCCCCCTTCCCCCACCCCACAACAGTCCCTGATGTGTGATGTTCCCCTTCCTGTGTCCATGTGTTCTCTTTGTTCAATTCCCACCTATGAGTGAGAACATGCAGTGTTTGGTTTTTTGTCCTTGCAATAGTTTGCTGAGAATGATGGTTTCCAGTTTCATCCATGTCCCTACAAAGGACATGAACTCATCATTTTTTATGGCTGCATAGTATTCCATGGTGTATATGTGCACATTGTTGGACATTTGGGTTGGTTCCAAGTCTTTGCTATTGTGAATAGTGCTGCAATAAACATACATGTCCATGTGCCTTTATAACAGCATGATTTATAATCCTTTGGGTATATACCCAGTAATGGGATGGCTGGGTCAAATGGTATTTCTAGTTCTAGATCCCTGAGGAATCGCCACACCGACCTTCACAATGGTTGAACTAGTTTAAAGTCCCACCAACAGTGTAAAAGTGTTCCTATTTCTCCACATCCTCTCCAGCACCTGTTGTTTCCTGACTTTTTAATGATCGCCATTCTAACTGGTGTGAGATGGTATCTCATTGTGGTTTTGATTTGCATTTCTCTGATGGCCAGTGATGATTTTCTAAGAATAATATTTCTTACAGAAATAGCAAAAAGGGATTTTAGTGGTTAATTTTACTTCCAAATTTCAACCAAATTTAAATGCTATTTATATAAATTGTGCCCACTATTTTAAATCCTGGTTTGCATTATAATATGCAGCATCAGAAGAAGGCCACCTATCATTTGCTATACAAATATGGGCTATAATACTAGGTAGTTTTTTTGTTTTTGTTTTTGTTTTTGTTTTTTGACAGAGTCTCACTTCTTCGCCCAGGCTGGAATGCAGTGGCACAATCTCAGCTCACTGCAACCTCTGCCTCTCAGGGTCAAGTGGTTTTTCTGCATCAGTCTCCCAAGTAGCTGGAACTACAGATGTGCACCACCATGCCCGACTAATTTTTGTATTTTTAGTAGAGATGGGGTTTCACTATGTTGGCCAGGCTGGTCTCGAACTCCTGACCTCAAGTGATCTGCCCACCTCGGCCTCCCAAAGTGCTGGGATTACAGGTGTAAGCCACAGTGCCTGGCCCATAGTTTGTTCTTTGAAGTTAACAAACCACAATTTGTTTAACTATTCACCTGTTGAAATACATTATTACAATTAATAAAAATATGCCACTTAAAATGCTTTCAATTCTCACATTGGAGGATAACTGCAACTTTTGTTGTTATGCCTGGTGTGATGGTTAATATTGAGTGTCAACATGATTGGATTGAAGGATGCGAAGTATTGTTCCTAGGTGTGTCTGTGAGGGTGTTGCCAAAAGAGATTAACATTTGAGTCAGTGGACAGAGATAGGCAGACCGATCCTCAATCTGGGTGGGCACCATCCAACCGGCTGCCAGTAGGGCTAGAAAATGTACGTGGAAAAGTGGAAAAAGGTGGAATAAGCAGACTTGCTGTGTCTTCCGGCCTTCATCATACTCCCATACTGGATGCTTCCTGCCCTTGAACATTAGACTCCAATTTCTCTGGCTTTTGGACCCTTGGACTTACACCAGTGGTTTGCCAGGGGCTCTCGGGCCTTTGGGCACAGACTGAAGACTGCACTGTCGGCTTCCCTAGTTTTGAAGTGTTGGGACTTGGACTGATCCACCACTGGCCTCTTTGCTCCTTAAATTGCAGACGGCCTATGGTGGGACTTTACCTGTTATCGTCTGAGTCAATTCTCCATAACAAACTCCCTTTCATATATACATATATGCTATTAGTTCTATCCCTCTAGACAAACCTGACTACTACACATGGCATATTTTAAAAACACGGCCACATTAAGTCTAATTATAAAATATGTAGTATTTCATCACTGAATTCATGACTTACAGAGAAATATTAAGTATAAAAAAACACATGGCATATTTTAAAAACATGCCCACATTAAGACTAATTACAAAATATGAGTATTTGATCACTGAATTCGTGACTTATAGAGAAATATTAAGTATAAAAAAATACTGATTCCTTTCAGTTCTATGCTTAATTAGGAGAGCCAGTCTCTGAGCACCTTTGGAACAAATCCCGTTTGTCTCAGTTCCAAGAGTATACATTGTCAATTACTCATATCCCTAGGAACTTTACCTGCCAATGCTACCTTAGCTCCCAATAAAATTATAAGACATTTTCATATTTAAGTACTTGTCACCTCGTATAGACACATATTTACTTCTGGTTCTGGTAGAAAAGCAGCATGGATAACATTTAAATTATGGTTCATTCATTGGGATAGGCCATTTTACAAAGAGTCAGGAAAAATCGGACCATAAGCATAGTCCCCATGTTTCCTAGCCAACAATTCCTGACACTTTTATTACAAAAGCATTAAAGTAAAATTGTTATTTTAACTTTACTTCTCCTTTTTTCCTTTGAACTTTCATGTTCTGTCCTTTTAATTTTAATTCACATCAAGTTGATAAAATCATATTTTATTCTGTAACAATGTGCCTTCCTAATTTTTTCTTTAGGCTTATTCTAAGTGTGATAACCAAATTAATAAACATTTCCATTATTTGAAAGATACACACACAAACATTGTGTAACTGTTGTTTAGAATGATGTGTGTAAATTATACTTCTTCAAATTTAGTCCACTGTGACAAACCTTGGATCAATAAAATATTCCTAACATCTAGATGAATTAAATGATTTTTATTTACACTTATTGTTCGAAATCATTCCACATTTTACTTTACCTGACACTTCAGCAATAAATGTGCTACTTCTAAAAGTTGCCTTGCTTGTTCATAGAGGACTCAAATACTTTTATTATTATATTACTAATATCATTCACTCCTTAATCTTTTTCTTCATTTTAAAAAATAGAATTCATTTTTCTTTTTAAGATATTCTTAGAATCCACTGATATTTTAACTTAAATTCAACTAGCTGTTTTCTAGGCCTGTTACCTAGTTGGGATTTTTTTTTTCCACATAAATCTTCAGAATGTTTCATCATTTCTTGTTGCTATGCATTTCTCTTCCTTGGATTTTGCTGAATTATATGCTTAAGTAATTTCCTCACAAAAGGATGTATTTCAAAATAAATTGCATACATTATTGCTACCTAAAACTACATTTATGTGGCCCTGGCACTTGAATGATAGCTTGTCTGGGGATAGAATTTCAGAATTTCGAAGGCCTTGCATCACCATCTTTTGAGCATTTTACTCATGTAGCTTTCTGTATGAATCTCATTCAATAGTACGTGGTTTTTTAGTTGTTTAATTTTTTTAAAATATGTTTTTCCTCTGTGAAAACTTCTGACTCAATCATTCGTGATGTTTGGTATATTACAATGATGTGTATTTATATGAGCCTTTTATCATTCTTTTTGGTACTTGGAAACTTTTAAAAATCTTGTGACCATTTTCCTCAATCTGGGAAATTAAAATTGCTCTATTAATAGATTTTATTTTAAATAATTATTATCAACTTTGTGGAATTTTCTATTTTATCACTTTTATTATAATATCACTCAGTTTAAAAAGATGAACCACACCTACTGACTAAAATTAAGCATTTTGTTAGAATTATTCTGTTTGAGCTCAATAGCAATAAACAGCTCAATTTAATTTTCTTGAAACTAAAGTTCTTATTGCTTGGGTTTATTTCCACTATATTTTACAGATATGTGGTAACCATGTCCTTGAAATCTTATTGTAAATTAACTAACAAAGAACTGGGATATATTTTCACTCATAATGCCAGATGATTGGTGTGGGAAATTAGACCAACACTATGAATTTATCTTGCTCAGAGAAGCTACTTCCTACCCTTTTGTGGTCAGTGAACCAGGGCAGATCATTTTAATCCCATAAGGGGTGGAGGTAATTTAAGGCTGGGTAATATAAGGCCAGATGGCTCACTATACATCTGGCTCATTTCCACTGCTAGTAAACGTTGTATTGGTATTCCCAACTATGATCCTGCATTGTTTACAGAGTCCTCTTCCTTGTAGGTTCCTGAGCTCAAAATATCTTCCTCACTGTAGCAATGTCAAATCCTCTGCTCTGCTTTCTAGCCACATTCTGCAGAGCCTCTTGTAAACCCTCTGTTTTTCTTTTCTTTGTACCATCTAGGAACGAACTAGTGCTTCAACCAGCTAGGAACTCTGCTCATTCTACACTTTATCAGTGCATTTAGAAAGTACACTTGGCCACTGAAAATTACGAGCTACAAAAACTTCAAGTTAATTTACTCTGGATCACATAGCCAGTAAGAAGCAGATTTCATACATTACTCAGTTTTGTTTTGTTTTAACTCCAACTTTCAGTACATCTTTACTATGGACTTGCTACATATCTACTGTGACAAATCTCATTTGTTACGAATTATCTGTTGCCAGTCAATATTATCTGGAATTGTTAAATTTATCAATACCTTCTTTCTAATCTAAAATGTAAATATAATTTATTCCAAATATAATTTATTCCATAAATTCTTTCTAAACTAAAATGTAAATATAATTTATTCCAATATAAATATAATATATTCCAAAGTTATATAAATGTTTTAGGAAGTAAGATGATACAACCAAAAACTTTACCTATGTGATTTCTTGACCTCCTGTGCTATGTAGTTCAAGAATTTGGCAAATTCTTTGAAGGGGAAACTCAAAGTTTAGGGCTTGCTTCTCTTATCCTTTCTTTTCCTAGAGATTATTGCCCTTGTATCTTGGATAATTCAGGAACCCCAGACTTTAACATATTTCTCAAGCTCTATACCATTGCTGAAAGCTCTGCAGCCCTTATCTGGTCACCCTCTCTTGCTGCCTGGTATAGCAAACGTCCCAAGGAAAAATGAAGTGGGCTGAATGTTGAACTCACCTTAATGGGTTTCTTTTGCTATTAGATTTGGTCACAACTTCTGTTTTATTCACTGTTGTATTCTAACTGTGTAGCAGGTCCATGGTACAAGGCAGGTGTGCAATAAATGCTTAACAAATAACTAAATGAATGATGAATACCTTCAAATTTATTTTACAGAGCAAGCGTAAGCCTAGTGACAAAGCAAGAAAATGGAAACTATTGACCAATGCCCGATTCTGTTGCAACTATAGTCTAGATGTTATTTAAGATAATGATATCAAATGGAATTCACTTATGCATAAAAGAAAAAAGAACATACAATGATTAGGCTTGTGCCAAAAATGTAAGATTGCTACCTATAAGAATATATACACAAGCAACACATTGTAAACTGTGGTTTACATATTCAGAAATCAATTTGCATTTCAAAAATCTCTTCAAATATTTGTAATAGCAACAATTAGCAATTTTTAATATATTTTACAATAGACTGAAATGTTTGATATACAATTCTCATAAGATTGTGGTGGAACTCACATAATTATGCATTTCTGGTGGTAATACAAATTGACACAATCTCTTTCTAGAGCAACTGTATTTTATTTACTTTGGTAGTTTTTTATTTACCTTTATAGACATGTTGTTTTTTTAATTTTCTTTTTTTCCCACCATATATATATCTATATATATAAACCCAGTTCAAATATATGATATGGAATATTAAATATATTGATTGATATTAAATATGTGAATATATGATATGATTTC
The DNA here is from genome assembly GCF_000001405.40 of Homo sapiens. NCBI lineage: Eukaryota > Metazoa > Chordata > Mammalia > Primates > Hominidae > Homo > Homo sapiens. Next base: position 86,351,067 of record NC_000012.12, read on the forward strand.
TAAATCCTTCTCTAGTATACAGCAGTAAATAAGATGTACTTCAAGTACAATACTTTCATTTCTAAGCAGATCTCTGGCCTGGAAAAATGAAGGTTTCTCTAGAGATGTACTAGAAATTGTTTAGTTCCAAACCTAGGCCAAATTTGCCTCACACATTTCCTTCTTGTGAGACTGTATTATAAGACATTTTGTTTAATAATGATATATAACAATACCTGTACTCTTGTTACTCACCAATTTCTGTTACAAAAATAAGTAGAGATGGTAGTAGAGATATACATATATTTTGTCAAATATTTCTGCAGATGCAGAGATAATGTACAGGAATAATCAAGAACAATGAAACTTGCCTAAAGTAGAACTAAATAAGGGAGAGATTGTCAAATACATTTATAAATTATAACAAAATAAATGGAAATCAAAATTAATTAAATCACACATAATCCTATTATCCTAACATAATTATTGCCAGTAAGATAATTTTGAAAAGCAGTTGATGAAAAATTATCAGAAACTATAAATATTTTTTCTTTCAATAATTTCATTTCTGGTAATTAACCCTGAGGAATAAAATCAAATGAAGAATGCTGCTTTGTACATTGACATGTTCAGTTTAACCTTAATTTTAATGGCAAATTGTTAAACAATCTAAATATCTGACTGGGGAAATGGTAAATTATTGCATACCATCTTAATCAGTCCTTAAAATTAAGATCCTAACGACTATAGTTACATGGAAAACGCATTTGATATAATGCAGAAAAATTCTGTCAAGGCCATCACAGTTAAAACTGAAACTATTCATTATATGGTTGATAAGTGAAAGAGGCTTAACACAGTTTAATGTATGAAAGAGTTACATTAGGATAGTTGGATTGCTGTGAGTTTCTTGTGATTTTGTCTTCCTCTTCTTATAATAAATGTGCAAAAATTATGGGAAAAATATAGAAAAATTGCAGATAAATAAGAAGTGAATTTACTAAGTAACAACACTTGAATAAAGAGCTTATTGGCACTTATTAATTGATACTTATTTGAAATCACTGCTAATGCATATGAAGTTAAATAAGATTTTACTTGTACTGTCTAGTGCAGTCTGTTATAACAAAAACAATGAAAAGAGTTTCCTGGTAATATTAATAATGTCTTATTTAACTTGACATGCTTTAAAGTCTAAAACAGTGGCTTAAACATGGCAAGTTATTGATAAATACTTACTGATTAAATTTTGAGACTATAAAACTTTGACATCCTTGAAAAAAATTAGTTCAATTATTTAGTATGTAATATACATGGATCAAAACTGTTACAATAAAGCACAGTAAAATAATTCTCCTTCCCATCATCATCTGCTAGCACTTTTCCTATGTATACGAACACCTATGTATATTATTTTCCTCCTTTTCACAATGATAGCATACTATATGTAATTTACTATAGATTGATTTATTTTCAATTAACAATGTATCTTGGAAATCTTTCCATATCAGTACAAATTGTACTTCCTTATTCCCTTTTATGACCACATAGGGTTCCATTACATAGATACATTATACTTCTTCCTCATTCAAAAACACCTTTCAGTTGTTTCTTAGTTGCATTTTTTGGTCTGCTAAAATACATCAGATCAAAAAGTGAAGTTTCTCATATTTTGTAAAGCTTCCTATCACACACAATATTAATTTGTTAATAAATCTTAATGATTTACCTTAGAAACAGATGGTCTCACTCATAGGTGGGAATTGAACAATGAGAACACATGGACACAGGAAGGGGAACATCACACTCCGGGGTCTGTTGTTGGGTGGGGGAAGGGGGGAGGGGTAGCATTAGGAGATATACCTAATGTTAAATGACGAGTTAATGGGTGCAGCATACCAACATGGCACATGTATACATATGTAACAAACCTGCACATTGTGCACATGTACCCTAAAACTTAAAGTATAATAATAATAAAATAAAAAAATAAATAAATAAATAAATAAAATAAATTATAAAAAAAAAGAAAGAGATCCAGAATCTAACCACTTCTCACTGTTTCCATTGAGCTATCATTATCTCTCACCTGGATTAATATAATTGCCTCTTAAATGGTCCTCCACTTTTCAATGCTTATCTCCTCTACAGTAAAGCCTCAAAACAACAGATAGTAGGACTTTTTAAAATGTATGATAGGAATTGCAGAATTGGCTAAGATAGAGTAATTATGTCACACTCTCTTCCGCTGAATAAAATTAAAACCCTGGGTATAATACATAAACATCTAGAGACTCTGAAAAATAAATAATAACAAGTTTGCTGAGGAGAGAAATTAAAACTCAAAGAAGAATCCCATGGGGTGAGTTCTCTCTGCACTTTATTCTCCCATCTCTTCTGGCCTGAATCCAATAAATGTGCAGCAGACACAGTCACCAAAAGCTCCAAGGAAACTTATCTCATTGTGGTGCAGACTCTAGGAACTGTGACCGCTATAGGACAGAAAGAATGAGAGGAAATTTTCATGTCTTGACTTTCTCTTTTTACTCTCCAAGGTCTGTCCCACTCAAGCACTGGTCATGAAGCTGCATTTCCATGGTGGAGACAGTGCAACTGGTAGCAATGATGGTGGCATCAGTGGACTTGCTGATAATTAAAATACTCAGAAAATAATCCTTCTCTCTCATTATAGAAAGTGGAAAAGATGCTTTTGTTATCTAAAGTGAGGAAGCAATCCCTTTCCCTCTCTCTGCCTCTCTCTCTCTCTTTCTCTTCTCTTACTGCTTTGCCCCAAGTTGAACAGAATTGTAGATGTGCACGAGCGTAATGAGGCAAATACTCTGGCCTCATAGCTAGAGTACCAAATCAAGGCCTCCGGTATTTAGAGAGTACAAGGTAATCAAGAAGAGGATGGAACTGGAGAAAAGCTGGAGAAAATCTGTACAAGGAGTATACGGTTCATCCCAACCTATGTATGTGTGGAACTGAACCAACACATGAAAAGTTCGAAAAAACTTTGATATGATGAATGTGAATTTCCAGGTGACAAATTAGCACATGGTTGGTGGACATGCTGGGCAGACCAAAATATCACTGCCAAGGATTTTTTTACTATACTGAAATTGAAATTATAGTGAATAGAAGTTGGGTCATATCATTCAGTCTGAACCTCATCTATTTGCCTGCTAATACAGACAAACAAGTAAGTGCAACAAAACAAACAAAAAAATCTCCAGAAGATTTTAACAGGACCCATAGTATTATACAGTAATATTTTAAAACTCTAAATTACAATTATCTATCAATCTATATATAGAAGAACTAGGCATAGCTCAACTACTCTCAAAGAGAAAGCCAATTAAGAAACAATGACCTTAAAATAACCTATGTTAGAATTATTAGTAGACTTTAAAGCAGATATTATAAATGCGTCTCGATGAAGGCAAAAGCCCTTGAAATGAATGGAAGGATAGAAGTTCTCAAAAAGAAATAGAAGTTATAAGAATAAACCACAGAAAATTTTAAATCTAAAAATTAAAATGCTATAAATAAAAAATTCACTGGAAATGAAATGACAAAGGAAAGAATTAGTGAACCTGAAGGTATATTAATAGAAATTATTCAATTTGGACAACAGAGAGTAGTTTGAACTTGAATGTAAGTTTGAATCTCTAAAAAGTATGCAACAAACTTGTGGCTCAAGGCTGCAAGGTATCATTATGTGTCCGGAGTTGGTTCCTTCTGGTGGGTTTGTGGTCTCACTGACTTCAAGAATGGAGCTGCAGACCTTCACGGTGAGTGTTACAGCTCTTAAAGATGGCAAAGACCCAAAGAGTGAGCAGCAGCAAGGTTTACTGTGAAGAGCAAAAGAACAAAGTTTCCACAGCATGGACGAGAACCCAAGGGGGGTGCCACTGCTGGCTGGGGGCGGCCAGCTTTTATTCCCTTATTTGTTCTCGCCCTTGTCCTACTGATTGGTCCATCTTACAGAGTGCTGATTGGTCCATTTTAGAAACGTCTAGCTAGCTACAGAGTGCTGATTGGTGCGTTTTTACAGAGCACTGATTGGTGCATTTTACAAACCTCTAGCTAGCCACAGAGCACTGATTGGTGCATTTTTACAGAGCATTGATTGGCATATTTTACAAAACTCTAGCTAGCTACAGACCACTGATTGGTGCATTTTACAATCCTACCTACAGAATGCTGATTGGCACATTTTACAATCCTCTTCTAAGACAGAAATGTTCTCCAAGTCTCCACTCAACCCAGGAAGTCCAGCTGGCTTCACCTCTCAATTGGAGTCTCAGAAGGTTAGAAAAAAGTTAGTCAAAAAATAATATTTGAAGACAGAATGGCTAAATACTTTCTAGATGTGGTGAAGAACACAAATTTACAGATTTTTATAATTCCAGAAAACACCAAATAGGATAAACTCAAATAAAACCATGTTCAGATGCACCATAATCAAACTGGAGAAAAACAAAGATAAATGTAAAACCTTTTAGGCAAGTGGAGAAAAGTAACATATTGCATAAGACTAAAAGACAGGACAACATGTTGAAAGTGTTGAAAGAAAACAAAAAAAATTGAAGACAGATACACATAATGAAAATATCCTTTAAGAATAAAGGTGGAATAAAAACATTTTTAAAGAAAAAAATAAGCAGAATATTTTTGTCATTACACCTGCTTTTAAATAAATAGTAAAAAAATTTTTGAAACTAGATAAATATTAACTGAAAAATCCAGAACATTAGGGATGACAAAATAAAAACAACAGTAATGACAACTGAACAATTAAAATAGGCTGTATTTTGCCTCTGTACGTTCCTTAAACTTAATTTTATAACTTTGCTGTTATAAAAGTTATAAAATTATTTGAGCAGTTTTCAAAGTATGTAGATGAAATACATATGATAGCCACTCCACAAAGAGGGGGTTGCATAAATAAAGAAACCCAGATGGTGGTAAGATATCTAGATTATATTTGAAGTAATAAAATATTAACGCTACATACAGAGTGAAAAATTATATTTATATATTGTAATTCCTAGAGCAACCCCAACCAAATATAATAAGGTATGTAGATGAAAGTCAAAAAAATTTAAATGGATTAATATATTTTGAAAGAATCCAAGAAAAGGCTTAAAAGTATCAATACAGTAACACCAACACCAAAACTGACAACACTACCAACGGCAACAAAAAGAGAGGGAACAAACAAAAATCCAATCACAAAACAGTAAATTTAATCTAACCGTATCAATAATTACATTAAATGTTAATACACACACTAATTTGGATCAGGTTCCAAGATGGCCAAATAGGAAGAACTCCAGTCTACAGCTCTCAGTGTGAGCAATGCAGAAGATGGGTGATTTTTGCATTTCCAACTGAGGTACCAGGTTCATCTCACTGGGGCTTGTTGGACACTGGGTGCAGCGCACGGAGCATGAGACAAAGCAGGGCAGGGCATCACTTCACATGGGAAGCACAAGGCGTCTGGGAATTCCCTTTCCTAGCCAAGGGTAGCCGTGACAGATGGTACCTGGAAAATCGGATCACTCCCCACCCTAATACTGGGCTTTTCCAAGGGTCTTAGCAAATGGCACACCAGGAGATTATATCCCGCGTCTGGCTCAGAGGGTCTTACACCCATGGAGACTCGCTCACTGCTAGCACTGCAGTCTGAGATCCAACTGCAAGGTGGCAGTGAGGCTGGGGGAGAGGGGTTGGCCATTGCTGAGGATTGAGTAGATAAACAAAGTGGCCAGGAAGCTCGAACTGGGTGGAGCCCACTGAAGCTCAAGGAGGCCTGCCTGCCTCTGTAGAATCCACCTCTGGGGGCAGGGCATGGCTGAACAAAAGGCAGCAGAAACTTCTGCAGACTTAAACCTCCCTGTCTGACAGCTCTGAACAGAGTAGTGGTTCTCCCACCACAGAGTTTGAGATCTGAGAATGGATAGACTGCCTCCTCAAGTGTGTCCCTGACCCCCAAGTAGCCTAACTGGGAGGCACCTCCCAGTAGGGGCCGACTGACACCTCATATGGCTGGGTGCCCCTCTTTGAAAAAGCTTCCAGAGGAAGGAACAGGCAGCAATATTTGCTGTCCTGCAATATTTGCTGTTCTGCAGCCTCTGCTGGTGCTACCCAGGCAAACAGGATCTGGAGTGGACCTCCAGCAAACTCCAACAGAACTGCAGCTGAGGGTCCTGACTATTAGAAGGAAAACTAACAAACAGAAAGGACATCCACACCAAAACCCCATCTGTACGTCACCATCATCAAAGACCAAAGGTAGATAACACCACAAAACGGGGAGAAACTAGAGCAGAAAAGTGGAAAATTCTAAAAATCAGAGCACCTCTTCTCCTCCAATGGAATGCTGCTCCTCGTCAGCAATGGAACAAAGCTGGATAGAGAATGACTTTGACAAGTTGAGAGAAGAAGGCTTCAGACCATCAGTAATAACAAACTTCTCCGAGCTAAAGGAGGATGTTCAAACCCATCGCAAAGAAGCTAAAAACCTTGAAAAAAGATTAGATGAATGGCTAACTAGAAGGAACAGTGTAGAGAAGAACTTAAATGACCTGATGGAGCTGAAAACCATGGCACAAGAACTATGTGACACAGGTACAAGCTTCAGTAGCCTATTTGATCAAGTGGAAGAAAGGGTATCAGTGATTGAAGATCAAATGAATGAAATGAAGCAAGAAGAGAAGTTTAAAGAAAAAAGAGTAAAAAGAATCGAACAAAGCCTGCAAGAAACATGGGACTATGTGAAAAGACCAAATCTATGTCTGATTGGTGTACCTGAAAGTGATGGGGAGAATGGAACCAAGTTGGAAAATATTCTTCAGGATATTATCCAGGAGAACTTCCCCAACCTAGCAAGGCAGGCCAACATTCAAATTCAGGAAATACAGAGAACACCACAGCGATACTCCTCGAGAAGAACAACCCCAAAACACATAATTGTCAGATTCACCAAAATTGAAATGAAGGAAAAAATGTTAAGGGCAGCCAGAGAGAAAGGTCAGGTTACTGACAAAGGGAAGCCCATCAGATTAATAGCTGATCTCTCAGCAGAAACTCTCCAAGCCAGAAGAGAGTGGGGGCCAATATACAACATTCTTAAAGAAAAGAATTTTCAACCCAGAATTTCATATCCAGCCAAACTAAGCTTCGTAAGTGAAGGAGAAATAAAATACTTTACAGACAAGTAAATATTGAGATTTTGTCACCACCAGGCCTGCCTTCCAAGAGGTCCTGAAGGAAGCACTAAACATGGAAAGGAACAACCACTACCAGCCACTGCAAAAACATGCCAAATTGTAAAGACCATCGAGGCTAGGAAGAAACTGCATCAACTAACAAGCAAAATAACTGGCTAACATCATAATGACAGGATCAAATTCACACATAACAATATTAACCTTAAATGTAAATGGGCTAAATGCTCCATTTAAAAGTCACAGACTGGCAAACTGGATAAAGAGTCAAGATCCATCAGTGTGCCGTATTCAGGAGGCCCATCTCATGTGCAGAGACACACATAGGCTCAAAATAAAGGGATGGAGGAAGATCTACCAAGGAAATGGAAAACAAAAAAAAGCAGGGTTGCAATCCTAGTCTCTGATGAAACAGACTTTAAACCAACAAAGACCAAAAGAGACAAAGAAGGCCATTGCATAATGGTAAAGGGATCAATTCAACAAGAAGAGCTAACTATCCTAAATGTATATGCACCCAATACAGGAGCACCCAGATTCATAAAGCAAGTCCTTAGAGACCTACAAAGAGACTTGGACTCCCACACAATAATAATAGGACACTTTAACACCCCACTGTCAACATTAGACAGATCAACAAGACAGAAAGTTAACAAGGATATCCAGGAATTGAACTCAGCTCTGCACCAGGTAGACCTAATAGACATCTACAGAACTCTCCACCCCAAATCAATAGAATATACATTCTTCTCAGCAGCACATTACACTTATTCCAAAATTGACCACATAGTTGGAAGGAAAACACTCCTCAGTAAATGTAAAAGAACAGAAATCACAACAAACTGTCTTTCAGACCACAGTGCAATCGAACTAGAACTCAGGATCAAGAAACTCACTCAAAACCGCTCAACTACATGGAAACTGAACAACCTGCTCCTGAAGGACTACTGGGTACCTAATGAAATGAAGGCAGATATAAACATGTTCTTTGAAACCAATGAGAACAAAGACACAACATACCAGAATCTCTGGGACACATTTAAAGCCGTGTGTAGAGGGAAATTTATAGCACTAAATGCCCACAAGAGAAAGAGGAAAGATCTAAAATTGACACCCTAACATCACAATTAAAAGAACTAGAGAAGCAAGAGCAAACACATTCAAAAGCTAGCAGAAGGCAAGAAATAACTAAGATTAGAGAAGAACTGAAGGAGATAGAGACATAAAAAAAAAACCCTTCAAAAAATCAATGAATCCATGAGCTGGTTTTTTGAAAAGATCAACAAAATGGATAGACTGCTAGCAAGACTAATAAAGAAGAAAAGAGAGAAGAATCAAATAGACGCAATAAAAAATGATAAAGGGGATATCACCAACAATCCCACAGAAATACAAACTACCATCAGAGAATACTATAAACACGTCTATGCAAATAAACTAGAAAATCTAGAAGAAATGGAAAATTCCTGGACACATACACCCTCCCAAGACTAAACCAGGAAGAAGTTGAATCTCTGAATAGACCAATAACAGGCTCTGAAATTGAGGCCATAATTAATCACCTACCAACCAAAAAACGTCCAGGACCAGATGGATTCACAGCCAAATTCTACCAGAGGTACAAAGAGGAGCTGGTACCATTCCTTCTGAAACTATTCCAATTAATAGATAAAGAGGGAATCCTCCCTAACTCTTTTTATGAGGCCAGCATCATCCTGATACCAAAGCTGGGCAGAGACACAACAACAACAAAAAAGAGAATTTTAGACCAATATCCCTGAAGAACATTGATGCAAAAATCCTCAATAAAATACGGGCAAACCAAATCCAGCAGCACATCAAAAAGCTTATCCACCATGATCAAGTCAGCTTCATCCCTGGGATGCAAGGCTGGTTCAACATACACAAATCAATAAATGTAATCCATCATAAAAACAGAACCAAAGACAAAAACAACATGATTATCTCAATAGATGCAGAAAAGGCCTTTGACAAAGTTCAAGAGCACTTCATGCTAAAAACTCTCAATAAACTAAGTATTCATGGGGCGTACCTCAAAACAATAAGAGCTATTTATGACAAACCCACAGCCAATATCATACTGAATGGGCAAAAACTGGAAGCATTCCCTTTGAAAACTGGCACAAGACAGGGATGCCCTCTCTCACCACTTCTATTCAACATAGTGTTGGAAGATCTGGCCAGGACAGTCAGGCAGGAGAAAGAAATAAAGGGTATTCAATTAGGAAAAGAGGAAGTCAAATTGTCCCTGTTTGCAGATTACATGATTGTATATTTAGAAAACCCCATCGTCTCAGACCCAAATCTCCTTAAGCTGATAAGCAACTTCAGCAAAGTCTCAGGACACAAAATCAATGTGCAAAAATCACAAACATTCCTATACACCAATAACAGACAAACAGAGAGCCAAATCATGAGTAAACTCTCATTCACAATTGCTTGAAAGAGAATAAAATACCTAGGAATCCAACTTACAAGGGATGTGAAGGACCTCTTCAAGGAGAACAACAAACCATTGCTCAACGAAATAAAAGAGGATACAAACAAATGGACGAACGTTCCATGCTCATGGATAGGAAGAATCAATATCGTGAAAATGGTCATACTGCCCAAGGTAATTGATAGATTCAATGCCATCCCCATCAAGCTACTGATGACTTTCTTCACAGAATTGGAAAAACTACTTTAAAATTCATATGGAACCAAAATAGAGCCTGCATTGCAAGGACAATCCTAAGCCAAAAGAACAAAGCTGGAGGCATCATGCTACCTGACTTCAAACTATACTACAAGGCTATAGCAACCAAAACAGCATGATACTGGTACCAAAACAGAGATATAGACCAATGGAACAGAACAAAGCCATCAGAAATAATACCACACATCTACAACCATCTGTTATTTGACAAACCTGACAAAAACAAGAAATGGGGAAAGGGTTCCCTATTTAATAAATGGTGCTGGGAATACTGGCTAGCCATACGTAGAAAGCTGAAACTGGATCCCTTCCTTACACCTTATACAAAAATTAATTCAAGATGGATTAAAGACTTAAATGTTAGACCTAAAACCATAAAAACTCTAGAAGAAAACTTAGGCAATACCATTCAGGACATAGGCATGGGCAAGGACTTCATGACTAAAACATCAAAAGCAATGGCAACAAAAGCCAAAATTGACAAATGGGATCTAATTAAACTAAACAGCTTCTGCACAGCAAAAGAAACTACCATCAGAGTGAACAGGCAACCTACAGAATGGGAGAAAATTTTTACAATCTACCCATCTGACAAAGGGCTAAATCTAGAATCTACAAAGAACTCAAACAAATTTACAAGAAAAAATCATACAACCCCATCAAAAAGTGGGCGAAGGATATTAACAGACACTTCTCAAAAGAAGACATTTATGCAGCCAACAGACACATGAAAAAATGCTCATCATCACTGGCCATCAGAGAAATGCAAATCAAAACCACAATGAGATACCATCTCACACCAGTTAGAATGGCGATCATTAAAAAGTCAGGAAACAACAGGTGCTGGAGAAAATGTGGAGAAACAGGAATTCCTTTACCCTGTTGGTGGGACTGTAAACTAGTTCAACCATTGTGGAAGACAGTGTGGCAATTCCTCAAGGATCTAGAACTAGAAATACCATTTGATCCAGCCATCCCATTACTGGGTATATACGCAAAGGATTATAAACCATGCTGCTATAAAGACACATGCACACGTATATTTATTGTGGCACTATTCACAATAGCAAAGACTTGGAACCAACCCAAATGTCCATCAATGATAGACTGGATTAAGAAAATGTAGCACATATACACCATGGAATACTATGCAGCCATAAAAACGGATGAGTTTCATGTCCTTTGTAGGGACATGGATGAAGCTGGAAACCATCATTCTCAGCAAACTATCGCAAGGACGGAAAACCAAACACTGCATGTTCTCACTCATAGGTGTGAATTGAACAATGAGAACACTTGGACACAGGGTGGGGAACATCGCCCATTGGGGCCTGGCATGGGGTGAGGGGAGGAGGGAGGGATAGCATTAGGAGAAATACCTAATGTAAATGATGAGTTAATGGGTGCAGCACACCAACATGGCACATATATGTAGATGTAACAAACCTGCACATTGTGCACATGTACCCTAGAACTTAAGGTATAATAAAAAAAATAGGCACACCAATTCAAAAGTCGGATATTGTCAGACTGGATTAAAACAAGAATAATAAAAAGATCCAGTCATATATTTTATAAGAAAAATACTTTAAATATAATTGTACCAAGAAGTCAAACTGGTAACAGCAATTAAAAGAATGTGAGGGTGCGAGGTCAGATCGAGACCATCCTCGCTAACACAGTGAAACCCTGTCTCTACTAAAAATACAAAAAAAAAATTAGCCGGGCATGGTGGTGGGCACCTGTAGTCCCAGCTACCTGGGAGGCTGAGGCAGGAGAGTGGCGTGAACCTGGGATGTGGAGTTTGCAGTGAGCCGAGATCACGCTGCTGCACTCCCGCCTGGGTGACAGAGCGAGACTCCATCTCAAAAAAAAAAAAAAAAAAGCATATGAGGGTGTATATAGTAATATTAGCTAAAGTGGATTTCAGCATAAGGAAAATTACCAATGACAAAGGCAAACAATATAAAGACCAAAGGGTCAATTCATTAAGAAGTAATAGTAATACCAAATTTGCATGGATCTAACAACAGAACTTAAAATTCTTGAAGAAAAACCTAATATAACTGCAAAGAGAAATAACCAAATTCAAAACTATACCTATTTATCTTAATTAATAAAACAAGTACACAGAAAATAAGCCAGGGTATATAATATATTATCAATATTATTAAACAACTTAAAATTATACCCAACAGTTGCAGAATACATATTATTTTAAAATGTATGTAGAACATTTGTCAAGATAGGTCTCATCTATGTTAACATAACAGACTTAAATTTAGAAGAATTGTAATCAATAATAGAAAATTGTCTATAAAGATCACAAAGTATTTGGAAATTAAACAACATACTTGAAAATAATTTATAAGTCAAAAAGAAGTTTCAGGACAAATTAGCATCTATTTTAAACTTGATTAATATAAAAATGCAACATAAAATGTGTAGGATGCAGCTAATTCAGAGTTGGGGGGAAAATTTATAGCATTGAATGCTTACATTAGAAAAGAAAAAAATTCTCAAATCAGTAACTTAAGCTTTCACATTAATAAACTAGAAACTAAGAAGAAATGAAAAACAACACAAAGAGAAAAAAATGTGATAATAAAGATTAGGCTTTAAAACAATGAAATTTGAAGGTAGAAAATAATAAAATTAATGGAACCAAAAGCTACTTCTTTGAAAAGTTTGATAATTTGATAATATTGAAAAACCTTTTTCCAGATCAACCAAAGAAAGGAACAGAGGGAAAGCCAGAAAGAGAGAAATAGTGAACAAAAATTACCAACATCAGTAGGAAAGAGGGATATTATTACAAAGCCCATAGCTATTCAATATATAATAAAATATAAGAGGATAAGAAGAAATATTAGGGACAATTTATGCCTATAAGTTCAACAACTTATAGTGAATAAACCAATTTATTAAGAAAAAAATTACCAAATCTCTTTCTCACTCTCTCTCTCTCTCTCTCACACACACACACACACACAGAGACACAAACACACACATACAAAATAGATATCTTCAATGGTCCTCTATCTGTAAAACCAATTGAGTTGGTAGTTAAGTATCCTCCAAGAAAATTACAGGCCCAGGTAATTTTGTTGGTCCTGTAATTCTAAGAATAATTTGTGGAGGAAATTACAGTAATCCTACAGAACCTCTTCCAGAAAATTAAAAAAAAGAAGAAACATTTGTCAGTTTATTCCCTGAGGCCATCACTGCTTGAATACCAAAATCAGACAAAGCCACTACAACAAATAAAAAGCACAGAACAATATCCCTCATGAACATAGATACAAATATTTTCAACAAAATATAACATGTTGTTGCAATTGCTTCTGGGGACTAAGCATAATTTATTTGTCAATACCAACACCAAGAATGTTATTTCCTAAGTTTTCTTCCAGGATTTTTAGAGTTTGAGGTCTTACATTTAAATCTTTAATCAATGTTGAGTTAACTTTTGTATATGGTGAGATATAGGGATCCATTTTAATTCTTCTGCATATGGCTAGCCAATTATCCCAGCACCATTTATTGAATAGGGAATCCTCTCCCTATCGGGGGAAATTCAGCCAGATATTGGGCAAAATTCACCCCCGATATTTCACGTAGGTTCTTTTCTATTTTCCCTAAGTGTTGGCTGGTCTGAGAAATAAAGGGACAGAGTACAAAAGAGAGAAATTTTAAAGCTGGGTGTCTGGGGGTGACATCACATGTTGGCAGGTTCTGTGATGCCCCCTGAGCCATAAAACCAGCAAGTTTTTATTAGTGATTTCAAAAGGGGAGGGGGTGTATGAATAGGGTGTGGGTCACAGAGATCATGTGCTTCACAAGGTAATAGAATATCACAAAGGCAAATGGAGGCAGGGTGAGATCACAGGACCACAGGACTGGGGCGAAATTAAAATTGGTAATGAAGTTTCAGGCATGCATTGTCATTGATAACATCTTATCAGGAGACAGGGCTTGAGAGCAGACAACTGGTCTGACCAAAATTTATTAGGTGGGAATTTCCTCGTCCTAATACGCCTGGGAGCACTACGGGAGACTGGGGCTTATTTCATCCCTACAGCTTCGACCATAAAAGACGGCCGCCCCCTGAAGTGGCCATTTCAGAGGTCCACCCTCAGGGATGCATTCTCTTTCTCAGGGATGTTCCTTGCTGAGAAAAAGAATTCAGCAATATTTTTCCCATTTGCTTTTGAAAGAAGAGAAATATGGCTCTGTTCCGCCCGGCTCACCGGCGGTCAAAGTTTAATGTTATCTCTCTTGTTCCCTGAACATTGCTGTTATCCTGTTCTTTTTTCAAGGTGCCCAGATTTCATATTGTTCAAACACACATGCTCTACAAACAATTTGTGCAGTTAATGCAATCATCACAGGGGCCTGAGGCAACATACATCCTCCCCAGCTTACGAGGATGACGGGATTAAGAGATTAAAGACAGGCATAGGAAATCACAAGGCTATTGATTGGGGAAGTGATAAGTGTCCATGAAATCTTCACATTTTATGTTCAGAGATTGCAGTAAAGACAAGCATAAGAAATTATAAAAGTATTAATTTGGGGAACTAATAAATGTCCATGAAATCTTCACAATCCACATTCTTCTGCCTTGGCTTCAGCTGGTCCCTCCGTTCGGGGTTCCTGACTTCCCGCAACATTTCCCCACTGTTTTTTTTTTTTTTTTCTCTGAAGATCAAATGGTTGTAGGTGTGTGGTTTTATTTCTGGGTCCTCTATTCTGTTCTATTGGTCTTGTTTCTGTTTTTGCACCAGTACCACACTGTTTTGGTTACTGTCACTGGTAATGTGATACCTTGGGCTTTGCTGTTTTTGCTTAGGATTGCTTTGGCTATTTCAGCACTGTTTTAGTTCCAAATAAATTTTAGAATAGGTTTTTCTAGTTCTGTGGAAAATGCCATTGGTATTTTGATAGGGATAACATTGAATCTGTAAATTGCTTTGGGCAGTATGGCCATTTTAACAATATTGATTCTTCCAATCCATGAGCATGAAATGTTTTTCCATTTATTTTTTTCATCTATGATTTCTTTCAGCAGTGTTTTGTACTTGTCCTTGTAGAGCAGTTTCACATCCTTGATTAGATGAATTCCCAGGTATTTCATTTTGTGTGCGTGTGGCTATTGTAAATGGGATTGTGTTCTTGATTTGGCTGTCAGCTAGAATGTTACTGGTGTATAGAAATGTTACTGATTTTGTACATTGATTTTGCATCCTGAAACTTTACTCAATTAGCTTATCAGTTCCAGGAGCAGAGTTTTTAAGGTTTCTATGTATAGAATCATATCATCATTAAAGAGAGAAATTTTGACTTCGTCTTTTCCTATTTGTATGCCTTTTATTTCTTTCTTTTGCCTGATTGCTTTGGCTAGGACTTTTGGTACTATGTTGAAGGAAATGGTTCTGTAGGTCACTATCCTAAGCAAATAAATGCAAGAACAGGAAACCAAAAACCTATGTTCTCAGTTGTAAGTGGGAGCTAAACATTGGGTACTCATGGACATAAAGATGGCAACAACAGACACTGGGGACTACTAGGAGGAGGAGAGTGGAAGGGGGCAAGGATTGAAAAAGTACTTATTGCATACTATGCTCACTACCCGGATGACGAAATCATTTATACTCCAAACCTGAGCATCACATAATATACACACCTAACAAATCTGCACATGTAGCCTTTAATGTATAATAAAGTTGAAATTTTTGTTTAAAAATTAGCACATTAGATCCAGCAATAATCCAGTAATGCAAAGATAATTCACTATTTGAAAATAATTTAATGAAACTTTCCTAGTAGCAGACTAAAGGAGAAACAACACATTATCTTAATAATAGATGCAGATAAAGTATTTGAAACAATTAAAAATGTATTTATAAAAATTAACTTCTCAGCAATTTAGGAATATAATGAACCACTTTAATATGATAAATAGCATCTACAAAAGTCCTACAGCTGGCATCATATTTGAAAGTGTTAAAAGTAACACCACAAAACTACTTCAAAAAATAAAGTGAAAGTATATTTTTATAACCTTGGTTATAGAGTAACTGACAGAGCAGGAGCACTGTCATCTCAGACAAACACCACCACTTTAAGTTCCAGCTCCCTTTCTAGCCTCATGCATTTCAAGGAAATCACTTCTGTCCTAACTACAAGCAGAAAGGGCAGATAGTAAAACACAGATAAGATAGCTTGAGCACAAAAGGAAGTGGGGGTAAAGTTTCTTGGGTAACTGCCAAACTTCACCCTCATAAAATGGGCCCCAGAAAACAGTGGGCCTCAATAGCACATTCCTTACCCTTCAGGTCCGCTAAGATAGGAAAGCTAAAAGCAGAATCCAGTGTTGGGGAGTATGCCAGCAGCTGCAGGAAGATGTTTGGGAACACACAACTCTCCCTCCCAGATAAGCACAACAAACAGAAACAGAAGCAGTCCAAGCCTCCGCTGAATGCTTCAACCCTGAATCCTTAAAAACTCTTAGTCTGGACCAGGCATGGTGGCTCACACCGGTAATCCCAGCACTTTGGGAGGCTGAGGTGGGTGGATCACAAGGTCAGGAGATGGAGACCATCCTCACTAACACGGTGAAACCTCGCCTCTACTAAAAATACAAAAAATTAGCTGGGCGTGGTGGCAGGTGCCTGTAGTCCCAGCTCATCAGGAGGCTGAGGCAGGAGAATGGCGTGAATCCTGGAGGCAGAGCTTGCAGTGAAGCCAAGATTGCGCCACTGCACTCCAGCCTAGGCGACAGAGCGAGACTCCGTCTCAAAAAAACAAACAAACAAACAAACAAACAAAAAACAACAACAACAAAAAAAACAACTCTTAAACTCTTAGTCTCTAAGAGAGTGGGCTCCGACCTAACATGGCCAGAAGCGCCTCTCAGGTTTGTTTTCTCTAAAATAAACCTATCCTTCACTGTCGAACCACCTTTCACATTTCTTTCCCCTTTCTTTAATTCTTACAGTATCTTTTTAAATGATAATTATTAACTCAAATTATAACATTAAAACTACGGAAATTTGCTAAAATAAAAATAAAGTTTTGTTTTCTTAGTTGTGTTCTTTGTCTTAGAAGACAAAGTTAATATGGGGTAAATTAGGAAAATACTTAAAATATCTGGAATTGTCAAGAATATGATATCTAAAATATGTGATAATATGCATATCAACAATGAAAAGGAAAACAAAAACTAGGCTTACTATTAATTGCTATTCACAGAAAGAAATGCCTGTCTAGCTAGGGAGTGTAATTTAAATGAGAAATTTTAGTCATGTTAAATGTTTGTTGATTTTATCTTTCAGCATACTAACTCAGTTTCAGTAATTTTTTTCTATTGATTTTCTTTTCTCTATTTTATTTCTGCTTTGATCTTTGTTATTTTCTCACTTCCGTCACCTTTAGGCTTGATTTTTTTATTTTTGTGTTTCTTTGTGCTATAATTTTAGTTTGTTTATTTGAGGTCTTTTGTCTTTTTTTAATGTAGGTGATTATCACTATAAACTTCCATCTTAGCACTGCTTTTGCTACATCTCATAAGATTCAGTGTGTTGCATTTTTTTGTTTGTTTCTAGACATTTTCCAGTTTCCATTATGATTTATTTTTTGAGCCAATGATTGTTCAAAGGCATGTTATTTGTGTGAATTTGTAAATTAAAAAATTCTTTCTCTTCTTATTGATTTCTAGTTTCATTCCACCGTGGTCAGGAAATGTACTTGGAATGATTTCAATATTCTTAAATTTATTAAAAGTTATTTTGTGACTTAGCATGTGATCTATCCTAAAGAATATTCCATGTGCTCTTGAAAAGAAAATAGATTCTGCTGCTATTGGGTGGAATTTCTATATATGCTCATTTCTTCTATAGTGCTGTTCAAGTCTGCTGTTTCCTTATTGATTTTCTGCCTGATATGTCTATTATTGTAAGTGGGGTATTGAAGTTTCCTACTAGTATTGTATTGTCTATTTATTATTTCAGACGTCAATATTTGCTTTATCTATTGAGATACTTTGATGTTGGATGCATGCATATTTAGAATATTATACATTTCTTTTGAATTGCCATTTTTATTATTATGTAATATCTTTCACCAACATTTTTTACTTAATGTCTACTTTGTCTGATATAAGTTTAGCCATGCCTTCTCTCATTTAATTTTCCATTGCATGGAATATCCTTTTCCATCCTTTCCTTTTCAGCCTATATATTTACTTAAATCTAATGTGAGTCTCTTATAGACAGCATATAGTGGGATCTTTTAAAATATCATATCTTTAATTTGTTAGTTTATTTACATTTATGGTAATTATGGAACTGTAAGAACTTACTATTGCCATTTTGTTGTTTTTGTGTCTTTTTGTAATTTTTTCCTCTCTTTTTCTTTTGCTGTCTTCTTTTGTGTTTTGATAATTTTCTGTAGTGATATTCTTTCATTTTTCTTCCTTTATGTCATTTTTATATCTGATATAGGTTTTTCTAGTGTGGTTAACATGGGGCTTGTATAAAATTGCTTATAGTTATAACAGTCTTCTCAGCTATTAACAACTTCAATCACATGCAGTAATTCTGCACTTTTACTTTCTCCACATACACTATGCTATTGAGGTCAGAATTTATTTTTTTAATTGTGCAGCCATTAATCATTTTTATGGTTATTGTTATTATCCTTTTTCAACAGCATTGACAAACTACAAAATAGAATTACATAATGCATTGCTTTTTTATTGTTGATTTAAAAAGGCAAAAATATCTGCCTTTGAAATTCAAGTGCCACCTCTTTTAAATCTTCAATAGACAATTTATATGTATAGCATTTTATGCTGTTTAATTCATTTTGTAAATGCAGATTTAGTACTATTTTCTCTGATTCCAGCTGACTAGATTGTGATTAGGTATTCTGGATTTTACTTAATAGCTTCTTCCTTTTCTATTTTTTTAGTCCTAACTTACATATTTTTAGTTCATTATTATTTTGTTTTCCCTATTTTGCATTTAGAAAATAAAAGAGGCATATACCATATATAAATAACTATTTTATCTGAAAGGAGGTGAATTGGGAAATCAACAAGAAAATTTTCTGCTTATTCAAAAGCGATTATTGAGCCTTAGTACCAACTTTGTAACATTTACCTCACTAGAAATGAGGTGCAGCTCATAGTTAAAAGTGAAGGACTCATAATATAGTGTACTAAATGTTAGAGTAAATATACATTATGAAATGGAAAAATAGAGTATTTTATTCAGACAAGGAGTGAAAGGGAAGTCTCCTACCAGGAAGTGATACTTCCACTGAAACTGGAAAGATAAATAGATATCTTCAGCATGAGAAAACAGCGTGTGCAAAATATCAAGAAGTGAGTATATACGATGTATGAGAAAAATACAAGCATGTTGATATAGCACTAGTATGGAAAAACTTGCCTGGTGATGAGACTGAATGAGCTTTCAGATATAAGAAGTTACCAGAGCTTAAATATCTTTTTTATTCTACTAAGGAAGTTGAATATCCTTTGGAAAACAGTAGAAAAGTATAGATAGGTGCTAACAAAGGAAATAACCGGAATAGATTTACCGATTTAAAAGATTGTTACGAAAGCAAAACTGAATAATGAAGGCAAAATGCTATGAATGTTTCTTATCACACAATAAAGTAGCTCTACTGCTCCTGAGTAACTTGTTTTCCTATTTGCCTTTTTTTCTTCCCCTATTTAATCCCCAAAAGTTCAATATGTATGCATAATTTCCCGAAAGTAATTTCAATAGTATTGACTATGTCCTATGACAAGCATTGAAATACTAAGCTAAGCACTAGAAATACACACATAAATAAGGCTGCATCACAGCCCTTAAAAATTTGCTCCTTTAGTGGGATGGCAGAGGGGTGAGGGGTGGCCCTTTCAATACCATATCAAGATGATTTTATACCATTATGCATAGGTTGCTATATGTATAGGAGCAGAGAGGCTGCAAGTTTAGATAAGTTGATTGAGAAAATATTTCTTTCAGGAAATAAAATTCATACTGAGTCTTACAAGATTAATAAAATTGTAAAAGGTGCTCACATGCCTTGGGTTAGTATTATTTATTGCTCCAGCTAAAGAGGACTAAATATTCGAAAATTCCTCTTCCTTTCCTTCTTGCCTTTCATTCCCAGCATCCTATATCTTATTAGTCACCAAGACTTTCTGTCTATTGGTGTGCATTGTGAAGGGAGAAAGCTTTAACTCAGTCATTTCTCTCAAATTCTGCTCTTCATTTCCTTCCCACTCTTTAGTTCCTCACCATCTCTCACTTAAACTTTTGTAATTACTTCACCCTAGGACAATCAATCTTCCATACTGCTGCTAAAGGGATCTTTCCAAAAGATAAATTTGCTCTTATGATTCCCTTGATAAAAAAATGAAACACCAATGAAAGTGTTCAGCAATTTTCCACTGCCTTCAGGGAGAATCTCAAAACCCTAAGCCAGTGGTAGAACACCCCTCACTAGGTAACAGTGACTGGCCTCATGTGTTTTCATGCTGTCTTTTCCTTTAAATTTTTAAAAAATATGTTCCTGTTTATAAAGCCTCCCTCCCTATCCCATAGGCAGAAGTAGCTAGGACCCTGACTTAGAGCACTTTTCTCTTTGAATGAAATTACTTTTATAATTTCTAGACTGTGTTTCACTTCTAGACTGTGAACATCTGAAGTTGGGAAATGCATTTTATTTATCTTTGATTCCTCAATACTTGGCCAAATTCCTGGTTCAGTTCTTATTATATTGAAAGTATGAAATACATTTTAAAGTAAATTAAATAAAAATAAATCAACTCAGAGTTGAGAAAAAGACCTGGAAGTTAGGTAATATAATAAGTCATGAAATAAACACTTTCCTGGAAATAAAAAATGTGAAGAATTTTCCTGGAGGATACTTCTACATTTAAGTATTCAACATTTGCCTTTGGGTACTTCAAAGTTAATGAAGATTTTTTTTTCAAGTCCATAAGATGAATTTTAGAAAATAAATTTCAAAAAATATACTATATCAAATAAAATTTTATGTATAGTAATCATATTATTAGGCTTTTAAAAGTGTCAGTTTAATTCAAATCAGAGTATTGGATGTTTGCATAGCTAACCATTTATTTGAATTCAGAATATAGCAGTTCATGTGTTTTATTATTTTTAATATGACATCAAGACACTCCAGGGCACATTTTATTATTCCATTTATTCATGCCTAGGGTATATTATGAGCTGCAAACCTAAAGGCTAAGTACTTTAACCACCCGAATCATGTATTAGTGGATCAATAAAACACACCCTGGAGTATCTTAATTCTATAATATGTCTCCTATTTCTTATTAAAAAGGAAAAAAGCAATTAATCTAGAACAAAACTAATACTTTAAAATCACATAATTCTATTGTTACATATTTTATACAAGGTACAAAGGAAAAACAATGGCAGTTATTTGTTAGGATATTACTAGGGAAATGATGAATTATGCAGTTCATCTTCTGAAATAATAAAAAGTATTTCTGCTTTAAAAGCTTTTATGGATATACTGCCCAAGTCTATGTGAAGTATTATATATTCAGAACCGGTAATTCCTTATGGTAGTGGCAATCTAAAAACAAAGGAACTAGACAATGTAATGTTGCATTTAATTAAATATATTTGGTAAACTGCAACTTGCCATGTATTTAATACAATTTTATATTCAATTGCAATAGCTTGCATCAGCTACAATTTCTTAGTATAGCTTTTTCATTTGTTCTGTGTTTAGTATTTTGTCTAAACACTTTTGTCACTAGATTTGTCACACCCAAACTATCAATTGACACATTGTAGATGCTCAACAAGTATATAGTTTAAATAAAAGTATAATTATATTGTTAAACCACCTCAAATTCCATTTTGGAAGTAATTGAATTGAATATAATAAATAAAATTAATTATAAATAATTACATATATGAATAATCATTTATAAAATTATAACAAAAGGCAAAAGAAGGCAACAATTATTTATATAACTTCAGATATTAATAGTATTTTGATATATTAACTCATTTAATTTTTATAGGAGCACTATAAACAAAACCTTACTATACTCTCACAAGTGAGAAGTCTGAAGCTAAGAGATATTAACTGCGTTCCTCATCTTGGTAACTGATAGGGTTAAGATTTAAAAGGAAACAGATCCAGAATCTGTTTGATTACAAATGCTATTTTATTTTTACTGTAACATTTCAAAACTAAATATGCTCAACCCTTTAAACTTTGTTTAACAAAACTGATCCATCTTTCATCATTCAGAGATCAGTCTTGGGACTGACCCTATTGTAAACATTTATCATGATTGCACAGTACTGTAGACAATGAGAGTATAGCAAAGTGAAACTGTCCAGACAGAATTTATATCATCCTTACAATATGTACCTCATATTGTATTTTTCTTGTCTTTATTTTTCCCCAAATACTTACAGCAAAAATCATTTGTTTAAACATTAGATAAGTAGATAAACAGTATCCCAGAGCAGATTAAAGAAGAAATGTTTAATAATTCTGTATATATTTTTCCAGTCTAAATATTGATTATAGGGAAATGGGAACTGCCATCACAAAAGAAAATAGTTTTTTTTTTTTTTGATGTAGCATAGTTCTTTGTTACTACTGCATTAACAAACCATAGCAGAGCAGATATGAATAGCTGCGAAACACAGTGAAGGGGTCAATAGGCAAAAGACTTGAACTAAGGTTGTTTAGTGGGCAATATCCATTGAACACCACCACCAAAATTGTTGTTTTCTCATTCTGCTTCCTTCTGCCCCACAGTCCATTCATCTTCTTTTAACATCTTGCTCTTAATTTATTCAGTGAAATGCTCACATTAACAACCACTGCTGTATACAGCTGTAACTTTCATTCTTACATTTACCAAATATACTTTGAATGTGTACTAAGTTTCAAGCATTGTGTTAGGTCCTTATGACACAGGAAGTCCTGAGCCCTACCTGCAGAACCTATCTCAAAGTCTAGAGAATCGAGATGTTTGTAGGTTATTTAGCCTATCTAATGGCTTCTCTGTGGAAAATGGTAGAAAAGTCATGAGCAAAAACAGACATGAAAAAAATGAGAGATGTGTTTAGCTGTAGTGCAAGTATCATCAGTGTGAGCTGAGAATGAACAATATATTGAAGCAGGATTACAGATTATTTAAGTTTCAAGCAAAGGATTTCAACAAATGATACTGAAACACTGAAGGAAGTTGATTTCTGAAAAAGTATGTTGAAAGTGATAGTTAGAAAGAATAACTTTGTGACTGTACCCAATGCAAAATATCTAGTACTCAAGTGACTTTTATTTTTTGTACATCTAATCGGTGTCAGGCACAGTGCTATGCTACAAAGACAACAGAGACTTTGCAATCACTGAAGAAACTATTATATTCTTTGATGAGTTTTCACGGTTATACCAACAACAATTTATTAAATACTTACTATGGCAATCAATATATTAAATTTGGCAGTGTAAGGATTATATTCCTTATAGGCATCTTACAAGATGTTTACAATTTATTCCATTTTTAAAAATGAGAAAATTAGGTTCAGTTAAGCAATTTGCCAAGCTGAGATCAGAAATAAGGCATTTCTGGATCCACAGCTTATGCTTCACCATGCACTTGGCCTTCAAGAAGAAAATGAAGCATTCCTTCAGATTTTGTGGAGGAGTTTCTGCTTAACAGCATATTTATTGAAGGCTTACTACAATTACTGGAAACATCAATTATTAAGTCTACTAAAGACAAAACTAATTTCGTAGTTTAGGCAAGAACCAGTAAGGCCTGCTTTGCTGGTGTAGTAACATTTCTATTTCAGTCTTTCAGAAAGATACACTAGATCTTATGAACAAATAATCTCCAGGACATGATAACTGAGGAGGAAATGATCATATTTTTTCATGCTAGGAATGGTAATCCACTTCTTTTGCCAACACTTTCTTATGTTTAGCACTCCCTACTGTCAGAATATTCCCCCTTCAGCTAAAGTAAATTCGTTTGTTACTCTTTGTCACTCAATTATGATTTCTCATGAATAAAATTTAAAAAAACAGTGAGTGTTGGCCTATTTAAGAGAAAAAAACCCAGTATTTCTAAGCCTCCTTTTTCAAGCAGTTTTGCATCTTGAAAGAGATATAGAAATAGGAAATACAAAAGAATAGTTCACTCAAGGTTTTGTATTTACCACTGGAAATAATAGTAGAGAAAGAATGGAGAAATTACATGGAGATTCTATGCAAAAAATTCTCTGTTGTGTTGTTACTGAACTGTAGGGAAAATCATTTTCAGATCATCTCAAAAATATAAAAATGTGAAAAGAAAATAAGGTATGGTTAGACATGCTGTCTACTAATATTAGGTTTATTGTAATTGGTCTTAATCATCTAAGGTTTATTTTTTTTTCTTTATAGTTAACCTAATCAATCTGTTTCTTAAAGTTTTGGAATTTTTAGAGAAGGAAAAAGAGGAATTTGTATAAGCATAAATAAATATTTGACAAATTCTTCCAAACTAGGATACATCATTTTAGGTACTTTACAGAACCAGATTATTTGTATACCTGTATATAGTTATTTATTTTTCTACTTTCAAATATTAATTTTTAGAAGTTAAACTAAATCATAAAATAAGAAGTTTACAACAATAAATAAATAAGCCCTGAAGCAAAAGGAAACTCAAGATTGTCATTAACAATGAGAACACTAACAATGAGAACAATGAATATCAAAATCTTTGGAATGTGTTTCACTAGTAAAATAATAAATATACCTCTAGCAATGCTACTTAAAAATGGAGAGACTATACAACGCATAATATTTTAAAGTGGGAGAGATAAATATAGATTAATGGAAAATATGGAAAGTCAATGATCATAACCATCTATTATAATGTTTGCATTTAAATCATTGCAAATAGATTGAACGTTAAGGTAAATTGTTTGGAGAGCACTATATAATTGTTTTGGAAATAATTATTTGTCTACATTACACTCAAATTTGCAAATGGATAGTTAAATTGAAAAAATGAGGCTGTAGGGTGGCTCATGCCTATAATCCCAGCAGTCTGGGAGGCCAAGGAGGGCAGATGGCTTGAGTCCAGGAGTTCAAGCCAGCCTGAGAGACATGGAGATAACACATGTCAAAAAAAAAAAAAAAAAAAAAGAGCCGGGTGTTGTGGTGCATGCCTGTAGTACCAGCAGCTACCCAGCAGGCTCAAAGCCTGGAGGCAAAGGTTGCAGTAAGTGAGCTGAGATCCAACCACCGCACTCCAGCCTGGGTGACAGAATGAGACCCTGTCTCAAAAAACCAAAAATAAATAAATTTGAAAAATGAAACAAAAAGATTATTGTGTATATACATATATATATGAAATACAATTTTTTAGTCAGAATGTAAAGACATTTCTGTACATTGCTATATTTTCCTGTGCCTAGAACAATATATTAGAATCCCAATGAATATTTGGTGAATGACTAAATGGGAGAGGCTTTATTATTTATGGTAAATACAAACAAAAATTAGGTCACATGACAAGACAAAAATAGGAGGAATAAACATAAATTTAGAACCATAAGAAAACATAAGTATTTAACAAAAATCATCATTAACTCAATAGGAAAAATATAAATAAGCAGGACTTAAGGGGTAAAGTGATGACACTCCCCTCCCCATGTACGTACCTACATCAAAGAGCAAGAAAGAGAGAGAGAGACAGAGAGAGAGAGACAGAGAGAGAGAGACAGAGAGAGAGAGAGAGAGAGAGAGACAGAGAGAGAGAGAGAGAGAGAGAGGAGAAAAAGAGAAAGAGAGCTGTTGAGATTGAGATTGAAAGGAGAGATACATCTTTAAGTTGTTGACACTAGTGGAATTAATGTACTTTATTCTTCTCTTCAACCTTCATTTTCATATTTTTCTACATTTCATTATATAATTATTTTTGTTAAAAGAAACAAAAATATTATTTCCTGTGGTTAGGCATTTGCTTTTTTTTTTTTTTTTTGACATGGAGTTTCGCTCTTGTTGCCCAGGCTAGAGTGCAATGGCACGATCTCCGCTCACTGCAACCTCCACCTCCTAGGTTTAAGCGATTCTCCTGCCTCAGACTCTGAGTAGCTGGGATTACAGGCATTCGCCACCACGCCTGGCTAATTTTGTATTTTTAGTAGAGATAGGATTTCTCTATCTTGGTCAGGCTGGTCTCCAACTCCCGACCTCAGGTTATCCGCCCACCTCAGCATCCCAAAGTGCTGGGATTACAGGCGTGAGCCACTGCACCCGGCTGGCATTTACATTATTAACCACAAAAATCTTACTGCTTTTTTCCTATTATTTTAAAATGAAATGGTAATCAACAGTGATAGCAAGTAGTCTTTAACTCAAAACCAACATATTTGTCAGGGCATTTACTATTACACAGAATAGCAGCATATATGTTGTGTTCAATGCTTTAATCCCAACAATGAACTATTAAATAATGACTTGCGCTCTTAACGATGTTTTAATTTTAACAGTGACACACTTAAGAATATACTTAGACTTTTTCATCCCTTTGATTTTTTCACCAAAGATCAATAATGATTTAATATTTTCCTTTTCTACATATTTTTAATGTTGTACAATATAAAAACATAAAATTTGCCATCTTAACAGTTTTTAAGTATGCAATTCAGTGATATGACTACACTCACATTGTTGTGCAAGCATCATCACTACCCATCTTGAGAACTTTTCTCAGCTTTCCAAACTGAAATCCTATACTCATGGAACAGTAACTCTCCATTCTCCCCTTCCCTGGCCCCAAGTCCCTGGCAACCACCATTCTACTTGCTGTCTCTATGAACTTGATTAATATAGATACTTTATATAAGTTGAATCATATAATATTTGCCCCTTTGTGACTGGTTTATTTCACATTGCATAATCTCATCAATATTCAACCATGTGGTATTATGTGTCAGAATTTCCTTCCTTTTTAAAGTTGAATGATATTCCACTGTGTGTATATACCACATTTATCCACTCATCTGTTAATAGATATTTTGCTTGCTTCCACCTTTCAGCTATTGTGAATAATGTTGCTATGAAAATGGGTGTACAAATGGCTCTTCAAGATCCCATTTTCAATGATTTGGGGTATATACCCAGAGTGAAATTGTTGGACTATATGGCAATTCTATTTTTAATTTTTTTTGAGGAACTACTAAAGGAGTATTAATTATTACTGTTATCTGGTTATATGAATGACCACAGTGTGTTGGTATTTACATGGGACTTGAATTTGGAGTCAAAAAATAAGGATGTGATTTTTCGTTTTTCCTTAGCTAATTCATAAGAATCTCTAGACATTTGACTTGTATAATAAGGTGGAACAATATAAGCAATATGACTTAAAGTTTGTAAATTCATATCCGTGAGTTTTAGATTTGGTGGAGGAAAGAAAAAAAGAGCAAACACGATGACTTCATTTTAACATTATTTTATCCAAGAATCATGAGCTTAAAGGACTGGGGATAAGCAGTTCTCTTAATGTTAATGAGGAAGACACAGAAATAATGACCTACAGAAAGTTTGAATTATAGAGATCCGAATTCAATATGATTTATTTACAGGGTTTTCCCTAGAAGAAAATGTGAAGTATAAGATTAGCAAGAAGATGAGTAAATCAATCTCACGATACTAATCTAGAAATAATCTTCAATTACTTGGAACTTGAAGTCATGTTGGCTGACGAAGTTGCAAGGTAACAGTCTTAAAATGAAGTCCCAGGAAGTATCTAAGGATCCAGACTAGAGAAGTTTACAAAAGTTACAGTGAGGCCAGAAGGAGTTCTGCTATCTTTTGCCTGGTGGCTATATAGATTTAGAACCAATATTGGAGCTCTTAGAATCAACCTGCTTGATTTGAATCTGAACTCTATCTTTTGCCAAAAATGTATATCTAAACATCATATTGTATTCCATAAATATATACAATAATTATTTGTCCATTAAAAATACAATTGAACAATATCTTAGGCAAGTAGTATAACCTTAAGGTTCTCAGCTTATTTATTTTTAAAATATTGGTAATACTCATATTTACCTTATAAATTTGTGGAAAAGTTACATGAATAAATACATGTAAAATGTTTAGAACAATGCCTAGTTGAGAGTGTTGCATAAATACAAGCTATCACCATTACTTGACTAAAATATAGTCATAGTTGTCCTCTCTCCCATGTGGACGAAAATGCTTCTTTATTATTTTAATCATCGTTTTGCTGCTGTTGAATATATTGGCTAAAAATTGAAATTAGGCATTTTATATAATAGAGCCTATGAATATTTATTCCAACTTCTGCCTTGATAGTTGAACAGGTTTGTCTCTGAAAATAGCATCATGCAGTAAAGTTTATATTATTTGCACTAAACACTGTTGCCACCTCTTTCTGGCAAAGGTTATTTGGGAGCAGGGAATGTGTCTGACTGATTCATGATTATATATCTACTGCTTAGAACGGTACATGGCACACAGCATTAGATAAATATTTGACCAGTGAATGAGCAAAGGAAAAAAACTGTTTACTCTTAGTATTCTAATTACATTCTATATAAAACAATACTTTTTTTAGAAAAAGTTTAATATAGATAACAATTAATTAAAATTATACTTTCAGTCATAATCTAAGGCTTGCTCGTTTCTATTACAAATTTCAATAATCTTATATCTGCTCTTTTATCTTTTTCCTATTTTGTCATTCTTCAATCCAAAATTTTGTTTTATCCTGAGTTAGAATAAGTGTTCTTGTTAAAGGTATTCATCTAACATCTCAAAGTAAACTCATAATCAAATAAGTGATTCACAGCATAGAAAAATTTGTGGGGATTCATAAGTGGGTGTTGTATAGGAGAGGCTAATAAAGCCAAGCATTATTCTAACCTTTCACTCTATGAATTTTAAGTGTGGCGATATCCTAGGTATTATTTTCTGGGCCAAAGACTAGAAATGAGTAGGACTAGTACAATTATTTCTTATATGAGTCATTTTTTTATGATAACATTGACTAATGTGCTGTAACACTGAATACGTTTAAATTGGTTCTGCTTAATAATACTTGATCTACATCACAATACACATTCTTTCTACAGAGTGAAAAGAAATGCTAAGAATCAGAGCCACTACAAAAGGCTTCACACTGACATTAAAAATAACATTAAAAAATTGAAAAAAATTCACCAAATTTCTGAAAGGCTGTTTTATCCAGCTTCTCTTTCTTTTGGTTAAATAGACTTATTCTCTTAATAATCCTTAACAGAAAAAACTGAATTTGCCACTTCGTGGTGTTAAATATTGACTGTGACCATGCCATACATTATAACATTGCTTGTATGCCAGAAATAAAAAAAAAATTAATGCTGGAATAAATTAATGATTATGATGACTTCGTTTGGTAGAAAGTAAACCAGACAAGGACATAGATTGTTTCTGTCATAATCAGTGCTGTCTCTTCCATGCCTAAAAGAATGAATACGTGAAAAATCATGATTAGATCAAAATTCAACATTACACAACATACCTACTAAGCCCTTTGTGTGTATCATTTCATTTAGTCTTCATGAGAACACAATAAGGAGGAAGCCAATCACAATCCAGAGAGACATAATCCATAAAACCTACATTTTATTCAAAAATATGCAGTTTTTGAAGATGCTTTAACAAGGAGATTGGCTAACAATCCCAAGCCCATAATCCCAAATGTTGAAATCCCAAAAGATCAAAATGCCTAACGTCTAAAATCTTGAAAATATAATTCAGGAAAAAATAATTTTAAATGTTCTTAAAAGACATTTATTTCCTCTTTTGAAAGGGAATTTCTTTGAGAAGTATATGAAAATATGAGAAAACACTTCATAGGCCAATTTATACAATAAAATAGGCAAGAATAGCATACATGTTTTTGCAAGCATAAACACCCAGACATAGAAACTGACAGTTTAACAGGTACAACAGTTATGAGCAGGTGAACAGTATTCATTAAGAGAAAGCTCAAAAAGTGAAATATAAAAAAGCATACCACTATAGTTGGAATCATGTGTACCCAGCTTTATAATGGTGTTCATTTGTCACGTGGCTGTCAACTTGAGATTTTTGACAGGATAGATTAAAAAAACCAAAAGGGGTTACTGCAGTATATGCAGTCACCAAAAGAGCTGGGATCTCAAGATCACAAATTCAGATTTAGAGAAAAAAGACATATCTTCATTTATTGTGAAAGTTCCAATGTTTTCACATTTAGAATCTGAGAAGCTGATGGTGTAACTTTCAGTTTGAGTCTGAAAGCCTTACGACCCGGGGAGGTCTCTGGTGCAAGTCCTAGAGTCCAAAGGCCTGTGAGCCTGGGGTTCTGAAGTCCAAGGAAGCAGAGGAAAAATCTATCTCAACTCTCAGAAACAGACCAATTCACCTTCTGTAGAGACTGTGCCTGCCAACAGTGAGGGCAGATCTTTCCCACCTAATACCTTCAGACTCACACACTAGTCTCTGGAAATATCTTCACAGACACACACACAAAAATGCTTTACCAAGTTTTTAGGTATTCGTTAATCCAATCAAACTGACACATAAAATTGTTCATAAATCCATTCCTTATCAATTAGGCATCTGATATGGTTTGGCTGTGTCCCCACCCAAATCTCATCTTGAATTCCCATGTGTTGTGGGAGGGACCTGGTGGGAGGTAATTGAGTCACGGGGGCAGGTCTTTCCTGTGCTGTTCTCGTAATAGTGAATAAGTCTCATGAGATCTGATAGGTTTAAAAATGGGAGTCTCCCTGCACAAGCCATTTTCTCTTGTCTACCACCATGTGAGACATGCCTTTCACCTTCTGCCATGGTTGTGAGGCCTCCCCAGCCATGTGGAACTGTAACTCCATTAAATCTCCTTCTTTTGTAAATTGCCCAATCTTGGGTATGTCTTTATCCCGAAAATGTGGAAGCGACTTTGGAACTGGGTAATAGGCAGAGGTTGGAACAGTTTGGAGGGCTCAGAAGAATACAAGAAAATGTGGGAACATTTGGAACTCCTGAGAGACTTGTTGAATGGCATTGACCAAAATGCTGATAAAGATACAGACAATGAAATCCAGGCTGAAGTGGTCTCAGATGGAGATGAGGAACTTGTTGGGAACTAGAGCAAAGGTGATTCCTGTTATATTTTAGCAAAGAGACTGGTGGCATTGTGCCCCTGCACTAGAGATTTGTGGAATGTTGAACTAGAGAAAGATGATTTAGGGTATCTGGCAGAAGAAATTTCTAAGCAGAAAAGCATTCAAGAGGTGACTTGGGTGCTGTTAAATGCATTCAGTTTTAAAAGGGAAGCAGAGCATAAAAGTTCAAAAAATTTGCAGCCTGACAATGCAATAGAAAAGAAAATCAGATTTTTTGAGGAAAAATTCAAGCTGACTGCAGAAATTTGCATAAGTAACGAGGATGTTAATCATAAAGACAATGGGAAAATGTCTCCAGGGCATGTCAGAGACTTCAATGGCAGCCCCTCCCTTCACAGGCCCAGGGGTTTAGGAGGAAAAATATGGTTTCATGGGCCGGGCCCAGGGTCCCCGTGCTGTGTGCAGTCTAGGGACTTGGTGCCCTGCATCCTAGCTGCTCCAGCCAGGGCTGAAAGGGGCAGACATAGAGCTTGGGCCATGGCTTCAGAAGGTATAAGCCCCAAGCCTTAGAAGTTTCCATGGGATTTTGAGCTGTGAGTGTACAGAAGTCATGAATTGGGGTTTGGGAGCCTTTGGCTTGATTTCAGATTTATGGAAATGCCTGAATGGCCAGGCAGAAGTTTGCTGCAGGGGCAAAGCCCTCATGGAGAATCTCTGCCAGGGCAGTGCAAAAGAGAAATGTGGGGTCAGAACCCCCACACAGAGTGCCTACTGGGGCACCACCTCCTGGAGCTGTGAGAAGAGGACCACCATCCTTTAGACCTCAGAATGGTAGATCCACTGACAGCCTGCATTGGGTTTCTTGAAAAGCTACAGACATTCAATGCCAGCTCATGAAGCAGCCAGGAGAGGGGTTATACTCTGCAAAGCCATAGAGGTAGAGCTGCCCAAGGCAGTGGGAGCCCATCCCCTGCATCAGCGTGACCTGGACATGAGGCATGAAGTCAAAGGAGATCATTTTGGAGCTTGAAGATTTGACTGCCCTTGGCCAGGCACAGTGGCTCACGCCTGTAATCCCAGCACTTTGGGAGGCCAAGGTGGGCAGATCACCTGAGGTCAAGAGATCGAGACCATCCTGGCCAACATGGTGAAACCCCATCTCTACTAAAAATACAAAAATTATCTGGGCGTGGTGGCATGCACCTGTAGTCCTAGCTACTTGGGAGGCTGAGGCAGGAGAATCGCTTGAACCTGGGGATGGAGGTTGCAGTGAGCCAAGATCACGCCGCTGCACTCCAGACTGGTGACAGAGCGACACTTCGTCTCAAAAAAAAAAAAAAAAAAAAAAAAAAACAGAAAGAAATATTTGACTGCCCTTGAATTTTGGTTTGCATGAGGCCTGTAGCCCCTTTATTTTGGCCAATTTCTCCCATTTGGAACAACTGTATTTACCCAATGCCTGTATCCTCATTGTATCCAGAAAGTAACTAACTTGGTTTTGATTTTACAGGCTGATAGGCAGAATTGACTTGCCTTGTCTCAGATGAAACTTTGGAATGTAGACTTTTAAGTTAATGCTGAAATGAGTTAAGACTTTTGGGGGATTGTTGGGAAGGCACGACTGGTTTTGAAATGTGAGGACATGAGATTTGAGAGGGGCCAGGGGCAGAATGATATTGTTTGGCTGTGCCCCACTCAGATCTTATCTTGAATTCCCATGTGTTGTGGGAGGGATCTGGTGGGAGGTAATTAAATCATGGGGCAGGTCTTTCCCATGCTGTTCTAATGATAGTGAATAAGTCTCATGAGATCTGATGGTTTTAAAAACAGAAGTCTCCCTCACAAGCTCTCTTCTCTTATCTGCTGCCATGTGAGACGTGTCTTTTACCTTCTGCCATTATTGTGAGGTCTTCCCAGCCACGTGGAACTGTAAGTCCATTTAATCTATTTCTTTTGTAAATTGCCCAGTCTCAGGTATGTTTTTATCAGCAGTGTGAAAACTGACTAATACAGTACTCACATGCATCTCCTAAAACCATACTTAATTTCCATATGAAGATGATAACAAGGTAATATTTCTACCTAAGATGAGACAACTATCCTGTGATTGTAATTTGCAGGATTTTAGACATTAGGGATTTTTGACAGTGGAAATATAGACTTTAGAGATTTTCATCTTTAGGGACACTGATTGTTCAGGATTTCAATATTTGGGATAATGGTGTTCAGGATTGTGACTTTGGGATTATGATCCCAGCCCCAGTAAGGCAGGGCTTATCATTATTAACGTAATGTGAGACTTAAAGAAGATAAAATATCTTGCCCAAACGCATTAGTATTTGATACAGCAAGAAAAACATCTAAATTGTGAAAATATTCATTCTTCCGTTGGGAGAATAACCTTTATTTGTTTTCCTTTATTCAATGTTTGTTAAAAAATAACAAAATATTTATGTATTCTCATTTCCTTTTTGTATCAGAAACATCAAGGTGTGAGCCACATTAACTGAATGATATAGAACTAGCTTTCTGTTTAACGTCCAGTAATCTGGGCAGGACAGAGTCTCACACTCTGTGTAAGTTCGTATCTTCTACTCCCTCTTCAGATGGCCTCTTTCTTGCCGTTCATCACCAGCTACTCCTCTGCTCCTTTGCCACTATGGATACTTAAGCTGTTAACCATTTTACTTAGGTAGCTGTTCTCTTTCAGATGGTTAATTTCTACTAATTTCTGACCTACTTAATTTCTCCTAACCCCCATCTTTGCCTAGATTCATTCAAATAGCAGTTTTTCCCCTACTAAAAAGAATATTTTGAAAGTTAATGTTACCATTTAAAATTCAACTAAAAAAATGATTGAACTCAGTGTAGTTTCCTACAGTATTCCCCAGCATGACAGTATTCCTCACACAGTAGGTGCTCAATAAACACTTGCTGAAACAATAAATCTGACTGAGTTACATAATTTTTTAATTGGCAACTGACATGCTCTCACAAACAAATTAAAACAAGAATAAGATAAAATAATTTATAATAATAAGAATAATATATGCATATCATTTCATCTGGGCCTTTTTCATACTAGAATATTTTCCATGAGGATAAATCCTATTCCTCTTAGCTCTTAAATTGTAGCTTTCAAATCTACGTATATACTCTTTTATTATTAAATGTCATTTATATCAGGCTCTGTTCATGTCATGCCATAAGGAGTGCAACTCCTCCCCTCCAACTAGATGTCAGAGAAAGAAAAGAAAATATTAGCCTGAAATTTTGTTGCTTAATGTCTTTCAATGCCTCCTCAGCTGTCTGTAAGATAAAATCGAATGGCCTATGCATAGCATGTATGACCTTTTGTGGTCCAAGCCTGTCTTGTCAGCCTCATCTCTTGCTACTTACCACAAAGTGCACTACACTTCAGCCACAGAAAATTACTTAAAATGCACCATGGGATTGATGAAGTTGAGCCTGTTCAACTGTTGCTCTTCCTGCCAGTATGCTGTGTTGTCTACCAACACCTGTCTCACTGGTTCTTTTCATTCATTTCAGTTTCCTCCACACTGCTCAAATTAAATTCAGATAATACCTCCTCACGGTACCCTTTCTGTCTTCCAGCTGTGACTAAGATGTGTGTCTTCTGTGCTCCCTCTCAATCTTATACAAATGTTACCATTATTCTTATTCATCAGTAATTATTTTTTATTTTTTATTTATTTATTTTTTTTGAGACGGAGTCTCGCTCTGTCACCCAGGCTGGAGTGCAGTGGCAAGATCTCGGCTCACTGCAACCTCCGCCTCCCGGATTCACGCCATTCTCCTGCCTCATCCTCCTGAGTAGCTGGGACTACAGGTGCCCACCACCACGTCTGGCTAATTTTTTGTATTTTTAGTAGAGACGGGGTTTCACTGTGTTAGCCAGGATGGTCTTGATCTCCTAACTTCGTGATCCACCCGCCTCGGCCTCCCAAAGTGCTGGGATTACAGGTGTGAGCCAGGTAATTATTTTTGAGATTCAACTATGTTCAAGGCACTGTGATAGTTCCAGGGAATGCAGATGATACAGTGCCAAACAAAACAGATGCCTACATCACCAGTCTTTACAGAGAAGAGTAGTGTGTTTGCTTACCTCCTCCCACTAGACAATGAATACCTAAAAAAATGGGGCCTGCCTCTGATTTCTATGTTCCCAATCACTGGTACCTCATAGACAGGAAGTGCTCACTGATGAATAAGCTTCCCTTGTCTTATATGGAGAAGTCTTGGACCGTTAATATTCAGGACTTCACAATCACAGTTGAAACATATCTTATTTTGAAAGATTACCCCAGTGGCACGTTGGAAAACAGAATTGTATACATAGCTTATTTGCCTTCATTTCAATTACATTATTTCTGCCTATTTCAATGCTTGTTTCACATTGTGATCGAAAGTAAAATGATAAGAAATTGTTTACATTCAAACAAGTTAATATTTTGGACTACTACTTTCAATAGAAAAAAATATTATGGAATAAGGTTGATAATAATTAAAGGATCTCAGTGGACTTTAGTGGAATATTACTGAAAGTTGAATTTCATTTTTATATATACAATATCTTGATAGAAATTGTCTCTTCTTCTATTTGACTTGTTAACTACATGGCACAAATATATTCATGCAAAGTTCAATTTAGCTATTGTGTTTGCATAGCTGACTAATAACACATATCACTTTAAATAAATTTTCTCTCAGAAGTCTAAGCTACCAATTGAATAAAATTTGAAGCAAGTTGCATAGTTGGAATTTGCCATATGTATTCCTTATTTTCTATAAATTGGCTTAAATATTGTCATAATTTTATGAATATTACATATCTAATGTCAACATTTCAGACACTGTAATAAGTCTTTCTTCTAACAGACTCCTCCAAATACAAAGTGTACATAGTTGTCTGAATTAATTCCTTTATGTCTTCATGAATTTCCCAGTGATCCTGAGCCCACAGCAATGAAAATTTTACTGCATACTTACTTACTAGTCCTAATCTCTCAGAGACAATGATTATGCCACTTCTAACTTCTAGATTCATGTATAATATTTGATATTGTAAATAACATCAATATTCATCCTCTGTTTTCTATTATTGCTATATAAATATATACATATATGTTTATATGTGTGTATTTCACAGATGTGTAATATCAGTGTTATTATTATCAATCTAGAATTGAAAACAGAATTTTTACAAAGCATTCATTTTTCTGTACAAAATATTATGGAAATATATATGCTTGGATTATTTATATGTTTGCAATATTTACTTATAATAAATTCATAAGCTAAACATGAAGAACTGCTGAGGGAGGAAGCATAGTAAAAGTGTATTTAAACAATGTTCAATGGCATTATTTATAAATGTTGTCAATCGGTTATTTTATCTAGAATGTGCAATAAAATGGGAAAATATTAAGTTAATGGATTCAATAACAAGCCCATTATTACTGAAGCTGTAGTATGACTTCTGTAGCCCTAAAGATTATAGCTGAGCAGCAGAAGGGGAAAAAAGTAGATCATCCATTACATTGAGCAGTTAATGATATTTTATTGCATTATTTATCAAATACTGTGGATGTTATTTGTAGCTGCAAGCTTGACCTTAGCTAATCATAATTTGATGAATGTGTATATCTGAAAGGCACTATGACAAAATACTCTATTGTTTTATGAAGCAGGAACATGAGCTAGTATTATGAAATTCAGTAAGTGTGTAGTTTCAAGATATTAATGCTCAGACACTTATGCACAAGACAGAATAGATGCTTGTAATTCAGACATGGCTGCTGAAATGTCTTTCTCTTTTAATAATATAAATATTCAAGCCATCTATCTTAACTGATTCCTGCAAAGCCATTTTATAAATGCAGTAAGAAGACTATAATGATAATATATTATTAATAGAATAGAGTTCTCATTCTAT
The DNA here is from genome assembly GCF_000001405.40 of Homo sapiens. NCBI lineage: Eukaryota > Metazoa > Chordata > Mammalia > Primates > Hominidae > Homo > Homo sapiens. The sequence goes on from NC_000012.12 coordinate 86,388,180, forward strand.
CAGGAAGATGTGAAGAAAATTAGAAGCTTTTCGCAGTGTTATTTAGGAGTTTGTATTTAGTTGGATTTCAAATATACATATTTTGGAGAGAAAATATAAAAGTGATAAACAAGTACCAACTGCATAATTTTTAACTTTATCAGTCTTCTAGGAAAGGAAATGCATTATAATTTCCAAGATGAGAACAATATTTTATTTTGTACAATTTTTTTAAGGTTGGAATGAGAAGTTAGCTCATTAGAACTTCTTTTCATATGTAAAGAAGCATTGATAACAATGAAGAAATATTTTGAACCAATAATATAACTTGTAAAGCATTTCTTGGATATTGAATCATGCAACTTAATTTACACATAGGCCAATTAAATTTATCACAGAAGGAGATAAATAAAACTAAATAAGAACTGCCTCTAAACTAAGTAAACTAAGAGATATTCCCACTGAAGCAAACTGCCTATCAATGACACTTGATCAATAAACACTTCAGCGTTTTTTGTTTTTTTTTTTTTTTTTTTTTTTTAGACAGAGTCTTGCTCTTGTTGCCCAGGCTGGAGTGCAGTGGTATGATCTTGGCTCACTGCAACCTCTGACTCCTGGGTTCAAGCTATTCTTCTGCCTCAGCTTCCTGAGTAGCTGGGATTACAGGCACCAGCCACCATGCCTGGCTAATTTTTTTGTATTTTTAGTAAAGACATGGTTTCACCATGTTGGCCAGGCTGGTCTTGAAGTCCTGACCTCAGGTGATCCGCTTGCCTCGGCCTCCCAAAGTGCTGAGATTACAGGCCTGAACCACCACTCCTGGCCAGTTTCATTCTTGAGCATAGTTTTTTTCTTCTAGTATATGTAAAGAACTTGTAAATTTTATTTTATTTTTTAACTTTTAAGTTCACTGGTGCAAGTGCAGATTTGTTAGATAGGTAAACTTGTCACAGGGGTTTGTTGTACAGATTATTTCATCACCCAGGTATTAAGCCTAGTACCCACTAGTTATTTTTCCATATCTTCTCCGTCCTCCCATTCTGCACCCTCTGGAAGGCCCCATTGTGTGTTGTTTTCCTCTACGTGTCCATGTGTTGTCATCATTTAGCTCACACTTATAAGTGAGAACATGCAGTATTTGGTTTTCTGTTCCTGTGCTGTTTGCAAAGGAAAATGGCCTCTAGCTCCATTCATGTCCCTGGAAAGGACATGATGTCATTCTTTTTTATGGCTGCATAGTATTCCATGGTCTATATGTACCACATTTTCTTTATTCATTCTAACATTGATGGGGTATTTAGGTTGATTCCATGTTTTTGCTATTGTGAATTGTGCTCAGTGAACATATGTGTGCATGAGTCTTTATGATAAAATGATTTATATTCCTTTGGGTATGTACCCATAATGGGATTGTTGGGTCAAATGGTATTTCTGTCTTTAGGTCTTTGAGGAATTGCCAAACTGTCTTCCACAATAACTGAACTAATTTACCCTAACAGTGTATAACCAGAACTTGTAAATTATAAGGTGAATCTCACTGAAACTACTGGGTGTAAGTATCAAATTATTATGTTTTACAGTATGTTATATCTAATGCTGAAGGTTCTTTTCCAAATGTGGATGTCAAAATTTTACATTATTTCAAAATTATTCTATGTGATAAACTGAATTATTGTTTCATGAATGTTAAGGATTTCTTTTCTCTCTCGGGGATACAGCATATTTCACCGTAACAATGCCTTTGCATGTGGTTATGATATTTGTTTTGTCTATATGATAGAACAGAAAAGTATAGAAGTCTTAAATGTATTTGTATAATTTGATTTTGGTTATGTGCTCCTGGGATCCTTTCTTAGAGAGCATGCACTTTTTAACAACATTACATTCAGCCAGTTTCCAGAGTGAAACTCATGATTCAGCTGACCTTGATTCAACTGAGGATTCCAGAAACAAGCCCGGTTGACCCACAGCTTATAGGGGAAACACTAAGCTGATTCCAAAAGAGCTCAGAAGAGACACTGTTGACTCACAGCCCTGTGAGTTTTGTTGTAAGCCACAGACTTTGAGGTGGTTTGTAATACAACACTATTGTTGTATAAATCATAAATACACATATGAGTTTCTGGAGTACTATTGTTAAGAAACTCTCTTATTTTGTTACGTACCATAGTTAAGAAACAAATTTTATTTATTATCATATTAAATTCATATGTTTCCAGTCTAATATTTTGTATATCACTGTTGGATAGAGACTTAGTAACTGAAATCTAGTCTGGGAAAATATTTATGGAAAATAAATAAGTCATAGCAGAAATACTTTATATGATATTTAAAATTCATTCAACATTTAAAAGAAAATAATATAATCCTGTGTACTTATCAATTCACTTTGCAAAAGACAATACATTTGAGAAGAAACTTAAAATCATACTATTCAGACATATGAATCACATTGCTGGAGAAAGAGCAAACATTCAGAATGCCAGTTTCATCCCAAAATTTGAATCACAAACAAATAAAGACTTTTGAAAAAAATCTGGTGACCAGTAGTCGCAACCTTTTCTTTATCATATTTATAATTTGATTTAAAAAAATGAACCCCATTCTACACCTTTCAAATTTTAGTTACCAGGAACAATAATTAGTAATAGAACAAAGAACTAGAACTTCATATAAGAAACTGAGGCTCAAGATTAATATTAGGCCACAAAATAGAGAAATTTACAAGGTGGACCAAGAGTTGACCTCAATTCTTCTAATTCTACAACCCGTATCCTACTCATGCATTAATCTCATGGAAATATTTCCTATGAATAAACATATCTGATTTCCAGAAAGGACTTAAAGGGTTACAGAATATGGGGCTACTGAGTCACTTAATTTTTTTTTCTTTCTCATTTTGTGGGAGGAGGCATTCAAAATCTGTTTTCTCCGTAAAATCTCTTGCAATTTTGCAACTGTCAGCAAAGGTAGTCTTGAGTTTTCAAATTTTTATTTAAGAAGCTTTTGGATGATAGGAAAGGCAGTTAAAGAGTGTGAAATAACTACAGTCTAAAAACATACATGAATTCACAGAAATTTCAGTGTATGAGAGAGTACATGTAAGCACTTTGATTTTTAGAGTAAAGGATTTTCTACTTACCTGATTGGTACTGAGCTCAAAACACAGGACAGTTGTGCCAAAGGTTTGTTGCTGTTTTAACAGTATGGGGTTAATCAGAATGTGAAAGGGCAGTGAATTCACATGTAATAATAAACAAATATACATTTAAATATACCAGCCTAATTAGAGAAGAAGAAATGCCATTGATTTCTAGATAAAATGGAGGTGTGTGTGCTTGAACTTTGCGGATAAGGTCCAGTTGTAATATTTACTGAGCAACTTGGTAACTTTATTCAATCAAAAAGTTGGCATTTAGGCCAGGTGCAGTGGCTCACGCCTGTAATCCCACTACTTTGGGAGGCTGAGGCGGGCGGATAACCAGGTCAGGAGATCGAGACCATCCTGACTAACATGGTGAAACCCCGTCTCTACTAAAAATACAAAAAAAATTAGCTGGGCATGGTGGCGGGTGCCTGTAGTCCCAGCTACTCAGGAGGCTGAGGCAGGAGAATGGTGTGAACCCGGGAGGCGGAGCTTGCAGTGAGCTGAGATCGCGACACTGCACTCCAGCCTGGGGACAGAGTGAGAATCCGTCTCAAAAAAAGAAAAAAAAAGTTGGCATTTATAAGTCGGCTGGCTGGGAAGCAAAGTTAATTTGAGTTCCACTCTAAGTTCTGTTACATTTTAGCAGAATAATAATGAGTCATTTATTTATCTTTTTAAAATTCTAGTTTTCTTACTGATGAGATGAGGATAATAATACCCTGCCTTATAGGATTGTGGTGATGATTTTATGTATCTAAATGGTAATTTAATTGTTATGATTACTGGGTAAACTTTACAATGTAACAGTTGCAGTGTTTGGTACTAGAGATACCAAGATAAAAGTTATGGTCTTCTAGAAGAAGAGCAAGAATTAGGTAATGTCGGCCAGATGCAGTGGCTCAGTCCTGTAATCCCAGCACTTTGGGAGATCAAGGCAGGCGGATCACCTGAGGTCAGGAGTTCAAGACCAGCCTGGCCAACATGGTTAAACTCCATCTCTACTAAAAATACAAAAGATAGCTGGGTGTGGTGGCATGCACCTGTAATCCTAGCTACTTGGGAGGCTGAGGCAAAAGAATCACTGGAACCCAGGAGGTGGAGGTTGCAGTGAGCTGATATTGCACCACTGCACTCCAGCCTGGGCTACAGGAATGAGACTCTGTCAAAAATAACAACAACAACAACAACAACAAACCAGAAGAATTAGGTACTGTCAATGAGTAATAAGTGCTCCAAAAGCCTAAGCAGCACGGGGTGCAATAAAACCAAAAAGAAGGATATTTAATCAAGACAAAGTGGTGAGGGATGGCTTTTAGAGTAAGTGATATTTTACCTGAGTTTTTAAGGGTGTACAGGAATTAAATCTGCAAAACGGTGTTGGGAAATCAAATTCTTCACAATCTGACGTATGCATTGCATATTCAATAAATATTTGACTGATAAATACATAATTGCATAGATGTGTAAATATATGTTTGAATGAATTAGTTACCTGTTGATAAAATTTCTTTTGCCTATGATAATGGTTGGAAGAAATTCATCATCAATTTGTACACTATAAACAATCATATGATTATTGATCCAAATATTAACAGAATATGATACATAAATTATTGAAATGTTTACAGTTCCACTGTTATTGTGAAGTATTTTAACCTATAATAAACTAAGAAAACAATTTGCATCTTTAAAAGATGTTAAAGTGTACATACATACAAACATGTAAATTAAAACAAAGCTTAGAAGGTCAATTATTTTTCCAGGGAAAATAATATTATCTTTCCAGGTTTTTGAAAAATTACTCTAAAAATACTTATTTAACTTTGGATTTCTTATAATTACAATTATGTAGAGTTTTCTAAATGTATTTGATATACATGAATAAATGAATGCTATTATTTACTCTTCAGAGATCTCTTTGCCCAATATGCTTTGGTGAAAAAGTACAGAAATACACACAGAAAAACTTTTCCTACAGCATTTGATTTGTATCACTTTCTTAATTACAGCATGTCTAATCCACATGATGTAAAAAAAAGATGTAAAAAATGATTTATACACCTGAAGCTTTTTTATTTCTAGCTTGGAAGGAATACAAGGGATCATACAATCCAATATCATTATTTTAGATATAAGAAAACTGAAGTTTGGAGAGACAAAATTTTTTTTCCAATAAAACACATTTAGAAAACTGATTGAGATTAAAGCACTTTCTTCTATATTATCTTTTAAAGAGTGAATATATAAGAAACATAACAAAAATTGATAACTCAATTGTTTTTAGAGATGTGGCAGACTCTGCTATTCACCTACCCAAGGCAAATCCCATCTGTTCCCTGATAAGTAAAAATTGAATTTATTCTCTTGGCAAAATATCCAGCCTTGGAGGGTATAGTAATCACTGATTCTCAATGGGTGGCAGTGCTGCTCCCCTCCATGATGTATGGAGAATGATGTCTTTCATGGTGATTAGCCATAGGCATTTAATGCCTAGGAATTATGAGACAGTCCTGCACTATAGAAATCGGCATCATCCAAAATGTCAATGCTGCTAGTTGGAAACACTGGCTTCACTCATCATGCCAATCGTGTCCCTCACCTTGTCAGGATTTAGTGGAGGGATGGGAATGTTAACCAGTTCAGGCCAATGACACATAAAATGAAGTCTGTGATAGACTCCAATGATTTTTTCTTCCTAGTATAAAGAACAATCACTTTTGCTCCTAAACACTTCATATGGTTTGTTCCCTCTTCTCCCAGAATAATAATAGCAGATGCTGAGCAGCCACCATGAGACAATGAGGCCACTAGCATAATAAGGTAACCAAAAGGATGGCAGAGAAGAGGGAAGGATTACTGAATCAACTTGGGGAATGTATGCCTTCTTAATTCTCAATTAATAAACAACATATAGCCATATGGGCTAAACGCTGTCCATCAGACTATCCGTTATTTGCTTTTCAAGACATACTAATGGATGAAATAGATACCTTGGGTAAAATTGGTTGTTGAAAATAAGTTATGTGAATATTTTCAGGCTATTATTAAGTCATTCTAAAGTTAATGCTTGTTCTAAAGAGGCTGTATGCTCCATTGATATTAGTCCACTGAATATTATCATTGCTCTGAAATATTATTAGAAATTTGGTTTAATTATATATATATACTTTTTTATATATATACTTTATATATATATTTTTTAAATATTTATATATTTATATATTTTATACATATATTTATATATATTTATATATTTATATATATTTATATATGTGTATAAAATATTTATATATTTTATATATATATACTTTATATATATATATATATATGTACTTTTTTTTTTTTGAGACAGAGTCTCTGTCTGTTGCAGTGGTAAGATCTCAGCTCACTGCAACCTCCGCCTCTCGGGTTAAAGCAATTCTCCTGCCTCAGCCTCCTGAGTAACTGGGATTACAGGATCACACACCACCATGCCCAGCTAATAGTTTTAGTAGAGATGGACTCTCACCATGTTGGCCAGGCTAGTCCTGAACTCCTGACCTCAGGTGATCCACCCACCTCAGCCTCCCAAAGTGCTGGGAATACAGGTGTGAGACACCACACCCGGCTTAATTATGTTTTTTTGAGGAATATTACATGTAACTTGTATCACTATTTAAATAATATTTCAGAAGTACATTTATGAGTCCCCTTTCTCACTTTTGTTCATATCTTCTTGTTAAGAAACTATATGTCTAAGAGCTTTAGGAAAAAAAGCATAAAAAAAATGGTCTTGAATGATAAGTAGGGACATTACATAATTTAGTAAAGTAATGTAAGGTTAAAAAGATGGAACATAATAAATGACTTTAAGGAAGCAGGCGATCTAGCTAATTCAGGTAACAAAAATTTGAGATCTCAGATCTAATCAGTTTCTTTTGCATATATTAGACAATGTTACTGAATTTTAGAGCTGGAAGAGATCATCCTTTGCATTATACAGAGGTTCTGGCTTATTTTGAAAGAATATTTTTATTACTATAATATTATTCATGGTTTACTTATCTTACCATATTAGAGCATTCACAGGGAAAAAAGACTGTAATAGCTAAACCAATATACATTCAGGACATTTTTAAATTATGCTTTTAAAAAAGCACAGAAAATGGAAAATACACTAAGCGCCTCAGAACTGTGTATCATCCAACAAGTAAGAGAAAAATGAGGTGAGTTATTAAAGCTTGGATTACACATTTCAAAGTTGTATTCAAGGAAAACTCCTCCAGTAAAAATCTGTTCTTTGTTATGCACATTCAACCAATGTAAGTTTTTGATGTGTGGTACTGAGCTTTTGTATTTTAAAAGTGCAGTGGCCTTTTGAATTTACAATTCAGTGCACAGTAGCTATAATACTGTAATAAGTCCTTGATTTTCTTTCCCTTGAAATCTATAACACAGCTTTAAAGTGAGTGTCTTCTCAATACAACTTCATCTATTTTTTTGTGTGTGCTTGTTGGCAGTGATACATTGTATGGATGTAGGATGGGCTAACATATGCCTCAGAGTTTCACAAAAATAATTCAATTAGTACCAGGAGTTAACAATACATGCTGCAGAATAATAATATGTGGAAATATAACCATAATTTTACATTTTCTAAGCTGGATATTTTTATTTAGTATAATTTCCTTTATCCTGATCTTATGTCCACGATTTAAATGTGCAGTAAATATCAATGAGTTGTGTTTTTTTCTCTTTTACTATAGAATTTTTTCTCCAGGTAATAACTATCATTCAACAACAATACTTTGGATTCTGTAAAAAATCTAAAAGTAAAATTAAGAAGTTTAAACTTTTATGTTCAACTGACGGACCTCAAACCTAGATGCATTAGCCTCATTTGGAGCATATTTTAAAATATTGATACCCAGGCTCCAGTTCAAAAATTCTAAGTTATTGTGAGTTTATTTATTCTGGAGTGAAGCATGTCTCTTAATACTTTTTAAAAGCATTCCAGGTGATTCTCATTGCCCAATGTGAGAACCTTAAAAAATATATATTTGTTTATAATAAATACATGCTTAGAATCAAGGAATTTTTTTGCACAAAGGCGTGGAGATTATCGAGCTCTACACATCTTAAAAGATTACTATGCTCACACATCTCTAGGCAAAAAGACACTGCTGCATTTGACCCGCAGCAGGAAATTAATGCTCTTGGCAATTATCTGGATGCCCATCCATCATTTGGCTACTTATAATTATAATGGAAAATTTTATTCATGTTTCAAGTATATTTTCTAAACAAACAAAATGAAACAAAAACACAAAGGTGGGGGAGAAGGAGTGAGATAGGATGCAGAAAAGCAGGAAGTGGCAGGTAAGATATGGGGCAGGGAGTGACAAAGATACAATGCCATTATGTATTTTACTTTTATATAATTATCACTTTAGAGTAAATAAAATTAGAAGTAATTGACTATTGACTCATTCATGAAAAAAGCACATCTGTAGCTATTATGGTAGCCATAACTGTTATAATAAAAATACTTTCAGACACTGTATCCAGGGGATTTTCCAACAATATCTTTGCCTACCTATTTTGTATCATTTCTGCTAGTCTTCCTTCTTCTTTTTTCTTAATACAAATGTTCCTCAGCTTTTCTACAGAAGCTTTTTTCAATCTACGATTTGAAGATCACTTGTACCCAAACTACCAAAACCTACACATTTCATGACCTCATTCAGACACAGTAAATATGAATTCTCAAAGATGGAGGCCTGCATTTTATTATTATATTGATTATTATGCCCATTAGTATTTGGAACATTTGCCTTTATAGCACTTGCCATATTCTATTGAAAATATTCACATTTCAGCAAAAGAATTTTATGGAGAGCAGAAAATGAGTTTTTTTCCTTATATTCCAAGCAACCCTCATAGTATTTAGTACTTTGTACATATTAATATATATGTATGAAGTAAAAGAATGGCTCAGCCAAGCAAACATCATCATGCTCATTTAGACAGATAACTCAATGCCTTCAAAACCTCCCAAACCCTCTTTTGAATCAACTTGATTTTTTTGCCTCCAAAACCCCGTTTTAAACCAACTTGATCTTTACTGGTTTCTCTAGGTAGGCTTTTGCCTCATATCCACACCTTTCTTAGATTTTTCTTTTTTCCTTTGGGTGTTGGATTATTGACTAAAACCTTAAAAAGCAGCCTATGAATCAAGTCAAGCAGATCCCTATATCTAGTGTAGATATCTTATGTTTATTCACCCTACTTCTACTTTATTAGCTGTTTATCCCTGCTTTGTGTATATTAGCTCCTCATTAAATATTTTTAAAATAATATAATTTGGTTTTTATTAGAATTATATAATAATCAGGCCAGGCATTTTGGCTCACACCTGTAATCCCAGCACTTTGGGAGGGCAAGGTGGGAGAAGTGCTTGAGGCCAGGTATTTGAGACTAGCCTGGGCAAAATAAGAGAAAGCCATCTCCACAAGAAAAATTTAAAAATTAGCTGGGTATGGTGGAGCGTGCCCGTAGTCCCAGCTATCTGGGAGGCTGAAGTGAGAGGATGGCATGAGCCCAGGAGTTTGAAGCTGCAGTGAGCTATGATCACACCACTGCACTGCAGCCTGAGTGACAGAGATGCCATTTCTTAATTTTTTTAATTGTGTAATAATTTGTAAGTTTTTAGCATCAGAATATTTGGAAGTTTGTATTCCGAGAAACAATTAGCATTATTTAGTTGGGAACAACAACAAACAGTATTCGGTGTGTATTAGTTTCCTGATGCCACTATAACAAATGACTGTGAACTTGGTGTTTAAAACCGTATAAATTTATTTTCTGACAGTGCTGGAAGCCAGAACTTTAAAGTCAGTATCACCAAGCCAGAATGAATGTTTTAGCAGAGGCTGTAGGGAAGAATCAATTCCATGCTTCTTCCAGCTTCCTCTGGCTGTTGCTATTCCTTGATATGTAGCCACATCACTTCAATCTCTGCCTCCATGGTCACACTGCATATAGAACCGACCTGGATAATCCAAGATAATCTGTCCATCTCAACATGCTTAATTTAATCACAAAAGTCTGTTGCAATTTAATCTGCAAAGACTGTTCCTTCATCTAAGGTAACATTTACAAATTACAGAGATAAGAACTTGATCATATACTATCATAGTATATTAACATACATGTATACATATATGGTATACATGTATACCATATATATAAATATGGTATATATATTCTTGTCCATGGTTCCTGACTCATAAGTCCCATAGCCCTTTTAATAGTCTTTTGTTATGATGATGTTTGGGTGCTTTAGGTCTCATAAGCAGGCCTCAGGAAACAGAATCTCTCTCTCTGATCTTCTCCTGCCCGTCTTTTACTTGCTCCTTTTTCTTCCTGAGGCAGGCCTTAGAAACTAAAAATATATTCTAATCTTCCACCACCTTTCTGTCTTGGAGTTGGACATAAAAAAATTATCTCACCTACTTTGTTTGATTGTAGGTCAGAGACTTCCATTTTAGGAGTCCTGCCCCATACCAGAGGGAAGGAATGTCTCACAGGGAGGTCAAGAAGAATCTGAACAGGCAGGTCTGGGATTTCCGCTGTCCAGGCCAGGTATTAGATGACAGGCTTTTTGTCCAATTACATTTGTTTTTATTTATTTATTTATTTTTTGAGACGGAGTCTCACTCTGTTGCCAGGCTGAAGTGCAGTGGCGCCATCCTGACTCACTGCAACCTCCACTTCCCGGATTCAAGCGATTCTCCTGCCTCAGCCTCCCGAGTAGCTGGGACTACAGGCACCCACCACCGTGCCCGGCTAATTTTTTGTATTTTTAGTAGAGACAGGGTTTCACCATGTTGGCCAGGATAGTCTCGATCTCTTGACCTCGTGGTCTGCCTGCCTTGGCCTCCCAAAGTGCCGGGATTACAGGCGCGAGCCACTGAGCCCATCCTTTGTCCAATTACATATTTCTTTTCTTTTTTTTGAGACAGTCTTGCTCTATCACCCAGGCTGGAGTGAGTGGCGCAATCTCGGCTCACAGCAACCTCCGCCTCCTGGGTTCATGCCATTCTCCTGCCTCAGCCTCCCGAGTAGCTGGGACTACAGGCGCCCGCCACCACACCCGGCTAATTTTTTGTATTTTTAGTAGAAACGGGGTTTCACCGTGTTAGCCAGGATGGTCTCCATCTCCTGACCTCGTGATCTGCCTGCCTCGACCTCCCAAAGTGCTGGGATTACAGGTGTGAGCCACCGTGCCCGGGCCTGTCCAGTTACATTTCTACACGGTTGTCCTTGCTTCAATCATGTCTATCCAATGAAGTCTCCATGAAAGGCTCAAGAGGAGAAAGTAAGGTGAGCTTCTGGACAGCTGAACTACTGGGAGCTTACAGGAAGGTGAACAGGAACTCATCCACATGCAGGGAGAGTGTTGCACCCCAACTCCACAGCAACAAAAGTTTCTACACACTCAGAACTCTTCCAGACCTTGCCCTATATATAACTTCACCTGGCTGATTATTTGTGTCCTTTAAAATATGCTTTATAATTAACAGGTAAACGTAAGTGTTTCTTTGTGTTCTGTGTCCCATACTAGCAGATTAATCAAACCCAAGAATAGGGTTGTGGGATCCCTGATTTATAGCTGGTAGGTCAAAAGCACAGGTAAAGCAATGGGGTTTGTGATTGGCATTGGAAGTTCAGGGGAGACAGTGTTGTGTGACTGAGTCCTCAATCTGTGGGAACTGAGGCTAACTCCAGGTAGATAGTGTCAGAATGAACTGGAGGACACCCAGCTGGTATCTGCTGCAGAATTGACTGCATGCTTAGTAGGTGAGGGCGAAACTCCCCAACCCTTTTGGTCACAGAAGTCTTCTATATTTGTGGTTGTGGTGTGAGAACAGAGGGGAAACAATTTGTCTTTTTTCCTCTGTGGGTATTATTCACACTATTACAATGTGGCATGAATAGCCTTCCAGTTGTCCCCAATAATTACTTTTCTTTTTATTTCTTAGTATTAGGATTTTTACTAAATAAAGACTGTATTACCCAACTTCCCTTATTCACAGGTAAAAACATAACAAAGCTTTGACTAATTTTGATGTAGGTAACTTTTGGACCATTCTCTTTAAAGAAAGAGGTAGACGATTTTCTTCTCCTATTCTTCCTGCTTATTGGTTGGAATGCAGATTAGATGGTAAGCCATTTTAGACCAAGCAAATCACACAAGCCTCCAGGAATAGAAAAGGAAAAACAGAGAAGCATTTGTTCCTGGTGCCATCTTTGAACTGAGCTTTCATATAAACTTGAATGTAAACATGAGAAAGTAACATCATGTTTAAATTACACTTTTTTGTGTTTTCTGTATATTCTCATTAATGAATATTTCAATTAATATGAAGATGTTTTCAGATGTCACAGGGAATTTTGTAAAGTTAGTGATGGAGCCTTTTATGGTCAGCAGGCTAATATAGAGGTAGTCATAATGACAAAAACAGTCAAAGTAGGATTTTTCTTAAACTGCATACTGCTGCATGACTTGTGAGTAATTTAGCTTTTCTAGGATTCAGGTATTTATCTACATCTAAAGAGTGGTTAAGTGAGTATCTAGCATATGTGTCTTGGAGCCTATGTAGAATGATCTCACAGAAAATTTTAGTGTTTCCCTTTTCCTTCTTGAATAAATTAGAAGGAGAGACTTTACTAAAGAAAAATTGAATACCCCTATTTATAAAGAAATGGCTGTTTTTAAAAAATAATTTTGAATTTATCTCAGTATTTTAAATTAATTTGGTTAATAATAGTGTTTACATAGGTAACTTAAATATTTTTGAACTCATGGATTTTTTTTTATTTTTGGGTGTAAAATTCAGTTCATATAAACTTTCAAAGGTCCCATATTTATGAGATTTATTCCATACTAAAGTTGTAGATAACATATATATATGTGTGTGTGTGTGTGTGTGTATGTGGGTGTGTGTGTGTGTGTATATATATATATATTTCTATTATGGCTGCTCACAAATATTTATAAAGCCCCTATTAAGTTAATGGCAGAGTAAAAAGCCATAGAATAACAACAGTACATATAATTTTAACAATAACAACAACAAAAATCACTGGATTTTTCAATGTTACCATGTCACATAGCTTGAAAGAAAGTCAGGTAAGGCAAATGGCAATAATTCATTTTAAATTTTACTTATCTCTTCAAAATTTTGTCAAATTAGACAAAAAAGATAATCTATTCCTAAAACCAGCTTATGTTTATTCACTTTTTTTCCTATAAGTTCTAAGAGAAGTTTTCAGTTTTTGGTTCTGATTGATGAGACAAAAGTAGAAAGAAGTCTTCACTTCACGTCTTGTGACATATTTCTAGCTTCCAGCACATTATAACATTAGCAACATCTCCCAGAGAAATAAAGTTTTTGGAAGATAAAATATTATTGCACTTAGTTTTACTAGTTTCAAATATTTGCAACTAAAAAAACCATTTTGTTATTTAAGTACATGAAACATGAAAAATAGTTAACAGTCAAAAATAAGGCTAAAAATGAACCTACACTTGGAAAAGTGACATGGAAGAGTTCTAAGAAACAATTTGATAATTTAAGACTTGTACAAGCGCTTACAAACATGTTTATGATTGCTGACTTCTTGAAAATATCATTTTTGTAAAACTGCATGTCCTGTATTGATAGTTAATGCCATATTCTATATTATTATTAACATATTATTATATTATTATTGTGGAAAAATCTTTGCCCTTTAAGGGTATACTTTAATTTGGTGTCGTCTATTTAAAACACAATGCAAGCAGAATAATACTCTTTTCAGTTGAAAAAATAGGCCGGGCACAGTGGCTCACGCTTGTAATTCCAGCACTTTGGGAGGCCGAGGCAGGCGGATCCCTTGAGGTCAGGAGTTCAAGACCACTCCGTCTCTACTAAAAATACAAAAACTAGCAAGGCGTGGTGGCATGTGCCTGTAATCCCAGCTACTCGGGAGGTTGAGGCAGGATAATTACTTGAACCCAGGAGGTGGAGGTTGCAGTGAGCCAAGATGGTGCCACTGCACTCCATCCAGCCTGGGCAAAAGAGCGAGACTCCATTTCAAAAAAAATAATAATAATAAAAATAAGAGGTTGGGGACAAATTGTTCCTCCTCCATATTCTCAAACACACTATTTATATTTGTAGTAGAAAAATTATGGGGTTTCATTGTATACAATTTGGTATTCTTGGAAGATAGATAGGTAGATAATAGATAAATAGATATCAGTAGACAGAGATATTCTTTTTCTTTGTTCTTCTTGACAATAAACAATATCTGTTATTTACCATGATTTTTTCTATATTTCCAATACTTTTCAACTTATCCTAGACTCTAACATATAGTAGGCACTGGATTTATATACTGACTTTAAAAATTAATTTTATCTGGTTATAAAGACAAATCTAAAAGACTATTTCCTCAAGTATTTTGAGAAATTGCAGCATTACTGATGGAATTTCTTTCTTTTAATGTGATTTTAAATTGCAAACTTTACTGAAGTAAGAAAAAGTGGAATTATTATTTATTGAGCATTTTCTCCCAGCTGACTCTGAACTAGGAACTACACATATAATCTTATTTTATAGTCTCACACTAAACTTCTGGGTTTAGGTAATATTAACTAACATGTTTTATGACAAAGCTGAAGCTCTGACATGTTAAATAACTTGTCTTACTTTATATTGGCCATGACTATCAAATTTGAATTCAACATTTCTTGATTCAATGCCCATTTTATTTCTGCTATATCACTACTGTTATGGCATCTTTATTTAAAACAGCAATATGTTTTACTGAGTTATCAGTAGCACTTTCTTACATAAATGGTAAAGCTTACCTTCCACCATTGACATTGATTATTATTATTTCCCATAACCTGCCCTAGGGAAAGTTTTCTTACAGGGAATGATGCTTTAATATATTTAGACAATGGTCTGTAACCATGTAACGCTGATGGAAGTCTCTGGAACCATTCCTGTAACACATTGTACTAAGGAAAAATATATGCAAATACCCTGTTAGCAGCTTCTGTTTCCTTATAGAAAGCAAATAATCTAATAGAATTTTTGCTAGGGCAGAAGTGGTGTACTCACTAGGATTACAGAAATGTCAACCACAAAGAAGACATAATTCCATATGACAGAACATCTCATTCATTTTAGAAAGTAAGGGTCCCATCTGATGTTTTTTTTCTGAATTTTTACATTTAAATTATATGCCTCTATTAGAAATTAGGATCATTTTAAGTTTTTGAAATTTTCGCTCTTTTAAGAAGAGAAGTAATAGCAACACATGTAATATGTATGCATTTTTTAGGTATAGATTTTGGAAGGAAGCAGAGGAAGACTAAAATCTCTCAAGCCATATTTTGCCACTGTTTTCCTGAAATACTTTTTATTGTCCTGGAAGAATGAAGATAGTTTGACTCCCAATGGGGACACTTTTATGATTGGTTGATCTGAAAGCATGCATATGGCAAGGACAGAATCTTAAATAAAATGTATTAAAAACATTAAGTTAGGCAGGATAGTTTTTGATAATAAAATACTGAAGCAATGAAATTCTGTAAAATTGTATATACTGGAAGAACTTGGATTGTGTATATGTGATATTGAGATAATCAAATATTACCGGAAATAATAATGAAGACTGTACATTAAAACCTTTCACTGGTCATGGTGGTGTTCACCAGTAGTCATAGCTACTCGAGAGGCTGACACAGGAGGATTGCTTGAGCCCAGAAGTTTGAGATTGCGGTGAGCTTTGATTGCACCACTGCACTCCAGCCTGGGCAACAGAGTGAGATCCTGTCTCAAAAAAAATTCATAATCATATTTAACGGACTTGGTGCAAGAGCATTTAATATTATGTCAAAATGACAATAAAAATTACAAGACACTAAATTAATAAAGGCAAGTTTGCAGTATCAGGCTGAACAGTGACTTCCAAGTATATCATATCCTAGTCGTAGACCTGGTACATGTTACTTGTATATGTCTTATAAGGAAAAAGGGTCTTTGCATATGTGACTAAGGATCTTGAGATGGGGAGATTATCCTGGATTATACAAGAAAATTCTAAAGATGATTATTTTAAGAGCCCTAAGTATATTCTTATAAGAGGGAGGGAGAGGGAGACTTCACACACAGAAAAAGAGTAAGCAATGTGACCATGGAGGCAGAAATTAGAATTTCAAAGGCATAAGAGCTCTTTATAACCTAGTGGTACTAATTTTAAACTTCTGACCTCCAGTACTGTGATAGAAGGAATTTATATTGTTTCACACACTGAATTGGTGGTAATTTATAACAGCAGACACAGAAAACGAATACACCCACATTTTAATAAAAAGAAAAGAAAAGTCTGATGTAAAAAACAATTATTGTTAGGAAGATTACCTAATGAATATAAAAGATGATTGATCATCTATGAAAGACTTATGGACTGCCTTTGAAAGTAAAAATAGATACTTTCTCTTAGTATCATATGGGAACATCAAATTTAATTCAGTTACAAATATAATGTGTAACTAAATGAGATAGGAAAGTAATAATTTATTTTATGTGATTTGACTTCCTTGGATCTTCCTAGTAGAAAGACAGTAGGTTTAATTTTCCTTTAAAACTAGATATTCCATCTCTCAATCTTTAAAGGGGTGAAATTACATAAAAGAAACAAGAAAAAAAGTTTTCAGAAACTATGAAAGATTCCCCAGAATGCTTTTTATCAATAAAATTGAAGTATTTTAAATGTTAATAGTAACATTTGGACTCCTATTCCAAATGGTGATGGACGTTCTTGCCAGTACAATAAGGCAAGAAATTAAGGGAGAAATAAAACTGTTCCTACTTGAAGATGGCATGTTTATCTACGTAAAATAATCCCAAGGAATCTAAAAAATGTTCCTAGAACTAATAAGTGAGTACAGAACAGTCAATAAACAGCAGAAGTCAATTATATTTTTATATGCCAGCAATGAACTAGTGGACACCAAAACTAAAAATAAAATACCACTTAGAAACAGTCATAAAAAATACTTAGGAGTACGTATAAGAAGGCTTGCACCAGACTTGTATGCTGAAAACTACACAATACTGATAAAAGAAATAACTGAAGATCTAAAAAATGAAGGAGCACATTGGGTTTATGGATCAATTGACTAAACGTAGTAAAGATTTCAACTCTCTCAACTTGAAATACAGTTGTAAAGCAATTCTTATCACAATTTCTGAATTGTTTTTTATATAAAATTCATACAGTGAGACAAATAACCAAATGAGCTAAAACAATCTTGAAAAAGAATAAACAAATAGGTAGAATCAGTCTAACTGATTTACAGATATAATATATAGCTGCAGTAATCAAAGTGTGTGTTATTGCTGTAGGGATAGAAAATAGTTTGATGGACCAGAATAGAGACCCCAGAAATTAATTTACACAGATATATCCAGTTGATTTTTAATAGAGTTGCAAAGCAATTCAGTGAGGGAAAGACTGCCCTTCAACAAATGGTGCTGAAACAACTGGACATACATAGGTAATATGTATGTATTTATATTATACATACATTTATAAATACATGTATGTATTTATATTATACATATATATATATATACACAAAAAATATATATTATATATAAATATATACAAATACATATTATATACAATTATATATAATTATTATATATATACAGTAATTTTTATATATATATAAAACTTTGACTTAAGTTTCACCTAGTAAACAAAAATTAACCCTAAATGGATCATAGAATTAAATGTAAAATATAAAGCATAAGTAAAAATATTTAGCATCTAGAGCTAGTCAAAAAGTGCTTAGATGACAACAAAAGTATGATACAAATAAAAAATTGATAAAATGGACTTCTGCCAAATTAAAACCTTTTGTCCTGTGAATTTCCTTATTAAGAGGGTGAAAAGACAACTTTCAAAGTGGAGAAAAATACTTGTAAACTGTATATGTAATAAAAAGCTAATATCTAAAATATATGAAGAATTCTCAAAACTCAACAAAGGAAGACAATCTGATAAAACACAGCTAAAGATAGGAAGAGACATTTCACCAAAGATTATATGCAAATCGCAAGTAAGCACATGAAAAGTTGTTCAACATCATTAGCAATTTGGAAAATGCAAATTAAATCACTACATATCTATATGTATTTTGTTTTTTAGCCATTTAGTGGAATGGCTAAAAGAAACAAACAAAAAAACAGTGACAATAGCAAAAGTTGGTGAGAATTCAGAAAAACTTGTCCATTCGTACATTGTTGCTGGTAATGTAAAATGGTACAACCACTCTGGAAATCAGTTTGGCAGTTTCTTTAAAAAAAAAAACTAAATGTGCAAATGCTATATAACTCAGCAACTATACTCTGTAAAGGATGAGATAAACTTTTTTATCTCTTCACACACTCAACACGCATACTTCTGTGACCAAATGTGTGAGGATATTTTACACGTCAAGTAATTCTCCAGCAGACCCCAACTGGGTATCTTCCAGTTCAATTCAATTCTAATGCTATCTACCTGGAGATATGTCAGATCCATAGGTTGTGGGCTCAGTCCCATACGATTGTCCTCATTTTAGATGCCAGTTGCAAGTAGTAGGTTGTCACCTATACTTCTGACTGAGTGATTACAAACTGGGCTTCCCATGATTTCCCCTATGGATTGAATTAATTTGCCATGAAGTCTCGCAGAACTCAGGGACACATTTATTGGCATGATATAAAAGATTTTATAAAGAATACAGATGAACAGCCAGGTGAAAAAGTACATAGGGTGAGATCTGCAAGGGTCCAAAATGCAGAAGTTTTTGTACCCATGGTTAATATTTATCATTTTTCAACATTGTGCTTTAAAATATGTAGTAGAATTGAGTATCCTTATCAACACTGTTTTCACAGAATATATAATCAAGCATCTTTGCTCAGTATTATAATTTCTGACATTATATATTAAATTATAATGGAGAATGCAATAGAAGATTATACACGTTGTTAACCTGTAACTGAAGGGTGTAGTGAGAAAATGATTATATTATATTTAATCATTCTTATTCTAAAAACAATGTTATGAGAATATTAGGTATGCAGACCTCACTATTTATGGGGAAAAAAAGAAAGTTTGGGTGAAGTTCTTATTTGCTTAGAAATGCATACTCTATTGTGGTTCAGTGGGATTAATGTCATTTTGAAGTGGAGGTTACTGGAGTAGAATATTACTTTTTTTTAAGTTTAATCAGTTTGCTGTGTGATTCAACAATCCCCTCAGGTGCAATTTGATTCAGTTTCATAAAACTGTTTATTCTGTATGAATTTGTGAATAAATCATACTCCTCGCTACTCTGTAAGGTTCATTTAGTACATACTCGGTAGAAAGACAACGTTTTTTCAAGAAGATGAAGACATATTGTAGCCTTATGTCAGCCATAAGGTTTAAACTCAACACAGGAATTTATAGCTGCTTTTTCTTTTTAGAAGCACAGTCTAGTCAAGCATTAAATGTATAGTTAACAGATATCCAATAGTCACAAGAAAGTTGACAACTTAAATTACTTAGTTATAATGAAGATAAATAGCAATCTAAACATGGGTATATATTGCACCCTGCAATGCAATTGACTCTAATGTTGTTGCCAGGCAACTTCCTTGGATAGATTAAACATTCTTCCTGTAATTGATGGTATCAAGACACACACACACACATACACGCACACACACACAACTGCAGAAATGACCAAATCTCTTGTGTTTTAAAAAATAGTGTCTTCATAAAATGTGTTTGAATGCACACATGGGTGACATCGAAATAAAATTCTATTTTGTAGTATGCTTCATTTTGTAAGTCTTTAATAAAAATATGACCCATCATAGATTTTCAATCACTCACAGTACATTTAAGGATTGAAATCAGCTATTTTCTGAGATGAATTGAGTGTTCTTAAGAGATTTATATATGTGTTTGAGGAGATTTTGTGAAGCAAAAATTAATTAGAATGACGTAAAATAAATTTCTTATCATTTATATAACTGGAATAAATTGTTATTACATAGTAAACTCTCTCTCTCTCTCTCTCTCTCTCTCTCTCTATATATATATATATATATATATATATATATATATTCTTGCATATTGGGTACTTTTTAACTTTTCTAATTTTATTTTATATTTTTTAAATTTTATTTTTTGCTTCCCCAACTGGTTTCCCATACCTAGAGTCTCTGTCTCTGAAATTCACATACACAAATACTATTGAAAGATTTATAATAATTTTTGGTAGGAAGGGACATATTTAAAAATTATGTAACATTTGTGACTCAGAAAAACAAGCTTGCTAACCTATTTATTTTTCTCTTTGAATAGATTGATCTCATTATTTAATTGTTATCAAAAAGGAGAGATAGAACTTCTGTCTCCATTTTTCCAGAATAGTATGTCCAGCTATTCCCTTGTTCATTTTTAATGTCTTCTAAATAGTATATAACCTATTATTTAAGTTTTAGAAATGGTTCAAGTCTGTCTACGTTCAGTCACTCAATGACTTTTTGTGAAGATCAGAAAAATTTTCTAGACATTTTCTTTCTGATTTATTTTCTTATGATGCCCCCAGAGTGTGTGTTGGTTGGGCTGGGGTAGCGTAGTAAGGAAACTAAATATCTAAGGCAGCAAGAAATTTCGAGAAAGAAAATTAATCTACTTTATTACACTTCTCTGTGAAGAACTCTAAATTCAACAGTACTCATTCTATTTAGCTACTTTATATCTAGAAATTAGTTAATGAAAATACTAATACAAAGTAACTACAGGTTTATTCATTGGGCCAACCAAATTTTATCAAATAAATGATATGTTTTAGGAATGGTAATAGGTGCTGAAAATAGTAATAATAAGAAGAATAATAGTATTCCACAATTAAAGCACTGAAAGAATTCAATGCCAAGAGCGTAATGATAATGCATTGGCATTTATAGAAGCTGTGAAAGTTTTCAGATTCAAAATGTAGTCACTAATATTAAAAACAAACAATCAAAAACCTGTGGCAATTGGAGACACAGAAGGCCATGAAGTGTGCATTTTCATCTTTGTATGCTTGTTAACAAAAACTATTACAAAGGACTGCAAAAAAAAAGTTTGCACAAAAGACATCACAACCTTACAGAAAAATTACTTCTACAAGGACTTCAGCCCAGCAACTACCTGTTCAATGTCAAAATGGAATTACCCTGATTATTGATCTTTGTAGCCAAGGATAATTATTTCTGGTATGGTTTAGAATTGTGCCCCCACCCAAATCTCATGTCTGAATTGTAATCCCCAGTGTTGGAGGAGGGGCCTGGTGACAGGTGATTGGATCATGGAGGTGGACTTCTCCTTTGCTATTCTCATGATATTGAGTTATCACACAGCCTGGTTATCAGGAGAACCAGCCCCCAATTTTTCAATGTAGGTATTTCGATTTTCCCTAAGTGTTGGCCGATCTGAGAAATAAAGAGAAAGAATACAAAGAGAGGAATTTTACAGCTGGGCCTCCAGGGGTGACATCTCATATCAGTAGGTCTGTGATGTCTGCCTGAGCCGCAAAACCAGCAGGTTTTTATTAAGGACTTTAAAGGCGGAGGGGGTGTACGAACAGGGAGTAGGTCACAAAGATCACATGCTTTAAAGGGCAATAAAGATCACAAGGCAAAGGGCAAAGCAAAGATCACAAGGCAAAGGGCAAAATTAGAATTACTGATGAGGGACTATGTTCGGCTGTGCACGTATTGTCTTGATAAACATCTTAAACAACTGAAAACAGGGTTTGAGAGCAGAGAACTGGTCTGAATTCACATTTACCAGGGCAGGATCTTTTCCCTACCCTAATAAGCCTGAGGGTACTGCAGGAGACCAGGGCATAATTCAGTTCTTATCTCAACCGCATAAGACAGACACTCCCAGAGCGGCCATTTATAGACCACCCCCTAGGAATGCATTCCTTCCGCAGGGTATTAATTATTAATATTCCTTGCTGGGAAAAGAATTAAGCGATATCTCTCCTAATTGCACATCCATTTATAGCCTCTCTGCAATAAGAAAAAATATGGCTCTATTCTGCCCGACCACACAGGCGGTCAGACCTTTGGTTGTCTTCCCTTGTTCCCTAAAATCGCTGTTATTCTGTTCGTTTTCAAGGTGCACTGATTTCATATTGTTCAAACACACATGTTTTACAATCAATTTGTAAAATAGTGGTCCTGAGGTGACGTACATTCTCAGCTTACGAAGATAACAGGACTAAGAGATTAAAGTAAAGACAGGCATAAGAAATTATGAGAGTATTAATTTTGGGAACTGATAAATGTCCAGGAAATCTTCACAATTTATGTTCAGACATTGCAGTAAAGACAGGCGTAAGAAATTATAAAAGTATTAATTTTGGAAACTGATAAATGTCCATGAAATATTCACAATTTATGTTCCTCTGCTGTGGCTCCAGTTGGTCCCTCCATTCGGGGTCCCTGACTTCCCACAACACCTGGTTGTTTAAAAGTGTGTAGCACCTCCCACTTTGCTCTCCTCCTCTGCTCTGGCCATGTAAGATGTGTCAGCATCCACTTTACCTTCTGCCATAATTGTAAGTTTCCTGAGGCTTCCCCAGCCATGCTTCTGTGTAGCCTGTGGAACTGTTAGCTAATTAAACTTCTTTTATTTATAAATTACCTAGTATCAAGTAGTTCCTTATATTATGTTGGTGTAAAAATAGCAATGTGAGAATGGACTAATACAAAAAAAGGTAGTGGGAGTGAAGTTTTGTTATAAAGATACCTTAAAACGTGTAAGCAACTTTGGTACTGGGTAATGGACAGAGGTTGGAACAGTTTGGAGGACTAAGAAGAAGACAAGAAAATGAGGGAAAGTTTGGAAATTCCTAGATACTTATTAAATAATCGTGACCAAAATGCTGATAGTGATATGGATAGTGAAGCATTCTGAGGTGGTCTCAGTTGAAAATGAGAAACTTATTGAAAACTGGAGTAAAGACAACTCTTACTACGATTTTGCAAAGAGCTTGGCAGCATTGTGCCTCTGAACTAGGGGTTTGTGGAACTTTGAAATTTAGAGAGATGATTTAGGTTATCTGGTGTAAGAAATTTCTAAGCAACAAAACATTCAAGATATATCCTGGCTACTTGTAGTAGCCTATGCTTATATTTTTTAGCAAAGAAATGAATTGGACCTAGAAATTATATTTAAAAGGGAAGCAGACTATAAAAGTGTGGAAAAATTGCAGCCTGGCCATGTAGTAGAAAAGAAAACCCCATTTTCTGGAGAGGAATTAAAATTGGCTGCAGAAATCTATATAAGTAAAGAGGAGCTAAATGTTAGTAGCCAAGGCAATGGGTAAAGGGCCTCAGAGGTCTTCACACCAGACCCTCCCATCATAGGCCCGGAGGACTAGGATTGAAGAATGGTTTTTCAGGCCAGACTCAGGGCCTCACTACTCTGTACAACCTTGGGACACCGCTCCCTGCATCTCAGCTGCTCCAACTCTAGCCATGGCTAACAGGGGCCCCAAAATTTCTCAGGCCACTGCTCCAAAGAGTGCCAGTCCTAAGGCCTGGTGGCTTCCACATGGTGTTAAGCCTGCAGGTGCACAGAGGACGAGAGTTAAGGCTTAGGAGCCTCCACCTAGATGTCAGAAGATGTATCTATGTATGGAAACACCTGGATGTCTAGTCAGAAGCTTGTAGCAGGGTTGTAGCCCTCATGGAGAACCTCTACCAGGGCAGTGCAGAGGGAAAACGTGGGGTTGGAGGCCCCCCACAGATTCCCCACTGGGGCACTTCCTAGGGGAGCTGTGAGAAGAGGGCCACAATCCTTCAGACACCAGAATGGTATTTCCACCAGCAGCTTGCACCATGCACCTGGAAAAGCTGCAGGCACTCAATGTTAGCCCTTGAGAGCAGCCATAGGGGCTGAGCCATGTAGAACCAAAGAGACAGAGATGCCCAAAGTTTTGGGAGCCCAACTCTTGGTTCAGTGTGGCCTGGATGTTAGACATGGAGTCAAAGGAGATTATTTTGGAGCTTTGAGATTTAATAATTGCCCTATTGAGTTTTGGATTTGCACAGGGCCTGTAGCCCCTTTGTTTTGGCTGATTTTTCTTTTTTGGAATGGGAGTATTTAACCAATGCCTGTACCCACATTGTATCTTGGAAGTAACTAAATTATTTTGATTTTACAAGATCATAGGTGGAAGGGACTTGCCTTGTCTCAGGTACAACTTTGGATTGCAGACTTCTGAGTTAATGCTGAAAGAAATTAAGACTTTAGGGGACTGTTTAGAAGGGACAATTGTATTTTGCAATTTGAGAAGAACATGAGATTTGAGAGGGACCATGGACCAAATTATACAGTTTGTATTTGTGTCCCTACCCAAATCTCATGTATGAATTTTAATCCTCAGTGTTAGAGAAGGGGCCTGGTGGAAGGTGATTGGATCATCAGGGTGGACTTCCTCCTTGAGGTTCTCACGATAGTGAGTGAGTTATCACAAGTTATAAGAGTGAGTTATCTGGTTGATTAAAAGTTTGTAGTACCTCCCCCTTCACTCTCTTCCTCCTGCTCTGGCCATGTAAGGCTGTATTTTTTAATATATATTCCAAGGTATTTGGGTTTTGTGATTGCAAGTAAACCGTGATTTTTAACCTCTTTTTTCCAATTAAACAAAATTTTATGTTAAATTGTGTGTCTGATAAATAAAAATAAAATTGACTTTTGTATACTGAAAAACAGTACTTAGAATAAGAATGGAGGGAAAATGGACCAGCTGTAGACATTTCACAGATAGAAGAAAAATTAATGTGGGAAGTACTATCGAGAAAGAGAAGAGGGATAGATGACTTCGCTCTTCTGGGTTTCAGCTAAAAATCTAAGTGAATAGCTAATAGGAGGCAAAGAAGCTTGTTCAGAGGAAAATGAATGAAACAAGATGTTGAGCCTTAAGGTAAGATGCCTAATAAACTGAATATGGGACTTTGAAACTCAGGAGAGTATACAGAGCTAGAATCATAAGTTTGCCAATGACAAATTGATACTCATGTTACTAAATTAGGTGAGAAGGGACAAGATCTGTTGCTCAAGATATATGAATGGTAGATTGGACCTGTGTGGAAGTTTTCTTCTGAGAGATTTTGTTGCTGAAATAGAAAAGGAAGAGGCAGCTGAGAATCTGAAGACATGGGAAGTGTTGGAAATTTGCGCAGAGCAGAGATGTTACAAAGTCAAAGATTTGTTAGAGTAATTTTTCGGGGGGAATAAAGTAGAATGGTAGTGTTACACTAGGGGGTCTGCCTAAATTATTGCTTATGAGCTGAACTTAAAACTGGTCAGCAAGTGTGTGCGGTTTTATTTTGCCATCTTTAGCTTCCCAAGTATTGGCATACTTAAAACCAGGGCTGGATTTAACCGTGGGAGTTTGGACATGTTAGTGTAATGATAAGGGGTTGGAGGGAGAGCAGAAGTAGGGATAGGGAAAGAGAAGCAGGAAGAGAAGAGAGAATTGTTTTGTTCAGTAACTATTTTTTAAGTAACCAGAATTGTCAGCACATAACATATAGTTAAAACCAAGTTTTGACTGCCTAGAACAAGAAGCATTTCAAGGAAGAAATTGCTCCAGAAAAATGCTTACAGCAAGTTTTTTTTTTCTGCAAGTACATGAAAAGCAACTTGAATAAAGAGTTGAGAAGAAAGATATAAAAAGGTAAAATTAAAATTCATTTGATAGTTTTTATTCATCTAAATTCATATTAAGGATAAAAATCTTGAACTAAATTGACTATTGTGGGAAATTAAACCTGAAGAAAAAAATACAGAAACATAAAGATTCTAAGAATGGATTTTAATTAATGTTAAACAAGTTCTCAAACCAGAAAGTCATCGGCATTAGTCAATACAGTGTAAAGAAAAATACATTTTTGTTTTTTAATTATTCTCCTCACGGAAATAGTGTTTACAATATTATGTGTGATCAGCAAAATGTAGCAAGTTAATCCTATTCTCATAAGAACAATTTCAAGTCCAAGAGCCTCCTTTATAAAATGCAGGGCACATATTGGTTACTTTTTATTGATTTAGACAATATATGAGTTGTCAGAAAAATCCCATTTTTAAAATCTACAACATGATTTCCTACCTGTAGGTGTTTTAAAACAATCGTTAGTTACTTTTTTAGAGCCAAAATAAATTCACTTCATGTTGAAGATCTATAATCTTAATCATTGTGTCTTTTCTTGTTTTTCTAACTAGTGTACCTTAATGGCTGACTGCTCAAAAGGAGATTAGATATTTTGCTACAAGTGTACTTGTTACAGGGCTGTTTCATTTTGAACCGAATGGGAAGAACTGCTTATTAATTCAAGCCACTTTTTTTGAACTGACATTTCCCTAATTTCATCAGTAGAAGTAGCAGCTATTTTATGCTGCTGCATTCCATGTTATTAATGATAGTTCATTTTATAGACCAATGTCCTTTCTCCCTGCAAAACAAGTTTAACTCAATGTGTGACTGAGCACTATTTGTACTACAGCAATAAGCATCTATAACAATGATCTATGGAAAGATGCATCTTGAGTTTCAACTGGTGATACTAGACAAACCTCTCCTTTTTAAACTTTCCACCCCTATTCTAGCAGCAGCAGATAATCTATGGGAAAATTATAGGGGTAGAAAGGAATGAATGAGAGGCAAGGTGACACCGGGACCTCAAGTCTCTCCTGGACTTGTTTATTCTGATTGTCTATCAAAAGAGAATTACCTCTGTACATCAGCAAACCTGAATTACAGAGAAGAGTTAAGTCAATTACAGGTGTTCTAATTGTAGCAAAATTGCAATAAGGCCTGGAATGACATGGATATAAGACTTTATTTCCTCAACTCTCATGCATTCTACATTTATTAATAATAATGGTATGCTAGACCCTATGTTAATAACTAACATACAAAGATAATTACAACATGGTACCTGTAAGAGGAGGGGATAATAATTGAGAGAAGAGATAGTCAGTGGGCATATGAATACACAGGAGTATCATGGATATATGAAAAAGTGATGGAACAAGAGTTTAGTGTAGTAGATGCAGTCTGTATTGTTAGGACTTTGAAGTCAATCTAAGTTTGAGGATTTATTTTTTCCTATGCACAATGGATTCATCATAAATAATTAAATATTTTTAAAGCCAGAGAATGATATCCCAGTATTTGAATTTTAGAAAGATCATCCTGGCATGATTGTGGAGAGGATCAATGAAGATACAAAACCTTGAAATAGGGAATCTATCAAGGAGAATTCAGAGAGGACTTCATAGGACTCTAAGAAAGAACATTTGGAAAGGTTAAAAGAAAACTAACAATATGTCAGAATAATGGGTATGTCCATACAACAAATACAAAACCTATTTTAATTTGTGTTCAACTGTAGCAAATGTTGATCATTAGCAATCTTTGACATGGCAATTTCAATGGATTACTGGAGGAAAAACTCTAATTACACAAAAAAGATTTCAGGAAATATAACCAGGTGAGGATGACTCTAAAAAGAATGGTTAGCCTAGAAAGAGAATGTCATGAAATGCTATTTAGAGGGGAAAATAGGCTTATATAAAATACATTTCGAACATTTGTGTATAGAGGGATATATGTACACATTTGTATATAATAGACCAAAAATCTAATAGAGACAGAGATTGAAAATGGATCAAAAGAAGAAATATTAGTTAACTAAGTCAAGATAGCTAAGAAAGAGTAGACAATATGCCAAACCTGTTGGAAGTATTTTTTATTCAAGTGAAGGATCATGTCTTCTGGCTGAGATGGAAAAAATGTGATAAGCTTTTCAGGATAAATTAACTGTGGGATGGAAAAATTTACATTCTGAGATAAAAATTTTTCTTTATAAATCAGTATTTGATTTAATTATGAATCAGGCTTATATTAAATTGGTAAAGGACTTTTAGAGAGAATGCTGGAGATTTTTAAATGACTGTCATACAAAACAGAAGACTGAATAGCTGTGACATTAAGAAATATTGACCAGAGGCACTGGTTACCCAGTTGAGGATTGACACTACACCTGGATATTGGCAGCAATCTTATTAGTTTCAAAAATGTTTCTAGACTAAATGCTCACATTTGGCCAGGTTAAGGTGCAAGAGAGTAACTAGATTAGACCCTGCAGAATAACAGGAACAAAGAAGTAGGAGTATCATGTAAATGGCACTTGATATAGATCTCATGGGTTTTGGATGAGCACATAAGGAAGTGTAGCCAGGAAGAAGTTGTGAAAAATTAGGAAAAGGACTAAACAAGATACAACATGCTCAATATTATGAGTTGAATCATGTCACTCAGAAGATATGTTGACATCTTAACCTTTGGTATCTACAGCTGTAACTTCATTTGGCATTAGGGTCTTCATTGCAGATATAATCAAGTTAAGATGATATCATTGGACTGGGCCTTAAATTAATATGAATCCAGAAGTCAGAAAAAGCAAGGAAAGATTATTTCCTACAGGTTTCAAAAGAAACATGGCCCGCCACCACTTTGATTTCAGACTTTTTTTGCCTCCAGAACCATGAGACAATACATTTCTATTTTTTTAAGCCATCTAATTTATGGTATGTTGTTACAACAGCACTAGGAAACTAATACATCCAATAAAAATTATCACCAACAGTCTGCATCGGTCAACTGGTTGTTAGAATGCAGAGACAACTAAATAGTTGAATATTTTTTTTTCAAAATTGGTTGGTTTATGAGATATATGATAAGAATATAGATAAGTGGATTGAACAATTGTTTGCACATTCCTATCTTAAAATATTTTAATGTTTTATATTAAATAACATGACCACAATGACCAATAGAATGACCACAGTGTTCTTCAGTGTTGAAAGAGCTTAAATTTTCAATAATCTTTAAGGCTAAAGTATACCTTGTTAAAATAAAGTAAAAACGTAAGTAATCATGTTATCTGCTTAAATGTTGAAAAATCTATTGATGGAAGTTTATTTGCATTTTCTACCCCAAACAAAGCATATACAACTAATAATCCTATTTATCTGCTTTAGTATTAGTAATTTAATTAAATTAGAATTTATGTAAATTGAACAAAATATATTAGAATTAAACATTCACCCTGACTGTGAATGTGGGTACCTGTATATATTTTTGACTTATAAATGCTTGACATAAATGGTTGGCTTAATATTTAAATTTTTGCATGT
Organism: Homo sapiens; assembly: GCF_000001405.40. Lineage (NCBI taxonomy): Eukaryota > Metazoa > Chordata > Mammalia > Primates > Hominidae > Homo > Homo sapiens. The sequence continues at coordinate 86,417,659 of NC_000012.12, forward strand.
TTACATTCTTTGAATGAGATATATTTATAGGCAGTATTTGCAATATGAAATTTTATTTCCACCATGCATTATGTATATTTCATGGATGAAGGAGAGATACTTTCTTTTAATAAGAATATTAATGGTGATAATGATGATAATAATAAGACCTAGGATTTAATTAGTGCTTATTTTATCACATACTTTACATAGACTATCTAATTTAATTATCAAAAGCCAAAAAACAAGCAAAACTACAAAGTAGCTGTAATTATTATGCTCATTTGCAAATGAAAAAACTGTTGCTTATAAACTGAGTTTCTTGCCCAACATTATACAACTAAGAAATGGTGGAGACAAGACTAGAGTCCTATCACATTCCAAAACCTTTATGGTTAATAAGTATATTATTTGAATAAATTTTGTAAATACGTATTCAAAGAATGTACATTCTTTGCACAAACTTTTTTTAGCTATTGAAAAATAAAAGCCATTTAGAAGGGCTATTGATAAAATATTCTACAATCTTAATTTTCTCATTTCAAATGCTGCTCATGACTAACTGTAGGTAGATTGAATGATCAGAGCATATGATTTGTGAATCATTCATATAAACATAAGTCTGGGTTATGCTAGAGTGGTTGATGGATGGCCTGAGTTTTTAACACATAAGAGGTAATAGGGGCTGGGCACAGTGGCTCATGCCTATAATCCCAACACTTTGGGAGGCCGAGATGTGCAAATCCCTTGAGGTCAGGAGTTTGAGACCAGCCTGGCTAACATGGTGAAACTCCATCTCTACCAAAAATACAGGCATGGTGGAGCATGCCTGTAATCTCAGCTACTCAGGAGGCTGGCGCAGGAGAATCTCTTCAACCGGGAGGCGGAGTTTGCAGTGAGCCAAGATCGTGCCACTGCACTCTAGCCTGGGCAACAGAGCAAGACTCCATCTCAATAAATAAATAAATAAATAAATAAATAAATAAATAAATGTAATGAATAAGTATTCATTTTTGTTGAAAAAGTGAATAAGTGAAAGTATAAATGCATATTTAGAGAATATTGCAAAGAACTGAGCTCATCAGCAACTGATTACAAGGAGTACCAATAAGGAGAAACAAAGTTTAAAAAGAGTAAAGCATCATGTGTGTAGAAGGAAGAAAGAGTATTAAAGAAATTGCAAATATAACTAGCTAGGGAAGGAAAGAAAATTGAAAAAAGTTGATTGGACTCTGCCAAGAAATCACTTAGGTCACTGTAAAAATAACAGTAGAAAGTTGAGGTCAAATATTCTGCTGAAATTATTTCCTAGAAAAAATGCTCATATTTTTGTTTCACTCACAACTTTCAGACCTTTCTCTAGGTTAAAGAGTTATTATGGTTATTGCAAAAGACGTTACAGAACAGCAAAACAAAACCTTTTCCAAAATTTCATCTATATAGTGTGTTTCAATCAAATGCATTCATGAGGGAAAAAATATAACATTATTTCTCCCTCCAACTTTTAAAATTTCATGATCTGTTATAAAATTATTACTGAAATATGAGGTTATTAATGTAGAATTTAATAAAATTTTAGGATTTCTTATACCTAAATTAAGATAATTTCTTCAATCTTACAGATCTGTTAAAAATTTCTGCTCAAAGTCCTTTATCCAAAACCCTAATTCCAAGGACTTGAACCAGTCATATTAAAAATGAACAAAGAAACTGAGTTTTATTTCAGCCTCTTTGAGATATACATACATATATATGTACATATATCCATACATACATAAATTTTAAATTATATATAAATATATATCACATAGATAATTTAAATTTGAAAATTATACAAATTAACATTACCAGTTTTGCAACTCAGTGAGTTTTCCAGCTTCCTAGATCAAGGAATAAATTAAGAGGCCTATTCTGAATTCTGAAAGGGGACCAGAAGAATAAAAGCATGACACTTTAGTCTTACACAAATCTTCTGAAGGGAGTAAAAAAGAAGTAAAAATAGAGCAATGGATAGTAATATTTTGGTACTCAAGTGGAGATGAATGGACAAGGCCATTTCACTTCATGAAGTTTTCTTGTAGTGGATGGTAATGAAAGAAAAATGAGACCTAAACACTCAAGGACTCAATGTGTTTGTGATAATGTGAAGGGTGTGTTTCATGGTACTGGAGAAGGAAGGCTAATATTGACCCTATGTATTAAGAGAGTTGTATCAGGGCATAGAAAAAAGCATGGGTAGAAATTACTTTGTATGTTATGTGTTAAGTGCAGCAGCAAAGGTGAGGAAAACAGAGATAGGAAAAAACACTACTTAAACTTAGCTTAAATATGACTGTCTTTCCCATAGTTTAGGAATTGCAATAAAGACCATAATTTTTTTTTTAAAAGTTAACCATTTTAAGTAGGATTCTGAAACTCTGAGTTATTCATGTAGACTTGGAAAAAAATGCATTTTACAGGCCTGGTGTGGTGGCTTATACTCATAATCCCAGCACTTTGGGAGGGTGGGGTGGGGGAATTGCTTGACCCCAGGAGTTTGAGACCACCCTTGGCAACATGGTGAAAACTTTTGTCTCTAAGAACGATTTTTAAAAATTAGCGGAGCATGGTGGCATGTGCCCGCAGTCCCAGTTACTCTCGAGGCGGGAGTGGGAGGATCACTTGAGCCCAGAGGTTAAAACCTGCAGTGAACTATGATTGTGCCACTACACTGCAGTCTGGACTACAAAGCAAGATCCTGTCTCAAAAAGAAAATTAAAAAAAAATTAAAACTGCATTTTACAAGTGTTTACTGTTTAAGCTAATGCATAGGTAGCAAGACTATTCATTGGTTCTCTAAATTCGCAATATTTACAGTACCATAAAATAGGCTGGGCCACCTCTTAGCAGCTCATAATATGAAGTCATTGCTGAGATGAATTGCAAATACTACCAGTTCATCTCCATAAGAAATAAACCGTAGAAAAATTCATAATACTTTAAGAACCACATTTTGCTTTGAGATGTATAACAACTTGCATTCCAAGATTCCTAATATTATAGTTTGAAACAATTTTAATTTAGAAATATATCCAGTTCCATATAGCCTGCTACTTGAACAGTTTGGCCATAAAAAATCAAGAATAAATATTTACCTGACATATATATATATATATATACACACACACATATATATGTGTGTGTGTGTATGTATACATACACACATATGTATATACATATATATGTGTATATATATACATACATGTATATGTGTATATATACATACGTGTATATGTGTATATATACATACATATACATGTGTATATATATACTTTTTCTGGTAAAATCTGAATCATAGAAGTTATGCTGCACATCCTTTCAAATTGGTTCACATTTCAAAACTCCTTTTATAGTAATAAAATATAGTGAGACATTGTGAACCAAACAAAATTTAATGTCAGTAGGAATTTGAGTATCTTCTCTGGAAAGTAGAATATACACCTTTAAACTTGGGTCTTCTTTGTCCTGACTTTTGCTGACTTTTGAATGTCTCTACATGGCAGAAGTAAAATTGAGCATTTCTATGTAACAGCATTAATGATCAGATAATCAATTACACAAAAAAAGTGTTTAGGCTATACCTATGGTTCGGATAATTGTTCTACCCCTTGCTGGTAAAGTGACATTTAGATTTCCAGAAGTTAGGCCCATGGTACATTCATCAAATTCATTATTCTTTACATATTGATTGATTGAACTGAAGCTCATACCTTTGGTTGTCAAAAATCTCTTTTTCCAGAAATATATTTTTTCCCAAATAACCCTATTTAATGATTTGCCAAGCAGCCTATGCTTGTTAAAAGACCTTGGATTGGCCTGGCGCCATGGCTCACGCCTGTAGTCCCAGCACTTTGGGAGGCCGAGGCAGGGGGATCAATTGAGGTCAGCAGTTCAAGACTAGCCTTGCCAACTAGCCTAGAGAAACCCCGTCTCTACTAAAAATACAAAAGTTTGCCAGGCATGGTGGCAGGCGCTTATTATCCAAGTCACTCAGGGAGGCTGAGGCAGGAGAATCGCTTAAACCCAGGAGGCGGAAATTGCAGTGAGCCGAGATTGCGCCACTGCACTCCAGCCTGGGCGACAAGAGAGAGACTCCATCTCAAACAAACAAAACCTTGGATTAAAAACCAAATGTAAAATATAAAGAGAAAAATATAAGTCCCACATATCATGCGTATGTTATATCTGGTATATGATCAAGGAAATAAAAAAGTACATAAATTTGAAGTATAAGCAGAAATTGTAAGTCTTAATTTGTAAGTCATTCTGAAGAGTTATTCTCAATTACTTAAATGTATGACAAAACCAGTTTAGGCAGAGAAACTAGGTTACTTACTAGTGGTTTGTTACAAAATATGTTTTCCTTGAATTGAGGCTTAGAAATGGAGTTTTATCCAAAGATAAGACAGAATGATACAGATTGACAGAATGATGAAAATCAAGGGGGACCCACAACTCTAAAAAAATGGAGATAGCATTAATATGAAATATTCAACCATCCCAAAACCTTTTTACTCAAATCTGCCCTTCAACCATTCCTATCCTTCTTTACTCCTTCTCTCACCCTAGCTTAAACACAAGATTAACTGAAGTACAAAATTCTGTCAGCAGATATATAGCCGCTGTTCAAAACCTTGGAACTATAAGAAGTCCTGGATTGTTGCCTTAATTATTAAAAATATAACTTATGAGAAACCAATTTATTTTCAAAATTTACTCACAGATCAGTTAAAAGAACATCAGTATCACTGAAACAGTCATGCATTTGGAAAAATATCATTTTTCAACCCTTGACATCTTAAAGCTTGCTACAGCTTATAAAAACACAAGCAAACCAAAATCTCTGGTTGTAAGAATGTGCTGTAGACTAAATCTTATGGCCAACATGCAACTTCTGTGTCAAATAAATGACATTTTAAAATCAATTTTCATGCCTATGCTAACTCTCAATTTAAAAAGAATCATAAAATTTCTATTTCCTTTTTATAACATAACATGGGTCAATATTCTGGCTAATGTGACACAATTCAATAAAGATATTGTGGAATAATTTAAAATTCAATTGTACTGGCAATTAGTTTCCATTTCAATATACTCTTCTGAAATTGTTGTATTTTATTTTGGAAAAAAAACATAGAGTATCTGGGTTACTGTGACAAACAAGTTTTTTTCTGCACTGCATCCCTCCAGCAAGGGCTTAATATATCTGATATGTCATAGTCAACATTCCTGCTAATCTTTCCCACCAGTGTCAAGTGCTGAGAGCCATCACCTATTCATTTTGTTGTATAGTGGAGGAAGAAAGATGTAGAATGGGCAGAAAGTAATCTGCACGAACATCAGAATAATATGGGCTTTTTGAGCACAGACACAAAAGAGATGCAAGTAGAATTAGAAAATCAGCTGTTTTCTGAGATTTGTTTTGCAACTCTTTCTTTGCCTGTACTGTTTGCTTGAATGTAAATTATTCTTAATTTTATTATATTACTTAGTTAATGAATGTTTTAAGACTAAAAAAAGTTTCTATTTGTATCAAAACTTTATGGATTTCACATATTTCACATCATACAGACAGGGTGCATTAAATAAAACACTATTAAATATTAAATATTTTGACATCTATGAAGCAATATTATTATTATTGTCATTTAACATAAAATTATGGAAGTTGGAGTTTTAATATTATGTTAGCATGTAAGTGCTCCATTTAAATAAAAAAAATTAACAAGTCTCAGAAAACATAAGGTAATGATAGTGTTTTCAATTTTACCAACAGCAATGGAATTTTCTATGATAGAACAACTAAAAATTTGACTATCCACTATATAATTTCTTCTATTGAGTGTTTGTGTGCAAATGTATGCATGTATAGCACATGTACATGTATAAATGTATGTGTGTGTATAGGGAATATAGTGTAATAATTGAATTATATTTTAATATAATTTTAAGTTTAATGATACTGGAAATGACTCATGGTAGAAAGAATTGAAAATGAAAACCAGAAAAGTCCAAAACTTGATGTGTAAAATATCCATTCATAATGTATTGAACATTACATTACATTATTATCCATTCATAATGTCTTGCCTGTAATGAACTATTAGCGTGATTCCTCACATTAGAATTGGCACTGTCTTGCCTAATAATGAGAAAGTAAAAATGAAGTTCTTGTTTTAAAAATGTATCTATTTAGAGCCATACCCATACAAGCTAAATATTTCAAAAAGGAGCCTCAAAGGGGTAGGACATAGGGAAAATAAGTGTGACTATGCTTTCGAGAGATACAATCTTCCACTTAGAAATATCTGCAAAACTAAGTTGTTAGTATAGGTTAGCAAATCACACACAAGAAAGGCCTGGTTATTTGTGTAAGGATGAAAGAATGCAAATTAAAGAGAGATCTCTCTTCATAGCTTAAACTTCATTAACCAACATATATAATAAAAACTTTGATAGAAGGAAATAAAAATTAGAAGCATTGTGTTTAAAATTAGAAGAACCTAGGTTCCAGAATCATTGCAGCCACCTATTAACATCTTTAAACCTCCATTTCATCACCTGTAAAAGAAGAATCTTAATAGTGCTGATTGTAGCTGTTAAAAGGTTTAGCCTTTCTCTTTAGATTTTTGTCCCCCACTCTTCCAATCATCACAGGAAGTGCACTATGCATCCTCCATTTGGTGAGAACCTCTCTTATGTTTTATTCAGTGTTCTTTTTTTAGCCTGAAATAAAATTTCTTACCTTTCTTTTGATGTGAAAAAATGTTGGCTATATACTTCTTAAAAATTATATTTAACTGTTAGGATTCAAGGGTACCATTCCACCAATTCACTCACCAAACTAATTTCAGAGTCAGATCTGAGCAACGGCTGACTGTTCTAAATAATACCTCCCCAGCTTCTGAAGCAATGAAATCCATTGATTCCCAAGTGGGGATGGCTGGGCAGCATGAATAGCATCTGCATTATAAATACTTATATAGAGCTTAATCTCATATGCCAAGCACTATTCTAAGAACAAATTGATTAAATCAATTAATTCTTATAACAATCTAATAAAGGAGGTACTACTAAAAATATATATACATACATATTTAGACAGAATCTCACTCTGACGCACAGGCTGGAGTGCAGTGGTAGGACCCCGGCTCACTGCAACCTCTGCCTCCAGGGTTCAAGCAATTCTTCTGCCTCAGCCTCCCGAGTAGCTGGGACTACAGGTGCGTGCTCCAATGCCTGGCTAATTTTTTGTATTTTTAGTAGAGACGGGGTTTCACCGTGTTAGCCAGGATGGTCTTGATCTTCTGACCTCATGATCCACCTGCCTCAGCCTCCCGAACTGCTGTGATAACAGCCGTGAGTCACTGTGCCCGGCCCTACATTTTAAAGCTAAGTCTAGACAGTGAGATAAAGTACCTTATTCAAATTCCCATACTCATTAAGTGATAGAATCTGAGTTCAAGCCTAGGCAGCAATGTGGTGGCTCCAGATTTCTTGCTCTGAACATTATACTATGCAGTCTTTCATCATAATTTAAGAAGAATGAGAAATACACTGACAATATTTTCAAAACTGTTTAGTAGGTAATCTCCACGAGTTGAGGGAGGGACCTGGTGGGAAGTGATTGGATCATGGGGGGTGTTTACCTCATGATGTTCTCATGATAGTGAGTGAGTTCTCACGAGATCTGATGGTTTAAAAGTGTAGCACTTCCTCGCTCTTGCTCTCTTGCTCTGTCTCTCCTGCCAACATGTAAGATGCACCTTGCTACTCCTTCACTTTCTGCCATAATTGTAAGTTTCCTGAGGCCTCTGCAGCCATGCAGAACTGTGAGTCAATTAAACTTGTTTTATTAATAAATTACGCAGTCTCCAGTAGTATCTTTATAGCAATGAAAAAACAAATTACTATACTGTTATACATATTATACCTGTATTTGACCACTTGCATCCTAGCACTGTTAAGTTGCAGATGGTATTGAGGACATTCTCTAATGCCTTTGACTCCAAAATCTTGCACCAGCCAAAATCTTGCACCAGCCAGCAAAGGAAATTACATGATGATCCCTTTTCAATGAGAAGACTGAAGTATTGCATGCATATAACTTTATCAATATCTTGGGTATTTCCAAGATGAATGAATGGGTATTAATTTACATTTGTATAACTAAAGACTCATTCTGATTATTTCTTCTAATTTGCAAATGACTTATTTTCTTTTAATATTTAAACTGTTTTAATAAAATTAATATGCCAATATTAATAATCATATACTCCAGTCCAGATTATACTCATGATATATTTTATCTCAATAAAATAAAAATTAAAAAGTTTTCCTCTTTTTATAATAGAAGCAAACTATGTTAATGCAATAAACATATTTAAATATCTGAGTGTATTTCACTTAATAACTGTATTAGAAGTATACAACTTATTTTGCAGTCATTCAAATAGGCAGTATATTATGGCATCTGCCCCTTAACAAGTCTCCTCTGAATGTGTGGTCCATCAGTCATTGACTCTTCGGGTAAAATCTATTTCAGCAATGTCCTTAGAGTACTGGTGTGTATTTTTAGCTCAAGAAAATGGAAAACCTTACGCTGCCATTCGTTTACCGATTGGCTCACGAGTTTTCTGCATTATTACTAGATATTGAGAAGAGCAGAAAGTGAACTATAAGAGTAAAATTATAATTATCATTAGTGATCATTTATAAGTCACAAGACACTATAATAAACACATTTATCTTAGTTATTTTCACATATGAAAAATAATAATCATATGTATAATAAAGTATCATTCACCATATACAAATAAGGAAACAAAGGCTTAGGGATGTCAGGCAACTTGCTCAGGCTAATTCAGCTAACCTGTGGCAGAAATGTTTCTGGAATCCAGGTAGACTGATCCAAAGCCTCTGCTCCAAATGCATACTCCATTCAGTGCTATATAAAGACATGACTACAAGTTCAAGATAAAAAGAGAAGGGCCGGGCGTGGTGGCTCACGCCTGTAATCAAAGCACTTTGGGAGGCCGAGGAGGGCGGATCACGAGGTCAGGAGATCGAGACCATCCTGGCTAACACGGTGAAACCCCGTCTCTACTAAAAATACAAAAAATTAGCCAGGTGTGGTGGCGGGCGCCTGTAGTCCCAGCCACTCGGGAGGCTGAGGCAGGAGAATGGCGTGAACCCGGGAGGCAGAGCTTGCAGTGAGCTGAGATCATGCCACTGCACTCCAGCCTGGGCAACAGAGCGAGAATCCATCTCAAAAAAAGAAAAAGAAGAAGAGAGAGAGAGAGAGAAATCACATCTAAGTATCCTGCTCAGACCCTCTTACACCATTGTCCTATTCAAGTGTCCATGCCTTATTAATGTCAGCTAACTGGGGAAGGAGGTATTGGGGAAAGAAAGGCCATCACAGATTTGGGATACTATTGTTATAGCTTTGTTCTATAAGCTTCTTGGAGGGAAAAGTGTGTGTTTCCCTAAGAGGGGCTGCCTTCTACCTTTAGCAGGCAGCTTTGATGCTTCCATTCTACATTTACACATAAATGGACATGTATTTCATATTACTGTTGCTCTGACTTTGACCATCCAATTACTGGAGAGGTAGAGAGTATTATACATAATATTATAATGCCACATTAATAGAGTTTAAAATGTGCTAACAATTTTAATTAAGATAATTATACATATTATAATTATAGTATATATTTTCTTTTACTTTTTATCTTTTCAAAAGGAAAAGTTAATAATATCATGGTTCTGTACTTAATGAAGCATAATTTTGTTTAAATTATAGAATTATTTCATTCTCCCATCCACCTTACACACACACAGACACACTCTAGCACACACATGCACATGTGCACACACCCTCTTATCCATTCAGGAAGATAAGCTTTCACATCCTTAGTAGTCACATTCTTAGTTTTCCCAAAAAAGAAACTCCATTCCATTTATACTTGTGGAAATGAAGTATATAATTGCCATATGTTCTCTAAAATGTCATAAAAGGTGAACATTTTCATTCACATGGAATATTTAAAAGCTAATATAGGCTGGACGCGGTGGCTCATGCCTGTTATCCCAGCACTCTGGGAGGCTGAGGAGGGTGGATCACGAGGTCAGGGGATCAAGACCATCCTGGCTAACACGGTGAAACCCCGTCTCTACTAAAAATACACAAAATTAGCTCAGCTTGGTGGCAGGTGCCTGTAGTTCCAGCTACTCGGGAGGCTGAGGCAGGAGAATCGCTTGAACCCGGGAGGCAGAGGTTGCTGTGAGCTGAGATCGTGTCCCTGCACTCCAGCCAGGGAGACAGAGCGAGAGTCCATTTCAAAAACAACAGCAACAACAACAACAACAACAAAACCACAACAACAAAAAAACCCGCTAATATAGTATAAAATCATTGTCTCAAATTAAAATATCAGGTTACAGGAATAAACAATGCAGATGTTACATACATTTCAAGATCGAATTATTTATTTAGATTATTTCATTTAATTATATAAAATAGGTGTTATTATCTCCATGCTAAAGATGAGGAAATGCAGAGTGTACAGTTTAGGTTAATTGCTCAAGTTCCTAATAACTGGCAGGTAATATAAGTAGGGTTTGAACTAAGCCTCTCTGATCCTCGTGTACTCATTCTTAACCATGTATCTACAGAGAGCAGGACTGAGGAGCATAATAGAAAAGAATCTCTGAAAAGCAGGGCTCAGTAGCTGACACTACAGGCATGTGCCACCATGCCAGGCTAATTTTTGTATTGCCTGCCTCGGCCTCTAAAAGTGGTGGGATCACAGACATGAGCTACCACTCCCGGCCTCTCCTCTTCGACTTTTTGAGAGAGTTTGAGGATTTGTATCTGTTTTCTTTAAATTTTTGATAGAATTCAGCTATTAGGGCATAAGGTCCTGGTCTTTTCTTGCTGGGAGACTTTTTCTTACTTATTATATTCCCTTGTTAATAGTTTGTTCAGATGTTCTATTTATTAATGATTCAGTCCTGTTAGGTTGTATGTGTTTAGGAATTTATCCATTTCTTATACAATATCCAATTTTTTGACATACAATTGTCAATAGTATTTTCTTATGATCCTTTTTATTTCTGTGGTATCTGTTGTAATGTCTACTTTTTCATTTCTGATTTTATTTGAGTTTTCTCTCTTTTTTAGTTATTCTAGCTAAAGTTTGACAATTTTGTTTCTTTTCAAAAAAGAGTTACTTTTTATCTCTTGTGTTGCTTTTCTAGTCTTTATTTCATTTTCTTTTCTAATTCGATATTTATTATTTTTTCCCATGTGCTAACTTTGGGCCTAGTTTGTTCTTTTTCTATTAATAGTTCCTTAAGGTGTAATATTATGTGGTTTATTTGAGATCTTTTTCTTCTTTTTTTGTTGTAGGTACCTATTGCAAGAACTTTGCTATTAGAACCGCTTTTTGCTGTATCACCTAGATTTGATGTGTTGTGTTTCCATTTGTGTTTGTCTCAAGATTTTTAAAACATTTTCATTTTGATTGCTTCAATGACCTTTTGGTTGTTCAGGATCATGTTGCTTAATTTCCATATATTTGTGAATTTTCTAAAATTGCTACTGTTATGAATTTTGTTTCAAACAATTGTGTTTAGAAAATATACTTGATATAATTTATATTTTTTAAAATTTGCTGAGACTTGCTTTGTACCTTAGCATGTGATCTATTCTGAATAATGTTTGTTTGTGTGCTTGAGAAGAATGTATACACTGTTGCGGTTGGATGAAATATTTTGTTTATCTCTGTTAGGACCATTAAATCTAAAGTGTTGTTCAAGTCCAATGTTTCCTTACTGATTTTCCATCTGGGTGAATAAGGTTTTTATGGTTGTCACGTTTTTTGTTTTTGTTTTTTTCTTTCAGAACTTTGACTACATCTTTCCACTCTCTCTTGCTTGAAGACTTTCTGTTGAGAAATACTCTGATAGTAATATTCACCCTCTTTCATATATGGTGTGTTTCTTATCACTTGTCCTCAGAATTTTTTCTTGTCCTTGATTTTTTATTGTTTTGTTATTATATGACTTGTTGTGCTTCTCTTTGGGTTGAATTTGATTGAAGACCTTCATGCTTTCTGTATCTGGTTATTGGCATCTATCCCAGACAAGAAAAGTTTTTAACCATTATTTCTTTAAATACGTTTTCTGGCCTTTATTATTATTTGTCTCTTTCTGGAAGTCCTATTATGTGAAAGTTTAATCTCTTGATGGTGTCCCATAATTACTGTAAGCTTTATTCCTTTATCTTTCTGCTCCACTGACAATAATTTCAAATGTTCTGTCTTTCAACTCAAGTAGCTAGTTTTTTCTTCTGCTGTTGAAGTTTTCTATGGAATTTTTCATTACAGTCATTGTATTCTTCATCTCTAAGATTTCTGTCTGGTTCTTTCCTATTGTTTCTATATCTTTGTCTAACTTCTTGCAATTTTGTATATTGTTTTTCAAATTTTACTACATTTTATATTCATATTTTCTGGTACTCCATGCAACATCTTTTTTAGTATTATTTTGATTTATCTGCTACAGATTTCTAGATCTCCATTTCTTTAGGGTTCATTATTGAAGCTTTATTAGTTTCTTTTGGAGGTGTCATGATTCCTTGATTCTTCATAATCCTGTGTCCTTATGTTGTCTGCACATTTGAGGGAATAGTCCCCTCTTGGCCTTTACGGTGTTCTCTGGCAGGGATACACATGCATTATTTAATCTAGCCTCTGATTTTGGAAAAGCCAGCTGGGGACATCCTTGGGGAGGCAGAGCTTTCTGTGAGATCTCTAGTTAGTGGGCTATTGACTTTGTTTGGGTGAGGTTGCTCTTTGGGCTCTGATGGCCTGTGGGAACACTGGCTTTGTTTGGCTATAAAGTGGAGTTGCTGGGTGAGTACTGTGATGGATTTTGAGGTCAGTCACAAGATGTGTACTCTGGTCAGCCAATTATGTTATTGGTGACCTGAAGTTGGGCAGGGCTGGAGGCTGGGCTCCAAGGTTAGGTGGAGTCATTACTCTGGACAGGTGGATCCAGAGGCTATGGTCCTTAGAAATACACAATTAAGGATTTTCTCCCTGTCAATATGGAGCCATGAAGTGGTTTTTTTGGCTATGTTGAGAGGATTTGGGACTCTTTGGGAGGGCTTATGTGTGGAGTGAAGATACTACTTGATTTTCTAGGTTAAGTAGGTTTAGCCCATTTGCTTCTTTAAAATTCACAGAAGTGGGAAGTTCCTTGCCTGGGCAAAGTCACTGGGAGTGTTTCTTTGCTGAGTAAAGCTGCTGCTTGTTAAGTTGCCAAGTTAAGCTGGTCTAGCCCCTTCATTTCTTCAAAAAGGGAGGAGATTGGCATCTCCTTGCCTAGGCAGAATTGTTGGGGTGGGTCCCTGAGGCAGGGTGAGTTAAAAGCATATAGGGACTCAAACTAGGTGAAATTTTCACCATGCTTTCAAAGACACCTAGCTCTGTACTGCAGGTTGGCAATGAGGTTGACTGGTATCTGCAATTGGGCACCACAGCTAGCAGGAACACAGTGGTCCCACCAAGATCCACTCTTGTCACTGTGGTCTCTGCCTCCTTTCTTTGGTTCTATTTGGACCTGGGTGGTTTAGCCATACCATTTTGCCTAGAGTTCCCTGTGAGGTAAGGCCAGAGTGGGCTTCCTGGAAAGCATCTTAGAATGCTAGGGACACATCAAAATAAAAACATGGTAAAACCTAATCAAATATTTTCCAGGAGAGAGGGTGTTTTCATTGCTTGACCCCAAATCTCCCTTGACGAGTATACTGATGGTCCTCCATTTACAACGGTGTTATTTTCCAATAAACCCATTATAAGTTAAATATTATGTCAAAAATGCACTTAACATACTGAACCAACTGAACATTATAGCTTAGCCTCACCTACCATAAATGTTCTCAGAATGCTTGTGTTAGCTTACAGTTGGGCAAAATTATCTGGCAACACAGTATACTGTAGAGTATCAATTATTTCCCATCATGATTGAGTGACTGACTGGAGCTGCAGCTTGCTGCTGCTTCCCTGCACCTTAAGAGGGTATCATGCCACTTTCTATTGAATACATAACACCTTCGCACCATTGTACACTCAAAAGTTTCATCTGTATCCATATAGAATCAAGGAATGCACCCAACTATTGATACACGCTATAGGGTTGTGCTGTAAGATTGCTGATATTTTAAGTAATTATAGAAATAAAGACTATGGAGAGAAGAGGAAAGAGCGAGACAGAGAGAGAGAGAGAGGAAGTATTAGGTCAACTATTGTGTCCTGAGGAACTCTTAAAAGTGTACTCCACTAGAAGAAAAAGCTACCAAAGAAACAGGAAGAGAAAAGAAACAAAACAAAGTTAGGAGAGTGTTAAGGAGGTAAAGGGAATACTATCTCAAAAAGAATTGAATCATTACCTCTTAAATACTGGTGGGAAACCAAGAAAACTGAGTGGACTTAGCAACAAGAAAATAATGTAACTACCTCAGAAAATTTGGAAGAATCACAAGGATTGTGCAAATTTAGAGAAAAATGAAGGCAAAGATATGGAAATGGTATCTGGAAAACAAACAAACAAACACAAAAAAACCTTTGAGATGTTTCTGTGAAGTAGCAGATACATGGATGGTATTTAGAGAGGGATGTGTAGTCCCAGCCAAATATTGGTAGAGATGTGTAGTAAATATAAAGAGGTGTTTAATGGGAACAATTTCATGGAGAAAATAGAGCTAAATATTAGGAATAAAAATATTTATCAGGCAGAGGCATATACCTGAGAAGTCACAAGTAGAAGAGATGGAAGGTGGGGTCATGCAAGTTGGGATACTTCTTCCCATTGTAAATAAAGGAAAGAAGTGCAGTGTGAGGGCAGATTGGGAGGTAAGCTTTGTAGATTTGTAGGCAAAAGAACACAGGGGAACCCATTAAATAATCTGTATCTTCTCAGTGAAATGGGATGCAATTTTATCAGCTATAAGAAAAAGAGAATGAATAAAGCAAAGAAAATTTGAAAAGTAATAAAAACTTTTCTACAAAATATCTCTCTAAAAAGCAGTTTCCTCAAAATATGTCTAAAGGGAAAGAAAGTGTAACAAAACTGTCTCATTGTATTTATAATTAGAAAGCAATGAATTTGCATCCTGTTTGTAAACTTTATAATATTTCCTGTTCAACTTTTTTTTTCATAAAATTGAAGTTATAAGAAAATTCCCAAATGGAAGAAATCACTTTCCCTGGAGTGGGTATGAGGCTTGATAGGAAGATATCTTCATATAAAGCAGCCTCTAGTCTGAGCCACACAGTTCAGTTAGAACCTGGACAAGAGACAGTAGAAAAAAGCAGTGTTCTCAAGATGAACAGCAAAAGCAAAGGCATGAAAGTAGAAAATGGTAGGATATCCTGCTGTGCCAAACTCATCAGGGGGGCAGAGATGCTATACTTGCTTCTCTTTCCTATCTTCTAAACTAAAGCATGTGTATGTATGTTAACAATTGTAGCTCCTAAACGTGAAGATAACAATGAAAGGAAAAAAACACACACACATATATTTATAACTATATATATAAAATGATATACATATATATGTATGTGTGTGCATACATACACACATTCACACACACACGTGTATGTGTGTGTGTGCATATATATATACACAGAAGGATTTTCTTTCTGTCTGAGATTCGCTTAAAAGTTGGAAAGATATAAACTGAGGGAATTGATACTTTTTTGTTGTTGTAGCTTGCTGCATGTGCCTATTGCAACAGTCTTTAAGAGTGCAGAAACCACAGAAATTTAAAGCAAATATATTTTTTTTTACTACATGGATTCATGGTAACATAGTTAATGACTTTTTTTCCCCTCAGCTCCCCTTTAAACTAGAATCTCTTTCAGAGGCAAGGCTGTCTGTATTTCTTTCAGTGCAAGGTACACAGGTAAATATTTCAAATGGGTTGAATTGAATGCATGCATAATTTAAATGAGGGCAGAACAAGGGGAAAACGGCATTGCTAAAGTTTTTTAAGCTCGTGCATTAAAGCATAGAATTATTTTTTACATCTGAAAAATTAAGTCTCATTGTATTCATTGTCATTACTGACTCCTCCTGACTCTGCTATTTGTCCTTAGCCAGACCTTCACTATGAATTCATTATTTTTAAGCATATATGTTAAATCCTCATTAAATCTATACAGATGTTAGGTTAAATTTATTTAAGCTACATATTTCCTCTCCTGGAAGCTTTTAGCAATGTACCTAATCAATAAATACCTATTGAAGTTATCAGATAAGCATGAATTTTTATTGGCAACTTATTAGACAGACATGGCAAGCTACTTATAACTTTGAAGCCTGGAAGGCTATTCTGGTGTAAACTCCTGAAAATGATTGTATTTAAATCTCATAGATATATACATTAAATCATGGATGTAACTGAGCAACTTAAAAAGAATAAAATCTGAATCATACAAGTTTATTTAAAAAATAATTTATCTTCAGATGTAGCTCTTTGGTTGTAAAGTCTTTTTGATATTTATGTTATTGTTTTCTGAACTAAAGTTTACCAAGAAAATGAAAAGGAAGGGCCATATAAATGAAAATTAAAAGCTATAAATTTCCATAGGGATTACATTGCTTTAATATGTAAATGTGTAATTATCTAAAATTAATTTTGCTCATGTCAAATATTTATATATACTTACACATATGTACTTATATACATGTGTATATGTATACACATGTATATGCTCTCAATATTTATTGTCATTTTAGACTGATATGAATTCAGATAGAGTTTATAATAGGTAGAGATTCTCATACAAATGTTGAAGCACATTACAGGCTGAAGAAATTACATGAAAAACAGAATTTTGTACTTTGTATATATGTGCACAGTTACAGTCTTTAGAGCTAAAGTGAGAAAACCATATTCAAATAAACTCATCCAGAATAATCCCCAGCTTTTCCAATTTTAAATATAAAAAGAGAATAGAGTGGTCAAAAATATCTGCAAGTGAATCCAAAGGCCGAATTTGGTGGTGGTGAGCTTCTGGGAATTAATAACACCATTGGTCAGGGGAAAACTTAAACACATAGATTCACTCTCAGCCATGGTATCAGAATACCAATCTTTCTTCCCTTTGTCCTGTCCAGAAGATCTACAGTATAAACATAAAATGAC
The DNA here is from genome assembly GCF_000001405.40 of Homo sapiens. Taxonomy (NCBI): domain Eukaryota; kingdom Metazoa; phylum Chordata; class Mammalia; order Primates; family Hominidae; genus Homo; species Homo sapiens. The sequence continues at coordinate 86,434,895 of NC_000012.12, forward strand.
TTCACATTTCACTCAACAGAAGAGTAGTTTAAGACTTCCCTATGTCCAATACAAATTTAACATGTGCAATATGACTCAGTGTTTCAGTTTTATCTTGCTATAACATAAAGGCACAAAGCATAGTGAAAAAAATATTTCAAAGAAAAAACATTTTCTGACTTATAAACATATAACAGAGTCTCCTCTCCCTGACCACATTATGGTTTAAAAGGATTTCTTATCAAACTCTCACCATAGCAAAGAAAAAGAAAGCTTCTCTTACCAGAGTGGATAAAGCTTCAACCTTGCTATAGCGTTTTCTGCAGCTCTTGTTTGAAAGACAGATCCACAGCAGCTTTGTGCATACAAGTGATCTGGCTGATCTCCAGTTCCTGCACAAAAAAACAGTATAATTGGATCTCAAAAAAGTGTTGTAAACATTCATCATGATGGCACTTGCATGTTGAATCTAGTGACTGTTATTCTGGTAGACTTTCTCCAAACAAGCCCATTACATTTCTACTTTCAATACAAGCTGTTTGGTTTCTCTGTTCAATACTGAGATTAATATCTTTAAAGAAAGCATGCATTTGTGAGTGTCAGTTCTATTACCATGTCTGAAAGTGTGGTCTAAGATTAAAAAAAATACACACAATTATAAATCAAGATGATACTGTCTGGTACGTAAATTTACTTAGCACCTATATGTCTTTATTTTTAAATTTAACAATAGTCAGGCCAGTATTTATGTACTAATGAGATATCAGTATTATTAAGTCTCTTTCATTTACTATTTGATAAAACTCAAATGAACATTCTATATCTCTGCTTTGCAAAAAACCCACATCAATAATGCTTACAACACACCCCAGAGTCTGAGACCAGCTCTGCTGCATTTCTAAGTTTCATTAAATATTCCACTGTTCCTTTGCCTAAACCTTCAAAGTGGCCCAGACACAATCACATCCTTAAATTTTATGGGAGCAATGAAGAGGTCACAAAGCATTGGCTTTTTTGAAATTTTTAAACATTCAATATTTCTGGAAGCATTAACTCATTATAACTACAAGTGGCATATTCTTGTTATCAAATGAATATGAACACTAGATCAAAAATTAAGTCTCAATAAAAATAGTCTCAATTTGTGTCACTCTTTATAATGATCTAAGCAATACATTGATCTTACAACTATATGATTATATAATCTTTGCCTTGCTTCCCATGGGTTTAAAGCCTGGTTAAGCGTTACCAGCAGTACCACTACGAAAAATATGAATTAACTGGATGGAGAGATTTTTTCTTTTTGCATTTTTATATCTGGTATCTTATTTTTCATCTGTATACAGATTAAGCAAGTGCAACAAAACAATTTTGTGCAACAAAACAATTTTGTGCAACAAAACAATTTTGTGCAACAATTTATGATTGTAGAAATCTCAAAAAATGACAACTTATGACAATATAATTCAGAGGATTATAGGCTGATATATGCTAGTCTTTTAAGACAACAGATTTCATTAATCTTCTAATTATGTTACTTAGGGAGTCAGAGTGTGGGGGGAGAAGACCTACATACTGTTTTTTTAATAGTTTGTATCAGTTAACTATTATCCCTTATTATTATGTAACAATTGTCTTTATAAAATTTTCCACTAACATTTTCATGTTTAATTATTTTATTAGAACAGTGAAGACAGCATTATTATTCTCCATTATAGTTATATCATGATATAACTAAGACTCAAAGGATAAGGACTTGAAATTCTTAACTAGAGGAACTTCTGATGTTCAGCTACATCCAAACAACGTTTTCTTTTAAAACAATGTATCGAATATTTTTCTTTAAAAGAGGTTTGTGTGATTTAGCTTGGTGATTTCAATTGGAGAATAGGCATTTAGTGAATTATTGTAACATATTCGGAGCTGTGATACATTGAGACCTTTTCCTATGCCTAATTATTTTGGAAATTATTTGCAAATACAGTTCAAAAAGACAATTATATATGATGTTATGTTAAAAATGTTTAAAATTTAAGAATTACCTATTGATTATTTGCTAAGTGACAGGTTTTTTGTTAAGTTCTGAGGTTATGGGAGTGAATAAGCTAAATATCTCCACTTTATGTAATTTTCGATGTAGAAATGAAAATAATTAGCCCAAGATATAAATTTGTTTGGAAAATTTTAGTGGCAGTGAGTTAATTTATAAATTCAGTAATAGACAAAAAAATCCCTAAGATATCAGAATTTTTATGTCTTTATTACAAAAAATTCTAATCATTATTAAAAACAGTATTGCTGAAAATATTGAGCTAATCATTTTAGAATGATTCTGAAATTCTTAATGCTTATATTTTAGAAGAAGATTGTAGACATTTTTACTAGTTATTTTCCAATGTACACAATTTGTATTTATATATACCTATGTATATCTACATATACAAATAGTCATATTAAGGTCTTGATTAGATAATGAGGTTTGGAACAGTTCAAGTATTACATAATATGGTTGTAGGAGTAAATCAATTTTTCCACTAAAAGTTATTGTTGACGTCCCCCTCTCTAAATGAATATATTAAAAAGAAAATGAGGAAGGCAAAATAAAATTATCATAACATATCATATTAGTTAAATGACTTATAGTATTTATTTGTTCTAGTTATTCTCAGTCTCTTTACAAATACAAGAACACATTGTTTTATTGCAATTTGCTTTATTGTACTTTGTAGATATTGCAGTTTTACAAATTGAACATTTGTGGTAACCCTGCATTGAATAAATTATCAGCACCATTTTTCTAATACAAAGTGCTCACTTTGTGTCTCTTTGTCACACTTTGGTCATTCACACAATATATCAAGCTTTTCCATTATTATTGTATATTTTATCTGTTTCATTATATCTACGATCATTGATATTACTCTTGTAATTGTTATGGGGCACCACACACCACAACCATGTAAGACAGTGAAATGTTGTGCATGTTCAGACTACCGCACTGACCAGCTGTTACTCATCTTTCTTCTTCTACTAGAGACTCCCTGTTCCCTGAGACACAAAAATATTGAAATTTAGCTGATCGATAGCCCTACAATGGCTTCTAAGTGTTCAAGTGAAAGGAAGAGTCATGGTCTTTCACTTGAAGTCAAATGGTAGAAATGATTAACTTTAGTGAGGAAGGCATGTCAAAAGCCAAGATAGGCTAAAAGCTAGGCTTCTTATGCTAAACAGTTAGGCAAGTTGTGAATGCACAGGAAAAGTTCTTAAAAGTGCTAGTCCAGTGAAAACATGAATGATAAGAAATCAAAACAACTGTATTACAGATATGGAGACAGGTTTAGTGGTCAGGATAAAATATCAAACCAGCCACAATATCCACTTAAGATAAAGCCTAATCCAGAGCAAGGCCCTAATTATCTTTAATTCTATGAAAGCTGAGAGAGTTGAGGAAGCTGAAGAAGAAAAGTTTGAAGCCAGCAGAGGTTCGTTTATGATATTTAAGGAATGATGCCCTCTGTATGACTTAAAAGTGCAAAGTGAAACAGCAAGGGTTGATGCAGAAGCTGAAGCAAGTTATCCAGAAGATCAGCCTAAGACAACTGATGAAAGTGGCTAGAGTAAACAACAAATTTTCGATAATGAAACAGCCTTCTAATAGAAGATGGCATCCCTATAAAACAATAAAACATGAAGAAAACAAAGTAACTATGTAACAATCAATATGATGACTGGAACAATATGTCACATCTCAATAGTAACTTTTAATGTCAATTATATAAATGCTCCACTTAAATGATACAGACTGTCAGAATTGATACAGTAATCACAAACCAAATAATGCTGTCTTCAAGACACACACCTAACCATGTAAGGATTCCTATAGACTCAAGCTAAAGGGATAGAAAAATATATTCCACACAAATGGAAACTGAGGGCAAGCAGGAGTAGCTATTCTCATATCAGATGAAACAGAACTTAAAGCAACAAAAGTAAAAAAAATAAAAAGACAAAGAAGGTCATTATATAATGATAAAAGGATAATCCAACAAAAAGATGTTATAAGCTTAAATATATATATGCACTGTAGCTCCCAGATTCACAAAATTATTCCTACTAAACCTATGAAAAGAGGCAAACACCAACACAATGATAGAAGCGATTTCAACACTCCACTGACAGCATTAGACAGATCGTTGAGGCAGAAAGTCAACAAAGAAACACTGGACTTAAACTACACTCTACAGCAAATGAACCTAACAGATATTTATAGCACATTCTACCCAATAACTGCAAAATATACATTATTCTCATCAGCCTACAAATCATTCTCCAAGATAGAACACATAACAAACCACAAAGCAATTCTCAATAAATTTTAAAAACTTGAAACAATATCAAGTATCTTCTCAAACCATAGCAGAATGAAATTAGAAATTAATTCCCAAAGGAATCCTCAAAACTATACAAATACATGGAAATTAAACAACCTACTTCTGAACTATGCTTAGGTTAACAATAAAATCAAGATGAAAATCTAAAAACTATTCAAAATGAATGATAACAGTGACACAAGTTATCAAAACCTCTGTGATACTGCAAACGCAATGCTAAGAGGAAAGTCTATAGCACTAAATACCTACATCAAAAAGTCTGAAAGATCACAAATAGACAACCTAACATCACACCACAAGAAACTACATAAACAAGAAAAAAACAAATCCAAAGCTAGCAGAAGATAAACAACAACAACAAAGATCAGAGCAGAACTAAGTGAATTTGAAATCAAAAATCAATACAAAAGGTAAATGAAGCAAAAAGTTTTTTCTTTGAAAAGATGAACAAAATTGATAGACCACTAGCCAGATTAGCCAAGAAGAGAGAAGGTTCAAATAAACTCAATTAGAAATTAAAATAGAGACATTACAACTGACACCACAGAAATAGAAAAGATCCTTCAAGACCATTATAAACACCTCTATACATACAAACTAGAAAGTCCAGAGGAAGTGGATAAATTCCTGAAAACATACAACCCTCTTAGCTTGAATCAGGAAGAAACAGAAATCCTGAACAGACCAATAACAAGCAGTGTGATTGAATCAGTGACAAAAAATTTGTCAGCAAACAAAAGTTCAGGGTCAGATGGCTTCACAGCCAATTTCCACCAAACATTTAAAGAGGAATTGATGCCTATCCTACAGAAACGATTTCAAATGATTGAGAAAGAGGGAATATTCCTAACTCATTCTATGAAGCCAGTATCATTCTAATAACAAAGACAGGGAATAACATAAAAACAACAACAAAAATACTACAGACCAACATTCCTGATGAACATAGATGCAAAAATCCTCAACAAAATATTAGCAAACCAAATTCGACAGCACTTCAAAATGATAATTCACTATGATTATGTGGGTTTCATTCCAGGGATACAGGGATGATTCAACACACACAAACTGACAAATGTGATTCACCACAAAAACAGAATTAAAAACAAAAACCATATGATAATCTCAATAGACATAGAAAAGCCATTCAATAAAACCCAGCATCCCTTTATGATAAAAACTCTCAGTAACCTAGGCATAGAAGGAACATACCTCAAAATAATAAAAAACATGTATGACAAACCCACAGCCAACTCATACTGAATGGGGAAAAGAAGAAAACATTCCCTATAAGAACTGGAAGAATACAGGGATGCCCATTTTCATCACTTCTATTCAACATAGCACTGAAAGTCCTAGCCAGAGCAATCAGGGAAAAGAAATAAATAAATACATCCAAATCAGAAAATAGGAAGTCAACTTATCTGTTTGCAGATGATTTGATCATATACCTAGGAAACCCTAAAGAGTCCTTCAGAAGACTCCTAGAGTTGATAAATAAATTTAGTAAAGTCTTGGGTTACAATATCAATATACACAAATCAGCTGCACTTCTATATGCCAATAACAACCAAGCTGAAAACAAATCAACAACTCAATCCCTTTTACAATAACTAAAAAAAATCTAGGAATATGCTTAAACAAGGAGGTAAAAGAACTCTACACCTAGAACTGCAAAACACTGCTGGAATAAATCATAGGCAACACAAACACATGGAAATACATCCGATGCTCATGGACTGGAATAATTAATATCATGAAAATGATCATACTGCCCAAAGCAATCTACAGATTCAATACAATTTATACCAAAATACCAGCATCATTTTTCACATAAATAGAAAAAATAATTATAAAATTTCTTTGGAACCAAGAAAGAGCCTAAATAGCAAAAACAATTCTAAGCAAAAAGAACAAATCTGGAGGCATGGCATTACCTGACTTCAAATTATACTACAAGGATATAGTAACCAAAATAGTACGGTACTAATATAAAAGCAGATGCATAGACCAATGCAACAAAATAGAGAATTCAGAGATAAAGCCAAATCAACCAACTGATTTTTTTTATTATTATTTTTATTATTATTATTATTATTATACTTTAAGTTCTAGGGTACATGTGCACAACGTGCAGGTTTGTTACATATGTATACATGTGCCATGTTGGTGTGCTGCACCCATTAACTCATCATTAACATTGAGTACACCTCCTAATGCTTTCCCTCCCCCCTCCCCCCACCCCACAACAGGCCTCGGTGTGTGATATTCCCCTTCCTGTGTTCAAGTGTTCTCATTGTTCAATTCACACCTATGAGTGAGAACATGCAGTGTTTGGTTTTTTGTTCTTGCAACAGTTTGCTGAGAATGATGGTTTCCAGTTTCATCCATGTCCCTACAAAGGACATGAACTCATCTTTTTTATGGCTGCATAGTATTCCATGGTGTATATGTGCCACATTTTCTTAATCTAGGCAATCATTAATGGACATTTGGGTTGGTTCCAAGTCTTCGCTATTGTGAATAGTGCTGCAATAAACATACATGTGCATGTGCTTTTATAGAAGCATGATTTATAATCCTTTGGGTATATACCCAGGAATGGGATGGCTGGGTCAAGGATCCTCAAGTTCTAGATCCTTGAGGAATTGCCACACTGTCTTCCACAATGGTTGAACTACTTCACGTCCCACTGACAGTGTAAAAGTGTTCCTATTTCTCCACATCCTCTCCAGCACCTGTTGTTTCCTGACTTTTTAATGATTGCCATTCTAACTGGTGTGAGATGGTATCTCATTGTGGTTTTGATTTGCATTTCTCTGATGGCCAGTGATGATGAGCATTTTTTCATGTGTCTGTTGGCTGCATAAATGTCTTCTTTTGAGAAGTGTCTGTTCATATCCTTTGCCCACTTTTTGATGGGATTGTTTGATTTTTTCTTGTAAATTTCTGTGAGTTCTTTGTAGATTCTGGATATTAGCCCTTTGTCAGATGGGTAGATTGCAACATTTTCCTCCCATTCTGTAGGTTGCCTGTTCACTCTGATGCTAGTTTCTTTTGCTGTGCAGAAGCTCTTTAGTTGAATTAGATCCCATTTGTCAATTTTGGCTTGTGTTGCCATCGCTTTTGGTGTTTTAGACATGAAGTCCTTGCTCATGCCTATGTCCTGAATGGTATTGACTAAGTTTTTTTCTAGGGTTTTTATGGTTTTAGGTCTAACATTTAAGTGTTTAATCCATCTTGAATTAATTTTTGTATAAGGTGTAAGGAAGGGATCCAGTTTCAGCTTTCTACATATGGCTAGCCAGTTTTCCCAGCACCATTTATTAAATAGGGAATCCTTTCCCCATTTCTTGTTTTTCTCAGGTTTGTCAAAGATCAGATAGTTGTAGGTATGCAGCGTTATTTCTGAGGGCTCTGTTCTGTTCCATTGATCTATATCTCTGTTTTGGTACCAGTACCAACTGGTCAGTGTTGACTGGTCAACAAAGAGCAAAACTCTGTCTCAAAAAAAAAAAAAAAGGAATCAGTCAATGTAACCAACTTAATTGTTGTTTTATTTTCACAAATTGCCATGGTCACCCCAATCTTCAGCAACCACCACCTTGATCAGTCAGCAGCCATCAACATTGAGGTAAGACCCTCCTCCAGCAGAGAGAATTACAACTTGTTAGAGGCTCAGATAATACTCAAGTTTTTAGCGATAAGGTATTTTTAAATTAAGTTGTGTACATTGTTCTTTAGATATAATTCTATTCCAAGGTTAATATATTATGGTATAGCATAAACATAACTATAATATGCACTGGGAAACAACAATTTTATGGGACTTGCATTACTGCAATATTCATTTTGCAGGTGTCTGGAACCAAACTTGCAATATGTATGAAGTATATTTATATTTCCACTGACATTATATATGTGTGTGTGTGTATATATATACACACACACACACACATATATACACATGTAAATTTCTGTTGACACAATACCGTAATTATAGTTTCATGTTATTACACAGGTTTCTCAAACATAATTATCCATTAATGTGGATGTTTTCTATTAAAGTGATTAAACTGAAATTTCAACCCCTCATTTTGTCATAGAAGCATGCTGAATAGACCTGGAGAAAAATTCAAAATCCTGACAATTGTTACTACTTTAAATTACTGACCATGAATAACAAATGAACACTCACTACTGCAAAAATCTTAATTACAACTGATGGAATAGCCTTAAACTTCACTGAGAAAACAATAGCCCCTGTGTAGGAGAGCCCAAATATCAACCCATCCCAACTAGCTACCAAACTGTTTTTTTTTTGTTGTTGTTTTTGTTTGTTTGTTTGAGACGGAGTCTCGCTGTGTCACCCAGGCTGGAGTGCAGTGGCACGATCTCGGCTCACTGCAAGCTCTTCCTCTTGGGTTCACACCATTCTCCCGCCTCAGCCTCCCGAGTAGCTGGGACTACAGGCGCCTGCCACCATGTCAGGCTAATTTTTTGTATTTTTTAGTAGAGACAGGGTTTCGCCTTGTTAGCCAGGATGGTCTCAATCTCCTGACCTCGTGATGCGCCCGCCTCGGCTTCCCAAAGTGCTGGGATTACAGGCACATGCCACCATGCCCGGCCTGTCTACAAAACTCTTTTAACAAAGTTTTACCAAACTTTCTCATGCTAATTCTTCTTATTCATATAAGTTACTCCCTCTGCGTTAATTCATCCTCATCGGTGTTTAATACTGTTTTAATATTTTTATGCTTTCAAAAATAAACCCCTCTACTACTTCATTTGTCTCTCTAGTAACCATATTTCTACATTGGAAAATATCTCAAAATATTTATTTTCTCATTTTACAATATCTTCTCAACTCGCTTTTATAGAACATCCATATCACCAAAGGCACTAAAATAGTCCTCATTTTACCTGATGTTCTAACAATTATGTGATTCCTTCTTGAATGATTCTCTTCTCGTCTTTAGTGGTACTACATTCTTCTTATTTCTTTCATACCATGCAAAGCCTTTCAATCCCAGGCTCATTTGCCGGCTTCTTTTCCTCTGAATAATATGTTTGGAGTATTTCTTGACTGATCATGGATCTCTTTTTCTTCTCAATCTATACTTTCCCTGCAGATAATCTTCTCCGGTTCCATGGCTTTACATATAATCTTTCCTGTTGACTACCAAATTTAGGTCTGCAACCTGACCTTTTTCCACTGTGCTTTAAATATGATTCTCCATCTGCATACTGATCTCAATTCCTGGCTCTCTAACAAGGATTTTAAAATTCAAACACGGCAAAATAGAACAATTGACTCTACCATATCGTTGCAAATCTGACCTTACTCCAGTCTTCCATATCTTAACATGGAATTCTTTCAGTTAAAATTCTTTGAGTTAAAATCAAAGTATTAAATTTTTATCTTAATGTTTTATTCTAACAAAAATGCATAACATAAAGTTTACCATAGTAACTATTTCTGAGGTACGGTTCTGTAGTATTAAGTATATTCACTTTGTTGCACAACTAATCTCCAGAACATTTTCATCTTTCAGAACTGAAACTCTATACCTCTTAAACAACTCCCCAAGAGGAAAGATTTATTGACATATGTAACAATACAGATGAATTTCTAAATTATACTGAGAGAAGCTAAACAAAAAAGTACATACTATATGACTTCATTTATATAAGATTCTAAAAATGCAAACTTATCCATAGTGACAGAAAGCAGATCAGCTGTTGCCTGGGAACCAGAAAGGTGGGGGTGGAAGAATTGGTGTGAGGAATTGCAAAGGATCACAAAATTTTTGTGTGTAACAGACGTGTTCATTATTTTGATTGTCATGATGGTTTCAGTAGTATATACACGTGTCTACACTTATCAAATCTCACACTTTAAATATGTGTAGCCTAATTTATGCCAATTATACTGCAAATATGACATTTATAATAAGTTCACACATAAAACCTCTAAAAATTAGAAAGAAAATAATCCAATATGTAAAGGCAAAAATATTTGTTCAAAATCTTCACAAAATAAGATATCCAAATGACCAATACCATGTAAGAGAATATTCCATATTATTTCTCATCAAAAATATTCATTCACCATATTTAGCAAAATTTATTAAAATAATCATTTCAAGATTTGAGGGAATGTGAAATTCATATACAACTGAAAGAACCGGAAATTAGCAAAAGCAGTTTGAGAAACTGGCAATACATACTAATGCTGAAAATGTACTCATCTTATGACTCAAGAATTCCACTCCTAGTTTCATATTCAAGAAGTATATGCATATAGCATCAAAAGATACACATTCGATTGCTCGACAGCTCTCTGCAACAGACAAAAACTGGAAATTATCCAAATGTCCTCCCGCAGTAAAACTGATGAATATCTTTTAAAATATTTACATAATAGAATAAAATATATCAATGAGAATGAGCAAACTTTTGCTATACGTGACAACATGAGTGAGTCTCAAACCTAATGTTGAGAAAAGATGTAATAAACAAATATTATGTCTTGTATAATTTTATTTATATAGGCTGCAAAAATGGTTACATTTTATTTTGGAAAAAGTAGTCAATCTACTGATTATCTTTGGGGTAGACTGAGTTTAATAACTAGGAAGAGGTACAAAATAATCTTTCAAATATTGGTAATATTTTATTTCCTGTTAGAGTTATATTAATTATAGACATGCATTCACTGTGCAAAGGTACTGGGTTGTTCACTTAAGAATTTGCAATTTCTGAATATGTGTTATGCTTCAGTAAAACTTTATATGTATGTGTGTGTCTGTATATATATATGCACACATATAGCTACACATAAAGTATATCACAAAAATATAGAATAAAATTTATTGTGATTTATGTTCTTTAGAACATATTATTTTTTATGAAAATATAACTTGAAATATTTTGTGAACAATTATTGCTAAGACAAGGACCCATTTTTTCCTGATAATGAAAACAAAACACGTGCATAAGGTTAAAAAGTTCCAGTAAAAAAACAAAGTCATTTGAATAATTACTCATCCCAGGAAAGCTGCTCCAATTGGCATTGGTAAAGTATATAATGCACTTATTTTTCTCAAAGGAATACACCATTATAGCACAGATATTTATGTGTATTCATTTCACATTATTTATGAAACTTCTTGAGGCTCTGACTTAGAGAAAGCAACCAGCTGTTTTTGTGATTTGCAAAATGAATGTCTTAAAGAAAAAAAAGGCAAAAAGTAGTATTTTATCATTTATATTGTCTTATTGCTTTTTTACTCACTTTCTTAATATGAATACCATGCATTATTTTCTACATTGTGTACTGTTCATATACGATGAAAACTGCTATCAGGACTTAAAATTACATCATGTAACTCATATATATATATATATATATATATATATATATATATATATATATATGGATGTGATTAGCCATGGTGGAAAGAGTGTGGATTTCACAATTGCAATGAAACAGTTTGAATATATGTAAATTTGGGCAAGCTGCATACTATTGCCATGGCTCTGTGTAATCATCTATGAGAGGGAGATGGTAATACTAACCCTACCTGTATGCAAATGTAAACATTATATGTAAATATATAAAAATTGATATTCTAAATGCTTACCATTACTATGTCATGCACTACTAAGAAGTTTTACTGGGCCATGCATTACTAGTGTTTTACATCAAAAGATAAGTTTGGAATAGATTGATTTAAACATTGATTAAAAGATGAACAATACGAAGGCTAAGGGATTGTAGAACAGTGACCCTTCAACAGGAACAGTGTCCTAAATGAGTGTCCTTTTTGCTAAATGAGCAGCAGCATTCTTTTTGTTTGTTTGTTTGTTTGTTTTGAGATGGAATTTCACTCTTGTTGCCCAGGCTGGAGTGCAATGGTGCAATCTCGGCTCACCGCAACCTTTGCCTCCCAGGTTCCAGCAATTCTCCTGCCTCAGCCTCCCGAGTAGCTGGGATTACAGGCATGTGCCACCACTCCTGGCTAATTTTGTATTTTTAGTAGAGACAGGGTTTCTCCATGCTGGTTAGGCTGGTCTCGAACTACTGACCTCAGGTGAACCACCTGCCTTGGCCTCCCAAAGTATCATTCTGTTTTTGTAACTGTAACTGAGCACTTTGGCCTCAGTAAAAAAGAATGACTGGAAACAACTTGGCTATCCAAGTAACAACAATTGTGTCAATAAACTTAGTTTAGAGATATTTACCACTAAATAAAATCTTTACCCTTCATGAGTACCAGTTTTTTTTTAACTTTTTTTTACTCTCTACATAGACAGTAAAATAAGTTAGAGAGTAAAATAAATAATAAGAATTTATTTAGCTTCTCCTATACAGTAAGATTTGTTCTAACATTTGTATTGGTGAATGAGTATTCCAAAATGATATGTCAGCCATCCAATATATAGACCAAATACAAGTTGAACAATAGTATAGCTATAGATGCAAATATAGATATTGAGGTAGGTAGAATGAAACTATTTTTTACAAGCAATGTTTGCCTACTTAGGTGTTTTGTACTTGCTGATCTCTCCAAGTATACTCCTCCTCCATATACTGTGTAACATTCCCTCTTACCACTTCCAGGCTTTTACAAGTGTCACTATGGCTGAGCTTCCCATGCCCTGCCCATTTTCCTTCAGCAATTCTGATTCGCCTATATGTTTGAGACCTTTTGCTGCATGCGTCTGAGATGTTGCTTTCATTGGCCAATGGTGCATGATTGACATGCATACAGGTCAGGCCAGAAGGTAAAAAATGTTCCCCAAAGCAGCCTTCAGTTAATTAGAGAAGGGAATTAGTAGCCAAGTGCCTCCCATTTCCCTCAATCTTTGGATGATAAAATATGAGACATGGTTCACACAGTCTCCCAGAATTCCATAGAAGGATGGAGCCTGGGTTGCCTGTGGCAGCTTCCTGATCATTTGTACACTTTTTATTGGAATCCTTTCCTTCTCAGCACTTGCCTGTTTCCTGCCATGGTTCTTGGGAATCACCACACACAACTTACTTGTACCTAATTTCTTGCTTCAGAGTTAGTTTCCTGGAAATCTTACCTAAGATAGTCACATTCTTAAATGCAAAATTTACTTTCACCACCCTCATTAAAAGTGCAACTCCAACCTAAACCAAGCATAGCCTTCTCCTTACCCTATCTTAATATGCTTCATTGCATTGTTTTGAAATGAAAAATTATATCATTTACTCTTTACTTACTACCTGAATCCCTCACTGGAAAGTAAAGCTATGAGAGCAGGAACTTTTGTTTGTTTGCTGTATCTCTAGTACCTATAATTAAACCTGCTGAATGGAGGGTGCTCAATGAATTATTTTTGAAGAAATAAATTATTAAAATGAATCTCAGCAAAAAACTAAGCTAACATCAATATTTTCTTCTAAGATTGACAAAGTAGACTTTGAAATTGGCAAGGAGATAGTGTTTAACTCAACTTTATGTGTGTTTAACTCAACTTTATGTTTCTTCCCCAGACAAATCAAAGAAATCTGAGTCTAATATAATGAATGTTAAAACATACATTTCATTAAAGCTTTGAGTCTTGCTTAAATATAATTTTAAATTGTCAAGGAAAGCCAAGAATTGGAACCTTCTATTTTACAACTCAAATAGCTAGGCTTCAGATCTTTATCATTGAGGAGTACATGATTCAAGCAATTATTAAATCTACAGATGTTCAGCTATAAGCTTTTACAAGATCTCTTGTCACTGAAAAGAGAGCAGAGGTATATTGTAGATGTAGCAAGAAAAAGTTAGTTGGGCTAAGACAAAATGTAACTTAATTTCTATCATTGGGGGCTACAAAACGTTTAGGTGGTATGTAACAATGCTGAATAAGTAAAATAATAATTGAGAACATACAATCAATAATTTTCAGTTATAATATTTATGGCAATGCCTGTTTTCTTATATACTGGAGTTTTTTAAGAAAGCATAGTGAGCTTTCAGGTATTACTGTGAAAAAGGAATAGTATGACATTATAGTGTTTAAAGAAGTTTTATTTAGATATGCTTTGGTTCAAATTCCAACTCTGCAATTTACTAAAGGTATGCTCCTCTATGATTTCAGATTTACCTAATTTTGTTTTTATTTTTAGAGAGGTAAAACACATAAGGTAATGTGCACAACTCTTAATTGTATAGTTTGATGTATCTTCATGAAGCTAACACATTCATTGAGACAGCCATTTATCAAATCAAATTATAGAATATTTCAAAGATCGCAAAAGCCTGCCTTATGGGCCCTACCAATTATCACTGTACCCAACGACTCGGTGGTAACGACTCTTCTCACTTCTGTCACCATAAAATAACTAAGTCTGTTTTTGAAATTTTTATAGATGTAATAGCACACTATGTTTTATGTCTAATTTCATTTGGAGAATATTCTATGTATAAGATTTAGTACCAGTGTTCCATGTAGTAGCCATTTGAGCATTTTCATTTTATGCACTCTCACATTGCATGACCACCACTAATGGTTTTATGACCACATCTAATTTACCCATTCCAAATTTGATGGAAATGTGAGATATTTTTGTTCATTAATAATTATTTTGCTTTGACTGTTTAATGGGTGCAGAGTTTTCTTTTGTGGTAATGAAATGCTTTTGAACTAGATGGAAATGGTGATTATACAACATTAAGAATGTGTTGGATATCACTGAATTGCACCCTTTAAAATAGTCAATTATATGTCATGTGATTTTGTCCTGAAGAAAAAGTATTGTGTTGCTTTGAACATTGTATCTCATTTTTGCCCTATTTATACTGTGAAGTATTCATATGTTCAGCGTTAGTAGAAATTGCCAACTTTTCTCGGCGGCAGTGTCAGTTTCCACATTCACTGAGAGTAAATGAGATTTCTAGTCCTCCACAACATTGTCAACAGGATTTGTTTTTTCCCATACTCATTGGTTTTAATCTGTATTTCACCGATGATGAATGAGGTTGAGCACCTCCACATAATTTGATTATCTATTTAGATAGATTTGTTAGTGAAGTGCTTAGTTTTTTATTAGGTTGTCTTTTCTTACTAATCTGTATAAATGTATGTATTCTAAATCATTTTTTCTCAGATTAACACATTCCCTGACAATTATTCAAATTGTCAAAATATTCTCTCATTCTGTGGTTTTGAGTTTCACAGTTTTAATCTCCTAAGAGTGAATAGAAGTTCTTATTTTTACCATAGTTCAATTTTCCAATTTTTCCCTTTATACTTAGTGCTTCTTGAGTTTTGTTAACATATATTTAACTATATCAAAGTAACGACTATATCTTGTTATTTTCTGGAGTTTTCATTGTATTACCTTTTACATTTGGGCTTAAGATCCTTGGAATTAATTACCTTGTATTATGTAACCTGGTGATCAAGCTTCTTTCTTTTTCTATTTTTCCTTCCTTTTTTCCTTCTTACACACACACAACACACATTTATCTGTATGTATGAATATATAAATATGTGACTATACACGTAATACATATGCTTTCTTACATACACGTTTGTATACACATATGTATGTTTTTATCCATATGTGTGCACATGTATACATTTATGTATTCATACTTTTATATATGAGTAGATATATTGCAATAGATATAGTATAAATCATCTTTCTTCTACATTAAGTGTTATTTTGTTATTTTTGTCATATATCTGGTAATTTATGAGTCAGCTATATCAGTCTTATTTGGTTCCTTTGAAGGTGATGTGGTTTGGATGTATGTCTCACACAAATCTCATATAGAAATGTAATCGCCAATGTTGGAGGTGGGGCCTAGTAGGAGGTGATTAGATCATGGGGTGGATTTCTCACAAATGGTTTAGCACCATTCCTGTTGGTACTGTCATCATGATAGTGAGGGGGTTCTTGTGAGATCTGGTTGTATAAAAGTGTGTGTAGCACCTCCCCTCTTGCTGTCTCACTCCTGCTTTTGCCATGTAATATACAAGCTCCTGCTTCATCTACCTCCATGATTGAAACCTGGCAGAGGCCTCCCCAGAAGGAGAGGCTACTGTGTTTCCTGTACACCTGCAGAATCATGTGCCAACTAAACATCTTTTCTTATAAAGTAGCCAGTCTCAGGTATTTCTTTATAGCAATGTGAGAACAAACTAATACACAAAGCATTATGCCCTTCCTTTAAGCTCCTTTTGTAGATTTTTTTCCTTTGTTTTGATTTTCAACAGGTTTACTATAAAATGGCTAGATTTTCTTTGTACTTGGGATTCTTGTAGCTTCTTCAATTTTTGGTACTATGTCTTTTGTCAGATTTGAAAAATTATTCACAAGTGGCTCTTTGATTTTGTGTTTGCCTATTATTTTCTCTTTCCAAAACACTGAGTATATACAGGTCCCATTTTATGGTCTCTGTTCTTCAAGATGGATAGTCTTTGATTAATTCATTCTTTTAAAATAAGATTATACATTAATGCTCTCTTTTTCAAAGCCAGTCTTCTTCTACACCCACTTACTGAATTATTTATTATGGTTATCAAAAATTTCAGTGCTAGGGTTTTCACACTAAACACACACAATTTTAATTATAGTTCTCTGTTGAAACTTTCAATATTCTATTTTTCAGCATGTATTAATCATAATTGTTTAAAAGTCTGAATTTCATTTCAATATCTAGTAAACCTGAGTGACTATTCTATTACTTAATTTTTCTCTTGGTTTTCAATCATTCGACCCCTATTTTCTAGTAGAATCAATTATTTTTATTTAATTACTGGCCAGTAGAAACTCGTGGGCAAATCACCTGATTCAGTTGAGGCTGACCTGTTTCTTGTTTGTTTTTCTACAAGGTAGAGCTCTTCTGGCATCCCCACTGAAAGTGTGCAGTACTAACTAGGGCCATTCTTTTTTTTTTCTTTTTTTTTTATATACTTTTTTATTATACTTTGAGTTCTAGGGTACATGTGCACAACGTGCAGGTTTGTTCCATCTGTATACATGTGTCATGTTGGTGTGCTGCACCCATTAACTCGTCATTTACATTAGGCATATCTCTTAATGCTATCCCACCCTCCCCCACCCCACAACAGGCCCCTGTGTGTGATGTTCCCCTTTAACTAGGGCCATTCTTGCTTATTAGTACATGAACTTCAACTCTTGACTTCCTTGTCTTGTGTGACTGCCAGGTTCTCTGCTTGGTTTGTAGCAGCTATTTTCTTCTTAATTTCTATTTATTTAGTCTATGCATTTGTGTTTTAGGGGGTGGAAAATGCCTCAAAGTAAATTACACATGAAATACTGGGCTCAATTTTCTACATTTTATTTTTCTTCTAGAATATTGGCTTCCTGAATATAGGGCCAAATTATTGAAAACCAAGAGAAAAATTAAGTAATAGCATAGTCACTCAGGCTTAGTAGATATTGAAATGATCAAACACAGACTTTTAAATAATTATGATTAATACATGTAAAGGTACTGCTTAGTAACTTTGACTCCAGTGTTTGTCTCCCTAGTCCAGTGGATTTATTGTCAACTGTAGACTGTATTTGTCTATTCAGACTTTCTGTCCAAGCCATGGATTAGCAAAAACCATACAGAAGGGGATGGAAGAGAATGGAGGTAAATGATGGGCTTGCTACAATGCATATTTTCTCTCTCTGATCTTGTTCCTCCAATCCTTAATTGCATTGAAATCTTCAGTCACATGAGTTTTGCATTTAAAACTCTTATTGTTGCTCTTCATGAGGGAATAAGTCTTATATCTGTTACTATATTATAGACAGAAATGAAAGTCTGAGAAAGTTATTTAAACTCTCCTGGTTTTTCTTCCTTTAAATGAGAATGAATATGCCACTCAAAGTGTATATTTAAATCATAGTTAAGGAGGTTTCTTATACAGAGTGCACTGCAGAGTACATTGTGATTAATAAAGGATAGAGGTTATGATTGTTAGTTTGGTTCATTAATAAATAATAACTACCATTACAATGTCAGAAAGTATACGGTACTCAAATATAAAATATATGAAATCATAATACCAAGAAGAGAGTTACAGTTTTCAGTAGAAACACAACCATATTTCTATAAATATTGTTTATTAAGTTGTTCTATTCCTGAAACATTCTATTTATGTAAATATTCTGGACTAATAAGGGAAAACTTCACCTAGTTTAAGCAATTTGGTGAGAACTCATTCAGCTATGAGTAAAAGAAACTTAGAAGTAGGAAGGGGGTAATTTTTTTCATGCTTCAATATATCCAGTAGCAAGTAAGCTAGACCAGCATGGTGACTCAAAGATGACATTGAGAACTTGACTCTCTCAATCTTGCAGCTCCGCTATTTACACTCTTTGGCTTTTGTCTGGTCTTCATGTTTGCCTCTTGTTGACAGGAGGGACAAGTCTCCTCCAGCATCATGTATGCAATATAGGCAAGAATGGGAATTTGGCAGCAATAATAAGATAATTATTCTTATGTCGGGAAAACACATTTCCCCAGAAATTATGGGGACTTTTGCTTACTAGATTCTTGCAAGAACTTTATCTATAACTGTAAGGACTGTGGGTATATGCAGCTTTTAAGCTATGAGTATCAACTCTCCATATCAAATTTGTCCCACAAATATACTCACACTTGCCATGCACCAGGATTAGATTCTTATTATCTACTTTATTATTTCTCAAGTTACCACGAGCCACAAAAAGAAGCTGGCATGGCCAAACACATTAGGGCATTACTTACATGACTTATATGATGATGTTTTCAAAGAGCCAATAAAAGGCTCAGAAAACTATAAAGGAAAAAAATAAAAAGTTGTTATTTTCCTACAATTTTTTCCAGAAAAGAAACTAAGTTTTGGTAAAATGCCTACAATTAGAGCACAGAGCTACTAATCTTTAGGAGAAAATCAGACAATTATTGATATGTCATAATTTATATGCAATTATTACATCCTTTTTTTTTAAGACAGGGTCTCACCCTGTTGTCCAGGCTGGAATGCAGTGGCATGATCACCACTCACTGCAGCCTTGACTTTCTGGGTTCAAGCAATTCTCCCACCTCAGCCTTTCAAGTAGCTGGAACTACAGGTGCAAACTGCTACACCTGATTAATTTTTGTATTTTTTGTAGAGATGGGTTTTGCCATGTTGCCCAGGCTAGTCTTGAACTCCTGAGATCAAGAAATCCACCTGCCTCAGCCTCCCAAAATGCTGAGATTACAAGCATGAGTCACTGTGGCTGGCCTCATATATGTAACTATATAAAAACATGAAGATTGATAGGTAGATAGACAGACAGACACATTGCTACACAAAAGCCAGAAAGATTGTATTTGCACATCAGTTCAAACATAGATTTTATATATCAGCAATGAAATTAATAAAATATTTATTGAATACCTACTGGTTTGGGCACTGGAGTAGTAAGCAAAGAGCAAATTCAATGATATGGGGAAAAATTTAATAACAGCGATAGCAGTTTGGTTTTCCAAAATCACAAATTCAGAAAAATATAAACTTTCTGAAGTTTGAAGACATTCATATGAAATCTGTGTAAATTCAAGGTCCAAAATTGAGATATTTAATCCAACAAATTTTATGTTGTTTCTTTCTCTTAACATTATTTTGTCTATTCCCTCTTTTCTCCTAATACATTTTTTCTTACATATTACTAGATGAATTAATAATGCAAAGAGGCTGGTGCTGCTTTTAAGTTGATCACTAAGTCATTTTATTATCTTAATTTTAGAACATTTTCAAGTTACCTGCTTGCATTGATTGTGAATCCTTTTATTTATTATTTAATTTAGGATGCCCTTGTATCATTTTAAAACCTCTATGAGTTTAGGAAAAAATGTGGGTAGTGGTGTTAGTAAATGTGTTTGAATGAAAAGAAATTAGTTTCTGTTCTATTCCAGTATCAAATAATTCAGCAATATATGCAGGATTTCCTTCAAAGGTATGTTCCAAGTATTCAGCACAATTCTCTGTCTTTCCAAAAGGCAATGGGTGTATATACTAATAAATTAATTAAATCACTCCTTATGTGGGGAACATCTATTTGAGGAAAGTTTTTGCTCCTCTAGATGAGGTTGACCCTAGTTCAGTTTCTATTGCCAAATATATGTCCTTGTTAAAACAGGAAGTTTTAATTCTTTCATTTTATGTTATAGAAAAGTGGTGCTTTTTAAACTTCTATTTCTGAAAATACAGAAATTAAAAATAATTTAAAAAGGAAACTCTTTCTTCACAGAGCCAATGAAGCCTTTCTAAGCATAATTCTCTGCAACTAAAACTTGAAGAAAAGAACTTGGTGATAAGCAAAAACACAGAAGTCCCACATTTACATCTTAATGGACTCTCTTAATATGTGTTCAAATAAAGTTACAGAAACAATAATGTTAAATTAGACAATATGCAAGTAAAGTCAAATATTAATTTTGTAGGCAAAAATGTGGGATAACTTTGCAAATTATTTTATAAGTGGTATTTTTCAATGTTTAGATTATTAATATCTAGTTTCTAAACAGCCAGGTGTGTTCCTACCATTATTCGCAAGGTCTGGTGTGGTTCTTTCATTCAGTACCCTGTCAAAAAAGACAATTTTCAAGACAAGATTTATAACAAACGCTTCTAATGTTCAGAAAAAAATAGAGTATTACTTGAACTGATAAATCTTCTTAAATATTAAAGAATATGATACATCTACTATTAAGCACTAGGAGAATTTAATGTAAGAAAAATATGCTTAAAAATTACGATTAGCATGAGAAAGTGTTTTAATATATCCTTCCTATTCCTCATTCTTCTCATTAAGGTAATTACAAATAAACGTTTGTTTTATTTAATTTATTGAGGATATATTTCACTAGGCTGGAAGACAAATGCTGAAGCCAAATTAACCAAGCTGCCAGAATGTTAGCAAGGCAATATCTATTGTTTTTAACATCGTCGTCATCATCATCATCATCATGATGTTACAGAGAAATAAGGATAAAATCTGATAAAAAAAATTTGGGCAGCGGAAGAGCCACATAATCAACGTTAGTTATCGCATAATCTTTATTAAAATGAGTAACAGAGAACTTAAATAAACTACAGTCATGTGGATAGTAAATGGCAGCCTGGCATTCAGATCTATGTGTTTCAAAAACCATCCTTGTAAACATGATCATATTACTGCCTGGAGCTAAATGATTCAGTTTATCTAAAGGAGGACTTACCAAAATCTAGCATCTAGAGTTGGAGAGATCTCCCTTTGGCATTGAGTTCTGATATTTTAAGAGTTTTTTCATTATAGAATATAATCTGATAAAGTAAGAGATCATAAACTAGAGGCAGATTTTAATCTATTTTTTAAATTTTGGCTCAGGATATGTCGACTTTAGCTACTTCTCTTTAACCCTTTTAGCAAAGAAAGCCTGAAAAGGGGGCAAATTTATCTATATAATCAGGAGATACTGGTAGGAAACTTGAGAAAATTAGGTTGTCCCAGCTAAAAATGTACATTTTAAAAGATGCATGACATAAAACTTATAGAAATCTTGCATTATGAGCTCTCTATCTTACATCCTGTCAGGAAGGGCTATCAGAAACTTCACCACTACCTGGTAGAATAATGTTTTCCAAAATGAATCTAATGATATGCACTCAACTAGCTTTGAAAGACACCCCCAGGGAGCATTTTCAAAAGCCGGACTCCTGGATCTTCTTCCTGAATAATTGAGCTGAAATCTCAGATGGTCCAGGACGTCCCTATTTCAAGCAGCTTAAGTGATTATGACAGTTATCCAGTTGAGAATCCACTGTTCTTGAATACATAAATACTTTTTCTAGTATATTGTACATTCAGACAAGATTTATTTTATTTTTTCCTTTGTGTCATTGAATTTAATATATCATCCTTTTTATTATAATAGAATTAATTTAATAACTAGTCAACTACTTAACCTGCTATAGTGCTTTCTTACTCCATTCAGGCATATTATTTTTCATTATTTAACTTTCATTACTTGCTTTTCCAAAGCACATAACATACAGAATTAGTGGGAGGCAGAATGCAAATTAATACCCAATCCTATTTACCTAGTAAAAAATACATATAAATGAGGATTAAAACAATATTTTAAAAATAATAGACTTTTTAATTGTCTCAGTGTAAATGCTTGATTTTATTTATGAATAGATTTATTCAGCTTAGCCATACCATAATCTAGGTGGAAAGACAATGTTATTTCTGGTTTACTGTTGTCTCTTTGCTTTCAGGTCATGATAAAAAGAATATATATGCTGGAGACTTTTTCATGTGGGAAGTTATTTTCAATATAGTTTAGCTGAAATGTCATCTTAGTTTTAAAGGGAAAGAAAATAGCATGTTAATTTATTGAGCAAGAGAGACTTCTAGTCACAGACTTTAGACTCTAGAGGCTGTGGCTTGTAATGAAGCTGTCAGCAGTTGCTACTATGCCTACCCACTAAATAAATGATGGCATTTCTAGGAAAATCAAAACATATTGCTTTAGTAGAACCTTGTTAAGAAAAACAAAATAATAATAAATAAAATCACAAGTTTTTTTTCTTTCACCTCTCTCTAACTTCATGTGCTTCAGTATGGAATAATCCATGTAAATAAATGGGAATTTTTATTTTTATAAAATACTTTTAAAGACAATTTTTTAATTTGATAATTTTTAAGAACTCAAGATTAAAAGTCAGAGAATCATAAATTAAAACTTTTTTGTCAATACAAAACAAAAAGTAAAACTAAAAGACAAATCACTACCAACAGCAAATAATACAAAATAACTCATAAATCTCTGAATCAACTATTACCTTTAAAGGTGACAATATGTCATTAGCACCTAAAGTATTTTAGCAGCTACCTTAAATTTATTTTAGAAGAAAATAAAAAAATACTTAAAATCATTACAGACAATAAAACTAAGCCATGCCTGATTTTTAAAAATTTTTATGTTGTTCTACATCTCCATCAAGTTGTCTAGCCTTCACTGGCTCAGATGCCTAAGTTGTCTGTATAAGGATTTCCACACCTTCTCTAAAGTTCTCAAAAGTGCAATCAGCCTTTTCTTTGGTAATGTCAGATTCCTACCTGGTTTCTCAGTTCTCAGTATGGTATTATCCTGAATCTACCTCAGCTATGTTCCTTTGGGCTGTATTTGCATTTAATATTTATTCACAGGGACAGTCATAATTCTCCATTTGGAAGAATGGAACAAGAATGTAGAAAACAATTATATGCTGGGTGCACTATGTGTGCTAGCCACTATATTACATGTTTTCACATGAACTCAGTTTACTCCTCACAATTCTGAAAGACCGTATTAAGAGAATGAAGAAGAAACATAAGCAGTTATAACCTATGCACATGGAATGAATATCACAGTTTGCTTTTAAATTGAGTAAATTATTTTTAAACGAGTAAATGATAATTATCTCACAAAATTACTAATTTCAGCAAGGCATTTTTTTCTGTTTTTGCAAAAGATATTTATATGAACATTTATTATAATGTATACTATACTTTTAGGATTATGAACACCAATGCCAGGTTAATCACATTTGACTCCAGTTTTAGAGATAGTAATGCAAGAAAGGGTGAGGTAAGTTTTTGGATGCCATTTCCAGTGACTTTATTTTTTTTTTACTTTTGTAAAAGTAATTTTTCATCATTTCCATAGGCTCATCACTACACTCGCTTCCTAGAGAAGAAGTCTAATGAGAAGGCATTTTGAGAATTTATGCCAATTCTCTTATGTGTATATGCTTATGAATCATGTAGGTATAACTGTAGTAATAGAACATGTATATTATAATACATATACAAAATATAAGTTTTCAAAAGACGAGATAAAGTTTAATGTAAAAAACATTAATAAACATAGCTTTATGCTATCTTTATTAGCATAACATGTTTCTAAAATGGGCTCCAAAATTCCTGCTCCTGGTGTGACACACTGTATAACTCTCTTATCTTGAGTGTGGGCAGAATCTGTGAATAGAATGGCAATATCACTCCCATGATAAGGTTCAAATCAGTTGACTTGGACTTAACCAAGAGGGAGCCTATATTGGGTGGGTGTCAGGGAGACTCCCTCTGGTCTAAAGCAGGCATTTGCAGTTTACAACCATGTTGTAAACTGCCTATGGGCCACATAGGAAGGGTCTGCAGGTGGCCACTAGTAGCTGAGAATCGTTACTCACCAATAGCTAGCAAGAAAATGAGAACCTCACTCATGCGGTCATAAGGAAATGAAATCTTCCAACAACCAGTTATCTTAGAAGAGAACCCTAAGTTTCAGATGAGAATTATAAATTATTTATGATCCTGGTAATACGCTGAGAAAAGAAGCCCCCCCAACCTTCCCCGCCCCCACTCACCCACAGCTTTACCCGCCCCGCCCCCCACCCACCCACATGCGCATACATGAAAGCTACAGGGTTCCTGGATCTGAGCAACTTGAGTTAAGGGGAAGTATCCACAATCTTACCTACAGAAACAAACCCCTTTCTTCTTGTCCTCTTTGCTCTACTCTCACCCTAGGACAGCAAGGAAGTTGATGCCTAAAGGGATTAATAATTTCATCTGAATATGAACTAAATTGACACTAACTCTTAATTTGAATAACAACCTATTATTCAATGACTTCCAATGTTAACATTTTTATTTCTTATATTTTATAGTATTCAGACATCTTTAGTAAAGTATTGATGCTGTACTAACTTTGTAGATTTGTAACGCAAGTTCTTCAAACCTAAGAACATTTTGAGGCGTTGGTGTGATGGTGCCCACCCACGCAGACACTTAAAAGGCTGAGGTGGGAGGATTGCTTGAGCCCATGAGTTTGAATACAGCCTGAGCAACATACTGAGACCCCATCTCTAATGAAAACCTCAAAAAGTACAAAAAAAGTTGTGAGTGGTAAAACAGCTGAGTTTGTGTGAAATACACCTGGGCTCCAAATACTTCATCCTCCTGGGGAGAAGTCACAGCAGATGATTAGGCAAACTCTGTGCTATGTTAGGATTAGGTAAACTCCTTCCTATGTTAAGAGTATACTGCCTAATTCAATATCTCAACATTTTGTGGTTATGATTATGAAACCTAGGAAAATGAAGCTAGACCCACATGTAGTAGTTAGGCAAATTGTTGTAAGTAAAACATAAATAAAAGATAGTACTTTATGAATATCACATTAAAACTTATTATTAATAAATGGTATTTCTTCTGGTTGAATTTGTATGGCCTTTTTCTGAAAGACTTCATATTGTTTTAAAGTATTTGTGTCAAATTGCAGGATAGCATGTGTGTGTCTGTATGCATGTGTGTGTCTTTGTGTGTGTCTCCCTTACCTTTAATAATAAATAATAGCATCTTAAAGATGATATATATATATATAGCTGACTCAAGAGTAAGAATATACTGTTAGTTTTTTTCTTCCCTGAGAAATGTTGGTCATAAATAGAGTTTGAGAGCCACTAGTCTAATTCACGACAGTTAAATTTAAATTTATTTTCCATGCCATTTAAAAAAATTAATACTAAATGTCAATAGTAAACAAGGTTATGACAGAAATAGCCCACTTTTTAAATTACACTCCTATGGCAATTATGTCTTATTTTATTCAGGAGGTGAGGGAAACATGTTACCTTAACACAATGCAAGAGTTTTAAAGTCTTGTCATTTTTTAAATGTCAATTCTTGTTTCCTATACTCCTTAAAATATAAATATTTATTATGCTTCATGGCCTTTTCATGTTATAACTCTCTGAAAAATTATAGGTCTCAAAGCCATTCAAGTGTTTATCATGGGAATAGGTATAGATTTGACAAACAGCATAAAATACCTACTTTATATATTTTTAATTATTTTTGCAATAAATTCCAATGTAGGGAAGCCAAATAAAGCAAATTTTTAACAAAATTTACACATCTTCTTTTTTTTTTTTTTTTTTTTGAGACGGAGTCTCGCTCTGTCGCCCAGGTCGGACTGCGGACTGCAGTGGCGCAATCTCGGCTCACTGCAAGCTCCGCTTCCCGGGTTCACGCCATTCTCCTGCCTCAGCCTCCCGAGTAGCTGGGACTACAGGCGCCCGCCACCGCGCCCGGTTAATTTTTTGTATTTTTAGTAGAGACGGGGTTTCACCTTGTTAGCCAGGATGGTCTCGATCTCCTGACCTCATGATCCACCCTCCTCGGCCTCCCAAAGTGCTGGGATTACAGGCGTGAGCCACTGCGCCCGGCCACATCTTCTTACTAATAGTTATATACATACTATAATTGGTCTCAGTGAACAATTCTTTTGGTGGGCTTCTACATTTCAATAGAAAGAAAATCCACAGCAGTATTAATAAAGGCTCATAAAGTGCACTAAGAATTCTAATAGAGACAAAAATGTTCATTATTTGAGAACTTTACAGAATGTAATAAATTTCTTAAAAAATTAAAATATAATCATTAACAGTTTAACAAAATGGGGGTGGTCAGAATTTTAGTTTATAAATGAAATTTATACTGAGAAAGTCAGTTTTGTGCTGTGGTGAATATTTGACCTTCCACTGTCCCTAGAATAAGGTCATATAGCATGAAACTCTATGTCAGAGATTAGCAGGCTTTCTCCTTTATTTCTTTTTGTAACATAAGGGAGCCCTGTACCAGCTGCATGCAGCATTACTTCATGAGTGTATAACTGTATTTAAATCATTTATATATTACATTTTACAAATGTAATAGGGAAATGTGTTCTTTTGCATTCATGGTTAAGAGTTGGAACAGATGGCGAAAAGCTCAGCTTAAACTAATATGGGCATTAAAATAACTGATATTGCATGCATTCCTTGATATAACAGAAGTTTAGTTCACTATAAAATGGGCTTGTAACTTTCTAGAATATATTAAACATAATGTTTCTTTAGCAACAATTTTTTCCACATTAGGAAATTTCCTGTTAGGATGTATCCAGAAGAGTTTTTCAAAGTTAAAGAATGTAGTAATTCCTTTAACAAATATTTACTGAGCACTTATTATTTTCAGGCACTGTGCTTAATATTGAGCTGCTTAAAAAGATGAATAAGACACAGTTCCTGCCTTCAAGATAAGAATATCATCAGATGGAGGAGATGGAGACATTACAAAACATTGACAACACATGGAACGTTTGAAACACCTTTGTATTAGTCATGGTTCTCTAGAAGGACAGAACTAATAGGATAGATGTATATATAAAGGGGAGTTTATTAAGGAGTATTGACTCACACAATCACAAGGTGAAGTCCCACAATAGGATGTCTGCAAGTTGAGGAGCTTGGAAACCAGACTGGGTCCCAAAACCTCAAAAGTAGGGAAGCCAACAGTGCAGCCTTCAGTCTATAGCTGAAGGCCCGAGAGGCCCTGGCAAGCCACTAGTGTAAGTCCAAGAATCCAAAAGCTGAAGAACTTAGAGTCTGATGTTTGAGTGCAAGAAGCAGCCATTATAGGAGAAAGATGAGACCGGAAGACTCAGCATGTATGCGCTTTCCATCTTCTGCCTGCTTTATTCCAGCTGCGCTGGAAGCTGATTACACGGTGTCCACCCATGTTGACAGTGGGTCTGTCTCTCCCAGTCCATTGACTCAAATGTGAATCTCCTTTTTGGTGACACTCTCACGGACACAACCAAGAACAATACTTTCCATCCTTCAATCAAGTTGACACTCAATATTAACCATCACAACCTCCATTTGTAGTGACTGGGTCTGTGGTATTTCCATACCACCCAGAATCTGAGCCTTCAATTCTGGCAATTACAAATTGTCAATGGAGCCTACATCTGGAGCCCAGCCGGGACACCCTGTCCTTTTGTGTAGGGATGGATAGCTGAGAATAAATTAATTTATAACTCATACATTTGCTATATCCTTTCCATCAAATAACAGAAGAGTTAAAGAATTTCTTTAAAAAATCACCATTGAGCAATCATTTGAAAATATAAAAAGACCTTTTCACATAATGAACTACTCTACCAGCTATAGTCTTTTGCTTGGGATCTTATCTTGCATGTAATCATGCCCCAAGAAGACTATTTTAGTCATATCTTTGAACAAATTCTTGCAAGGCCCAAATTCTATTAAATTTTCTATAGTTCTTATATGCATCTCAAATTTCCCATTCCTCTAGGCTTTTCTAATGTGTTATTGCCCTGGCCAAGGACACCTGCAAAGGATCATTCCTAATATCTTTTCGTGTCCTTTATCTTTGTAAACTCCTATTCATGCATCAGAACTTGACTTAAAGATCACTTTTTCAGGGTATATCTTCCCTGACATACAAATTAGGTTAGATTCACCTGAAATATCTTTATTTAAAATTCTTCATTTTAAGAACATTCATTTTTATTTGTTTTAATTCCTTGCTTAACACCCATTATGTGCAGCAAGAAAACAAACACAATAATTAGTACATAATGAATACAGTAGAGATAACTCTAATATAATCTTCCTCTTATATTAATAAAACACTTTCTTACTTTGCTATGTTTTCCTTATATCCATTTCTACTGGGGATATTGTCTAAAATAGTGATAGGTGAAAAAGAACGCAAAACTTAAGATTTAAAATGTATACTAAAAATTCTTTATTTAAATGAATACATTATAGTCTTTCTTGTGATTCACTAGTTATATTTACTTCCTTTTGCTATTTCAGAGGTGTTGCTGTTACTTAAGAAAGCAGCACCACAGAGTTAATGTGTTTTTAATTTAGCCAGCTTTCTTTCTGAGTGCTTTTTAAGTTTGGTTGATAAACCAATCTAGTTTCTTCACAGGTACTGCCATACTGTAAGATAGTACTTCGTGAGGAGTAGCTTTACATTATTTTTTTCCTTGATGCCTCACTGATGATTCCAAATAAAGTTTACTGGGTAATTTGGAGAATATGGGGCAGTTTAACCACACAGAATGTCATACAGGCTGCTGCTGAGTCTTTTGCTAATCTAAGCAAGCTCTCTAAAGTTAGAGGCAAACTGTTTACTTAAAACATTAAAGAATCATTTTGCAGTATTTAAGTAAAAAGGAGTAAGCAGTGGGAATAGAGAAAATTGTATCCGCAGTTCTTAAAATAATTTTATATCAAAATCACTGGATATGGAAGTCATGATCATTAAAACGTGCACACCTGCTTATATTTGATTGTAACCTTATATTTGATTATAACCATCTATATTCTCCACATACACCTAATTCACCTGCACTAAAGTTTTGCTTTGATGACTGTACATTCAAATTTCTGCAGATGTTCTTAGAGCATATATTTATGAAAATAACATCCTAAACAATCATTTAAAATTTACTTGAGTGCAATAACTGTATGTAGGCAAATATATTCATTTCTTTACAAATAAGCATTTATTTTGTTTATTCAATTAGATCTTTTACAAAGGGAGTCTAGTCTATAAAATGTTAACACTGACTTAATATTCACAAAAAGTATATTAATATTTCTATATTAACTATGAAAGATAAATTACATTATGTATTGAATACTAATATCATTTCACTTATTTTTGACAAACAAGCGTATGACTTCTATGTAAGAGTTCATTATTCATATATGAATAATGCATTATATTTATATGATATACTATAAGATTCTTTGATATTCACACTATTTTGTTGGGTTGTTCTAGAAATACTGAACATTAGTAGAAGTGCTACTAGCCCTATATGGCAAGTAAGGAATCCGAGGCTCAGATCAGTTAGATAATTTATCAGAAGTCAAGTAGCTAGTAAACAATTAGGTCATAGATTAACTCTGGGCTTTCTGTTTTAGTGGCCTGTACTCTCTCTCCACTGAAAAATATTTTTATTCAATAAATGATGCTAAAACAAATGGACATTACATTCAAAAAAATGACTTGAGACATAAGCCATATACCCTTCACAAAATTAATAAAAAATGGATAACAGACCTAAATATAAAGTGCAAAACTATAAAACTCCTAGAATATAACATAGGTAAAAACTTAAATGACCTTGGGTATGGTGATGACTTTTTAGATACAATACCAAAGGGAATAATCTATGAAAGAAAGAATAGAGATGTTGGACTTCACTAAAATTAAAACTCCTGCTCTGCAAATAATTCTGCCAAGAAAATGAAATGACGAACCACAGACTGACAGAAAATATTTGCAAAAGCCATATATAATAAAAGGCCATTATCCAAAATGTTCAATGAAGTCTTAAACCTCAACAATAAAAAGCAAAAAACCTGAGTTAAAAAAAAAATAGTATTTGGCCTGAACACACACCTCATCAAAAAGGATACACAGATGACAAAGAGCATATGAAAAGATGCTCCACAATATATGTCTTTTGGAAACTGCAAAATTAAAACAACAATCAGATACCCTGCAAGCCTATTAGATGGTCAAAAATTCACAACACTGACAACACTAAATGCTGGCAAGGATGTGGAGCAATGGGAGCTCTCTTTCATTGGTGGTGGGAATGCAAAATTGTACAGCATTTTGGAAGAGAGTTTGGCAATTTTTGGTAAAACTAAACATTCTCTTACCATATAATCCAATAATCATGCTCCTTGATATATACCTAAGGAGTTGAAAATACGTCCCATCAAAAACCTAAATGTAGGCCGGGAGTGGTGGCTCATGCTTGTAATCCCAGCTCTTTGGGAGGCCAAGGTGGGCAGATTGCCTAAGGTCAGAAGTTCGAGACCAGCCTGTCCAGCATGATGAAATCCCGTCTCTACTAAAAATATAAAAATCAGCCAGGCGTGGTGGCAGGCGTCTGTAACCCCAGCTACTCGGGAAGCTGAGGCAGGAGAATCGCTTGAACCCAGGAGGTGGAGGTTGCAGTGAGCAGAGATAGCGCCATTGCACTCCAGCCTGGGGGCAAGAGATCAAGACTCCGTCAAAAAAAAACAAAAACAAAAACCCAAATGTGGATTTTTATAGCAGTTTTATTGGTAATTGCCAAAATTTGAAAACAACTAAGATGACCTTCAGTAGGTTTATGGATAGCTATACTGTGGTACATCCAGTCAATGGAATATTGTTCAGCACTAAAAATAAATGAGCTATCAAGTTATGAAAAGATTTGGAGGAAACTTAAATGCATATTATTAAGTGAGAGTGAATCTGAAAAGGCTACATAGTTACTGTATGAGTCCTACCATTTGACATTCTGATAAAGGAAAATCTATGGTGACAGTAAAAAGTCAGGTGATTGCCAGAGTGTTGTGTGGGAGAGGGATGAATAGGCAGAACACAGAGGAGTTTTAAGGTAGTGAAATTGTTCAGTAGAATACTATAATGGTTGACAGATGTCATCAAATATTTGTCTAAACCCAGAATATGCAACACAAAGTCAGAACTCTAATGTAAACTATGGAGTTTGAGTTACTATGATGCATTAACGTAGGCTTGTCAGTTTTAACAAATGAAACACTGGGGATGCAGATAATTGAGGAGTCTATGCATGATTGGGGCAGGGAATATATGG
Organism: Homo sapiens; assembly: GCF_000001405.40. NCBI lineage: Eukaryota > Metazoa > Chordata > Mammalia > Primates > Hominidae > Homo > Homo sapiens. The sequence continues at coordinate 86,466,798 of NC_000012.12, forward strand.
GAAATTTCCATACTTTCCCTTTAATTTTGCTGTTAATCTAAAACATTTTCTTAAAAATTACTTTTATTTCTACATGATGCTTAATATTTGGAAAATCACATAATTTCTATAAATTTCTAAGTTGTATAATTTTTACTAATCTGCTGGTATTTATGTGAATCTGCTACATAAAATATGACATTGATTATTTTGTTTTATTCTCATATAAAGAAAATGAGGTTTTGCTATAGTTAATGCATCTCAAGATGGCATATAATATAGAAGACTAGTAGTTTTCTCTAAAATAATTGATGCAGCTATAGACTATATTACTTATAGTCCTTGAAGCTCCATATGACCAAAGACTAGCTTAAGGCCAGGGAAACATGAATAGAAGCAACATGTTCTACTTCCTGGCCATGTTCTTAAAAGAAAAGAACCTTATTCTTTCTCTCTCCTCTGCAAATTATTAGTATGTACATGTTTGTGAGAGTCAGAAAAGCATTCTGGACCCAGAGAAAGAAATATTTCTTAGAGGATGGCAAAACGACAACAAATTAAACAAAAAATAAAAAGCCAAAGTTAAAGAGGCACAGACCAAGACACCATGGAGTAGGTCCACGTTAGCATTTGAGAATACCTTTGCACTGTAATATGAAAGAGAAAATTCTATCATTTATAACCAATGTTATAATTGGGCCTTTGTAATAGCATCCAGAGACTATATTCTAATTATATACACACACATACACAGAATAACAAAGGGTTAAACTAATTCAGGAGTTGCTTTTTTTATGTGTTATAAACATTATTGTAAATACAGATATAATTTAGATATATATTTATTGCAAAAATAAATGCAGATTTTCAGATGGACAATTTAATGAATTGATAACAGCTTTGATTGAGAAATGTTTATCCTTTTTACTCTGTTTAAATGAGCTTTCTCTGAAAACAGCTTTCTCTTCAATTAAGAAATGTTTATCTTTTTTACTCTCTTTAGATAATGTTTCCAGGATTCTTGAGATAAAGGGTAATGGTTTCTGTTGATTCCAAGAAATCTAAATCTACCATGCCTCTCAAGCCAAAACCAGTTACATGGTAGATTGACAAATATCAAATTAATTTGAATTAAATGAAAAAATTAAGGGTTATTTAATTTGAATTAGCTGCTATCTTTTTCCACATCATTAATAATGTTGGAATAATCAATGCTTCTATCCTCTACCTCTTCTATTCTCTACTTACACTTACTTCTATTTTCTAGCTATACAGTAGCATGTCTCAAATGAATATCCACAGCCAAAAATTATTTCTTTAACTCAAAATTCATATGCCCTACTGTCTTCTTGGCTTTTCCACTAAATATATCTAAAATAAAACTCCTCATTCTTTCCACCTAAAAATAAAGGCTACTACAAACACAACCATCCCCATGTTCATTGACAATAACTCCATCCTTCTAGTTTTTCTGTCCAATAACCTTGCAGGCCAAACCTTTTCAAATCATTTTTTTTTCCTTTCCTTTTCACCTTACTACACATCCAGGCTACCATAAAATCTTTTTGATCCTAGTTTAAAGGTTTTCCAGAACACAGCCTGTTCTTCATATCTTCATTGCTAGCACAGTGCCCCCTATGTCATTTTATCTTCCCAGAGATTTTTCCATAGCTTTTCAACTGATCTTTCTCTCCACCCCATATCCACACATAATATATCTAAATGCAGAAGTCTGAGTTGTTTTTTTTCTTAAATATAAGTTGGATTATATAAATCCCCTATTCAAAATGCTGTTATTGCCTATCCCTTTACCTAAAATAAAAGTCTAAAGCTTTTAAATAGCCTATAAAGCCTTACATGAACATAACCCTTGTTATTTCTCCAACTTTCTCTTCTACAACATTTCCCCTTCCTCGGTTCTAACCACACTGAGATTCTGGCTGTTTCAGACATAGCAAGCATATTCCCATTTTATTACCTTTACCCCATCTTTTTCTCTGCCTAGTGTGCTTTTCTTCTAGATTCCTATTTCACTAACTGCTTCAGGTCCCTTAAGTCTTTGCTTGAATCTTATATTCCCAATGAACACTGTTGTAAATTACATTTTTAACACCACAACTTATCCCCAGCTTACCATCTGCTCTTTGGATTCTGTCAATTCCCTCTAGTCTTTTTTGCTTATCTTTGTTTTCATAACATAAATCACCTCTTCACATATTATCCAATTTAATTATTTTGTTTGTCATTCATTGTCTCTTACCTTTCCCCTCACATAACCAGAGGATTAATGGGGCTTGTTCTTTGATGTATCCTATGGCCTAAAACACACGATACTTACCAAAAAGTATTTGTTGAAATATACACACCTGCTGTATTTAGTCATACTACTGTATATTTTTAAATATATTATATCAGTTAATCCTGTGTTAGGCAACTTCTAGAGGGTTTCAATGATCCCTGCTTTCTGATATTTACCCTGTTGTGTAAGGCTTCTTGTTGAGTGTGAGCTGTACCTAGAGAATTGCTTTTAATGAACAGAATATGGCAAAAGTGATAGGTTATCACTTCTATGATTGAGTTATGAAAGACTGCGACTTCTGTCTTGCTAGTCTCATGTCTTTTGCCAGCACTCTCTCTTGTCTGATTCCTTTCTCTCATAAATCAAGCTGTCATGTTGTACTCTCTGGATAGGCACACACAGCAAGGAACTGAAGAAGTCTTCTGGCCCACAGGTCATCAGCAACTGAGGCCTCAGTACAGCCAGCAAGGAAGTGAATCTTGTTAACAGTCATGTGAATCAGGTAAGAGACTGTTAGATTGGTACCAAAGTAATTGCGGTTTTTTTTTCCCCTGAAAGTAATGGCAAAAATGGCAATTAACTTTTGCACCAACCTAATTTTTTCCAATTGAGACTTGAGATGACTGTGGCCTTGTAAGAGCCCAGGTACCCAGGGAATTAGTACTTAGATTCTTAACCCATAGAAACTGTGAGATAACTGTTATGGTTTTCAGCCATGAATCTTTTGGATTCTTTGCTATGCACCAGCAGATGACCAAAATGATGATCAATATGAAACCACATATTTGCATGAAGACCAAATCCTCCTATAGAAACTGTGGGAACTAAGAGTGTTTTTGTTTAGTTTAGTTTAGTTTTTTCTCAGTATTTTTATTTCACTTAGCATAATATCCTTTATGGTCATCCATGTTGTTGCAAAAGGTAGGATTTCCTTTTAAAAGCCTAAATAGTATTCCGCTGTATGTATACACCACATTTTATTTATTTATTTATCTGTTGTTGGAATTTGAGTTTTTTAATATTTTGGCTATTGCAAAATATCTAAATTATCTAAGTTAAGGTTTAGATACTGCTTGCTTACAAGCAGAACTCTAATTTTATTTTCTCCAAAAAGTAATGTTGCTACTTAAAGAACTCTAATTTACAGTCTTGCTTACTTCTAGAGGTGAAGAAAAGAAGTCTTCCAGGAAAGATACTTATGTACAGCTAAGTCATATGGAAATAGTACCCTTTGGTTCTCTCTCTTCCCTTTTTTTACTTATCTGAAATGAAAATATGAGGACTGAACTTCGACTCTATCTTGGGTGACAAGAAGAACTGAAGTAGGAAGGAATCCTATGCTAAGGATGAGAGAGAAATAAGACAGCCCACACTCCACTCCCTTCCCCCAACACCAAATGTGAGCCTATCATTCAACCCACAGAAGACTTTTTATAAATGAGAGAGAAATGAATCTCTAATGTGTTCTTGCAGCTTATTTGCTTTTTTATTTTAGGAATTGAATCTTATTCTAAACTGATACAGTGTCTCTATTTACTTTGCTTTGGTGTCCTAAGTAGAAACTATAAATACTATTTAGACTTATTGCAATAGGCAAAGGGCATATTTTAAATCATATTATGGATATCTGCAACTGTGTATCTTTTAGTTTTACAGCATGTATTGTCATAGTTATTATTGTAATCATAATGCACTGAAACTTTACATCATTTTCAACCATATACTAATAGCGAAATAACATAAATATGTTATTTTCTCTTTCTCTGCTCCTCTCCGTATCTATGTATTTACTTCCTTTATATTATTCTTAACTTCTTAGGTGAGGAACAATGCTTTAAATGACCATGGACTTCTTATCAGACATTTATGACAGCCAGAAGACCATGGAACAGCATCTCAAAAGTACTAAAGGAGAGCCACAAAACCAGAATTCTATATCTAGCAAAAATATATTTCAGAAATGAAGACAAAATAAGAAAATTATCAGGTGAAGGTAAACCAGAAATATTTACTGTTGACATATCTAAAAGAAATGTTAAAAGAAGTTTTTTAGGCTAGAGGGAAATAACTAACACCAGGGGGAAATATGAACCTTCAGGAATAAAGAAAGAACAACATAAATGGTAAATATCTAGATAAACATAAAAGATAATTTTTCTACTTTTAGTTTTTAAAAAATATGTATAACTCTTGAAAGAAAACATTCTTATCTGGTGGAGTTTTCAATGTACATGAATGTAATATATATGACAACTATAACATAGAAGCCACTAGGGGATAGTAAAATGATGTATGGGACTATAAGTATTTTACATCTTACTTGAAATATTAAGTTATTAACTCAAGAAAGTGTGATAATTTAGGCACATATATTGCAATCCCTAGGAAAAAATACAAAAATATAAAAAGGTTACAGATAGGAAGCCCACAAATTAAACAGTATACTAAATACTTACAAAAAAAGGAGAAAATGAGAAGTAGAGGCACAAAGTAAGAATATGCACTATATAGAATATACTATTTGAAGTACTAGCCCATAAGTTCTAGCCCATAAAATTAAGTCCGTGATGTGAGAAAATTTTGGCTTAAGAGAAAATGGAGTAAGCCACAGAGTAGAAGATTCAGTGCAGATGAGTGAACCCTTAAAATGATGTAGAAGAGAGAAGCTGAATTGGGTAGACAGTAAATTACAATGAACAAATAGAATACTGCCTTTGTTTACTATCATTCAAAGTATTATATGTTACATAGTATTACTTGAAAATGCTATGAACCATGGAAGTGGATTTTTCCAAATCATAGAATTCACTAATCTAACAATTATGGCATTTATAAATACTATTGATAATATTAGTAAACATTTTTAATACAGTTTTTATCATATAAACATTTTGGTACATGTTATTTCTTTTAAGTGCCAATAGTTTTTGTATTTTAACTGCATATGGCAAAGTATTTTCCTAAAATATTAGAACATTTATCAATGGTGCATACTTTACCTCTTCGTAAAGTTAAGTTAATGCTCTAATTTTTAAAAATGTTCCCATTAGGGCACCAATTGTAGGATGGAGTGGAATAAAATGATAATCTCAGAAACTTTTGCCTCTATACTTTGTCTCCTTCCTATGTGTCTGCCTCCAGCGACTGTAGGCCATTTGAAGATTACTATTGCTGCTATTCTGGTTACCTAGAAAATGAGACAGATTATAAGGCCTATGAAAAGACTTAACTTTGTTTATGTAGAATTTTCATTAAATTTGCTAAAGGGAAGTGCCTAAGGAGGTTTCCTGTCTTTAGCAAATATATTTATTGGTGACCAGATCCTTTTTTGCCTTACCTTCACAGTTATTTCTCTAACATCTGAGGTTTTGGTAGTCTGATTTTTAGCTAAGTATGATATTTAATTCAATTAAAAGTCTATATTCATTAAAGAAGGCTTACATTAAGAAGAATGAAGTTCTAATTTATTTTCATCCATCTATATATATTATTGTTGTGTTATATAACTAAAATCTTACTATTATAGATTTTTTTTCTTCTAGCTTAAAAGTTCCAAGTGTTCTATCTTAGTAATATGATTTATTCTGGAGGAGAGGGATGTTGTAACAAATACTTTCCAGTACAAACTAAGATATTTGCATTTTCAAGTTTTGTATTAGAAGCAGTTTTGAGTCTTAGTAGTCTTATAAAATTATGATTAAGTGACCAACAAGTATAAATTTTGAGTCACAGATATTTAATTACAGTCGAGTTAAAAGAAGAAAGAAAATGAAATAATTGGAAAAAGATCTTTCACAGGAAGAATGTCTTATTGTTAGTACGGAAGAGAAATAAAATGAGAAAGAGAGGAAGGGAGGAAGAAGCTAGATATTTATTTATTTACGTATTTATTTATTTAGAGATGGAGTCTCGCTCTGTTACCCAGGATGGAGTGCAATGGTGCAATCTCAGCTCACTGCATCCTCCGCCTCCCAGGTTGAAGCAATTCTCCTGCCTCAGCTTCCCAAATACCTGGGATTACAAGCATACGCCTCCACGTCCGGCTAATTTTTTGTGTTTTTAGAAGAGGCAGGGTTTCATCATGTTGGCCAGGCTAGTCACGAACTCCTGACCTCAAGTGATCTGCCTGCCTCAGCCTCCCAAAGTGCTGGGCTTACAGGCATGAGCCACTGCACCGGGCCTGATTTCTTTTTTGTGTGTGTGAAAGTAGGAATGGAGAGCAATCACCAAGAAATCCGAAATGACATCCAGACAGCAAGTAATGCCAACTCTGACAAACCACTGCTGTGATCAGAGTTTGCACCTCTTTAAGATTTCAGATGTTGATTCTTTCTTCATGCATATTCCCATTAGAACATTTATCACTGATACATATTTCCTAATAGCTAAAAGTTTACTCATTACCAGAGATTGATGGAGAAAACAATGTTACAATTAAGAAAAGATCTTGGACCTGTCATAAGAAAAGAGACACCATTTGGAATAAGAAGACCAAGAATATGCCATTTACTGCCTTCAAGAGCCTTGAGAAACTGCATAAAGCAGTCTTAGGAGGATGAATTCAAATAATGGCAATATTGCATAATAATGTTATTTTTAAAAGATTAAAAGAAATTCTGCCTACTGCATCATTTATTATTAAACTGTATATTAAGACTTTCTAAATTTGCTTCCCTAAGATAGAGTGATATTCAATCATTTTTGCTTTAATGAATAAAGTCCATCTTTAATAAGTAATTGCAAGTGGGAGAGAATCGGGCCTTTTTAGGTCAAATATACTTGAGACATGAGGGTTCACAAAATCTGACTATGGAGAATTTGCATGATAGGGTTCACTGTGCAACAGAAAGCAGAAGTTTCTATCAATGGATAAAATGAAAAGCAAGATTGTGTCACAGATTTTTTGTTTCTTTGCTGCTATATAATGCCATACTCCCCTCTGACCCTCTTCCAAAGTATCCCCAGGGTAGACTATACTAACGAGATCCTTTTTCAGCAAAAGAAAGTCAGGCACTATTCACAATAGCAAAGACTTGGAACCAACACAAATGTCCAAAAATGATAGACTGGATTAAGAAAATGTGGCACATATACACCATGGAATACTATGCAGCCATAAAAAATGATGAGTTCATGTCCTTTGTAGGGACATGGATGAAGCTGGAAACTATCATTCTCAGCAAATTATCGCAAGGACAAAAAACCAAACACCGCATTTTCTCACTCATAGGTGAGAATTGAACAATGAGAACACATGGACACAGGAAGGGGAACATCACACACCGGGCCTGCTGTGGGGTGGGGGGAGGGGGGAGGGATAGCATTAGGAGATATAACTAATGCTAAATGATGAGTTAATGGGTGCAGCACACCAGCATGGCACATGTATACATATGTAACAAACCTGCACATTGTGCACATGTATCCTAAAACTTAGAGTATAATAATAATAATAAAAGAAAGGAACAGAAATGTTTAAACCTCCCCCTTGACTAGAAGTAATTAAGTAACTAAATTACAAATACACACACTTACATCTGGGGAGGTTAAACTGATTTTATGAATTGTATAAATGACAAGGATTCATACTCTGGCTTTTCAGGTTTTCTTTTTTTTTTATAAGAAAGCCCATCATTTAACAGTAAATAGAGGTTTTCTAGTGTGTCAAATGGGGATATGGTCAGATTAATGGCGAATTCAATGCTATGCATGTTTTTACCCTATCTCTTTTTATTTTTGCAAGATGTGGACACCTTTTAAATGCATTAGTTTCTTCCTGCATTGTACAAAGCAAATAAATAGGTTCTTTAAATTCCAACCAGTCAATAATTGAAATATATGCACAAAAAGTATATGTATAAAAACACATGTAAACTGATCAAGTGTCCTAAAAACACATTTAAAATAAAAATACAAAGTTAGAAGTTTAGCACTTAACTGAATATATGTTAATATGCATTATAAAAATAGTAAACTCATATAACAGAGATAGTATAGCTTGAAAATTAAGGACTAAAGTCAGAATGCTCTTTTTCAGCTCCCCAATACTCCTATTTATTTGCAATGTAACTTTTGATAAACTTCTCAAACTCTTTAAAACTTAGGTTCCTCAACTGCAAAATGGAAGGAAACTAATCACTAACTCAAACATTTGTTTTAGTGATTAAATAAAATATAGTAAAAAGTTTTTAGTAGAATACTCAGGATATAAAATTCTATAAATAATTACCAAATAGAATTTGGTTGCGAAATGGTCACAAAGATAATTGCAGAGAATACTGGAAAAATAATTGACAAAAATTTATATATTATTTAAAAGATTGAAGTTTACAATGCATGCAGAAAAATGCATAAAGTCATTATAAAATTGAGGTGTTAATGTGATTTTTACTACACAAGTTGGAATAACTGCATAATTTCAAATATAATAAATTGTTAGTCATCAATTTGAAAAGATTTTATGAAAAAAGCCATGATTTTATGACACAGAATCTATATGTTGTATAGAAAGCATGAATTATATTTCATTTTAGTTATGGTCTCTCTTTTCTTGATATAATTAACATTTAAAATATGTTTTCAAGGGTATATTGTTCAATGTCACTATAAATAATTTATGTTAATAGAAAAGCAGAAATTAAAAATGTGATAGCCAATATTTTGGGTACAGCAACTTTCATGACAATCATTTCTTTTGAATATATCTGCTATAAATACAAATTGATACAAAGTAAGCATGATAAACTGTCATGAATTTTAAACTATTTAATTATCATCATTATAATTGCCATGAATTATTGTACACTCACCATTTACCGAGAATTTCTGTGTTATTTTTTACTTTGTGTGTTTTTTATTGTGTATATTTAAGGTGTACAACATGATGTTTTGATATGCAAGTAGATAATGAAATGATTACTATAGGTAAACACATTCACACATCCATCACCTTCCATAGTAATGTCTCATTGTACATGTGTGCACGTGTGTCTGTGTGTTAACAGTACCTAAAATCTACATTTTATCAAATTTTCAGTATAAAATACAATATGATGCAATATTCTTTATACATTACGTAAAAATGTAGACCAAGGGTAGATTCACAAATTATGCATCTGACAAAGGTTTAATATCTAGAATCTATAAGGAGCTTAAACAATTGAACAAGCAAAATACAAATAACCCCATTAAAAATGGGCACTTCTCAAAAGACACTTCTGAAAAGAAGACATACAAGTGGCCAAGAAACATATGAAACAATGCTCCACATCACTAATCATCAGAGAAATGCAAATCAAAACCACAATGAAATACCATCCCATTTTCTGTTACTATTAGAAAATAAAAAATAACAGATGCTGGTGAGGCTTTGGATAAAAGGGAAAGCTTATATACTGTTGTTGGGAATATAAATTAGTTCAGTCCCTGTGGAAGGCAGTTTGGAGATTTCTCAAAGAACTTAAAACAGAACTACCATTTCACCCAGCCATCCCACTCCTGGGTTTATATACCCAAAGGAAAAAAAAAATTTATCAAAAAGACACATGTATTTGTATGTTAATTGCAGAGCTATTCACAATAATAAAGACATGGAATCAACCAAGGTGCCCATCAATGGTGGATTGGATAAAGAAAATATGGTACATATATACCATGGAATAATACACAGCCATAAAAAGGAAAAAAATTATGTCATTTGCAGCAACATGGATGGAACTGGAGGACACTGTCCTAAGCAAATTAATGCAGGAACAAGAAAGAAATATAGCATGTTCTCACATGTAAGTGGGAGTTAAGCCTTGGGGACTGATGAATATAAAGATGTTAGCAGTATAGACTGGGGGATACTACACAGGGAAATGATGAAGCGGGGCATGGACTGAAAAACTACCTATTGGGTACTATGCTGACCATCTGGGTGATGGAACCATCCATATCACAAACCTCAGCATCATGCAATATACTCATGCAGCAACCCTGAAAATTTAACCCCTGAATCCAAAATGAAAAATAAATATATATATATTTGTACTTATTATAAGTGAAAATATACTTAATATTTTCAGATCATTTATTGGTTGTATTTATAAGTAAAATTGACTTTTGTACATTGAAAAAAAAGAAAATGTGGTCTATATACAACATGGTATACTATGCAGCCATTAAAAAAACCTTGTTATTTGCAGTGACATGAATGAAATTAGAGGCCATTATCATAAGATAATTAAAGCACAAATAGAAAACCAAATACCACATATTCTCACTTATAAGTGGGAGCTAAATATTGAGTTCTCATGGGCATAAAGAGGACCATAGTAGAAACTGGGGACTACTAGAGGAGGAAGAGAGAAAGGGGGAACAAGTGTTGAAAAGCTACCTACTGGGTGATAAGATCATTGGTACCCAAGCCTCAGCATCATGCAATACACCCAGGTAACAAACGTGCACATGTACCCGCTGAAGCTGAAATAAAAGTTGAAAGAAAAACGCAGATAAAAAAATGTCCTTTTTCTCTTTATATATATATATTTTTATTATACTTTGAGTTCTAGGGTACATGTGCACAACGTGCAGGTTTGTTACATATGTATACATGTGCCATGTCGGTGTGCTGCACCCATTAACTCGTCATTTACATTAGGTATATCTCCTAATGCTATCCTTCCCCTCTCCCCACACCCCACAACAGGCCCCGGTGTGTGATGTTCCCCTTCCTGCGTCCAAGTGTTATCATTGTTCAATTCCCACCTATGAGTCAGAACATGCGGTGTTTGGTTTTTTGTCCTTGCAATAGTTTGCTGAGGATGATGGTTTCCAGCTTCATCCATGTCCCTTAAAGCAGATTAATGTATAAAACAGTCTTCGAACTAACTTGGACTTACAAATTTGCACATTTTCTTTTAAGAGCATTTCATATTTTCTACTTTACTTCCGAATTTTCAAGCTGAGAAATTTTGTTTATAATTTTATTTTCTGTGGATTTTATAAGGCACTACAAGATCACTGTAGATTAAAAATTAAATAGTAAACAGTCCCTAACTTCAAGTTGTTCATAATTTATCACAGGCACTGAGGTGGATGCCTAAATGGCATACTCATATACAGGAGAGAGGTCAGAGGCCAGTCTAGCAACTGAATTTTGTGGATTTGTCAGTAAGAATTAGAAAAGTAGTTGTGATGTTCATGACAATAGGGTGAAAGAAAGATGTAAAAGATGTCATGTGAAGACTGAAAAGTATTTTCCTTTTTGAGTTAGACACAATAGTATGTAGTCTTTTTCAGTCTGTTTTAAAGCCCTTAGGCATGAACAGTAATGTATTCAGGATCTGTGGAACAGGTAACATAGTGAACTGCCAGAGCGAGGAGAACCAAGAAGTGGAAAAGAGCAGTGAACTAAGTAAATCCTTAGATCTATGTCATCTCAAATTGGCAAATTTGCTGATATTGTGATTGACTTAAGTATCAATAATATCAACAAAAATATTGGTAGTTCATCTAAATTTTAAAATTCAGGTTTTTCTGTTGTTTTCTTTAAATATCTAAGTCAGTTCCCCACTTACTGCCCATGGCAATTCAAATTCCCTGATTAACACTGGAGCTTTTTGCAAGATTTGAAAATCTTTCTCAAGATCATAGTTTATTCAACCTTTGTTTTGAATTTTTCAAGTAATTCAAACCTCACAACCATATTATGCTATTATTAATAACCATTTTAAAGAAACTGAGGAAGGGATATTGAAATAGCTTCTCAGATCTATCCAACTATTAATATTAAGTAATGTGAAAAAGAATAAAACCCAGAATGTCTAAATTATTTAATATCTATTTTTAAAATAAAGTCCTGAGTTATTCCAGAATAAATTATTTAACCTAGTCCTAAGATTAAAATTTTTGTTTTGAAATCTCACATATTTGAAGGACACGTGACTTTTTTACACCACATTGTCTGAATTAATTAGCAAAGGTATTGCAAGCAAACCAACAGCATAATAGTGAACACTTCCTCATATCTTAAAAAATCAAATTCTATAGACTTTCTAAACTATGAAAAATTTACATTTGTCATTCAACAAACTTATTCTGTGTCAGTACCTGTTTCATCCATTTAGATGCAACAGTGTATGAAAACAGACAAAGATTTCTGTTCTTAAAAGTTTACAAAGAGGAGAGCCTGCCAATATAAAAATGAATATATAAATTTTGAAGTATGCAAGAAATTAATCAATACTATAAAGAAATAGTAGAGCAAGGAAAGCATTTTTAATACTATCTAGAATTTTCAAATCTTCTTATGGTTTAAAGTATAGTCATGATACTCTCTTGGGTAAAGTGAGTAGGGCTGGTAGGTGCCTGCATGTATGCATGTGTGTGTGTGAATAACTGTGTATTGCTATTTAGAAGAGTTAGGGTGGTCAAACTCTAAAAAGATTCACATTGAAATAGTCATCTTCTAAAAGGTCACATGATATGTTACCTTAGCTATTTTTTTTATACTTGAAATACCTTGGGCAGTAACAACTCTTCCCAAATTTGATTTAAATGATAAAAAGAAAGATCAGTGAATGACTATAGTTATAAAAAATGTCTATAACAACTGTCAGCAATCTCCAGCAATTTATGGTACTCTTTGTAAGCGAAATGACTTTATTATAGAGCAAGAGTGGAGCCTTTTCACTTTCAAAGTTACCTACATCTAGCTGCAATTGTTGGTAGGATTAAGCCTCATCAAAAATAAAATTGGGAGTAAGGAAAAATCCTAGAAATCAAAGTTGCAAAAAAGACTAGAATAGAAAACTGATCACACTTTGGAAGTTACTCTGACTAAACACTGAAAAACAAAATGCCTTTTTAATACTTATTATTATCATTAACTTTGGAAAGAGAAAGGATCCTAAGTTAATTTAACCGTTAGTCAATTTTACATGAATACATAATACCCTAAATAAATATCTTGTTCATTAGGTAAGCATATAGTTTTATGATAAAATTTAAAATCTATGCTTCTATTATGATTCAAATTTACACAAATTTATTTGGAAGACACAGTCATATTATTTTTATTTTCTATAAAAGTTTTGGAAAAAAATACACTAAAGAAATACTGCATTGTAAAAACCACTCTTGCCATTAGAGAACATGTAAGTGTTCTTTCATGTATAAGTAATAAAGAATCAACATTTGCTGCTTTTGGAAACAAAATGAAACAAGAGAGGAAATATGTCTAGCTTTTAGGGCAATTTGGTAATATTTGAGAAACACAGCCTGACAACTCAAAGGGTATTTTTTAATGTTTATGTAAATGTATACATATGCATACATGTGTACATATAAGTATATATATCCAACATATAAACATGTATGTATGTATACATATATAGATATGTACACATATACATATGTATGTATACATATATAGATATGTACACATATACGTATGTATACATATATAGATATGTACACAAATACATATGTATGTATACATATATAGATATGTACACATATACATATGTATGTATACATATATAGATATGTACACATATACATATGTATGTATAAGTAGTTAATGATGTATAAACATATGTACGTATGTGTGTATATATGTATATACAAATTTGATAGTTACATGCTACTTATAGTTTTTATAAAAACACATATTGCTGTAACTCTTTATTTCTCCAACTTTGCTGCAATTAACACAAAATAGGTGCTAAATGATTTTTATTCCTGTTGATGCTCTCTTCCCTTCTCTACAATAAAACAACCTTTTGTATTGTTTTTGTTTCTTTTTTTTTCTTCTTGCTGAATTTGAATATAGGTTCTCTTCTTCCTTAATCACATCAGGACATTTTCCACACTCTGAAATACCCAGTCACTTTGAAGTAAAACTACCCATATATTATTGTGAAAATGTTAGAATGTGAGAAATACAATCTTTCAACGTAAAACAAAACATTCCAAAATAAAACATGCCTATAATCCCAGCAGTGATCATAACAAACATCAAAGAGACAATGAGGGATATCTAAATGTCTTAATAAAAGTTAAACCTAATAAGCATCTATTGGTTTATAATGCTATAAATTCTAATGTTTTGTATAGGAAACATGTATATTTCATTTTCTTTTTAAAATTTTCTTGGTAAAAAATGTACAGCTTTCTTTTATAGCTCAGTCTAGAGGGTTATAAAGAAGCCTGAAATAATTGTCTTCTAGACTTAACACCAAGGACAAATGGAATTGGCAAAGATTTTTTTAAAGTTACAAAACTTAGTGTGAGGGAAATGATTGCTCTCATATGCTTTTGTTAGCAGTGTGCATTGACACAACCTTCTGGAGTTTAGTCTAACAACACAGATTAAGAGACATAAATGTGTGTATTACCCTCTGATGTAGCATTTCCATTTCCAGAATTTATATTTTTTAAAATGTCAAAGAGATACACAATATTTAGAGGCAAGAATCTTCATAGCAGTATTATTTGCATACACATACATATACATAAAGAATTAGAAGCATCTACATGTCCAGCAATATGGATATGATTATCATTATACACACACATGCAGACACGCACACACACATAATAGAATTCTAGTTAACTATCCAAAATGATTTGAAAGAAAATAAATCATATTGAAAAATATTTAAAGTTTCTTTTCAACTAAAATGGTAACAACATGGTACGTATAAATAATATATTTTTATTTATTTTTCACTTTTTTTAAAGAGATGGGGTCTTGCTATGTTTCACAGGCTGGTCTTGAATTTCTGGCCTCAAGCAATTCTCCCATCTCAGCAATTCCAAACTGCTGGAATTATAGGCATGAGCCACCACCTGTATTTAACAATATGTTCTAAATACAATAATGTATTTTTAAAAACATATATATTATTTATTAGGGCAGCATATATTAAAATATCCCTGATAGTGACAATTTCTAGGTTGTAAAACAGTCCTCTTTTTTCTTATTTGTATTTTCTAAACATGTCACTACACACACACACACACACACACACACACACACACAAGCAAGTCTTCTTTTTCAAAGAACAGAATAAATTGATATAAGTTGTATTTTCATACCAAAGTATTCTTAGACCATTTTCAAATTTGATAAGGGTATTTCCACTTCTACAAACAAACATTAGAACAACACTACACTATTTTTACACAATTTTTAATCAGCTAAATTAAAAAACTGTGTAAATATGCTTGAGCAACAAAATTTATAGATATCACATTTTAGTAAAGTTACTCTTGAGAATCCAAATACTGCTATCAATTCTGTCTTCAATTCTCAGCAGATTGACATAGTTATAATGTTTTCTATAATTATCAACTTGAAAAAGTTGACACATTTTTATTTTTAATTATATATATACTCGGGATAAGGATAATCTCTTTAAAAAATGAAAAATTCAAAGGATTGAAGTTTACATGAGTATGATCTTAGTAATTTACATTTTCTACCTTCTAAATGTATATGTTGTTGAACAGAATTCCAACCTTATTTATTCTCGAGAAAGTATTACAAATATACTGTTTTCAAATATCTTTTAGAATTTTTAGAAGTGTTTTCGTATTTAAAAGTTTTCAGCTTGTTAGAACAAATTTTCTCTAACGTATAAAGTCTATTTTCCTGGGTGAAGTTGCAAAGATTGTCAGAGATTAATTAAGATGTCCAATGAAATTATAGTCATATATGATACAACGCATAATTTTCTTTAGGTCACAGAATTTACAATTTCATATTTATTTAGCAGAGCAAATGTAAATTTTGTAATTTGTTTTATTTGACCAGTTCTACTTGTTTATAAATTTCAAAGGAGAATAACTGGGTTTAATGCTAATATTTCTTTCTTGTATTTATTTACAAATGTATCGTGATTCTTACATAAAAGTTCAAGGCATTAGTTTGTCTTAGTTACTTCTGGCTGCTATAACAAAATATCATAGACTGGGTGATTGTAAACTACAGAAATTTATTTCTCACAGTTTTGACGTCTGAGAAGTTCAATATCGAGGATGGTTAGATCCTTCTTCTTGTTGTGTCCTCACATGGCAGAAGGGGTGAAGGAGCTATCTGGGTTTCTTTTATGAAAACACCAGTCCTGTTCATGAGGGTAGTACCCTCATAAACTAGCTACCACCCAAAAAGTCCCAGTTCCAGATATCATCACATTGTACATTAGGTGTCAACAAATGAATTTTAGGGAGACATAAACATTCAGTCTACAGCACTGTTTTCTATGAGTGAGCAGGAACAAAAACAAGAGATATAATTCCTCTTTATAGAGGCTATTATTTAATAAATAACATTTTACCCCCCAAAATTCTTAGTTTGAAGTATTTTATAAACATATAATTAGATGAGTGTGTATTGTTTCTATTCTAAATAGAAAAGTCCACATTTCTTGAAGGAAAATCAAAAGGTTTTGTGGAGTGCAAATTATTGGAAGTACAGTTTACTTAGAAAAGTATGTTAGGTGCATAAAATGAAAGTTTTGAGTGTAAAGGCAGTGACAATATATTTATATTTTAGACAAAAGGGGCTCATTTGCATTATGGAGAGTGATTCTATTATTTTCTGAATCAGTTCACTCCAACATATTCATATGGCACTTATTTATTTGCAGAACTTTAGACTTCAGTAGAGCCTGTAAGTCTCCTACTTGGCTTCATTTCTGCCTCACTCATCCATGCCTTTCCAGCCATTCTCCCTGGTGTCATTAGAGTGATCTTGATGTTAAGACAAGATGGCCTACTAGATGCAGCCAGGAAGTGCCACTTGCACAGAGAGAGACCAAAATATCAAGTACACCAACATATTTTAAACAAATATTTAGAGAGAAAACAACAAGAGTTATTAAAGACGCAAGGTAAACACTGTGGCTAAAGAGCAAAAAAGCATGAAATCTTGTGCAGGGTTGCTGAATGCCAGGGCTAATTTCCAGTCCAGATCAGCTTCTAGAGAAGGTGTGAGTAAAGGGATGGTGAGGTGGACCACTCTCACAGCAGATCTCTGGGATCCCAGCTACAAGAGATGCCATGACACCAAAGACATTTGAACTGACAGGAGAATCAGCCCAGAGAGTAGACAGAGACAGAGACCCATGCTGCAGAGCCGAGGAGCTTCTGTGTTCTGAGGTAGCTGCAGTGGAACACCACCATAGGCACCCTTCTCTAGAGGCTTTCTGTCTTTCTCTGAAAAGCTTTAACTAACCCCAGCTGGCCACCAGGCCAAGAGAGAGCAGAACCAACTTTCCTGCAGGACTGGGTACATCTGTTCTGCATGTTCCCCTGCCTGCTAGCCTGGCTTAAGGCCCCTCCCTGGCTACTCTCACAGACGTATGTGCACAGTACAGCCTCTGCTGCCCAACCTGGTGCTTTGCCTGCAGTCCCACCTGAGTACTTTCCCAGTAGGCTGAGAGTAGTTAGGATCCCCCAACACAGCCAGTGTCTGATCTCGAGGGGCAAAAGGATGTAGCTGAGTGTTGATCCCAATCCCTCAGGGCTGCAGCATGCAGCATGGGAGGATCCCCCACACTCAGAACACTGAGAGGGGTGAGAAATGTGGGTTTGTGGACCGGCGTGGGAGTGGGCTGTGGCTCCAATCACAGGGCTGGTCCAGGAAGAGTGAGACCTGTCAGTCAGCCCGACAGCCTTTCCTGAGAGAGCCCAAATGCCCAGAACACCTGCCAAAGGAAATGTGGACATGGCACCAGTGATCAGAGGAGGCTCCCCCAAGGCCCAAGAGCAGGCTTGGTGAGTGGGGTCAGGTCTTTCCCCAGCCCACCAAAAAGCACCACTGTGAATTCAATGAAATACAATATAGCCACACAGCTGATTTAGAGGCTATCTTCTGGCCATTACTCTTAAGCACCATCTACTAGATTACAGTTCAAATTACAACATCAAAAATATTCTGCCAGTATGTACTACCTGTGACACCCAGGGCAAGAATCCAGCCACAAATAAAAATCCTGTATAAAGGCTTTTCCTTCTAAAGGACTCAGAAACAAAGCTTACAGACTATACTAAACTCAAAGAACAATAGCTTCTGATGAGAAAGAATCGGCATAAGAATGATCCCAATTCAAAAAGTCAGAGTGTCCTCTTACTTCCAAATGAGTATGCTAGTTCTCCAGCAATGTTTCTTAACCAGACTGAAATGACAGACAGATAATTCAGAATCTGGATGACAAATAAGCTTATCAAGGTTCAGGAACAAGTTGAAACCCAATCCAAGAAATCCAAGGAATCCCATAAAATGATCTAAGAGCTGAGGAAAAAAGAGCCATTCTAAGAAAGAAGCAAACCAGACTTCTGGAATTGAAAAAATCACTACAAGAATTTCATAATATAGCCTGTAGCATAAATAGCAGAATAGACCAAAAATTAGGAATGTCAGAAATTGAACATTAGTTCTTCAAGTCAACTCACTCAGAAATTAATAATAAAGAAAAGAAATTTAATGAACAAAATCTTCAAGAAATATGGGACTATGTAAAGAAATACAACATTTTACTCCCTGGCATTCTTGAGAAAGGAGAGGGTAAGCAACTTGGAAAATATATTGGAGGATACAATCCATGAAAATGCCCCCAATCTTTCTAGAGAAGTTGACACGCAAATTTGAGAAATACAGAGAACCCCTGTGAGGTACTATATAAGACAACAACCTCCAAGACACATAATCATCATATTCACCAAGATCAGTGAAGGAAAATAAATCTTAACAGCAGCTAGAGAGAAGGGTTGGGTTACTTACAAAGAGAATCACATCAGGATAGCAGTGAAAATCTCAGCAGAAACTTTACAAGCCAGAAGACATCGGGGCCTATTTTTAGCATCTCTAAAGAGAAGAAATTCCAACCATAAATTTTATATCCCACCAAACTAAGCCTCATAAAGGAAAGAGAAATAACATCCTTCTCAGACAAGCAAACATTAAGGGAATCCATTATCGCTAGACAAGCCTTATAAAAGGTCCTTAAACATGGAAGCAAAAGAACAATACCCAGTACCACAAAAACACAAATAAGCACATAGCTCTTCTATTAAGTAATTATGTAATCAAGTCTACAAAACAACTGCCAAACAACATGATGACAGGATTGAAATCTCACATATCAATACTACCCTGGAACGTAAATGGTCTAATTGCCCCACTTAAAGAGGATAGAGTAGAAAGGTCTATGAAAAGACAAGACCCGACTGTCTGCTCTTTTCAAGAGCACCATGTCACATCTAATGACATGTACAGGTTCAACATAAAAGAACAGAGAAAGATCTATCATGCACACACACACACACACACACACACACACACACACACACACACAAAAGAGCATGAGTTACTATTCTTACAAGAGAGAAAACAGACTTGAGACCACCAACAATCAAGAAGGAAAAAAAAGGGATAAAGGTTCAATTTAATAAGAAGACTTAACTATCCTAAATATATATGCACCCAGCATTGGTGTACCCAGATTCATAAAATCAGTTCTTCTTGACCTATGAAAAGTTTTAGACACCCACACAATAATCGTGGGACACTTTAATAATTCACTGATGGCATTAGAAAGATTATTGAGGCAAACAACTAACAAAAAAATTCTGGACTTAAGCTGAACACTCACAAAAGTGGACCTAACAGACATCTAGAGAATACTCCACACAACAATCACAGTTTATATATTCTTCTCATGTGCCCACAAAACATTCTTATTTTTTAAGTTTAAAAGACAGAGTGTTTTAACGTCAGTCTGTTGATAGTTAAACCCAGTGAGTAAACATTGGGAGTCTTTGCCTAGAGATCTGGATTCTGCAAATTAATCAATCGTCAAATTTTCAGGCTCAGCAAAGCAGTTTTATCTGAGTGCTTAAAATGGATATACCAATCAGGGGAAAGACTGATATCAATTGAATGCTTGCAAGAGACTGGTGTATAAACTGAAGTTCCAATCGTTTTAATTTATAACAATAACTGTGACAGAAGAATCAGAATAATTATGCTATCATGGTCACGTCTTTCTCTCTCTGTAAAACAAGCAAATGATGATTTCTTGAATAGCAATGGAGTCATTTGGTACCAGTGTTTAAAGGGATCATTCTCTGTGAAAGAGATCTATTAATACAAGAGCCAGAACATTCCTACTCCTAACTAGTGTACATTTAGATACTGATATATAATGCCTTAGAGCTAGTTTTCCAACTTTCCACTTTGATACATGTATTCTTTCCTTGAATGTATCCAGTTAGGACTAAGCCCTGGAAATTGTTTTGCTCCAAAAGGTGACTTTGCAGATCAGACTTAATTATCTGCATTGCTTGAACTCCTGGAAGGTGGTCTTTATTTCTTATTCGTAAGTTTTGGAGTGGCTATTGACTTTAGTTGTCATAAACTTACCAATTTAGAAAACAAGTATTTCCGAATTTTGATGTTTATAATTGTGCTCTTTTAGGGGTTCTTGATTTTCTTAGAGCTGAAGAAGTTAGTATGTGTTTGACAAATGTCTGAAGATTTTCTATTTCTAACTACCAATGGTTAAGTTTAAATATATTTACATAATATGTCATTTTAAGGTAATTTGACTTTTATGCCATTTGAAATTTCAAATACAATCACAAATAAAGCAATGAAGAAAATTAAGCTTCCAATTTTATTCTAAATACTATTCTTTCCTGAAAGTTTCCCAGGAGACTTACTTTAGTTGTTAAATTTCTGTAATTTTACTAGCTTGACATAAATGTTAAAAGTTTGTTTTTACATAAATAAACATTGCGTCTAAAATAAACCTTACTTTCTTAACATCATAAGTTTATATCAAAATAAAAACAAATAAATTTTGAATGTGGAATGTTATTTGTAAGCTAATGAAATCATTTAGGAATAAAACCAGGATTGAAACTATAAGAGCGTTTTAATTCATAACTCACAAGATATAGATTAAGAAAGGTAGCATTAGCTGCCTGAAATCAGTGGTAACATAAGAGTAATAAAAACACAGTATGCAAAATATTGGCTGGGCATAGTGGCTCATGCTTGTTATCTCAACACCTTTGGGAGGCTGAAGTGAGAGGATAGTGTGGACCTACAACATAGTGAATTCTCAGTATGTTGCCCAGGAGTTTGAGATCAGCCTGGGCAACACAGTGGAACCTTGTTTTCTACAAAAAAAAAAAAAAAATAGAAAAATTAGCTGGGCATGGTGGCACATGCCTATAGTTCCAGCTACTCCAGGAGGCTGAGGCAAGAGTATCGCTTCAGCCAGGGAGATTGAGGCTGCAGTGAGTGGTGACCATGGCATCGTACTCCAGCCTGGGTGACAGGGTGAGACCCTGTCTCAAAAAAAAAAAACAAAAAACCCAAAATGAAACAAAACATCATTCACTAATTTATCTAAGGCAGATACCTACAATGTCCTAGATTTTGTTTTCTCTCTTGAACTATCCAGTGAGTAAGCAAATTAGATTTATTCTGTCCTTTATATATTTCACTTCCAATAAATGGCTTGAAGAGTTTCAGTGGTCTTCAGTTCTCTGATTTTTCTCCCAATAAGAACCTCAATTCTAAAATCTATGAGGAACCGTATTATTTCTCAGTTGGAGATTATTCTTCACAACATTGCACCCAAGAACTTTCAAGCATAACAGTCCTTCTTAACATTAAGATATATCAGAGCACATTATATCATATGATTGAAGTTCTATTAGCTGCTATAAATGGTAGAATAAAATTAATAATACTTTAAAATAAATTTCTATTTCAACAGCAAAAAAAATGTGGTTATTTTAAAAAGAGTGGTAACAATAGGAGACAGAGAAATTCTGGGCAGACAGAGGTGGGTCCCTGGCAAAACCCCACCTTCAAGCCAAAAAACTTGAAATCTGTGGCCCAAAGTGGGAGCTTCTATCCCTGTGTGCCCACTCTAACCCAGCTGGTGCTCTCTGAATAACATCTTTTTGCCAGTCGAATGTTGCCTTTTCCAAAACTACCTACAGCCTGCCCTGTGCCTATCTTGTGCCTATAAAGACCCCAGACTCAGCCAGCAGAGGACAGAAGCAGCTGGATATCAGGGAGAAGCGACTTAACTTCAGAGACAGTGGCTGGTTGAGGCAACTTAACTTCAGAAGAGAGAGGTAGAGAGGTGGCTTGACTTCAGGCAAGAGCAACTTACACTTCGTGTCCCCTTTCCAGCTCCCCTCCCCACTGAGAGCTGCTTTCATCACCCAGTAAAATTCTCTACATTCATCACCTTTCAGTTCATCTGTGTGACCTCTGGACATGCGACCTCTGAGAGACCTCTGGGCACTGCACAAGAATTTGGGACACACCAAGTGTGGGTACCCTAAAAGGCTGTCACACTAGCCCTTTCCTCTTGCTGCCAGAGGGCAGCTGCCCCAAACTACAAGGCAAAGGGCCTATTGAGCTGATAACACACTGCTATCTGTGGACAGCAGACCTAAAAGAGCATTGTAACATGCCCTCTGGGGCATTGGGATCACAGGCACCCTGACCTGGATGCTACTGTGGGACATGCATGAAGTTTAACTCCTGCTGGCACTGAAGCTGCTGGCCAGTTGCCACACTTGTTTGCTCATACACTCCCTCCTCCGAGGGGTTGAACCATGTGGGCTGAGTAAATGAGGCACCCTTGTCAGGAGTCCTGCAAAGGAGTTAAGAAATTATCCTGCATCAAAGCCTCAGGAGCCGATGCGATCAACTGGAAGAAAGGGTATCAGTGATGGAAGATGAAATGAATGAAATGAAGCGAGAAGGGAAGTTTAGAGAAAAAAGAATAAAAAGAAATGAACAAAGCATCCAAGAAATATGGGACTATGTGAAAAGACCAAATCTACGTCTAATTGGTGTACCTGAAAGTGACGGGGAGAATGGAACCAAGTTGGAAAACACTCTGCAGGATATCATCCAGGAGAACTTCCCCAATCTAGCAAGGCAGGCCAACACTCAGATTCAGGAAATATAGAGAACGCCACAAAGATACTCCTCGAGAAGAGCAACTCCAAAACACATAATTGTCAGATTCACCAAAGTTGAAATGAAGGAAAAAATGTTAAGGGCAGCCAGAGAGAAAGGTCGGGTTACCCACAAAGGGAAGCCCGTCAGACTAACAGCGGATCTCTCGGCAGAAACCCTACAAGCCAGAAGAGAGTGGGGGCCAATATTCAACATTCTTAAAGAAAAGAATTTTCAACCCAGAATTTCATATCCAGGCAAACTAAGCTTCATAAGTGAAGGAGAAATAAAATACTTTATAGACAAGCAAATGCTGAGAGATTTTGCCACCACCAGGACTGCCCTAAAAGAGCTCCTGAAGGAAGCACTAAATGTGGAAAGGAACAACCGGTACCAGCCACTGCAAAATCATGCCAAATTGTAAAGACCATCGAGACTAGGAAGAAACTGCATCAATTAATGAGCAAAATAACCAGCTAACATCATAATGACAGGATCAAATTCACACATAACAATATTAACTTTAAATGTAAATGGACTAAATGCTCCAATTAAAAGACACAGACTGGCAAATTGGATAAAGAGTCAAAACCCATCAGTGTGCTGTATTCAGGAAAGCAGAGACACACATAGGCTCAAAATAAAAGGATGGAGGAAGATCTACCAAGAAAATGGAAAACAAAAAAAAGGCAGGGTTTGCAATCCTAGTCTCTGATAAAACAGACTTTAAACCAACAAAGATCAAAAGAGACAAAGAAGGCCATTACATAATGGTAAAGGAATCAATTCAACAAGAAGAGCTAACTATCCTAAATATATATGCACTCAATACAGGAGCACCCAGATTCATAAAGCAAGTCCTGAGTGACCTACAAAGAGACTTAGACTCCCACACAATAATAATGGGAGACCTTAACACCCCACTGTCAACATTAGACAGATCAACGAGACAGAAAGTTAACAAGGATACCCAGGAATTGAACTCAGCTCTGCACCAAGCGGACCTCATAGGCATCTACAGAACTCTCTAAACCAGGAAGAAGTTGAATCTCTGAATAGACCAATAACAGGCTCTGAAATTGTGGCAATAATCAATAGCTTACCAACCAAAAAGAGTCCAGGACCAGATGGATTCACAGCCGAATGCTACCAGAGGTAAAAGGAGGAAATGGTACCATTCCTTCTGAAACTATTCCAATCAATAGAAAAAGAGGGAATCATCCCTAACTCATTTTATGAGGCCAGCATCATCTTGATACTAAAGCTGGGCAGAGACACAACCAAAAAAAAGAATTTTAGACCAATATCCTTGATGAACATTGATGCAAAAATCCTTAATAAAATACTGGCAAACTGAATCCAGCAGCACATCAAAAAGCTTATCCACCAAGATCAAGTGGGCTTCATCCCTGGGATGCAAGGCTGGTTCAATATACGCAAATCAATAAACGTAATCCAGCATATAAACAGAACCAAAGACAAAAACCACATGATTATCTCAATAGATGCAGAACAGGCCTTTGACAAAATTCAACAACGCTTCATGCTAAAAACTCTCAATAAATTAGGTATTGATGGGATGTATCTCAAAATAATAAGAGCTATCTATGACAAACCCACAGCCAATATCATACTGAATGGGCAAAAACTGGAAGCATTCCCTTTGAAAACTGGCACAAGACAGGGATGCCCTCTCTCACCACTCCTATTCAACATAGTGTTGGAAGTTCTGGCCAGGGCAATTAGGCAGGAGAAGGAAATAAAGGGTATTCAATCAGGAAAAGAGGAAGTCAAATTGTCCCTGTTTGCAGACGACATGACTGTATATCTAGAAAACCCCACTGTCTCAGCCCAAAATCTCCTTAAGCTGATAAGCAACTTCAGCAAAGTCTCAGGATACAAAATCAATGTACAAAAATCACAAGCATTCTTATACACCAATAACAGACAAACAGAGAGCCAAATCACGAGTGAACTCCCATTCACAATTGCTTCAAAGAGAATAAAATACCTAGGAATCCAACTTGCAAGGGATGTGAAGGACCTCTTCAAGGAGAACTACAAACCACTGCTCAATGAAATAAAAGACTATACAAACAAATGGAAGAACATTCCATGCTCCTGGGTAGGAAGAATCAATATTGTGAAAATGGCCATATTGCCCAAGGTAAGTTATAGATTCAATGTCATCCCCATCAAGC
Source organism: Homo sapiens (assembly GCF_000001405.40). Classification (NCBI taxonomy): domain Eukaryota; kingdom Metazoa; phylum Chordata; class Mammalia; order Primates; family Hominidae; genus Homo; species Homo sapiens. Next base: position 86,492,260 of record NC_000012.12, read on the forward strand.
TACCAATGACTTTCTTCACAGAATTGGAAAAAACTACTTTTAAGTTCATATGGAACCAAAAACGAGCCCGCATTGCCAAGTCAATCCTAAGCCAAAAGAACAAAGCTGGAGGCATCACACTACCTGACTTCAAACTATACTACAATGTACAGTAACCAAAACAGCATGGTACTGGTACCAAAACAGAGATACAGATCAATGGAACAGAACAGAGCCCTCAGAAATAACACCGCGTATCTACAGCTATCTGATCTTTGACAAACCTGAGAAAAACAAGCAATGGGGAAAGGATTCCCTATTTAATAAAATGGTGCTGGGAAAACTGGCTAGCCATATGTAGAAAGCTGAAACTGGATCTCTTCCTTACATCTTATACAAAAATTAATTCAAGATGGATTAAAGACTTAAACGTTAGACCTAAAACCATAAAAACCCTAGAAGAAAACCTAGGCATTACCATTCAGGACATAGGCATGGGCAAGGACTTCATGTTTAAAACACCAAAAGCAATGGCAACAAAACCGAAAATTGATAAATGGGATCTAATTAAATTAAGGAGCTTCTGCACAGCAAAAGAAACTACCATCAGAGTGAACAGGCAACCTACAGAATGGGAGAAAATTTTGCAACCTACTCATCTGACAAAGGGCTAATATCCAGAACCTACAATGAACTCAAACAAATTTACAAGAAAAAAACAAACAACCCCATCAAAAAGTGGGTGAAGGACATGAACAGACACTTCTCAAAAGAAGACATTTATGCAGCCAAAAAACACATGAAAAAATGCTCACCATCACTGGCCATGAGAGAAATGCAAATCAAAACCACAATGAGATACCATCTCACACAAGTTAGAATGGCGATCATTAAAAAGTCAGGAAACAACAGGTGCTGTAGAGGATGTGGAGAAATAGGAACACTTTTACACTGTTGGTGGGACTGTAAACTAGTTTAACCATTGTGGAAGTCAGTGTGGCGATTCCTCAGGGATCTAGAACTAGAAATACCATTTGACCCAGCTATCCCATTACTGGGTATATACCCAAAGGACTATAAATCATGCTGCTATAAAGACACATGAACACGTATGTTTATTGCGGCACTATTCACAATAGCAAAGACTTGGAACCAACCCAAATGTCCAACAATGATAGACTGGATTAAGAAAATGTGGCACATATACACCATGGAATACCATGCAGCCATAAAAAATGATGAGTTCATGCCCTTTGTTGGCACATGGATGAAACTGGAAATCATCATTCTCAGTAAACTATCGCAAGGACAAAAAACCAAACACTGCATTTTCTCACTCATAGGTGGGAATTGAACAATGAGAACACATGGACACAGGAAGGGGAACATCACACTCTGGGGACTGTCGTGGGGTGGGGGGACGGGGGAGGGATAGCATTAGGAGATATACCTAATGCTATATGACGAGTTAATGGATGCAGCACACCAGCATGGCACATGTATACATATGTAACTAATTTGCACATTGTGCACATGTACCCTAAAACTTGAAGTATAATAATAATAAAATAAAATAAAATAAAATAAATTATCCTGCATCAATGGCAGCACCTGTGCTTATAGAAAACCGTATGTTTAGGGTACAGATGTTTGTGCATATGCTGAGAATGTGTATTCTTGCAACATCTCTGAAAATGTTGCGATTTTTTTCTCTCTCTTTTTTTAAGTACTACTTTATTGAGTTACATGGGACATACAATAAAATATCCTATTATAACTATACAATTGAAACATTTTGGTAATTTTGTATAGCCATGTAATCACCATAACAATCAAGATGTAAAACCTTTCATTCACCTTAAAAAGTTCATTTGTGCCCCTTTATGGTCATTCACATCCCCTTTTCTGAGTATAGTTTTACAATATATTCTTTCAGAAAGCTTGCAATTTTCCATTCTTGAATATGTCTTTGAAAGATCAAAAGTTGTAATTTTGATGAAGTGAAGTTTATCCAACTTTTTATTTATTGTTACTGTTTATATCACATTATTAAAAAAAACCTTGCCTAGCCCTCTAAAATTGTTCAAATTTTATTTGATAAAAGTATTTGATAAAATTCAAATACTTAGTATAGAAAAAATAAACTTTTAGATTTTGTTTCAATTTTATTTTTTAGCCCCATGTCTTTCTCTCTCTGACATATAGACAACTCCTATTTTTATCAAACTAAACATATTATACAAACAATAAATCAAAATAATAAAATAGTGATAATTTTAAAACTTAGACTATTAAAGAAATATATTTTATTTAGTTATGTGATTTCATGATAGAAAGCATTGTATAAATGATGCAAGAAACCCCACAAACCATAGCAATCATTTAAAAAAAAAACGTGCTTTAAAATCTTCTACAGGAAGAAATTAAAAACAAATGTAGAGATAGGGAAAAATATTTTAACATAAAATTTTAGTTTCAGAAAATACAAAGCATTCTGACATTTGACTTACAAAAAGACAACTCAAATAGAGAAATAGAGGAAATAATAAAAATAGGCAACTAGTTCATCAAAGAAAAAGGGATTGAATTATAAGTAAAACATAAAGTGTTCTTAGCTTTCTGATAACTAGGGAAATTTAAACAGAAATAGTAATAAGATATGTTTGAATAACCATCAGATGATAATCGACAATGAGAAAGAATGAAGTTGGGAATATAATGTATTTCTAATAAAACCGAAAATAAACACATCTAAAAATCTAGTGATTCTACTTCTAAGAATATGCAGAATATGCACATCTTATGATCTAGCAATTCCACTTCTAAGAATATACACTAAAGTTACTCTTAACCACTGCTCACTCTAAACATTAGAAATACCCAAATATCTTTATAAACTATTTATTTGCATATCAATAGGTATAGAACGCAGAAATATTCTCTTGAGAGGATAAATAGGCAGCAGACCACACACAACATTTAAACAGTATATAGTAAAATTATGGAAATTACTTTTGAAGGCCCCCGTCATCTGCATACGAATGCTTATTCGAGGAAAAGGAGGAAAGAAATAGGACCTAAAGGAAGAACAAAGAGAGTTTGACATTGTCTGTAATATTTGCTTTTATATAAATATAGGAATTATACCTATCAGAAATTGTATGTAATAAACAACCACAACAGCTCAGTGGCAAATGAAAATAATAATTTATTTTCCACATCTATAGTGCATAGGATGGCCCTGCCATTCACATCTGCATTATGCCTGTATTTGAAGACTGGCTGGTGTTCTGTGTGTCCAGGCTGGGCTCAGCTAGGCACCACCACTTCAAGCTGCAGATCTGCTTGATTCAATTGTACTGTAAGTGTTTTTAATCTGGATCCCAGATGGAAAGAGTAGCAGATACCTACAGGAAGTTCTTGTGGGGATGGTGAAACCGGCCTAATTATCCCATAGAACTGATGCTTACAGTTGTTTGAATAAAGAGAAATTGACCCTCCATGTCTTAAAACTTGAAACTTACTTTTGTATTATGAGTTCCTTCCTCAGTAACTCATAATAGTTTCTTCCTCAAACAAGAAACTAAAACTCACCAGATGACTACATCCAGACAATAAGACGCCAGACCCCTCACCCATCATGATTTTCTAACCCCTCCCTAATTACTTTTTACCAATTCCTCTTCCTAACCCTTCCCTAATTCCTGTTTTCCTACATGTAGCTACATTCCTGCCCCGCTATATAAACCTCTGAGTGTAGTTGGTTGGGGATAGGGAGATGGATTTGAGACTTAACTCCTACCTCCTTCACTACAGCACCCAAACAGTGACTTCTGCCCTAGCAATACTTACTGTCTCGGTGATTGTCTTTCTATGCTGTCAGCAGCAGGACCTAGATAATTGTTCCCTCCTCTAGTGGATGCATTTGATGATGGGACCTATAGAGTGATAAAGACAAAAACCCAGGACAGAGCCTGGGTTTTGAGTGGCTCTCTTGCGGACAACCACATGAGCAATAAAAGAATTTTGATTGGTTTCCTCCTCAGATATTTAAGCCTATTTGTTATGCTATTTACTCTAACTAATAGTTGTACCCTAGTACTTATCTTGCAGAAGCCATTTCCAATGTGAATGAGCGTAATAATTATTAGAATGATTTCAGACATGTTAGCTCAAAGAAAAAAATAAGCTCTCACAGGAAAATACTGAGATTCACTTTCTCAATCTTTTTAGAGAAGGTACATTATACAGAGTCATGAATGTCAATACCTAAAATTATGTGGTAATAAATTTAATAATGTTTCAGAAATGCTTAAAATATCTGTAAAAATGAGATAAATGTGTTTGATTGTTCTTTCAAAATGTGTTGTTTTCAAGAAAGAGAAGCTATATATTTGAAAAATTGTTAACAAATCTGATTGCATGGAAGATCATACAATAAATATTTATATATACATAATGTTCTATTAAAAGGTAAACACTGACTATGAAAAACACTTCTATAATTGGCTCAGTGTAATTGAGCTCACCATTCAGCCTTTTATAAAACGTTCATCACTAAATGCTTTTAAATAATGTATGAGTCATGTAATTGCTCTGAGTATTTTTATAATGACTGTAGTTCATACTAGAAAATGTACCTACTACCTATATGGGTCTCCCATAAAACCATATTGAACCCTAATAGATATGAATTTGAAAGCAGATATCAGTAGATTTATTCTAAGAAGGAAAATATAATTAAACTTTATCACCTCTATTTACAGTTTCAAATTAAAGGTAAAAAGACATTAAAAATTTAAACACATAATACATAGCTTTTTCAACTTTAGATATTACAAAAATGCAAATATTTTCAATAAAATCCAGATGGCTACAATTGCTAAGAACTTAGTTAATTAAAATTATTTTTAATTCAAAATGTGTACTTCCTTGTAATTGATTTTAAATTACTTAATTCCTTTCTGCATGATTTATGTCATTAACAAAACCAAGTTGCCACTAAGAAAATAATCCAAAGAATTAACCAGTGATAAATTAGGCTCTTTGGAGTATATACCTGTGAGCCATGTCATTTCAAAGTTAAAGCAGCGTTTTTGATGCTTTGACAAGGAGAAGAAATTGAATATAGAAATTGCCTTTATCAATATTTTACAGCATAGTACTTGAATAATAATGTTAAAAACAAGGAAATTGTTACTTTTATTGTGCTCATTGATAAATTGATTTAGTGCTAATGTGTTCAGACCTAATCAAATTCCTCTTTACCAGAAATGGATTTTGACCCCCTTTTCCCAACCATATTGAATGCCTTCATTTCTAGACAGTAAAGCTAGAAGCTATAAAATATATGACAGTGTCAGGGCACTCTCAGAGTATGCTGGACCCATTCTCATAATACCAGATAACTTTATGGCGTTTCCAGGATGCATAGGACTCAGGTTACATTTCCAACATGAAAGTACATGTTCCTTTAACAAATTACCTTTTCATGAAGTTTGACTGTATTGTGCCCCATTATTTCCAATTAGCATGGTGATGCTTATTTTGCTTATTTTTCACCTTCAATTGCTATAGCTCTATGCAAATTCTTTTTCTCAAAAAACTGGCCTTTTCACCTTTACCAGATTGCTAATTTTCTCATGAAATTCCTAAATATATATATATATATATATATACGCACACACACATATAATATTATATATAATATATAAAATATATATTATAAATATATATTATATATATAATCTTTATATATTATATTATATAATCTTTTTTGGTTTTTGAATAATCTTTATTCTAACCTGTGCTTATGAACATTTTATGTGCCATTACTGTAGTAGATTTTTGTTTGTATTTTGGTCGTAAGCACATATTCCTCTTTCTGAGTGCAATATCACCAATACTTTCTTTGGGGCATTTGTTTTTCCCTACTTTTCTCATTTGTATATTCTATTTGAGACTTATTTTAAAAAGTCCCTGATTATGGCAATTGTCTCAAGTATATGCAGCCAACCTAATCAGATATATACAGTTGACCCTTGAACAACAGAGGTTTGAACTATGTAGGTTCACTTATATGTATATTTTTTTCCAATAAACACATTGGAAAATTTTGTGAAGATTTGCAACAGTTTAAAAAAACCACAGGTGAACTGTGTAGCCTACAAATATCAGAAAAATTCAGAAAAAGCAAGGCATGCATGAAAACATAAAATATATGTAAGATTAGTCTATTTTATCATTTAGTACCATCAAATATACACAATATCTATTACAAAAGTAAAATTTATCAAAACTTACACAAACATTTACAGACCATACCTGGCTGCCATTTGCAATCAAGAGCAATGTAATCAAGTGTACAGATGCAGTAATAAATAATAACTGCATAAAATTAATTGTAGCATACTGTACTTATAGCCAGCTCCTATTGCTATTGTGGTGAGCTCAAGTGTAGCAGGTATCCACTTAAAATGCCTGGTGATGCTAATTATCTCCACATGACCACTTTACCTCTTCAGTAAGTTGCACTATTACAGGAAAAAGTGATCTCTCATGATTCTTGTGTATTTTTTATTGTGCTTAGCGCAAAACTGTAAACATCGAATAACATCATGGGACGTATAAGAAATCACTAGTGATACTGGAAGTACTGCCAAGAAGAGAGAAGTCAAGACATTACAAAAAAAAGGTGAATTGCTTGATATGCACTATAGATTGAAGACTGCAGTTGCAGCTGCTCACCATTTCCAAAAGAGAATCCATTTTGTAAATAAACAGTGGAAGTACTGTAAATGTATTTTTTCTTCCTTATAATTTTATTAGAAATGTTGTCTTTTTTATTTTACTTTGTGTTAAGAATACAGTATGTAACATATAAAAATGCTTTAATCAACTGTTTATGTTATTAATAAGCCTTCATTGACAGTGGGCAATTAGTAGTTGTGTTACGGTGGGGTTAAAAGTTACAGGTGGATTTTGGACTGTACAGAAGTTGGGGATGTTAAAGGCTCAACTATATTTATGTGTGTGTGTGTATGTATATATATATTTGGTTATTTATATCTGATTATATATACAATATATATACATACTCTATAATACACACATGCTTGCACACACATATACACCTATATATATATTTCAACACAGAGGTTACTGAAGGTAAAACTGCTATAGCCATATTGTCTCTATGATGGGAGAACCTGTTTCAAACTGGGTCTAAGTGAGAAAACAAAACAAAACAAAAAACCTCTCTTTGGCTTAAGGCAAAAACAATTGGAATCACTCTCAATCGTCTCTTTTTTTTTAACACCTAAAAAATTCTGCCAGACCTATATGAAAAGATATCCCCAAACCAACTATTTGTCACCTTTCTGCTTAAATTGCTAGTTAATGGTACCTCAATATTTTTGCCTGGACTGGTACAATCACTTTCTAATAATTCTCATTTTTCCATTCTAGTTATCACAATTCATTGTCATCTGTCAGTCAGAAATTAGAATTTCTGAATTTGACTGTGACACAGTAGTTTAGATTAAAATATCATACACTCTTGAACAACTAGAGAAGAGAAATAAAAATACTTCTTCAAAAATGTTTGATTGTATCAGAGAGTATATACAGCCAAAAATGAAGTTTCCAGGATCATGGAGAGAAGACAAACATATGGAAGGAAGTGGGGCTTTTTCTTCTTTTTGCCCATCAAGAGTTACCAATTTCTATGAAAGGTGGGTCTAGAGACAAAGTAGAAAGCAGCAGCATATGCATTCTTTCAACATATCAAAACATGCAGAGAGCAGCCAAAGCTTAGAGGCAATGTTACAGCCTTCAATGCATCGGAAATGAAAAAAAAATTGCTGAATTCATTACACATATATCTATGTATGTATGTGTATATATACATGTATGTGTGTATGTATGGTGAATATCTATATTCATATATATGTATACATATATGTGTATTTATACACACACACATATCATATATTAAAAACTTAGAACACACACAGCAAATTAGATCCAAAAAAGTAGAATAAAGTAAATAATACTAAGATCAGATTTATTTATGTAAATGATAAAATCCAACAAGGTGTTCCCAAAGAGAAAGAGAGAGAGGAGAGAGCAAACATGAGAGCATACACTATCAAAATTCAGAATAAAGACAGTATATAAGTAAATATCCTATGGCTGAATAGATTAAACGTTATTAAAAATTATGCCAATAATTTAAATTTTATATTAAATGAAAAATTTCTTTTGAAAGGCAAAATATAAGTGACATAGTAAAATAGAGAAGATAGAAATAATCCTTTATTTATTAAATACATTAATATATAAATGCAAATCATTCTGCAAAGTAAACTTCAAGTTTAGGTTGCTTTACAGAGAACCTTCTCAAACATGTAAGGAAGAAACAATCCACCAATTTATGCAAACTCTTTGTGACAAAAGAAAATAGGATGTACTGTTTACTTTATCCAATGATGTTTATATAACTTTGTTTCATAACTGGATACAGACATTACAGGAAATCAAAATTACAGGTCAGAATTTTGCATTAATATAAACACAAAAATCTGAAATAAATATTTGCAAGTTGAATTCAGGAAAATATAAAAATATCACAATCGAATTTGATTTATTGCTTGAATGTAATCTTAGTTTATCATGTGAAAAGCAGCTTAAGTAATTTATCAAATTGAAAAATGAAATAGATAATAGTATAATTGCTATACATAAGAAGTCTTTTGATAAAATTTAACTCCTTGCATACTGCCTTGATGGGAGTTCTGGAACAGGCATATACATTCTCCAGATTTATGAGCAAGCTTCCACACAGAAAGAAGATGGTCTCCTTAATAATAAAACTTGTTTAATTGTATAGCCACATTGGAAAAAGAATAAATTCTGAACTCTACATTACCCTATACACAAAAATACATTCTGAGTTGATAGTATGGGAAAAAATATATTAAAAAGAGAAGAAGAGAAATGTTTCTAGAAGATAACAAAGGAAATTATCTTCATTACATTGGAATTTTAAAAATTATTTTTATTTGTTTTTCCCCCTTAGCACATGTATTGTTATTTATTTTATTTTATTTTAAGTTCTAAAGTGCATGTGCAAGAAGTGCAGGTTTGTTACACAGTTAAACGCGTACCATGGTGGTTGCTGTACCTATCAACCTATCACCTAGGTATTAAGCTCAGCATGCATTACCTCTTTTTCCTAATGCTCTTCCCCCGCCCACCCTCCCTCAACAGGCCCCAGTGTGTGTTCTTCCCCTCCCTATGTCATGTCCATGTGTTCTCACTGTTCATATCCCACTTATAAGTGAGAACATGCAGTGCTTGGTTTTCTGTTCCTGCATTAGTTTGCTGAGCATAATGGCTCTCAGGTTCATCCATGTCCCTGCAAAGGACATGATCTTGTTCCTTTTTATGGCTGCATAGTATTCCATGGTGTATATATGCCAAATTTTCTTTTTCCAGTGTATCATTGATGGGGGTTTGGGTTGATTCCATGTCTTTGCTATTGTGAATAGTGCTGCAATGAACATACATGTGCATGTATCGTTATAACAGAATGATTTATATTCCATGGGTATACACCCAGTAATTGCTGGGTCAAATGATATTTCTATTTCTAAATCTTCGAGGAATTGCCACACTGTCTACCATAATGGCTGAACTAATTTACATTCCCACCAACAGTGTAAAAGTGTCATAATTAGGAAAAAACACATAATTACATCAGAAAAGATTGACAAATTGGAAACCTTTAAAATTAGGACTCATGATAGACACCATTAAAATAATGAAACATAATTCAACAAGATGTCCTTCAAAAGGTAAATGAATGAACAGTCTGTGTATCATTTGATGGATATGGAATGTTATTGGGAAGGAATTATTATTGAAAAATTAAACCCTATAAGTCAAGTCACAAAAAGACTTGGGAAAACCTTAAATACCTATTCATAAGTGAGAGAAGCAAATCCTAAAATGATACATATTATATGATCCCAACTCTGTGACATTTTGGAAAGGGCAAAACTATGGAGACGGAAAAGGGATCAATGGTTGCCAGGGGGTTGGGGTGAAGGAAGAAAATATCATTAGGTAGAACCCAGGGGATCTTTAGGGCACTGAAACTATTCTGTATGTTGCTATAATGGCAGATACATAACATTATACAGTTGTCAAAATCCATAGAGCTGCACAATACACAGAGCAAACTGCAAAGTTAACTGTGGACTTTGGTCAATAATAGCATATTAGTATTGATTCATCCATTGTAACAAGCATATGACATATTACTAGTTGTTGGCACGGGGAAAGCAGTGTTTGGAGGGTGAAGTTATATATATATGTATATATATATATGATTTCTGCTCATATATATACATGATTTCTGCTCATATATATACACGAGTTCTGCTCATATATATACACGAGATCTGCTCATATATATATACACGAGTTCTGCTCATATATAAATACACGAGTTCTGCTCATATATATGTATACACGAGTTCTGCTCATATATATGTATACACGAGTTCTGCTCATATATATGTATACACGAGTTCTGCTCATATATATATATGAGTTCTGCTCATATATATATATATATGAGTTCTGCTCATATATATATATATATGAGTTCTGCTCATATATATATATATATGAGTTCTGCTCATATATATATATATGAGTTCTGCTCATATATATATATGAGTTCTGCTCATATATATATATATGAGTTCTGCTCATATATATATATGAGTTCTGCTCATATATATATATATGAGTTCTGCTCATATATATATATATATGAGTTCTGCTCATATATATATATATGAGTTCTGCTCATATATATATATATATGAGTTCTGCTCATATATATATATATATGAGTTCTGCTCATATATATATATATATGAGTTCTGCTCATATATATATATATGAGTTCTGCTCATATATATATATATATGAGTTCTGCTCATATATATATATATATGAGTTCTGCTCATATATATATATATGAGTTCTGCTCATATATATATATATGAGTTCTGCTCATATATATATATGAGTTCTGCTCATATATATATATGAGTTCTGCTCATATATATATATGAGTTCTGCTCATATATATATATATGAGTTCTGCTCATATATATATACATATGAGTTCTGCTCATATATATATATATGAGTTCTGCTCATATATATATATGAGTTCTGCTCATATATATATATATATGAGTTCTGCTCATATATATATATATATGAGTTCTGCTCATATATATATATATATGAGTTCTGCTCATATATATATATATATATGAGTTCTGCTCATATATATATATATGAGTTCTGCTCATATATATATATATATATGAGTTCTGCTCATATATATATATATGAGTTCTGCTCATATATATATATATGAGTTCTGCTCATATATATATATATGAGTTCTGCTCATATATATATATATGAGTTCTGCTCATATATATATATATAGAGTTCTGCTCATATATATATATATATATATATATATGAGTTCTGCTCAATTTTCTGCTAAATTTTGCTACAAACTTAAAGCTTCCCTAAAAAAATAAATTTCATTATAAAAATCCACAGTTGGAAAAGACTTTTGAAATTTATATATTCAACAAACAACTTACGTTTAAAACCTTCCTACAAAATAAGAAAAATAAAGACAATTGATGATATAAAAGAAGTGTGAAAAGGCACTTAAAATGTGAAAAGGCATTTAAAATGTAGGCTACCAAATGGCCAACAAACCTAAGAAAAAATGCTCAAATTCGATAGTCATCAAATTAATGGACACTACCTTCATGAAGAGATGCCACTGTAAATCTTCAGAATGGCAAAAATTAAAAACTTGGCAATACCTAGTGAGGATGTAGAACAATTTTCAGTTTCATATATTATTGGTATATTTGAACCCTGTCATTATCTGCTGGAGCTGAAAATGCACTATCCTATGACTCAGAAATTCCACACCTGGGCATATAACCAAAAAATTTGGTACATATGTGTGTGTAAAGACATGTGCTAGAATATTCATAGAAGCAATTATCCATAGTAATGAAAAACTAGAATCATCCCAAATGTCCATCTACAGTAGAATGTATACATTTGAGTATTAACAAGTGATAGAATATAGAGTAAAAATAAACAAGCTACTGCATGTATACATACACTTCATAAAATGTTTACTTAAAAACAAAACTAATTCAGATTAGATTGTTCCTCTGCTCAAAACCTTTAAATGAAACTCCAAGCCAATATAAAAGTCCAGTCAATCTAAATTCAGAATCCAATCTCTTAATCACTGGGATACATTGCCCTTCTTTCCAGCAAGGTATGTTAGTTAATAGGAGGACAACATATACATAGGAAAACAATCTTTTTTTTTATTTTTGAGACAGCATCTCACACTGTCGCCTAGGCTAGAGTGCAGTGGCATGATCTCAGTTCACTGCAACCTCCGCCTCCCGGGTTCAAGCAATTCTCCTGCCTCAGCCTCCTGAGTAGCTGAGACTACAGGTGCTCATGTTGGTGCTCAATGTTGGCCACGATGGTCTCGATCTCTTAACCTAGTGATCTGCCCGCCTCGGCTTCACAAAGTGCTGGGATTACAGGCATGAGACACCGGCGCCCAGCCAATCTATTTTTTATTAATTAGTTAAAGGATACAATATCTTAGTCATACATACATAATTGCACAGAAGACCTAGCAAGTGTCACACACTCATTTCAATGTGTGGTTTCCTTAGCATCACTGTGGTTCCTCACTATGGGTCAAGTATCTGCCAGTGATAACGCCTGGTTAAAAATGGGATTTAAAGTATAATTCCTAGAGAATCTAATTCTGAACCTTTCTCAGAGGACATTAATGGCTTCATGACTACTCTCAATTGTTTGAAAAAAAAAATCCTGGCTAGATATTTGCTTTCTGGCCTAATGCAAGCAGATACAAGCCATAATAAACTATGTAAGATAGAATTCAGATACTAGTCTTCCATATCCATTTCCTTTCTCAATGCAGGAGATGATGAATAAGGCTCCAGCACATGATCAAGAAAATTCCGTAGATCAGGTTTAATTTAACATCCAATTTCCAAATGTAATTAGGATATGCCAGTTTAGGTGAGGCCAGAAGTCAGGCCCACCTAAAATTCTATACATACATAAACCAGAGTCAGCACAAATGTCATCTTTCAAAGTTCAGCACTTCCCTCTTCCTAAATAAATTCTTTCTCATCTGTTTATTTTTCCATGTGGAATATCTATAACAGCAGAGTATAATGGAAGATGTGAAATGGTTAAGCATACCTTGTAAGTTTTGTAGCTAAGGAAGTTATTTAACACATTTAATAATTTTAAAGAAAATGAGTAAAGGTCTTTGTCTTTACTATGACTTAGGTTCATTTGTATGTACTGGAGATAACCTTGGATTATGCAAGATAGAAATGTATTTCTCTAGCATACTAAAATTTACATACATGTAATTTAGTCCTGGTCAGATATCTCCAACACCTTTACAGACTCTTTACAACTTTCTCTTTCATCATTCTTAGGGAGAAACAAATGGCCCAAAATAGGGCCCTTTAAATAAATCTAGATTTTAAACAGAAGAAGGCAGGAAAAGGAAAGGCAACAGGTCATACCATGTCCTAATAATGACACATCCAAGATGTTTGACAAATCATTTACTCCTAGATACAAGCCAGTAATTGGTCAAACTGCCACATCAAACTTTAAGGATATCTGGTAGATGCAATCTTTAAGCCAGTGGATCATGTATCCAGTGAAAGGTTAGGAGTTTTGTCAGAAAGAGATGAGAAAACTGTTTCTGTGGGAAATCTCACAGCCTCTGTCACAGTTGCTACGATGTGATTAAACGAAAATTCATGTTCAAGTCCTACTCCAAATAGAACCACTCTTCCTGTCTATAGGAGTCTACTGTCAAGTGCTATCCCCAGCTGATACAAATAGAAAGATAACCATTCAAAATAATAGGTAAATGAAAGTTTTGTTTTGCCTTGTCTGTAAATAAATAAACAAATATATTTTTTAAAGACTTGGAAATCAAAGAAAACCAGAAATTATTGGCAGAGATTGGGAATTTCTGAAAGAGAATCTGACTGAAGTAAAGAATGTCCTGGGACCCACAGACCAAAAGCAGTAGACATTGAATGATTTAAAATTTACAGCATTTCACAAAATTTATTTAGGAAAGAGAAAGTAGATATTTCTACAAAATCCCTTACACTGTTATTCATTGAAGATAATTAGACATTAATGATGAAAAACCTGTTTTTAATTTGTGGTTTATTACATATAAATACATTAGGCCACAATAATAAAAAGCCCAACTTCCAATAGCTTAACCACATAGATATATCTGATTTTTGTGGATCAAGAAATGCAGAATTAGTCTAGTAGTTCCATGATATCATCAAAATCCAGAGTCCTTTTATTTTAGCTTCAAGCATCTTTGGTAGGCAGCTTTCAACTTTAGCGTTCAAAGATGGCTGTATGACATTTAAGTTAGATGAAGGCAGAAAGAAGGGGTAAGGCTAAGGAAAAAGGTTAAAATCTTCTTCGTAAGTTTCCTTTAAAAGTTGTTTCAAGCTGGAAGCTTTACTTAGAGATTTTAGCCAAAATGTTATTGACCAGGATTGTGAAATGTGGCCATCTTAAAAGAATGCTTGGGAGACTGAGAATTAGAAGACAAAGAAAAATGAGGCTATCTTGACGTCAGGTGGTCGACATACAATGTCTGTTAGAAGTACTATTTTTAAAGTTATTATGGCAAACAACATATTTGCACTAATTTTTAACACAACTTTTAGAAAATACTGAGATAAAAATGTCTCTCTGAGTTTTTGTAAGAAAACTATCTGACCCAGTGAACCTCATCTAGAAAATACAGAAAAGATTTTACTTCCGAGAGTGGATATAGTCTACTATTATTCATCTAATATCCACTTCTTAGCCTCATAATACACAGATACGTGCACCTGCATGGGAAGAGTATGTTTTCCATTCCACTAATATTGAGCTTTGTTATGTAACCTTTATTTGGCTTCATGTAAGGAAAATGGGCATGTGCTTTGACTTGAGGTTTGAATATCTGACTTGCTTTGCCCAGTGGGATATTTATGAATAAGAGGTGACCTAAGACTTTAAATAAGATGAGTGTTTGGGTTTGTTCTCTAGTTTTTTGTCATTAACCCTGTGAAGAATATGCTTTCCTTGCCACTTGTCCAAAGCAGATTAGAGACACAGGAAGTAAAATGCATTTAACCCCTCATGTGGAGCCAAGCCCAGCTGAAGAAAGCATTGGTGAGCAAGAAATCAGCTCACTTTCAAATGAGTAAGCAAGATATAAATGTTTTTGAAAGTCATATAAATTTTGGGGTTTCCCTCTTATGCAATATTATTGTGGCAATAGTTTACTGAATCTTTGAGCAAAACAGCTAAATCAGTACTTCTTTAAAATTGAGTTTTAATTATTCTAGTTTTAAAATATATTTGGAAATCAGGAAGTGTGATGACTCAGCCTTATTTTTCTTTTTTAAGATTGTTTTGGCTACTTAGGGTTCTTTGTGGTTCCATACAAATTTTAGGATTGATTTTTCTATTTCTGTAGAAAATGTCATTGACATTGTGATAGAGATTACAATGGATTTGTAGACTGTTTTTGTTAGTATGGACATTTTAAAAATATTAAAATGTCTTTCCATTTATGTGTGTCTTTAATATTTTTTTATTTATTATTATTATACTTTAAGTTTTAGGGTACATGTGCACAATGTGCAGGTTAGTTACATATGTATACATGTGCCATGCTGGTGCGCTGCACCCACTAACTCGTCATCTAGCATTAGGTATATCTCCTAATGCTATCCCTCCCCCCTTCCCCCACCATACGACAGTCCCCAGAGCGTGACGTTCCCCTTCCTGTGTCCAAGTGTTCTCATTGTTCAATTCCCACCTATGAGTGAGAACATGCGGTGTTTGGTTTTTTGTTCTTGTGATAGTTTACTGAGAATGATGATTTCCAATTTCATCCATGTCCCTACAAAGGACATGAACTCAACATTTTTTATGGTTGCATAGTATTCCACGGTGTATATGTGCCACATTTTCTTAATCCAGTCTATCATTGTTGGACATTTGGGTTGGTTCCAAGTCTTTGCTATTGTGAATAATGCCGCAATAAACATACGTGTGCATGTGTCTTTATAGCAGCATGATTTATACTCCTTTGGGTATATACCCAGTAATGGGATGGCTGGGTCAAATGGTATTTCTAGTTCTAGATCCCTGAGGAATCGCCACACCGACCTTCACAATGGTTGAACTAGTTTACAGTCCCACCAACAGTGGAAAAGTGTTCCTATTTCTCCACATCCTCTCCAGCACCTGTTGTTTCCTGACTTTTTAATGATCGCCATTCTAACTGGTGTGAGATGGTATCTCATTGTGGTTTTGATTTGCATTTCTCTGATGGCCAGTGATGGTGAGCATTTTTTCATGTGTTTTTTGGCTGCATAAATGTCTTCTTTTGAGAAGTGTCTGTTCATGTCCTTCGCCCACTTTTTGATGGGGTTGTTTGTTTTTTTCTTGTAAATTTGTTTGAGTTCATTGTAGATTCTGGATATTAGCCCTTTGTCAGATGAGTTAGGTTGCGAAAATTTTCTCCCATTTTGTAGGTTGTCTGTTCACTCTGATGGTAGTTTCTTTTGCTGTGCAGAAGCTCTTTAGTTTAATTAGATCCCATTTGTCAATTTTGTCTTTTGTTGCCATTGCTTTTGGTGTTTTAGACATGAAGTCCTTGACCATGCCTATGTCCTGAATAGTAATGCCTCGGTTTTCTTCTAGGGTTTTTATGGTTTGAGGTCTAACGTTTAAGTCTTTAATCCATCTTGAATTGATTTTTGTATAAGGTGTGAGGAAGGCATCCAGTTTCAGCTTTCTACATATGGCTAGCCAGTTTTCCCAGCACCATTTATTTAATAGGGAATCCTTTCCCCATTGCTTGTTTTTCTCAGGTTTGTCAAAGATCAGATAGTTGTAGATATGCAGCATTATTTCTGAGAGCTCTGTTCTGTTCCATTGATCTATATCTCTGTTTTGGTACCAGTACCATGCTGTTTTACTTACTGTAACCTTGTAGTATAGTTTGAAGTCAGGTAGCGTGATGCCTCCAGCTTTGTTCTTTTGGCTTAGGATTGACTTGGCGATGGGGGCTCTTTTTTGGTTCCATATGAACTTTAAAGTAGTTTTTTCCAATTCTGTGAAGAAAGTCATTGGTAGCTTGATGGGGATGGCATTGAATCTGTAAATTACCTTGGGCAGTATGGCCATTTTCATGATATTGATTCTTCCTACCCATGAGCATGAAATGTTCTTCCATTTGTTTGTATCCTCTTTTATTTCATTGAGCAGTGGTTTGTAGTTCTCCTTGAAGAGGTCCTTCACATCCCTTGTAAGTTGGATTCCTAGGTATTTTATTCTCTTTGTAGCAATTGTGAATGGGAGTTCATTCATGATTTAGCTCTCTGTTTGTCTGCTATTGGTGTATAAGAATGCTTGTGATTTTTGTACATTGATTTTGTATCCTGAGACTTTGCTGAAGTTGCTTATCAGCTTAAGGAGATTTTGGGCTGAGACAGTGGGGTTTTCTAGATATACAGTCATGTCGTCTGCAAACAGGGACAATTTGACTTCCTCTTTTCCTGATTGAATACCCTTTATTTCCTTCTCCTGCCTAATTGCCCTGGCCAGAACTTCCAACACTATGTTGAATAGGAGTGGTGAGAGAGGACATCCCTGTCTTGTGCCAGTTTTCAAAGGGAATGCTTCCAGTTTTTGCCCATTCAGTATGATACTGGCTGTGGGTTTGTCATAGATAGCTCTTATTATTTTGAGATCCGTCCCATCAATACCTAATTTATTGAGAGTTTTTAGCATGAAGGGTTGTCAAGCAAATGCTGAGAGATTTTGTCACCAACAGGCCTGCTCTAAAAGAGCTCCTGAAGGAAGCACTAAACATGGAAAGGAAAAACCGGTACTAGCCACTGCAAAAAAATGCCAAATTGTAAAGACCATCGAGGCTAGGAAGAAACTGCATCAACTAACAGGCAAACTAACCAGCTAACATCATAATGACAGGATCAAATTCACACATAACAATATTAACCTTAAATGTAAATGGGCTAAATGCTCCAATTAAAAGACACAGACTGGCAAATTGGATGAAGAGTCAAGACCCATCTGGGTGCTGTATTCAGGAAACCCATCTCACATGCAGAGACAAACATAGGCTCAAAATAAAGGGATGGAGGAAGATCTACCAAGCAAATGGAAAACAAAAAAAGGCAGGGGTTGCAATCCTAGTCTCTGATAAAACAGACTTTAAATCAACAAAGATCAAAAGAGACAAAGAAGGCCATTATATAATGGTAAAGGGATCAATTCAACAAGAAGAGCTAACTAGCCTAAATATATATGCACCCAATACAGGAGCACCCAGATTCATAAAGCAAGTCCTGGGTGACCTACAAAGAGACTTAGACTCCCACACATTAATAATGGGAGACTTTAACACCCCACTGTCAACATTAGACAGATCAACGAGACAGAAAGTCAACAAGGATACCCAGGAATTGAACTCAGCTCTGCACCAAGCAGACCTAATAGACATCTACAGAACTCTCCACCTCAAATCGACAGAATATACATTTTTTTCAGCACCACACCACACCTATTCCACAATTGACCACATAGTTGGAAGTAAAGCTCTCCTCAGCAAATGTAAAAGAACAGAAATTATAACAAACTATCTCTCAGACCACAGTGCAATCAAACTAGAACTCAGGATTAAGAATCTCACTCAAAACCGCTCAACTACATGGAAACTGAACAACCTGCTCCTGAATGACTACTGGGTACATAATGAAATGAAGCAGAAATAAAGATGTTCTTTGAAACCAACGAGAACAAAGACACAACATACCAGAATCTCTGGGACGCATTTAATATTTCTTTCATCAATGTTTCACCGTTTTCAGTGCATAAGTCTCTCAGCTCATTAGTTTGATTTATTCCTAAGTATTTTATTATTTTGATGCTATTATAAATCGAACTGTTTTCTTAATTTTCTTCCAGATTGTCCAGTGTTCGTATATAAAAATGTAACTGACATGTTTTAAATCTACAGTAATTCAAACAGCATTGTACTAATATAAAGACAGACATTTATACCAATGGAACAGAATAGAGATCCCAGAAATAAATCCACAAATATACAGTCAACTGATCTTTGATCGGGGGCTAAGAATATACAATGGGGAAGGAATAGTCTCTTCAACAAATGGTGCTGAGAAAACTGGATATCCATATGGAAAAAAAAATTGGAATTGTTTCTTGCACCGCACACACAAGTCAATGCAAGATGGATTAGATGTAAATAAAGGCTTAAAATAACAAAATCCTTGAAAGAGACAAAAGTGGAAAGCTTCATGACATTGGTCTTAGCAATAGTTTCTTGGATATAACACTAACAACATTGGCAACAAAAGTAAAAATAAACCAGTGGGGCTACATCAAACTAAAAATCTTTTGCACCGCAAAGGAAACAATTAATAGATTGAAAAGGCAATTTATGAATTTGGAGAAAATATTTGCAATCCATATATCTGATAAAGGATTTATATTCAAAATATATTAAAAAACCTACAATGCAATCGCAGAAACAAACAAGAAAAAAAGGACAAAACAAAAAAAGTACACTATTAAAGAAAGAGGAAAAGACTCCCATAAACATTTATCCAAAGAAGACATACAAATGTCAAATAGGTATATAAAAAGATACTTAACATCATTAATTCTCAGGGAAATCCAAATCAAACTCACAATGATATATCACCTTACACCTGTTAGGACTACCATTATTAAATAACAGATTTGGGTAAGAATAGGAAGACACTGAAAGCATTGTACACTATTGTTGGGAAAGTAAATTGGTGCAACTGCTATGGAGAAGAGTATGGCGGTGCCTTAAACATTTTAAAATATAACTGCCATATGATCCAACATCCTACTTCTGTATATTTATTCAAAATAACTAAAACCAGGATCTTGATTAGATATTTGCACTTCCATGCACTTCTATTCTATCTATGAATGATACTTGGAGTATCATTCATAATGGCCGAAGTATGGAAATTTTTAATTGTCCATTGATGTATAAACGGACAAAGCAAATGTGATATACATACAATGGAGTATTATTCAGCTATTAATAAAACAAGAAAATTCTGCAATATGCCAAAACATGGATGAACCTGGAAGACATTATGTTAAGTGGAATTAGCCAGTCACAGGATAAATACTGCATGATCCCATTTATATGAGGTATCTAAAGGAGTCAAACTCACAGAAGCAGAGGGTAGAATGGTGGTTGCCAGAAGATAAGAGGGAGAGGAATATAGGGAGTTTCTGTTCAATGGATAGAAAGTTTCAGTTATACAAGATAATAAGTTCAAAGATTTGCTGTATTTCATGCCTATAGTTAATAATACTGTATTGTATATTTAAAATTATTTTTAAAGGGTAGATCTCATATTAAATGTTCCTACTCTAATAAAAAATAATGAGAAAAACAGAATTGAGTTAGCTGACTGGGAATGGTAAACCTGTGACATTTGCCACATAATGCTACACACTAGTTATTTATATTTATTCTTATTTCTCTCAGCAGAATATTAACTTGAGAGAGCCAATTAAAGTTGCAATGTGTATGTATGTATCCCCACAATTCTTATAATACTTTGCATTTTAATAGTTACGAAGTAAGATTAACTACAAAACCAAGAAGTAAAACAGCAACTATTATACTTAAAAATCATGAGATATTCATTTAAAAGTTCTTGGATTTTAAATATATTTACAGGAAAATATGGCAAGTAGCAACAAATAGTTACTATCCATTCAATACCACATGACTCAAATTCATGTTAAATATAAGGTTAATGGTAGGGTTCATCTGAAGGACGACAAGCAGATGATGTACCTAAAATGATTTCTTCATGTCTGAATGGTTCCAGATGGTCTCCATTTCAGACTTTTCATGACTGGTCTGAAAGCTTCTCTTCTTGCACGCTAATAAGTTAGCCTGCTGTAGTTTTATGGATGCTGGCAGAACAGAGTCCAAACATAAAGCCATACATATATAATCCATTCATTTCAATCAATGAACTGAGGAAAGCAAATGAAGAAAGGATAGTTTTTTGAACATATAGTGCCAGAACAACTGAATGTCTGTATGGGAAAAAAATGAACCTAGGGTGGTATCAATGGGAATGGTAGAGACTTTCAAGTATCTGTACCTTCATAACAGCAATGACAACACTAGCAAAAATGGCCAAAATCAACTTTTTCAGAACTCTGGAAATGAGCCAAAGTCTTGGAATATTTACTTAAGGAAGACAATAACAGAATCTTTGTAAGAAAAGTGAGTTATATGGCATTTTAACTTGCCTTTATCCCCTCTCTTCAGCTGTGCATTAGATTTAGAAAACAACAGTTCCACAAACAAGGTAGCTGTGAAAATCAGCAGCCTAGCAGTTACGAAAGGGGGCATAAAGGATTTGAAGCCCTCAAAAGCCAAATCCCTAGAGAATTGTCATCATCTGACAAGCAGGAAGTGCAAGCAGAAAGTGAAAGCAGAGTTGTCAGCTGCCTAAGTGTTGAATGAAGCCATGCACCAACACACACACACACACACACACACACACACACACACACACACAACCCCGGCTTAGTAGAGATTTGGAGAATTACTGTATAAAAGCATTTTAAGAAATCTCTGTCCAATTAGTAGCTTACAATTTAGTTAACTGAGCAGAAATTTCTGTAGCCATACAGGACAAAAAATACAAAGTTAACAGAATTAGTTCAGTAAAGTCACTAAGGAAACAATCAACAACAACAACAAACCTTGCCAGAGGGGGATCTGTATCATTTTTCTACTGCTTTAATTTAAAAAATGCCATGAACTACGTGGCTTAAAATGACACGAGTTTATTATATGTCTAAAGGTCAGAGATCTAAAATTGGTCTCATTGGCTAAAATCAAGGTGTCAGTAGGCCTGTATTCCTTCCTGAGGCTCTATGGGATAATCTGCATGTTTTCCCTTTTCAGTTTTTAGAGGCCCCCTGCATTACTTCACTCAGTGCCTCATTCTTCCATTACTAAAACCAGCAAAATATGTTTCAGTTTTTCTCATGCTGCTAAATCTCTCTGACTCTCTATCTTCTGCCTTTCTCTTCCAGATAAAAGAACCCTGTGACTACATTGGACACACTCTGATAATGCTGGATAATCTCTCCATTTCAAGGTCAGCTGATGAGCATTCTTAATTCTATCTGTATCTTTAACTGTTCTTTCTCATGAAACTTCATGTAATCATTGGTTCCAGAGATTAGAATGTGAACATTGTTGGAGATCCATTATTGTGCCTATCACATTTAAGAAAATTAAAACCTAATACCTCATCATAATCTCTAGTAGTCAGAAGGCAGTGAGATGACATTTGGTGCTGAAAGATTATCAACCAAAAATTCTACTTTCAGCAAAATTATTTTGCAAATATGAAGGAGAAATTAAAACATGCATTAAATGAGAACAGAGAGAATATATTATTAGCAAATTTGTGTTAAAAGACATACAAAGGAGGTTCTTTGAGCAGAAATGAAATGAAATGAAGCATATTCACGAGTTCTGGGAATCAGGATGTGGATATTTGGGGACAATTATTCAGCCTCCCACAGAATTATCTTCATTCTCATAAAGGCTGTCTACAAACATCTGGCAGCTAGCATGATACTTAATGATAAAAGACTGAAAACTTTCCTCTTAAGATTAGCAATAGGACAAAATAATTCATTTCTCACTCAATTTATTGAACATTGTACTAGAAATTCTAGCCAGAGCCACTTGCAAGAAAATGAAATGAAAAATCGAAAAGAAAGAAGCAAAACTATTTCTCTTCCCAGAAGACACAATCTGGTATACAAAAAAATTCTACAGAATTTAAAAAGCATATAATAACTTATAAACAAATTCAGCAAGGTTGCACAATACAAAATCAACTTACAGAAATTAATTATATTTTTATACACTAGCAAAGAACAACTTAAAAATGGAATTTTTAAAATTTCTATTTTAAAAATTGAAAAGTAACAAGAAAACAATCAATGTAAATAGAATCAAAAATAAAATACTTAGAAATAACTACGCAAAACCTGTACACTGAAAGCTACAAAACATCACTGAAAAAGTTAAGGAAGACATAAAGAAAACAGCATTTTATTTCATGGATCAGAAGATTTAAAAGTGGCAATACTCCTAAATTGTTATAAACATTTAAAGCAATTCTTTTTTTTTTTTTTTTTTGAGACGGAGTCTCGCTCTGTCTGTCGCCCAGGCTGGAGTGCAGTGGCGCGATCTCAGCTCACTGCAAGCTCCGCCTCCCGGGTTCATACCATTCTCCTGCCTCAGCCTCCCGAGTAGCTGGGACTACAGATGCCCACCACCACGCCCAGCTAATTTTTTTTGTATTTTTAGTAGAGACGGGGTTTCACCATGTTAGCCAGGATGTTCTCGAGCTCCTGACCTCGTGATCCGCCCACCTCGACCTCCCAAAGTGCTGGGATTACAGGTGTGAGCCATCGCGCCCGGCCCATTTAAAGCAATTCTTATCAAAATCCTAGCCAACATTTTTTTTTCCCAGAAACTGAAAAGCAGATTCTAAAATTCACATAGAAACACAAGGGACCCAGAATATTCAAAACAATCTTGAAAATAAAAGATAGAAAAATTCATACTACATGATTTAAAAACTGAGAGCTACAGTAATCAAGATGACATGGTGCTTGCATTAGGATAGACATAAAACTATGAAGTATAATTGAGATTCCAAGTATAAATCCTTGAACTTATAATAATTAATTTTTGATAAGCATGCCAAGATAATTCAGCGGAGGAAAGAATAGTCTTTTCAACAAATAGTACTGGAACAACTAGTTATCCATGGCAAAATACCAAGCTTGACCTCTAACTCACAACATATCCAAAAACAAAACAACAAATAAGCAAACAAACAAAAACTCAAAATAGATAAGATTCCAAAATGTAAGTGCTAAAACTCTAAAACTTTTTTAGAAAAATGAGTCCATTTTCTTGACCTTGATTTAAGCAATTTTTTTTCTAATATGAGACCAAAAGCACAAACAATAAAAGGAAAAATAGACAAACTGTACTTTATAAAAATTATAAAATTTTCTGCCTTGAAAAATCCCATCAAAAAAGTAAAACAACAAGCCACAAAATAGGAGAAAATGTTTGCAAATCCTGTATCTGTTAAAAGACTTATATAAACAACTGCTGCAATTTAATCAAAAATCACATGAAAATATGTTCAACCTTATTTCTCATATATGAAGTGCAAATTAGCACAACAATGAGATACCTCTGTCTACCCATTATAATAGCTTAAAAATCAAAGACGTATATAAACAACTACTTCAACTTAACATTCAAAAGACAAACATTATACACAAATGTCAATAAGCACAAGACAAAAGAGCAGCATCATTAGTCATTTGAGAGATACAAATCAAACCACAATGAGATACCATTTCACACCTACGAGGATAACTATAATAAAAAAGATGCACAAGTGTTAGCAAGGATGTGGATAAATTATAACCCTCATACATTGCAAGCAGGAGTCTAAAATGGTACAGCAATTATGGAAAATAACTTGGTAGTTCTCAAAATGTTAAAGGTAGAGTTACCATATAATGTTTTTGATGTTGATGAAAATGTTCTGGAATTAGATAGTGGTGATGGCCACACAGTTTTGTGAATATACTAAAGACCATTGAATTGTACATTTTAAAAGAGTGAGTTTTATGACATGTGAATTATATCTCAATAAAAATGAACATATACACTTAGTTCATGTCACATATATACTGAACACAAAATGGACCATCAATTCAAACATAAAGTTAGAACTATTAAAACTTTCAGAAAAAAATACAAAAAAAAATATTACTATCTTTGGTGCTGTAACCACTCAAGAATCAGAACTGACCCTCACCTAAAATTTGGTTCAAATGTCTAACAATACCACACATATCCCTGGACTATGAAAGGTTTATTACTCATATAATGAGGCTCCTGGGAAAACCAGGACAAACTTAGCACTATGGTTCCAAAATAGGTTTTGAGAGCAGAGCAAAGTGACTTTTTATTTATTTATTTGTTTGTTTGTTTGTTTGTTTGTTTATTTATTTAGAGATGGAGTCTTGCTCTGTCCCCAGGCTGGAATGCAGTGGCGTGATCTCGGCTCACTGCAAGTTCCGCCTCCCGGGTTCACGCCATTCTCCTGCCTCAGCCTCCCGAGTAGCTGGGACGACAGGCGCCCGCCACCACGCCCGGCTAATTTTGTTTTTGTATTTTTAGTAGTAACGGGGTTTCACCGTATTAGCCAGATGGTCTCGATCTCCTGACCTCGTGATCTGCCTGCCTCGACCTCCCAAAGTGCTGGGATTACAGGCGTGAGCCACCGTGCCCGGCCGACTTTGTGTTTTTTTATGGTGGTGAGACAGTGGGGTAAAGGATAGGGGTCCCTTTCAGGCCTGCTTTGAACTTTCCCCGTGTTAAAGAAGAAAACATGCAAGCTTTCTTATCAACCTGCAGAAATATGGGGCAAGATGAGAAGTGAATCCTAAAAACTGTCAAATAAACCATTAAAATAATGAGTCAGACTGTTCATTACATTTGGAATACTTGAAGATTTCTTAGGTAGATCACCAACTGCATGAACAACAACAACAAAAAAATGAATAGAGTTGACTTCATAAAACTTAACCACTTTTGTTCTCCGAAAGAAACTACTAAGAAAATACAAATCAAGTCACAGCCTAGGATTCTGTATATTTGACCTTTGTACAAAATATACATATATAACTTGAAAGTAAATAATAAGACAAAGTAAAGAAATAGGCAAAATATTTAAAGTCTCTTTGCAAAATAAGCTATATAAATCATCACTAATCACATGAAAATATGTTCAAACTTATTTCTCATACATGAAATGCAAATTAGCACATCAGTGAGATACCTCTACCCATTATAATAGCTAAACTCATAAAATTCAATAGCAAATATTGAAGAGGATAGAAAGAAACCAGAATACTTAAATATTGCTGACAGAAATACAAAATGATACAGCCACTCTGGCAAACAGTTTGGGAGCTTTTAGAAAGTTTAACATATGCTTATAGTATGGCTCATCCTACCCATTCCTAGGCCTTTCCATATGAAAAAAGAAAGTATAATTGCTCAAAAAGACTTGCACACTACTACTTCTATCAGGCATATTCAGTAAAGTCACATCTGGAAGCAAACATCTGTCAAACATCTGTCAGGAGGAAAATTCCCAACTCATTGTAGCTTATCTGTTCAATGAAATCCTACTCAGCAGTAAAAATTAAAAAAAAAATCTATTGACACACATAAAATGGATGAATCAATAAAATAGTGTGCCACTGAAAAGAAACCAAACATAAAGGAATACAGATTGCATTATTCTACCTTATATGCCATTCTAGAAAAGACAAATTTAATTCAGAAAAACACCAGGTGAGTAGTGCCTAGTCCTAAGTCTGAATGGAAGGCGGAGATTGTCTGAAAAGAAATACAAGGAAATTTTTGGTGAGATCGAAATTTTTATGACTAGATTGTGGTAATTGCTCAAGTGCATAAAATTCATCAGACATTATCAAAATGTTTACTGAAAATGTGTTTATTTTCACTTAACATAATTACCTCCAGTTCTATGTTGCTGCAAATGACAGGATTTCTTTCTTTTCTAATGATTGAATAACATTCCATTGTGTATACATAATACATTTTCTTTTTCAGTGTATACATTGATGAGAACTTTGGTTGATTCCATATTTTGGCTATTGTGAATAGTGCTGCAATAAATATGGGAGTGCAGATATCTCTTTGAAATACTGATTTCATTTATTTTGGATATATACCCAGTAGTGAGATTGCTGGATCATGTGGCAGTTCTACCTTTAGTTTTTGAGGACCTCCATACTGTTCTCCACAGTGGTTGTACTAATTTACATTCCTACCAACCGTGTATGAGGGTTCCCTTTTCTCTACATCCTTCCCAGCATCTGTTATTGCCTGTCTTTTTAAATACAAGCCATTTTAACTGGGGTGTAATGATATCTCATTTTGGTTTTGATTTGTGATTCTTTGATGATTAGTGATGTTGATTATTTTTTAACTTACCTATTGGCCATTTGTGTATCTTCTTTTGAGAAATGTATGTTCAAATATTTTACCTATTTTTAAATCAGACTATCTGCATTGTTTTCTTTTGCTATTTGAGCCCTTTATATATTCTGGTTATTAATCCCATATCCAACAGATAGTTTGTAAATATTTTCTCCCATTCTGTGGGTTATTACTTTACTTCTTTTCTTCTTTGTGCATAAGATTTTTTAGCTTGATGTAATCCCAATTGTCTAATTTTGCTTTTGTTGCCTGTGTTTTTGAGGTCTTACACAAAAAATATTTGTGCAGATCAATGTCCTGGGATTTTCCCCCAATGTTTTTTTCTAGTAGTTTTATCATTTTTGATCTTATGTTTAAGTCTTTAATGTATTTCTTTTTAATTTAACATTTATTTTAAGTGCAGAGTACATGTGCAGATTTGTTCTATGGGTAAACTTGTGTCATGGGGGTATGTTGTACAGATTATTTCATCACTCATGTATTAAGCCTGGTTAGTAATCATTAGTTATTTTTTCCTGATCCTCTCCCTCCTCCTGTCATCCACCCTCCAATAGGTCCCAGTGTGCTTCATACTCTTCTATGTGCCCATATGTTCTCATCATTTAGCTCCCACTTATAAGTGAGAATATGTGGTGTTCAGATTTCTGTTCTTGCATCTGTTTGCTAAGGATGATGGCCTCCAGCTCCATCCATGTTCTTGCAAAGGACACGATCTCATTCTTTTTTATGGCTGCATAGTATCTAACTCATGATGTATATCTACCACATTTTCTTTTTCCAGTCTACCTTTGATGGGCATTTAGGTTGACTCCTTATCATTGCAATTGTGAATAGTGCTGCAATGAACATATGTGTGCATGTATGTTTATGACAGAATAATTTATATTTCTTTGGGCATATACTCAGTAATTGGATTACTAAGTGGAATGGTAGTTCTGTTTTTAGGTCTTTGAGGAATTACCAACCACTGTCTTCCACAATGGTTGAACTAATTTATATTCCCATCAACAGTGTATAAGCATTCCTTTTTCTCTGGAACCTCACAAGCACCTGTTATTTTTTTCACTGTTTATTAATAGCCATTCTGACTGGTGTGAGATGGTATCTCATTGTGATTTAAGTTTGCATTTCTCAAATAATCACTGACATTGAACTTTTTTCACATGCTTGTTTGCTTCATGTATGTCTTTTAAAATATGTCTGTTCTTGTCCTCTGTCCACTTTTTAAAGAAATTGTTTTTTATCGAAATTTGTTTAAGTTCCTTATAGATGCTGGATATTAGACACTTGCCAGATATATAGTTTGACAATATTTTCTCCCATCCTGTAGGTTGTGTGTTCACTCTGTAGATAGTTTCTTTTGCTGTGCAGAAGCTCTTTAGTTAAATTAGATCCCATTTGTCAATTTTTGCTTTTGTTGCAATTGTTTTTGGCAACTTTGTCATAAAATACATGCTTGTTCCTGTGCCCAAAATGGTATTGCCTAGGTTGTCTTCAAGGGTTTTTATAGTTTTAGATTTTACATTTAAGTCTTTAATCCATCCTGAGTTGAGTTTTGTATATGGTGTAAGAAAGGGGCCGACTTTCAATCTTCCTCGTTTTGCTAACCAGTTATTCTAGCACCATTTATTGAATAGGGTGTCCTTTACCCATTGCTTGTTTTTGTCAGCCTTGTCAAGGATCAGATAGTGCTAGGTATGTGGCCGTATTTCTGAGTTCTCTATTCTGTTCCATTGGTCTATATGTCTGTTTTTGTAGCAGTACTATGCTGCTCTGTTTACTGTAGCCCTGTAGTATAGTTTGAAGTTGGGTAATGTGATTTCTCCACACTTGTTCTTTTTGCTTAGGATTGCCTTGGCTATTCAGGCTTCGTATTTGTTTGTTTGTTTGTCTTTTTGGTTCCATATGAATTTTTAATTTTTTTTCTAGTCTGTGAAGAGCATCATTGGTACTTTAATAAGAATAATATTTAATATATAAATATTTAATCTATAAATTGCTTTGGGCAGTATGGCCATTTTAACAACATTGATTCTTCCTATTCATGAGCATGGAATGTTTTCCCATTTGGTTGTCATTCCTTTTTTTCCTTTGGGCAGTGTTTTGTAGTTCTCCATGTAGAGATATTTCACCTCCTTGGTTAGCTGTATTCCCAGTCATTTCATTCTTTTTGTGGTGATTGTGAATGGGATTGCCTTCCTGATTTGGCTATTGGCTAGATTGTTGTTGTAGTGTAGGAATGCTAGTGATTTTGTACATTGATTTGGTATCCTGAGAGTTTGTTAAAGTTATTTATTAGCTGAAGGAGATTTGGGGCTGAGACTATGGGGTTTTCTAGACAAAGCATCATGTCATCTGCAAACCGGGATAGTTTCACTTCCTCTTTTCCAATTTGGATGCCCTTTATCTCTTTCTGTTGCCTAATTACTCTGCTCAGGACTTCTAATACTATGTTGAATAGGAGTGGTGAGAGAGGATATCTTTGTCCTGTGACAGGTTTCAAGAGGAATGCTTTCAGCTCTTGTCCATTCATTATGATGTTGGCTGTGGGCTTATCATATATGGCTCTTATTATTTTGGGGTATGTTCCTTCAGTACCCAGTTTGTTGAGAGTTTTTAACATAAAGAGTGTTGAAATTTATTAAAATTCTTCTCCACATCTATTGAGATAATCATGTGATTTTGTCTTTAGTTCTGTTTATGTAATGAATCACATTTATTGATTTGCATATGTTGAACCAACTTTGCATCCCAGAGATAAAGTCTACTTGATCATGGTAGATAAGATTTTTGATGTGCTGCTGGATTAGGTTTGCCAGAATCTGAGGATGTTTGCATCAATATTCATCAAGGGTGTCAGTCTGAAGTTTTCTTTTTTTGTTGTATCTTGGCCAGGTTTTGGTATCAGGAAGACGCTGGTCTTATGGAATGTGTTAAGGAAGTATTTCTCCTCCTCAATTTTTTGGAATAGTTTCAGCAGGAACGGTACCAGCTCCTCTTTGTACATCTGGTAAAATTCAGTAGTGAATCCATCTGGTCCTGGACTTTTGTTGGTTGGTATGCTATTTTTTACTGATTCAATTTTGGAGCTCATTATCGGTGTGTTCAAGATTCAACTTCTTCCTGGCTCAGTCTTAGGAGGCTGGGGATGTCTGTGTCCAGGAATTTAATCATTTATTCTAGATTTTCAAGTTTATGTTCATAGAGGCATTCATAATATTGTTTGAGGGTTATTTGTATTTCAGTTAGGTCACTGGTAATATTCTCTTTTTCATTTCTAATTGTGTTTATCTGGATCTCTCTTTTCTTCTTTATTAGTCTAGCTGGTATTCTATCTGTTTCATTAATTTAAAAAAACAATTCCTGGATTAGTTGATCTTTTGAATGGTTTTCTGTGTCTCAATCTCCTTCAGTTCAGCTCTGATTTCCGGTATTTATTGTCTTCTAGTTTTGTGTGTGATGTTGTGTGTTGTGCTTTGTGTTGTGTGTGATGTTAGGTTGCTAAATTGAGATCTTTCTAACTTTTTGATGTTGGCATTCGGTGCTATAAATTTCCCTCTTAATACTGCCTTTGCTGTTTCTCAGAGATTCTAGTGTCTTGTATCTTTGTTCTCATTAGTTTCAAATAACTTCTTGATTTCTGCCTTAATTTCATTATGTTCCCAAAAGTCATTCAGGAGCAGGTTATTCAATTTCCATGTAAACATATGGTTTTGAGTGAGTTCATTAGTCTTGATTTATAATTTGATCACGCTGTGATCTGAAAGATTGGCTGTTCTGATTTCAGTACTTCTGCATTTGCTGAAGGTTTTACTTCCAACCACGTGATGAACTTTATATTATGTTACATGTGGCAATGAGAAGAATGCATATTCTGTTTTGGGAGTGGGGAGAGTTCCACATATTTCAATCAGGTCCATGTAAGATGCAGTGCTCAGTTCAGGTTCTGAATATCTTTGTTAATTTTTTGCCTCAATGATCTAATTCTGTCAGTGGGGTTGTAAAGCATCTCACTATTATTGTGCAGGAGTTTAAGTCTCTTTGAAGGTCTCTAAGAGCTTGCTTTATGAACATAGGTGCTACTGTGTTGGATGCATATATATTTAGGATAGTTAGGTGTTCTTGTAGAATTTAACCCTTTATCATTATTTAATGCCCCTTTTTGTCTTTTTTCATATTTGTTGCTCTAAAGTCACTTTTGTCTGAAACTAGGGTGGCAATCCCTGCTTTCTTCTGTTTTCATTTGCTTGGTAGATTTTTCTTCATCCCTTTATTTTGAGACTATGTGTGTTATTGTATGTGAGATGAGTCTCTTGAAGACAGCATACAAAGAGATCTTGGTTCTTTATCCAGCTTCCCATTCTGTGCCTTTTAATTGGGTCATATAGCTAGCTCACTTACATTCCAGGTTGGTATGGATATGTGTGAATTTGATCCTGTCATCATGATGTTGGCTGGTGATTCTGCCGACTTGTTTATGTAATTGTTTTATCGTGTCACACGTCTATGTACTTCAGCCTGTTTTTGTAGTGGCTGATAATGTTCTTTCTTTCTCATATTTATGTGCTTCCTTCAGGAGCTCTAGTAAGGCAGGTCTGGTGCTAACAAATGTCCTCAGCATTTACTTGGCTGAAAAGGACCTTATTTTTCCTTCACTCTTGAAGCTTAGTTTGGCCAGATATGAAATTCTGGGTTGGAATTGCTTTCCTCTAAAAATGTTGAATATTGGCCCCCAATCTACTCTGGCTACTGTTAGTCTGATGAGCTTCCCTTTCTAGGTGGCCTGACCTTTCTATCTAGCTGCCTTGAACACTTTTTCTTTCATTTTGACCTTGGAGAATCTGAAGATTATGTGTCTTAGGGTTAGTCTTCTCATGGAGTATCTTACTGGGGTTCTCTGGATTTTCTGAATTTGAATATTGGTCTCTCTAGTTTCATTGGGAAATTTCTCATGGATGATATCCTGAAGTATGCTATCCAAATTGCTTATACTCTCCCCTTCTTTTTCAGGGACACCAATGAGTCTTACATTTGGTATCTTTATATAATTCCACATTTCCCAGAAGTTTCGTGTATTCCCTTATTTTTTTCTTTATTCTTTTTTGCCTGTCTTATTTCAGAAAGCCAGTATTCAGGCTCTGAGATTCTTTCCTTTGCTTCATCTATTTTGCTATTAATACTTGTGATTGCATTATGAAACTCTTATAGTGTGTTTTCAGCTCTATCAGATCAGTTACATTGTTTTCTATAATGGTTATTTTGTCCTTCAGCTTCTACATTGTTTTATTATGATTCTTAACTTACTTGGAGTGGGTTTCAACATACTTTTACATCTTAATGATATTCGATTATATTGATATTCTGAATTCTGTTTCTGTTATTTCAACTATAATATGGTTTGGCTCTGTGGACCCACTCAAACCTCATCTTGAATTGTAATCTCCACATGTCAGAGGAGGGACCTGGTGAGAAGTAACTGAATCATGGACGCAGTTTCCTCCATGCTGTTCTCATTATACTGAGTGAGTTCTCACAAAATCTGATGGTTTAAAAGTGTTTGGCAGTTTCCCTCCCACCATCCTCTCTCTCCTACTGCCTGTGAAGAAGGTGGTTGCTTCCCCCTTGCCTTCCACCATGATTGTAAGTTTCCTGAGGCCTCCCCAGTCACATGGAACTGGAAGTTGATTAAACCTCTTTCCTTTATAAATTACCCAGTCTCAGGTCATTCTTTATAGCATTGTAAAAATGGACTACTACAAGCTATCTCAGCCCAGTTCAGAACACTTGCTGGAGAGGTAGTGTGGTTGTTTGGAGGAAAAAAGATATTCTGACTTTCTGAGTTGTCAGGGTTCTTGGATTGGTTCTTTCTCATCTTCGAGGGCTTATGTTCTTTCAATCTTTGAAGTTGCTGACCTTTGCATGTTTTTTTCTTTTTTAATCGTATTTGACAACATTAAGGATTTGATTGTGGTATAAGGTGGATTCAGCTGACTGGCTTTATTTCTGGAAGATTTTATGGGACCAACACTCAGCTCCCAACTCCTGGACTGTGTGCTCTAACTCTAGGGAGCTTGTATTGGGCCCTGACTTTGTTCACTGGATCATTGAGGTTAGGAATCCACTGCACTGTTGGAAGGTTTGGGACTGAGAGTCTCCTAGACTGCTGGCCACTATGCTCTGATGGGTAGTGTCAGCCAAAGGATTTCATACTGTAGTGACAGTGGGATCCGTCCTCATTCGCATGTGCCAGCAGCAGTGGCAATGCAGCAGCATGTACACTTGTTGGCTATGGCAGGGGGCCAGCAGGTGCTGGGGTGCCTGCCTCCATGCAGTTATTCAAAACAGTGGTGGATACAATAAATGTGGCTGGATTGGCAGAGGGAGGGGAGTTCCTGCTGGTAACTGTGCATGGAGTCAGGTGGTGTTGGCACAGGGACGGTGCTGTTGGGCAAGGGTGGTTGCTCAGGATGGGGGAGGGTCTGCTGTTCTCTGTGCCTAGTTTCACTCCCATGGCAGTGTTGGTACAAGGGCAGGGTGCTGGCAGGAGCAGGGTTGGCCGGCTCTGTGCCCACCAAGGTTCCAACTGCCATTGGTTGGTAGGGGGAGGAGGGTTGGCGGGGAGTAAACTGCACTCCTGCTGCAGCAGTGGCAGGGCAGCGTGCATGTACACATGCACACTGGTGGAGCAAGAAAAGCAACACACACACACAAAGTGATATGGAGGGTTTCCATGGGCCCCTGGGAAGCTGCAGTGTGAGGACAGAGCAGGTCAGCTGGTGTGTGGCCATGAGGGCTGCCCTGCTGGAGCTCTCTGCTGGTCAGGAATGGTCTAGTAGTTCAGAATCTATGATGGAGGCCCCCAGGGAACCCAAGGCTGCCCTGCATGCAGGAGTGGCAAGGCTGGAGCCCCAGGAGAGGTGTGCAGATCAAGGACCACTCAGGCTAACTGACCTCACCTATGGGCAAGAATGCCCTGCAGAGTTCAGGTCTGACAGTTTCCCTAGGACTAAAGTCTCCTAAGAGAGCAAGTTAAGCCTAGGGGGAGGGCCATCGCTGGCCATGCACCACTACAGATGTTCACACACCAAACCGTTTGGGTTCCATATCAGCTTGCTTGCTGCCCCTACAACTTCTCTAAGCAGCTCTCCCTGCCAACTCGAGTGTCCATGGTGGTGCAGGGGTCTCCTCCTGCTGGAATTCTAGAGGCCTGTGGCGAGAGTGGGTTCCTCCTTGCCAGTTCAATTCACCCATTGTCCTGGAGTTGTTGGGGGCCAGGAACGAGTCCCAGTGTGTGGTAGCCCTGTGCAGGGTTCCCAGCTTCCTCCTCCTTCAGTCCAACTTCTGTGTCTTCCCTCTGTCCACTCTTGGTGCATTCCTTCTGAATATTTGTTATGAGTGCACAAGTCATCTGGGTCCTTTGGTGGCAGCTGTTTCACCTGGCTGGATCTAGTGGCACCTGGCCATCTTGCCAGATGTTAATTTTAATTTGATTTTTGTACATAATGAGAGATAAGGGTCTAGTTTCATTCCTTTGCATATAATTATCCAGTTTCTCCAGCAACATTTATTGAAAATACTGTTCTTTCTCTATTGTATGTTCTTGGCATCTTGTCAGCAATGATTTGGTTGTAAATACATGAATTTGTATCTCTTTTCCATTGGCCTATGTGTCTGTTTTTATGCAAGTACAACACCATTTTTATTACTGTATCTTTGTCATATATTTGAAGTCAGGTAATGTAATGCCTACAGCTTTGTTCTTTTTGCTCAGGCCTGCTTTGTCTATTTGGGGTATTTTGTGGTTTCATATAAACTTTAGAATTTTTTTTCTATTTCTGTGAAGAATGTCACCAGTGATTTGATAGGGCTTGCATTGAATCTGTGAATTGCTTTGGGTTACTATTGTCATTTTAACAATATTAATTCTTCCAATCCATAAGCATTGAATATCTTTCCATTTTTGGTGTGTCCTCTTTTATTTCTTTCATCAGAGTTGTCTAGTTTTTCTTATACATATCTTCCACTTCTTTTGTTGGATTAATTTCTAGTTATTTTATATTGTTTGTAGCTATTATAAATGGGATTGCTTTCTTGATTTCTTTTTCAAATTGTTTGCTATTTGTATTTATAAACGCTACTGATATAGAAAGACAAATATCACATGTTCTCACTCATATGTGGTAGCTAAAAAGTGGACTTCATAAAAATAGAGTAGACTGGTGGTTACAAGGCTGAAAGTGAGGCAGGTGATGAAGAAAAAAATGTAAATGTATTTATCACCACTGAACTGTACACTTAAATGTGGTAAAGATGGTAAAATAAAAATAAATGTTAAAAATCATAAAAAGTATATATCTTATCATGTGTGAATTATAGTTCATTAAAGCTGATTAAAGATAACATGATCTCACATAATATAATTTCATTTCATTTTCTATAAAACATTAACTTTCTAGGAGAATAATGCTGCATAAATACATTTGAAAACATTTTAAAATGAAATAATTTATGTATTTTTATATAATCAAAAGTAAAGAAGATTATTGCTATGATGTTGTGAGTGAAGTAATTATAATGTTGGTCTCAAGCTTGCATGGCCACAAAATAACCATTAATTTAAAACAGAGATGGACTCAATGTACTCACAGTTTCACTCTATTTCTCAGAGACAAGGGATTTTATATCTTTAAGTGTTTTAAAATCCTCATATAAGTTATATTTGCTTTTCTAGAAAACAAAAATATTCAATAGACAGATTTAAATATTATCTTTCTTCTTCCTATGTACTTAGGCCAAATAAAAATATACTGTATATAAATGTAATTTTTCTTTAGTATAGAAAGTTAGAAATATATCATAATGCATCCTATTAATATTAAAGTGTTGTATATTTTGCTGATGACTGGTAGAAAATTAATTTCATGAACAATATGAACTTATGCAAAAATTAAACAAAATACAAATGTTAATGTGAAAATTTTGTGTTTCTGTTTTAGAAAAATATAATCATAAGTCCTTCACTTTTTTGTAAGATATTCTTAATGATTTAAGACTTTAGTGTATGATTCAGCCCTTTTGTTCATATATTTATTTTCCTTTCACTCCTCATTTAACTCTTTCCTTTCTTCTGACTGATAATCAGCTTTTGACAGTTGATAATTGAAGCTATCACATCAAAGTGATGCAAAAAACATTAATTAACACTAAAAAGCCACCGTGGCACACATTTACCTATATAACAAACTTGCACATCCTGCACATGTACCCCTGAACTTAAAATAAAAGTTGAAAAAAAAACCACTAAAAGAATATTCAAAGTAAAATACATTAAAACTCACTTCTCCAGTTTGACACAGACAACCAGATAGGTGTTAGGGTAAAAACAACAACAACAAAAATGGGAATGGTTTTCCTTTTCCTTTCTTTGGTATTCTAGCCTTGGTCATGATCCAAAGGGGCAAGTGCATTAACTATACCAAACTTGCTCTTGGCCTATAAAATAACTTTTTTCATTTCTAGATTATGTGCTTGGCGAGAAGTATCTCCACTCATAAAGTTCATGTGTAATTGAATAAAGTATACATTTTGATTAAATGTCACTCTTATCTTTGGGTATGAGGCAATTCACTGCACCTGAAGACCATACCATTATTACAGTAATGTGAGTAAGCACCAGTATGAGCATTCCACCTTCTCTTTTCCCTCTGTGGACACTGTAGGAAATGTAATACACTCTTGACAACTAGTTCTTTGTCTATTTAAACCACAAACCCAGACATTCACACTTGCTTCAGTGGCAGGCAATTTTTTTTTCTTTAAGGGAAGATTTAAGGAGCTATGAACAAATCGTTTATCATCTCTTATTAACTGCACTGCCAAACTTATTTTAAATGATATCTCTGTTATAAGTCCCATCATTGATTTTATTGCCTGCAATCATTCCACCAACTTGCCTTCTAGGTCTAGTAATTTGTTTTGGTTTTTGATTTCCTTTTTTTTATGTTTCCATAGCAGAAGCTTCCAAAGTAAAGGCTACAGATTATTATTATTTTTTAGTTTTTTTATTGTGTACACAATGTCTGGAATTTTCCTTAGAATATATATGGTAGTCTCTTGGTATCCATGAGGGATTCATTCCAGGAGTCCTTCATGGATACCAAAAATCTGTACATGTTCAAGTCTCATATAAAATGGCATAGTATTTGTATATTGTCTACATACATCCTCTCACATACCTTAAATTATCTCCAGACTACTTAAAATGCCAAATAAAATGTAAATGCTGTGTAGATGGTTGTGGTAATGTATTTAAAATTTTATATTATTTCACATTTTCGTATCTTTTTTAATTTATTTAGTTTTAAAAATATTGTCAATCTTTAATTGGGTGAATATTCAGATGCAGAACTGTGGATATGGACGACTGAATGTATTAACTTATATAGCTGTCTATTAAAATTTATTCTTTACTTAGGACTGGTCGTTGTTATGCAATCTTCTTTGTTCCTTATAACTAGAGTCCTGCCTTGAAACCTAAACCCCTTATAATCCTTGGCATTAGCAACTAGTTCTCACTTTTACCTAATTCTCCAGACTTCTATATATTTGATTTTTGCTTATTTTCTTTCAAACATCTAAACTGAATAAATATTTCATCTATCCCCTAGGAAGATAGCCTCTGAATCTTATTTCTATCCCACTTCTTTTCTAGTAGATGCTGCTAACCATTCTCCTTTCCTTAAAGATGAAGCAAAGACATATTATGTACTCCTTAGAAATAAATAAAATGAATATATTCCCTAAAAATAAATAGTATGCTTTTAAAAGCAACACTAACTCTTGCAGGTAACTTAGCAAACTAAATCATACCTTATTTGTTGTACTCTTTAATTTTCTAAGGTCTCCTACTTTTCCAGAAGATTTACATGTTTGATATTTATGTTAGTACTTAATGTAGACACACATTAGTTCAACAAAGTACTCATGTTTCAAAAAGCAATATAGTAGCCTGAACAAATCCATATAACATAAACAATTTGTTCACTATTTCTCAATCAAGAATGCCATCCTAGGAATCCAATGAAAGAAGAAACTGTCCTGCTAAAGGCTTCAATATAGCTTCTTTTCCAATCCATTTGAAGAAATAATATATACTCCATTAGGAATAAGACCATGTCTATTATGTACCATATATACACTATGTACAGCAAATGTTATATACATATATCTTACATAGATAGAAATAGCCAAGTTCAATGCATAATACATGAGAATCTGTAAATTTTCAGTCTTTCAAAATAATACACATGCTTAATTGAGGGTAAGGATAGCAGCCCCCTCTATTATTCTCAAAAAGAAAGGGGCATTGGCCAACTACTCATGGATGATGTAAACTTGTTTTTAGATAAAATAGTAGAGCATTGACAACAAATTTTATCTTTGTACCATAACAAATAGCTTATGCAACATTCATTTTTAAAAAATGCATCATAAACTATTTCAGATATGACAGTCTTTGTGTTGCAATTTATGGAACAGTGCCAGTTAGCATGTGATCTGTCCATCATTTCCTCTACTTTTGAAAATCCAAATTAGATTATTCAAATGTGCACTCAAAGAGCTTACCCCTGGAAACCACTTATAGACTTCACGGGGTACAGAATGGCTTGGTTGCTGATTGGTTTTAGCCTCAATGAATATCACATCAATGCACAGCAGTCTCCTATGACTACCAATTTGCTTCCCTGTTTGATGCTAGGTATTGCCTGTGGTCACTAAAGCCATATTTGGTAAAGGGCTTCACTTGTTTACTGATTGCCCTTTCCTTCATTAGCAGTCAAAACAATGAAGACAGCAAATTGCATATTTAAAATTTAACTCTCAAACTTCTCAAGTTTACAATATTATATTGAAGCCACTTTTTTTCAGACTTTACATCCATTCAGTTATGAAATCACTCTCCACAACACATGATTTGTAGACTCAAGCCAGATGCAATTTATTTTATTTTATTATTTTATTTCATGTTTGCAGATTTTTTGTTAGGTAGCATTACAAACAAAATGCTCTATTTACTTTTCATCATTTAATATTTTATTTTAATTATACTTAACTGTTAATATTTTGAGTTTGTTATATAGGTTTTGGTAACAATTTTAACTTTAAAATTAAAAAATACTTTTTTAATAAACATGAAATCCCTAGTATATTGGCATGCTAATTAATGAAACTTAAACAACTGGCTTTACAAATTGGCTAATGGATTAGTCAACTCTATGGAATCATCTAATTGGTAAATTGCAAATTTACACTAATTTTCTAAATACTCAAACTTCTATTTTAAAATAAGAATATCAGTCAAGTTATCATAGTCATTTTTATAGATTCTTTAACTTAGGAATAGGATAATTTTGGGGGCATTAAATTAAGTGACTGAAATTCCTATACTTTAAATGACGTTAAGTGGGACAATAAGCTATAAGCTGTATTTCAGTGAACAGAACTGTAACTACTAGTAGTGATAATTGATTGTACTATTATTAGACAATCTGTGGATTCATACATATAACACTTATTCAGTTATAAATACCTAATAAGGTTTATCTTTTGATAGGTAACTCAAAATTATTGTTAGATCTAAGAAAAATGAATTCAAATAAATTTAGTTATCTACAGTGTAAATCTTCCAGAATAAAATGCTCTAAGAAATTTTTAACTAAAGACAAAGTAGGTTTTTCTTAATATAGAATAGAAATGGATTTTAACAATGTAGAAAATTTGTACACCACAGTAATTTTTCTGGGAGCATAAATTAATGCAGGTCAAAGGCCAAAGACAATGTTGGTGAGTTAAAAGGCAAAAAGGCATTCAAAGAATAATTTTGAATAGTCCAATTGTATTTGCCAAGCTGTTACTGCCTCATGTATTAAATTTAGTTTAACTAGCTGTAAATTAAGGCAATAGTATGGATTTAGAAACAACCTATTAAATATGGTTCTGATAAGATTGCATCTTAAAGGCTGGCAATCTGGGGACAACTACATTTTAATATGAATGCCATTTTATGTATTTATTTTTTGATAGGTAACTTATTGCTCAATCTTTTGTCATTTTTAGTCATGATATTTTTACACTTTGCTTTATCATGTTTACTCACATAGAGATTTGGATAGAGTTAGATTTGACCTCTCAGTTATACCAAGCTGATAGATTAATAATAATAAAACTCTGACAATTACAGAGACGATTTATTATATTCTAGGCATTCTGCTAAGTCTTTAACATGCACTATTTTATCTTCACATTAACCATTTGAAAAAAATTGTTATTTTCCACATATCAGATAAGAAAACTAAGCCTCAGATAGGTTATATAATTTCTACAGATTCACATAATCATAAACTGGCCATGTCAGAATGTAAACACAGTTAATTTGGATTCCAGAACCCCAACTTTTAGCGATACAGCAACATTTTTTATAGTAGAATAAATGTTTAACTGCAAAGTAGTCAGCCACAAACCGTTCAGAAACCATCAAATCTACAAATGGAGGAATCTTGATGAGCTACTCTTCCAGTCTGGTAGTTCATCTAATAGTTTCCTTTCTATAATCTCAGAAACGTTGTCACCCATTTTTCAAACAACTTTCTACTGAAGCTCTTGGTAGCTTAAAATATAGCCCATTCTGTGGAGAAGGAGTCACTTGGATTGTTCAAAAGTTATTTCTCATAAGGTCATTTTGGGCCTGCTTGTACCTTTTTCCCAAGAATTCTAGTTTGGCTCTTCTACTCTGACACTGAAATTTTCCAGTATCTCAGATCCTTTTAACAGTCATATTGAATATCTAAAATGTACTAGATAGGCATTTATATGTGTGTGTGCGTGTATGTATATACATAATTAATTAAATTATAATTATTTATACACACTATGTACTATATACTACTATATACACACATTATTGTATATACACACATTAATTAAATTACATAATTATAACTTTATATATCTATATATATAAACAAAAATAAAATTCTAAGCCACACAATTGACTGATGGACCCCCCTTTAGGCCAAGGGTATTCCAAAGTACACCTGAGAAACTAGTTCAGGTCATGATGGGAAGCACCCCCACCACCCACCCCCAACATTTCTCATTATATATTCTTCCTTTGGAATTCAGGCACAACTGACCAGCATAAATGTTAAAACAGAGATCTTAAGACTGACAAAGCAGACTCTTTGTAGCAATAAGATACCAAATTCCAATTTCATTCTTGAATAGTATCTCATGACAGATAGTAGGCCCTGAAGGAAGTTGAGGTATTTTACTTCAAAATATATTTCATTGATATATATTGAAATGGCCTCACAAAGCTGTCACTTGTGGGTAAAATCTACATTCTGTAGAGAATCCCCTTTCCCTTTCAGGTCCATTCCTGATCCAGAGACAATTCACCAAGAGAGTTTGCCACCGTTTTAGGTCTGATAAGAACTCTGAAGCTTGCTACCTGGAAGCTTCATCTGCATAATCAAAACCTTGGTCTTTACAACCTCTTCTTTTAACCCCACACTTCTTTCTACTGATTTCAGGTCTTTAGATAATAACTTAACACTTTAAATCACTTGCCAATCAGAAAAGTCTTTGAATCTACCCCTGACCTATATAAGCTTTGAGTTGTCCTGCCTTTCTGAACTGAACTAATGTATACCTTACATGTATTGATTGATGTCTGCCTGTAACTTCTGTCCCCATAAAATGTATGAAATCAAACTGTACACCAACCACCTTAGGAACATGTTCTCAGTACTTCTTGGTGTTCATGGTTCACACAGTCATCTCAGAATAAATCTCTTTAAATATTTTACAATATGTTACCTCATTTAACTCTCACCATATATTTATGAAGTAGATTTTTGTCATTTCCTTTAAATAGGCCAGGAGAAATTGAATAATTGCCCATAGTTACAGAACAAATAACCATGGATAGTAACTATGTCTTTTGACTTCAAATTCATTTTGCCCTAGAGAATCAATCTTACAAATTTACAATTCAATGGTTTTTGCTTCATAATAGATGTAATTATAACTCTCACTTACTTTTCATTTCTGTTTATTCTGCCCCTGTTTTGTTATGAAGTGTAGGAGCTCTGGGTTTTGTATGCTGCTTTATGTTTGCAAATAAATAAAGCAAGGCCTCCCTGACTCCTAGACTGAAATACACCTATTCAAATAATGGTTCCAATCCAACTGATTCCCTTTCTTCTTATCTTCAAAAGAAAAATACAGAGGTAATATCTAGGAAAAAATTTCATGCAAAATACTCTAAATATAAGCTCATCTTTAACTAGAAGTTCATTTGTGAAGACAAAGCAAACAACAAATGAAATACTGTGAATACATAATTTAGAGTGAAAGCATTTGCAGTCTAATTATTGATATCATAGTAATTATGTTGCTTGAAAAGCATCTTTAACATATTTATTTAAACTAATATTATTTGCCAATGACCCGTGTATTTCACGCATAAAATGGATGACCTAATTTAACTCAATTAAAGCAACATGAAACATTACACGTTTTACCAATATTAATTTTCACACATCATAATTTTTGTTTTATAATTCTTAACAATTAAGATAAACAGATTATATTTGTCTACAATTTTTTAAATGAAATTATTTCTTCAGAATAGAGTAATGCAATGTCATGTCTGATTTTCAGTACAATCTTAACAATACATTATGTATTAAAGTTTTTTAAACCCTGTGTTCACTGTCTGTAAGTATAGATAAATCTCATTTAAAGAGAGTTAACAGCTGATTCACTCAGCTTCCCCTTCCAATTGTTAGGTTTGAGTCCTGTAATTAGACAGCATAACAGCTAAGGTACTTTTTTATCAGCTTGCCAAAAAGGGAGTTTTAGTTAGTGATACATTATATAATGAGAAACCTCCTTCAACAGGACTTTTAAAAAGAACTTGTACAAATCTAAACAATTAATCCTCCTGGAGCATTCCAATGAAATCACTAATAAGGCATCCAGAAATGCAAATACCTACATAAATTGTTCCTATGTGAATTTGGAGTTTGGGATTATCACATTTGTTTTTGCCCTATCCTGGAGAACAGTTAGTTTTGTTAGTAATTATACTCTTCAAGCCTTTATTTGTATGAAAGTTTGAATTCAAAAGAGATGTGTAAACAAAACATACATAAAATTATTGTAGATATTTTCATTATGTGTTTTCTTAATCTTGTCAGTATTTTGTTGATGAAATACTGATACGATTATCTACTTAATTAAATGTAATTCATTTGTATACAACTATAATGAAACATTAGAAATTTAAAAGATAATAATGAGTACAATGCATATAAAATGCAAAAGTTCTATGACTACTTTAAAGAACCATCCATGTTAATACACAGTCTTGTGGATATGGCAGCATACACCTCCAGCTAACCTTTAATTTTTTCATTATTATAACCTCATCACTGTCTTCCACTAAAGAGACTTTGTTAGACAAAGGAAAAAGAAAACACATATCTGGATACTATAACAGTCACCTATAATCATTATTTACATAATATGAAT
The DNA here is from genome assembly GCF_000001405.40 of Homo sapiens. NCBI lineage: Eukaryota > Metazoa > Chordata > Mammalia > Primates > Hominidae > Homo > Homo sapiens. The sequence continues at coordinate 86,536,283 of NC_000012.12, forward strand.
TCCACAGTTCATAAAGGACATAGATTTGCAATCTAACCTTTGGAAGTGTAAGTGTCATGTATTCCTGTTAAGACATGGATCCTTGATGGAAGCATAGTCATTTGCTAATAGGTAGGTTCTTAATAAAAATTTTGAAAAAAGGAAATAAAATCATATTTTAAGAGATATGATAATTTAAAACTTTACTAAACTTAAAATGAGTCTTCAGTTAAGGGGATTCATTGTATAATCAAACAAAATCCAGAAGTCATGAATAATTTATGCTGAAAATTATAAATAAAATAAAACCTCTTTAAGCATTCAGGTAGTAAAAAATGGTTATCAATAGAGAAACAAAAATTTAGTTGAGGACAATAGTACACTTTCTAGAGAGTTTTAAGCAGAAAAGATTGTGATTCAATAATTTTCTATCCAGCAGAGACCTGCCATACACAGACAAATTTGTAGAAAATATACCACCCATGTGTTCTTTCTTGAGAATAAAATTAAAATTTAAAAATCAACAGTTATTGTGGAAGTCAGTGTGGCGATTCCTCAGGGATCTAGAACTAGAAATACCATTTGACCCAGCCATCCCATTACTGGGTATATACCCAAAGGATTATAAATCATGCTGCTATAAAGACACATGCACATATATGTTTATTGAGGCACTATTCACAATAGCAAAGACTTGGAACCAACCCAAATGTCCAACAATGACAGATGGGATTAAGAAAATGTGGCACATATACAACATGGAATACTATGCAGCCATAAAAAATGATGAGTTCATGTCCTTTGTAGGGAGGACATGGATGAAGCTGGAAACCATCACTCTCAGCAAACTATCGCAAGGACAAAAAACCAAACACCGCATGTTCTCACTCATAGGTGGGAATTGAACAATGAGAACACATGGACACAGGAAGGGGAACATCACACATCAGGGCCTGTTGTGGGGTGTGGGGAGAGGGGAGGGATAGCATTAGGAGATACACCTAACATTAAATGACGAGTTAATGGGTGCAGCACACCAACATGGCACATGTATACATATGTAACAAACCTGCACGTTGTGCTCATGCATCCTAAAACTTAAAGTATAACAAAAAAAAAACAACAGTTAAGGCTTTTTCATACTTGTTAACTTAGTTATAAAAGTAAATGTCTCTTTAATAGTAAATGATACACAGTATTGATAGTAACTCAGTAGATTACCATATAAAATTATATATATTTTCAACCAAAAAGGAAAAAAAAGTGAAGAAATAAATAATAATAATGGTGCTTAATTTCAGTTTTGCATGCCCTGTGCGGTCAGGAGTCATTTCTCACTTGATTGTCCTTATATTTCTCCTGTCCAGAACAATTTCTGGCACACAGTAGAACTTTAATTAATATTTGTTGAGTGAACGCCTCTAATTTGGGGACAATGAATAAATACTATTTTATTCTTGACATTGATGATTCTAGAGCCATGTACATGAATATACATCCATACTTAAAGGTGAACATTGGTTGATACAAATAATTTTTTTTGGGCCAGGTGTGGTGGCTCATGCCTGTAATCCCAACACTTTGGGAGGCCAAGGTGGGTGGATCACCTCAGCTCAGGAGTTCAAGACCAGGCTGGCCAACATGGCAAAACCCCGTCTCTACTAAAAATACAAAAATTAGCCAGGCGTGGTGGTGGGCGCCTGTAATCCCAGCTACTCGGGAGGCTGAGGTAGGAGAATCACTTGAACCTGGGAGGTGGAGGTGGCAGTGAGCCAAGATCATGCCAGTGCACTCCAGCCTGGGCAACAGAGCAAGACTCCATCTCAATAAATAAATAAACAAATAAATAAATAATAAAAAATTTATTTGTATTTGAAAGCCTAATTTTTAAAAAGTCTTAAATCAGAGTCTGAGATGAGAAGGCACATGAGGCGATATGATTAGGGAACTGGCCAAAGTACTGTATAGACAGCCAGGATGGCATTGATTTTTCAGAGTTAAGAAGAGAGGAATTAGATATTCAACAGGAGAAACATAAGCATTTTGAGAAACATTATTCTCAAGTTGGCAGGGATCCAAGGAAAGAATAGCTTCATGAGAGTCTGTGAGGACTGCAATGGCTGGACACCAGGCACTACAGTCCAGAGGATCTCATGATGGAGTTTACATGGAGGGATTGGATCTTTCAGTAATGCCTGATGAGTTTAAACATACCTGTTTTGGAATAGGTAAGGTGTTATCAGCTGGGGTCACCAGAAGCTGAAATCTAGGGCTTAACTCATATTCTTTTACTGATAAAATATTTCATATTAACGTTATGGTGTCTGTGCTCAAAGTGTAATACTTCTTTTTTTTTTTTTTTTGAGACAAGAGTCTTGCTCTGTCGCCCAGGCTGGAGTACAGTGGCACTATCTTGGCTCACTGCAAGCTCCACCTCCCAGGTTCATGCCATTCTCCTGCCTCAGCCTCCGGAGTAGCTGGGACTACAGGCGCCCGCCACCACGCCTGGCTAATTTTTTATATTTTTAGTAGAGGTGGGGTTTCACCGTGTTAGCCAGGATGGTCTCGATCTTCTGACCTCCTGATCTGCCCGCCTCGGTCTCCCAAAGTACTGGGATTACAGGCATGAGCCACTGTGCCTGGCCCAAAGTGGAATACATTTATATAAGGAAATAAATGTTTTGTTTCTCATAACTACTGCATATGCATAATTTAATAGGTTATTTCATTTTTATTTATATTTTTCATATATTCTAAAAACTTTTTTTTAATTATTATTATACTTTAAGTTCTAGGGTACATGTGCACAACATGCAGGTTTGTTACATATGTATACATGTGCCATGTTGGTGTGCTGCACCCATTAACTCATCATTTACATTAGGTATATCTCCTAATGCTATCCCTTCCCCCTCCCCCGACCCCACTACAGGCTCCGGTGTATGACGTTCCCCTTCCCGTGTCCAAGTGTTCTCATTGTTCAATTCCCACCTATGAATGAGAACATGCAGTGTTTGGTTTTCTGTCCTTGCAATAGTTTGCTGAGAATGATGGTTTCCAGCTTCATCCATGTCCCTACAAAGGACATGAACTCATCATTTTTTATGGCTACATAGTATTCCATGGTGTACATGTGCCACATTTCTTAATCCAATCTATCATTGATGGACATTTGGGTTGGTTCCAAGTCTTTGCCATTGTGAATAGTGCCGCAATAAACATACGTGTGCATGTGTCTTTATAGCAGCATGATTTATAATCCTTTGGGTATGTACCCAGTAATGGGATGGCTGGGTCAAATGGTATTTCTAGTTCTAGATACTTGAGGAATCGCCACACTGTCTTCCACAATGGTTGAACTAGTTTACACTCCCACCAACAGTGTAAAAGTGTTTCTATTTCTCCACATCCTCTCCAGCACCTGTTTCCTGACTTTTTAATGATAGCCATTCTAACTGGTGTGAGATGGTATCTCATTGTGGTTTTGATTTGCATTTCTCTGATGGCCAGTTATGATGAGCATTTTTTCATGTATCTGTTGGCTGCATAAATGTCTTCTTTTGAGAAGTGTCTGTTCATATCCTTTGCCCACTTTTTGATGAGGTTGTTTGATTTTTTTTCTTGTAAATTTGTTTAAGTTCTTTGTAGTTCCAGTATTAGCCCTTTGTCAGATTGGTAGATTGTAAAAATTTTCTCCCATTCTGTAGGTTGCCTTTTCATTCTGATGGTAGTTTCTTTTGCTGTGCAGAAGCTCTTTAGTTTAATTAGATCCCATTTGTCAATGTTGGCTTTTGTTGCCATTGCTTTTGGTGTTTTAGTCATGAAGTCCTTGCCCATGCCTATGTCCTGAATGGTAATGCCTAGGTTTTCTTCTAGGGTTTTTATGGTTTTAGGTCTAACATTTAAGCCTTTAATCCATCTTGATTAAGTGTGACTACTGAAGCTAGGTATTTAAAGTCATGGTGGCTTCCACCATAGCTTCTGCTGGATGACTTATTCTGGAGAAAGCCAGCAGCCCTAAAAACAGCTCAAAATGTTGAGAGACTGAGGATTCCCAAAAACAACTAACAATCATTTCTCAGGCAATTAAATTTGAGCCATGTTGAAAGCAGGTATAGCAGCCCAGGTTAAGCCTCAATGTGACTGTATCAGGGTCAACATCTTGGATGAAACCTCATGAGAAATTCTAAGCTTGGCTGGGCGCGGTGGCTCATGCCGGTAATTCCAGCACTTTGTGAGGCCGAGACATGCAGATCACGAGGTCAGGAGTTTGAGACCAGCCTGGCCAATATAGTGAAACCCTGTCTCTACTAAAAATACAAAAATTAGCTGGGCGTGGTGGCACGAGCCTGTAGTCCCAGCTACTCAGGAGGCTGAGGCAGAAGAATCTCTTGAAGCCGGGAGGCGGAGGTTGCAGTGAGCCGAGATTGCACCACTGCACTCCAGCCTGAGTGACAGAGTGAGACTCCATCTCCAGAAAGAGAGAGAGAGAGAGAGAGAGAAATTCTAAGCTGAAACCACTCAGTTTGAATTTGGGAATTCATATTTTTAAATTTTGAATGATTTTGAGATAATAAATGTTCGTTTTCCTTTTAAGCCACTGAATTTGAGGCAACTTATTAGGCAGCAATAGGCAATGAACAAAACATCCATCTAGAGGTACACAAGGGTGGGTGAGGTATCTCAAATATTTAAGCAGTCATATTTTTACTTGGCCTATCCTTACCATACATACTCAAAGCAAGATTTTCAGATTGAAACAGGAAGGTTGTTTCAAAGAGTTGATTTTGAAGACATTGTTCATTGAAGTTACCTATGGTAACACTAAAGGTCTAAGTTAAAGGAGCCCAAACGTAAGGTTTTGTAAAGTAAGATAAATATACAACACCTTTCCTATCCTTCATGTTGTTCTCTATAGGGAGACATAATCCAATATAGACTGAGAAAAGAAATGCTTCCAACAAAGTCTTCAATTGCAACATTATTAAATGCACTTTAGCTAGTGAAAATATGTTTTAGATATCAAAATTACTTTGTATAAAATCAGACTAAATTTATGAAAGTCAACCAGAAGTCAGAGCAACATAAAATTTGTGGACTACGATCTGTTGAAAATCTATCAATGACTGGTAAATACGAGATGGTAGATTATGCAAAAGTTCAAAATACTGATTTAAAAGTTCAAAATGATTTCACCCAAAATGGCATTGACTTGTTATTGATTTAACCAAAAGCAGTCCAAATTTACACACTACCACATTTAAAATTTACAAAATAAGCAGCTGAAAATGGCAAATTAAAATGCATTAATCAATTGCTTGACAAGTCTAGATTTTATAACTAAAGAATTATGAAAAACTCAACCAAGTTATACAAGTAGATAATTTTAGAAGTGAAATTGTATTTTAAGTTAAATGTTACTTAGTCTAAAGCTATTACAAATGATAGGAACTTAATCACTTTTATTCATTTTTAATGATTTATAAAAATGTTTCAACCATGGATGTCAACATTGATTCATCTCCAACCTGATTTTCACTCCCACCTTAAGCTTCATGTCATCTTTAGCTTTGTATAAGCAAATCAATACAGGCATGCCAAATAAATTCTATTTCTGTACTCACTTCTGGTTTAGGCTTATGTCAGGTACCCTTTCCTTGTAGTTCATCCAAGTATTTATTAAAATGTTCCCAATGATGTTGATAAAGGAAAGCAAAATTAATATTCTTTAACAAAAACATGACATTTGAGCCTTTATAAGTGTCTGAGAGGACTTGTCACTAACTAGAACAGTGGTTCTCAACCTGTGGACTCCGAGTGAGAAGCACCAGTAACACCTGAAAACATGTTACACATGAAAACTTGTAGGATCCCACCTTAGACATGCTGAATCTGAAACGCTGGGGAAATAGGGCTCAGTGATATTTTAACAAGCCCTTTGTGATTCTAAGACATGCTAAAGATTGAGGAACAATTAGAATGTAGAAGAAATTGGACTGATATTCATGATGTGGACTATGCACACCTATTTGCAAAAACAAAACATTTCACATTCAGGAAATAAGTAGGAAGAGGTTCTACTCAGCTCCAACAACAATTCCTAGTTCAGAAATACAGAATCTGTTACTCAACCAAAATAAAAACCAAACCAAAGGAAGTATCCACTCTAACTGTGTAGACACCACCATCTGAGGAACTGTGGGAGAGCTGTTTTTCTCCTACCTTAGCTCTCAACCATTATGTTGTGGGCCATTTAATTTTTCCTACTTCTTTCATGGCATTTTTGTGTGTTTTTATTATTTAATACATATCTTTTCCTCTCATAGTACCTTGAGAGTAGTGGCCATGCCTTTTCTTTTTTTGCCACTGAATGTCCAGCAACTATATCAGTACCTGATATGCTGTAGAAACTTAATAAATATGCTAAATAAGCATGGAATTAATGGATTAATGACAAAGTGAATGAATGCTGCACTATAAACTGTCATGTCTGTATCAGTTTTCACTGGATTCTTCTGAACTATTATTGTAACTGGCACAGGGCAAGCACATAATAAATATTTGGTCAATTAATAAATTTACTAATGCATCAAAACTATTTTCCCAACTTGCGCTTTGCCTTTAAACTTAAAAACATTTTAAACTTACAAATATTTTTTGATTTTATATATTCAAATATAGTTTTTGTCTTTTTGGGGGATTTCTCTCCATAATTCTAATCATTAAAGCCTCCCATTAATATATTCCTAAGTCTAACTAGACATATGTTACTTTTATTTTGCTAATCCCTACTTCTGTTTAAAGAAATTTTATTTTGTTTACTTAGGATTAGTCAATGAAATAACCAAACTGAGTGGGTTCTGTTTTATATGATTAAGAGCGTTGATGAGTAAATTTTTCACACACATATACAGAAGAGTTCAAAAAGGATAAAATGATAAAGAAATTACATAGCATTATTAGTTTTATATTCCTACCTTATTAATCATATGGCAATTTTTATATTTACATTAATAGTATAATAATCATATATTATTAATTTTATATACCTTATTGGAAAATTCACTAACAAATTCCACATTTCTTTTTTTAAACCTTGAAACATTCCAGATTAACACCCAGAAAGGACAGTCTCTGACAGTAAAAATATATAAATTATAAAAATTTAAAAAATTCCTTAGATTATTCTGTTTCTCTTTTTTAAGACATGGTATTTAGCTATCTTTGAGGGTTTTTTTAAATAGAAGTGTTGGAATTACATATCTACTATGTTCCAGGTATAGTACTAAGTACTTTTTCCACAATTGCATTAATTTATATAGAAAAATTCTAACATAATTTTTTGCCTCTTTATTTTTCAGAATAGAAAACTTTCAGATAATGTCAGCATTTCTGTAGGGAAACATTACTAGTATTTTACCCAAGAATTATACTTAAGTCTATTTGATTCCAATAATACATCAGTCAACTCTTGCTGTGCAAAAGATAATCCAAAATCTAGTGACTTAAAACAATGAATCTTTATTATTTTCTACAATTCTGTGGATGGCTAATGGTTCTTTTAGTCTATGCGTTTAGCTGATTCCTCTGGTCAGGTGGTGGCTTTACTGGGGCCTGACAGTCTGGGAGGTCCTTATTCACATACCACGCAGCTGGCCCACTCTCAGCCACAGTGCCACATGTTATTTTCTACATGGACTCCTCATCAGGGGGGCTCAGGCTATTCACACGATGATATAAGGATACTACATTCAGCTAGATAGTGAGCCCCATTTCAGAAGCTGTTTCACACTTCAGAATCATTAGTTGATTCTGCTTCCATATCAACTAATGTCTCAGTGGCCAAACAAGTCACATAGCCAAGCCTGGATTCAAAGAGAGGAGAAGCTTTCCACAATGCAATTTTTAGAACAAGATCTGAATTGTGTGTTTTCCAAATAATCTAAACTGTACATACTTTAGATAAAATCATATTCCTGCATACATATTTGAGAAGACATCTAATATTTTCATGGAAGGTGACTAAAAGTTTGATTATTATTTTTTGGAAAACATATACAATTGCTCAGAAATATGTTTAATCAATTCAATTATATTTTAATACTAATTTGCAAAGCAATATATATGTTCTTGGTGGATTTATTTGTATCCTCAGTTTATTTGTGTGTAACATTTTGATGTTTATTTCTATAATTATCTAATGTTTCTGAAAGTTAATTTTAGTTGGATAGTGATCAAGAAGTAGAAGCCACTCCAACCTCAAAGGAATTTGTTGATTAAAACACATGGTCTATACAAACATTTTAGTTACTGATCCTCAATTAACATGCTTTATCTCAAGTGTACACAATGTGTTTTTGCTACAATTAAGTACAGTATACATACAGTTAGAATGTTGTCTATTAAATATAGCACTGCTTGGCCAATCAAATCATTGTACTGTGGAACAGGGAATGGCTTGCTATAAATAAGAAAGAAAGACATAGCATAGGATTAAAGAAAAGCAGATACAAATGCTTATTTCCTGGAACTTAGAAATATAGTACCTTAGTAGTGAATTGTAGCATGTAGTCAGGGAACTAAACTGTTATACTCAATAGATACATTATTCTTAGAGATATGAAATGAAAAAAAGATAACTGAGTCTGCTTTTATGTTCACCATGCAACTCTTTAAATTTAATAGTGATTGTTTTATACTCACTGTTAACCTACTTAACATTTTTAGTCTTTTATTTTTTATAAGTTAGCCTCCAAAAATTCTATGTCCAAAGTGTGCCTTGAACTCAGAAACATTCATAAATATTTCTCGCTATGGATCTAAAGGGATAAATTAGGTGATGATCATTCAACTTACAAGTCAATTTGTTACAGTATTCCTTTCAACAGCCACCCTCTGGCATATTAAAATGTAAATCAATTTATAAATGATGACTTAAATGATGACTTATACACTTGCTGAGAGAGTAATGCAACTTATTGACATGAAGATTGCTTGTAAAAGTTTTCAAATATGAATCCATTTTTCTAAAATAGATGCAATAGCAATTAGATAATATAGTACACTTTTTTCTAAAATGCTTAATATGAAATGGTAATTTTGATAACCTCAAGTAGATACTATGTCACAAAATATTTATTTCAAATAGAACAAACTCAGTCTATAGTTCAATATAGGTTGAATAATTTTACATAACCACAGGCTATGTCTCTTCTAAATATAGCACATATTTGATATTACATCTCGTTGCCAGATTAGATGACAAGCAATATTCAAATCAAAAAATCCTCTTGTATAAACAGACTGTTACTATAGTGTCAGATTATGATTTTCAATTACCATATGTTTCTAAATGTTTGTTTAGGATTTTAGAAACAGTGTGCTTTTTTCTCTCAAGCAATAAAATAAAATAAGCCTTTATTTTGGTAATATTTGAAAGTATAAATAGTGGAAAGAGAAGACAAATGAACTTTAACTCTCGGCTTGATAGAAGGGAATTATGGTATTTTGGCCTAGAAAAAAAAACAAAAACTGAAATTAACTCAAAAAACCAGTCAGGCTCACAACACCAAAAAATAAAGGTAGTAAGAATACTGTCATAGAAGCAAAGTTCTATTTCTTTTATGAATGTGTCAGTGAATAACAACACTACTTGAAGCTTTAAACTGCTATTATAAAACATTTTCAAAAGATTATATTTTTTCTTATCATGATATAAAATTACCAGAAACATTTTAAAGGTTATTTGCTATGTTTCCTACAATTAAATTAATAAAATAAATAGATCCCAATGCTCAAAACGTTGACGTTTTTGAATTATGGTCATAGTTCTCTTTCGATCACATCTGAACTAGATAATTATGGAAGTGTATAAATCTGTATAACTGAATTACAGACTGAAAGGCCTTAAGCTTGTTTATGTATTTTGCTTTATTCTTTCATATTGTAGTATCAAACATTCAGAAAACAATTTTCATCATTGACCTTCAGAAACTCTTTACTTTTTCTAGGATTATAAAGTTCTATCTCTATTTATTACTGCATTCAAAACTGAAATTTATAAAATGATTAAATAATTATATATTATTCTATATACTAAATAGCCGTCAACATAGGATATGGAAGAAAAAGAAGCTCAGTTTTTCTATTGCATCTCTGCATGGACACTTCTGAAACTTGGTAGGTGAAAAACTTGGTAGGAAAAAAATTTTCTACTGATTACTGAGGATAAAATGAAACCATATGTCTCCAAACATCTTTAAATTCACAAAAGACTTCCTTTATAGGCATCAAGTAAAACTAAACTTTGACTTAAAGTTCACAAAGTTAAGCAGAGGCAAATTTTAAAAATGCTTTTGGTGGAATAGTTTATAGAATTAAATTTTACCTGCTGTGAAAGTGTATTTACTCCAACACTTTAAAAATTGTATTTTTTTCTAAGCTGTAAGTACATGGACACAAATAGAAATACATTTATCTGAAAATATACTGAATTGGGAAGCTGAAATGTCATAAAACCCTTCTAAAATAATGTGTGGGGATAGTCATAACTGAGAAGGCATCCCCCAAAAAACACCACTGTCTAGATGCCGCCTAAAAGCGTCATGGTAAAAACAGAAATGCTAGGGGAAAATGTAGGAGAAAAACAGAGTGGGTTGAGCCCATGGTGTTATTTCTAAAATTTTGACTTCGAGGACATTTTAAATATATTTTAATAAATAAAAAGAATTTATTTATTATTATGGCAACACAGATATATTATGTAAAAATTTTTTTCCAGGGTAAATCAGATAGTAAAATTTATTGATTAATGTCCATATATTGAAGTTGCTTTTATTTTCCCATGTTTTATTTTTATTTTGCTATAAGAATTTTCACCAGGGTTAATGTTTTCTGTAAATTTTAGAATAAAGTTTGACATATTAATACTTTCTTTTTTGCTTATGCAAAGTTTTAGTAATTGTGGCCTTTGCCAAAGTGAAGCTTGTTTTTCTTCTTCTTCCTCTGCTTCCTCATCCTCTTCTTCTCCCCTTGTTTTCTTTCCTCCCCCCTTCCTCTTCCTGCTCTTCCTTTTGCTCCTCCTTCTCTTCTTTCTTTATCCTCTTATCTTCCTTTATTCTTATGAAGTCCAATATTTCTAATCATTTTTAGCACATCTAAATGTTTTTAAAAAATATAATATTCATGTAGACAGGCATTTTTGACTGTTTATCTCATTGATATCTTACCTGTGCATCTAAAAATGCCTGGTTCATAGCATGTACTCAAAGATACCAAGAGAAATTTTGGTTAACACATATGACAATGTCCAATTTAAGCTTGTATCTGTTAGATGTTATTTGCTCAGAAAATTAAATAAATATTTGGTAAATTTTGTTTATTACTTGGAAGAAAAAGAAAACTAATTTAGAGTAGAGTTAAATGATCTGAATATACGATGCAGTCAGAACACAAAGTGGTGGAATTAAATCATTGGGTCAAAACATCATGAATTTTGCTAAGTCTTGTCTGATTAGGCAAACCAACCACAAAAAGAGACAGACAAACATATTCCCTATTTGTGAAGATGCAAAATTTCTGGAAGTTTTCAGAAGACATGAATTCACTTTACAGGGTAGGCATGTTTTTCTGCCCTAAAAGTTCCTATTCAACACTTTGGTTGGCTTTTTCTTGTATTTCAGATCTCAGTTCAAATGTCAACTTTGTGAGAAATGTATTCCCATTAGGTTATCTGAAGAAGTCTTCCCACCTCCGGTAATTCTGTAGCTCTTAGGATCTTCAGATCATGATACATACATATGCACATGCATATACATGACTGTATGTGTATTTTATAGTTGTCTGTCTCCCACATTAGAAGCTAAATTCATGGAGGGTGGAGAACAGGATAACCTTCTGTTTATTCCAGTTGTATACTCAGGATCAATAGGAATATGCATGGCAAAAATAAGTCAAAGTAAGAAACTGAAGATATTTCCTTGTGTTAAAAGATGATCCACACTGGGAGGGCATTTTTCTTGATTTTTTTTAATACTGGGAAAACATGAGGTGCTCATTTAATATTTGAGAACTTAAGATGTCCACAATAGAATAATCTCTCAAGGTTAATTTATTTAATATATTCCCCTTAAGTGAAAATATGACAGTTAACATACTTCTTAAAAGTTGTTCTTTCTCTTTCTCACAATTCCCTTTAGTTAATCCCCAATTCCCAATTTGCTTTAGCAAATTCCCGTTTACGCAGGCTTGGATACACGGAATAAATTGTGAACTATCTTAATGGTCTACTGTGTAGCATACAAAACAAAGGGACATCAGCCAGATGAACATTTTAGGCAAAATCTAAGATAAAGAATAGAGTAGTGATTAAGAGCACAGAGCACAGAGTCTGCAGACACACTGAGTTTGTTTCAAATCCCAGCTCTTTTCATTATTGAGTGTGTGATTTTTGAGAAATGTACATGATTACTAGCTGGGCCATAGTCTCTTTATCTGTAAAATGTAATAAAAACTACTCATACATATTTTGTGAAGATTAGATAACTCACTGTATGTGAAGAATTTAGAACTGTGTATAGAATGCTATAATCAATGTGTTTTATTTATTATTTTTAAATATGTAAGAAGGAAACTTCTCGAAAAGGATGGAAGAAGCTAATTCCAAAGGAGATTTATTTTGTAACCTGGCTCTACTGCTAACTGGCTTTATTAATTCTTTCATCTGTGAAGGCAATACTTCCTGCCTACTTCACAGGGTAATACTGCCTGCCTACTTCACAGGGATTTTTTGAGTTACAATATGGAAAATCCTTAAAACCAGATAAGGTATATAGTAGCACTCTATAAAAAGTGAACTATTTTATTTTGTTAATGATTTTAACATTGACTGTGATGATCTTACAAAGGTATCCAAGATATATGCCAAAATATTAAGAGTACTATCATAAGATTTCTGGCAGCTTTTTAAAAAATTGTATACATACTTAAAATATATTGTATATAATTTTTAAATAAATAAATACAAGAAATATTAGTGCTTTTTGAACATGAAGTTCATCTGACTGCCAATGTTTCATCAGAAAGATTCTATAAAGTTGCTCACTAATGCATATTACTATATTTCTGTCAAAGGCATTTAATTATTAAGTCATCTGAGGAGTTTAATTGCTTGTTATACCTATTGACTTACAGTTGGAAATATAATGTGATTTTCTTTTTAATTTGAAGATGATAATTTACAGACTAGGCTTTTCTCATTTTAGGTTTAATGATGCTTTATTTCCTATTGGAAAGACTGTTTTGTTTCTCATCCCCAAACATTTTAATAATGCTTCTACTTAGAGTGTTAAATGAGGAATGACAAGTTTAAACTAGTATTATTTTGTGGGTAGCTGAGTAACGTCAGCAAGACGCCTCAGAAGAGATGCTTGATGCTCACCACCACCACAAAATGAACCACGACAACCCATAGACAGCTAAGATTTGACTGGAGGGAGAGTGCTGAAAACAATGGGAAAGTGGAAACGCACCTATGGTGATTGGAAGCATAGGAGGACATATGGAGACACCCAGCCTCTGCAGACACTCTCCCCCACTTAGATTGACCCAGAGTCGGGAGTGAGTTCCTGTTGTGGGGAAAGAGAAGCAGACTGATAGGATTTGGTTCTGTGTCCCCACCCAAATCTCATCTTGAAATGTAATCCCCACATGTCCAGGGAGGAACCTGTAATCCCCACCTGTCCAGGGAGCAAGGTGATTGGATCATGGGGCAGTTTCCCCCAAGCTGTTTTGATGATAGTGAGTGACTTCTCATGAGATCTGATGGTTTTATATGGGGCTTTTCCCCCTTCACTTTCCCTCTCTTTCCTGCTGCCTCGTGAAGAAATAGGTACTTGTTTCTTCTTCACCTTCTGCCATGATCGTAAGTTTCCTGGGGCTTTTCCAGCCATGTGGAACTGTGAGTCAATTAAACCTCTTTCCTTTATAAACTACCCTGTCTCAGGTATTCTTTACAGCAGTGTGAGAATGGACTAATACACAGAGGAACCTCACCAGTCCCATTGCCACTCCAAACACTTACAGTCTGTACTATAGGGAAATCCCACAGTCCTTGAAAGCCCTGAGGCCACTTTGAATAGCTGCTGGGAATTCACACAGCTGCATTGCCATGCATTAGAAGCACAAGGTGGACAATCTCCACCCTTCATCTACTGTGACCAAACTGCTTCAGCACAGGGTCATCTGGAAATGAGTGCCACCTCTGGAGTGTGCCCTGCTTTGAGGCCAGTAGGCACTGCACCTCTCCAGCACTGGGGCTTCATTTTCATTCCACCAAGTCCACAAAGGTGGCTTAACACCACAATATCACTGTGCTAAGCTTGGCCCAGTATCCGCTATGACTGTGGTCCTGCAGAGCAGGGAAACTAACACCCACGATCAACACTCCCAGCTGGAGAAACAGTCTGGCACTCTCACTCAGTGCAAACCTGCCCATAAGCTAGCCAAACCACTGTACACCCCTCCCTAGTGGGAAAAGTCTCTGAGTTACCAAGCAGTTGACATGCACCCTGGCTGGCAGCATAAATACATGCCCACGCCTGGGGCCTGACAAATAGCCCTACAGCCCTACATTGCTTCCCCACTCTCCATGGACATTTCTCTGCCGGGCCCAATGTGGGTGCCTATAATCAGGGCCGGGGAAACAGCCGTGCCTGTGGGTCACCCCTGGCAGACATGCCCCCAGGCCAGCTGATCAGTCACGTGCCCACATCTCAAGCCCAAGACAGAGCACCAATTGACACTCTTTAAGGGAACACACCCAGGGCTACTGAGCAGCTTTGTGCCTGTATCCAGGCTAGAAAAATAGCCCTAGGGACTGCCTTTGGTGAGCATGCCCCCAGGCCAGCCAAATAGCTATATGCCAATGTTATCAGCCTAAGAAACAACCCTTTAAGGTTCCCCTGGTGGTCAAGCCCTGAGGCTGGCCAAACAGACTTATGACCATATCCCAGGCCTGATAAACAGTCTTTTGGGCCAGACCGGGCAGGCACATAGCCAAGGCAGCCAAGCAGCCTTGCACATGTGTCCTGGGCCTTAGAAACAGCCCTGTGGACTGTTCCCAGCTGACTTATCTCCAGGCCAGACTGGTAGAAACAGCCTCATGGGACATCTCTGGCAGACATTCCTCCAGGCCAGCCAAACAGCTGTGTGCCCATGTTCCAGGCCTCAGAAACAGTCCCATGGGCTGCTCCTGGTTGAAACACCCCCACATTGGCCAAGTAGCCTTGTGCCTACATCCAAAGCCTGATAAACAGCCCTGTGGTTCACTGCCAGCAGACATGCACGCAGGCCAGCTGAGTAACTAGGTGGCTGTGCCCCCACCCAGAGTAACAGCCTTATGGCTCTAACCCCAGTGAAACAGACCTTATGATGGCAAACCCACTGTGTGGACACACGTACCCCCAACCTGAGAAACAGCCTAATAAGGCAACACCAGGCAAAGCTGCACCACCACTGCCATAAATTCTCTCAACTTAGGCCACTGAGATGCTTGCAAATGTCACTAGCATGGATTACATCTGAAGAAACTACACAGAGATTACACTATTGTGTCCAACTAGAACCAAAGCCAGTGCATCCCACCTAATGGATACACCAAGCTCCACCTATACAAATAAGCCTTCCCCTAGAAAACCCCCTCCATAAAGTTGGAAGAGGTAACTGTTTTACCAGATGTGTAGGCACACATTAAACATTAAAAAAAGCAAAAAAAAAAAAAAAACCAAAAAACAGACACTTCTAAAATAACAAAAAATTATCCAGTAATAGACCTCAATCATAAGGAAAAATACAAAATTCAAGGAAAAGAATTTATTGTAATAATCTGAAGAACACTCACTGAGACACAGAAAAATATAGACAGAAAATTCAACAAAATTATGAAAATAATTCACTATTATTTTTATTACTCACTTAACGTAGGATATTATGTTAAGTGAAGTTAGTGAGAAATTGAAAGTTAATCAGTGCATGTTCTTACTCATTTGTGGAAGCAAAAAAGGTGATTTCCTAGAAGTATAAAGGAGAACAGAGGATAATACAGGTTAGGAAGGGCAAGGGGAAGAGGAAGATACAGAGATTTTTCAAAGAATATAAAATTATAGCTACACAGAAAAAATAAGTTCTAGTGTTCTATGCCATTGTAGATTGACTACAGTTAACAATAATATATCATATAATTTCAAATAGCTAAAGGGAATATATTAAATTTTCTGAACACAAAGAAATAATAAATGTTTGAGATGAATAGTTATTCTAATTACCTTGATCTGATCATTATACATTATATGTATCAAATATCACTATGTACTTCATAAATATGTACAATTATTATGTGCCAATTTAAAAATATACAATCAATACATACAAAATAAATAGAATTAGGAAGGTAGAGAATGTGAAAAAATAAAAACAGTTATAAATTAATGTCTGTGAAATAAGCTATTAATTTTCTGAGGGTAGCTCAGTAACTCTTGTGAAGTAAATTGCATAACTATATCTCTCAATTTTAATGACTTGCATCAAAAATATGTTTTAGGCTGATGTAATTGTGGTTTTACCATTACTTTTAATGCCATTATTTTTTAATTTGTTATTACTTGTAATGGCAAAACCACAATTACTTTTGCACCAAGCTAATATAAGTACAAGTCACATTCTAGTTTGATATTAGCCATAATATTTTTTCTTAGTGATGAAGAATACAGAAATAATAATCATTTGCTTTTTCTAGATATCATACTACCTAGGTAAGTATTTCTTAAAGTAATTTCAGAGCTTGTGTACCGGCACATAATTATCAAGCAAATCACTTAAGGTCAATTTTATATCTAATACATGGCAATAAAGTTGCAGTCCAGTCAGCAAAACCTTGGCATAACCTTTATTCTGTTCAGAAAATTCTATTAATTCTAATTGTTGCTGGCTTAATGAAAGTGTGATTCAATATTCTATATTGACCTTGGGCCATTTCTTTTTAGGGGTGGTCATGTCACTAGTAAAGGTATAAGAGTCATTTTTAACTTTAAATATTTAAACTCACACCTACTCTAAATTCTAAGCAAAAGAAAACTGAATAAACAAAATTATCCTGAATCAATAAAGCTTCACAATAAGTTTACCCTAGACTTTTAAAGCCCATAACTAAGTAAATCCAGTTTTGTTCATAACTACTTCTTGCCACCCTCCTCACTATTATGTTATCACTCCCATTGAATCAGCTTCATACTGCCCTAGAAACTTGTTCTATAATCGTTTATCTTTAAATTTGCACCCTCCAATCATTTGTTTTACCTGAAAACATGCTTCTTCCTGATGACACCAGTTTACCTATAGCTTGCTTGAACACATGACTACACGTTTTTTCTCTTCCCATATAGCACAAAGACTTTAAGAATACAGTGACATAAAGCTAGCTCTCTCAAATGCTAAATCATTGCTATTAGGCCCATTTTTAGAAATTGTAATTGGAAGCTTGACTTTCAGTTGTGCCATCCTTTACTACTTCACTCATCTAAGCATAAATATATGAATACCTGCCTCTGAGTTTACAAATTAATTGAGAAAGTCAGAAATTTCCAGAACTTCTTGGTCTCCTACCCATTTATAAATGCTTCCAATTTATAACCATGCTTTATCTCTTCCTTCCATTTCATCATAGAAATAGTCCTCCTATTTAATGAAACTCATATCTCAGAGACCTTATGTTTGTTTCTTCCTTTTTTTTCATAGTTTTCAACCTCTCTTTACCTTCAATATGCCCAAAGTTCTCCTATATTAAAAACACACAGCACGTAAACACATACACATACATACACACACACACACACACACACACACGTGTTCAGGCACTCTCATGTCCCTTTCTGTTAAGTATTTACATTTCTCATATTTCTTAAAAGTCAAAAACACTTGGTCTTCACCACTGATCTTTAGTTCACCACTTGACCCACTGCTGCATGCTCTCTATCCCTGACATGCCACTGAAATTTCTCTGAATGAGGTCACTAGTGCTCTATTATTAAATAAAATAAACCATCTTCAAACCCTGATTCACTTTTAGGTACACTTGTCATTATTTGCTACTTCCTTCTATTTGAAATTAACTCATTTTTTGTCTACCATATTGCCCAGCTTTGCTGCTTTTCACTACCATACTAGTCTGTGTATCCTTTTCACAAGATCCTCTTCTGTTTCCCCAAGATCCTTCTTCTGTTAATTGTGGATACTTCCAGGACTTCCAGGTGCTCCTATTTTGTCTTCAACTTACATATTATTCATAAGAAAGATCTCATCAATACATGTAGTTTCAACAATCACTATGTTATTGCAACCACCAAATCATATCACTAGACTCATTTTCTCTTTCTTACTGCCAGATATCTCTATTAGGCCTCCAACTGAAACTCACCATTTCTATATTAGCTTTCTATTGCTGCTATAACAAATTGCCAGAAACTCTGGTTTAAAACAACATAAATTTGTTATCTTACATTTTGGAGATCAGGAGTCTGAAATGAGTCTTACTATGTTGGAAATCTAGGTTTCCACAGGGCTGTATTCCTTCTGGAAGTTCTAGAGGAGAATTCATTTCTTTGCTTTTTCCTGCTTCTGGAGGTAACCCGAATTCCTTAGCTTATGGCCCCCTCCTCTGTCTTCAAAGCCAGCAGCATAACAACTTTAAATCTTTTATTTATTTTCTTTCTCTCTCTGACCTGTACTTAGATAGCCATATTTTCATCTGACACTCCTGCCTCCTTTTCCTTTTAAGGGGCTTGGTGACTTAATTGGGCCTATATGGATAATACTAGATAAACACCCCCATTTCAGGATCTTTAATTTTATGATCTCTGCAAAGTACCTTTTGGTATTTAAAGTAACATATTCACAGTTCAGGAGACTGGAATGGGGACATATTTAGTGTACCATTTTTCTGTATACCACAGTGTCCAAAAAAAGACAGTAATTGTCCTGAAATGATACTGTATTAATTTTAAAGATTATTGTTTCAATCAATTAGAATTAAATACAAATGGGACATTTTATATATGTTGGGAAAAGCTGAGTATTGGGAGAAGCTGAGGCAGGGCTTTCATGTCTGACATAATGTAAAAGAGTCTTGGAACATGTCCGGGGTCCAGGGTCTAAAACCCTTTGTGGACTTTGGAACACCAAGCTCTGTGCTAAAGGGTGGAAGGCTACCCTGACGCACCATAATCTAAGCCCAGGGCATAAAACCCCTCATGGCTTGGATAGAATCCAGGGCTCGTGGCTCTGGAATGGAATCCTTGCTCCTTGCTGTCCCAGGATCGATTGTATCTTGAGTTAAAAGAACCTGCTCTCCATTATCTCAAGTAACAGAGCAAATGCTAAACCATCACAGCTGTAAATCATATGCTTAATGCAGAGCGCCCTTTTGACCCCCACATTCTCACCACCTGTTTCTTTGTTTGATCACCAATAAATAGTCTGGGCTTCCAGAGCTTGGGGCCTTCGCAGCCTCCACACTCATGATGGCCCCCTGGACCTGCTTTTCTCTCTCAAACTGTCTTTTCTGATTCCTTTGACTCCCCCTGACTTCATCACCCCCATGACCTGGTGTTGGGTCTGATCACTTCAACAATATAAATATAAATGGGATATTTGAACTACTGGAAGATATATTTCAGCGGAGATATACACGATGCCTATGCATGTAATATGTAGAACTGATATTTTCTCAAGTCTATAATTCTTTTTGTTACATATAAAGACAACAAACTTGCTCTTCAAGAAATTATTATTGCATTTTTATTATTGCATTTTTAAATGTGGATGTTGCTCTGCTAACCACTTAGCGAGACTTGAGTGACCATTGTTAAATAATTAGACTTTAAAAATACTTAAAGATGAGGGGTAAATATAAGTAATGTATAGTATTTTTTAATGAAGGAAGGAAGGTATGATATAGAACTGCAAGAATAAAACTTAATATTTGTTTTAAGTTAAACATTTATTTATAAAAACTATAGTCTTGCTTTCAAGAAACTTTTCAACATGGAGACCTATAACTTACTTCACATATACTTAACTAAAATATGTTAACAGGTGATTTTACCTGTTACCTGATCTTTTACATTTTTGCTCTACCAAAAGAGCTGCAGCAAACAACAGCATCCTAAAGACTGGAAAGATAGTCAATGTTTAGGGTTTTTGTGTAAATATTCTTCCAGGATTCCCTTGACATTACTAGATGGCATTTTTACTGTTTTTGTTTTATCTATACCCAAAATGAGGCTTACATATCTGAATTTTTAAAAAGCCGTAATGCATGCAGTAATTATTGCTGATATTTTTTCCTTTAATATGCATTAAGTATAGGGTTTTAGTTTGTCATAATTTTAAAATGTTAAATAAACCCATTGTTTTTCTTTTAAGTCACTGCATGTACTAGAAACAATATTTATACTCTTAATGAAGATGGCATTTTCTGAACTACCTGGCCATTTCCTAATGAATGAATACTGCAGAAAAATAAGTAAAGCTCAACTATTCAGTTACAAATGTTGCACGTTACATTAATATTATAAGACCTTTATTATTTCCAAATTTTCAGTTGATTTTATTCGACTATTTTTTTAAGAAGAAAGCTATTATGTTGATAGATAAAGAGAAAACTGAAGAAAGACTCATGAAAATATAAGAAGAGTGAAAGGAGGAAAAAATGTAAAAACATCAGTTTTGAGAGATTCAGTAAGAATATTTCCATTAATTTTTAGGCAATTTTCTTCATTGTTTTTATAGAAATAAGGTATACACTTTTGATATTTATCTATTTTTGTTCTCTAGATATTTCTCAGTAAATTATTTCATGTTAAAAATTTGGAAGTTAGAGTATCTTGCTATAAACATTTTGTATCTAAAAGCAGCAGAGTTATCCTCAGGAGAAATAAATAAATAATAACTTTGATCCATGAATTTCTGTTGACCACAATAATAAAATATTTTTGGGAAAGGCCTGCCTCACCCACCATTGGTGCCTGTACAAGTCGCTTGGGGTCCTGGGGTTCAGCCAACCCTGCCAGTCACCAGTGATGCCTGCAGATAACATCTAGTGGTCTGAGGACAAGCCTGCTATTCCCAGAACTGCTGATACCCATGCACATTATCTGGGCCCTCTGGATAAGTATGCTCCAATGAATACCACCACCATGGTGCCTGAGGACTGGCCCACCTGATGTCCCTATTCTTAGAAAAGCTTCACCAATCCTTCACTAAAAACCACAGCCTAAGTCATGAGGAAGTCATGGACACCACTGATGCTGATTACCAACAAATAATTATATGGAGACTACATAACAGTACCTGCTCAGAATCAAAGCCAAAACACTGTAGTAAACAAACACTATAAATATATCTGTATGAAAAAGTGTTTCTCTAAGAAGGCCAATCCATTAAATTGGGAAACAGTGACTATTTCACCATTGGTATCAACATAAGGACACAGGAACATGAAAAAGCAAGGAAACATGACAACTCCAAAGAAACATAATAGTGCTTCAGTAACAGATCCTAATGGAAAGGAAATATATGAATTACCTGAAAAATAATAATCATATTAAGGAAACTCAGTGAGTTACAAAAGAACACAGATAAACCATACAAAGAAATCAGAAAAAAATTCTAAGCTGAATAAAAAATTAAATAAAGATATAGATGTAATAAAAAGCAACCAAATAGAAATCCTGGAAATTAAGAATTTATTAAATGAAAATTTAAAAATACAATGAAGAGCTACAACAATAAACTAGATCAATCACAAAAAAATTCTGAACTTGAAAAGTTTTTTAATAACACCATCAGACAAAAGAAAATAAAAGAAAGATGAAGCCTGCTTATATGACATATATGACATCATAAAGTGATAAAATATTTGAGTCTGGGAGTTTCAGAGCGAGGAGATAGGCAAAAACATGGAAAGTTCATTTAACAGAATAATAGTTTAAAAACATTTCAAGTCTTACAAGTGATATTGATATCTACATTTATGAAGCTCAAAGATTCCCAAATAGATTTAACACAAAAAGTAATCCCCAAAGCACATTATAGTCAAATGGAGAAAAGTCAAGGACAAAGAAAAAGTTATAATAACAGCAAGAGAAAAGCATGAAGTCACATATAACCAAGCAAAACACAAACAAACAAAACTAAACTAAATGTCAGCCAAGCATATTTTACATAGCAAAGAAAAGCCGTCCTTCAAAAATCAAGAAGAAATAAAATTTTTCCCAGACAAACAAAAACAGAAAAGTCATCATCACTAAACCAGTCCTATAGGAAATGCATAAGTGAGTCCTATATCTGAAAGTTAAATGACAGTATCTACAATTATCAAAACACATGGAAGTGTAAAACTCACTCATAGAGCAGATACACAAATGAGAAATAGAAAGGAGTCAAACATTACCACTACAGAAAAATATCAAACCATGATGATAATTAGAAAGTAACAAAAGCTACACAAAACAATGAGAAAACAATTAACAAAATAATATAAATAATTCTCATTTATCAGTAATAATGTAGACTGTAAACAAATCCAATTTTTCACTTAAAAATATAAACAGAATGGATAAAAAACAATGCGCCAACTACATGTCAACTATAAGAAACTCACTTCACTAAAAATAAAAGACTACAGACAGTCTATGCAATTGGAAACCAAATGTGAGCAGGCATACCTATATTTGTGTCAGACAGAACAGACTTTAAGTCAAAAACTGTAGAAAAAAAAGAAAAAGATTATCATATAATAATAATGGAATCAATTCAGGAATAGAATATAATACTGGAGCACCCAGATATACAAAACAAATATTGTTAGATCTAAAGGGAGAGAGAGAATCTAATACTACAATACTCAGAACTTCAACACTCTTCTCTCAGCATTGAACAGATTAGGTATGCAAAATATTAATGCAGAAACATCAGCTTTAAACTGCATTTTACAACAAATGGATCTAACAGACATTTAGAGAAGATTTAATTCAACAGCCACAGAAGACATATTCTTATTAGCACACGGAACATTCTCTAGGATAGACCACATATTAGTCCACAAAAAAACATAAAGATACCAAAATCATATCAAATAATCTTCCCAGATCACAATGGAATGAAACTAGAAATCAATAACAAGAAAAACTTTAAAAACTGTAGAAATACATAGAAATTCAACAACATGCTCTTGAACAACCAATGGGTTAATGAAGAAATTAAGATGAAAAACCAAAACCAAAACAAATAAAAAATGAAAACACAGCATACCAAAAACCTATGGCATATAGCAAAAGCAGTGCTCAAAGGGACTTTTATAAGAATAAATGCCTACATCAAAAAGGATAAATTTTAAATAAACAATCTAATGATGTATCTCAAAAAACAAGAAAAGCAAGAACAAAACAAAACCAAAATTGTTAGAAGGAAAGATTTAAAAAATATCAGAGCAAAACTAAATTAGAGAATAAAGAAACATACAAAGAATCAGTGAAATAAATAGTTGTTGTTGTTGTGTGTGTGTTTTTAAGATAAATGAAACCAAGAAACTTCTAGCTAGACTAACCAAGAAAATAAGGGAGAAGGCCCAAGTAAATAAAATCAGAAATAAAGAGACTTTAAATCACAGATATCCCAAGGGTCAATAGAAACTGTTATGAACAGCTACAAACTAACAAATGGGAAGACCAAAAGAGAAAATGGACAAGTTGCTGGACACATAAAACCTACCAAGATTAAATCAGGGAGAATTAAAAAAAAATTGAACAGATAAATAATAAATTACAACATTGACAACATCTTCAAAAAACAAAATTATAGTACTAAATAGCTTGATAAATTGTACCAAGCTTATAAAGGAGAGATAACATCAATTTTTTTCAGACTTTGCCAACAAATTGAAGATGAGAGAATTCTTTCTGTCTCATCTATGAGGCTGGCATTACCATGATACCAAAACTAGACAAAGATACAGTAATAAAAATGAAAATTACAAGCCAATGACCCTCATGAACATAGATGCCAAAATCCTCAACAAAATACTAGCAAGTTTAGTCCAATAACACATCAAAAAAAAATACACCATGATCAAGTGAGGTTGGTTCCACGAATTCAAGGATGGTTCAACATACACAAATCAACAAACGTAATATATCACATTAATAAAGGACAAAACCACAAAGCCATATGACCATCTCAATAGATGTAGACAAAACATTTGATAAACCTCAATATTCTTTCATGATAAAGTTTCTGGGCAAATTCAGCATAGAAGATGCATGCCTCTACATCCAAAAAGTCATGTATGACAAGCCCACAGCTAATATTATACTGAACTGGGAAAAGCTGAACACATTTTTTATAATAACTGGAACAAGAAAAGAAATCCCAATTTCACCAGTTGTATTAAACATATTACTTACTGAAAGTACTATTCAGAGCAATTAGATCAGAGAAAGAAATAAAACATAACAAAACTGGAAAAAAGGAAGTAAAATTGTACTTCTTTGCAGAAAACAAAATCTTATATAAAGATAAACCTGAAGACTCTACTAAAGAAAACACAAACTATTAGAATGGATCAGTGAATACAGTAAAGTTTCAGGATACAAAACCAACATACAAAAATCAGTAGCATTTCTATACACCAATAAGTAGCTGAAAAAGAAACTAAAAAAGCACTTTCATTTAAAGTAGTTCAAAAATATGCTTATGAATAAATTTAACCAAGGAGGTGAAAGAAATCAGAGATACCTCATGCTCATGAACTGGAAGAATATATATTGTTAAAAAACATATTACACAAAACAATCAACAGAGTAAATGAGATTTCTGTCAAAATACTCATGACATTTTTATCAGAAATAAAAAAAATTATCCTATAACTCATATGGAACCACAAAAGACCCTGTGATCGTTAATACTGAGTGTCAACTTGACTGAATTGAAGGATGCAAAGTATTGTTCCTGGGTGTGTCTGAGAGGTTGTTGCCAAAGGAGATTAAAATAGAGTCAGTGAACTGAGAGAGGCAGACCCACCCTCAGTCTAATCAGCTGCCAGCATAATTAGAATAAAGCAGGCAGAAGAAGGTGGAAAGAGCAGACATGCTGAGTTTTCCAGCCTTCATCTTTCCCCCATGCTGGATGTTTCCTGCCCTTGTACATCAGACTCCAAGTTATTCACCTTTTGGACTCTTGAACTTATACCAGTGGTTTTCCAGGGGCTCTCAGGTCTTCAGACCCAGATTGAAGGCTCCACTCATAGTATTTCTAATTTTGAGATTTTGGGACTGAGGCTGGCTTGCTTGATACTCAGATTGTAGGTGGCCTATTGTGGGACTTCACCTTGTGATCCTGTGAGTCAATGCTCCTCAATAAATTCCCCTTCATATATACATCTATCCTATTAGATCTGTCCCTCTAGAAAACCCTGACTAATACAGATTTTGGTACCAGGCGTGTTTCTAGAGAAACCAACTTTTAAATATGGATTTCTTTAGTTGCTTTGGCATTTCTGGAGTTGGCTGCTTTATCTTACTAGACTCCAAAATGCTAAGGACTCTACTTCTAAAAGTATAGAGAACACTGATAGTCCTGGGCATGAACTGTTTAGAGAGTTGTGCAAAATAAATACACATTTGATACTCCTGATTCACTGCTCTTGAGAGGCAAGGAGTTTAGTGACTCTATACATATACCTTTCACCACATGTGGAGAACCAACGAATATAATGACATTGGTTGGCTGCTCTAAGTTCACTGGACAAAGTGATGAAAGAAAATGAAATTCTCAGGGTTTCTAACTCTCAGCTTCAGAAGCACACTCTGAGCCTCAAATCTTCTAAGACTGTTCTGAGTGGGAATTTTATCTCCTGTAGACAAAAGGCTGAAATTGCAGAAAATCAGACACAAGCTCTTATGTGAGTGGCTGTCCTGCAAGGAAAGGTGCACTCTCAGCCTTGCCAGGTGTCTACTGTTAAAGTGAGGGCACTGGTTGGAAAAGAATGGGACCCTGCCACTTGGAATTGGGACAGGTGGGAGGATGCTGATGATGCTGGGGGCGCTGAGCTCCTAAATTCTGAGGAGGCTTTTTTTGCCAGAGGAAAAAGCCTCCTCACTCCTAGTAGTGGCAACATCCCCTCCCCTACCCATGCTACCACCAGCCTTTACACCTTTGTCTGAGGAGATTAACCCTGATTTGTCTGGGGCAAATGACCTCCCCAGAGGCAATTTCCAGGCAAGACAATGCTGATTCTCCTCAGAACCCATCCCCAACACCTCTGTTTGCTTCTAGACCTATAACTAAAGTCCTGCAGGCCCCTAGAGGTGAGGTTCAGAGTGTGACCCATGAGGAGGTGCACTACACTCCAAAACAACTGCTTGAGTTTTCTAATTTATATAAGCAGAAATCTGGAGAACACCCATAGGAATGGATATTAAGGGTGTGGGATAATGGTAGAAAGAACATAAAGTTGCATCAAATTGAATTTATTGATATGGGCCTAACCAGGGATTCTGCATTTAATGTTCCAGCTAGGGGAGTTTAAAAAGGTCCTAATAGTTTATATACTTGGTTGGCTGAAACATGGATAAAAAGATGGCCCATTTTGAGTGAGCTGGAAATGCCTGATCTCCCTTGGTTTACAGTAGAGGGAGGGATCCAAAGGCTTAGGGAGATTGGGGTGCTGGAGAGGATTAGTCACTTTAGACCTACTCATCCCAACTGGGATGGTCCAGAAGACATACCCTTCACCAATACCTTGTGAAACAGATTTGTGAGGGGAACACTTGCATCCCTGAAGAGTTCTGTGATTTCTGTTCTCTGCATGCCAGATCTAACAGTGGGAACCATAGTCACTCAATTGGAAAATTTAAATGCAATGGGAATAATTGGATCCCAAAGTGGCAGGAGCCAACTGGTGACACTCAACTGTCAAAGGCAAGGTGGGCACACTTACCCTAATGGACAGCAGAGGCAAAGCAGCAATCAGAATGTAGAGCTCTGGCATGGGCTAATTAATCACAGTGTTCCTAGAAGTGAAATTGATAAGAAGCCTACTGCATTCTTACAGAATTTGTATAAGCAGAAAAATTCCAGGTTGAGTGGACCAAAGACTAATTTGAATTATAAAAATAGAGAATCATGGCTCCTAAATCAATTTTCAAACTTGAACCAGTTTACAGGCCCAGAACCTTAAATAAAGGGGAGGCTGGGTCCCCTTGAGGAAGGACCCAATTACACTACTGAAAAGTTATTCTGTTAATCTTTCTCCCATCCTTCCCCAAGGAGACCTCTGGTCTTTTACCAGGGTAACTGTGCTTTGGGGATAGGGGAATGATCAGACCTTTTGGGAACTACTGGACACTGGCTCTAAGTTATTGACTCCAGGGGACCCAAAAGGTTATTGTGGTCCTCCAGTTAAAGTAGGGGCTTATGGAGGTCAGGTAATTAATGGAGTTTTAGCTGAGGTCTGACTTACAGTGGGTCCAGTGTGTTCCTGGACTCATCCTGTGGTCATTTCCCCAGTGCCAGAATGCATAATTGGCACTGACATACTTAGCAGCTGGCAGAATCCCCACATTGGTTCCCTGGCTGGTAGAGTGAGGACTATTATGGTGGGAAAGGCCAAATGGAATCCAGTAGAGCTGCCTCTACCTAGAAAAATAGTAAATCAAAAATAGTATCATATCTGTGGAGAGATTGAAGAGATTAGTGCCACCATCAAAGACTTGAAAGATGCAGGGGTGGTGATTCCCGCCATATCCCCATTCAACTCTCCTATTTGGCCTGTGCAGAAGAAAGATGAATCTTGGAGAATGACAGTGGATTATAGTAAGCTTAACCAGGTAGTAACTCCAATTGCAGCTGCTGTAGCAGTAGTTTCATTTTTGATCAAATTAACACATTTTCTGGTATGCAACCATTGATTTGGCAAATCCCTTTTTTTTTTTCTATTCCTGTCTATAAAGCCCACCAGAAGCAATTTTCCTTCAGCTGGCAAGGCCAGCAATATACCTTCACTGTTGTACCTCAGGGGTATATCAACTCTCTGGCTTTGTGTCATAATCTTGTTTGGAGTGACCTTGGTCATTCTTCCCTTCCACAAGATATCACACTGGTCCATTACATTGATGGCATTATGCTGATTGGGTCCAGTAACAATAAGTAGCAAACACACTGGACTTATTGGTGATACATTTGCATGCAATGGGATGGAAAATAAATCCGACTAAAATTCGGGGAACTTCTACCTTAGTAAAATTTCTGGGGATCCAGTGGTGTAGGGCCTGTTGAGATATTCCTTCTAAGGTGAAAGATAAGTTGCTGTATTTGCCCCTCGTACAATCAAGAAAGATTCACAATGCCTAGTGGGCCTGTTTGAATTTTGGAGGCAACACATGCCTCATTTGTGTGTGTTATTCTGGCCCATTTATCCAGTGACCTGAAAGGCTGCCAGTTTTGAGTTGGGTCTAGAACAGGAGAAGGCTCTGCAACAGGTCCAGGCTGCTGTGCAAGCTGCTCTGCCACTTGGGCCATATGACTCAGCAGATCCAATGGTTCTTGAGGTGTCAGGGGCAGAGAGGGATGCTGTTTGTAGCCTTTGGCAGGCCCCCATAGGTGAATTACAGCAGAGGCCTCTGGGATTTTGGAACAAGGTCCTACTATCTTCTGCAGATAACTACTCTCTTCTTGAGAGACAGCTCTTGGCCTGTTACTGCGCTTTGGTAGAAACTGAACATATGAATATGGGTCATCAAAGTCACCATGTGACCTGAACTGCCTATCATTAAGTGGGTGCTTTCTGTCCCATCTAGCCATAAAGTTGGGTGTGCACAGCAGCATTTCATCATCAAGTTGAAGTGGTATATATGTGATCAGGCTCAAGCAGGTCCTGACGTCACAAATTACATGAAGAAGTGGCTCAAATGCCCATGGTCCCCACTCCTACCACCCTGCCTTCTCTCTCCCAGCCTGCACTGATGGCCTCATGGGAAGTTCCCTATGATCAGTTGACAGAGGAAGGAAAGACTAGGGCCTGGTTTACAGATGGTTCTGCAAGGTATGCAGGCATTACCTGAAAGTGGGCAGCTGCAGCACTACAGCCCATTTCTAGGACATCCCTGAAGGTCAGTGGCAAAGAGAAGTCTTTCCAGTGGGGAGAACTTCAAGCAGTGCACCTGGTTGTGCACTTTGCATGGATGGAGAAATGGCCAGATGTGTGATTATATACTGATTTATGGGCTGTACCCAATGGCGTGGCTGGATGCCCAGGGACTTAGAAAAAGCATGATTAGAGAATTGGTGACAAATAAATTTGGGGAAGAGGGATGTGGATGGACCTCTCTGAGTGGTCAAAAACTGTGAAGACATTTGTATCCCATGTGAGTGCTCACCAACAGTGACCTCAGCAGAGGAGAATTTTAATAATCAAATGGATAGGATGACTTGTTCTGTGGACACCACTTAGCCTCTTTCCCAGCCACCCTTGTCATTGCCCAGTGGGCCCAAGAACAAAGTGGCCATGGGGGCAGGGGTAGAGGTTACTCATGGGGTCAGCAACATGGACTTCCACTCACCAAGGCTGACCTGGCTACAGCTACCGCTGAGTGCCCAATTTGCCAGCAGCAGACAGCAGCACTGAGCCCTCAATATGGCACCCTATCTTGGGGTGATCAGCCAGCTACTTGGCGACAAGTTGATTATATTGGATCTCTTCTATCACGGAAAGGGCAGCAGTTTGTCCTCACCTGAATAGACAGTTACTTCGGATTTGGGTTTGTCTATTGTGATGGTTAATACTGAGTGTCAACTTGATTGGATTGAAGGATACAAAGTATTGATTGTGGGTGTGTCTGTGATGGTGTTGCCAAAGGAGATTAACATTTTAGTCAGTGGGCTGGGAAAGGGAGACCCACCCTTAACCTGGGTGGGCACAATCTAATCCGCTGCCAGCACAGCTAGAGTATAAAAGCAAGCAGCAAAATATGAAAAGAGAGACTTGGACTGGCCTCCCAGCCTACATCTTTCTCCCGTGGTGGATGCTCCCTGCCCTTGAACATTGGACTCCAAGTTCTTCAGTTTTGGAACTCAGACTGGCTCTCCTTGCTCCTCAGCCTGCAGATGGCCTCTTGTGGGACTTTGTGATCATGTGAGTTAATACTTAGTAAACTCATATACATATATATATATATATATATATATATATATATATATATATATATGTATATGTATATATATGTATTATATGTATTATTGTATTATATATGTATATATGTATTATATATACATAAATGTATATAGGTATGTATATGTATGTATAATACATATATGTATATATTATATGTATTATATATGTATTATATGTATATATACATACATATGTATACAATGTATCTGTGTGTGTGTGTATATATATATATATATATTCCACTAGTTCTGGCCCTCTAGAGAACCCTAACTAATACACCTATCCTGCAAGCAATGTTTCTTCCAAGACTACCATCCATGGAATCACAGAATGCTTTATCCTCCATCATGGTATTTCACATAGCATTGACTCTGACCAAAGCAATTACTTTATGGCTAAAGAAGTGTGGCAGTGGGCTCACGCTCATGGAATTCACTGGTCTTACCATGTTCCCTATCATCCTGAAGCAGCTGGATTAATACAAGAGTGGAATACCCTTTTGAAATCAAATTACAATGTCAACTAGGTAACAATACTTTGCAGGGCTGTGGCAAAGTACTCCAGGAGGCTGTGTGTGTTCTGAATCAGTATCCAATATATGGTACTGTTTCTCCCATAGCCAGGATTCACAGGTCCATGAATCAAGGGGTAGAAGTCGAAGTGACACCAATCACCATCACCCCTGGTGACTCAGTAGCAATTTTTTTGTTTCCTGTTCCTGTGACATTACGTTCTGCTGGCCTAGAAGTCATGTTATCAGAGGAAGAAATGCTGACACCAGGAGACACAACAATGACTTCATTAAACAGGAAGTTAAGATTGCCACCTGGCCACTTTGGGCTCCTCTCACCTCTAAGTCAATAGGCTAAGAAAAGAGTTACAGTGTTGGCTAGGATGACTGACCTGGATTATCAAGATGAAATCAGTCTACTACTCAACAATTAGGATAAGGAAGAGTATCAGTGGAATACAGGAGATCCCTTAGGGCATCTCTTAGAATTACCATGCCCTGTGATTAAGGTCAATGGGAAATTACAACAGCCCACTCCAGGCAGGACTACAGATGACCCAGACACTTCAGAAATGAAGGGTTGGGTCACTCCACCAGGTAAAAACCACGATGTGCTGAGGTGCTTGCTGAAGGCAATGGGAATACAGAATGGGTAGAAGAAGGTGGTCATCAATACCAGCTACAACCACGTGACCAGTTGCAGAAATGAGGACTGTGATTGTCATGAGTATTTCTTCCTTATTTTGTTAAGGACATGTTTGTGCATGTACACACTTGTACAAGGAAAATGTCTTCATTTTATTTCCTTTCTTTTTCTGATTTATTGACTTCATATCAGCATTTCAGTGTTGTTAACTTTATGTAACAGCACTTAGGTTAAAGATTAGTGTGCTTCTGGTCGACAAAGGATAGCTGTATTATGTTAGGTGTAATTAAGAACTTATTATTCTCTTTATTTGAAGATTATGCTTGATGTCAGGAGATGTATATGGGTTCACGTTGACAAGGGGTGGACTTGTGATGATGAATACTAGTTGTCAATTTGATTGGATTGAAGAATACAAAGCATTGTTCCTGGGTTTGTCTGTGAGGGTGTTGCCAAAGGAGATTAACATTTGAGTCAGTGGACTGGGAGAGGCAGACCCACCCTCAATCTGAGTGGGCACCATCTAATAAGCTGCCAGCTTGATTAGAATAAAGCAGGTAGAGGAAGGTGGAAAGAGCAGATTTGCTGAGTTTTCTGGCCTTTATCTTTCTCCTATACTGGATGCTTCTGCCCTCGAACATCAGACTCCAAGTTATTCCCCTTATGCACTCTTGGACTTACACTAGTGGTCTGCCAGAGGCTCACAGACTGAAAGCTGCCCTGTTCGATTCCCTACTTTTGAGGTTTTGAGACACAGATTGGCTTCCTTGCTCCTCAGCTTGCAGATGGCCTATTGTGGGACTTCACTTTGTGATCATGTGAGTCAATATTCCTTAAACTCCCCTTCATATATATATATATATATATATCCTGTTAGTTCTCTCCCTCTAGAGAACCCTAATACAGACTCTAAATAGCCAAAGCAATCCTGAACAGAAAGAACAAAGCTCAAAGTATCACACTACTTGACTTCAGAAGATACTACAAAGCTATGGTAACCAAAACAGCATGGTATTGGTATAAAAACAGAAACATAGACTGATGAAAAAGCATAGAGAACTTGGAAATAAATTTACGTATATACAGACAACTGATTTTTAACAAAGGCACCAAGAACATTCATTGGGAGAAAGATGCCCTTTTCAATAAACTGTGCTGGGAAAACGGGAAATCCATATGTGGAAGAATTAACATAGAACCCAACTCCTCAGCTTATACAAAAATCAGCTCAAAATGAATTAAAAACTAGCTGAAAAAAATTAAACTAAAAAGGCGCTTCCATTTAAAATAGCTCAAAAATATGTACATGAATAAATTTAACCAAGGAGGTGAAAAAATGGGCGGGGGGAATAAAACAAATAGAAAGACACCTTTGTTTGTGAATTAGAAGAATATATATATATATTCTTCAGGAGAATAGTCTAGGCAAAGGTTTTATGACTAAGACATCAGATTCATAGGGTAAAAGCCTCCAAATAGAAAAATAACACTATATTATACTGAAAACCTTTGCACAGCAAAAGAAAACATTAAACAGATTAAAGAAACAATTGGTTGAATGGGAGAAAATATTTGCAAAGTATTCTTCTGACAAAGAACTAATATCCAA
Organism: Homo sapiens; assembly: GCF_000001405.40. NCBI lineage: Eukaryota > Metazoa > Chordata > Mammalia > Primates > Hominidae > Homo > Homo sapiens. Next base: position 86,569,308 of record NC_000012.12, read on the forward strand.
AATTTACAGGGAATTTAACATCTCCACAGCAGAAAACCAAATAACCCCATTAAAAAGTTGGCAAAGGATATCCGTAGAGCTTTCTCAATACAAATTGTCAATGGGTATATTTAAAAAGTTTGACATCACTTATCATCAGAGAAATGCAAATCAAAACCTTGATATGATATCATCTCTCCCCAGTTAGAATGGCTGGGGAATTGTCTTTTATCAAAAAGACAAAAATACCCCAAATTAAATGTTGGTGAAGATGTAAAGGGAACTCTTAGACTCTGTTGCTATGAGTGTTAATTATCACAGCCATTACGGAAAAACAGTACTGATATTTCTCAAAACACTAAAAATAGAAGTACCAAAAATTGGGCAATTCTACTTCTGGGTATTTATCCAAAGAAAAGAAAACCAGTATATCAAAGAGATATGTGAAGCTCTATTTTTATTGCAGCACTATTTATAATATCCAAAATAGAAAATTAACTTACATGACTGGCAATCGATGAAGGGATTACAAAAACGTGGTGTAAACATACACAATGGAATACTATTCAGCTTTAAGAAAGATAGAAATCCTACTACCTAAGACTATCTAAGACAATATGGATGAACCTGGAGGGCATTCTGTTAAGTAAAATAAACAAAGCATAAAAAGATAAATACATTATCTCACTTATATATAGAATCTAAAAAAGTTGAACTCATTGTAGCAGAGAGTATGATGGTGATTATTAGAAGTTGAGGGTGCAAGCAAAGGCTGGGGAAATGCTGACCAAAAGTCATAAAATTTCAATGAAACAGGATGAATACATTCAAGAGACCTATTGTAACTAACAATGACAATAGTTAATACGTTGTACAATTGAAAATAGCTAAAAGAGTAGATTTTATGTGTTCTCACCACAAAAAAGACAAGTAGTGAAGTAGTGCATATGTAATTAGCTTTAGGTCATTTGACAATGTATACATATATTTAAATGTCATGCTGCACAACACAAATATATAATATTTGTCAATTAAAAATAAATTTTAAAAATTTTACGTATTTTAGACATTCAGAAAGGTATGAGAGTCTCAAATCCTTTTAGATTCAATTTTTTTGTCTAATAAGACTTGTTCAAATGTACTATTTCAAATGTCCTAAGAATGAACATGGACCCCGACTCCTCACCTTGTACAAAAATCAGCTCAAAATGAGTTAAAAACTAGCTGAAAAATTAAACTAAAAAAGCGCATCCATTTAAAATGGCTCAAAAATATGTAATGAATAACTTTAATCAAGGAGGTGAAAAAGTGGCGGGGGAATAAAACAAATGGAAAGACACCTATGTTGGTGAATTAGAAGAATATACATGTATGCTTCAGGACAATGGTCTAGGCAAATGGGGTTTTATGACTAAGACATCAGATTCACAGGGTAAAAGCCCCAAAATATTAATTCATATACAACTACTTCAATTATAGCCGTGTCCATCTATTACCCCCATGTTATTTACTTAATATTTTCTTTTAAATTTATTTATTTATTCAGAGACAGAATCTCACTCTGTCATCCAGGCTGGAATGCAGTGGCGTGACCTTGGCTCACCGCATCCTCCAACTCCTGGGTTTAAGCGATTCTCATGCCTCAAACTCCCAAGTACCTGGAATTACAGGTATATGCCATCACACCCAGCTAACTTTTGTATTTTTTAGCAGAGATTGGGTTTCCCCATATTGCCCAGGCTGGTTTCGAACTCCTGACCTCAAGTGATCCACCCACCTCGGCTTCCCAAAGTGCTGGGATTACAGGAGTGAGCTACCGGTGCCTGCCCTCTTTTAACTTTAATCACTCTTTCTTAGCTTTATTTGAATAATAATACCCATTTATCCTTGAGTTTTAATGCTCATTATTTTTTAATACATTTCTTCTAAAATACTTTTAATGTAGAAATACATTTTATAGTAGTGATATTTTCTACACTGGTATATTGAGGAAACCAGTTTTGGTGTAAACAATTAATTTACTCTACTGGGCATAAGATAATTTCAAAGATGAATATAAAACATGAAAGCTCTTTTGTCAGCAGTATACTATATATAGGAAGAAAGAGGTATACATAAGTGTGTATATATATATGAAAAAAATGTATATATACACATACACTAAAATATGCATTAAAGAAAACCTTGTATAGGTGGCAAAACTGAAATTTAAAGTACTGCAATTGTTTCAGTAGCATTGCTTATACAGTCTTTAACAAAATCCTTAATAGAGTGGAAATAAAGGGGATACTCTTTATGAATACAGTATGCGTGAGTGTCTGTGTGTGTGTATGTGTGTGCACGTGCATATGTGTGTATTTATATATGTACATGTGGACACATGCATTGTATAGATTATAAGCTTTAATCCTACCTTAGCATGGATAATGGAGAGTTAACTGTAAAATGTTTTAATTTTATCTGAATAGGAAAACTCAAAGACAATCCCCACACTGCTGAATGCTAAATGTTCTTCTATGAGTTTAAGGTCAAAGACATGAAATGTAGATTAGGCACTTAGATTTCTACCTGAATTTTCAGAAGCCCTTTTAAGAAGGCAGTTCACATTAAATGCATGGTTATAAATCCCATTTAAAATAACTCACTTCATGTTTTATTTTAGGTCTAGAATTTCTTTTACTTTTATCAATAAAATTATGCCCCTTCCAACAACTTAAAGCGATAATTTGTGGTAGTTTATGATGGCATTTGAACCACATCTTATCTTTACTCATTTGAACTTAGATATGCATTGGACAAGGATGGATAATTTGCCATATTGCTCACATGAAAATGGAGAGAATTTCTTAACTTGAAGAATTGTTTTAAGATTAGCTTTGTGCACTGGAAGAGTGTGTGAGATTAAACTAAAAATGGGAATACATTTCAAAATAGTATAAACATTCTTAGTTTACAAATAAAAATATATAAATCAACACAACCAGGCAGTGTCTGCTCAGAAAATACTTCCACAAATTCTGGGAATAACCTTCATCCCCTTCTTTCCCTCACATCCTATTCCTTTTGTACTCAATCAGTCATACAATCCTGTGGTTTCTATAACCAATATGTCTCTCAAATTCTGCTTTACTCCCTTACAATTTTATTAATATACATAACCCTGATTTTATCACTCCATTGCTAAAAATCTTTTAAGGATGCTATTGAAGGACACACTCTTTACTATCATGTCTGCCTATCTTTGTATCTGCATCACCCACATCTAGCTCACATGGATCCTATGTCTGTGTAGACATACTGAACTACTTACTCTTCTCTAAATGTGTCCTGCTGTTGCATATGACCTTTGTATTTTTATGCACAGTCCTCTTAATCTACAATAATCTTTTTCTAACTGGTCTGCCTCAATTACACATGATTAAACAAACCAGCTCAAAATCTGCCCACTCTGTTACATCAACACTGGCTCTCCCAACCTTAATCAGGCAGTGTTCTGTCCTCTTTTTCACGGAGCCTGAAGCACACATCAATTATCAAATCATCTCTCTCTCTCTCTGTCTCACTCTGCCCTTCTCTCTTTTCTTCCCTTCCTTCCCCTTTTTCCTAAGAATAGCGGACACCTTGAGGGCAAGGGGCTTTTGTATTTCTTAATTTAACCAATCAAAGCATGATTTTTCAAAATTATAGATACTTGTAACTGCATCCAATCTAGGATGTTAGTTTTTTAAATTTGTGTAGATAAAACATGTCTGTTTTTTTTTCCTCCAGCGTACTTTCAAACCCTATTAAAGCAAAGGCAGTCACCTGTTACTTCGACACCTGTTTCCTTTTTAGTACCTAACAGTATCTCACTTGTCAGATTGTTGAAATGTATAAAGAAAACAACATAAATCCTGTCTCATGGTAAGTATACAAGAAATTTTAGCCATTTTAATATTTTTGAAATAATTATTTAAGGTTTTACTTGTGATCATAATAACACATGCATTTTTAAACACAGAATACAATTAGAAAATACGAGAGGCAATTGAACTAAAGGGGTTATCTGAAAGCTGTGTATTCCTCTAATTGTATCTATAAGAAAATTAAGACAGAGAAGTAAATGATCCTACAGTTCAGTGTTATAAAAGAGAAAGAAATTGAGTCCATTTTACTGACTAATCTTTTCATTTTATAAACTCCCACACATTCAAAACATGCTTACTGTTTGATTTTAGTTAGTGACGTAATTTTGATGCTGACATGTAACCCATTTTTATTGTACGTGTAGAACTTCCCTACCACCAACATCACCACCATTACCATTCTAGAATATGGCTCCATGAGGGCAACAATAATGTGAACTTTCTTTACTATTCTGTAAAGAGCTCCTTGGCAATTAGTATGTGTTCACTAAATGTGGTAGAAGCAATATCTGTTTTAATTTAGGTGTTCTGGAAAAGAGTTCCTCAAGTGCATGTTTAAATTGGCTTGTTAGAATTTATTATATAACTTTCTAATAGCTTGACTTTGACATAATTTTCTCTCAGAATATTAGCTATCATTTTCAAATTCCAGAACTCATTGATTGCATATTCTTCTAAAGTTAATCACATTTCATAAGATACATTTCCTTGAATCTGTAACTTGAACAGATATCTTCAAAGCAACAAACTTGTCTTAGATAAAACTCTTAAGAAACTACACTGACACCAGACTTTATATACTCTTACACAAGGTACGTTGAATAATCTTGGAATAGAAACTATGCTTTAGAGATACTTTTTTTTCATTTCCTAAAAAAAAACCTGTATGAAAATTAGCTATTTTCTATTCCCCTACCCCTCTAAATGACCCCATTTTCTTTCTTTCTTTTCTCAGCCATAATTATGGTATGGATATCTATGCATTAGGATATTGAGAGAAAAAGAGAGAGTATGAGTTGGGATCCACCTCCTCAGAAAACTTCTATCAAAGAGCCTTCAGTTCCATATTCAAGTAGGGATGACATTTTTCTGCTCACAGTGTCCAGTGAAAACTTCAAGTTCATCACTTTCCATATTAAGATGAAATATTTATATTTGCAGTGTCAGCACCTGACATAGGGCCCCAGACATCACAGATACTCAATAGTTATTTCTTCACCTGAATATTAGAATGCATTTTCTAACCCTAGCACCAATTTCCTAATTTATTTTACAATTAAGTAATCCTCTCAATCTTATAATTATATTAGTTTTAGTCATTATATTTGGAACCAGCTGGATTCTTCTCTTGAGCATGTTAAAATGTTTAAGATTAGTGATGTTCATATATGGATGCATGATTAAATATTGTATAATATTTAATAATCTAGTTATTTGGTTCATAAACAGCAAAGTGAATGCAATTAGCAATGTATGCTGCTTACTTGATTAAAAATTATTCCTCATTTAAGCTAGTAATAACTGCCTTCATTGATTGAGCAATTTAGTGTGTGCCAGGCAAGTATATTTATGAATTATTTGAATCCCTACTATAATATTTTTATTAACCTATTTATATTGGTGATGAATTTGAGCATTAAATTAATTAGACAATATGCATGATATTAACCCCCTGATTTTTATCCTAAAGTTCATATTTGATTAATGCTCTTTTACCAAGTTGATACAGTGAGTATCTACATCTATCACTGGCTGAAATATACCAGTATGCTAAATCAGTAAGATCACTTTCTATTTCACTTCAAAATCAAAACCTTAGGTTTTCCAGGTCTATGTTACATTCCCTGTAGGAACACACTCACACACAAACCACATGTACACACTATAAACATAAACACAAATAATCTCTCTAGACTCATCTCTTCTCATTTATGCCCTCATTCATTCATGTCACCAGAATTAGCTTCCTTGCCCTTCTTCAAAATTATTTTTCTTAAGCCATCCCCTCAAGCATTTATCCTTTGAGTTACAATCCAATTGCATTCTTTATTTTAAAATACACAAGTTATTAATGACTGTAGTCATCTTGTTGTGCTATCAAACAGTCAGTCTTATTCATTCTTTTTAATTTTTGGCACCCATTAAACATCCTTACTTCCCATCCCCAAACCCCAATACCCTTCACAGCCTCTGGTAACTATCCTTCTGCTTTCTATGTTAATGAGGTCAATTGTTTTGATTTTTAGATCCCACAAATAAATGAGAACATGTGATATTTGTCATTCTGTGCCTGGCTTATTGCAACATAATGAGCTCCAGTTCTATCCATGTTGTTGCAAATGATTGGATCTCATTTTTATGGCTAAATAGTACTCCATTGTGTATATGTATCGTATTTTTCTGATTTATTCATCTGTTGATGGACACTTAGGTTGCTTCCAAATCTTAGCTATTGTAAACAGTGCTACAACAAACACAAGAGTCCAGGTATCTCATTGATATGCTGATTTCCTTTATTTTGAGTATATACCCAGCAGTGGGATTGCTGGATAATATAGTAGCTCAATTTTTAGTTAATTGAGGAACCTCTCAACTATTCTCCCTAGTGATTGTATTAATTTACATTCCCACCAACAATGCACAATGTCCCCATTTCTCCAATCCTTGTCATTTGTTATTGACTGTTCAATTTTTATTTAATTGAGGAACCTCTAAACTGTTCTCCATAGTGATTTTACTAATTTACATTCCCACCAACAACGTACAATGTCCCCATTTACCCACATCCTTATCATCATTTGTTATTGCCTGTTTTTAGATGTAAGCCATTTTAACTGGGATGAGATGATATCTCATTGTAGCTTTGATTAGCATTTCTTTGATGACCATTGATGCTAAGCATCTTTTTATATGCCTGTCTGCCACTTTTATGTTTCCTTTTGAGAAATGTCTATTCAAATCTTTTGTATGTTTTTTGATTGGATTATTAGATTTTTTTCCTCTAAATTTGTTTGAGCTTCTTATATATTATCATTATTAATCCCTTGTCAGAGAGGTAGTTTGCAAATATTTTCTCCCATTTTGTGGGTTGTCTCTTCACTTTGTTGATTATATCCTTTGCTGTGCAAAAGCTTTTTAATCTGGTGTGATTCCATTTGTTCACGTTTGCTTTGGTTTTCTTGTGGGGTACTGCTCCAGAAATCTTTGCCCAGACCAGTGTCCTGAGACTTCCCCCAGTGTTTTCATGCAGTTGTCAGATAGTTTGAGGTCTTAGATTTTAGCCTTTAATCCACTTTAATTTTTGTATATGGTGAGAGAAAGAAGTCTAGTTTCATTCTTTTGCATATGGATATCAAGTTTTTCCAGCACCATTTATTGAAGAGACTGTCATTTCCCCAGTGTATGTTCTTGCCAGCTTTGTCAAAAATGAGTTCACTGTAGGTATCTGGATTTGTGTTTGAGTTCTCTGTTCTGTTCCACTGGTCTATGTGTCTGTTTTTATGCCAGTACCATGCTGTTTTGGTTACTATAGATCTGTAGTATAATTTGAAGTAAGTTAATGTGATTCTTCCAGTTTTGTTCTTTTTTGCGTAGAATAGCTTTGGCTATTCTGAGTTTTCTTTACTTCCATATTCATTTTAGGATCTTATTTTCTATTTCTATAAAGAATATCATTGGTATTTTCATAGGGATTGCATTGAATCTGTAGATTGTTTTGGATACTATGGACATTGTAACGATATTGATTCTTCCAATCTATGCAAATGGAATATTTTTCTATTTTTTGGTGTCCTCTTTATTTCATCAGTGTTTTATGGTTTTCATTATAGAGCTCTTCTTTTGTTATGTTAATTCCTAGTTATTTAATTTTATGTGTGACTATTGTGAACAGGATTTCCTTTTTATTTCTTTTTCACATTTTCACTGTTGGCATATAGAAATGCTACTGATTTTTGTACAATGATTTTGTATCCTGCAACTTTACTGAATTTATCCGTTCTAATAGTTTTCTTGTGTAGTCTTTAGTTTTTTCCAAATATAAGATCATATTATCAGCAAATAAGAATAATTTAACTTATGCCTTTCCAATTTGGATGTTCTTTAAATATTTATCTTGTCTGATTGTTCTACCTAGGACTTCCAGTACTATGTTGAATAACAGTGGTTAGAGTGGACATCCTTGTCATGCTCCAGAACTTAGAGGAAAAGCTTTCAGTTTTTCCCCTTTCAGTATAATACTAGTTTTGGGTCTGTCGTATATGGCTTTTATTATGTTAAGGTACGTTTTCTTCTATATCCAGCTTTCTGAGAATTTTTATCATAAAGGGACATTCTTCAGCATCAACTGAAATGGTCATATAGTTTTTACCCTTTATTCTGTTGATATAATGTTTCATGTTTTATTAGCATATGTTCAGCCATCCTCGCATTCCACAGATAAATCTCACTTGGTCATGATTAATGATCTTTCTAATTTTGAATTTTCTAATGTTTGAATTTTGTTGAATTTTGTTTGCTACTATTTTATTGAGGATTTTTGCATAAATATTAATCAGATATATTGACCTGTCATTTTATTTCTTTTTGGGGAGGGTGTTTTAATTTTTATTAAGTTCTCAAAACCACTAATACAAGTCTCCAACTTATCTCTTCAAATATGTTTTTTTATTCATTGTTTAAGTCCAATATATCAGATTTTAAATACTTCTTCATTAAAATTATTTTATTATGGGTAGGGTCATAAGACAGCTCATACAATGGTCACAGTTCTCTTGCTGTCTAAACATGTCCGTGTTTGGCATATTGAGTACCTTTTGAGGGCCAGCCAGGAAACCTGTAACCTGATTACCTCTTATAATGGTTTATAAGATTGTTATTTCTGTGGCCAGTATGTTTCATTATATCCTCCAAATGGCAAGAATAGGATGAGGAGGACCTATCTGTGTGGTAAGGGAGGAAAAGAGAGTCTGGGTCCAAGATAGTCGAATAGGAGGGTGAATGCTAATGCATAGGCAGAATTGCTCTCACAGGCCCTGGACCTTGTGCCTCCCTCTCTCCCTCCTCTTCCTTTCTCAGAAGGACATGTGGTGACATCAGAAATATAGACTTCACCTACCTTCTGTATTATTTATCTGTAGCTACATAACAATCATGTGTCTTTCTCTGGCTTTGGTATCAGGGTAACACTGGCCTCATAGAATGAATTTGGAAGTATTTCCTTCTCTATTTTTGGGAATTGTTTAAGTAGGATTGGTAGTAGTTCTTTACATGTTTGGTAGAATTCAGAAGTGAAGGCATCAGGTCCCGGGCTTTTCTTTGCAGGGAAACTTTTTATTACAGCTTTGACCTTGTTACTTGTTATTGGCCTGTTCAGGTTTTAGATTTCTTCCTGATTCAATTTTAGTAGGTTGTATGTATTTAGTAACATTTATTCTAGATTTTTCAATTTATTGGCATATAGTTGCTGATATTAGCCACTAATGATACTTTGAATTTCTGCAGTATCAGTTGTAATGTTTCCTTTTTCATTTCTCATTTTAATATTTGGACCTTCCCTTGTTTTTTCTTAATCTGGCTAAACGTTTGTCAATTTTGTTTAAATTTTCAGAAAACTTTTTGTTTCATTGATCTTTTGTATTTTTTATTTCATCTATTTCTGCTCTGATCTTTATTTTTTTCTTCTAATGTTTTTGGTTTTGCTTTGCTGTTGCTTTTCTAGTTATATAGTGACCTTGTCTCTTATTATAGTTTTTGTTTTGAAATCTATTTTTTCTGATATAAGTATAGTGATTCCTGCTTTTTATTGGTTTTCATTGGCATTGAATACATTTTTTCATATTTTATTTTCAGTCTATGTGTGTCCTTATAGGTGAAGTGTGTTTCTTGTAGGCTACAGATCAATTGTTTATATAACTATTCAGATAGTCTATGTTTATTGATCGGAGAGTCTATTTACATTCAATGTTATTATTGATAAGTAGGGACTCTGGTCATTTTGTTATTGGTTTTCTGATTGTTTTGTGGTCTTCTCTTCCTCCTTTCTTTTCTTCCTGTCTTCCTCTAATGAAGGTGATTTTTCTCTGGTGATATAATTCAGGTTTTTGCTTTTTATTTTTTGTGTATCCATTGTAAGTTTCTTGGTTTGTGGTTACTATAAGGCTTGCAAATACTATCTTATAAGCCATAATTTTAACCTGATATAAATACTATTTGCATAAACAAGCAAAAACAAAACTAATAAAAACTCTACACCTAAATTTTAAGAAGTTAAAAATGCTTTTTAACTTCTCATTGTTTCTATTTATTGTACTGAGTGCGTCTTGAAAAGTTGTTGCGGTAATTATTTTTCCTGACTTATCATTTAGTCTTTTTACTTAGGATAAGAGTTGTTTACACACCATAGTTACAATGTTGTAATAGTCTGTGTTTTTCTGTGTACTTACTATTAGCTGTGAGTCTTGTACCTTCAGGACTCATTATTGCTCATTAATGTCCCTTTCTTTCTAATTGAGTATTCCCTTTAGCATTTCTTGTAGGACAAGTCTGGTATTGATGAAATCTAGCAGGTTTGTTTGTCTGGGGAAGTATTTCTCTTTCATGTTTGAAGAATATTTTTGCCAGGTATACGATTATAGGTTAAAAGATTTTTCCTTCAGCATTTTAAATGTGTCATGCCATTCTTTCCTGGCCTCTAAGGTTTCCACTGAAAAGACTGCTGTCAAATGTATTGAAGCCCCATTATCTGTTATTTGTTTTCTCTTGCTGCTTTTAGGATCCTTTCTTAATCCTTGACATTTGGGAGTTTGATTATTAAATGCTTGAGGTAGTCTTCTTTGGGCCAAATTTGCTTGGTGGTCTATAATCTTCTTGTACTTGGATATTGATATCTTTCTCTAGGTTTGGGATTAAAACTTATTTCTACCCCTAGTTTACATTTTCTATTTTTCTGCCTAAGTGCTCTTAATGATAACTTGACCTCTGTAATATCTCCAGTGTAATTTCTATTAATCAGTGACTGCTCAAATTTAAATAGCAACTCTCACCTACACCTCTCCCTATCATACCTACATGCTATATTTTCTCTAGGCACTTTTTAAATCATTTAACACATTTTGTCTCTCTTCTTTGTAATATATTCCCTCTCTCTAGATTGCTAGCTTGACAGGGATAAGAATTTTCTCTCTTTAGTCTAACACTATATCTATCCCTAAGGTATAGATTATAGTCTGGTTCATAGTAGGTACTCAATTAATGGTTGTGGAATATACCAATGAATGAAATAATAATGCATGAAAAAATGCCTGAAATCCATAATAAATTTGACAGAAACATTTATCAGCACAGAATTGATTATAGCTATAATCTACATAATTAACTAAAATTATGTCCGATAGTCACACAGGCTTAAACTTAAATTCATCCTTGCTCACTTATTTACTATGTGATGGGTGTAATTAGCACTTTCTTCAAACCTTGCATCTTTTAATGTAAAATGTTAATAATTTCTTCATAGCCTTATTTTCGGTATTGAATAAGAAGACATATACCAGTTAATAACACTTTCTTCCATTTTCTTCTCTATATGCTGTAGGATAAGATAAACATACATGAAGGTAAAGTGAAAGTGTAATTTATCTTTCAAACCAGAACTCATTTAAGAGCAAAAAAGGGTAATATTTATAATTATATTGGGACAACAGATGTACATCAGGTCTGTCACAAGTAAACCAGAACGTATGGTTAGCCTACCTAATAAGCACACACAAATTCAGATATTGAAAAGAATTAAAAGCATACCAGTGTGCTGGCATAGTGGGTTGGCACTTAGTATCATTTGCATCATTTTCAGAGGTTGGGTATCTAAAAACATTTCTCAAGACGCCCTTGCACAAGTTTTCTTAGTATTAATTAGGTTTTTCCAGTGTAATGCTTAATATGAGATTCAGAGGGTATAAGCATAGGAAAGGGCATACTTCCTTTGCTTTAGCTGTTGCTGCAGACAAGTACAGTGATGTTGAGATTTTCTATAACAGAGACTAATGTCTAGCCACTACCTTAGTGGTTGTTGAGAGACAGTTTTGATAGTGGTGTCTTCCTTGTGCCTAGATAATAGCCACAGTGGTATTTTATTAAAGTCCGAAAAAGACAGCAGCTCACTGGCAAGCCAGTTCTTCATGGAGTGATTCTGAATATTAGGCCAAAAGACCTTCAAGTGATTTGTAAGCATTTGCATTCCCATATTAAATGCTTGCTGCTAGGGATGGTACTGTTTCCTGCAGCTGAGAGTTAACGAACATACAAGATATACTAACAGAGCCTCCTAATTCACAGCACTGCTTCTCCACTTAGTGCTAATATGATCTTTTCATAAGTGAGTGAGTAGTCTTGGCCAGTCTGCTTAAACAGCATACTAACAAATTTTGAAATACATCTTCATTTTAGTCAAGAATATAGAAGAACTATCACTCTTTCTAATTGGTTGCTTCTCTGGAAGTTTTATCTTAAATATGTCTGTTATGGATCAATATTTCTGGGATAAGTTTTCTTGGATTGCATGGAAAAGCCACACATGTTCACTAACACTCTTATCTAATCTCAGTTCTTCTGATAGTGAAAATACATAACCACAAATTAAGTCAAGTTTTTAACAATTAAGGAATGTGCTGTGCTGTCTAGATAAAACTATGCTCACCTTTTATGATTAATCTTTAATTAGTAGTTGACTTAGGTTAACATCTGCTGGCTTCCTCTTTTATTAATAAGCAAAGATACAGTCCGTGTCTTATAGATTTTCTGGGATATTCTGGTGTAAGTATCTATGATAAGTACAAGTTTTTGACTTCATTCACAAGTTTTTGGGTTGGCATAATGCACATGAGTTAAGGCATTCTTGTAAAAGAGTATAAATGCATTAGTATTTATTTTTCTGAAGCTTCCTAGAAAGCATTATTATTAATGATAGTACAAGATGATCATGTATATACAAAGACCAATGCAATCTTTTCAGATGTTTGTGTTGAGACAATTGTTGCATCTGCTGATAACAACAACAAAGTCTTCAGGAGACTGTTTATAATTTTTTTAGAATGTTATAACTTTGAATGTGAAATGATGAGTACCTCCTTTTAATAATTCAATATTAGAGTAAAATATTTTAGCCTTAGGTGAAGCTGAGTCAATGAGAACTTACATGGAGTATGTTTAGACCTCACAGTCAGAAGAACAAAGCTGTTTAGAGCCAATTTGTTTGCTTGAAATTGAATGAAATCCAATTATGCCTACACTGTGATAATAAATATGTAAAATTCATGAATGCAAATGGGTAACAGTTGGAAGGGAACAGAAGTGTTACTGTAGTTGATTTGATAGTTTAGTAGGATTTGGAATATTTTAATTTTACTTTCAGGTTATTGGTATGATAAACACATAGAAATATAATGAATTAAATTTCTGTCTAGCATTTTATCCCACAATTTATCATGGTGATATCTGAATCTGATACACAGTCTGGTCAAGTATCCTGGTGATATTGAATAGGCTGGTTCAATTATGCTTAAATTAGAAATGGAGAAGTAGAGTCCCAAGGACATTGGGACTTATGTCGACCAAGTGACTCCCAGACTGTATCCAGTAATGGCAATAAAGGAATGAATCTAACCCTGTCAACATTCAAACTCCTTCGGGTTAACCAAACAAATCAAGATGAGGTATTTAAGAATATAATTTTCTTACAGTAAAGACTACATAAATAAATAAAACATCACTACTTTACCCAGCATATAAACACAGATAAGAAAATGGCACAAACTGGGAAATAATATAAAAGAGAAAATAAGGACAGTAAAATTATATTATATTGCCTCCGGCTTACACAAACTATTTTAAGGATGCAATGACCTCTTTCACATAAAATTTTAGAAAATTAAAATCAGAATATTTTCTCTGAAAGAAGTTTTCAGAAAGTTTGTGTGTTAAATAGCTTTACGCCTTCAGGACTACATATTTCACATGAAACACTAAGAAAGCAGAAAACAAAGTAAAAGACCCCTAGGGATTTCAAATCTCACAGATTTACTTTAAAATGTTTTTTGAGGAAATGAGTTTCCTACAAAGGGACATTCAGGCTATCAAAATATCTACTGAAAAGAAAGTGAATGAAATATTCAATGACTTTTCTCAAAATAACAAAAGTAATAAAGAAAACCATTAGCAACAGTAACCTATTTTAAAGGCAAAAGTCCTTTCAGACTTAGTGCTTTATTTTTCCTCTCTATATTTCAGTGGCATTATCTGCCAACAAATAACTGAACTCTATTTATCAGGGTCAACACATCTGCTAATAAATACCAACATTAGCTTTCAAGCCTTGCATTTCCAAGTTTAATACTGTATTTAAATGGTACCACAAAGTTTAACTATTCCTTTATTCCATTTTGAAAATATAAATAAACTATATGTATCACTGCCATTACAGCTTATTTAAGCAGTCTTCTGGTGAAAATATATTCTATACATAATGAGTTCAATAATCCTTCATTAATAGTTTAAAATGTCAAAAATGAAAATTAAATTAAAATTATTTGCATAAAATTGTAAACTGTCCTTCAGTGTGGGAAATATATTTTAAAGTATTTATTGTATCCCTAGAAAAAGAATCTTTCTTAACGTTTTGCAATCTTGAATATTGGGAAATCTTTTAAAAATTATTTGGCAGCTAAATTTTAGACTGTCTCTTCCTTTACCTTATACTACTAATAAAATAAGTTACTATGATACATTTAATGTATATTATTTTGACATATTTAAAAATACAAGTCAAACATTATCAGAAGATAATTGGCTCATAGATAAGGAATAACAAGGACGATATATAAAAGTCAAATATTTTATAAAATTTTTATCAGTGAGTTTTATCAGTGAGTTTAAAACTCACTGATAATTCAGTGAATATCCACATATACATTGAGTGCTATGTATATTTCAAACACTGTGAAACACAAATGAGAGATACAGAAATAAAGTTTTGCCTATTAGAAAAATAGATTTTTAAAAGATAGCGCTACATTGATGAGTTCATAGAGAATTTAGGATGTCTCAAACAAAATTAATTTATAAAATAATATAATATTTTTAATGGGATTTGGTCATATTATCAAACATTAAAATTATGTCCTCATTGATGCCACAGTCTCTAAGGAATTCTTCCTGTGAAGTTAATTACAAGTTTTCCTAAGAAAACAATAATATATGAATATATTATTCTGTAATTTGCTCTTTTAACTTAACAATATATGTTGCTCAACCTAAATATTTACATTTGATCCCAGAGTATTGACTTACCAGAATTTAATATTTCTTTTACCTATTTTGTATTTCAAATAAAGTATAATAAAAATCCTTTTAGCACAGTATTTCTATGTGATTAAACTTCAATTTCTATTGGATCAAGGCCTAGAAAATAAGTTGCTCATTCAATGCGTATATATACTTTAATGTTTAAAGATGCTGCTAAACGAATTTCACAAAGTTTTGAGTGAAGTCCAATTTTATTGGAAAGGTTATGATTGCAACACTGAATATCATCAATCTCAGATTTCTGTCAACTTGATTGTTTAAATAGATTTCATTATTTCAATCATCATGTCCACGATGGCTTGTGAAGTGGAGCTATTTTCATTGATAGTCATTTGCATTTTCTCTTCATTTTATTAACATATATGTTTTTATGTAAAGCAGCAATATTAACTTCTTATCTGTTAAATATCTCATATAGCAGGTTGAGCCATGTGTATTTGTCAATTAGTGAAAATTTTTGTTCTACATGAATGACATTAGAGTATGGTTCAACCATTATTTTATCTCAGTCTATTATTTGTTATTTGAATTGCTTATCACTTCTTTAAAAACTAAAATTTTAATTTAATGTAATTTGTACTGTACCTATATTCCTTTATGTTATACTTAAATATTATAGTTTTATAGCTTTGTACATAGCATAAAATGGGACTCTCCTTTCTTTCCAAGTAATAGCTGCTTTTAGTATTTCAAAATTAATTCATTATTAATAAATTTCCACTTATTTGTAGGACTGGAAAAATGATTCCAAACTAAAATTCCTACAGCCTTTCAGAGTTAATGTAACAGTTTAATTATTGTTTAATTATGTGTAATGCATTGAACTAGACATTCTTTTTGTCTATGACTCCTAAATAACGTGAAATGTAAAATGATCAAAATGAATTTAAATTTTACAAAATGATACTATAAAAACATATTACATTAATTAAAAATGAAAAATTTTGCCTAAAGGTAAAATGCTATTTGCAATGGGAAAATGTTATTGATGGCTATAATTTCTTATGAGATTGACATATTAATAATTTAATGAACCATGTGATGACTTGAAGTTCTCAGCCTTTTTGGCTTCTGAAACCTTTGCTGTCTACAGGATATTGTATTATCACTTGTCTTCATTTTTCTTTAAGGCATCATGAAGACTATCTCCATACTTTCCCAAATAGGCTCCATGTTTTATTTTTTTTAATTTTTTTTTTAATTTTTCTTTTTTTTTTTCATTCCCCCACTTTATTGAAACAATTTTCACTCAACAGATGACAGGCTGCAGCTTGAGGAAGAGCTGATCACCTTTTAACTGAAGGTGATGATTATGACTAATACTTTTTAAGCCCTTTCATGCAACATACATCTTCTTGAATTTCTCACAACACTACAAGGTAGGCACTTTTTTTTTCCCTTTTTTTAATTATTATTATTATACTTTAAGTTTTAGGGTACATGTGCACAATGTGCAGGTTAGTTACATAGGTATACATGTGCCATGCTGGTGTGCTGCACCCATTAACTCCTCATTTAGCATTAGGTATATCTCCTAAAGCTATCCCTCCCCCCTCCCCCCACCCCACAACAGTCCCCAGAGTGTGATGTTCCCCTTCCTGTGTCCATGTGTTCTCATTGTTTAATTCCCACCTATGAGTGAGAATATGTGGTGTTTGGTTTTTTGTTCTTGCGATAGTTTACTGAGAACAATGATTTCCAATTTCATCTATGTACCTACAAAGGACATGAACTCATCATTTTTTATGGCTGCATAGTATTCCATGGTGTATATGTGCCACATTTTCTTAATCCAGTCTATCATTGTTGGACATTTGGGTTGGTTCCAAGTCTTTGCTATTGTGAATAGTGCCGCAATAAACATACGTGTGCATGTATCTTTATAGCAGCATGATTTATAGTCCTTTGGGTATATATCCAGTAATGGGATGGCAGGGTCAAATGGTATTTCTAGTTCTAGATCCCTGAGGAATCGCCACACTGACTTCCACAATGGTTGAACTAGTTTACAGTCCCACCAACAGTGTAAAAGTGTTCCTATTTCTCCACATCCTCTCCAGCACCTGTTGTTTCCTGACTTTTTAATGATTGCCATTCTAACTGGTGTGAGATGATATCTCATTGTGGTTTTGATTTGCATTTCTCTGATGGCCAGTGATGGTGAGCATTTTTTCATGTGTTGTTTGGCTGCATAAATGTCTTCTTTTGAGAAGTGCCTGTTTATATCCTTCGCCCACTTTTTGATGGGGTTGTTTGTTTTTTTTCTTGTAAATTTGTTGGAGTTCATTGTAGATTCTGGATATTAGCCCTTTGTCAGATGAGTAGGTTGCGAAAATTTTCTCCCATTTTGTGGGTTGCCTGTTCACTCTGAGGGTAGTTTCTTTTGCTGTGCAGAAGCTCTTTAGTTTAATTAGATCTCATTTGTCAATGTTGGCTTTTGTTGCCATTGCTTTTGGTGTTTTAGTCATGAAGTCCTTGTCCATGCCTATGTCCTGAATGGTATTGCCTAGGTTTTCTTTTAGGGTTTTTATGGTTTTAGGTCTAACATTTAAGTCTTTAATCCATCTTGAATTGATTTTTGTATAAGGTGTAAGGAAGGGATCCAGTTTCAGCTTTCTACATATGGCTAGCCAGTTTTCCCAGCACCATTTATTAAATAGGGAATCCTTTCCCCATTGCTTGTTTTTCTCAGGTTTGTCAAAGATCAGATAGTTGTAGATATGCGGCATTATTTCTGAGGACTCTGTTCTGTTCCATTGATCTATATCTCTGTTTTAGTACCAGTACCATGCTGTTTTGGTTACTGTAGCCTTGTAGTATAGTTTGAAGTCAGGTAGTGTGATGCCTCCAGCTTTGTTCTTTTGGCTTAGGATTGACTTGGCAATGCGGACTGTTTGGTTCCATATGAACTTTAAAGTTGTTTTTTCCAATTCTGTGAAGAAAGTCATTGGTAGCTTGATGGGGATGGCATTGAATCTATAAATTACCTTGGGCAGTATGGCCATTTTCACGATATTCATTCTTCCTACCCATGAGCATGGAATGTTCTTCCATTTGTTTGTCCTCTTTTATTTCCTTGAGCAGTGGTTTGTAGTTCTCCTTGAAGAGGTCCTTCATGTCCCTTGTAAGGTGGATTCCTAGGTATTTTATTCTCTTTGAAGCAATTGTGAATGGGAGTTCACTCATGATTTGGCTCTCTGTTTGTCTCTTATTGGTGTATAAGAATGCTTGTGGTTTTTGTACATTGATTTTGTATCCTGAGACTTTGCTGAAGTTGCTTATCAGCTTTAGGAGATTTTGGGCTGAGACAATGGGGTTTTCTAGATATACAATCATGTCATGTGCAAACAGGGACAATTTGACTTCCTCTTTTCCTAATTGAATACCCTTTATTTCCTTCTCCTGACTGATTGCCCTGGCCAGAACTTCCAACACTATGTTGAATAGGAGTGGTGAGAGAGGGCATCCCTGTCTTGTGCCAGTTTTCAAAGGGAATCCTTCCAGTTTGTGCCCATTCAGTATGATATTGGCTGTGGGTCTGTCATAGACAGCTCTTACTATTTTGAGATACGTCCCATCAATACCTAATTTATTGAGAGTTTTTAGCATGAAGCATTGTTGAATTTTGTCAAAGGCCTTTTCTGCATCTATTGAGAGGAAGATCTACCAAGCAAATGGAAAACAAAAAAAGGCAGGATTTGCAATCCTAGTCTCTGATAAAACAGACTTTAAACCAAAAAAGATCAAAAGAGACAAAGAAGGCCATTACATAATGGTAAAGGAATCAATTCAACAAGAAGAGCTAACTATCCTAAATATATATGCACCCAATACAGGAGCACCCAGATTCATAAAGCAAGTCCTGAGTGACCTACAAAGAGACTTAGACTAACACACATTAATAATGGGAGACTTTAACACCCCACTGTCAACATTAGACAGATCAACAAGACAGAAAGTTAACAAGGACACCCAGGAATTGAACTCAGCTCGGCACCAAGTGGACCTAATAGACATCTACAGAACTCTCCACCCCAAATCAACAGAATATAGATTTTTTCAGCACCACACCACACCTATTCCAAAACTGACCACATACTTGGAAGTAAAGCTCTCCTCAGTAAATGTAAAAGAACAGAAATTATAACAAACTGTCTCTCAGACCGCAGTGCAATCAAACTAGAACTCAGGATTAAGAAACTCACTCAAAACCGCTCAACTACATGGAAGCTGAACAACCTGCTCCTGAATGACTACTGGGTACATAACGAAATGAAGGCAGAAATAAAGATGTTCTTTGAAACCAACGAGAACAAAGACACAACATACCAGAATCTCTGGGACACATTCAAAGCAGTGAGTAGAGGGAAATTTATAGCACTAAATGCCCACAAGAGAAAGCAGAAAAGATCCAAAATTGACACCCTAACGTCACAATTAAAAGAACTAGAAAAGCAAGAGCAAACACATTCAAAAGCTAGCAGAAGGCAAGAAATAACTAAAATCAGAGCAGAACTGAAGGAAATAGAGACACAAAAAACCCTTCAAAAAATTAATGAATCCAGGAGCTGGTTTTCTGAAAGGATCAACAAAATTGATAGACCGCTGGCAAGACTAATAAAGAAAAAAAGAGAGAAAAATCAAATAGACGCAATAAAAAATGATAAAGGGGATATCACCACCAATCCCACAGAAATACAAACTACCATCAGAGATTACTACAAACACCTCTACGCAAATAAACTAGAAAATCTAGAAGAAATGGATAAATTCCTTGACACATACACTCTCCCAAGACTAAACCAGGAAGAAGTTGAATCTCTGAATTGACCAATAACAGGAGCTGAAATTGTGGCAATAATCAATACCTTACCAACCAAAAAGAGTCCAGGACCAGATGGATTCACAGCCGAATTCTACCAGAGGTACAAGGAGGAACTGGTACCATTCCTTCTGAAACTATTCCAATCAATAGAAAAAGAGGGAATCCTCCCTAACTCATTTTATGAGGCCAGCATCATCCTGATACCAAAGCCGGGCAGAGACACAACCAAAAAAGAGAATTTTAGACCAATATCCTTGATGAACATTGACGCAAAAAATCCTCAATAAAATACTGGCAAACCGAATCCAGCAGCACATCAAAAAGCTTATCCACCATGATCAAGTGGGCTTCATCCCTGGGATGCAAGGCTGGTTCAATATACGCAAATCACTAAGTGTACTCCAGCATATAAACAGAACCCAAGACAAAAACCACATGATTATCTCAATAGGCTCCATGTTTTAAAGCAATATTACTTGGAAGTAAAATGTTCCCAAGCACAAACAAAAGCACAAGGCCTAAATCAGATGGCTATCCAATGATTCAAAATATGCTTCTGCGTTTCATTATTCAAATTAAAACAATACAAAATACAAAATGTAAACATTATTGTAGAGAACTTCTAGAAGCATAAAATTAAGTCCAGGGAACACTTCGTAGGATGCTGATGGATGCACCTCTCTCTGTTTCCCTTTAACAAAGGGAGAGGAGTACAGCTGTGTGAATTAAAACAAAACAAAACAAAACAAAACAGTAAAAACAGAATACATGCATTTCACACCAGTAAAATGTAGATACTTCCCTAGGTGCTCTACAGCCGCGATTCTCTAATAAACCCTGTGTATGAACATTAATCATGACCATTTACCAAGGATGAAATTGAAGCTCAGAGAAATTTTAAGAATTTCCCTGAACCACACAATTATTAGGCATGAGACTTAGTTTTCATACCTAAGTGTGTCTCTTTCAAAGCCCCTGTCTTTCTGCTTTCAACCCTGAAGCAATAACTTTCAGCTGAGTGTCTGCTATTTAACTGGTTCCTGCTCACTACATATGGCTTCATTTCACTGCTCTTATATTTGCTGAAAAATGTTAGAAAAGGCAAACAACTTATTGACAAAATGAGCCTATGGCAGTCAATTTAATTCCAAAGCTCTTTCAAAACCCTGCCAGTAATCTTAGCTGCTGTTTCTTGTATACATATGGCTCCCTATTTTCAAAAAATATATTAAAAACATATTTTGTCATAATTAACAGCAATGTGATTATGCAGATGGCTTAAGCTTACACAGGCATACAACAAAATGACATAAATACAGAAACAAAAAAAAATTGAGAGATCAGACTGGAATGTTTAATTCCCTGAATTTTAACCTAGATTGAATTCAGTGGTACTTTCAGCAGAACTCCCTCCTGCTTTACACCTGAAAGCAGATGGAGGCAGATTGCATTATGAGTTCAGTCCTTTCAAATTACAATAGTTTATGATGCTCATCTGCATTTTAATCAGATACAAATGATTTATTCCTGAAATGCATCAAGAAGGCCTATTTTCAGCACTTGGAAATGCATCAGAAAGTTTATGGCCAATCAAGTAAAATATGGTGCATATTTTAACTTTATATCTATTTCTTGGGAGTATATGTTACATGGACAGAGGTGTCAGCTGTTTTATTAGTAGCTGTGCATAATCCTTTCAAAATAGGGATGGAGAGGTGGTTTCATACTCAAAAATTATTTTTATTAGAATTAACTCATTTTAAAAGGAGTTGGGTTTTGTCATTCAATTTAATAATCATTTACCTAAAATGTTAGTCTTAATAACAAAGTAGTTAGCAAATAGTAACTTCCATCTACTATAGCCTCCTTAAGATCAAATAGGACTTGATCAGCATACATCCAGTCCCTGGAAATTAAGTAGGGCATCAGATCTATGATATTAATAGAATAAGTGAGGAGATTTTAATGTTACTATTTAGAGGATACTATTTATTCACTTTTAAAATTTATGGCAATTATGAAATTAAATCATTTTCAATGTAATACCTCTGCCATATTGAATAAAATACATTTTAGTTTTCCACCTAGTATTTGAATGATTACAAATTTTGCAATCTGCTTTGTTATTTTTTAATTGATTTTTACATACTAACTAAAAGGGATATAAAATGTAATAAATTACTAAGGTCCCAAAACAAATATCAAAATTAAAGAGAATACTTAAGAACTCATTATGTTGAAAAGTATGTTTTTATGAAGATGATATATTTAAACTAATACACATAAACTTGTAATATTTATACCTTTAGTTCAATACATTTTAAGCAATAGATATACAAATGTTCCAGAATTTAAATCATCCCAGGTTATTAATATATTACCTTTTGCAAATTTAATTATATAAAAGCATTAATTATTCAAATGAAATTCAAAGAATCATCTCATTTTTTCTGGTGATCCAAATTGTTTACTTATCTATAGTTTCTCAAATGGTAAATTACTATATTACCTTTTTACCTGTTTAGATGTTTACTGATCTATTGTTAAAAACCAGCAAAGACAAAATGTTGTCAGCAAATTAATAGTATCTTATTTCTGGAAAAAATTATGAAGTCTTTGTTATTTAAGTCTTTCATTAAATAAGTGTACATATTTTAAAAATGAAATTGTATTCATCAATTTATAGTAGCATGGAAAAGACATGGCAGAAATTCAGTTCTTAAGGAATCTTAAGTTAGGAAGCAAATTAATACCATTTCATTTTGTAACTAAAGGTCTAATATTTATTTTATCAGAAGTTGATTGAACCAAATCAAGTATGGACTTGGCTCTTTGTAGAAAATACAACATAGAAGATATCATTAGTGTGATGGAAGCAGCTGTGATAGAACATAATCCATATATTTTGATTAGAAGACATGAATTTCTTTCTACTTTATCTACTTACTGTGTGATTTTGAACACGTCATTTGGCCCCATTGAGACTCAGTACTAGAATGAGTATTATCTTTTTCTTCAAAAACGGCTGTGAAAATTTACTTATATAATTTATATAAAAGTGTTATCAAACTGTATAATTGGTAAAAACGTTAAGTTTCACATTTTTTAAAAAAAAGTATCATCAAATTCCAAAGTCTCTGTACATCTTCCAGAATCCACTTCCTATAGGTTTCTAATCAGATTTGTCAATGCGAGGCACATGCCCAATTTTAGGCGGCTGAAAGGGATATACCATTAAATCTGTAGGGAGAGGCAGCTTTAGCTAGGTGTATGTGCAGAGGTGAAATTCCCAGCTAGTGAACCACTCTAGTGAGTCACTGGCCTCTATTCTTTAGACTGGGGTCTTTTGCTTATGATACCTCCAAGTTTAACTAATCTCTCCATGGTTTTTGCTTCTCTAAATTTTCCAATTATTGTGTAGTCTCTTTTTACCTGATATTAAATATTTTCACCTAAATATGTATTGAATGACTTCTGTTCTCCTAGCCAAACCCTTAATGATATATCAACATTTACCTTTATTGTCTATATCAACTGTTGGATTGAAAAGTTGCATAGCAGTCATTTGTGAACACAAAGTAATCAGTAGTATCAAGAGGTTTTTGGTTATATAATATCATACTTAATATTGGCACTGTTTATAAACTTTTCACTTTGAAGCTATCTTTTGCCTTGTCTTCCTTTAATTCTCAACATTTGTACTTTTTTTTTTCTTTCTAGATTGTGTTTCTCTGGTTTCCTTGATTTTTTATAGGAAGTTGTCCATTTCACCAAAGTTGTATAACTTACTGACATACAATTGTTCATAATATTTATTTGTAAAATAATCTCATGTATTTCAGGAAGTTCAGAGCAATGTCCCTTCTTTTATTTATGATTCTAGGAATTTAAGTATTTTTTTTTTGGTCAAGGTAGCTAAATGTTGATTTTGTTAATTGTTTCAAAGAATCAGCTTTTGGTTTCATTGATTTTCTCTACTGTTTTTCCATTGTCTATTTCATTAATTTCTGCTCTAATTTTCAATATTTTCTACTCTCTGCTAGCTTTAGGATTAATTTGCTCTTTTTTTCCAATGCCAAGGGTTGAAGTTTAGGTTGTGGATTTGAGATCCTTCTTTTTCAATATATGCATCTGCAGCTATAAATTTCCCTCTAAGCACTGCTGTAGCTTCATTCCATAAATTTTGGTATGATGTGACTTCATTTTTATTCATTTCAAAACATTTTCTAATTCCCCTGGTGATTTCTTCTTTGAATCATTCCTTACTTAGCATGATGTTTAACTTCCATATACTTGTAAGTTTCCTATATTGATTTCTAATTTCATTTTATGATTATTGGAAAATGCACTTTTTATTATTTCTATTCTTTTAAATAGACTGAGATTTTTTTCGGCTGCATATTTGTCTACCCTAGTGTTGGGTGAGGTACTCCACAGATTTCCATTAAATGTAGTTGGTAGGGATTTAGAGTCTCTGTTCTACGTCATGCTTCTCCAGGCAAAATCTCTGAACCATACCTCTGGTGGTGGGAGTAGAGACAATGTCATGCTTTTCTCATGGTGACACCTCCACTTTAGGAACTGAAAATCTGATAGATAACGAAGGCAGCAGCCCCAAGATTCCTCGGCTTGCTTCTCCTAGCATGGAACCTCTGCCACAAAAGCCAGGACAATGGCGGTTAGGGTTCCAGTATACTCCGCAGTACTGTGTCCAAGGTAGATCGTCTGCCTCTTAAGTAGGGAGTGAGAAGAACAACGGTGCTTCCACTATTGAACTGTTTTCACCAGGAACTCAGCTTCAGCGATATGTAGCTAGGAGTAGTGTGAGAATTGCTGATATCTTACCCTCCTGAAAGAATACTTCTCTGACTGGGAACTTGAGGGAAAGGGAACTCCATATAGTGTCTGTATCAGTCTGGAGTGCAATTTTCATTTCACTAAGCTGGGAGGAGTTGTTTATCAATTTTAGTATATTTAAAAAAATAAGTGTTTCTTCATTTACTGTATGTTCTCAGGGCCATTGACTTGAAATGGTGGTTATTTTATAATACTCACCAGTTTCGCTGGGAGTGAATCCCTAGAGCTCCTCAGGCTATCATGCTAAAAGTGGAATTCTCCTTTCTTGACTTTTAAAATCCACTTGTTACAAAATACATTATGTTTTTATATTAGGTAAATTCTAAGAAAAACTGCTGAGAAGAACAGTACATTCCCATTATTTTGCTACCGTTCAAGGAGAGAAATTATTTCGCCAATTAAATTCAATGGGGTTTATTTGAGCAATTAAAAGCAAAATGGAACAAAATAAAAATGATTCATGAAGCAGACCACTCTCAGATCCAAATCAGGTTCAGAGAACTCCAGCTAACTATGTGACCTGACAGCATTTATAGAAAACATAACTGAGACATAGAGACAACTAAATTGGTTACAACAAAATTGGTTATTTGGTTACAGAGCTTCCTGCAATTACCTAAAGCTCAGCTACTGTGATTAAACTTTATATTGGTTTGGTCTGTTGGGTCCAGTGCAGGAGCCCAGTCTAAATCTGTGGCCTCCTGTAAATTTTATTTAACTCTACTGTCTAACTTTGTTCTACACACACGGTCCTCAGAGCCCCGTATTATGGGGTCATCATTAAGGTTATTTCCTTATGATTTAGTACATTCTATTCCAGTGCTTCTCAAAGATTAGGTATGCACAACAAACTTTAAGATCTTGTTAAAATAGGTTCTAATTTAGGGAGTCATGCTGGGCCTAAGATTGTTATATTTTTACTAATCTCCATGTGACACTGATGCTGCTGGTCTGTGGATTACTCTTTAAGTAGCAAGGTTTGGTTCATCCTTAAAAACCTAAATAACCGTTCTTTTAAAACTGATCATCTATTGGCCAGGTTCGGTGGCTCATGCCTGTAATCCCAGCACTTTGGGAGGATAACCTGAGGTCAGGAGTTCGAGACCAGCCTGGCCAACATGCTGAAACACCATCTCTACTAAAAATACAAAAATTAGCAGGATGTGGTGGCACACGCCTGTAGTCCCAGCTACTCGGGAGGCTGAGGCAGGAGAATCGCTTGAATCCGTGAGGCGGAGGTTGCAGTGAGCAGAGATTGTACCACTGCACTCCAGCCTGGGTGACAGAGTGAAACTCTGTCTCAAAAAAAAAAAAAAAATCAACTATTAAATAAACCCATTCTAAAGTATATATCATCATTCTTTGACCAAACATCAGTCTATGATAGACTGCATATTAAGAATTTTACATCCTTGTAACTTACTGTATGGCCATCAAATATTTTGATTATTACTCCTGGTTAAATGAATAACAAGTATTTTAACAAAGACTGTGATTCTGCTTTGATCAAATTTTTTGAGCCTTTTAACATTTTTGACAAACATCCTTAAAATCAAATTCTAAATTAAGTTTCTGACTTAGACTTATTGGTGGGCCTTATTAAAGCTACACAATTAGTCACCACAAAGTTATAAAATATTTTTACAGCTTCCGGTCAGACCATGAACTCCAGTATCACCACCTCCAGTCTAACAGTTACATATACTGGGAGAGGCATCAGTTAAATGACTCTTCCCACCCCGTCCCCCCTTGAAAGGGTCCCTTATCAGACGCTATTAACTAATCCTTGTACTATTAATTTACAGGGCTTTGACTCCTGGATACATATATCTCATCTAAAACAAGTACCAACTCTTTTTTTTTTAATTATTATACTTTAAGTTCTAGGGTACATGTGCACAACGTGCAGGTTTGTTACATTTATTAACTTTTTTATGTTTTATAATTATGAGATAAATAAAATCACGGATTAAAATAAATAAATAAATAAATAAATAAAACAAGTACCAACTCTTGCTCAATCATGAATGTTGACACCAGTATCTGACATCAAACTCAAGTTAACCAAAGCCTCATCTTCAGACCCAGAAAAAGGTGACAATCAAAATAAACTGCTTTTGTGAAACACAGGGCCAGAAATTAAAACTATTCAATCCCTTTAGGCCCGGGGACTATCGTTAAAGAGATGGCCACGTGAAATTGTAAGGCCAGGTTTGAGGGATAGAATTAGTTCAGATCCTCCAAAAAAGATGGGCTCACAGATGCCTAAGAGCCGATGGCCCAACACATAGAACTTATAGATAAATCGGTTTTGTAAGCTTACTTTTTGGCTTTTGGTTTGTGGCTCTTATATTGCTCAAAAGGTTTTTAAGGAATAATGAATGCCTTCCCACCTCCATTCCCTTTTGTCCTAGAATGTTTAATTGGCTGTAAGTCTTTTGGCTATAAGTCCCTTGGCTATATGGGTCCCATTGAAGAACAGAATATATCTGAGATAGATAGCCACACCACCTGGTAATAATATGGAATGAAATAAGAGCTTGGCTATTGATGCTACTTTTGGCATATTTTGACCAAAATGGGGGAATGTGAATTAAAGATGATAAATCCTAAGCCCTCTACTGAACTGACTGAACAGATCCCCTTGTGGCTTAGAGGCCCCAAAAAAGCTTAAAACTAAATTCCTGACCATAACAGCATGGAAAGTCATACAAACTTCTTCTTTTAGGGTCTAGACACAACTGAGCATCATTAATGTTAAAACAGATATCATAAGATGGACAGAACAGACTCTTTGTGGCAATAAGATCTTACAAACACCATAAAGTTTTCAGTTTATTTTAAAACTACTCTTAAAATTTTGGCTCATGATTCTGACAACAGGAATTCTAATCTATACAGTGGACAGCAGTCCTAATATATTCATGCTACATGCCTGAAATCCTGGACCAGGAACTGGTAAATACTTGTAGGTTACTGCCCGGCAGTTTCATTCCTGTAATTCTGACTCTTACCCTAACTCTTGTCCTTGCCAGCAAGAAAAAGCTAGAGTGCTCTTCACCCAATTCCCACCATATTAGCTCTTGCCTCCAGATTGACATATGATAAAGCCCAGGGGGAACCGAAACCATCCCTGTAAACTTTATAAAATTAATCAGGGAAAAAGGAAGAGGGAGAAATGAAAATAAACCAAGCTTGCAGCTCATGCAGCATTAATCATTAGGCCAGGTTGTTGTCTGACTGGATTTCCCACAGTTGTGTTGTCCCTATTGCCTCAGAATCATGTAGACTCTGTTAAAAGATTATAGTTCTCTTTAACTTTTGTATAGATAATAATTTGAACATTACATAATGTTAAGTTTTTCCTTTCTGATGTTCTTTCAGGTCCTGCATACTGATGAAACTACTGACTCAGCTGGTTTGAACAATCCCCACAGATGCCAGCTGATCTGAAGGACCACACAGGAGCTGACTTACCAAAGAGTACAGTCTCTATATCCTGATGATTTCATCCCCTATTCCCCTCTCAATCAATCACCCCAATTTCCCAGCCCCCTTCCATCCACAATCCCTTTAAAAAGTCCTGTGGGAGATGGATTTGAGGGACTTCTCCCACCTCCTCCCTTGGCACCCTGTGATAACTAAACTCTTCCTCTGCTGCAAACCCTGCCATCTCATTGTAATGGGGCTGTTACTGTGCAGTGGGCATTCGAACTTGTTGGTCCTATAACACTGACTCACCTAGAGCAACTTCAGGTCCTGCAAGCTCCATTCATGGTAAGTGTCTTATACAAGTGTACCATTTTTATCCTTTATACTTTACTTTTCTATGTAAAGAAAAGTAACTTTTCTTTTTACTTTACCATACTTTTACTTTTCTATGTTTATATATGTTTAGATACACAAACACCATTGTGTTACAATTGCCAATTTATACATGTTCGTAGAAAACTATTTTCTTTAAAGATTTTTACTTATTTGTATGCAAGTTATTTGAAGTCTTTTATAACTCATTTAGTAGTGATTCACAATGTATAATTTATATATAATTGTAAAACTATCATAAAATAAACTCAAAGTATACTTATTCCTTTCATTGAAAAATAAAGAAAACATTAAAACCTTCATATATATGTTTGTGTATAGAGATATATGTATTTATACATCACATTTAAGTATATAATAATACTTCTTCCACCTATTTAGAAGCAGAGTATAGAAACAAATAGTATATTTGGTATAAATTTACTGTGAGCTGTGGTTTCTTATAAGATTAGGAAAAGCTAGTCTTTAAAACTTCAAAGGAAAGCTACTCTACTTTCTAATTGTGTTGATAAAAGTTAGCAAAAATTCCCTTCATCACAAAACCTAAACATGTAGTGTAATTATTTACACATCTGTTTCAACAATTATCATATAAGCTCATCAGGGAAATTCATTGTCTTCAGCTCTCTCTAAACTACCCTAAAAGGTATTATTATAGTAATTTTTCTAAAATTTAAATCTACTTGTATTATTCACGATACTAAAACACTTCAGTGCCTTCACAGTACCTAATGGAAAAGGTTTAAACTTCTTGGAGGCAAAAGTCTTCTGCTTACTTCTTTTGCTTTATTTGCTGATATTCACATATATTCACATAGTAAAATAAATAATAGACATTCTGTCTACACCATTTTGTTTAGCAAGGGAAGACTTTACACACTGAAATAAGTAAATAAATACTGAAGCTAACAGAACTAAGGGATTTATGGATGGAGAAGAAAGAAGAGATGTTTCCTTTGAGGAATACACAATATACAAAAATAGTATAAGTACACCATTCCTTCTTCACTGCATATAAACTGCTAAAGGTAGAATGGGGAGAGTGTTATTTCTCCATTTCTGTCTATATGTCTAGTCTTGAAATCCAATTATTATATTTATCAACCTTAGAAGCTTAGACAAAACCCATAGAGCCTGTAAGCCTATTTCTTCATATGTCAGATATGAATAATAAATGTATATACTGCACAATCTGGTTGATTAGATTAAAAAAGTAAGACATATATATTTATTCACATTTTCCTGGCAGATTAGATGCATTAAAAATTCCAATCATTATTATCATTTTCATTACGTTATCTGTAAATATTACAATTTAACTTCTAGCTTATTGATGAAAAAATAGCCATTGGCAGAAATAAATACCTGTCTACAAACGCAAGATAACACAACCCAAATAAGATCAACATTTTAAAACATTTTAAAGCATTATGAATGTACTTCATTTGATTTAGACTGCAAAACAATAGTGCTAAGTGAGAAATAAGTATGGTTGCTACTTGTTGCCAAATAATGGAGACTTACATTGTTATAGTGCTTTACAGTCTAAAGTATCACATATCTGAGCTCACAGCAGGGTGGTGGGGTGAACATTATCCCATTTTACAGCTGAAAAAAAATGGAGCAAAAGGATGTTAAATTCCTCTCTAAATTCACAGAAGTAGAATATAGTGTTTATATCGCATAACTTTGTGAAACATTCTTAGAAATGTATAATTAAAGGCATTAGGAGGTAACTTTTGGGAGAAATAAAAAGTGTATAGTTTTACATACTGTCTACTATAGTTATTTATTCAAAAATATTTATCAAACCTGGACCATGTTCTATGGACTCAGGTACCTCCATGAAGTACACAGTGGTTTTTTTTTGTTTTGTTTTGTTTTGTTTCCTTCTTGAGCTTGCAGTCCAGGGAAGGATATTGAAAATAAACAAAAAAACCAGAAACAAAGTAAACAATTTCACAGGTGACAAGTTCCATGAAAGTAGCAAACAGGGTGCTAAAAGAAAAGAAACACTTTTGGGGTACTTTCTCTAAATCTAGAAAGAATGCTAAGGGAACGTCACCTTCTACAGGTTATATTTACTCTCTAGAAGCCATGAAGAGTAAAAGTGACAAGCAGGGAAAACATTTCAGACAAAGAAGGACAGTTATGACAGATGCTTTGTGGTGGGATATAAGTTGGTCAGTTGTGAAAAACTGAAAGCCTATTAGTGTGACTGGAGCACAATGAAATAAGAAAGAAAGGCCCAGGTTGAGCCTGTGGGTATAGGTGGGACGTGCATCGGTAGCTGTTCATAAGAACTTACATTTTGTTTTATATTAGATGGAGGCTCGTTAATGGTTTTAAACAAGGACATGATGTGATCTCATGATCTCATTTATAGTATAAAAGGTCATTTGGAAGAGAACATATTTGAGTTGTGGAAGAATGTCAGCAGGGAAATTAATTAGGATGTCACAAATCTCGTGAGGTGTGCACTGGGCTGTGATCTTCAGCAGCCTATCTCTGGAGACTGGGCTCTTAGCCAGCACAAAGTATGGCCCATCTAAAGAAGCATTTTCATCATAATGATGGCAGCAGTGGCCCGGTTGGAGCAGCCGCTGTGAAGACACAGCTCCAGTGAGGAAGGCTCGGCCAGGGCTGCGCACTCTGCGGAGCCAGTGGGTGCTGGAAACAGGTGATCCCAGGGGAGCCCTGTGCCCTACTGAGTTGGTGGGACAGGAGCTTGCGTTCCCGCTGCAGCCGCCCAGCCATGGCTTTGGACTCCGGCATCCCTGTACTCTCGGGGCCGGGAAAGCCCCCGCCTCCACAGGCTCAGAAGTTCCTGTTCCCACTCCCTGGCCCCTCCCTGCTCCCAGTGCCTGCTCTGCAGTGGAGCAAAGTTGCGACTATGTCCTGATAGCCGAGCCCAGGCGCTGTAGCGACCCAGCCAGGTGTGTGCACACTCGCGGTAGTGCTGACACGCCAGCTCCCCGCTGTCTCGGCCCCCTCCAGAAACTGCTTCTGAGGCTGAAATGTTGGGTGCTGATGAGCATGGAAGAGAGGCTGGGGGCTGACGGTGGCTCGGTGCGGGCCTACAGGCACCCCTGGGAGCAGTCAGCCTGGGGGCCATGAACGGCCTGTTGATGGCAGCGGGAGCAGACAGTTTCCTAGGTGGGAAGGGGTGTGTACCTGGCAGGTCCTGACCTTCAGGCCTGGCGGCGAGACGGCCATTTCCGGATGGAGACCACAACCGGGAGTGAGAATTTTTTTTGATAGCTTTTGGCCAATGGAATGGTGTTTTTTTCAAGCCCTCCCATGGCCACCTGTAACCAATCAGCACTCACTTCATCCTACCCGTGAACCAATTAGCATGAACTTCCTCCATCCTGAGCCCCATAAAAACCTTGCACTCAAGCCCCTGGGGACTACTGCCTGTGGATAGCGGTTACCTGTGTCCGGTCTCATCTCCTTTGAGAGCTGTATGGTCACCTAATAAAGCTCTTCCCCACCTTGCTCACCCTCCAATTGTCTGAGTAATCTCATTTTTCCTGAAGCAGGCCAGGAACTCAGGACCCCCAGACTGCGGGAGCGAAAGAAGCTGTAACATTTCCCTGCTGGCTCACTGAGCTGTGGGCTGGAGCTAAAAGGCCTGTACCACTATTAACCCTCACACCCTTTGCCAGCGGCCACCCCACCCAACCGGGAAGAAGTGGTGGGGCCGGAGCGGGGCAGAGGGACTGAAAGAGCTGTAACACAAACAGGCTAAACACACACACCCCACCCTCATCCACTTGCTGTGGGCGACAAGGAGAGAAGGTCTGAAGCCTTTCTGGGAGTCCATGCCTTCAGGCTCTCTGACCCAGGGCTGTAACATGCTGTAATACCCTCTTTGGGGCTCTGTGGTTCCTGGTGTCTCCGAGCTTTGGGGTGCCACCGCGTTCCCGTTGTCCAGAAACTGGCGCCTGCAGCGGAAGCCGCGGTACGTCTGGTCCAGTAGCAGCCTCGCATGAAGCCGGAGCCTGTGCTGGCACCTGGAGCTGCCCACCCCGAGGCAGCAGCCAGCATGCCTGGCTGTGCACAGTGGCCAGACCCGTGTTCATTTTCTCCCTTGCTGTTCCTCGCCTGGCTGACCCTTGGCAGGTGTGGGATCCGGGCTGGTAGCATGAGCCGAGCACAGCCTGCCGGGCCAAGTGGGTGAAACAAGCCCAGCAGGCACGGACAAAACTCAAGCAGAGGCGCCAGTGGCCACAGAGGTTTGTGGCTGGCGAAGCCATACCCTAAGGATCCTGTGACAATAAGGTGGTACTTCTTGTTAAAGAATGAAAATCAACTTCCTAAAGTGATCATGTATATGCCCAAGGAATGTGGGCTGCACATTTTGAGGTGTGCTCTAAGCACTGGAAATAATATCAAAGAGCACAATGTCATCCTTCCAAAATTTCCTTGTTCTACATCCATGAATAGAAACCTGGCTTGGAGAAACCGAAATCTAACATAAGAAAATTGTTAATAGACCAGTAATGTTATTTTAATACTGATATACCAGTATGTTATATTTACAAATCTGAAAAGCAATTTCCAACCCTAAAAGTTATTTAAACTCTGCAGGAATTACTTTTTTAAATGTTTTCTGAACCTCTGATTCGAGGTCTCCCTTACAAATGTTTGTTCAAGAGATGTAATTATGTGGTATTACTTTTACCACCTGTAATGAGTTGATTTAATTAAGATTACTGAATGAAGGATCCTTAAAAACTTAAAAGTAGAATTACCATACGATGCAACAATCTCGCCATCTGTATGTAAAGCAGATGAAATCAGTATCTCAAACACCTGCCCATCTGCGTGTGTGTGTGTGTGTGTGTGTGTGTGTGTAAAATGTATCATTTAGCCTTAAAAAGAAGGAAATTGTGTCATTTGAGACAACACTGATGAATATGAAGCATATTACGCTACGTGAAAGAAGCCAGGCACGAAAAACAAAATATGGCACAATGTCACTTATTGGAGGAATCTAAACCAGTGAAATTCACAGAAGCAGACAGTAGGATGGTGGTTTCCAGGATATGAGAGAAATTGGGAGATGTTAGCAAAAGCGTACAAAGTTTTAATCGGGCAGGATGAATAATGTATAGCATGATGACTATACTATATTCTATATAGAATAATACTATATAGTATAATATAATATAATATATTATATAATGGTATATATACTATATAACTATAATATAATTATAATTAATTATATATAGTATAGCATATAATTATATAGTATATATATAAAATTATATAGTATAGTATATAATTATATAGTATAGTATATGCTATATACTATATATACTATACTATATAATATATATTATATATTAGTATATATAGTATATAGTATATATACTATATATAGTCTATAGACTATATAATATATACTATATATAGTCTATAGACTATATAATATATACTATATATAGTCTATAGTCTATAGACTATATATAGTCTATAGACTATAGATAATATATAGTCTATAGACTATAGATAATATATAGTCATATAGTCTATAGACTATAGATAATATATATTATATAGTCTATAGACTATATATAGTATATATTATATAGTCTATATTATATATAGTATATATACTATATATAGACTATATATTATCTATAGTCTATAGACTATATACTATATAATTATATATACTATATATTATATATAATATATAGTATAATTATATATACTATATAATATATAGTATATATATTATATAGTATATAATAATAGTAAATATAGAAGAATACTATATTGCATATTTGAAATTTGCGAAGAGAGTATATCTTAAGTACTTATGGGACACACAAAAGATAACTATTTGAGGTGCTGGATATCTTAATTAACCTGATATAGTTACATTTCACAATGTACACAGATATCAGAACATGATATTATACATTACAACTATTATAAACATATATAATTTTTTGTCAATTAAACCTCAATAAAGCTGAGGGAAAGAAGAGTTGCTGTAGTTGTGAACAGAAGGGGATTCTGCCTAACTAAATTACAAAGAGGCTTTAATCAACGGATAGCCTGGTTGTTGACAGGATGCCAAGAACAGCTAAGAAAATGTGCTCCACCTGGGAGAATGGAAATAATGGCAGCTAAAGAAACTGCAGAAGTTGGGCTTGGGAGAACTTCTTTTGAAATGACTTTACCAAAGTTCAATGCTAGTGATTTTTATTTTCTAGGTCTCTCTATTCTAGGCTAAAATTCTCAGGAAGGATGATCTGATGACCCAGCTTTGATTTACCTCTGGATCAATCAGCTAGAGCTGCAGATGTAAGACCCCCAAAAGGGCTCAGTTTTTTTTTTAACTGAGGGCTTTCCAGGGAACAGAACATTTCTGTATGCCAGAAGCTAAACCAAAATGGCATATTTTAGACTCTACCTTATGGCTGTTTTCAGGCATGCACACACATGCACAGACATATAGATACACATAAAGTTATTCCCCTCTATCCAAATGTACGTATCTAACATGATCCACATAAACTACACACTCATTCTTCTTTCACAAAAGAAAAAACTGGAAGTCACTTTCAGATATTTTAGTCCGTATTCTTTAGAGTGTTCAATACTGACAGTTGTTTTATAATTCCATCTCAATATTCAAATACTTTAGAAACAAATGGAAATTTAATGCCTTGTCTATATTATATACTGAAGAACAAAAGAAACACATAAAATACATACTTAAAGATAGAATTAAAAATAAAAAATTATTCCATGCAGCAAACAAGAAAAAAGCTTCGGTTCTCATCTTTGAAGGTCATAAGACTCTAGGGAGCATGTACCATGTCTCTTCTCAACATCTTCGCCTTCACCTTTTATTCTAGCTGACTGGGGCAGAAGAATTCTCCTTTGGGAATTCCTTTCAAAGACCACAGAATACAGGAAGTTAATATTTATGGACTATTAAGTGGGATACAGAGAAATGTTACTACATAATTCTGATCTATTTGTCATGATTAGGGAACAGTGCTTCAGGGAATGTTTTGAATCCTGAAAAATGCTTGCCAATCCTCACAGGGTGTGGTCTCATTATAACTGACCACATAACTGAATTTTTAATATGGCAGTATTTTGTTTTATGGGTCTAGATGCTTTGGGATATAAAGGTACTTTTCAAGAAGGGTAAATTCTTGTATAATTGCTTCCTAATTATTCTTGCCAGATATATATATATTAGTCAGTTTCAGGGATGGGAGTTTCATGCTGCTCCATGAATTTCCTTCATCTTTGGAATTATGATCATTGTTCTTTCACCCGTTTACTGAGTAGATTTTTCGATGAGTAAACATGACCACTGGCATATGTAGATCAACTCGGCAGCCTGTTCAGAATAATAATAATAGTAGTGCTAATAGTAATGATAATTTTCTGGTAATCAATCAAAAATATTTCTAGTCTCCATATTTTTCTGAGAGGTCCATTTCCATAACTAACTCTCGATTTTCCATTGGAACAACCTCATTATCTAAGTCATTTACTATTTTAAACAATCATTACTTTGAAAGTGATATGGATCTTTCATTAAGGCTATCCATTCAGGAAAGCTGAGCAATGGTGAGTACTTCTGGAAGCTCTGACCACTTGGAAGATTTCCATTTTGAGTGAAACTGTGTAGCATTCCATTCCCAGCAAGCACTGGTATTAACATAGAGAATCAATGTCAATCTCAAGCAGTTATTTTTTTCACTTTCATTGGCCAGATAGTATCCCCTGAGATCACAGTTTATAGGCTAAGAGAAAATGCAAATGTAGCAGGCATAGGTAACTGTATTAGTCAGTTATACTGTTATAAAGAACTGCCTGACACTGGGTAATTTGTAAAGGAAAGAAGTTTAATTGACTCACTGTTCAGCATTGCTGGAGAGGCCTTAGAAAGCTTACCATTATGTCAGAAGGCGAAGGGTAAGCAAGACACCTTCTTTACAAGGCTGCAGGAAGGAGAAGTGCTAAGTGAAGGGGAAAGAGCCTCTTATAAAACCATTAGATCTCGTGAAAACTCACTATCATGAGAACAGCATGGGGGAAACCACCCCCATGATTCAGTTACCTTCACCTGGTCTATTTTTTGACGCATGGGGATTATGGGAATTACAATTCGTGATGAGATTTGGGTGGGGATGCAAAGCTTAACCGTATCAGCAACTATATACTAAATGTAGACACTAGTGAAATATAAACTCTGACTAAGGTTATGTAACCTATTTCATATATTTCTATACCACCAAAATGTTATTGCGGTGTGGACGTGGATAAATATTTTTAACTTAAGTAATTATTTTGCTTTCATATCCTCTTAAATGCCATCTGGCATGCAAATATGTAAAATAACAAAAATACAGATTGCCATATTCTTCTATCACTCCTCTGTAATTAGCAATGAACTACATAAAGTACCAGACATTTGGGATGTCATTTAGCTTGTGTGACTCCCTTTGTGAGCTAGAGCAGAGAATAAGCAGCTTGCTCTCCTGATTGGGAATTTCATAGCCCTAGTTCCTGTTAACTCACTCAGAAAACACAGCTGTGCATGTTACCTCTGAATGCCCACCTCAAAAAGATGCATTTTTAACAGTCATTGTCTTCGTTCAAATTCAGTGTTATGTATCAAAGCAAACAACTACCAAGATTGCTGGATAAAAAAAAAGGCTGCATTATTACAGGTAAAACAAATATTTCATCCCTAAATCTCTACTCTCTTGGAGACCACTTGGATGTTTGGTTTTTGTTCAAATTATCTCTACATTACATGGCAGAGTGACACATTAGATTTAGGATATTTCTTAATTTGAAATTTACCTATTGGTATTTAGATGGTTCAATAATTCATAAAATGATTTAACAGTAAATACACTGAATATTTTAACATTATTCCTGTGTATAAAATTTATCTTCTATTTTTTGGAAAGTATATGATGAACTTGGAAAGTATATGATGAACTATAACTGAAAATATGCTAAATTTTTCCATAAGAATATTTTAAAAGAGTAATACTTGAGAAAAAGAGAAATTCTCATACTTTTTTCCCTTTTCATTAGAAACACATGCTATTTAGCTCTTCTAGAAAGTAAAAAACACTGAAATTAAAATTCCTACCACTCATAATGTATATATTGATTTTTGAAAAATGGAAGAAACTAATATTTTAAAACTACATTTATTATTAACTTATTAATACTAATATTTGACCCATGAGTTAGACAGTGATTGTAAAAATAAGTATAAAAATAGTGCTCAATGTTAGTACTTGTATTTTCTGATTTCATCATTAAAATTTCCTTTCAATGTACATACAACATAACAGAATTAAAGTTACTCCTGTATAAAAAATGTATAGTAATTATGCCTTATGTCTCTTTGGTGTTTGTATCCATTTTTGTTTTGTCAATAACAAAATTTTTACTAACATGAGACATTATTCTCCATCACAGGGCTGTTTATTTGCAGAATTTTATTTACATTCACAGAAAACAATGTGAATAGTGGTCTCTTGTGTTATGCTGCATATCATCTATGCTGTTATCATCTATACTCTCTGTTACACAAATAATACATTTTAAAAAGGTGAAATCATAGATAGGATTAGCCTTTAAAAATCCACTTCAGTCCATTTTTAAAAAATAATTTGACATGATCTATCATTTGCACTTTCTTTGAATGCTCCTTCTCAATCCATGAGGTTTGCCTGATTTGTAAAACTTAGTAAAATAAATTAAGAGTCATGGCACCTGGCGGGGTGCAGGGTTGGGGGAGAAACACATGTCACCTGTTGGATATCTTTATGCCATCATTATTTGATTGATTGATTAGTTGATTGATTGAGACAGGAATTCACTATGTTGCCAGGTCTTCCCTGGGCTCAAGCAATCCTTCTCCCTCAGCCTTCCAAAAAGCCGAGAAACATCAATATTTTAATGTGCACCCTATATTCACTTTAATAAATATTAATTTGAGGTTAATATGTTACCATAATTTACTATGACAAAAACTGAAATATATAATACAAACTAGTACATAGTTCCTGCCTTCAAGAAGTTAGTAATCTGATAAGAAAGACAAATATATAAACCTAATTATCATACCATATGATAAAGTCCATAATGGAAAGAGCTCAAAATAGATGTATCACATAAAGCATAAAAGAATTCTCCACAAAATATCTTATATCACAGGAAAAATGAAAAGATTCGGCCAGCATGGTGACTCACACCTATAATCCCAGCACTTTGGGAGGCTTAGAAAGGGAGATCACTTAAAGCCAGAAGTTCGAGACCAGCCTGGGCAATATAGAAAGACTCTGTCACTACAAAAAAATTTAAAAAAATAACAAGGCATGGTGGTGCACATCTGTAGTCACCTCTTAGGAGGCTGATTTGGAAGAATTGCTTGAGCCCAGGAGTTTATGGTGAGCCATGATCATGGGACTATACTGCAACTTGGGTGCCAGAGTGAGATGCTGTCTCTAATAATGACCTCTTTCAATGTGCTAGTACTTTATAATACATACATATTGCTCAAAACCCTTGACTGAATTTCATGTGGAAAAAATAGACTTATTTTCATAAAATGTACTGCAATATTTTAAATAAACCAGTATGTAAAAAAAAAAAATAACCAACTTGATCTACATCTCCTACTATAAATGTATTTTGTACATGGAAATCACTTGAAATGTGCATAAGATGTCTATGTATGATGTTGACAGAAAGAAGAAAGGCATCACAATATTATACATAGTGTTAGACTTTCTTGGTCTTTCTAGTCTTGTCTCAAACACTTTTTCACACTGTATTTTATATTTGCCTCCTGCTTTTGCATACTGTTGTATGAGTCAACAACCAGTTGAAACTCTTTTGAAGAAAATGTAGAGATGAAAGCATAGAGAATAAAAAAATAATAGAGTAAAACTAAGATATTTTGACAAAAAAGAGCATGCCAAAGAAATTGTAGGCATGCTAAAAATGCATTATTAGGGTACACATTGCAATTATAAATAGTAAAATAAATAAATTTATAAATTAGCATTCCTATGCACTATGTGACAAGAATACAGCATTATTTGTTAGAAAAAACATGCAAAATTATTGGGAAAATAAATGGAGAGACAGGATAATCAAAGACTCAGATTATCTACCAAATTGACTCAGAATAAGGACATGACTGTTTGCAAAGTTAAACGTGAAGACCATGACAGGGGGAAAGGAGTTGTCAATGAAGTTGACTTTCAAAGCAAGCCTTAGAAATTCAACAGAATCAATATTTGTTATGCTTATATCAACAAAATAACCGTGGAAGCTGCATTAACTCTTCATGAGAAGACTGTTACTTTTCTGTCCTAAGTATTTTTTAAAAAGTAAAAAAAAAGACTACTGATAAACAAAATTGATTGTAGATCAGATAGGGTTAAGAAACAGATATTGTCCTGTGGGTTTATTCCTCAGAAGAATAAAGTGTCTGGTTATGAAGTTAACAGGATAATTTTACTGATCTTGGTACTTGGGCTAAAAATATTATGTTAAAATCCAAAATAATCTGTTTTTCTGAAAACTCTGTTTACTTAAAGGAATGTCCAAAGGAAATTACGAGTTGCGTGGAGGCCCTCAAACCCTACTTAAAAAGTAAGATTTTTTTTTTTGAGAAATATGTACAGTTTTACCTCCTATGCTAAATAAGGCACTACCAGAAAAAAAAAAAACTTGCAAACAAGGCCGTAGACATTTTTGATGCCTTAACATTTAAAGAGGGATGTAGAATATACCCCTAACATCCAGGTGATTGTCTTCCCTCCAACTTTGACACTGCTTTTGCAATCCATGAACCATGATTTTATAGTTCATCACATTATAAGTCTTCACAGTTGTCAAGACTTATTATTCTCAATTACTTATTCAAAACCTGGTCATGGTCTAGGTTTGTCAAACAAGAAGCTTTGCTAAAAATTTTTTGAACTATTTAACATTTAGAAAGGCTTTGGAATTCACTGACCATGCATGGCAATTTTTTTTTCTCCATCAACATCAAGGGATATATAATAAAGAACAAATGCCACAATTTGTGATTGATTTAAAAGGTTTTGTAAAGGTGGTCGAGGATAGCGTGAAAATTTTTCTTGAGAGGGATGTTAACTTTGAAGAGGTTAATTTAAAAATGCTGAAGAGTTCTTGAACTCCCATGCTGATAAATTAACTACTATACTTGCTCAGGAGGATATATAACCCTGGCTTGAAGAAGATGGAGATAGCTACAAGAGATGCGTAGTCAAACCACAGGTGCCATCTACTTTGAAGGAATGTATGCGCCATGCAAATATAAAGCTAAACATTATCCTCCCATGTATCAGCCATCTGATGAAAAGCCCTCATTTTAATATTGCCTGATGTATCTCATTGCGTCATTCTCCTGGAAGCAGACACCAAGGAAGAGGTAAAAGGGCAACAGTTTTTTTGTTTTTTGTTTTTTTTTCATTTTCTTTCTTTTTGTTTATTATTATTATTATACTTCAAGTTTTAGGGTACATGTGCACAACGTGCAGGTTTGTTACATATGTATACATGTGCCATGCTGGTGTGCTGCACCCATTAACTCGTCATTTAGCATTAGGTATATCTCCTAATGCCATCCCACCCCCCTCCCCCTACCCCACCCCACAGCAGTCCCCGGTGTGTGATGTTCCCCTTCCTTGAGAAAAATACCTGTAAAAGTAAATGAGAGACGGGAAAGTAGTACGTGGGGTCCACCTTCAGACCACAATGCAGGTCTGATATCAGTGAATGAAGAGAGGAGAAAGAAGAAAGAATGCAGAGCCTCAGGCTATAAGAAAACCTTGGAAATTCAGAGCAGAGATTCCCCATTAGAGGAATTACATGTGGGTCAGAAATGGCTGACTCTGGTAAGTTCTCTCGCTGTGCTCAGTCATAGGCTGGAGACAACCAGAAGGTGTATAGTCTCGGTGTGAACATAGATCCTGAATGTACAGCACTTGGAGGCTGTCAGCTAACGACTCCTTGGAAGTATTTGCTGATGAAGGGATATCTGATGGATACATTTCCATGGCTGCCAAATTTAGAGAACGATACAAAAATTTTAAAGGATAGAAATGGTGTTAATTGAAACAAATTGAAACATTTTGAAATAATTGTTATTCCAAAATTTTGTGCACCTTCCCTGAAGCCTGCTGTTCTGGAATCTCTACAGCAGATACGCAAAGACGTGCAGACACACACACACACACGTATGATAGATAGACAGGCAGACAGACAAACAGATAGAGGTCCCATAGATAGGTAGGTAGGTAGGTAGGTAGGTAGGTAGGTAGATAGATAGATGACAGATAGATAGATAGATAGATGATAGATAGATAGATAGATAGATAGATAGATAGATAGATAGATACATGTTTGTATGGCAGTTCCTCTGGACAGTTTACCTGAAATTACCCTTCATAACTGAACAACTCCTCTGCACGTCTCCTTCAGCAATTTGTAGTACTGCTTTTGCACTCCTTATCTCCTCGCATCTCAGTTTTCTTCAATGTCAATTTAATCATACTTGGTAAAATAGTAATAGTTCAATATAGAAAATTGCTTTGTTTTTAACTGCATTTTTCTAAATCTTTTTATAACAAATTTATTTATTGTTATACTTTATTTATGGTGTTTATTTTCAATGTGAAATTTATGTCACAGCAGGCAACCTGTAGATTTTACCATTTAGAATGCAACTGTTTGTTAGCAACCATGTTAACTGTTTAGTAATATTTTAAGTACTTTATATTTTATTATAATAGTTTGATACATATAAATGTTTTAATACTTTAAATACATTTTAAGAAATTAATTTGAGATTTGAATTTATGTGGAAACATCAGGAAAAAGCAAAAGCCACTATTTGTTTGAAGGTTTATCACAACTTGGAGGATCTCTAAGTTTAATCAACCTCTGGGCTCAGAATATAATTCAAATTTTTGAGCATTTCATCCTGGGACCTCTACCTATTTGTCCAATCAGCCTCATCTTCTACTATTCCACACCTCACACTTTATACTCTAATG
This sequence comes from Homo sapiens, assembly GCF_000001405.40. Lineage (NCBI taxonomy): Eukaryota > Metazoa > Chordata > Mammalia > Primates > Hominidae > Homo > Homo sapiens. Next base: position 86,612,159 of record NC_000012.12, read on the forward strand.
ATAACAAAGAACTTGCATGCATGATACTTGAATGCATTATGCTACTTGAGATTTGCATTTATTTTATTATAATATTTTCTATATGTGAATGATCCCCATATACTTATTTTCTCAACCTACTAAAATCATATGCATGCTTAAAGTCTTGGCCTAACTATCATTTCTATTAGCTAGCTGTACATCTTTCTCTGTTCTTCATCTTCCATAGATGCCTGTTATACATTCATCTTATCACATAGATTTTCAGGTCAAGAATGAGGGTTTACTCATCTTTTAAAGAAGAAAAAGACAATTTAAAAAGTAGATGTGGGCCAGGCGCGGTGGCTCAAGCCTGTAATCCCAGCACTTTGGGAGGCCAAGGCAAGCAGATCATCTGAAGTCAGGAGTTTGAGACCAGCCTGGCCAACATGGTGAAACCCCGTCTTTACTAAAAACACACAAAAAAATTAGAGGGCATCTGTAGTACCAGCTCTCAGGAGGCTGAGACAAGAGAATCGCTTGAATCCGGGAAGCGAAGGCTGCAGTGAGAGGAGATCATGCCACTGCACTCCAGCCTGGGCAACAGAGTGAGACTCTGTCTCAAAAAAAAAAAAAAAAAAAAAAGTAGATGTTACATACCGCCCCTGCACCAAATTAAGCTGTTTTTCAGAAAGAAAACTTTCATTGTAAAATAAATTATTCCTACATAAATTATGATCTTGTGTTATCATTGTAAAAAGCTCTCATGTAACTGCAAAACTGCTGCAATTAATGTTCTACTTTCTAATCTGAAGTGTTCATCAGAAGAATTAGAAAATGTGAATCAATGGCATTTACACTCTTTTGATGATAACATGACCAAACTTGTTACTGAATGATTGTATCTAAAATTCATTTTTCTCTAAAAGGATTAATTACATAATCTATTTTCCTGTAAATGATATGTAAGTTAATGATTTAAACTTCTACAATTATATATCTAAATTAAAACACCAACTTGGGGCTAAATGAAAACGATTAAATTAATATATGAGGATGATTCTACCAATTTATATGAAATCTCTGTTGTCTACCACAACTGTCAATAAAGAAAAATTTAAAAAAATAGCAAAGTGACTTATTAGCTTAAAATTACTTAATATGAATTTTCTCTATATAGGTTCTCTCAACATGTAATTACAAGAAAAATTACACTTGTATTATTCAAAATACCTGCTTTTATTTTATGTATTTAATCTGTTTATCTCAACTTTTAGATAAAGTGGCAATCAATCCGACAAAGTAAGTATTGGGACTTAATTAGTCAGGAAGAATGGGATGCCCTGAGGCTGTTGTATACATGTCAGAATTGGCAAAATATCCACTTTCTACAAGCAAGAGGAAGTCATATTTCACAGTTATGATGCAATTACATTGTTATTTCACAGCTGTCAAAAAGCATAATCTTGAAATATGACTTTTTAAAGTATGTACTTAAAAACTTTCTCAACATTTTAACTAATAATATTTTAGGATCCTAGGAATACTATAACTGCAAGCACCCTAAATAGAGAGGAATAAACCAAAATATATTTTATATGATTTTCAACATAATAAAAATTATATATTTTAGGTTCAATATATACCATACAGCTTTTCATAAATGTCAAATGGAACACAGAAAGTAAGATTACAAAATTACAACAAAGACAAATCTAAGGGTTGAACAAAACAGGAAGTACATTTAAAACATATTTTATTTATTTTTCTTTTCTAGCTCTCACACATAGTTTATACATAAATTGAAAGACATAAAAACACACTATCAAAAGATACATGAGGAGATAGGGACAAAGAGATACATGAGCAGAGCAATCAATGGGAATCAAGCTGATTTTAGTACACAAAATTTATGCCACAACATCCTCTATAATTGCTAAAAATGGAATGTAAATTGGACTTTGGACTTCTTAATGGGGAGTATAAAGAAAAGTAATTAGATAAAATATTTAGTGTGCCCATCATATAAAATGTAGACCAGATTATTAGAAGTCAGGCAATAACTTCTGGTTCTATCCAGTGTGTTTTTATGATAGGCTGCTCTGTAACAAGCAGATTACATCCTCCAGAGAATACCTAAAATAAATATCATGTGAGTTTCAGAAGAGTACAGAATCACCGAAGGCTGTGCAGCATGACATTTGTTTCAATAGAACATAGCACTTTGAGAGGTGAAAGCAGGACATTTTCAAACTGTGTCCTCTGACGATGCAGTGAGTGTGGGATAAAAGCCAGAATAATTAAAGGGATTATGGATAATATATGCTTTAGGTAATCTCTGCAAATGATAATATTTAAAAATAATTCTTAGTTATATATCATTTAGTTTACAATTGTGTGGTAACATGTCAATTTTATAAATATAATATTAGGTGGGGGGAAGCAAATAACAGAAAACTGTATAAATTTAAATACCATTTTTAAGCACTGATTACCTGAAAACAAGTGAAGTTAAACAATATATTTGCAAAAATATATATATATATGTTTAAATTATGAAGTTAATTAGGAAAAGGTAAACAAAATTTCCACTGTAAAGAAAAACCCTGAGGCTCATTAAATAGTATTGATGCAGTCCATAGGTCCATAGGTAGATTCACTGTGGAGTTTATGAAGTTCCTCACTTGGATCATTTCCTTCAAGATCCTTCTATCTAATTTAATTTTGGAAATTGTGTACACTTTTCTTAGAAAATTTCCCCTAAGTTGTATAAGAGTCAGACCCATCGAAACTTGTAATCTTATGAAGTAATATTCTATTTCTTTTGGTATTGGGATTATGGGTATTATTTTATTACTTAGATTCATAAGGTGTATTAGAGTATATCATCTTGTTTATATAAAATGTATCTAAAAAGAAAAAAACAATTGGCAGTATTACTGAAATTGCTGTATCTAGAATATAGGTATTATATATGGTTAATTGAGGATAGATCCATTATTTTGACAGTCCAGTGAGCAAAAAGAAGGGTTTACTTTCTCTCATTACAGTGAACAATATACTAGGGCAATATACTGAAAAGGATAATCAAGTCACTTCTAATTGATATATCACTCAAAAAAATGACTGGGATTCTGAAGCAGCAACATATCCCAGAACTCTATACTAAAAGGCTATGAAAATATTTGACTGAAAAAATATTAAAGCAGTTTACTGTAGTTTAAGGGGTTGGAGGGTGCTTAAGAAGACAGGTACATTAGTGATTTATTGTTGTGTAATAAATTGTCCCAAAACTTAACACCTTGAAACAGCAAATATCTCTGAGGTGATAAAAGTAACTAACAATGGAAACCCGGTATTAAACTCAATTGCTCATTTTCTACCAAGTTTCCCAAGAAATCTAGCCTCATATTTTGTTAAGAAAAAAACAGTTTGATATGCTTGAGTGTGGGAGGAATGGCTAATAAACTAATACCATAATTTGGGAGAAATAAGGTTAACTCTTTTAAACAGAGCTGGAGCATCATTGACCAAAATGCATTCCAAAGAACGCTAATCCTATGAGATATTCTGCAAATTGGGAACATAAAAAAATGAGAATAACAAATCACATCAAATCCATGACCCTGTGAAATCCTGGAGAGATGACATTTTAGTATTTTCCCAAACTTATCTAATCTCAACATTTTTTCCATAAATTTATGGACACACTCTAATCAAAACTAGAATAGATCAGGCTCAGTCTGGTCAGATACCACAGCAAGAGAATCAATGAATGATGAAACCCACTATTGTGAGAGACTCTTGCAAAACTGGAGAAGCATTTATTACCAATAGAGTATTTAATTTAGCTTGATCTTTTAAGCAAGGCTCCAGTAAGAAAGTTGTAGAATGTCTACAAAATTCTAGTCAGTTGTAGTATTCAAGCTCATAAACTTTATTTGCTTCCAGAATAGAGCTATGTACACAATGCCTTGAGTGGTGATTATTTTGTTCTGCAACCAGTATTCATTGAGAACTTAAGTAATGATCTGATATCATTTAGAGTATAGCATCCATATTTGTTGCTAGCAGCTTTGGAAACTTACAAGCTTTACAATTTCTACATGTAGTTATAAAACCCCTGCTGTACTTGCAACAATGGCTTCTTTCCCTTTATACTTGTGATTGTTGAGTAGATATCTGTGTTTTGCAAAAAGAATAATTCTAGATTAGACAAATTAATAATCTACTAGAACAACCCTTAAATCAATCTTTTGTTAAAAGCAATAGCAGAATAAGCATAAGTAAACATAGGTAACCGTAAGTAACATTAAATTAAAACCCTTGTAAGAATGAGAGCAAGAAGAAAGTGCAATAGTGAACGTTGACATTTGTGAGGATATTTCACAAGTGTAGTTCATGTAAGAGTTGCTATATCATGAGCAGAAAATGTATCATGTCAGTTTTGATATTCTTGAAATACTGAAAACAATATAAATCTTCTTCAAAAATATCAACATTTTACACAGTACATGCTACTCATTTATTTCTGTATGCTGTATGCTGTTTGTATAAACTGACTTTCATCAAAGTTAACAGGGTTTCTTTTTTTTTTTTTCTTCTCCAAGTTCAACGAAAACAGTTTTCTCTCAAAATGTTTGTCACAACCTTTGGACAAACAAAAGCCCAGAGAGAGAAAAGTAAACATATGTATCCACATATCTATCAATCTTTTGATATTGCAAACCATTTAGACAGGGGAATAAATGTTTAGAAGAGTAGTAGAGGGACAGAAGCCTTTCACTTTTAGTCCACCTACACAAATCTTACTTCTCAAAAACCTGTTATTTGTTGTGTTTGACTAACAAGAACATGACACTGGAGAAAATCGTATCTAGCAAAAAAAAATAATTTTAGCAATTAAAATACATTGATTACATAACTACAGCAATGGACTGTATTTTAAAAATATTTACTATTCCCTTAAGTCACTCTCCTCATGGACTGAAACAGGTTGGTTAGTTCGCTAAAAATTAAACTGAGGTCAAAGCAAACACTGAGAGCAAGTTAGTAGTCATTTTTTCTCTACAAACTGACCTAATCTTGATTAGTTTTGTAATAGTTTCACGTAATTTTTTAGATAGATTTAGTATTTGTGCAATTTTAACAATCTAACGTTGTCTTCATAGTAGCTATGTATTTGAGTAACTTGCTTTATCATTGCGATCTGCATCCACAGATTCAACCATCCACAGATTCAACCAACTCCAAATTGAAAGTGTTCATTAATATGCAGAAGAATGAAATTGGACATCTCGAGTCTCACCACTAAAAAACACAAAATGGATAAACCACTTAAAAATAAGACCTAAAACATCAAGAGATTAAGACCATCCTGGCTAACACGGTGAAACCCCGTTTCTACTAAAAATACAAAAAATTAGCCAGGCGTGGTGGCAGATGCCTGTAGTCCCAGCTATGCTGGAGGCTGAGGCAGGAGAATGGCATGAACCCGGGAGGCGGAGCTTGCAGTGCGCGGAGATCCTGCCGCTGCACTCCAGCCTGGAAGACAGAGCTAGACTCCGTCTCACAAAAAAATAATTGAAAAAAAAAAAAACTAAAACAATAAAATATTAGAAGAAGACCTAGGGGAAATGCTCCAGTACTTTGCTCTAGGCAAAGATTTTATGGCTAACACTCAAAGTACAAGCAACAAAACCCCAAATAGACAAATGGAACTATATTAAAGCAAAAAATTTCTGCATAGCAAATGAAACAATCGACAATGTGAAGAGAAAACGTGGTGAATGAAAGGAAATACTTGCAAACTATTCATTTGGCAAAGAACTAATACCCAGAATATGTAAGGAACTCACATAATAGCAAAAAAACAAATAATCCCATTAAAAAGTGGGCAAAGGATCTGAATGGACATTTCTCAAAGGAATACATACAAGTGGTCAACAGGTATATTTAAAAATACTCAATATCACTAACTTCAGGGAAATGCAAATCAAAACCACAATGAGATATCATCTTATCCAAGTTAGAATTGCTATTATCCAAATGACAAAAAATAACTAATGGTGGCAAAGATGAAAAGAAAGAATTCTTATACACTGTTAGTGGGAATGAAAATTAGTATAGCCATTCTGGAAAATAGTATGGCGATTTCCCCAAAAATTAAAAATTAAAACTAGCACAAGATAGAACAATCTCACTACTGGGTATTTTATCCAAAGGAAAGTAAATCAGTATATCAGAAGGATACTTGCACCTCCATGTTTATTGCCACACCATTCAAAATAGCAAAAATATACAACAATCTGTTCATCAACAGATGAATAGGTAAAGAAAATGTGGTGTATAAATACACAACTGAATACTATTTGGTCATAACAGTGAATGAAATTTTGTCATTTCGAGCAACATAGATGGAACTGGAGGTGATTATGTTAAGTGAATTAAGCCAGGAACAGAAAGATAAATATATCATGTTCTCACTCATACATGAGAGTTAAAAAATTGATCTCATGGAAATAGTGAGTAGAATGGTGGTTACCAGAGGCTGGGGAGGGTGTGCGTCTGTGGTGGGGGATAAAAAGAGGTAGATTAATGGGCACAAACATACAGTTAGATAGAATAAGTTTTAATATTAAATAGCACAGTAGAGTGACTATAGTTGACAATATATTGTATATTTGAAGACAGCTAAAAGAAATTTGAAATGTTCCCCACACAAAGAAATGGCAAATGTTTGCAATGATAGATAACCTAAATACCCTGACTTGATCATTACACTTTCTATGCATGTACCAAAATATCACATGTACCACATAAATATGTACAAATATTATATAACAATAAAATAATTAGAAAAATAATAAAAGTAACAATAAAATATAATACAAATAAAAATAATGCATCTAACAACTATTTACATAGAGTTGTATTAGGTATTATAAGTAATCTAGAGATGACTTAATGTACATGAGAGGATATGCATAGGTTGTATGCAAATACTACATCATTTCATATAAGGAACTTGAACATTTATGGGTTTTGGTATCTACAGGAGTCTTGGAACCAATCTTCCGTGGATATAACAGAACAACTATATCTCTATATCTAGATATATATGTCTTGTTTTCAATATAACTAAACTAAATTTTCCCTTTTAAACTTTCTTCAACTCCTTAATCTTTTATTTTATTGATAATGTCATTCTCTCATAGTATCTCAGGATGAGATCTTCAAGAAATCTTAGTTACATTACATGTCAGTTGGTCTCCCTACTGTGGGTATATCTCATACTACACCAGCTTGACAAAATACTTGCACCTCCACATAATTCTGATTCTCTCCCTCTTTTCATGGTCTTCACTGTTCACAAATGTACTCTCAACACCAAAAAGTGATATTATGCTTCTCAATATTATTTTCCTTTCTCCTGAAGCTTTGTTTCCTTATACTGTCCTTCAAATATTCTATACAACAGTAACATAAGGTTATTTTTCATACTGCCTCACTCTGTCTCCTGTGCCCATATATGCTCTTTTCTTTTTTGGCCTTTTTTTATACAGCTTAGTTTATTCTTTTGAAAGATACTCTTAGTATAATATATTTCATCTGTTAAAAAATACTACTAGCTAGTGAAAGGGAAAATAAAACATCAACATTATAGCATATACTTATTCTGTTTCCCCTGGCAGGAATAACCTAAAAATATTTCTTGATATACTTGTCTGGTTTTTCCACTAGCTTGCAAACTTATTAAGGGAAAAAACCTTGTAAAAATCCTCTGATAGTTACTTTAGAATAAACCTAAATTTAGAAAAGTGATATGTAATTGTTGAAGAAATAAATGAATTAAAATGAGTTGCCAAGAAACGTGAATAAAATGCTCAACATCACTAATCACTAATCATACACAAGTCAGAATGACTATTATTAAAAAATCAACAGATGTTGGTGAGGATGCAAAGAAAAAGGAACACTTATACACTGTTAGTGAGAATGTAAATTACTACAACCTCTATGGAAAACAGTATGGAGATTTCTCAAATACTAAAAATAGAACTACCCTCTGATCTGGAAATCCCACTGCTGGGTAATTACTCATAGGAAAATAAATTATTGTATTAAAAATACACCTGTGCTATTATGTTTATGGCAACACTATTTACAATGCAAAGTTATGGAATCAACCTAAGTGTCCATCAGTCGAGAATTAGATAAAATATCACACACACACACACACACATATCCTGGAATACTATTCAGCCATAAAAATAATAAAATTATGTCTTTTGCAACAACATGAATGGAATTGGAGGCCATTATCTTATAAGAAATAATTTAGAAACTGATTACCAAATACTGCATGTTCTTACTTATTAGATGGAAATAAACAATGTGTACACATGGATATGGAAAATGGAATAGGAGACATTGGAGATTCTATAAGGTGGGAGGGGGATGGTGGTTAAAAAATTACCTATTGGGTACAATATTCACTAGTTGTATGATGGATAACGCTACAAGCCCATACTTCAACACTACATAGTACATCCATTGATATGATTTGGCTATGTGTTCCCACCAGAATCTCAAGCTGAATTCTAATCCCCAGTGTTGAAGGAGGAGTCTTGTGGGAGGTGATTGAATCATGGAGGCAGATTTTTCCCTTATTCTTCTTGTGGTAATGAATGAGTTCTCATGAGATCTGATTGTTTAAAAGTGTACAGAAACTCCCCTTTCTCTCTCTCTTCCTCCTGCTCCCACCATGTAAGACACACTTGCTTCCCCTTCGGCTTCTACTGTGATTGTAAGTTTCCTAAGGCTTCCCCAGAAGCAAAAGCCTGTACAGACTGCTGCTATATTAAATATAGCTTCTTTATAAATTACCCAGTCTCAGGTATGGTATGTCTTCATATCAACGTGAGAATGAACTAATATGTCCATGTAACAAAACTACACTATACCCTCTAAATCTACAAAAATAAAATTTAAAAAATTATAATTTTATATAGTACCCAATCATTTTTCAATGGTATTTATTTGTGAAATAAAAAAATAGTACACATTCAAATTTTTTAAATTAAAAAATAGATATAAATATAATGAAGTGATGTTTGCTTCTGGAGAAAGTGCTATAACATAGGGTGAATGTATCCTCCTACTTGAAACAAATAGACATCTGGACAAAATACTTGAAATAATTGTTTTTGCATATTGAAACAAAAGGCTGCACAGGACACTGATTCCTGAGAGAGTGGAAATAAAAGAGATGAACTCTATGAGTGACCACAACTTACTATATTGAGAGTATAGATGGTTCCTGAATTATAATGTTTGCTTTTTTGTTTGTTTGATCGGTTGGCTGGTTGGTTGGTTTTGAGATAGAGTCTCACTCTGTTGCCCAGGCTGGAGTGCAGTGGCATGATCAAAGCTCACTGCATCCTTGATTTCTTGGACTCATGTGATCCTCCCACTTCAGCCTCCTGAGTAGCTGGGACTACAGGTGCACACCACCATGGCTGGCTAATTTTTTATAGTTTTGTACAGACAGGTCTCACTATGTTGTCCAGGCTGCTCTTGAACTCCTGGGCTCAAGTGATCCTCCTACCTCAGTCTCCAAAAATATGAGGATTCCAGGCATGAGCCACTGTGCCCAGCTGCAACTAAGTTGACTTAACAATTTTTCAACTTTGCAGTGATGGAAAAGCCATATGCATTTTAGAAACCACATTTTAAATTTTGAATTTTGATTTTTTCTCAGGCTGGTGATATGCAGTATGATACTTTCTTGCAATGTTTGGCAGTGGTGGCAGGATGCAGCTCACAGTCAGCCATGTGATTATAAAGGTAAACAACTAATACTCTACAGATTCTAAAGTGTACTGTGTTGCCATGTGATTTTACTCAACTGTAGGCTAATGTAAGTGTTCTGTATGCTTTTAAGGTAGGCTAGGCTTAGCTGCAATGTTTGGTAGTTTAGGTGTATTGAATACATTTTTATTTTACATTATCAACTTATGAGTGGTTTATTGTGACGTAATTTTATTGGTAAATGGGGAAGTATCTGTATATACACACCAACATTCAGGGAAAGTGAAATAAGGCGAAGACATGGACTAAGGTTAAGAGATCAATGCAGGAATCCAAGGAGTATAGGCAGCAAAAGTCTTCAGGAAAGAGTACTAGTGATGATAAGCCTGTATAGAGAGCTCTGTATTCAAGCAGAGGATTTCCTCAAGTCACTACTAATTTCAGAGTAACCCATCTATTTGAGGAAACTACACTAGGTCATAGAAAGTCTCATGTGAAATATTTAGAGTGAAAAAAACCTAAGAGTTCACACAGGTCTAGAAATAATTTATTTGCCATTAATAATAATATTTAAAAAATGGTAATTGAGGGAGCACCAGGTAAAACACTAACAAATATTATGCCTCAGTAGTGTGACAAAATTAGCCCATGACTAAAAGCTGTACCAGCACCATGTAACAAACCTTAAAAGCAAGACTCACAATAATAAAAGTGTTTAAAATAATTTAACAATATTCTGGGACAAAGCTCAAGAATATTAATGAGAATACAAAACATGTAGCATAAACAAGTTTAAAAAATTACAATATCTTGCACCCAATAAAATATTTCTAGAAATTCAAGAAAGCAATAAAATGCAACTATAACGAGAAGAAAAATTAATAGAAACAAATCTAAAAATGACAGGAATGAGAGAATTAGTAGACAAGTATATTAAACCAGCTATTATTATTATATTTCACTTCATCAAAAACTGACAGAAAAGAGTGAGAAAATTAAACATAAACAAGAAAGCTATAAAAAACAAAACTCCCAGAGCCAAAACTACAATGTCTCAAGTGAAAACTACTTTTGATAGGATTAACAACAAATTAGACACTTCAGAACAAAAGATTAGTGAACCTGGTTCATAGAAACAAAAGTTATGAAGCAGAGCATTAGTGAACTCCATGGAACAGCTTCAATTGGCCTAATAATTGTGTAGAGTCTCTGAAGAAGGGGAAAGCAGAAAAATACATATACTTGAGAAAACAACCAAACCTGTTCAAAATTAATAAAAACATGAATATAAACATCATAGATCAGGACCAAGAATATGGATATGCAGTAATCTAAGCCAGAGTTTCTATTTCTGCTATGCAATGTCTTTGTTTAGGAAAATTACTAGAATTTCCTACATTTTCTAAGATCCAAAACAAACTCAAGCATAGGTAACATAAAGAATAGTAACTAACAACAGGTCCATCTGACTTAAAACGGGTTATATTTACAGTAAGCATTAAAAGTTATCAGTTTTTTTTAAAATGTATCAATGAACAAAGATATAAATGACAGCAGACTTCTTGATGGAAACAATGCAAGTTGAAAAGACAATGGGCCAATATTTTAAAGAACTGACAGAAAACTACTAGTATTAATTTTTTTAAGAATTTCATCTAGAATTCTATATCAAGTCAAAAATATCTTTCAAAAATACATATGGACATAAATGCTTCCACAATGACAGAATATGATCATCTGAAAATTTGTTTGTCCATAAAAGCAAAAAGAACATTGGCAAAATTGTTAAAAGCCAGCTATTTCAGAACTCTAAAAGTTAACACCAGTCTGAGAACAATGTATGAAACATTTGTCAAACAAAATTAGATTAATATATTTAGGAAGATTGAGCTTTGTGGTGTTTTAATTTAGCCCATCTCCATCCATTTCTCCCCAGCTATGTGAAACATTGAAAATCAGCAGTCTTTCAATCATTGTAGCTTTGAATACAAGCAACCTAGCAGAAAATGGAGGCATCCAAATAAGATTCAAGTTCTACTAAAATTCTTGTCACCAGAGAATTTTCACTATTTGACCTGTCTGTTAGCTCCCTACAAATGTCCCATTTATGACTTCACTCAGAGCTCACTCAGGGTAAACACCACCAGACATATGTTGGTGTTTGGACATATGTCATATATAAGTTGAAAATAATTAGTGGTAATTATTTAAAATGGCAGTTATCTGGGGGCAGTGATACCAACTGAGGCAAGGGCCTACCCACAAATTTAAAACTACATTTTACAAAATGAGATGTCCACAGGGGACTCTGAGTACCCCAACATATACAAGGGAATCTAAAGTTGACACATACAGGGAGCATTGTGTGTACCCAGAAAAATAACCTGAGAAGCACTGTTCTCTCAATTCTGGTTGATCCTGAGGTTTTTCACAAGCAGGAAGTAATGGTTAAGGCAGAATTGTAAACTGCCCAAGTATTGAAAACTTGCCCCAACATACAAACAGAGACCCTTAACAGAGAATGAGAGACTTATTGGCTTAAAGCATTTAAGAGAATCTTTATTGAATCATTAGCTGACCACTAACCTAATGAAGTGGAAACGTCAATGGTCACAGACAACATAAAACAGTGACTTTAAGAAATTAGGCCATGAAAGTCCCTACACAATCAAACAGCAGCAGCAAAAGCAAAGATAGCAACAAAATAAATCCTGGACAGTGGAGGAAGAAGGGGAAGGGAGGAATCTTTAGTTTCCCCACATAGAGGTGCCACATTATATTATTTTAAATGTGCAGTTTTCAGCAGCAACAACAATCATAAGAAAAGCACAGACAGAGAAAGGTATGGTCTATGTATGGGGAAAAAAGCACTCAATAAAAGTTGTCCATTAAGAAAGACAAATGTTGGGTTAATTTTTAGAATAATGTAAATCAGCTATTATAAATATTTTTTATTTTTATAAAATAAAAAATTTTGGTTCCATGTCTCCACACCCAAATCTCATCTCAAATTGTAATCCTGATAATCCCCACGTGTCCAGGGAGGGATCTGGTGGGAGGTGACTGGATCATGAGGGCGGTTTTCCCCATGCTGGTCTCGTGATAGTGAGTGAGTTCTCATGAGAGCTAATTATAAAGGGCTCTTCAAAAGGGGCCCTTTATAAGGGGATTTTAATGGGCTATTCATAAGTGGCTCTTTTTAGGGGGCTTTTTAAAGGGGCTCTTCCCTCTTTGCTCTCTCTGCTCTCTCTCCTGCCACCTTGTGAAGAAGGTGCCTGGTTCCTTTCCACCATAATTGCAGGTTTCCTGAAGCATCCCTAGCCGTGCAGAACTGTAAGTCAATTAAACCTCCTTTGCTTATAAATTACCCAGTCTTGAGTAGTATTTTTATTGCAGTGTGACAATGGACTAATACACTAGGTATAAAGAATTATAGGAATATATGAGAACAATATTGTGCACATTGGAAAATATCAATAGAGATATAGAAGTTATTAAAAACAATAAAGTAAAAATGTTGGATTTGAAAAGGAACATAACAGAAACTAAAAATTCACTAGAGGGGATCAACAATAGCTATGAGCTGGTAGAAGAAAGAATCAGCAAACCCTAAGATAGGTCAGTTGAGATGAAATCAAAGGAACATAAGAAAATGAATAAAGAGAATGAACACATCCTCAGAGACCTCTGGGGCACTGGAAAGCATACTAACAGATATATTGGGAGTCCTGTAAGAAGACTAGTAAGAATTACTCTAAGTTGACTATAGTAAGTTAATATGTATTTTATAAGTCCTAAAACAAACACTAGAAATAAAACAATGAATTATATCTACTGAGAAATAGGAAAAGTAAAATGGAAATGGAATTATATAAATAATCCTCAATCTAAAAATGGATAAAAATAGAAAAGAAATCAGAAACATATAAAATTAATAGAAACATAGTAAATATATCCATACAATAATGACATTAAATGTAAATGGACCAAATGTCTCAATTAAGAGGCAGAGAATGTTAGACAGAATAAAAAACCAAGACCCACCTATATGCTGCCTTCAAGAAACATACTTTAAACCTAAAAATATGAATAATTAAAAACAAAAGGATGAAAAGGATGCAAATGTGAATTAAAAGAATGGGGAAGTGGCTATATTAATGCAAGCCAGGCTCTATGCTAGATAAAGTTTTGAATTAAAATTTTTACACAATTCTTGCTGTGAAGAAGATTTGAATTAAAATTTTTACACAATTCCTGCTGTGAAGAAGATTTTTTTTCTAGCTAGGAATATAAAAATTGAGTAAGTACACAGGAGTCATACACAAAAGAGATGACTCTAATCAATGTGTGCATATAAAACAAATGACCTAATTCTCTTCCTGAACTGTCTGAAATTTAAAACAAACAGTAGAATCTTATTTTAAAGTACTTTTCTGGATAAAATAATTATAACCGAGCGGATGAAATAAAATTGAGCAAAGTACTTTTTACTCTCTCCAAATCAGACAACCTTAATATGTTCTGATTTTATTAAACAACTTATGCTGTTGTAGTTGTGGTTGTTTTTAAACTATTAAAGAGAAAGTTACTCTATAAGGCAGTACAGATTAAGATAAAAGAGAATGGATCTGAAGTAATCCAAGCCAGAATATGAATTTCTGCTATAAAATGTATTTATTTAGGCAAATTTTTGAAACTTTCCATTATTTTCTAGTGTTATTATTAAGATTATGGATACTAAATAACTAGCAAAGTACTTGAGACACATTACTAAATAAATGGTAATAGAATTATTCCCTAAAACATTGGAAATTGTTCTGTTCCAAGGTGGCAGAATAGGAATAGCTCTAGTCTGCAGCTCCCAGTGTGATTGACACAGAAGACAGGTGATTTCTGCATTTCCAACTGAGGTACCTGGTTCAACTCATTAGGACTGGTTGGACAGTGGGTGCAACCCACAGAGGGTGAGCCAAAGCAGGGTGGGTCATCACCTCACCTGGGAAGTGCAAGGGGTTGGGGGATTTCCCTTTCCTAGCCAAGGGAAGCCGTGACAGGCTGTACCAGGAATATCGGGACACTGCCACCTAAATACTGCACTTTTCCAATGGTCTTAGCAAATGGGACAGCAGGAGATTATATCCCATGCATGGCTCAGCTGGTCCCATGCCCACAGAGCCTTGCTCACTTGCTAGCTCAGCAGTCCAAGATCGAACTGCCAAGCAGCAAGCCTGGCTGGGGAGGGGCATCCACCATTGCTGAGGCTTGAGTAGGCAAACAAGGTGACCAGGAATCTTGAACTCGGTGGAGCCCACCACAGCTCAGCGAGGCTCACCTGCCTCTGTAGACTCCACCTCTGGGGGCAGGGCATAGCTGAACAAAGGCAGTAGAAACTTCTGCAGACTTAAACATCCCTCTCTGACAGCTCTGAAGAGAGCAGTGGTTCTTGCAGCATGGTGTTTGAGCTCTGAGAATGGATAGACTGCCTCCTCAAGTGGGACCCTGACCCCGTGTAGCCTAACTTGGAGACACCTCCAAGTAAGGGCTGACTGACACTTCATACAGCTGGTGCCCCTCTGAGATGAAGCATCCAGAGGAAGGATCAGGCAGCAATATTTGCTGTTCTGCAATATTTGCTGTTCTGCAGCCTCTGCTGGTGATACCCAGGCAAACAGCATCTGGAGTGGAGCTCCAGCAAACTCCAACAGACTTGCAGCTGAGGGACCTGACTGTTAGGAGGAAAACTATCAAACAGAAAGGAATACCACTAACATCAACAAAAAGGACATTCACACCAAAACCCCATCTGTAGGTCATGATCATCAAAGACCAAAGGTAGATAAAACCACACAGATGGGGAGAAACAAGAGCAGAAAAGCTGAAAATTCTAAAAACCAGAGTGCGCCTTCTCCTCCAAAGGATTGCAGCTCCTTGCCAGCAATGGAACAAAGCTGGATGGAGAATGACTTTGAGGAGTTGACAGAAGTAGGCTTCAGAAAGTCAGTAATAACAAACTTCCCTGAGCTAAAGGAGGATGTTCAAACCCATCACAAGGAAGCTAAAAACCTTGAAAAAAGATTAGATGTATGGCAAACTAGAATAAACAGTGTAGAGAAGACGTTAAATGACATGATGGAGCTGAAAACCATGGCAGGAGAACTATGTGACACATGCACAAGCTTCAGTAGCTGATTCGATCAAGTGGAAGAAAGGGTATCAGTGATTGAAGATCAAATGAATGAAATGAAGCTAGAAGAGAAGTTTAGAGGAAAAAAGAGTAAAAAGAAACAAACAAAGCCTCCAAGAAATATGGGACTATGTGAAAAGACCGAATCTACATTTGATTGGTGTACCTGAAAGTGACGGGGAGAATGGAACTAAGCTGGAAAACACTCTTCAGTATATTATCCGGGAGAACTTCCCCAACCTAGCAAGTCAGGCCACATTCAAATTCAGGAAATACAGAGAACACCACAAAGATACTCCTCGAGAAGAGCAACCCCAAGACACATAATTGTCAGATTAACCAAGGTTGAAATGAAGGAAAAAATGTTAAGGGTAGTCAGAGAGAAAGGTCGGGTTACACACAAAGGGAAGCCCATCAGACTAATAGCAGATCTGTCGGCAGAAACTCTACAGGTCAGAAGAGAGTGAGAGCCAATATTCAACATTCCTAAAGAAAATAATTTTCAACCCAGAATTTCATATACACCCAAACTAAGCTTCATAAGTGAAGGAGAAATAAAATCCTTTACAGACAAGCAAATGCTGAGAGGTTTTGTCACCACCAGGCCCGCCTTACAAGAGCTACTGAAGGAAGCACTAAACACGGAAAGGAAAAACCAGTGCAAGCCACTGCAAAAACATGCCAAATTGTAAACACCATTGACGCTAGGAAGAAACTGCATCAACTAAAGGGCAAAATAACCAGCTAACATCATAATGACAGGAACAAATTCACACATAACATATTAACCTTAAATGTAAATGGACTAAATTCCCCAATTAAAAGACACAGACTGGCAAACTGGATAAAGAGTGAAGACCCATCAGCGCTATTAGTGCGCTGTATTCAGGAGACCCATTTCATATGCAGAGACACACATAGGCTCAAAATAAAGGGATGGAGGAAGATCTACCAAGCAAATGGAAAGAAAAAAAAACCAGGGGTTGCAATCCTAGTCTCTGATTAAACAGACATTAAAAAAACAAAGGTCAAAAGAGACAAAGAAGGGCATTACATAATGGTAAAGGATCAATTCAACAAGAAGAGCTAACTGTCTTAAATATACATGTGCCCAATACAGGAGCACCCAGATTCATAAAGCAGTCCTTAGAGACCTGCAAAGAGACTTAGACTCCCACAAAATAGTATAGGGAGAATTTAACACCCCACTGTAAATATCAGACAGATCAATGAGACAGAAGGTTAACAAGGATATCCAGGACTTGAACTCAGGTCTGCAACAAGCAGACCTAATAGACATCTACAGAACTGTCCACCCCAAATCAAGAGAGTATACATTCTTCTCAGCACCACATTGCACTTATTCCAAAATTGACCACATAGTTGGAAGTAAAGCTCTCCTCAGAAAATGAAAAAGAACAGAAATCACAACAAACTGTCTCTCAGACCACAGTGCAATCAACTTACAACTCAGGATTAAGGAACTCACTCAAAACCGCCCAACTACATGGAAACTGAACAACCTGCTCCTGAAGGACTACTGGGTACATAACGAAATGAAGGCAGAAATAAAGATGTTCTTTGAAACCAATGAGAACAAAGACACAACATACCAGAATCCCTGGGACACATTTAAAGCAGTGTGTAGAGGGAAATTTACAACACTAAATGCCCACAAGAGAAAGCAAGAAAGATCTAAAATCGACACCCTAACATCACAATTAAAAGAACTAGAGAAGCAAGAGCAAACACATTCAAAAGCTAGCAGAAGGCAAGAAATAATTAAGATCAGAGCAGAACTGAAGCAGACAGAGGCACAAAAAACCATTCAAAAATCAATGAATCCAGGAGCCGGTTTTTTGAAAAGATCAACAAAATTGATAGACCACTAGCAAAACTAATAAAGAAGAAAAGAGAGAAGAATCAAATAGATACAATAAAAAATGATAAAAGGGATATCACCACCAATCCCACAGAAATACAAACTTCCATCAGAGAATACTATAAACACCTCTACGCAAATAGACTAGAAAATCTAGAAGAAATGGATAAATTCCTCGACACATACACCCTCCCAAGACTAAACCAGGAAGAAGTTGACCCCCTGAATAGGCCAATAACAGGCTCTGAAATTGAGGCAATAATTAGTAGCCTACCAACCAAAAAAAGTCCAGGACCAGACAGATTCACAGCCGGATTCTACCAGAGGTAAAAAGAGGAGCTGGTACCATTCCTTCTGAAACTATCCCAATCAACAGAAAAAGAGGGAATCCTCCCTAACTCATTTGATGAGGCCAGTATCACTGTGATACCAAAGCCTGGCAGAGACACACAAAAAAAGAGAATTTTAGACCAATATTCCTGATGAACATCGATGCAAAAATCCTCAATAAAATACTCGCAAACTGAATCCAGCAGCATATCAAAAAGCTTATCCACCAAGATCAAGTTGGTTTCATCCCTGGGATGCAAGGCTGGTTCAACATATGCAAATCAATAAAAGTAAACCATCACATAAACAGAACCAATGATAAAAACTACATGATTATCTCAATAGATGCAGAGGAGGCCTTTGACAAAATTCAACAACACTTCATGCTAAAAACTCTCAATAAACTAGGTATTGATGGATTGTATCTCAAAATAATAAGAACTGCTTATGACAAGCCCACAGCCAGTATCATACTGAATGGGCAAAAAAATGGAAGCATTCCCTTTGAAAACTGGCACAAGACAGGGATGCCGTCTTTCACCATTCCTATTCAACATAGTGTTGGAAGTTCAGGCCGGGGCAATCAGGCAAGAGAAAGAAATAAAGCGTATTCAATTAGGAAAAGAGGAAGTCAAATTGTCCCTGTTTGCAGAAGACATGATGGTATATTTAGAAAACCCCATCGTCTCAGCCCAAAATCTCCTTAAGCTGATAAGCAACTTTAGCAAAGTCTCAGGATACAAAATCAATGTGCAAAAATCACAAGCATTCTTATACACCAACAACAGACAAACAGAGAGCCAAATCATGAATGAACTCCCATTCACAATTGCTACAAAGAGAATAAAATACCTAGGAATCCAACTTACAAAGGATGTGAAGGACCTCTTCAAGGAGAACTACAAACCACTGCTCAATGAAATAAAGGAGGACACAAACAAATGGAAAAACATTCCATGCTCATGGATAGGAAGAATCAAAATCGTGAATATGGCCATACTGTCCAAGGTAATTTCTAGGTTCAATGCCATCCCCATGAAGCTACCAATGGCTTTCTTCACAGAATTAGAAAAAACTACTTTGAAGTTCATATGGAACCAAAAAAGAGCCCGCATTGCCAAGTCAATCCTAAGCCAAAAGAGCAAAGCTGGAGGCATCATGCTACCTGACTTCAAACTATACTACAAGGCTACAGTAACCAAAACAGAATGGTACTGGTACCAAAACAGACATATAGACCAATGGAACAGAACAGAGCCCTCAGAAATAACACCACACTTCTACAACCATCTGATCTTTGACAAACCTGACAAAAACAAGAAATGGGGAAAGGATTCCCTATTTAATAAATGGTGCTGGGAAAACTGGCTAGCCATATGTAGAAAGCTGAAACTGGATCCCTTCCTTACACCTTATACAAAAATTAATTCAAGATGGATTAAAGACTTAAATGTTAGACCTAAAACTATAAAAACCCTAGAAGAAAACTTAGGCAATACCATTCAGGACATAGGCATGGGCAAGGACTTCATGTCTAAAACACCAAAAGCAATGGCAACAAAAGCTAAAATTGACAAATGGGATCTAATTAAACTAAAGAGCTTCTGCACAGCAACAGAATCGACCATCAGAGTGAACAGGCAACCTACAGAATGGGAGAAAATTTTTGCAATCTACCCATCTGACAAAGGGCTAGTGTCCAGAATCTACAAAGAACTTAAACAAATTTATAAGAAAAAATCAAACAACCCCATCAAAAAGTGGGCAAAGGATATGAACAGATACTTCTCAAAAGAAGACATTTATGCAGCCAGCAGACACATGAAAAAATGCTCATCATCACTGGTCATCAGAGAAATGGAAATCAAAATCACAATGAGATAGCATCTCATACCAGTTAGAATGGGGATCATTAAAAAGTCAGGAAACAACAGGTGCTGGATAGGATGTAGAGAAATAGGAATGCTTTTACACTGTTGGGGGGACTGTAAACTAGTTCAACCATTGTGGAAGACAGTGTGGCGATTCCTCAAGGATCGAGAACTAGAAATACCATTTGAACCAGCCATCCCATTACTGGGTATATACCCAAAGTATTATAAATCATGCTACTATAAAGAGTCATGCACACATATATTTGTTGTGGCACTATTCACAATAGCAAAGACTTGGAACCAGCCCAAATGTCCATCAATGATAGACTGGATTAAGAAAATGGGCACATATATACACTATGGAATACTATGCAGCCATAAAAAAGGATGAGTTCATGCCCTTTGTAGGGACATGGATGAAGCTGGAAACCATCATTCTGAGCAAACTATCGCAAGGACAGAAAACCAAACACTGCAGTTTCTCGCTCATAGGTGGGAACTGAACAATGAGAACAGTTGGACACAGGGTGTGGAACATCACACACTGGGGCCTGTTGTGGGGTGGGGGGATGGGGGAGGGATAACATTAGGAGAAATACCTAATGTAAATGATGAGTTAATGGGTGCAGCAAACCAACATGGCACATGTATACATGTGTAACAAACCTGCATGTTGTGCAAATGTACACTAGAATTTAAAGTATAATAAAAAAATTGGAAATTTGTGTGGGAGAAATAACTATTGGGATTTAATGTCAAAGGTACAATATTTACACATAAAAAGTTTTATTATGGGTACTATATTGCATAGCATAAGTGTGTTTTCTTATTTTATACATATATACCAAATATATATTATATATTTGAAGGGATAATGTGTATATTATAGATCACATTTTATATTCTGCCACATACGACCATAATTGAAGTAATAAATACCTTTAAAATAACCGATTATTGCAAGTTTTAAGGCAGGAAGTCTGAGAACATAATAGAAGATTAGAGATAAAATATGCACTTATTTCCATTCTAATCTATATTATTGTTTTAAAATATTTTTAGATGTATGTGACAAAGATATTCTAATATTACCTAATTATAAAACACATAATTAGGCTGTATTTACTATCATTTTTGTCATTTAGGTATCAAAGGTCATTTAAGAATTTGTCATGAGAAACTGCCTTTTGTTTTTAGACTTACAGTAATGCTTAAATATTATTTCCCCAACATCTTCTATATCTCAAACTTGGTGGCATACTTTGCAGGCCATAGTAAGAGACTGTGACAACCATCCTTTCCAATACTCATTACTAAGAAAATAATACAATTTAATCTGACTATACCTATTAGGATGCAAAAAATGCCAGTAATCTCAAAAATAATTAGATGCAATAAATTATGGCAAAATCCCTAACATTTCAGCTTTGCAGTTGTAGAAAAATGTGCCAGTTCAGTTGCATTTAAAATATTTAATTTGATCCCTAAAACTGAAATAGTTGTTGCCATTCTTATTGCACTTACGGTAAAATGTTTGCTTTATGTAAAACCTAATGGGTAAACTAGACGATAAGATTTAATCATATTTTGTTTTTTAGCCATAATTCTAGGAGTTCATCTGAGAAACTCAGGGATGAAATGAGATTCTTAGATCATTAAGTTGCCTCCTCCATACTTGTATATGAATTGTGTAAATTACTTTATTTTGCTCGAGTTTTTTTTTTATTATCGCAATGGGCAACAGGTGAAACATAAATACACCTTCCCATGGGTGTTTCTAACTCTGATGTGAAGAAATCAACGGGGAAACAGAAACATGCTCTGGTTAATATAATTAAATGGAGCTTATTGTAAGTATATACTGAAGATATGAGGATATAAAAATTAAAACTTTCCCAACAGGTTTGTTGAAATTTAGAAAATAATTCACAGTCAATTAGAGGACATACAGATTAGTAGACTAAAAGCAGTTCTGATTATTTAACAGTGAATTTTCTAATTTTCTATACTTGAAATCATGACTGCAGAAAGTCATTGCCTTTTAATCTGCCAGGTGTTACCTGGATTCAGATACTAGTTCAAAGATTTACCAATTGTGTAAACTTCATGAGGTTATTTAATCCATCTATACTTCAGTTACCACATTTAGAATAACAGGACTGAATTTATGGAGTTGTTTTAAGGTGTGTTGATTATCTATTGTTTTGTAACAAATTGCCACAAGTTTAGCTGGTTAAAACAAGATACAATTATTATAGTTCCTGTAAGTCAAGAGTCTAGCACAGTTTATCAAGATCTGCTCAGGGTTTCACAAGGCAATTGTTTTGGCTGCATTCCTTTTGGAGCTCAGAGCTCTCTTTGAAGCTCCATGTGATGGTTAGCTGAATTCAGTGTCTTGTTTTGTGTGACTGGTGTTCCTATTTTCTTGCTGGCTACCATCCTGGAGCTGCTCTCAGCTACAAAAAACATCCTATAATTCCCTGCCATGAAGCCTTGTCAGGCCATCTCACGGGTCTTCTATTAATAAGACAACTTGCCTCTTCAGGACCAGCTGGAGACTGTCTTATTCCTGTCTGCAAAATGGAATCTTATATAAGCTAAAATAGTCACGACAGTGATTTCCATATTCTTTACCATATTCTCTTGACTAGCAGCAAGTCATAGGTTCAGCCTTCATGAAAAGAAGGAGATTATGTAAACATGTGACTCATTGGTGGTCAGCTCAGGGTGTGTCCCACACACAAAGATTAAATCAAGAAATCCAGGTAAAACATTTATAATCCTGTTGGCATAAACACATCCTCAGTAATTGTAGCTCTTACGTCTTACTGAGCTTTTTACTTAGAAAAATTTTCTAGTATCTTTGTGCCTCCTATTGCTTTATGAATTCAGTTGCTTCCACTGTTAGGTCATCTTACAAGTTTCCTTATAGTATTTTCTCTCTTTCTTTTTCTGCACCACTGATCACAGGCTCTGTCTTTATGCATCTAAACTGCCAAGTTAGTGATGTGATTCTCCGGTTTTTGCATTGTCAGAAAGTCAAATGCCAATTTTATAACCTCATGAAGGTGAAGAACCAGTCAGATTCTTTGGTTGCTGGGGTAAGAAAAGTTAATTAAACCTGTGACCATTCTCAAACAAGTGAGGGCATAAATTCCAGCTGATGTTGGCCTGTTCAGTTAGTGCAATAAGGTCTCAGTCACACATCAATTACATAGTATAGAAACAGTACTAGCACCATTATTAGCAGATATTAATGTAGGCCAGGTGTATTGTGGGTGAGTGCCCGAATGCTTCTCCTCAGTGTTTCATAAGTAGAATTATGTCTCATTCTCTCCTGAAATCCAATATAATCATGTGTCACATAATTATGTTTCAGTAAAAAATGGACCAGATATACCATGGTAGTTCCATAAGATTATAATACCACATTTTTACTGTACCTTTTCTATATACATTGTGTGTGTGTGTGTGTGTGTGTGTATGTATGTTAAGATAGGATCTTGCACTTTTGCCCAGGCTGGAGTTCCACGGTGGTGCAATCATAGCTCACTGCAACCTTGAACTCCTGGGCTCCAGGGATGCTCCCACCTTGGTCTCCTGAGTAGCTAGGACTACTCAGCATGCAACCATGTTCAGGTAATTTTTTTTTTTTGTAATTTTTAGTAGAGATGAGTTTCCACTCTTTCCAAGGCTGGTCTTGAACTCCTGGGCTCAAGAGATCTTCCTGCATTGGCCTCCCAGTGTGCTGAGATTACAGGAGTGAGCCACCATACCCTGTTCCTTTTCTATATTTAGATATGTGTAGATACAAAAATACTTGCCATTGTGTTACAATTGCCTACAGTATTCAGTACAGTAACGTGCTGCACAGGTTTGTAGCCTAGGAGCAATAGGCTAAACCATATAGCCTTGGTGTGTAGCAGGCTAGTACTAGTAGACCAGCTAGCTTTGTGTAATTGTACTCTATAATGTTTGCATGAGGACATTGCCTAAGGACAAATTTCTGAGAATCTAACCCCTTTATTAAGCAACACGTGACTGTACTGAAATACACTTCTTGGCTTGTGTTTTTGTAGAGTCACCTTATTAACTCATTAGCTTTTTTAAAATTATAAACCTTCCACAGTAATGATTATATCCCCAGTAAGTTCCCTCAAAATATCTTACTACTGTGTCAATAGTACTCTAGGATGTTTGTGCTCTATTCAAATTCACATTTTGAAGTTCGATCTACCTATATGTTAGTATTTGGAGACTGGGCTTTGGGGATGTAGTTAGGATAAGATGAGGTCATAAAGGCAGGGCCATCATGATGGGATTAGTACCTTTATAAGAAAAGAAACCAGAGCTTGCTTTTTCTCTCTATGCTTTTCATATATTATTGTCATCAAATAATTCAAATATCCAAGGGGTTAACTGGATTGGGAAAGATATTTTCAGGTAAGTAAATGACACTTTTTCACAGAGAGAAATTTTCATGTTGTTTAACAACTGAATAACCTTTATAAAATAATATATTGCTTTTAGCAAGTAGACTGAATTGCTAATTTGTGACTTTATTGTCAATCTTGTGTAAATTTGGCAGTTGTTTTATATATTTTAAAGAGTACTAGAGATTATCCTTTTAAATTATCAAAGTAAATCATTTACATGGTCAATATTATAAAAATATTTATTTCACACTTATTTGCTGTACCCTATAATAATTCCATAATTACATCTTTATCAGCATATTTCAACATAGTAATTTGTTTGTATTAAGTGTTGGTCATTATTAAGGGTATTTCCTTCCCAGACATATCCTGTTTTTTGTCCCCTGTAGCAAGTAGAAGGAGGATTATACATCACCTTTAGAGCTTATATTCCAAATTTTTCTGGAGTCATAGCCACTGACTGATTATAACAGGACAATTCTGTACAGAAATGAGTTCCAAAGTAGCATTCATTGATTACAGTTTTTGATTCCCATGGGCAATAGCCTCTAATCTTCTACTATCTGGAGCATTCCTACTGATTATATATTGAACATAAATATTTGTTCATGGTAATAAGCAGTTAGGAAGCTGTGCTATAAGCTACATTTTCATTTTATATATTCAGGTACTCTGAGTTGCATATCTTTTTCACAACTTTTTAAAATTTTAGCTTGGTATTCTAGGATTTCAGACTACACAATTCTGATTCCATTTCAATTAATGTAACAAAATTCTCTCCCTGAGTGAATACCCAGGATTATTTTAATGTTTGAGTTTTAGCCTAGTAGCCAAATATGTTAAGGTTATAATCAGGCCAGATTTATAAAGCTTCTCCTCCACTTTCTGGAATTCCTGTCCTTAACTTTATTTCTGAAGTAAAAACTGTTCCAGTGCTTCTCTTTGACTTAGGAGGATATTCTCACTTCCCACTACTTCGTTTCAAATATGCTAGGTATAACTTGTTAAAGCTCCTCAGGCCAGTTAAAATGGCACCGAGATTTCATTTCCTAT
The DNA here is from genome assembly GCF_000001405.40 of Homo sapiens. Lineage (NCBI taxonomy): Eukaryota > Metazoa > Chordata > Mammalia > Primates > Hominidae > Homo > Homo sapiens. Next base: position 86,637,689 of record NC_000012.12, read on the forward strand.
GATTATCGAGTCAATGCATTTTAAATCTCATTTTTCCCATAAATCATATTAACTCAGAACCTCTTCAAAATATTTCAATCAGTAGCACTTCCTTCTTCAGGAGAAGACAGATCATACCCACGTTATCTACATACATCTTAGTCTGATAGGACTGTACAAATTTTCATATTTCCTCTAACTATATCATGAGGCTTTAGATAATGCATTCTTTTTATGTACAGCTATTTTTGCTGAAACCAAATTACTCAGACATTTTATACTATTTGTGCATGATTATTTTAATACTTCAGAGAACATGGCCAAGCAGCATGTAGTTAGACCCTGTACGCAGACTTCCTCCTTGTTAAATTGTTTTGTGCCCTCTTTGTCTTTAAAAATTATTGTATTAATTTTATCCGTAAACAATTTACCTGTTAATTTTTATCTAACAAAAAAATCAAATGTTGGACTTACTGCATATAATATGGCAGAAATTAAATCTCTAAGGGAACTAGAACTGTGTTCTTAGTACATGTAGTAGACTTATTCTTTGCCCCCTAATATCTTCCTGAAAATACCAGTTCAATTTAATTGCTTTTGAGGAGCTTTGTTGAGCAGGCACTTTCCTATGAGAAAGGCTTTTAGACATTACCCTGGACAGCTGACCACAAAGTGATAACTCAGCACATCTAGAGGCCCTGTTATGGACTGAATGTCTGTGCTCTATTCAAATTCACATTTTGAAGTTCTATCTACCTATATGGTAGTATTTGGAAATTGGGCTTTGGGGATGTAATTAGGATAAGATGAGGTAATAAATATGGGACCTTCATGATGGGATTAGTACCTTTATAAGAAAAGAAACCAGAGCTTGCTTTTATTCTCTATGCTTTTTATATATTATTGTAATCAATAGCCACAATTCTCTGAGTTAAGTAAAATTTGGGTCTCCATGTTTCAGATAAAAGAACTGCCAAGTTTAATTTACTTGTGCCAGGTAACAGCTCTGTAAGACTAGTGACTGATATACAAGAAATCTGACTATAGAAGCCAAAGGTGAGCATGAACAATATTTTATTATAAATAAATACTCTGACCATATTAATTTTTCCTCAAACAGCTGTGTACTATGAAACTCTGCTTTCTTCTCAGGCCTGGAACCCATTATCCATTTTATTTCTGCACTGCTGTGAAACTTTTATAATAGCATTCATTACATGGAATTCAATTATTGGTTTCTATTTCAAGTTCTTCATAGTAAACTTGAGAGCCCTAATATCTTTCCATTATAGTGCAATATGATGTAAAAAATGTCATTTTAAAAAATAATATTTCTATCTATTGGTTTTGCAGATATAAATATTATCTTGAAAAATAACAATTTGAAAATCTCAATAATCACTTTGGCCCTTTTTATACTCAGTTTAAATTCCAGCCTCTTCACCTTTTGGGACACTCTGCTCTCTGTTGCACAATGTCATTTACCAAAATTATTTTGCTTTACCTTGGGCACAATGATATTTTTGTTTCTTGTAAAAATCCATCTGATAATGAAGATACATTTCAAAACAAAGTAGACTTATTTGTCTCTGTGTATTGATTTACATTTTACATCAGGCAATCTATTCTTTATTTTAATACTAATTCTATTTCATCACAAATTCTCAAACAGTCATCTGAAGTAGTCTATCAATAAGAGAACTTTGTATAAGTATTTTCTATTATTGGTTTTTGGGACATTCTTAATGAACATAAAAAATATATATTTTGCCTGAATTACAAGGTAAATTTAGGTGAAACAAAAAGTGAGGAAATGCAAAGTCAACCTATCAAATATTTAGAAGAATACAAATGGAGGCAGCCAGAACCATAAGAAAAAATACATTTATTTGATTTTATAAAATAAAATATTAAAAAGTGTCTAAGTTCTTTGATTGCCAAGAATAGTTTATGCCTATATTAGTTGAAGTTGAGCAAAATTATCATTTTACAATTATCTGGCATAATGGTTGCTCATAATGTATCTTATGTGTCAGATAAAATCTCCCAATAGGAATGGAGAAAATCATTTAAATGCTGTATAATAGATATCCAATAGCTGTTGATATTTTCAATGATTTAACTTTAGTTTTGATTGGAATCAACAACTCAAACCTCCCAAATCTGAAACAGAAAATTTAGCAACATCAAGATTATAAGGTTTCTTTGATTACTTTCCTCCTCTGATTGGCTTCCTGTGCTGGCTACTTAATCAGCTAGTAACAGGCCCAATCAGATATAAATTTCCTAAACTTCTAAATTATGAAACATCATATATATATAGTTACACTTATTTTTTCAAATAAATTTGATTTTAAACTAACCCATACTTATTTATGCTCAATTTTGTTTCATTTTCTAATTATTCAAAAAGAAGACTTTTAACAAATTAATATAAACATAAACCTCACATTGCACCCCATAAATATATCTAAGAAGAAATATTTTAGAATAAAAACAAGTTAGCATATTAATTAAAAAGATAGCTTTACCCACCATATATAAGTATTTTACATTCTAGGAGGACTGTTTTGAATAACCACTACTGTATTCACTATTTATTCTCAACTTAAATGCTACAATAGTATAGTTTGCTATGGTAATAAGTACTTGAGTTATTTTGATTGAATAAAGTTTAGATAGAAATATGTCAAATTTTTAAAAGCAGAACTCCTAATACAAATGGAAAGTTATTTCAACCTGTCCATAAGTTTTAAGAATTCTGTGGGATCGGTGGTGATATCCCCTTTATCATTTTTTATTGCATCTATTTGATTCTTCTCTCTTTTCTTCTTTATTAGTCTTGCTAGTGGTCTATCAATTTAGTTGATCCTTTCAAAAAACCAGCTCCTGGATTCGTTAATTTTTTGAAGGGTTTTTTGAGTCTCTATTTCCTTCAGTTCTACTCTGATTTTAGTTATTTCTTGCCTTCTGCTAGCTTTTGAATGTGTTTGCTCTTGCTTTTCTAGTTCTTTTAATTGTGATGTTAGGGTGTCAATTTTGGATCTTTCCTGCTTTCTCTTGTGGGCATTCAGTGCTATAAATTTCCTTCTACACACTGCTTTGAATGTGTCCCAGAGATTCTGGTATGTTGTGTCTTTGTTCTCGTTGGTTTCAAAGAACACCTTTATTTCTGCCTTCATTTCGTTATGTACCCAGTAGTCATTCAGAAGCAGGTTGTTCAGTTTCCATGTAGTTGAGCGGTTTTGAGTGAGTTTCTTAATCCTAAGTTCTAGTTTGATTGCACTGTGATCTGAGAGACAGTTTGTTATAATTTCTGTTCTTGTACATTTGCTGAGGAGAGCTTTACTTCCAAGTATGTGGTCAATTTTGGAATACGTGTGGTGTGGTGCGGAAAAAAATGTATGTTTATTGCGGCACTATTCACAATAGCAAAGACTTGGAACCAACCCAAATGTCCAACAATGATAGACTGGATTAAGAAAATGTGGCACTTATACACCATGGAATACTATGCAGCCATAAAAAATGATGAGTTCATGTCCTTTGTAGGGACATGGATGAAATTGGAAATAATCATTCTCAGTAAACTATTGCAAGAACAAAAAACCAAACACCACATATTCTCACTCATAGGTGGGAATTGAACAATGACAACACATGGACACAGGAAGGGGAACATTACACTCTGGGGACTGTTGTGGGGTGGGGGGAGAGGGGAGGGATAGCTTTAGGAGATATACCTAATGCTAAATGACCAGTTAATGGGTGCAGCACACCAGCATGGCACATGTATACATATGTAACTAATCTGCACATTGTGCACATGTACCCTAAAACTTAAAGTATAATAATAATAAAATAAAAAAATAAAAATAAAAATAAAAGAATTCTAAGGAGAGGTACTGATCCCTGATAAGAATGAATGTGGAGAGAAGGTGACGGTGCCGATTTTGATTGCTTTTCTCCAGCTTACTGAACAAACAGACTGAAGAATTACTGCAGAGATATATAGGCAACTATGTTTAGCTGAAATAGGATTGTGTGATAACAGCAAATTAACAGAGAACATCTGATGAAAGCAAAGGAAAACATAACCTCCGCAAAAAAGGAGTATAATATACAATTCAAATATAGTCCTGATTGGGAAGGAACATTAGTATTTAACTAAAGATATATCATTAAGTGAAATAATGTATGGAGAAAGAAACATGCCAATTGTTCTATAAATGCTCATGTTTGCTTGGAAATATATTACCTGTTTTTCCTAAGAAATAATTTTGATAAAGTGTTATGTATTCATTTAGTAAAATATTTTGTCAATAGGACCATGTTTGAGTCAGGAGGACCATATCTTATTTTACATGCTACTTAAAAATGCAAGAACGAAATAGGAATGACAAATAGAAAGAGAGTGTGTAGTTGTGGCATTATTGTTCCTACAAATTGGAGGAGTAATTGATATGGAGATAAGAAGGAATTAATGCTGTGAACAAAGACTGAGATTATATAGACAAGAATTTGAGATACGTATAAAAACACATTTGTTCAACCTATTAGCTAAATAATATCTTGGAAGTTTCTCTCTCTTGCCATTTATCCTGCTAATATGTTCCTGATCAGTTTAAATGACCAAGTGTGCATAAATCTACATGGCTTTTCATTCTTTTCCATTGGCAACACTTCATGGAAAGAAACTCTACAGGAGAGGGTTAGAACAAGTTATGAACAAGTTAGGAGAATTCATAATCCATCAATATTGAAATATTTTTGGTAAGTATAACATAATAGAATACCCTGTGTTATGTTATACATGATAGAATACTATTATTAATGTTGCTAAGTAAAGGGCTTCAAGCTCCAGCATTTGCCAAAAGACTGAGAGGAGTTTGCAAATTAAATTTGAATTAATGGTGTCCTGGCAGGAGCATGTAAAGGAGTCACGAGACTAGGTTATGCCAGATACTAAAAATTTGACATTAGAGAAATCATTCAAACTCATTGGACATTCACCTGTAAGGTTTTGTCTTTATTTCTTTCATTTTCCTAATTAGATTACATTGCTCATTATATTAACATGTTTTGAGAATATATATTTTTATGTTTTTCATAAAACATTTTATATGTATATATATATTTTATATGTATATCTATGTGATACCACATATACATTAGGAAACCTATAATAAAAAAGACAGAAGATAAGTTTTGATGAGGATATGGCAAAAATGAAACCTTCGTACATGATTTCGGGGATGTAAAATGATGTAACTGCTTAGAAAAATGCCTTAACAGTCTTCAAAAAATTAAACTTAGAGTTACCATAGTACCTAGCAATTCCACTGTTAGGCATATACTTTTCTGAGTCTGTTCTGTGCTGTTACAGCAGAATACTATATACTAGGTAATTTATAAAGAAAATAAAATCATCTCACGGTGGAAGGCAGGAGGGCAAGAGAGCTCGAGAAATAGCAAGGGAGATAGAGATGGCCAAACTCGCTTTTATAACAAGCCCACTGCTGTGATAATGAACCCACAATAACAGCATTAATTTATTCATGAGGGCAGAGCCGCCATGACCTATACACCTGCCGTTAGGTCCCACTTCTCAACACTATTGCACTGGGGATTAGGATTCCAACATATGAAATTTGGGGGACACATTCAAATCATAGCAATGCTCAAAATAATTGAAAACATATGCAAACACAAAACATTTTCATGAATAGCCATAACCACATTGTTCATAATAGCCCAAAGTGGAAATAGACTGAATATTCATTAATTGATACACAATAAACAAAATGTGACATACCCACTCATAGGAGTAATATTGATCTATAAAAATGAACGAAATACTGACTCATGCTACAACATAGGTGAATCTTGAAATCATTATACTAAATGAAACAAGCTACACACAAAAGGCTAATCATTTTATGATTATATTTTTATGAAGTGTCCAAAATAGACAAATTCATAGAAACAGAAAGTAGGTTTACAAGGAGGCCTGGAGGGGAAAATGAGATGTGACTTCTAATGGGTATCTGGTTTCTTTTGGGTTAATGAAGATATTCTGGAATTAGAGTGATTATTGTAAAACTATATGAATATGTGATAATACACTAAATTGTATACTTTAAAAGGTGAATTTGTTGTTTTGTGAATTAATCTCAATAGGCATAAAGTGATTATTGTAAAACTTTTATGAATATAGTAAAATACACTAAATTGTATACTTTAAAAGGTGAATTTGTTGTTTTGTGAATTAATCTCAATAAGAATAATAAAATTTAATACATTATAGGTGGAATTTAAGGTTAACTGTAAAAAATAATTCAGGTTCTACATTTTTATAGTTTTATTTATGAATTTTGACTAGAGAAAGTTAACTTAGAACAACAAATTTACTATTTCTTAAGCTTTTTATAATCACTTTGATTATATTAGAATTATAATGCTTTATTAATTAACATAGACTGTGTGTGAATGGAAAATAATTTCAAGTTTGGAAAAAGATACAACTGACAAAGAGTTTATATTCACAATACACTAAAGCTCACTTAAATCAATAAGAATAAACTAAGAATCTTACTTAAAATTGATAAACAGACTCGAACAGGAATTCTCAAAGAGGATATTCAAATGTCAGATATATTTTAAAATGGTCAGTCACATTAGAAAATGCTCATTTATCCTTAGCAAGTTAAGATGAAAACTATGTATTATTGCAAACAAATCAGAATAAATAGAATTTTAAGAATAGTAATAACAAGTGTTGGCAACAATGTAAGGTATTAGTATATCCACCATATTGCTGATGGAAGTTCAAATTTGTATAATTGTATTAGAAAACTCTTAGGCATTATCTACTAAAAATAGACATATACATACCCTGTAACCTAGCAATTCTACCCGAAGTATCAACGAGCCAAATGCAAAATGCCTGTATGTATACAAGAAGCTTCATTGCATTGCTGTTTTAGCCCAAAGTCCATCAATTGTAGACTGACGAATAGATCAACGAATAGATTATATTAGATTTTCATCAACAATGAAAATATATGAATAGCATATAAAAATAAAATTTAATTTTATCTATATAATGTAACCAGACATGTTATTAATTTAATTAAAAATACATGCAAACCTAATATATGGTATAAAAAGTCACGATTTTGATGAAGTTTAGGAAGACAAGAGCATTTATTTACTAGAAGAGAACATAGGAACTTCTAACATGCTGGTAATGTTCTATATTTTGAGTTAGGTACGGTTACGTAACCACTGAGCAGACCCATTGTGATTTCTGCATTCTTTTGTATGTTGTGCTTCCATGCAAATGTTATTTAAAATTTAAGTTAACAACTTATATACATATGTGATCTCATATATATGAATACTTCTGTACAAAATCATATCTATATATTATTTATAAATACATTATATTTAAAATAGTCTGTGTTCATAGCTGAAAAATGCATTACATGTATATGATGTAAAAAATATAGCATTTATAAATACCAAGAAAAAGTTCTAATTGAATGAAACACAACCTTTAGCAGTGCATATTTCTGGGTATTGGCCTGGGATGGAAGAGGCTAGCAGGGACACTCAGTATTTCCTTCTGAAAAATTAAAATTTTATTCTACTGAGATCACTCATGTATTACATATATGAATTTTAATACAAAATGATAAGCAACATTAAATACATTTTTTCTCATTAATGTTTTCAGAATTATAAAATTTAAATCATCTCAGTATAGCGTGGGACCATTACAGAAGAAATGCTCGGTGGTAAAAATCAGTCACCTGTGTCAAGGCATTTTCAGACAGGGAACAATATTTAGCAAGCAATAAAGTACAATCTTGGCAATAATTTCTATCCCTATACTCTACACTTTCTTAAATCTGCAAAGTTTAAAATCTTAGCAAGTTTTTAAGGTATTCAGGGCAGTGGAATTATGTGGAAGCATTTCTCTCATAAATCTGTTTTAAAATTTTACAATTCAATATTTTATGATCCTATGCCAAATCTATATGGCAGATACTTTCTACATTTCATTCTTCTTGACAGCAGTGGCCTTTTACCCTTGTTTTCAAAAGTAGAATGTAACCACACCAGGAAATTAAAAACAGCATTATTTAGTGAGATTCTAGTTATTATTTTTCTACTCAATATAGGTAATGCCTATGCTTAACATGCTCCTTGGCACTATTCTGTAATTATTGAAGTTTCCCACCCCCTGTAAAATAAAAGAATACTTTTAATTAATCTATATATTCAGTATTGTTCCAATCAGTTTTATTTAAAGCAAAATGAATAAAAATATTTTTTCAAAGTCTCAAGTGATAAATTTAGAAGCAAGACTGAAGGAGGAAAGAAGTATTTCTTTTCATTGAGTGCAGCATATTTCTAAGATTTGTCTGTAAAATAATTGGAATAATAGAAAAAATCCATCAAGTCTGTCAAAATGACAGCAAATTTGGAAAAAAGTGAGGATGGGCAACATTTATATAAAATCTATTAGCGAAGCAGCATTGGTTAGAAAGGTGGTAAAATGGCTATGGTTAAAGACCAGGATAAGTGGCTTTTCTTCTATACAAATTATTGTTTTTGAGTTCTTTCATATTGCCAAGCATAAAAATTCACCTAATTTATTCAATAAATATTCATTGAACATATACTGTATTCTAGATACAAAATAAAGTGTTGTGAAAATAAGATGTATAATGTTGTATGGCTGCTTGTATTATGAGAACATGATTGTGAAACTTAGTTTCTTTGAGATTTCAAAAATCCAGAAACACTATTATAATTCAAGCTGAGTATAGACTACAAGTTCTCTAGAGAAAAGAAAATCTAAGTTGATCATATTATTTCAATGTATTCTGTCTAGGAAATGTCACATTTTATGCGGCCCTGGCTATTTTATTTTCTACTTTATTTTTCTCTCTGTAAATATTTTCTTGTGTTCACTTCTGTTACAAGTTCACTTCTGTCTAAAGCCTCATTTTAGTATATGGCCAAAATGGTTACATGTTTCTCTCATACCAGTGTGTACACTCTTCACAATATGACTCCTGCAATCAAGAGGAATTTATATCTCTATGTCTCAAATTTATTTATGTATTGTTTTATTTTATTTTAACTGACATATAATAATTGCATATATGTATGGGGTAGAATATTATGTTTTGATACATGTATGTATTGTGGAATGATCAAGCCAGGCTAAATTTAGTTTGTACCGTGCAAATTGGTTTGGCCAAAGTGACATTAGCCAAGGTGACACAGCAGAGGCTTTCAAAGTGGTTGCTCATCAGTGCTTGGCCAGTCTTGCTGTTGACAACGTTGGACTATCACGTAATGAAGCCCAAAACAGCCTCATGGAAGATGAGAGACATGGAAACATCGGCCCAACTGAGCTAAGCTTCTCACCTGTTCCAAGAGAGACTGGTCCCCTGCTGACCTACAAGCTGACTGCAGTCCCATGAGTTATCCCACATGAGAGCAGAGAGAAAATATACAGCCACTCAAAGAATCATGAGGAATTATATATTGTTCTTGTTTTGAGTCATTAAATTTGGCGTGGATTTTATGCAGAAAAAAATACAATTACTTTGATTATTGCATGTATCATCAATTAGGGTTTTTCTTTTGCATTCAAAATAAATCTAACCTAAGCCAAACTTGCTCAAGAAGTTAGAAAATATTTTGCTTCACCTAAGTCTGAAATCTAGAGACACAGTTTCAGGTGTTTATGTAAATTGATCAAGGTTTCAAATGATACTGATGAAGAGAGCCTGATTTTTCTCTTTTCTCAGTTCTGCACTCTGTCATTATATATTACTTTTGAATTAAATCATTGCCTGTCTTAAAATGGGTGTATTTTTATGATTCCTAGGAAATTCTTCTTGGGTTTTATTGACCTCAAATACACTAATTGTCTTTACTCTAGATCACATGTTACAATTCTTAGCTGGCTTACTGCCCCCATCTGATATATAAAATTACTCAGAATGATAACAAGTATTTTGTGGAATGAAGGGCGACTAAATTCTACATGTCAAGAACACCAGGTATTCACTATATGATAAGTTAGTTGACTCCCTAATGAACGTTTATCAGCATTATGATAAACTACATGAGTATCTGAATTTTAGTGTCATTTTCTCCCAGAAGTCTTCCTAATTCCCTGTACCAGGTTTAGGGCCTCAAGTTATATGTTCCTGTTTCTTTTAACGTTTGTTTGTTTAAATAAACTTAGTCAATTGTTTTTCGTCCATTGCCAGTAGACCCATGAGGGCAAAGGACATATTTTTCTTGTTTACTATTGTGACTTCAGGGTCTAGCAATGTGATTGCCAAATAAATCCTTATTCAATGAATAAAGAGTAAATTTAACTGTTTCCAAATTTCAGGCTCTGTTGAACACAAGAAGGTTCAATCTAGGTTTATGTTTAGGGTTATTTATTCAATTATTTGTATTATATTAAAAGATGTAAATTTAGTCTAGAAACATAAAGGCCATAAGTTATTGTGGAGAAAAAATATTGTTTTGAATCCAACACTGTTGTTGAGTATTCATTTGCATACTCTAATTACCTACCAACTTCACTTGACAATGTTAATATTTTAATGTTATAATTCACATAATTTTGATGTGGTTTTGTTGTCAGAAAATATGGTGAGCATATTCATCTGTTGAAACCTAGTCTACAATGTAATATTATTTGGTGATGGGGCCTTTGGGAGGTTATTAGAGTAAGATTAGGTCATGAGGGTGGGGCTTTCATGGTGAAATTAATACCCTTGTGAAAAAGAGGAGGAGTCACAAGATCTGTATATCGCATTCCCAGTGTAGACACCAAGGAAAGGCTATGTGAGAAAATAATGAGAAGATAGACATCTACCAACCAGGAAGAGAGCCCTCACCAAAAATTGAAATTCACTGAGGGAGTTGAATAGATAGGCACCTTGATCTTGAACGTCCCGGACTCCTGAACTGTGATAAATAAGTGCTTGCCGTTTAAGCCACCCAGTTTATGGTATTTTGTCATAGCAGCTAGAACTGGCTAAGACAGCATTTTAATCTAATTATGATCATATTGTAGTGTACAAGGTAAATTGTTTATATAATTGTTAGACTAGTTTTGGTAGTGATGAATGTCACTCCTCAAAATTCGTATGTAATTGCAAGTAATACTAATTTCTTGTGTTTTAAAATTGTTCTCTCTATAGATTTTTTTCCTATGTATACTCTGAAATTGGAGTTCTTAATTTCAATGCATTTTTGTTGTTTGTTTATTTTAATCCATTATAACAATTTTATTTAGGGGCTTCATATAGTAAGCCCTGCTATATTTATTCAGGAATTTAAACACATGTAATTTTGTTTCAATGATTATAGTAATAACAATAGGTGATTTTTTCCAGATTTCTGTTTGCTCTCATATATTAATATTTACACCTAAGCATTTTTTGAGAACCTACAAAAGTGTTACTTCTTCCAAAAACCTCTGTACTTCAGACCACTCTGAATGCCCTTCCCTGAATCTATAAGCTTCAGGGAATTTCATTATTATAATAGTTTTGTACCCATTGAAATGATCTATATACAGGTTCTTTTCATTCAGTAGGCTATAAGCTCCTTGATGAGTGAGGCAAAATATTGTTGAGCTTTTTATTTCTAGTTATTAACACAGGATCTTTAATGTAGTAGATGTTTAAGGAATACTTTGAACTCGATCAGCTTTAGGTATTAGACAATAATTTCTAATTTATAATATAAGAAATAATTTAAAATCTTAATAGAATAAGGATTATGCAGAGACACAGATATACGTTCTTTATGCAGATATAAAAGCCAAATATTATTCTGTTATAAGAAGAGAGTAAAGCAGGTCGATGCTGTTGTAAGCCCACTTGACAACATGTACTTTTTATATAAAACTAAGTTGGGTGTTTTTAAGCTTATCCCTGGCCAAGAGCCAGATTGAAGGAAAATGTACCATTTAACTGAAGATATGGTCTTATTTAAATCTAAAGGCCGTTATTTTATGTATTCTTTTAAAACTTTGAACCCAAAATCCTGTAAAATATCAAGATCTTAATAATATATCTGTAGGGTATTGATAATTTGCAACATCAAAACTTCTGCTGAGTAGATTTTGAGTCATATATTTAAAATACCTATACTATTTTATAAATTAGAACATTTAAAACATTTGAAAATATTAAAAATGTTAAAAAGAATTTCAAAGTCAGTAGGACAACCCTTGCTAGACTTCCCCTCCTGCAATGCACCATCAGTCTGGAAAATTGAAAAAAGTCAAGGTTTGCTAAATAGCTGTTGCAGAACACAATTCTTAATTAAGTCATGCTTTTGGAGTTATAAACTTTAATATACTTTTTCATGGCATTCTATATTTTACAATAGCTGCTCCTCTCAGAATATATATCCTCTGACAACATTGGGCATATTAGTCACTAATACATAGCTTCATATTTGGAAAAAGAAAAAAATTATAAGGAAAATCTCCACATATCCTACAACAAAGAGTTACATCAGAGAGCATGTTAATACTCATAATAAGCTTAGAGTTCTACCAAGTATATTTCTTATGTGCCTTCAAACATAGTTGTGCTTCTGCATCAGTAGAATATTATGCTAGAAACTCTGTTATGGGCTCAAAGAGGAACCCCATTATTACAAAAGGAGTTCTATAGGTAAAGCTAGCATATTGCAATGTAACCCTGTCTACAGCGCCAGAAATGTGTATTGAGAGCTCCATTAGGTGCACAGGAACACAGCAGTGACACATTTAAATACCAAGTGCTGCAGAAAAGTGCCACTAGCTTTTCCAAGGGACTGAAATTGGGCAGCCCAGATTTAAACTGTGGTTTTAATTTGACTTATGATTCTCTTGCCCTCTAGTGGGTCTAGAAGTTGAAAATAGATGTCTGTATTACTATATATTATCTGTGATTCTTGTAGAGATTGAACTGGAGAAGAAAAATCCTTAGACTTCAGTCCCTGCAAAGCCCTCATTGACTTAAGAGGAATTTATCAATGTAAAGGGATTGGTTTATTACTGCTTTAAACCCCTCATGTATCACAAAGGGATTTGCTAAATACTTTCATAGGGACTGCTGTGTGTTGCCAAGGGGCTTCAGAAAAGCACTGAACCTTTTGGTGATTGAAATGTACAGTCCTGCTGCAATGAAGTAACATAATTGGAATCAGGACTAGATGTTTTTATAGGAGCTGATTATGTGCAGTTCCAAAAGTATCATTACTTTAGCCTGTCTTATCCTTGAGGGCATAAGAACACTTAAAAAAGGGCTTTAAATATGATGGCTGCTCAGTAGGTGAGCAAGTCTTTGGTGAGAGGTGCATTAGCTATAATTTATAAAGTGTAGTTGGTGGCATTTAACGTTCTAATTATATGTAATAAGATACGTTAAATGGTAATATATTGTGTGTGCTATCCACCTTTTACAAAAGTTCTAATCCATTTATACTACTGTGATCTATTAGAGAAGCACAGATTCTTCTTCATGGTATATTAACCATATGAAATATTAGGGTAATTGAAGCCTGAATCCAAGTAATTATAAATCTATTTATTGAAAAAAATCATTGATATGCCTGGCATGAACAAACAGCTAAATATGTCAGGTAGCCACAGAGCAGCAAGTGATATAAATTTTAAAATCCAACAATTTAAGTTTCAAATTAGAAGTTTTGTCATTAATGTTCTCATAAAATTATATTGTGTTAAAGATCTGTGTAATACCTAACTCCATTAATATTTTGAGTATTATTTTTTAATTGGCAATCTAGAATTCATGTTAAATATGAGTTTGCTTATTAATTACAAGTAAATACAATAACTAAAAAATAAAATTCTGCTATGACCTAATGATCACTTTTCTTCCCCACAAGATGCCTAACATTGAAAACTTTTGAAAATAGCCCATAAATGAATCTTTCTAGCGTAGCTTCCAACAATTGTATTTTCTAATAATATCACTTTTTTAAAAAAGGTGGATGGGTGATTAAAATAAATGAAATCACTGGATTTCATTTAGACTAACACTGTAATCTATGAGTAGATGAATGCTTACTTATGAAACAGGATGTTAAAACAGGCTAATAATTTATATTCATAGACAACTGTGAGAATTACAGAAAATATGTTAAGGATTATTTTTAATTAGAAACAATAAATCAAGTCAAATTTACAAGATATTGTCTATTTGAGACTGTGACGTAATGACTGGGTGAAAACATCTGAAGATATGCTTTTTACAGACACCAAACCAGACCAGTCTCTGTTTGAAGACATACATGATTACTTTTGAAATATTTTTAGATGGTCATAACTTCATAATAAGTAGTTTTTTTGCAACTTACTTGCATTGCTTATGTTTATAGCAACCACTATGTCCTCCTCCAGAACATTATCTTTCAAACTTGAAATAATCATAATCATAATTAATATAATGACAATGGATGTAGGAGAAATACAAACCTAATTTTTATTCTCAATGATGATTATGGATAGAATAACTAAACCCACATGTGTATTACCTTTCCCCATAGACATATTTTACACTTTGGACACCTAAAGTCCAGCTAAAAAGAAGTAATTGCCTACGTCCCCTATGACGGAAATCCAAAATATATAATAAATGCATTTAGCTCATGAACGATTTTTAAATTTCTGTTTGATTTGTTGCTGGAGATCTCAGTTACTCTCTTTCTTGTTAACACATCCACACCCAACCTCCAATACAGCTGTTTACATGAAGCAAGAGATTGGGAAGCCTGAGAATGAATACCTGATTCTAGCTGGGCAAATAATTTTGTGTTTCTTTGAGGAGTTTGGAATGCTGATAGACTGAATTAGGTAGGCATAAACAACAGTTTCAAGTGTCCATATATTTGGCACTATTGTTGCTGACAATGACAGCTTAAACAATGGTCAAATGAAAATTGTGAAAAACAAAAAAATGAAATACCACGCCTAAGTAGCCACTCTTCAGAGAGGAAAATTTAAATGCATAGAGAGATGAAAAATCTTGCAGCCCTGCAAATAAATGAAGGTGCTCTGCAAATGTACATTTCTAATGTGGCCACATTATATTCCTTGTAATTAATTCCTTCATATTTTTTATTCCTATTTCACTTAAACTCATTTGAATGGGCATTATTTTATAATAAAAACATCCTTGATTATGATTCTGTATTAACAAAGATAATCATACCAAAATTTGTCATTTTTTTAGTACTCACAACAGAATTATTCTTTTCTAGAGAAATTAAAGCTATAGGGGCTTTTTACTTTCAACATTATTAAACTAATATTTTGTTTTAATTTTAAATGAGAAGTTAATTGATATTTTGCTTGTGGAGTATGCTGTAGAATTATTTTAGATACAATAAACTATTATGATGTTTAATTTTGTCATTTGCAATATAATTATATTCATTTGTATCATTGAGTTTTCAGTGTAGTCAGATTAAGTAATACAGAAGTTTATTTCTCTCACATACAATTTTCCAAGTAGACAAGTGGTCCAGGGCAGCTGTATTTCATGTCTTTATCTGGATACTCAGGTTGGCAATAACTTCCGCTCACCTCAAAAAGCTTTTTTTCTACTGTTTGTCCAATGTAGTAGTTACAAAACTGTCCATTCCACAACCAGTAGAAAGGAATAAAGGGGAAATTAATGACAGAGCTTTATTCTATGGAAATATCATGAAGGTGCATGCATGCCATCTGCTCATATTGCTATAGTAGGGCTTTATCCGAATGCTCATACCTAGCTGTATAAGGAGTTTTTTTAGCTTTAGCCTTCAGACCTGCTAAAATTTGGATGTGGACGGTTTATTAGTAAAAGGAAAAAAGACATAACTATTGGTGAGAAATTAGAATCTCTGCCAATGAACAATCCTCTCACTTATTTTGTATGTATCTTTCTTGTATAACAATAGTAATACTTAGAAATCATAGGTTGATGGAGGTAGAGACTTTGTCAATTATCAATGGAATGAGTTTTCACTCATTTAAAGATTCTATTCAGGATATATATATATGCATAAAACTTATTTGGAAGAAGAAATATATTTTAATACAACAAAATATGTAGTATTAAATAAAATTAAATGTGGATTAAATTAAATATCAATTTTAAAGGACATTTTTCTCATTACAAAGTTTTTCTTATTAGAAATAACTTATTAGAAATATTGCAAGTGCTAATAAGAAATTGAATAAGAAATGTGGTTTCAGAAGGGAAAAATAAAAACAAGCAAATGTTACACAAAGTAGAATACATTGCCATTTTTGCCATAACGTTCTAAGAAAAATTGTGATGAGGTAAGAAAGCACTAAACAAAAAAGTCTATATTCTTAAAATCACTACACTTCCACAATTTTAATCACTGATGAACAAGCCTTATGGCTTAGGAGAAACTGGAGAAAGTAAAAATGAAAAGGTGTTTCATGGATTAGAAAGGTATTGACCTTTTGATTCTCCGTTTAATTTACACTGATTGCATCAGACAAGGAGGGTAAAGTCTACAAATTATAGCTAATGTGAGAAAGTTAGAAATAACTTAATATAGAAGTTAGAAACTAATAGAAAATAAGTTTGTGGGGTTTTTTTTTTTCCTGACAACAATCGAAATCAGCTTTCTTATCAAAGTGGTAGAAAAATAGAATGATATAAAAGGCATTAATATAGGGAAACATGCACGATCAGCAACCACGTCTTCTTTCATTCCAAGAAAAAGTTTTACTTCAAAACATCAGAGGTTTAAAAGAAAAATCAAATTTTCTATGTGGATTTTCGGGACAATATCCAACCAGAATTACCTCTTCAAGTTAGTGTGTTTAATATCCATTCAACCTGGCCTCTTTATGGAATCTTTCTTTAGTTTAGCTGTAAGAAAATAGGCTTAGAATCAAAAGTCCCAGAATCTCAACAAACAATGTCATAGTTATATGATTTAGGGCAAGGCCTTCTTTTCCCTGTACCTTTTTTTTTTTTTCTCTTAAAGTTATATATGAAAACTCTTTGAATTTTTCTCTGGGACGCTTATTAAAGAAACTGCATCATATTGCTGTTGTGTATTGCGGTGAAGATAGGAAAATGCGGGGGATAAACAGGAAGCATCTTTCAAGATCATCAATTACTAGAACTTTTTGTGGAAGGAAGGACCATTATTGATATATGAAAATAAATAAATTATAGAACATGAGTAAAAATTTGCATTAAGGTGAGGTAATAAATATGTGATTGTGTTCATTTTTGAATCTTTTGCTCTTGACTTATACGTGTCTTGAATACTATGCAGTTCTTTTTTTTTATACTTTAAGTTCTAGGGTACATGTGCACAGCATGCAGGTTTGTTGCATAGGTATATATGTGCCATGTTGGTTTGCTGCACCCATCAGCTAGTCATTTACATTCAGTATTTCTCTAATGTTGTCCCTCCCCCTGTCCCCCAGCCCCCAATCGGCCCGGGTGTGTGATGTTCCCTGCCCTGTTGTGGAAGGCAGTGTGGTAATTCCTCAAGGATCTAGAACAAGAAATACTATGCGGTTCTTAATTGCTTCTTTTCCCTGTTCCCCTTCAACTCCATTCAACTCTGAAAACTTTGTTGAATAATGTGTGTTTCACTGTACATTTCATGCATAGAGAAAAGTCACTGGACACTACAAGTATTTTGATATTTCTTTTTGCCTTCTAATTTTCTCCCTCATCAATGTATTTCACCAGCACTCAGTCCTGGGCTTTCTTATCATTCTTTCCTTTACACAAATACTATGCAACACAATTTAGCTTTATTTCCACAACTTGAATGCCATATTCAATGAAAAAAAATTTTATTTGTCCAGCCAAATGTATTTTTTGTCTATTATTCCTCAAGCATGCTGCCACTGAAGTAAAAGAATGTATGGCTCAGTTCATCCTAATACAAAATATTACATAACCTGCTTTTAATAAACTATGTATGCTTACATTCTCCCTCTGCATTTAAAAAGATTGGCTATTAGAACAAATCCTAGAACCATGCTTCTTCGTTTCAAATCCTGTCTGTCACTTATCATTACACAGTGGAGTAAAATAAGTGTCCCCTGTTATTACTGGTACTTGAATTAAAAAGTTTTAGAAGCAGAGAATGGCAGAAAAGCTCACACGAGGAGGGTTGAATTTGAATTCTGGGTCTGATGCTCACGAGTTGTGTGAGTTGGTTGAGTTTGCCTGATAAGTTTATCTAGAATCCATACTGATGGGACAGGCAAATCATTACTTTGCCTGATAAGTTTATCAAATTAATTGACTATCAAATTAATTAATTATCAAATTAATTGACTTTCTCATAAGTAGAGCTTCAGTAAAGGCTTAGGACTACATTTGAAATTATGTTATTTTTTAAAATTTAAGCTGCCTAAAAATATGTTAGAAAAATTTAGTACCATAGTAAAAAGTAATAATTGATCTTTCCGTGGTAAATCATAGCATATTATGTTACTGATAAATTTATTTGTGTATGTATATATGTATATATACTTTTGGAAATAAGTTGAAAGAGTATTTCAACATGAAGAAAATGAGTATATTTAACAATAAAAACATTTTGAAAAAAACAAGTATACACCTAATTTGTGTATTTTAGAGGGTTTATGATCAATATCAAAAAATGGTAAATCAGCTTGTCAACAAAGAAGAGATACTGGAGACATGGTAGGCTAACAAGTATGACTCCACTTCTCAAACCCCTATGCTTTATTTCTGAATCAATATTCTTGGCTGACTCAGAAAATGTATTAAAACAATCCATATGAGGACCAGGTTTCTGAACTGGAATATTTCAAACATGTGTGCTGGAACTTTTCACAGCATTTACCATTTCCTTGATTTACTCTCCAAAATTGATATAACAGTTGCAGAAAACATCTTAAGGAGTACACTGAGTGTGAAAAATGCTTCGTGAGCTGGAAATATTCTGAAACCTTGTGTTTTTTTTGTGGAGTAATAGAACACAAACATCTTTTGGTACTAAGATAAATATGCTCTCAGCCAAGTGTGTCTTTGCTTTTGAAATCTGATACCTGAGAATTTAACTAACACATTTCTAATTAATTGACTTCCTCATAAATAGAGCTTCAGTAGAGGTTTAGGATTACATTTGAAATTATGTTTTTCTTAATTTTTGTTTAAATTTAGCTACTTGAAATATGTTCAAACATTTTGATTCTAACAATTTTGAAAGCCCATAATACCAGAAATGTCACTTACATGGGTATAAGAACTATGTGTGCATTTTGTTTATATGTGAATTGACTTCTAAGAAGAATCACATCAACCAACTTTTGCATCCTAAAAGTGAGAAGCAGAAAGTTAGAATTCACTTGCCATATCTTCCATTATATTCTAATTTCAAAAAATTACCAGAAAAGAGGGCAAGCAAATATTAAATAAAAGCAAAATCTGGCATACAAGTCAGTAAGTGGAAAAGTCTAAAAGGAATCTGTAAGAAAAAACATATAAAGCTTTGAGTGAAAACAATGTAAGTGGGGCAAAAAGTAATGGGCTTTTTCTTGTATCATAATTCTTATGCTGAAATCCTTCATTATAGAATGTCCTCATGACCATAGGGAGAAATGCTCTTTCTTCAGTAGGATATATTTAAAAAGAGGAAGTAAAGAAGGGAATGAAAGAAGTAAAAAAGGCCTTAAGAGCCTTAGATAGCACTCTCAAGAATTTAACTTCAGATTATAGAAAAAAAGAAATACAGGAAAATTAGAAAAGTAAAAGCAGAAATTAGGTGATAAGAAAACCGGATAACTATAGCATTCAAAAGTAACAGTGTTTTATTTCATTAAAATATACTGAATTCATAAATTTCTGGCAAGTCTAATCAACACAGAAAAAAGTTAAAGAAACTTGGAATGAAAACAATTATAACTAGCATGGGAGCAATTAAAAATATGAGAATGTTATGAGCAATACTATACTAGTAAATATGCTGGAGGATTTTATTAAAAATGTGGCTGAAAAGCATAAATCTTAGAAGCATTCTAATGCTTAAACCAGCAAAGCAAATTAAAATACAGTGAAATATTTTCACTGAAAAGGCACCATATTCAAGATGTTCTTTGAAAATTAAAGCACACAATAACCTAAAAACAGTGGTTCCCCAGGCTTATAGATTACTATGATTGCAGAATTTTATAAATTATTCAGTACTTTTTAAATATTCTATAAAGAACATAGCCTACTTTAATAATCATGAAGAAAGCTT
Organism: Homo sapiens; assembly: GCF_000001405.40. NCBI lineage: Eukaryota > Metazoa > Chordata > Mammalia > Primates > Hominidae > Homo > Homo sapiens. The sequence continues at coordinate 86,657,996 of NC_000012.12, forward strand.
ATTAAGAATTATTTCTGCCTTTAAAAGTTGGAAAGCAACATACTTAGGTGAATTAATGATCACAACAATTAATGCACCCAAAGTTAAATGCTATTAGGTCAAATATGAGATATATGCATGCAGATAGATATAGTTAACTTTTATGAAGGCATTTATACAAAATGTACTGTTAGCATCAGGTGTTAAATCAAATATAACTTGGACCAATTCATAAATTCAGTCTCTACATGCTCAGAAAACAATTATTTTATAAAGCAATCAATTGAATAGCAGAGGTTTAAGTAAGAATTTCTCAATGGCAAAATCAGATGGATCTGACAAAGTGTTTAGCAAAAAACATCTTTGAAGATACTTTGTTTAAAACACAAAACTTCCATTAAGTTTCAAGAGAGACAAGCATTTAAGGACATTCTTATCCTCTTGTCTATTTGAATCATTATTTACTAGAATAATCATTACTAGGAAATATGCCTGATTCATTTTCTTCACATGCTTACTATATGAGGCCTGACATATCACAGTAATTACTGTCAAGAGGATTACTATTAAAAGAATTATTTTCTCTGTAAAGTGTTTTCACTTAAAACAAAAAGAATAAAAGTAGTCATTAGGTGCCTATTATGGAATGATCTGCTCTGAAACAGCCTCACAAACTCTCTCTTCTACTTTATGAGCTTCAGATTTCACTGATCAAATGTCATTTTTTCAAAAAGTATTTTTTTTACCACTTGTGTTAAATTGTATTGTTGTTCACAATTATTCACTCCTCCGGGAAAATTATACTTTCTTGTCCAGTTGACTTTAGGTTTGGCCATGTGACTTGTGTTTTCCAATAGTATGTGATGCAAAGGCACTTGTGTTCTTCTATGCATAAGGCTTAAGCATCTTCACATTGTTGCCGAGTTCACATCTTCCCTCTGCCAGGATGCCTTCTAATATTCTGAATAAAAGCCGTCCTGTCAACCTGAACACCAGAGGGAAGACAACATGGAAAAGTGCCATGTTTGACCTATGATTAATGTGTAATATTAGCAATAATTAAATGTTTATTGTCTTAAACTTCTGAGATTTGGGGTTTGATTGTTATAGTATAACCTAGCTTATTTTCAGGGATTATTACCTTATATAAAACAGCAGATACGCTTCCTCTAATGTGTTTCATTTTTTATAGCACTTTTTTTTCACTTAACATGTATATTTATATATTTATTATCTTTCTTCATCCATGGGAATCTAAGCTCCATATTTTCATTTGTGAATCCCCAGTGTCTAGTTCAGTTATTCTAGTAATTATTATTCAGATGGAAGTTGCAGGAAGAACATCTCAAACTAAGGTGGAAATTCTCCCAAAATGCCAGAGAAGAGATACAAGCTGCTGAATTAGATCAACTTCAATTAATTTTTTTAGCTGGAGGGAAAAGAAATGAATCAAAATGGGAACGACAGTAAATTGGAGGACTAGCTTACTGCACTTGTGTAGTCTTGATCCAATCAGGACAGGGAAACTATAAGTAATTCGAACAGGGCAAGTTTAATATATAGAAACATTAAATATTAAATAGGGTTGGAGTAATGAAGGGTAGGATAGTAAGAGGAAAACTAAATAACAAATGTAAGAAGCAGCCAGAAGTACAAAACAATAACAAAAAGAACTAGGGTTGAGATAGGAAGATCAGAAAAGAGACTTAGCTCCTCTCTTTTTCCCCATCCATGGCTGACATTTAGAACTCATTGGAGGTTATGGTTCTGACTCCCTGCCTGGCAGAGAAGTCACTGTGGTTCTGCACCTGTGGAACTTGCTGAAAATATGTCCTTTAACAGAAATATGTTGACTAAATAGTGTCTTACTGTGGCATTCTACTACAAAACCATCCAAGAAGGTTTGCTGGGGGAATTAAATGCTGGTCTCTATAAACTGCAAGAGCAGGGTGATTAAAAAAAAAAAAAAGCTACCTACATTAGCATGTCAGAACGAGGAAGCAAAAACTCTTTCCTCTTCCAGTGTCTGTCCAGCACCCTCTATTTACACAGCTTGAAGTCATGATAACAAAATAAAATAACTTGTAGATCTTAGATTTACTTTAACAGATCAGACAATGCATTATGAAGTTGGAGCCTAAAAGCAGTAAGTTGATAACTGACATACCGGACAAGAGACCTTGATGATCATTCCAAAGAAGTGAAAAGGGAGTGTAATACTTTTGATAGATGTAGAGCCATTAACAAAGTAGATTGACGGGATTTGATAACAGATTGTGTATGTGATTGAAGAAGAAGGAGAAGTCAAGAACCCCTAGATTGTACTGTGGATGATTGATGCCTTGGAATGTGGAATTCAGAAAGAAAGCAATCTCCTTCTTTGATACTACAAAAACAAACAAACAAAAAGATTCAAAGAGATTTTCAGGGAATGAAGTTAGTGAGTAACATTTAATTCAATACATCAAATTAAAGATATGCATTAAATATCTATATGGAAGTGTCCTCTGGGTAATTGAATATAAAGATCTGGAGTTCAGGAAAGAGATCTAACCTGGGATACAGATTTTTAAATTTTCTACAACATAATTATTAAATATTTCATATAGATGCTAGCAGAGAATTGCTAGGTAACATAATAGAAACTGGATGATATTAGCAAAAGTGCAGTGAAGGCTGCTAAGGACAGGTACCCTAGAGGACACTAATATTTAACGGTACCCTTTTATTCCCTTGGCTTCTGTCAGTTAGGATGTTTAATTCCATTTATACTCTTAGCAGGGTCAGCCCTTATGTAGCACAGGGAGGGTTTGTTCCTAGTTGGGACATTCTATATACCATCTTTTTCTGATTTATAGCAAACCATAACATGCATGCCTTATCCATATGTAGACCATGAATTTTAAAAGCAATTTCTCATACAATGAGTGAATGATGTAAGCTGTCAGGAAGCAACATCATCTCAATAAATCAAGAGTGACATCTGCATGGTGATTCATAGCCCTGGGTAGAATAAACTGGCTCTCTAAGGGTGAAGTTTCTTGGGTAAACATTCTTAAATGAGTTAGTACACCCTCTGGGGAAGTCAGAGAGCTATGGTTAAAAAGTTTATGGGTAAGAAGACCTACAGTCTCCCCTTGATAGCTTGGGTTCTTTCTATATTACCATCACTGTAGTCACAGTTGTGTTGATATTTATAAAGGAAAAAAATGTAAAGAAAACAAAAAGAAAGGAAAAGGAAAAAGCCAAATAAAAAAATCAGTATAAAAAAGATTAGATTTTAAAAAATCACAATTTTCAAAGTAAAATAAAAAAGAAATATTAAAGCAAATAATTTTATGAGTAAACAAATAAAAATATATAATCCAAGATAAAAGTTAAAGCAATGAGATTTAAAGTAAATATTACAATAAATAAGATACATATTTAAAATGTAAAAAAATCATCTTAATGTCATAAGGTAAAATATAAATATGAACCTATCAAATTAATAACCAAATAACTACAAAATATAAAACTGTATGTTTTTTAAAGCTAGTAAAACATAAAATTAATTTTTTAATGAGAATAGAAAACATTAGTTGATGAAATAAATACTAAGGACGTAGAAGGTAGTCCAAGGTGAGTTAATAAAGTATCTTTGAATGGGAGGTTGTCTGGGTACAACTGAAGCAATCAAACATAAGAAGGGACTGGGCATGATGCTCATGTCTGTAATCCCAGCACTTTGAGAGGCTGAGGTTGGTGGATCACTTGAGGTCAGGTTCGAGACCAGCCAACATAGTGAAACCTTGTCTCTACTAAAAATGCAAAAATTAGCCGGGCGTGGTGGTGTGTGCCTGTAGTTCCAGCTACTCAGGAGGCTGAGGCATGAGAATTGCTTGAACCTGGGAGGTGTAGGTTGTAGTGAGCCGAGATTGTCACTGTGCTCCAGCCAGGGCAACAGAGGAAGACTCCATCTAAAAAAATCTTAATAATAAATAAACCAAAAACAGAAGCAGGGCAGGGATATGTACTCTTCTGTATATTTAGTTTCTAATGTGCAGTCCACCACATTGGACTAACCTACCCTAATTACACTGAAGAATGGCATCTAATCTACTTTTAATTCTAGCCTTCATTTTGAGTCAGGAAGACATGAAGACCCCTACTCCCAGTGACCTACTAATACTTAGGCATTAATGAGCCCAAGGCTCTCAGAAACGTCAGCATGCTCAGAAAATCAGAGCAATATGAGATTAACTCATGTATCCCATAAGTCATTGTTTTATACCGAATACAATCACAAAATTATATTTGGAGGAAAAAAGAATTAAAACTTGAATTTAAAAATCTAAAATCTTAGCACATAGTCTTGGCATGGCTTGGGGTGAAAAATTCATATGTGTTTATTATCTATTTATCTCAGAATAACTTGAAGAATAATCTCCCTATGAAGATTATAGACACAGAAGTTTAGGCAATGACCTATGTGTGTTATCAACCTTTGGTTCATATTTCTGCCATTACTTAATAAATCCTAGGAGCATTTGTAATATAGAATGAAACAAATAATTTTGTAATTACAAAGTTGCAGGTTTGAATCTCAGTTCTATTCCTTACTGATTGTGATTTTTTTTCATGTCTCAGATCCTCAAACCTCTAATATGTAAATGATAACAGGCTGCAACTTGTAGGGCTATTCAGAAGATTAAAAATGGATACAAAACATCTGGCATAGTGTATGACAGAGTGGATGGTAGCTCTCATTTGAGTTGTTATACTTGTAGCTACTGAGTTTGCACTGCTCTAAATCAGCATTACTCTTTAATCATAAACTAATTTGATCACTAGTAAGGTTTTGAAAGGCCACAAGTAAGCCAATTAACTTCATTAATTCGTGTCAAAAAATGAACACTATTACTCTTTCTAGAAATTTCAGTTACTTTCCCTTCAAATCACCTGAAAGTCATTAGTTAATAAAATACATATTTGTTAATTGCAGTTAAAGTAATTTCCATGCTGACTAACCCATTAATCCAAGTGTCTTTGACATTAGTAAATTCTTATTCAGTAGCTAGTTTTGTCAGAATTAATTGATTAGATGACCATTCACATAAAAATAAGGGCCAGGAACTGTGGCTTACTGTTGTAATCTCAGCACTTTGAAAGAAAGTGGAAGGTGGATTGCTTGAGCCCAGGAGTGACCAGCCTGGGTAACATGGCAAAACTCTGTCTCTACAGAAAATACGAAAAATTAGTTGGACACAGTAGTGCATGTCTGTAGTCCCAGACACTTAGGAGGGTGAGGTGGGAGGATTACCTGAGCCCTGGAGTTACAGGCTGCAGTGAGCCGTGAGCACACTAGCCTGAGTGAAAAAGTGATACCTCCTCTGTCTCAAAAAAAAAAAAAAAAAAAAAAGAGGAAATAAAGAAAGAAACCAAAAGAAAAAGTAAAAGAAAGAAAAGAAAGAAAGAAATGAAGGGGAGATGGTAACTCAAACATGACAGTGCCAGAGTACGTGTGAAACTTAGTCATTTATCACAATAGGATTTGCCTCCAAGGTAAGAAAAGTTGTTTTAAGTGTTATTGATTTTTACTTGAAAAAGGTGTCCTACTGATTTTTGCCATCTAGACCCTTAACTATGGCTTTTAGTAAACTATTCTTGTCTATATTGACAACCATAGAAAACTCAGGAACAGAAATGTGATGGTCACTGGTGGAGAAAGGGGAAAGTGAGGTTTCAAAAAATACTACCTAATAGCCCCCTCCCCTATGCACCATGTTTGATATTATTTCAGTTCTACTTACTTCTGATGGGGAAATACAAGGTTTTTAGTTTTTTTGAGTGAAGCTGTGTGGTGAGTTAAACAGAAAAATCTATGCAACTCAATTTGCTATTTCAAAGCTCCTATGCTTGTGGGCAAAGAATTCTTGGATTTCTGCCAACACTGAAGTTCAAATTATTTGGAGGGGTAAGTTGCTTGAGTTTCTGTATTTCTTTTAATCAGGCTTTGTTTTTCACAGCTGTCATTAGTCAGTTCTATTTTATTACCTTTTGGGACTTGGCATTCAAACATTTGGAAATGCATTTATTCAGTCAGTATAAAAAACAAACAATAACAACAAACTGCTGGGATTCTGAACACTGTTTATCATCTGGCATTGCACAGTCAATTTTTTTTTTTTTTGTACTTCAATGAACTACTTCTACACTGCTACTCAGGTGTAACATCCGGAGACAATGTCTTTATTTCCCTTTCTCATTTTTTCTTTCTCTTTTATACTACTTTCTCTCTCACTCTGTCCTCCCCTTCCTTTCTTCTTCCTTACTCTCTCCTTTCTTTTCCTTTCCTTCTTCCCCTTTGCAGGATTCCTTCTGTCTCTTTTCATTTAAATTTGAAAGCTCAAAAAAATGACTTAATTTGAAATTTCAATATTTGTGCAAAAGGGATTTGTCAGAAAATAGAATTTATTATTTTATTTGTATCAAATTTTGAGCAAAACAAAGTGAAATTGCAAAGACAATTCTGTAAATGTGTGAATATATACTATATCAATGATTTATGATTTTAGTTTGTGTAGAAGCATCATAAGTTAGGGACCATCTGTAGTTAAGAATGCTATATTGATTTTTTTTCCAGCTCCATATAAAAATTTGATTTCCAGACGTTGATTACTGCCTGAAAGAAGAAAAGGTTAAAGAGACAAAAAAAAGGTGCCTATTATCTGGACAAGTTATTAACCTAAAGAAGATTAAAAAATCTTATTATTCAAATTACTACAAATCTGTAGTTATGTGTTCTAACGAATCCCATTAAATATATTTACTATAGAAAAAAACAATTCCGGTTTCTGCTTTGACATTTTAGTTAACTGTAAATGCCAACATTAATATAAACTAACTTTTTTTTGGATAGAATCAGACACATTATTCAACTATCATAGGTCATCTAATTAGTTGTGTCATAATATCTGAATAAGGTTATTACATCATTTCATGTATCAGTATCCCTCATTTTATGCTTGATGATCATTGAAGCAATGTAAGTTGCCTTCAGTCACGTAGAGTAGAATAATCAATAATCTAGCCCCCTCCCCCCACCACCTTGTTCTATCTGGTCCATGTTGTACTTTAACTTTATTAAAATTAGACAAACTGTCTTTAAGAAGATGATATTTCAGTTAACACTCAAGCAGCGAAGTTAACAATAGGATCAGCCCACAGCATAAGTAGTGTAATCGACATAGGGGATACAGTATTCAGTGGAAGGCCAGCCCCAAGTGAGGTGGAAAACATTAATGGGTTTGAAAAGCAGTCCTTTTCTTCTCTACAATTTTCTTCTGACTGATTCTGGGAAAATGCTGAGACAATTGAAACCCATTATAGACACATGATTGTGTTGGAAAAGTTATACAACTTTTTTTCTTTTTTTTTTGAGACGGAGCCTTGCTCTGTCACCTCGGCTGGAGTGCAGTGGCGTGATCTCGGCTCACTGCAAGTTCCGCTTCCTGGGTTCAGGGCATTCTCCTGCCTCAGCCTCCCCAGCAGCTGGGACTACAGGTGCCCGCCACCATGCCCAGCTAATTTTTTTGTATTTTTAGTAGAGATGGGGTTTCACCGTGTTAGCCAGGATGTTCTCCTGACCTCGTGATCCACCCACCTCGGCCTCCCAAAGTACGGGGATTACAGGCGTGAGCCACCGCTCCCAGCCGGAAAAGTTATACAACTTTTATACAAAATATACAATATTTTTAAATTATACAATTTAATGCAATTTCGATTCTTCTTGTTTGGAATCATAATGAGGAGAGGATTTAAGAGTGTCAAAAAGAGTAATGTTAAAGAAACTGATCGTTTTCCTCAGGCAAAATTGGAGATGACTAATTATACTGCCTAAAGTTGAGACTATTTTTGCTTGCATCTTTATCTAAAAGAAAACTATTGAAATAGTTTCAAGAAGCACAAAAATAACAGAAAAATAAACCATTATATATGTGGGGTTTTTTAAGCCTCCATAATATTTCAATTCAAGAAAATAACTACATTTTTTAAAGGCATATTGTTCAAAATTGTCTTCCTTTTTCACTTGGCCAATGAAACTGGAAAAGTAGTAATCAAAACTGCAATTCTTAAAACAAGCTTGATGCAATTTTGATTAAAGCACTTAAAAAATATGAGGCGTGCTTCTTCATACTGTCCTCTATTTTTGCAGACAATGTCACAAAGGTACCATTAGATTCGTAGCTGGTTACAAACCTCTAATTTTTAGCTATTCTACTTAAGACCTGCACTCTGGCACCATTACCCTAAGACTTTTCTATAGCTCTAAGATCACCATTGTCATTTAAGCCTCATAACTAAGAATGAACTTTGTTTAATCCTCAACCATGTAACTCCTCTTCTAATGTAATCTAGTCCTCCATTCAGCCTTAAAATATTGTTGATGTGTCATACTGCATTAAAAAAAAATTCTATGTGTCCACAACACTCTTTCCTTAACATCTTCTGGCATTTCATCACTTGCTCTTTTGAAAAAAAATGCAGAAAAATAGGATCTAAGTTTGCTGAGAATTATTACTTTATTAATCTTTTTTTTCACAAAATGTCATCTGCTCTGATGTGAGTCACAAAAAAATTATTTCATGAAAACAAGAAGAATCATAACAAAGAATTCCCTTGTTTCCCCACAAATGTTTTTGCCAATTAGAAACATCAACATAGCTTTGTGCTTTAAGAATACCTTTGAGAAAAAGATTTCAAGTTTTTTTCCTGAGGTATTATGAGTTTAGCACACCGACCAATCTTTCTGACATACTTCAAATCAGATGTCCTTAAACAGTGAAGCAGCAGTTTTTCCCTGAAACTGATATTTGGTAAACATTTATCAATCTAATAAGTAGTAAACAGATCATACCATAAAGATGAAAACATCTTTATTCAAATTTACTTTTATAGTACTGAAGCCCAATGCTGTCATCAGAATCAATAGAAACTTGTGCTGAATGATTGGTTACTTAGTTGGAAGGGATTATACAAGGTATGTATTTTACAAGCACTTTGACCATGTGACATGCATAAATTGCTCTATACCACTGCTGCTGCCTATTTCTTATATGAAACTTTCATGGTACAAAACAGATCAGGGCATTTACATATAGTCTATAAAATATTCATGGAAGAAATTTTGTTGCAAAATATAAGGTAAAATATTAAGAGGAGGAGGAAGTGTGAAGACTGAGAATAAAATCAGGTAGATTAACTAAGAATGAAATCACTGTGAAGACACAGAAAAGTCTTGCAGTAGGAGAAGAGGATTTGGAACATGCTTGTCACCTAGCAGACACATGCTAGATTAGGCAGAATTCACACATTAGCCAAGTACAAATGCAGGCTAACATGTAAACGTTTCAGTTTTAATTTCGAGACAGTAGGACAAATGGTCAGAAATACAGACCTAGATGGAAAATCCTGCAAATCACTAGAATTCGTACTCCTATTATCTGAACAAGCAAGCAAATCAGACTGTGACTTAAGCAAAGGAAAGATTTCAATGTGTAAATAGCATCAGTTTCATAAGCCATTCAGTCTCTGTTACTATTAAACATAATGGCAAAAACCGCATTTACTTTTGCACTGACTTAATACTACTCAAATCTTTCCTTGCAATGGGAATGAAACCACAGACCATATGTAAACAAATGAGTATGGCTATATTCCAATACAAATGTATTTATGAATACTAAAATTTGAATTTTTGCATGATCCAAAATATGATTTTCTTATGATTATATTTCCAACATTTAAAAACTGTGTAAAAGTCTTTCTTAGTTTGCAGGTTGGACAAACAATATATGAGTTGACTTTGACCTGTGGATTGTAGTTTAGTAACCCATAGTCTAAAATATAAAATATGTGTAGCAAGTGAGGCTGCTTTTCTGATGCTAGAAATATGTGGAAGCAAGGTTGATTGTTTGCACATGGATTTTCTGGTCTGAAATTTGTTTCTAAGAATAAATAGCATCAGCAACTTGCTATATTCTAATTCAATTCTTTTGACACAATAGCCTATGGCTTAATTTAGTGACAAATAAAAGAGCTTAAATTACATTGATAGATTGTGCATAATATTACTTCTATATCTTTGTATCATGATCCAAGTACTATTATAAAGCTATCTTAATTTTGTTCCCAAGATGGCATATTAGGGGCTTTTAACATGCCTCAGCCACTTGGAAATAGCAAGATAGCACATAAAGATCAACTCTGTGAGCTTTAATTCAAGAAGGAAATCAGGAATCTACCAGAATCATGATGGACACCCCAGATTTCAGGAAGGAAGATGCTGGCAAACAGCCCCTGTGATGGCGTCTGGCAGATAAAAGTTAGTGAAGTCCCAGTACATGAGAGAGGAAGAGAGCATCCCCCTGTGATTCACCTTTCCACCTGGGATTTGGGCAATCCACGAGGAGGAAGAGCTCTTTGTTTCTCCCAAGCCCTGAAGGTAACTTGGGAGAGGGATGGAGACATTATAAGGCAAAGACACTGGGAACAGCTGCAGACATTTTCCCAGACCGTGGACCAAGAGCAGCACACCATTTTTAATCTGTGCACATACACTGTCAGCCATTATTTTGTGTGACTCGGAAGAGTGGCTGCACAGGCATTTTAGTTTCAAGCCAGAGATTAGAGTGCCTGCTCTGGAGCAGGATAGGGGCCTCCACAGCCAGAACTGTGGAAGGTGCCTCAGCAGTAGATGGTGGAATTGTGCTCTCCCGTCACAAGCCTGGAGCAGGAGAAGAGCTGCTACAGCTGCAGTTTCTCCTGGGTGGTGGACTTGCTGCCAGATCCAGCTTAGCGAATTAGAGCTAGTCTGTGTGTGCCATTGCTTGGTGCTCAAGGCTGCTCCCCTTAGACTGTGTTTAAGCAGGGCCCTCTCTGCTCCACCCCCAGACAGAAATCCAGGCATTTGGAGCACCTACTCTTCTGGACCAGCAGCCTGAGCTGCCTCACCCTTTCTAACATAGATCATGGCACAGATCTTCACACACAGGCAGAACTCCAGGTATTTGGAGCACTTGCTTGCCCGGACCAACAACCCGAGCCACACCACCTTTCCTGTGCAGAGATTGTGGTACAGGAAGACACTTTCTGCTCTATGCCCAGGTAGATCTCCAGGCATTCAGAAAACCCATTCATCTGGTTCAACCACTTGAGTTGCCCCACCCTTCCTGGACCCAGATCTTAGTGCAACAGGGCCTTCTCTGCTGCATGCCTAGGAAGATTCTCAGGCATTTGAAGCACTTGCTCACCTGGAACAGCAGAATGAACAGCCCCACCTTTCCTGTGCAGAGATCCAGGTGCAGGGGGCCCTCTCTGTCATAAGCCCAGTCATATCTCCAGGCATTCAGAGCACCTGTTTGCCTCGTTCAGCAGCCTGAGTTGCCACCCCTCTCCTGTGCAGAAATGTTGGTGCAGAGGGTCCCTCCCTGCTCCATGTCCAGGCAGATCTCCAAGCATTTGGAGGACCCATTCTCCTGGATTAGGGTTTTAGGCTGTCCCCCATCCCCATGCAGAGAATTGGGTCAGGGAGTTTTCCCAACTCCATGACTAAACACACCTCTGGGCACTTAGTGGCCATCCACTGGATTATTCATTGGAGCTGGTGCTCATGTCTGCCACTGGGGGACCTGTAGGCAGACCTGGCCAGTTTGGCCCTGCCTATCTTTGCCCCAGCACCTGCTTCTTGGGTTGAGGGACAGGGGTGGGCAAGCAGGGAGATAAGACCACTTTGCACTCCACAGAATAGCCCATTGCCTAGGCAGCAAAGAACTGCTTACAGTAAACAAAGATCAAGAATATGCCCAGCCATGTTGGCCACAGCTGGCTCTTACCTATAAGTTTCATCTACTGGTTTGTAGGTTGAACTACACTGCCTAACACAAAATTTGGTATCAGATGTGCATAAGGACATGGAATCAAAGCCAGAAAGCCCTGCCCAGCATTATCTAGGGTGACAACCCCTAAGGAGGGGAGAGGGCAAGGGAAAGGGAAAGAAAAAAGAAAATCAATAAAATTATTGGGGAAAAAAGAAAAAGAAAAAAAAACACCTGAAAGAAAATAAATACAAAAATTAGAAGTTCTAGTGTTTCCAAATGAGAATGAACCAACACAAGAATTGTCATCATTAAAAAACTGAGTGTAGTGACATCACCAAAGGATGGCCCTAGCTCTCCAGTAATGGTCCATAACCAAAATGGAAAATCAGAAATGAAAGATGAAAAATTCAACAAATGGATTTCAAGGAAGCTCAATGAATTCCAACTCAAGTTTGAAAATCAACACAAAGAAAGTTTTAAAACAATCCAGGAAATGAAGGAAGAGATACACATCCTAAGAAGAAATCAATCAGAACTTCTGGAATTTAAAACAAACAAACAAACAAATAAACAAAAAAACTCATTTAAGTAATTTCAAAATAAAATTGAAAGTTTTATCAGTAGACTAAACCAAGCAAAAGAAAGAATTTCAGAGCTTGAGGACCTGTGTCTCAAACTAGTCAGACAAAAATAAAGAAAAAAAGAATTAAAAAAAATGAACAAATCTTTGAGAAATATGGGATTATATACACCACCAATCCTATAAGTTGTTCGCATTCATGAGAGAGAACCTAGAAAAACTACTTGAGGGAAAAATTCAAGAAAATTTCTCTAATCTTGCTAGAGACTTAAGTATCCAAATAAAAGAAATCCTGAGAACACCTGAAAGATACTATAAAAAATGAGCATCACCAAGGCATATGGTCACCAGACTGTCCAAGGCCAATGCTAAAGAAAAAATCTTAACCCTTTTCCCATTTTTCCAGAGTGCTCCCCAGTGGCACTTGCAGCTGCAGCATTTGCCCCTAGATAACTTTGCAACAAAATATCTCGCTTTTATGATTATTTTCGCATCACTCTATCAACGAATGAAACAAAAGACTTCATTCTATTTATACCATTCTATTTTTTTGTCAACTTCAGAAACAAAAGACTTCATTCTATTTATACCATTCTATTTTCTTGTAGTGGTATTTCCATTTACAAAATATAGTCATTCTCAATTGCTGAAAATGTCAAATGCTAGAAAATGTAGCATTGCTACGCATGATGTTAACATCGTTCTTGAATGGTTTTTGGACAAAGATTTATTTAATGAGTTTTCTGAAATAGGCGATTCTGATGATTCAGACAATTCTCATGTTAGTTATGTTTAGAAATAACTCCAAGAACAGTTTTTATACTCTATTTTCACATTTAAAATCAGTCAGATTTGCTTTAGCCTCAGAGTCTGTTTATATAAAATTAAATGAGTGCTGGCAGCGAGCTGCACTTTTTTTTCTAAATGGGAAAAGGGTTAAAGGCAGCTAGAGAAAAAGGTCAAGTCACATACAAAGGGAACCCCATGAAGTTTATAATGAATTTCTCAGCAGAAATCTTACATGCCAGGAGAGAGTGGGGGCCTATTTTCAGCATTCTTAATGAAAGGATACTTCAACCAATGATTTCAAGATAACACAGAGAAGAAAAGTGAGGCCCAATTATCTGTTGCCTATAAGAAACACATTTGATCTATAAAGATACCCATAGACTGAAAACAATGGGATGAAAAAAGGTAGTCTATACTAAGGGAGACCAAAAAGAGCAGGAGTAGCTATATTTATATCAGACAAAACACCTTTCATGACAAAAACTGTAAGAAGAGAGAAAGGAGGTCATTATAAAATTATTAAGTGGAGAACTCAGCGAGAGGATGTGACAATTGTAAATGTATATGCACTCAAAAATGGAGCACCAAGATATATGAAAGAAATATTATTGGAGATAAAGAGCTAAATCTCAATACAATAAAAGCAGGAGACTTTAACATCCCACTTTCAGTATTGGACAGATGATGTAGGCAGAAAATCAACCAAAAAATGGAAATTAACTTGTATAAAAAATAATAAATATTTTGAGAACATTTCATCCAATGGCTGCAGAATACACATTTTTCTAGTGAGCACATGGGTCATTTTCCAGAATAGATCATATGTTAGGTGGTAAAAGAAGTGTTAAAACATTCAGAACCTTGAAATAATATCAAGAAACTTCTCTGACCACAATGGAACAAAACTAGAAATTAAAATCACAAGGAATTTTGAAAACTATACAAGTATATGGAAATTAAACTAGATGCTCTTGAATGACCAGTGGGACAATGAAGGAATTAGGAAGAAAATTGAGAACATTTTGAAACAAATGATAATGGAAACACACATACCAAAATCAATAGGATACAGAGAAAGCAGTATTAACAGGGAAATTTAGGGCTATACGTGTCTGCAACAAAAAAGAAGGAAAAACTTCTAATAAAAACCCTAACAATGCATCATCCTAAAGAATAAGAAAATCAAACCCAAAATTAGTAGAATAAAAGAATTAATTGAAGATCAGAGCACAAATAAATGAAATTGAAGTGAAGAAAACAATGCAAAACACCAACAAAATGAAATGAGTTTTTTTGAAAAGATAAACGAAATTGACAAACCTTTACCCATTCAAAGAAAAAACAAGAGGATCCAAATAAACAAAATCAGAGATGAAAAAGGAGACAATACATCTGATACTACAGAAATTCAAAGGACCATTAGTGGATACTATGAGCGACTATATACCAATAAATTAAAACCAAATACTGCTTGTTCTCATGTATAAGTGTAAACTAAACATTGGGTACTCGAGGACATAAAAATGGCAACAATAGAAACTAGAAAGTAATAGGGAGGTTGGCAGGCAGGGAAAATGTTGAAAAGCTGTTAAATACTATGCTTACTACCTGGGTAATGGAGTCATTTTTACCGCAGACTTCAGCATCATGCAATGTACCCGGTAACAAACCTATATATGTACCCTCTGAATCTAAAAGTTGAAAAAAATATATTATTTAGATTTAAAAAGAAAGAAAAATAAAGCAATCTTAGGTTCTTGGGGGATATATTAAAATAATTAGCTTTTCTTATCTAAAAGACACATAGATGTAATATATATCTAAATATAGCAACATGTCTAATTTATCTCATAATAGTTCCTTGAATTTCAGGATTCAGTGCCAAAGTGATAACTATGATATCTAATTTTAAAAATTACGTTCACATTTTCAAGGTACTATTGACAGGGCTTACGGGAACCGTTCTATAGAAAAACGCTGTCTGGAGACAAATCAGAGTTTTGCTATTTATTACTGTATAATTTTGGGCAAGTTACCTAAACCCTCAGTTTATTCATCTTTAAAATGGAGATATTCCATAGGGTAACTTTGAGTTAAGCTATGTAAATTAAATACTTAGAATATATACTAACACAAAGTAAGCCTTTTAGAGTTGTTTTGTTTATCATTGTGAGAAAGCACCCGTATCATATATCATTCCCTCATTCTCACAACTCCCTGAGTAAGCATAACACACATGCGCAAGCGCACACACACACATGCACACACACATACAACCACACACACAACCACATAATTAAAGATATAAGAAGAAAATACATAGTAATATGCATTTTAATATATGCATAACATAATAATATTTTATTATGATAATAACTAATCGCGTAATTTTGCTACTCATGTTAGGTGATTAATATAAACTTGCTTTAGATAAACTTTAACACATCTTGATCAACTTTCAATATATTCAATATGTTCAATAACTTATTTCCTAGTTATAATCCTCATTTCAAACATAAAATACATCTTATTTCAAAATACACAAGTACAACAAGAGGCAAAGTTATGTCTTACACTAAATAGATACTTAAATGACTGTTTGACGTATATGGATCTGAGAAAAAAAAACATTATCAATTAGCTACCTTTAATTATATGAACATTTTTTATGAAGGGAATAAAATAATGGTATTCAATTGAAAGGTTACTCTTCATCTTATTTAAATCACTCTGTACCTCTAATTGAACATTATAAATGATAAATGATGGCATTGCACTAAAGTGTAATATATTCTATCTCCTTGCCTTTATTACATTTAAAGAATAAATTATAAAATAAACGTTTACAAGTTTAGCATCATAAAAAACCCAAATTTTGAGACAATTAAACAACCACAAAACCAAAACTACAGTCAAATATCCAGAGAGATTATGTATAAAATGCTAAATATACAAATACAAAAATTGATGAGCTATTAACTTTTTAATTTTTCACTTACAGATCAAAATATGTACTTTTTCAATGATCTAGATTATATTTTCTAATATTATCAAATTACACATGGCTTATGATTTTCAAAACTTTTTATAACATTTTTTCTTCCAGAAATTCTTGGGTAAAGATAAAATACATTTCAAATTTTTACTATGCATTTTCTTCCTATTTACATGTGCACCATAAGATAGTTTTTCAGTAAATCAATACAGACTTTTTCAGGGATCATATCACGCCTGTAATCCCAGCACTTTGTGAGGGCGAGATGGGAGAATCACCAGAGGTCGAGAGTTCGAGACCTGCCTGGCCAGTATGGTGAAACCCCGTCTTTACTAAAAATACAAGAAACTATCCAAGTATGGTGTCAGGCACGTGTAATCCCAGCCACTTGGGAGGCTGAGGCAGGAGAAACTCTTGAACCTGGGAGGCGGAGTTGCAGTGAGCCGAGATCATGCCATTGCACTCTAGCCTGGGCAACAAGAGCTCAACTCTGTCTCAAAAAAATAAAAATAATAATAATTTTAAAGCTAAATATAATTCTGGTCTAATCATCCAATGCAAGTAGTACACACATGTTTATTTTATAGATTGTAATAACAAGTAATTAAGACTAGTAAATAGTAACCACTTTTATTTGAACATAAAATATACACTGAATATTACTGAATCTCTTGTTTATTTAATTCGTATCAGTTGAAGTATTTACTCTGCATATGATTTGGTCCAGGCTCTTTGCATTCTTTTTAGGACAGGGATATATATAAATATTTTCCCCAAACACAATTAACCTCATTTTACCTTCATTATAACATATACTTCATTCGTTTTTTTGTCCTTAAGTGAGAAAACTTACAACACTCAGAAAAATTATATCATGTCTTCAAGATTGTGCTGCAAATACATGTCATCGTCAAAATTTGAATGCAGGTTTTAATGCTAGCCTAGTTCTCTTCCTAGTACCCAAGAGATGACCCCCAGTAAAAGGGAATGCACTTACTGATTGTTCCAAAAGTGGAAACTGATTTTTGGTCCCATGGAAACATTTATTTTAATCATATGTTGATAGAAATCTTC
This sequence comes from Homo sapiens, assembly GCF_000001405.40. NCBI lineage: Eukaryota > Metazoa > Chordata > Mammalia > Primates > Hominidae > Homo > Homo sapiens. The sequence continues at coordinate 86,675,274 of NC_000012.12, forward strand.
TAGAAGACTACTCTCTCTTCGTAAAAAGAGGCCACTACAGGGAATTGACTCTTATCGTGATGACTCCCAGCCTTCATCATGAACATCCATTTTCACATCCTGTGGTGATGCAGTGCCTGTCAAGCTGTCAGCTGTCATGTCTGTGATCATCCCGTTTGCCTCTAACAGCCTCTGCTCTGATTCCTCTCAATCATTTAGGGTCAGGGAACCAGATGACCAAGGCTTTTAAAGATTGTATGTAAAGATTGTCTGTTTTTTCAACTGTAAAATGAGGTTGCTATACCAGACCAGTGGTTCTCAACTCTGGCTGCATATTTGAAGCACTGTGCTCACACACCATTCTAGGATACAATTGGTCTGAAATGGGGCTTTGCCACTGATCTTTTTTTAAATGATCCTGAAGTGTTTTGCTTTTTATTTCCATTGATACAAAATAGATGTACATATGTTGGGGATGCATGTAATATTTTTATACATTCATATAATATGTCATAATGAGATGAGGATAATGGAGATATCCATCACCTTAAATATTTGTCTTTTGTTCATACTGGGAAAATTTGAATTATTTGCATCTAGCTAATGTGAAATACACAATAGACTATTTTAAAATATAGTCACCCTAACCAGTCTATCAAATTAGGTCTTAGTTCTATCTAACTTTATTTTTCTACTCATTAATCACAAAGATAAAAAAGCAAAAAAAAAAAACATTCATTTCAATGAAGTTTATAAATAAATACGAAAAAATTAACCACTGAACAGACAGTTGTAACCCATATGATAGAGACATATGTAAATTCATTGTTATAGCAGCACAGATAGGGGCAACCAAACCAACCTGTGGGAGAAGGTGATATGATTTCTAGAGGAAGTGAGGATTGAGTTTTGTCCTGAAAACTCCTCTAGGTGAAAGAGGAAAGAATACCAATCAGGAGAAAATATATGCAAAGTTAAAAAGATGTAACAATGTAGGATATTTAGGGAAATTTCAAGTACGCAGTTCAATATGAGTGCCCTGTAGAGAACATGGTGGAAAGCATGGAAAGCTTAATTTTAAATAATTAGCTTTGAGCGAATTCACAGGGGGAAACCTTCTTTATTTCCTGCCAAGGATTTTACATTTTTTCTCTAAAGGCAATAGGTAGGAATTAAATAATCTGAATTAGCAAAACAAAAACATACACATAATCTACATTCCACACTCAGGATAGAAACATTAGAACATAATTGTCCTTTAGCAATACATATACTTGTGGATTTTAAGGAAATACTGATGCTATATCTTGTTTGGAGATGAACAGTCAGTTTAGAAGTCACTGCAATAATTAAGAGTAATTAGTAATTGGCTATCTTTTTAGGTAACCTGTGTAGATGAGTTTGTCATTCACAAACTCTAATGCCAGGAGTTAGGAGGATTAAAAAAGTAACTTTCATTTTGACTTGTCAGTGCTATGGTACCCAGGAGACAGTTAATTGAACATTCTCCATATCTACATAAGAAAGATCTGAGCCAGAAGAGAACAAGGCAGAGCATATAAGTATGGTGAAATAAGTTTATAAGATATTTAAAACTATGATTCATAAAATGATGATAGAAATTGAGATTCAAGAACAGAACTCTCAGAAACATAAATATTTAAAAGGTAGATGGAAAAACAGCCATCAGTCTTTTAAATATTTCTAGACATCCTCCTATTGAAGGACCTGTGTAGTCAGGAGTGTCCAGTGTTGTAGAACTGTGAAAGGACTGTTCACATTTAAGTGGCGGAGGTTAGAAGCCAGATTGCAGAGTGTTGAGATGTGAGGAGGTATTTTTCTTCTTTAGAAAAAAAAATCCCTACATGCACCTAGTTGCAACTTTTTTAACCAATACTTAATTACCTAATTTATTATTTGAGAAACCACGTGGGAAATCATAAAGGCCTTCCTGAATTAAGTAAAATGTTACCTTATTTCATATTAATTAACCCCATCCCTCTTCAGTTACAGAAATTTCAACCATATTTGATGTTCTTTCACCAATCTCTTGATGGCTATTAGACTGCAAATTCCCAAATTAGGAGTTAGTACTAACTTCATCTTTCACTTTGGTAACATTTCAACCAATGGCTATAGAGCTATGTACACAATGGCTACTCAAAAATGTGCTTGCTAGATTTACTCTTCTGCTTAGTTAAGCAATCAGGGAATGAGGTTACATCTTCTTAATTTCATGCCATTCAGAATCATCATTTTAAACATCATTGATAATGTAAGCATTTGGAAACAGAAACTTTTAAAACATTAATATTTTTCTTTACAGAGAATTTACTGAGGAATGTTGAAAGTTAATACAGATCTCAGTATTCAAAGGGAATAGAAAAATAAATATTCTTTAATTAATTATTCTTAAATAATCAATCTTCTATAAATATACCATGGTAAAACGAGTTAATGGGTTTCACATAAAATCCATTTGAGACTAAATAGCTGAGGGAAATGTTGGTCAAATGTAAAAATATGAAATAGGATGGTGCAATACAAATGCAGTTATTAATTTAGCCATGTTAATTTTCAATTAACCTTTCTTCATACTTCAGAAAGCAAACGACTAAAACTGTTAAACGAAAGACTATTGGTCTTCTTTTTCCTAACCTCTAAAGATAGACATTCTCTAGTGTTCAGCTCTTGGATCTTTTTCTTCTACCTTTACACTCGCTTCCTAGAAAATAACATCCAGTCCCATGGCTTAAACACCAAATGTATGCTGATGAGTCTCAAATTTATATTTCCAGTTCTGAACGCACCCTGATTTCCAGATTTGCTGATACAACCACCAACTTCATTTCTCTATTTGGATATCTCTGATGAGAATCTCAAATATCCAGAGCTGAAACCCTAATTTTCACCCCTCACCAAAGTGGGGAGCAAAGCAAAACAATAAACAAGCTGTTCCTCCATTTAGTTTAGCCGTTTCAGTCAATGGCGCCACCATCCTACATGAGCCTAAGACTTATCCTTTATTCCTCAACTTACCTTATTCCACCCCTACATGTGATGGCTCAGTAGGCCTTTTGATTTGTCATTTCTACCTTCATCGCCTATTTTGGTTGCACTATTCATAACCTACCTACTGTAAGAACTTCCAAACCACTCTGTTTCCTCTTTTTTTTTTATTTTATTATTATTATACTTTAAGTTTTAGGGTACATGTGCACAATGTGCAGGTTAGTTACATATGTATACATGTGCCATGCTGGTGTGCTGCACCCATTAACTCGTCATTTAGCATTAGGTATATCTCCTAAAGCTATCCCTCCCCCCTCCCCCCACCACACAACAGTCCCCAGAGTATGATGTTCCCCTTCCTGTGTCCATGTGTTCTCATTGTTCAATTCCCACCTATGAGTGAGAATATGTGGTGTTTGGTTTTTTGTTCTTGCGATAGTTTACTGAGAATGATGATTTCCAATTTCATCCATGTCCCTACAAAGGATGTGAACTCATCATTTTTTATGGCTGCATAGTATTCCATGGTGTATATGTGCCACATTTTCTTAATCCAGTCTATCATTGTTGGATATTTGGGTTGGTTCCAAGTCTTTGCTATTGTTAATAGTGCTGCAGTAAACATACGTGTGCATGTGTCTTTATAGCAGCATGATTTATAGTCCTTTGGGTATATACCCAGTAATGGGATGGCTGGGTCAAATGGTATTTCTAGCTCTAGATCCCTGAGGAATCGCCACACTGACTTCCACAATGGTTGAACTAGTTTACAGTCCCACCAACAGTGTAAAAGTGTTCCTATGTCTCCACATCCTCTCCAGTACCTGTTGTTTCCTGACTTTTTAATGATCGCCATTCTAACTGGTGTGAGATGGTATCTCATTGTGGTTTTGATTTGCATTTTTCTGATAGCCAGTGATGGTGAGCATTTTTTCATGTGTTTTTTGGCTGCATAAATGTCTTCTTTTGAGAAGTGTCTGTTCATATCCTTCACCCACTTTTTGATGGGTTTGTTTTTTTCTTGTAAATTTGTTTGAGTTCATTGTAGATTCTTTTCTTAACACACTAACCATCAAGATCTTCTTTAAGATACAGACCAGATCATAGATCATGTCTTCTTGTTCAAAATCCTATAGTGGTTTTCTGTCACACTTAGCATCAAAGGCAAACTCTTAACCATGAGCTACAGTGTACTATTTTGTGGCCTTTTCATGGTTCTTGAAATATGACAAGATTGTTCTTTCTTTAGGGACTGCAATAGTTTGAATGTGCACCCCAAAATTTATATGTTAAAATCCTGTCCCCCAAGATGATAATATTAGGAGGTGGGGCCATTTGGAGGTGATTAAGTCATGAGCAGAGCCTTCAGGAATGTGATTAGTGTCCTTATAAAAGAGATCTCAGAGAGCTATCTAGCTCCTTCTACCATGTGAGGACACAGCAAAAAGCTACTTTTCTGTTATATAAACCAAGAAGTGGAACCTCTAAAGATGTCAAATTAGCTGTAGTCTTCATCTTGATCTTCTCAGCCTCCACAACTGTAAGGAATACATTTCTGCTGTTTATAAGCTACCAGTTTAGAGTATTTTGTTATCGTAGCCAGAAAGGTCCAAGACTAGTTTGGATCTGCCATATAAAGAGAAGTCAGTACCTATTCTCTAGGATGGTCTTTGGCAATTAATGTTTCCTTGCCTTAGAGTATCCTCACCTCATTCACGGCCTTGATAAAATGTCACTGATCACACAGGTCTTCCCTCTTGCTACCTCTTTCTATCCCCTTTTCTGGTTGTGTAATTTCCTTGTGTATGTTTATTTTGCCTCCTAAAACATAGTCTCCAATAAACAGAGAATTTGGCCAAATCCCCACTATGTTAAAGATTATTTGACACACAGTAGATGATCTATTCATATTATGAGATGAATGAACCCATAATTTTAAATGCATGCAGACACATTGTATTTGAAGATTGCTAATATACTTTTAGTAACATCTAGGTGGTTGAATTATAGTATGTAAACTAACTGAAAATTTTACAATTTATTTTATTTTACATTCACAGGTTATCTCATAAGATTATCATAATCTAGGCAGATTTATATATCCTCACTTTACAAATGAGGAGAATGGGGCTAAGAGAGAGAAAAAAATGACTTTTCCCAGGTCCCACATGTATTGAATTGTTAGAGTCTGGGGGAATCCCAGATCTGATGGACTTCTTCCTACAGAGCTAAGCTTCAGGACTAATGTGCAGTTGTTTCGTTTAATGTAGTCTAAAAGATACATAGAGCATAAATTCTGGCCATAGGGTTGCATAGTTTCACAGACACGACTGCATTTTTAAAAAGTAAATTCTTCAAATAAATTATCTTCTAAGTAAACAAAGGCTTAGACATAAAATAGCAATTAACCTATCTAATTTTTCCGATGTGGAAGAAATTGCATTCCTTGTTACAGTGCTCCGAAGGTAAATCCATAACCATGCACTTGAGCCAGAATAAGATTGATATTACTGAATGTGATAGGAAAATCATTATATATAATTTATAAATTTAGGCTTCTATATTATGTTTCTTCTCATTTCTTCTTTCTATAGTTGTGAATTTAGAGCTGTTTGAATCCAATAATCAGGAACAAACAAAAAGAAAACAATCTTATTTATTATAAATTTGCAAGCATTTTTTTCTGGTATGTGATACATCATGCTCATGGGACTATTGTGCATTCTGTTTCCAAGATGATGGTAATTTATTTCAAAACCTCCTTAGCATACTTACTTAAATAAAAATTATGAGAAAGGATCTATTACTCGTGGAAAATAAAATATATATTACTTAGTAATTTCTGTGATATATGTGATTCTCTCTATGTATGGATGCTATATTTATTATCCATGTAATCCTCTAGCATCATATATTTAAGAATTTAGATTTCATTGTGAATTCAATAGAAATAGCCTCTGAAGTAACCATGTTAGGACTAACTAATTTGCTGATGAGGTGATTTTTAAAAATACACACCATATATAATAAATTATAAAACTTTATTTAAAGGAGGCTGGTCTCTTATGACAATTACTTTATAGGCTATAACATTTGCAACCATGGTGGACTATGAGATTTTCCCTCTTCATAGTATATTTGTATTGAAAGCTTACCTACATTGTTCCTTCACAATTCAATTAATCAGATTTTCTTTTAATTATAAATGATGGTTAAAGATAATGCCAATAAATTTCATCCACCCACTCACTCACTTATTCATCAAGCAGTTTTATAGTTATTGAGTACTATGCTAGTTGCTTAGAGCAAAAAGAAAAAAAAAGAATAGGAAATTTTCAATCTTCTAAAGAAATCTATATCCTAATGATACAAGCAAAGAAATTAGCAATTATCATGTAGTTTTCTATACACCTAACAGCTACTGGTATTGGAGTTATATTACAGTTTGTTTTTATTATAATTTTTATTATAAATTAATACATTGCAGTTCTGATATACATAGAAAATTTTCACAAGGTTAACATAAGCTCAAACATGAAATATCTATTCCCCATTAGATTGGAAGTAAAAGCTAATTTCTGAGCTTTCAGAGAGATTTCTAGAACCTGGAAAGTAGAAATTTACTGAACAAAAATGACTTGAAACCCAGGCAGCTTTCTCTGCCAACACTGGTATTCCAATTCACCTTCTCTTAGTGCACAATTAACCTATAGAGACAATATAGCTTTGAAAGACAGCATGCACAAAATGGCCATTAGAGCACCCCAAAGTAATCTCCAGTGGATTGTGAACAGATTTTTGCATCTTAATTTAAATCTGAATGCAGGTGCATGGTTGTGTGAAACAGAATGAAAAATCTTGATAGTTTCATATATAGTTCTAACAATTCTGAAACAACCATTATGAGCAAGTTTTGTAGGCATGTTTACTTATTAATTTTACATTTTAATAGCAGTAAAACCAGGCAGTAGATAGGAGTTAATATTTATTAAATAGTATAAAATTTAATTTTATTAGATGCAATATTTTATTGAATCTTAACAAAATTCTTGGTTGAGGTTCAGAGTGAAGAGGTAACATGTTTAAGAAATAAGCTAAGCAGTTTACTAATTACACAATAATTCCAATGAAAGGCATGTTTCTTACTCTTCTTAATAAACCATATGTAGTTTTTATCTTCTCTGAACCATTTAATAAGATCTATATTTAAATGTAGTCTTGATCCTTTGCATTGGTAGGTGGTATTATTTGGCTATAGCTATGCATATCATAATTAAACACTGGTAATTTAAGCTCCTTTAATTTTCATCAACTACCATGACAACTAAATGTGGAAGCCCAAACTAGGGAAAAAAAGTTTCTTGTCACATTATAACCTGCAATACTATGCATTTATTTCATTAAGAAATTTCTGAGCTTGCTATTAAATGAACTAGTACAAAATGCACTTGCAGACACCACAGAGAATAAATGATTCCACAGCCCATGGCCTTCAAGGACAAATATTTAGTAAATATATTTTATAACAAAGTAACCTCCAGTTAAAAACTTTGATTTGGATTCACTCTTCTCTCTAACTACAATTTTAGGAGATATAAAGAATGATGTGCTTGTCTGAACAACACTATCACCATCTCCTGTATTTAAAACATTGTTTTTATCTATTTCCCTTTATTATGTAGGTATGTCAACTTAGACTGCTCCAGTTTTCTTCTGAAACTTTATAAAGTGACAGATATTTCACTGGATTGAAATAACAATATGAAGTTCAATAAACTAGGATCCTGAGCAGGATGTCTTTGGATTTGAAGCCTGACTCTGGCACTGCTAGCTTTGTGACTTAGGAGAAACATATGATATCCCTGTGCCTCAGTTTCTCTATGAAATTGACATAAAATACCTCATAGGGTGGGGTTAAAAGTATTAAATGACTAAAAATATGAAGAAACGGAACTCTATTTGGCACAAAAGAAAGATTCAATAAAAGGAAATTTATTTAACTATCTATCATCTATCTATCTACCTACCTATCTATAATCTATCTTTTTATCTATCATCTATTTACTTTTGTTTTTTAAATCATAAAACAGATTCCAAGAAATAAGTCAAAACTTCTGAACTTTACATAGTTAATGAGCATCCTCATGTCTTCATCTCTGGGTTTGCTTAGTTTAAATTTTATTGTCTATCCTTTCAACTACTTCTTCCCATCTTACCTAAAATATTGCCCTGCCATTTGACAAATACTTGTTCAATCCAAACTAAATTATGTTTGGATATGAATGAGGCTGGAAAAAAACTCACTACTATGAAAAAAAAACCAAAAAAATCCTCACCATGACTCACCACTATGCTAATTTGTCTTATGTTAAAAACAGACATAGAGTGAACCCACAGCCCTGACAAAATCTTCCTATATTTCTTTAGTTAACTCACTCTCCCAATCCCTTGAGAATTTCTCCCCACGTTTTTTTCTCCTAAAGCTTAAAATCATTTTCCTTTTCTTCTCATGATAAACGTTTGTGTCCTCAACAGATCACAAGAACTCAGCACCAGTAACCTCTGCATCTGCACTCATATGCTGCCTTCCTTCTTGTTGCAGCTGATGAGCTGTCTGCTGTCTTATCTAATTTCAACATGCTCTTGTGCCCTGTATTGGATATCCTCTCCCTAGTTGTGAATGACCTCATGCAACGATTCCCCTTTCTTTCTCATATCATCTGCTTTTTCCTTTGAGTGGAATTATTTTTAAACAATTTCCTAATTTCTTTCTATCTACACCCAATTATTCATTACCCTTTTCAGGAAATTACTCAAAAATGTTGTCTGGGCCAGGCTGGGTGGCTCACGCCTGTAACCCCAGCACTTTGGGAGGCCGAGGCGGGCAGATCACTTGAGGTCATGCATTACCTCCCCTTGCTCCTCACCCCTTAACAGGCCCTGATGTGTGATGTTCCCCTCCCTGTGTCCATGTGTTCTCATTGTTCAACCCCACTTATGAGTGAAAACATGTGGTGTTTGGTTTTCTGTTCCTGTGTTAATTTGCTGAGAATGATGGTTTCCAGCTTCATCCATGTCCCTGCAAAAGACATAAACTCATTAATTTTTATGGCAGCATAGTATTCCATGGTATATATGTGCCACATTTTCTTTATCCAGTCTATCATTGATGGGCATTTGGGTTGGTTTCAAGTCTTTGCTCAGGTAAATAGTGCTGGAATAAACATATGTGTGTATGTGTCTTTATAACAGAATGATTTATAATCCCTTGGGTATATACCCAGTAATGGGATTGGTATGTCAAATGGTATTTCTGGTTGTAGATCCTTGAGGAATTGCCACACTGTCTTCCACAATGGTTGAACTAATTTACACTTCCACCAACAGTGTAAAAGCATTCATATTTCTCCACATCCTCTCCAGGATCTGTTGTTTCCTGACTTTTTAATGATCGCCATTCTAACTGGCATGAGATGGTATCTCATTGTGGTTCTGATTTTCATTTCTCTAATGACCGATGATGATGAGCTTTTTTTTTTTCATATGTTTGTTGGCCACATAAATGGCTTCTTTTGAGAAGTGTCTGTTCATATCATTCACCAACTTTTTGATGGGTTTTTTGTTTTTTTCTGGTGAATTTGTTTAAGTTCCTTTTAGATTCTGGATATGAGCTCTTTGTCAGATGGATAGATTGCAAAAATTTTCTCCTATTCTGTATGTTGCCTGTTCACCCTGAGGATAGTATATTTTGCTGTGCAGAAGCTTTTTAGTTTAATAAGATCCCATTTGTCAATTTCGGCTTTTGTTGCAATTGCTTTTGGTGTTTTAGTCCTGAAGTCTTTGCACATATCTATGTCCTGAATGGTATTGCCTAGGTTTTCTTCTGTGGTTTTTATGGTCCTAGATCTTATGCTTAAGTCTTTAATCCATCTTGAGTTAATTTTTACATGAGGTGTAAAGAAGGGGTCCAGGTTCAGATTTCTGCATATGGCTAGCCAGTTTTCCCAACACCATTTATTAAATAGGGAATCCTTTCCCCATTTCTTGTTTTTATCAGGTTTGTCAAAGTTCAGATGGTTGTAGAGGTGTGATGTTATTTCTGAGGCCTCCGTTCTGTTCCATTGGTCTATATATCTGTTTTGGTACCAGTGCCATGCTATTTTGGTAACTGTAGCCTTGTAGTATAGTTTGAAGTCAGACAGTGCCTCCAAATTTGTTCTTTTTGCTTAGGATTGCCTTGGCTACACAGGCTCTTTTTTGGTTCCATATGAAATTTAAGGTAGTTGTTTCTAATTCTGTGAAGAAAGTCAATGGTAGCTTGATGGGGATAACATTGAATCTATAAATGACTTTGGGCAGCATGGCCATTTTCACAATATTGATTCTTTCTCTCCATGAGCATGAAAGGTTTTTCCATTTGTTTGTGCCCTCTCTTATTTCTTTGAGCAGTGGTTTGTAGTTCTCCTTGAAAAGGTTCTTCACACCGCTTGTAAGTTGTATTCTTAGGTATTTTATTCTCTTTGTAGCAATTGTGAATGGGAGTTCACTCATTATTTGGCTCTCTGTTTTTCTATTATTGGTGTATAGGAATGCTTGTGATTTTTTTTTTTTTTTTGGAGACAGAGTCTTGCTCTGTTGCCCAGGCTGGAGCGCAGTGGCACACTCTCAGCTCACTGCAAGCTCTGCCTCCCAGGTTCACGCCATTCTCCTGCCTCAGCCTCCTGAGTATCTGGGACTACAGGCACCTGCCACCATGCCTGGCTAATTTTATTTTAATTTTTTTTTTTTGTATTTTTAGTAGAGAACATGTTTCACCGTGTTAGTCAGGATGGTCTCGATCTCCTGACCTCATGATCTGCCCGTCTCAGCCTCCCAAAGTGCTGGGATTACAGGGGTGAGCCACTGCACCCGGCTGAATGCTTGTGATTTTTGCACATTGATTTTGTATTCTGAGACTTTGCTGAAGTTGCTTATCAGCTTAAGGAGTTTGGGGGCTGAGACAATGGGGTTTTCTGCAAACAGAGACAGTTTAACTTCCTCTCTTCCTATTTGAATATCCTTTATTTCTTTCTCTTGCCTGATTGCCTGGGAAGAACTTCCAATACTATGTTGAATAGGAGTAAGGAAGAGGGCATCCTTATCTTGTGCCAGTTTTCAAAGTGACTCCTTCCAGTTTTTGCCCATTCACTATGATATTTGCTCTGGGTTTGTCATAAATAGCTCTTATTGTTTTGAGATGTGCTCCATCAATACCTAGTTTTTGAGTGTTTTTAGCATGAAGTGTTGTTGAATTTTATCAAAGGCCTTTTCTGCATCTATTGAGATAATCATGTGTTTTTTGTCATTGGTTCTGTGTCCGTGATGGACTATGTTTATTGATTTTCATATGTTGAACCAGCCTTGCATCCCAGGGATGAAGTCAACTTGATCATGGTGGATAAGCTTTGTGATGTGCTGCTGGATTCAGTTTGCCAATATTTTATTGAGAATTTTCACATTGATCTTCATCGGAGATACTGGCCTGAATTTTTCTCTTTTTGTTATGTCTCTGCCAGGTTTTGGCATCATGATGATACTGTCCTCATACAATGTGTTAGGGAGGAGTCCCTCTTTTTCTGTTGTTGAGAATATTTTCAGAAGGATGGTACCAGCTCCTCTTTGTACCTCTGGTAGAATTTGGCTGTGAATCCGTCTGGTCCTGGGCTTTTTGTTGTTGTTGTTGTTGGTAGGCTATTAATTACTGCCTCAGTGTCAGAACTTGTTATTGCCCTATTCAGGGATTTGACTTCTTCCTGGTTTAGTCTTTGGATGATGCATGTGTCCAGGAATTTATCCATTTCTTCTAGATTTTATAGTTTATTTGTGTAGAGGTGTTTACAGTATTCTTTGATGGTCTTTTGTATTTCTGTGGGATCAGTGTTGATATCCCCTTTTTCATTTTTTATTTTCTATTCTTCTTTCTTTTCTTCTTTATTTGTCTGGCTAGTGGTCCACCTACTTTGTTAGTCTTTTCAAAAAACCAGCTCCTGGATTCATTGATTTTTTGAAGGGTTTTTCGTGTCTCTATCTCCTTCAGTTCTGCTGTGATCTTCGTTATTTCTTGTCTTCTGCTAGCTTTTGAATTTCTTTGCTCTTGCTTCTCTAGTTCTTTTAAGTGTGATGTTAGGGTGTCAATTTTAGATCTTTCCCACTTTCTCATGTGGGCAGTTAGTGCTATCAATTTCCCTCTTAACACTGCTTTAGCTGTTTCCCAGAAATTCTGGTATGTTGTGTCTTTGTTCTCATTGGTTTCAAACAACTTATTTATTTCTGACTTTATTTTGTTATTTACGCAGTAGTCATTCAGGAGCAGGTTGTTCAGTTTCCATGTAGTTGTGCAGTTTTAAGTGAGTTTCTTAATACTGAGTTCTCATTTGATTGCACTGTGGTCTGAGAGACTGTTATGATTTCTGTTCTTTTGCATTTGTTGAGAAGTGTTTTACTTCGAATTATGTGGTCAATTTTAGAATGGGTGTGATGTGGTGCGGAGAAGAATGTATATTCCGTTGATTTGGGGTGGAGTGTTCTGTAGATTTCTATTAGGTCTGTTTGGTCCAGTGCTGAGTTCAAATCCTGAAGATCCTTGTTAATTTTCTGTATTGTTGATCTGTCTAATATTGACACTGGGATGTTAAAGTCTCCCACTATTATTGTGTGGGAGTTTACGTCTGTTTGCAGGTCTCTAAGAACTTGGTTTATGAATCTGGGTGCTCCTGTACTGGGTGCATATTTATTTAGGATAGTTAGTTCTTCTTTTTGCATTGATCCCTTTACCACTATGTAATGCTCTTGTCTTTTTTGATCTTTGTTGGTTGAAAGTCCATTTTATCAGAGACTAGGAATGCAACCCCTGCTTTTTTTTTTTTTTTTTTTTTTTTGCTTTCCATTTGCTTGGTAAATATTCCTCCATCCCTTTATCTTGAGCTTATGTGTGTCTTTGCACATGAAATGGGTCTCCTGAATACAGCACACCGATGGGTCTTGTCTCTTTATCCAATTTGCCAGTCTGTGTCTTTTAATTGGGGCATTTAGCTCATTTACATTTAAGGTCAATATTGTTATGGGTTAATTTGATCCTGTCATTATGATGCCAGCTGGTGATTTTGCACATTAGTTGATGTAGCTTCTTCATAGTGTTGATGGTCTTTACAATTTGGTACATTTTTGCAGTGGCTGGTACCAGTTTTTCCTTTCCATATTTAGGGTTTCTTTCAGGAGATCCTGTAAGCTAGGCCTGGTGGCAACAAAATCCCTCAGCAGTTGCTTGTCTGTGAAGATTTTATTTCTCCTTTGTGTTTGAAGCTGAGTTTGGCTGGATATGAAATTCTGGGTTGAAAATTCTTTTCTTCAAGAATGTTGTATTTTGGCCCCCACTCTCTTCTAGCTTGCAGGGTTTCTACAGAGAGATCTGCTGTTATTCTAATGGGCTCCCCTTTATGGGTAACCTGACCTTTCTCTCTGGTTGCCCTTAACATTTTTTCCTTCAGTTCAACCTTAGTGAATCTGACAATTATGTGTCTGGGGGTTATTCTTCTCAAGGAGTATCTTAGCGGTGCTCTCTATATTTCCTGAATTTGAATGTTGGCCTGCCTTGCTAGGTTGGGGAAGTTCTCCTGGATAATATCCTGAAGTGTGTTTGCCAACTTGGTTCCATTCTCCTTGTCACTTTCAGGTACACCAATCAAACATAGGTTTGGTCTTTTCACATAGTTCCATACTTTTTGGAGGCTTTGGTCATTCTTTTTCATTTCTCTCTAATCTTGTCTTCACACCTTATTTTGTTAAGTTGATCTTCAATCTCTGATATCCTTTATTTCACTTGATCGATTCATCTGTTGATACCTGTGTATACTTCACGAAGTTCTCATGCTGTGTTTCTCAGCTCCGTCAAGTCATTTATATTCTTCTGTAAACTGGTTATTCTAGTTAGCAGTTCCTGTAACCTTTTGTCAAGGTTCTTAGCTTCCTTGCCCTGGGTTAGAACACGCTCCTTTAGCTTGGAGGATTTTGTTATTACCCACCTTCTGAAGACTACTCTGTCAATTTATCAAATTCATTCTCCATCCAGTTTTTTTCCCTGGCTGGCGAAGAGTTGTGATTCTTTGGAGAAGGGGCATTCTTGTTTTTTCCTCATCTATGTTTATTTATCTACCTTTGATATTTGAGGATGGTGATCTTTGGATGGGGTTTTTGCATGGGCGTCCTTTTTGTTGATGTTGATATTATTGCTTTCTGTTTGTTAGTTTTCCTTCTAACAGTCAGGCTTCTCTTGTGCAGGTCTGTTGGAGTTTGCTGGACATCCATTGCAGACCCTTTTTGCCTGGGTATCACCAGCAGGGGCTGCAGAACAGCAAAGATCGCTGCCTTCTTCTTCCTCTGAAAGCTTTGTCCCAGAGGGGCACCCGCCAGATGCCAGCCAGAGCTCTCCTGTAGGAGGTGTCTGTCGACCCTGGCTGGGATGTGTCTCCCAGTCAGGAGGCACAGGGGTCAGGGACCCACTTGAGCAGGCAGTCTGTCCCATAGCAGAGCTCAACCACTGTGCTGGGAGATCCACTTCTCTCTTCAGAGCTGGCAGGCAGGAATGTTTAAGTCTGCTGAAGCTTAGCCCACAACAACCCCTCTCCCCAGGTGCTCTGTCCCAGGGGGATGGGAGTTTTATCTACAAGCCCCTGATTGAGGCTGCTGCCTTTCTTTCAGAGATGCCATGCCCAGAGAAGAGGACTCTAGAGAGGCAGTCTGGCTACAGCAGCTTTGCCTCACTGTGGTAGGTTCCACCCAATTCGAACTTCCCAGTGGCTTTGTTTACACTATTAGGGGAAAACCGCCTACTGAAGCCTCAGTAATGGCTGATGCCCCTCCCCCTACCAAGCACCAGAGTCCCAGGTCGACTTCAGACTGCTGTGCTGGCAGCGGGAATTTCAAGCCAGTAGATCTTAGCTTGCTTGGTTCAATGGAAGTGGGATCCACTAAGCAAGACCACTTGGCTCCCTGGCTTCAGTCCTCTCTCCAGGGCAGTGAATGATTCTGTCTCACTGGCAATCCAGGCACCACTGGGGTACGAAAAAGACTCCTGCAGCTAGCTGGATGTCTGACCAAACAGCCGCCAGTTTTGTGCTTGAAACCCAGGGCCCTGGTGGTGTAGGCACCCGAGAGAATCTCCTGGTCTGCTGGTGGCGAAAACCATGGGAAAAGCATAGTGTCTGGGCCAGATAGCAACGTCCTTCAAGGCACAGTCCCTCAAGGGTTCCCTTGGCTAGGGGAGGGAGTTCCCTGACCCCTTGCACTTCCTGAGTGAGGCGACATCCCACCCTGCTTCTGCTTGCCCTCTGTGGGCTGCAGAAGTCCCAGTGAGATGAGCCGGGTACCTTAGTTGGAAATGCAGAAATCACCCGCCTTCTGCTTTGGTCTCACTAGGAACTGCAGACCGGAGCTGTTCCTATTTGGCCATCTTGCCCTGGAAAGACCAATCTCAACTTTTAATGTTGATGTTCTCAGGACTCAATATTTTCATCACTTTCCTTTTCTAGCTTTAATGGTCCGTCATCTTATGTAGTGCAATAGCTTTATATTACAGTTTAGACTAATGACTCTGAAATTCATATTTTTAACCTGTTTGCATAAGTTTTAGACTTGTATATTTCTGTCCACATTATATCTCAAATTTGATATTCTTTACCATAAACCTTGATCTCATCAACTTCTGCACCTGCTCTTTGTTTACTATTTTTACTGGAATAAATGGCACGATAGTTTACTCAGTTATTCAACACCTAAACTTTTGAGGCTTCCTTGATATTTCTCCTATGATCTGTCTATATTCAATCCATCTTTAAGTCTTACTACTTCCGTTTACTGGCAATAAAGGACTAGTATGTTTTGGAACAATTATCTTGAGAACAACTAGAATATTTGATAAAATAATGTATGTTTAAAGCATAGTGGAGCCAGCAGTGAGAATTTGCAGAGTCAAGATTCAGTATAAGAGAGAAACCAAAAGCAATACTCCCAAGAGAAATAATCTCAGAGTATAAAAGTTCTTTTCCCTTTGAGCTGTGGATTCCAAAAGCACCAGGTGATATTTTGAGATGTATGAACAGAGCTTGAGCAATGTCACTAAGCTGAAGACACAAAAATTGTTGACGAGATAGAGAGAAGAAAAAGACAACCTGGTAAATATCTTAAGCTTTGAGTTGGAATCCAAAGGGCTATACCCTACAAATGTGAGCGAAATGGAATAGCCAGTTCACACTGAGACTGAAGACCAGTTACCAACCAGCTCAATTCTAAATTGAATTAAGATAGACATTCTATATACTAGCCATCACCAGATGCAAAATAAATCATCTATTAGGAAATATAATATTATACAGATTTTTCAATTATTTCCACTTTTCACATATTTATATCTGGCATTCAGTATTATATATAAGACATACAACGTATCCAAACACACACCCACATAAAAATATATACAATATAAACATATTTATAGGAAATCTAAATGATAGAAATATATTTATAGGAAATCTAGATAATAGAGTGATTATATATATTTTAAAATATCTGCATTAAAGTATTTACAAGACAAAATGAAATTTCAATTGATAGTTCTACTTCTGAGTATATACAGATAATTATGTGACAATTAAGAACTGATAAATATAATTACTTTAATTAAGATATTGGTGAATTGGTTGAATATCATATTAGTCACAGTTGAAGAGGAAATTGTTACACTAAAAGATGAGTCAGATCAAAAGATTTCAACAAAAGCATGAAGAGAAATTTTTTAAAAAATGGAAATGCAGAAAAGATTATTAAAGGTATGTGATCATGGTAACAAGCTGAAACATATTTGCAAGTGCAGTTTCAAGAAAAGAGGAAAGAGAGAATGGGACATAAGCAATACTTAAAGACAGACTATTTGAAAATCTTTAAATGTGAAAAATACATTAAGCCTATGATGCAAACAGTGTAATTACAAAAAATATCACAGTACGTACATAGTATAATTACATGTTATCACATGTATACACACATAGAATTATATTGAAATTATCAAAACCACCAACTACTTAGAAAGAAATGTAATACAAAATGTGTAAGGTGTCTACTCAAAAAACAATCATTATTGATAAATTTAACACATAAATAAATGGAAAATGTAAACTCAAAGACTCAATTTTGTAAAGAGTTTATTTCTCTCCAATTTGTTTAAAATTCAACACAATGCTAATAAAACCCAAGCTCAATTTGATGGGAAATTTAATACTTATGGAGATGAAAATAGTCACAGAGGTATATGACCATCCTGAAGAAGAACAAAATGAGATTACCATTCTACATACCAAGATTTACTATTAAGCCACAATAATAAGGAGAATAATAGTGGTGTAAGGATTTTTAAAAGTAGAATAGAGTATACAGAATCAGATCCACCTATACAGTCTTGGTTTATGAAAAGGTAGCCCTACTTGACCCTGAGAAGAGGATAGTCTTTTTGATGAAGAGTGCTGGATTGGTTGTCTACCTGAGACGAGTGTACCACACAAATTGTTTGTTACGGAATGTGCTTGGGATCATGTATGGCATGGAAGAATATCAAGCAGAGGGGAATATGAAGTTGTGATTCAGGCCCAACAACCGTTTTGAATGATCCCATGGACCTTCTGTAACTAGAGTGGCCTGACGGAGTGGTCCTTCACTGGGCTAAGGTAGCCAAACCTCTATACTACTGATTGGATCGCCATTAGATATGAGCCACCCTTGGAAGAGAGAGATAATTTAGGGTGAGTTGACACTCTTCAGCTGAGTTAATATCTGAAGGGATTGATAGCTGAAGGCCATATTCAGATAGCACCCTCAGCAGGTGCAGCAGTTTCTGAAGGCAGACCTGGAAGGTGCGTTAGAGTATCTACTTCACTCCATTTTATTCTAAAAATATGATTTATTATTATGTCATGTATACACTGATTAATTCATTCATTGACCAGTAACTTGATAACGGCAAGGAATTCTTCTCTTGGTTATTTTTTCTCTAATAATATATTTTACAAAAACTAGTGTTCCACAAATATTTTTAAACAAATGAGGGTGGAAAATTGGAGGCCAAACTATGAAGTGTATTGTAATTATTGATAAAAATGTGTCAGTATCTAGTTAATTCTGATATTTTTGATATCAGTCTTATCTAAATTTAATATTCAGCTCTGATAAGTATTAGCTAATTAGCTTTGGGCTCCTAAGTTATTCTTTTTTGGTGCAAATACTTCATTTGGTATATGATAGAGAATAAACAAGTTATTCTTGAAAAACAATTAGATGACAGTTGTAATTTTTAGAAGCAAAGAAAATGTAACAATTAAGATTAAAGAAATATAATTAGTT
The DNA here is from genome assembly GCF_000001405.40 of Homo sapiens. Taxonomy (NCBI): domain Eukaryota; kingdom Metazoa; phylum Chordata; class Mammalia; order Primates; family Hominidae; genus Homo; species Homo sapiens. Next base: position 86,693,691 of record NC_000012.12, read on the forward strand.
TTATTTTACTGTCATTCTCTAGCTAGTCACATTTAACTAAAAATTCTAAGTAATGGAGAGAAATTTTCAATTTGGATTATTTCAATAATAAAATATTTTTATTTATGTCTCATTAGGAGATATAATTGTATGCCTCATGTCTAGCATACAATGCCTAGAAGTCTTCTTCATTCTGTTTTGAAAACTCATCAGTTAGTTTTTCTTTTGCCAACAAATACTGTTGTCTAAATGTCTGAGAGCTTTCGCCAATAATGACATTCATTACCCGTCAGCTTCTTTTATAAAACTTGAACTTTAAAAATACATGTTTTATTACTATTATAAATCCAAAGCAAAATAAGGAGGAATACACTTTTAACATGTAGCTTCTAAATTATTCTGCCACATGTACTGTTTAGGAATGAATTATGATAAATTTCCAAATACATTATCATGACCAAAACTCTAACTGATGTGTCTTTCCAGCTCTTTCTTAGTGAATCTTAACTCAAATATTTCAGATCTTCTTTTCTCTGCCCTAGTTACCACCTCTACATCAATTACCCTTTGTAAGCTAGTCGTTTTTCTTCTTCTATTGTACTTTCTGTAAATGGCTTTTTTATATGTCCAAAATAAATTCTAAACATGACAAAATGTGAAAGGCTATCATTAAATCTGTTTCCCTTAAAATAACTTTTTAAATTAAGTTTTAATTTTACAATAATTTTGTGATTATTATGTCTATCTTGACATTAGAGAACCAGAGCTGCAAAAATATTTAGAATGAGCTATTAGAGTACAGGAATTGAATTTTCTTGTAACAATTGCAGAATTAGTACATTACTAGTATTTATATAATTTGATGTATTTTTTCCTTGATTGATGTAATTCAAATGAGATATATCTTTCAGAATTATTTGAAAATAATAAAAATATGTCATGTCAGGGTCACTTTAGAAGTGACCGCAATCTTCTCATTACAGTAGGATTTGAATTATCAAGGTTATTTATACATCAGAAAGAAATTGTTGTATATAAGCAGAATAATGAAACTAGACTCCTGTCTTTCACCATGTACAAAAATCAAATAGAAATGGATTAAAGATTAAAGACTGAAATCTAAGACCTCAGACTTTGAAACTACAACGAGAAAACCTCTGGGCAGCTCTCTGGAACATTGGTCTGGGCAAAAAATTTCCCGAGTAATGCCTCCAAATCACAGGCAATCAAAGCAAAAATGGACAAATGGGATCACATCAAATTAAAAGGCTTCTAAGCAGCAAACGAAACAATTAACAAAGTGAAGAGGCAACTCACAGAATGGTGGGAAATATTTGCAAACTACCTATCTGACAAAGGATTAATAAACAGAATATATAAGCAGCTCAAGCAACTCTACAGGAAAAAATCAAGTAGTCTGATTAAAAACTGGGCAGAAGATTTGAACAGACATTTCTCAAAAGAAGACATGCAAATGGCAAACATACATATGAAAAGGTGTTTAACATCATTGATTATCAGCAAAATGCAAACCAAAACTACAGTAAGTTATCATCTCATCCCGGTTAAAATGGCTTTTGTCCAAAAGACAGGCAATAAAAAATGCTGTCGAGGAAATAGATAAAAAGGAACCCTTGTACACTGTTGGTAAAAAGGTAAATTATTACAACAACTATAGAGAACAGTTTGGAGATTCCTCAAAAAACTAAAAGTAGAGCTAACATATGATCCAGCAATCCCACTGCTGAGTATATACTCTAAAGAAGGGAAGTCAGAATATGGAGAGATATCTGCACTCCAATATTTGTTGTTGCACTGTTCACAATAGCAAAAATTTCAAAGTAACCTAAATGTCCATCAACGTATGAATGAATAAAGAAAATGTGGTGCATGTACGCAATGGAGTACTATTCATCCATAAGAAAGAATGAGATTCTGTCATTTGCAACAACATGGATGAAAAAACTGAGAATCATTATGTTAAGTGAAAAGGCCAGGCACAGAAAGACAAACATCACATGTTCTCACTTATTTGTGGGATCTAAAAATCAAAACAATCGAACTCATCGACACAGAGAGTAGAATGATGGTTACCAGAGGCTAGGAAGGGTAGTTAGGGGGTGGGAGAGTGAAGGTGGGTATAGTTAATAGGTACAAAAAAATAGAAAAAATGAATAAAATCTAGTATTTGATAGCACAACAGGGTGACTATCATCAATAAGAATTTAATTGTACATTTTAAAATAGCTGAAAGAATATAGGCCGGGCGTGGTGGCTCATGCTTGTAATCTCAGCACTTTGGGAGGCTGAAGAGGGCAGATCATGAGGTCAGGAGATCAAGACCATCCTGGCCAACATGGTGAAACCCCGTTTCTACTAAAAATACAAAAAAATTAGCTGGGCGTGGTGGTGCGCACCTGTATTCCCAACTACTGGGGAGGCTAAGGCAGGAGAGTTGCTTGAACCTGGAAGGCAGAGGTTGCAGTGAGCCGAGATCACACCACTGCATTCCAGCCTTCCAGCCTGGCAACAGAGTGAGACTCAGAAAAAAAAAAAGTATAATTGGATTGTTTGTAGCACAAAGAATAAATACCTGAGGTAATGGATACCTCATTTTATGTAGTGTGATTATTACACATTGCATGCCTGTATCAAAATATCTCATGAACACCTACCACATACCCACAAAAATTAAAAACTAAAAAAAAGTGGTTAGTCAAAAGATGAGAATAGCTAACCAATTTCTTTACAATAAATAAATAATTAAGTAAAAGTCAGAACAGTCATCTCAAGCACAGTTTCACTTAAGTACGCTTTAAGCAAAGGCCTTTGAGAAATATGATTCTGTTGGCAAGTCCATCCGTTTTTGGAGGTGGATGCAAAATATTCATTGAACGAATTCTGCAAATGCCAGTGCCATTTTTTATGACCATCTCATTTGGAGGAAAGGAATGCAACAGGTTATTTTAGTTTTTGCATTAATCTTAAATTTACTTTCTATATTCCAAAGCTGTGATATCCATACAAGCTTCAGATTTTGATTTAGCTTCCCTTATGTGTCTGTCTAGATCAAAATAACACTGGTCATGTGGCATTATGATTAATTAGCATCATTCTCATGAGTTTTTTTTTAATATGAGCCCACTAAACAAAAAGAAATCTGCTTTTAGTGTGAAGACAAAATCAGATTTCAAATCTATAAGTAAGAAAGCTATATTCTGAACTATGGAAAATCACCAGACAAATAAACATTAGAAGACAACCCGTTCCTAACAAGTGCTCTCCCTCTGTCTTTCTCTCTCTGATTCATTATCTAACTTCCTCAAATTTTATAGTGTGTAGTTGATAAACCCTTATTTTATAGAACTGAAATATGCATAGATAAATGTAGTAAATCCTATATCTGATAAGGAATATTTCCTTTGGTTGTCAATTCAGTCAGTCCTTTCATAAGCTTCATGAGTTCTACATAGGTGATTGGTAATCCAAAGATCATGACCTTATGTATAATATAGGTATATATACATAAAATTTCCTAAATATATTCGCTAAAGTAGAGATTACATGCAATATTTCTCCCTGTTTGTAGTCTCATAAACTCACACAGTTGCTTTGTGATCTGGCCATTTTACCATTCATATATGCTGAGTGTTTCTGCAATCTTGACTAATTGATGATATTAAAGTGGAACAGCTAGGGAATCGTAGATAGCTGGATACAGTTGTAACCTAAATTTTTCTAAGTCTAAATTTCTCATTTTATATGTACAGTATGATTGAGACTCTTGAAAATAAAAGATTTCCATGACAAAAAAAAAGTCACTCCTAGAAAAATCAGAATAAAATTTATCCAAGGTGTTACACAAAATGTAATCACCCAAAGGGTCTCCCACTCACTCTTACCCTTTAGAACTTATTGCTGTTTCAGATGTTTTTCTTTGGAGGAACCAAAACTAGAAAAGTTACATGATAAATTATATTTAAATATAAATTTGTTACTAAAAGCTAAACAAGAATGATTCTGTACTTGAATAATGATGACCACAATGACAACTGCAATAATGATGTTGATAAAGCTGATGACAATGATGATGACAGTGACAAAGGTAATGCAAGTATATTGTAATAAATTTTAAAAAATACTGAAGGTTATATAATAAAACATGAAACTCTCATTCCTGCCTCTAATGTCTACTTATCACCTAAAATCACTTTTCAGAATTATCTTTCTCCTATAATGTATCTTGTATATCACAAATAGATCTGCTTCATTCTTTTTAATAACCTCATATTCTCTTAAATAGATGTATTATATTTACCCAATCAGTACTCTGTTCACCATATTTGTGTGAATTATAGTTCCCAGCATGTGGCAATAATGCGAAAAATATGGTTTTATAAACCTGTGTATTTGTTATATCATTTTTTGAGTAGTATGTCTGTGTTGTAACTGAATCTTGAGAAATACTTGCAACACATATGACAAGAGACTCAATACTTTAAATGAGGATAAGCTGCTACAAAGAACAAAGAAAATGAAAAAAAAACTCAACTGAAATATCGTAAAGGAGTATTAATAGATTCACCAAAAAATCCTAAATAAATGACCAATATACAAGTAAAAAATACTCAGCCTTTCTCATCTTTAAATAAGTGAAAATTTTTTAAAAAATTGTGTTTGTGTATGTGTGTTTGTGTGTGTGTCTATGTGTGTGTGTGTGTATGCATGTGTGTGAACTTAACAGATTGGCAAATACAAAAACATTTGTTACCACACAGAATTAGTAAAGTCTTGTCACAGCAGCTGTCTTACATCTCTAATGTTGGAGGGCAGGCAATGTAATGCAATCTCTTTACATGACAGCAATATCTATATGAAATTACAATTAGTACATTTATATTAAACTTTACTGGGACTTTAAATATGCTTTTTGGAGGATTAGGACAAAAAACTGTCAAAAAATTGCTGGAATATGAAACTCATGTCATAAGTATGTACAGCTGAGCTGTGGGGGGGGTGGGTATTCTGTTGATTTATGTATGAGTGCCGCATAAGTTCATTTCAATCACATTCAGTTTATTCACTTGGTTTCATTCTGAAGGAATGAATTCATTCTGATCATTTTGTCTGTGGTTGAGAAAATTGAACTCTAACAGATTGCAGTCCCAGAAGAAATTGCCTAGTGTTAGAGCTGCAAGTAATTGCTAAACTCCCACGTGCCTCAGGGGAGAAAGTATGTCCTTGATTAGAAAAACATGCAAGGAAAAAGAGGCAGTAAGCTCATAGTTAATGGGCAAGATAGCATTCTGTGTTAAGTGCTTTAGAGCAACAAGGCATATTCTTCTCCATTTTTTACTAACTAGAGGATTAATTTATATTGCAAAAGAAATGTTAAAATTCTAATCATTCTTCATCATTAAATAGGAATTCTATGTCTTCTTATTACCATACAGAAGGACATTTTAATTCAAATGAGGTAGATAAATAAATACATCCAAGGGACTTATTTAAATTCACTTAATGTATACTTCTAAATTACATATTTCTGACAATACTGACACAAATTAAACAGGATATTTTACTATCCAATTATGATGAATCCTACAGTCAGAAAATCAATATGCTTTAGCAATATAAGCACTTAGACTCTTTCTGCTGTGCAAGAGACAATTAGTTCCATGTCTTTGAAGAAGAAAAAATATACGTATTTTGATTTATTCACATAATTTTAGATCAGATTTTGATGATAAACCGATACATAACTTTTGTCAATTTAGGTCATCAGAGTGTATATATTAATTTGAAGTCACTTAATATAGGACCAGAACAGAGTTAAGTTTAGATTGTGTGTGTTTGTGTGTGCACGCGCATGAGATTGACCCTTGAACAACATGGGGGTAGGAGCTGTTAACCCCAGTGCAGCCAAAAAAACTGCATGTAAGTTTTGATACCCCATAAACTTAATTATTAATAGCCTACTGTTGACTGGAAGCCTGATATCATAGAAAATGGATTAACTCATATTTTATATTATATCATGTTATATACTATATTCTTACAACAAAATAAGGTAGAGAAAAAAATGTCATTAAGGAAATCATAAAAAGTAGAAAATTTATTTACCATGTGGAAGTGGATCACCATAAAGGTATTCATCCTCATTGTCTTCACATTGAGTAGACTGAAGAGGAGGAGAAAAAAGAGGTCTTGCTGTGTCACAGGTGGCAGAGGCAAAAGAGGTGGAGGAGGTGGAATGGGAGGCAAGAGAGGTAGGAGCACTTGATGTAATCGTTATTGAAAAAAGGATGTGTATAATTGGGCCTATGCAGTTCAAATCTATGTTGTTCAGGGGTCAAATTTAGATAAATAGATAGATAGATAGATAGATAGATAGATAAGATAGATAGATAATGTAGATAGATGATAGATAGATAGATGATAGATAGGTAGATAGATAATGTAGATAGATAGACAGACAGACAGACAGACAGACAGACAGACAGACAGACAGATAGATAGATAGATAGATAGATAGATAGATAGATTAGGCTTTAGCATAAACTGATGCATAATTTTTCTGGCAGCCTAGGTCATCAAGCCATACATATTAGTTTGAAGTCGCTTAATATATTGACTAGAACAGAGTTAATTTTAGAGAGAGAGACTGTGTGTGTGTGTGTGTGTAAGCTCAGACATAAACATACAGAAGTGAAATTGTTCACAAATATTACTACCTGCCCCTTGATACATTAAAGTGTAAGGTACTTATACAGTTGGACTTCATGTAAAGCAAGTTAAGCTTTTTACAGCCTTGTGATTGTGCCTTAACCTAATAACTCTCAAAGGAAATAGTGGATATAACTTAAATGAAGTGCCCTTCTAATGGTATTATTTTTCAGTAAGGTCAAGAAAAGGTTACGTATGTATTATAGTGGGTGCATATAGAGTTACATCTATATCTACTGAAACAGAAATAAAAGAAATGTTTTGGTTAAATTGGAGACTAAATGACCATAACTTTCCTGTGGAATGCCTCAATAATTAAAACTAAGACTTCTTTGTTATTCTAAGTATTGATTCTTGCAAATATTTTTATTTAAAAGACCAATATTGCTTAGTACATTGTACATAATACTTCATGTGATTCGTTCCAAAAACAAATACACCAGGAAGAAAATAGTATTACATTTCTTTTTCACAGTAAGAAAATTAAGCTTTATTGATAGTAGAGAATTTCCTCAATCTTGTAGAACTGGCAAATGAGAAAGTGAATTTTATCAAAATATAATGTAAACTTTTCCAAGAAATATAAATGCAATAAGAAAAAATATATTAAAAAGTTAACAACAGGATATAAGACTACTCTATTTTTTCAAGATCTTAAATAGAAACCTAGCCTTGCCATAGTATTCTTTCATGTCTGCTATCCATTTTGAGAATCATGGAAATATTAAATGCTTTAAAATACAAAATTGATACATTCAACTAATGATTAAATAAACCCAAGGCTTTGTATTACAGTCATACATAATTTTATCACACTTCACTTCACTTGTAGATGTTACTTTTTTTTTTACAAATTGAAGAGTTTGTTGCAACCCTCCATTGAACAATTCTATGATGCCGTTTTTCCAACAGCATGTGCTCACTTTATGTCTCTGTCACATTTTGGTAATTCTCACAATATTTCCAACTTTTTTGTTATTATTATATCTGTTATGGTGATCTCTGATCAATGATCTTTGATCTTCGATGTTATTTTTGTAATCGTTTTAGGGTGACATGAGCCGTACCCATATAAGACAGTAAACTTTGAGAACAAGTAAAACTTTATTAATATTTGTTCTCACTGCTCCATCAACCAGCTGTTTCCCAATCTCTCTTTCTCTTGGGCTTCCCTAGTACTTGACATACAACAATATTGAAATTAGGCCAATTAGCAACCCTATAATGATCTCTAAGGGTTGAAGTAAAAGAAAGATTTTCACATTTCTCACTTTAAGTCAAAGCTAGACATGAGTAAGCTTAGTAAGGAAAACACACCAAAACCCAAAACAGGCTGAAAGGTAGGCCTCTTGTGACAAATAGCCAATATGTGAATAGAAGGTAAAACTTTTTGAAGGGAATGAAAAGGGCTACTCCAATGAATGCATTAATAATAAGAACATTAAACAGCCTTATTGGTGATATGAAGAAAGTTTTAGTGGTCTGGGTTAGAGGTTGGCTCATGAAGTTTAAGAAAAAGTCATCTCCATAACATAAAATTGAAAGTGGAATCAGCAAGTTCTGATGTAGAAGCTGCAGCAAGTTATCCAGAAGATCTAAGATCATTGATGAAGATAGCTACACTAAACAACATATTTTTTTCTCTCAAATAAGGTCTTTCTCTTTCGCACAGGGAAGAGTACAGTGGCATGACCACAGCTCATACAGCCTCAACCCCCTGGGCTTAAGAGATCCTCCCACCTCAGTCTCTCAGTCACTCAAGTAGCTAGCTGAGTCTTGCAAGTGCATGCCACCACACCCACACACCCAGCTATTTTTTTTTTTTTTTCAGAGATGTAGTATTACTATGTTGTTGCCCAGGCTGGTCTTGAATTTCTGCGCTCAAGCAGTCCTCCCACTTTGGCCTCCCAAAATGCTGGGATTATGGGTGTGCACCATCAGGCCTGGGCCAGATTTTTAATGTAGAAGAAATAGCCTTATCTTAAAAGAAGATGCCATCCAGGACTGTCATATCTATGAAGGAAAAGTCAATGCCTGAATTCAAAGCTTCAAAGGACAGGCTGGGCTGACTCTCTTGTTAAGGGCTAATGCAGCTAACGATTTTAAGTTTAAGTCATTGCTCATTTACCATTCTGGAAATCCTATAGCTCTTAAAAATAATGCTAAATGTACTCTGCATGTGCTGTATAAATGGAAAACAAAACCTGGATAACAGCACACCTGTTTACAGTGTGGTTTATTGAATATTTAAAGTCCACCATTGAGACCTACTGCTCAGAAAAAGAGATTCCTTTCAAAATATTACTGCTCATTGACAATGTTCCTGGTCACCCAAGAGCTCTGATGGTGATGTACAAAGAGATTAATGTTATTTTCATGCCTGCTGACACATTCGCTCTGCAGCCCATTGATCAAGACTTTCAAGTCTTATTATTTAAGAAATATAATTTTAAGACTATATCTTCTATAGAGAGAGAATCCACTGATAGATCAAGGCAAAGTATATTGAAAACCTTCTAGAAAGAATTCATTTTTATAAATGGCACTAAGAACATTTATGATTTGTGAATGGAGGTCAAAATATAAGTATGAATAGGAGTTTGAAATAAGTTGATTCCAACCCTCATAGACAATTTTGAGACTTTCAAGTCGGCAGTGGAGGAAGTAATCGTGGATGTGGTAAAAATGGCAAGGGAACTAGAGCTAGAAGATTTGACTGAATTGTTGAAATCTCATGATCACACGTAAATAGATGAGGAATTGCTTCTTACGGATGAACAAAGAAAGTGCTTTTTTGAGATGAAACAAACTGCTGGTAAAGATGCTATGAACAGTTTCAAATTGACAACAAAAAATTTAGAATAAACATAATTGATAAAGCTGTGGCAGGATTGGAGAGGATTGGTTCCAATTTTGAAAGTTCTATTGTGGGTAAAATGCTATATAACATCATCACATGCTATAGAGAAATCTGTTGTAAAAGGAAGAGTAAATAGATGTGGCAAACTTCATTGTTTTTTGATTTTAAGAAATTACCATAGCCACTCCAGCTTTCAGCAGCCACCACCCTGATCAGTCAGCAGACATCAACATTGAGGCAAGACCTTCCACCAACAAAAAAAATTCAACTCACTGAAGGCCCAAATGATTGGTAGCATTTTTAGCAATAAAGTATTTTTTAATTAAAGTAGGTATATTGGTTTTTTAAATGTAATGCTATTGCACACATAATAGACTACAGTGTAGTAGAAAACATAACTTTTATATACACAGGGAAATTAAAAAATGTGTGGTTATCTTTATTGTGATATTCACTTTATTGTTGTTGTCTGGAGCCTAACCCACATTATCTCCTATGTATGCCTCTACTTAAAATTTCAAAGACAAACTTATTTCACATTTTTAATCACTTAGAGGTTTTGGTATATAAGCAATGGTTATAACTCTGGCTAACTTCATAAAAAGGGCTTAAATATTCGGAATCTATCATAAGTTCTCAGGATTTATGGGAGACAGAACAAACAGGTACCAAGGAAGCTCCAGAAGCAACAGTCCTACTTTTATTGTTACTTTCTTTCCATATAGACACAACTGTTTTAGACCACAATTTGCTTAAAGTAACCAAGGACAGTATGACTTTTATAGCAAATATGTAATAGTAATAATTAGGACAAGGAAATAATCAAAATAATAAGAGCTAATTATAATTATATTTTACTATATTCAACACTCTAAATACTCTCCGTGAATTATTTCATTTACTTTTTAAAGAATGTATGAAAAGGTTATTATCCCATGAATAAATTATCTGTATTCTTGGGTATCAAGTTTTACCACCTTGGAAGAAAAAAGTTACTCCTAATTTAAGCTATGGGTCAGCCCGTTGGCTATGCTTGGATAGAGAATGATAGAAACTGTCCTCTCTGGCTTCTATTATGTGATACAGACCTTACCTTTGACCAAAATACAAAATGGGATGAGTAAATACTATTGGAAAGAGGTCTTTTTACGATGGAAAAAAAAACATATACATGTTTACTATAATTAACTTTCAAGTTATTTTATAATTTTTATTAATAAATCTATTGATCAGAAAGTAGAGGAAATGTCTCGGTTAACTTTATGTGCTCATCACTGTATTAATAAATATCTATAGAATAACATATGAGGGAGAAAGAAGGACAAAAAGTCAAGGTCTTGAAGCACCTATTATTTACACAGGGCACTTCAGCTATTTCCTTCAGTTATAACAATCAACTTATAAGGCAAATTTATTATCCAACATTTGTTGACAGTAAACATGATTGGCAACATGTAGTAAAATTAATTTTCTTGCCTCAAGTCACTATAGGGCAGAATTTTGAATCCAGCAAGTCTGTATGAAGGAGTGTAACACATGATATATTACTACTAAGACTTAAATGCTTCTTGTGATAACAAGATACACACACCTGCAATGCCAACCATGTCACTGTCATAAATATTTTTCATATCTTGTTCTTCATTAACATTAGCAGCAGCTTGTTTTAGTTAACTTTCCATATTTTTCTCCCACCTTTTCAAATTATAAAGAATTCATCTTTGTAGCCTTTTCTTGGAAAAAGGTGGAGGCATGTTATCCGGGCCCCACCTATCATATTCAAATAAGTGAGACCTTTGTTTTGATTCTGGGATTTGTTCAGGGCAAGTAAGCATTGCCTTTTCCAGAATAGCCTCAATGTTTTTAAAACATTGTCCCTGTCAGCATAGACTTCAAAACAGACACTTTGGTCTTCCAAGGTTTTCTAAACTCTCTAATTATCTATCTATCTGTCTATTATCTCTATCTATCTATCTATCTATCTATCTATCTATCTATCTATCTATCTATCTAATTTGTCCACCTATCCATTTCCCTCAAATGCTTAAATGAAATACAATTGGTTATAATATTTGCTACTAAGAGGCTGGGTTAGTCAAGGGAAAGCACATAATTGAGTGCTAAACTTCATGATGCACACTACTAAGAATTGCCAAACCTGAAGGGAAAGTGAAATGTTAGGGGAGGTTTCACAACAGAATTGAAAATTTACTGGATCTCTGAAAAACTGGTGGAGTTTAGGATGGATCCCAGGTAAAGAAAAAAAATGGATCCCAGGTAAAGAAAATATTATGAAAAGCAAAAATGTAAAATTTTTATAATTAATGTATAAGCAAATGTGCCTAAATAAAAATCATAAGGATCAGTGTAAAGTATAATCTAGAATTAAGCTTAATAAATGAAATATAAACAAATTTGGGAGACTCTAGGAAAGAAAATTTAGCATTGATATTTATGAAGTACAAAGTTAACTTTAGAGAGCTTGACAAAATATAAGAGGAGATACAATGTAGTGTAACAAATAATTAATGGGGATCGGGAGTTTTTAAGATCATACTAAGTATTACAGAAGTCATGGGACAGTAGTTCCACTTATGTGAGCTATTATATCCTTATCTGAGAAAAGAGGATGTCATGTAACACAATCTAGAATTCCTTTTCAATGTATGATGCTGTGATTGAAGTTCTCTTAAAGGAAGATTAGTACAATAGAATAAATGGATATAAGTAGAGGCAAGAGTCATTCAATTCATCACTGTGTTTGTTGTAATGATCCTACAACAAGGTCCATAAGTAGGCCTTACTTTCCATTGATACACAAAATGGGAAGACTGAATACTCTTAGAAAGAGGATTTGTATGATGAAAAACAAAACAAATATGTGCTTGCTGTGATGATCTTAGACAAGGATAGATACAGAAGGATTAAGAAGAAGGTAATGTAAGGAGAAACCTACATTTTTTGTCTTACTGGATAAATTAAAATATGATTTTATTGCAAGACAGGGAATTTGAGGGAGAGAATTAATTTGCATGAAGATTGTAAATTTTAACATAAGAATATCAATTCTGAGAATTGGATTTTTTAGGGCTATTTTAATTGGAATGTTCAACAAATAATAAGAAAATAACTTTCATTTATTTCATGCTAGGTTTAAAAATTGTTTTTATTCTTTATTTTTTAAATAGGGATAGGGTCTCTCTATTTTGCCCAGCTGGTTGCAAACTCCAGGGCTCAAGAAATCCTCCTGCCTTAGCCTTCCAAAGGGCTAGGTTTACAGGCATGAGCCACCACACCCAGCCTTATACTAGTTTTTATAATAAAATATTAATTTCCCATTTATAGTACATTCTTTAGCCCCCATAGAAGCAAGACAGAGTCCTCAATATAGTCTGTTATTTCAAGGAATGACATTATTATTCCCTAAATTATGAATTGCCCTAGAATCCCCAAATGGCACAAGGGAAAAACAAAAACAAAAACAACAACCACTAGACCATGTCATCCTTTTAAAGTGTTTCATTTGATTGAAATACTCTTGATATGATTTGGCTGTGTCCCTGCCCAAATCTCATCTTGAATTCCCACATGTTGTGGGAGGGACCTGGTAGGAGGTAATTGAATCATGGGGGCAGGTCTTTCCCATGCTGTTCTCGTGATAGTGAATAAGTCTCATGAGATGTCATGGTTTTATAAGAGGAAGTTTCCCTGCACAAGCTATCTCTCTTTGCCTGCTGCCATCCATGTAAGATGTGACTTGCTCCTCCTTGCCTTCTGCCATGATGGTGGGGCTTCTGCAGTCATGTAAAACTGTAAGTCCTTTAAACCTCTCTCCTTTGTAAATTGCCCAGTCTTGGGTATGTCTTTATCAGCAGTGTGAAAACTGACTAATATGGTAAATTGGTACCAGTAAAGTGGGAACTGCTAAAAAGATACCCAAAATTGTGGTAGTGACTTTGGAACTAAGTAACAGGCAGAGGTTGAAACAGTTTGGAGGGCTCAGAAGAAGACAGGAAAATGTGGGAAAGTTTGGAACTTCCTAGAGATTGTTGAATGGCTTTGCCCAAAATGCTGATAGCAATATGGAAAATAAAGTATAGGCTGAGGTGGTCTCAGACGGAAAAGAGGAACTTGTTGGGAACTGGAGCAAAGGTGATTCTAGTTATGTTTTAGAAAAGACACTGACAGCATTTTGGCTCTGTCCTGGAGATTTGTGAAACTTTGAACTTGAGAGAGATGGTTTAGGGTATCTGGCGGAGGAATTTTTCTTTTCTTTTTTTTTTTTTTTTAATTGAGGTGGAGTATTGCTCTGTCACACATGCTGAAGTGCAGTGGCACAATCACAGCTCACTGCAACCTCCGCCTCCCAGATTCAAGTGATTCTCCTGCCTCGGCCTCCCAAGTAGCTGGGGTTACAGGCACATGCTGCCGTACCATGCTAATTTTTTGTATTTTAGTAGAGATGGGATTTCACTATGTTGCCCAGGCTGGTCTTAAACTCCTGAGCTCAGGCAATCTACATACCTCAGCCTCCCAAAATGCTGGGATTACAGGCATGAGCCTCCATGCCTGACTTGGCAGGAGAAGTTTTTAAGCAGCAAAACATTCAAGATGTGACTTGGGTGCTGATAAATGCTTTCAGTTTTATAAGGGAAGCAGAGCAGAAAAGTTCAGAAAATTTGCAGCCTGACAATGTGATAGAAAAGAAAATCCCATTTTTAGAGGAGAAATTCAAGCCAGCTGCAGAAATTTGCATAAGTAACAAGGAGCTGAATGCTAATCCCCAAGACCATGGGAGAAATATCTCCAGGACATCTCAGAGGTCTTCACAGAAGCCGCTTCCATCACAGGCCCAGAGGCCTAGGAGGGAAAAGTGGTTTCATGGGCCAGGCCCAGGGTCCCCATGCTGTTTGCAGTCTAGGGACTTGGTGCCCTGCATCCCAGTTGTTCAAGCCATGACTAAAAGAGGCAAAAGTACAGCTTGGACCACGGCTTCAGAGAGTGCAAGCCTCAAGCCTTGGCAGCTTCCAAGTGGTGTGGAGCCTGCAGGAGCACAGAAGTCAAGAATTGGGATTTGGGAACCTCTGCTTAGATTTCAGAAGATTTATGGAAATGCCTGGGGGTCCAGACAGAAGTTTGCTGCAAGGGTGGGGCCCTCATGGAGAATGCCTGCTGGGCAGTGCAGAAGGGAAATGTGGGGTTGGAGCTCCCACACAGAATCCCTCTGGGGCACTGCCTAGTGTAGCTGTGAGAAGACAGTCACTGTCCTTCAGACCCCATAATGGTAGATCCACTGACAGCTTGCATGGTGCACCCAGAAAAGCCACAGACACTCAGCGCTAGCCTTTGAAAGCAGCCAGGAGGGAGGCTGCACCCTGCGTAACCACAGGGTTGAAGCTGCCCAAGACCATGGGAACTAAGCTCTTGCATCAGCATGAGCTGTATATGAGACAAGGAGTCAAAGGAGATCATTTTGGAGCCTAAAGATCTGATAGCCCCACCAGATTTTGGACTTTCATGGGGCCTGAAACCTCTTTGTTTTGGCCATTATCTCCCATTTAGAATGGCTGTGTTTCCCCACACCTGTATCCCCATTTTATCTATGAAGTAAGTAACTTGCTTTTGATTTTACTGGCTCATAGGCAGAAGGGACTTGCCTTATCTCAGATGAGAGACATTGGACTGTGGACTTTTGAGTTAATGCTGAAATGAGTTAAGATTTGGGGAACTGTTGGGAAGGCATGATTAGTTTTGAAATGTGAGGACATGAGATTTGGGAGGGGCCAGGGGCAGAATAATATGAATTGGCTGTGTCCCCACCCAAATCTCATCTTGAATTTTGAGAGGGACCCAGTGGGAGGTAATTGAATCATGGGGACAGGTCTTTCCCATTCTGTTCCTGTGATAGTGAATAAGTCTCACGAGATCTGATGGTTTTATAAGGGAAGTTTCCCTGCACAAGTTCTCTCCTGCCTGTTGCCATCCATGTAAGACGTAACTTGCTCCTCTTTACCTTTCACCATGATTGTCAGGCTTCCCCAGCCACGTGGAACTGTAAGTCCATTAAACCTCTTTCTTTTGTAAATTGCCCAGTCTCAGGTATGTCTTTATCAGCAGTGTAAAAATGTACTAATACAAATCTTTATTATTTATTTTGTATTTCTAGCATTTATGTAATAAAATTATCACAATCAGGTCACTTTTGTACTTAGACTCAAAGTATTAGAAAAAAATCTTGAAATTTATATACCTAAGAAACATTTTTTTTACTGTAAGCATATATAGAAGATTTGTGATTATGTTTTGAAAACTTTTATTTTACATATGTATGTATGTATGTATGTATGTTTTATAGATATTATATTTGAGGCTGGTCTCAAACTCCTGGTCTCAAGTGATCCCCCCACCTTGGCCTCTCAAAGTGCTGGGATTAAAAGCAGGAACCTTCCCTCTCTGCCTGAACATTTTAAAATAAGTATTTCTAACTATAGATTCTGAATCACTAAAGGGACCTTGAGAGTCTCATAGACCTAATTATAATCACCCTGAAGAGATAGTTTTCTTGTTTTTTAGATTTTCAGGGAAAAAATTTACAAATTGCCTTTATTTATTTGTGCTAATACTCTTGGATGGCATAAAATTCTTGTATACACACAAAAATGTCTTTGTTCTTCGAGTTGAGGCCAGTTACTTTTTTCTGTTCTCAGAGACAACTAAGAGTTATTAATCACTAACCTTCATAATATTGTCCTTCAAATAAAGGTGATTATGAGATCATTATTTTTATGATGGAATAAATAATACTAATTTCTACTTCTATCCCCATAAAAATCTGAAGAACTCATAAGAATTGTCAATAGACATATTAGAAACCTTCCAACTTCACTAGTCATTGAAGTATAGTAAATTACACTGAAAGCAAGATGTCTGTTTTCACTATCAAAATGGCCACCCCTCTTCTTTTTTTGCACATTCACAGTCAATGCTGATAAAGATGTAGTAAATACCCTTGAACCTCTGAGGTGGGAAGTATGATATTATTGTGCAACCTTTCTAGTAAGCAATTTCTTTAAAGTTATTCATCATTGTCTCTGGTTCCACTTCCAGGGATATGAGTTGTCTTACATCAGCTTCCATAACACTTACATTTTCTTAAGTGCATGTTTGACTTAAATTAGAAATCAAGCCTGAGAAGAGATTTGGTTGTAATAATTTATTGACTCTTTTGACTTTTTAATTATGGCCATTCTTCAAGAGTAAGGTGGCATCTCATTGTGGACTTAATTTTCATCTGGATGTGGTGAAACGGGAACAATTTACACTGCTGGTGGGAATGTGTAAACTAATACAACCACTAGGGAAAACAATATGGAGATTCCTTAAAGAACTAAAAGTAGAACTATCACTCGATCCAGCAATCCCACTACTGGGTATCTACCCAAAGGAAAAAAAGTCATTATATGAAAAAGACACATGCACACAAATGTTTATAGCAGCACAATTCGCAATTGCAAATATGGAACCAACTTAACTGCCCATCAACGAACGAGTGGATGAAGAACATGTGGTATATATACACCATGAAATACTACTTAGCCATAAAAAGGAATAAACTAATGTCTTTTGCAGCAACTTGGATGGACCTCAAGACCATTATTCTAACTGAAGTAACTCAGGAACGGAAAACCAAATATCATATGTTCTCACTTACAAATGGGAGCAAAGTTATAAGGATGCAAATGCATAAGAATGATATAATGGACTTCGAGGACTTAGATGCGGAAGGGTGGGAGGGGATTGAGGGATAAAAGACTACATATAGAGTACAGTGTACACTGGTCGGGTGACAGGTACACCAAAATCTCAGAAATCACCACGAAAGAACATCCATGTGTCCAAAACCCACGTGTACCCCCCAAAAATTTGAAATAAAAATATAAATTAGTTATAAAATAATACTAATAATTTATTGACTCAATGTAGGAAGAGAAACAGTATGGGAATAGAGAAAGAGCCAAAAGGGGGTAAAGATTCATCTAAGGTAAAGTCTGTACCTGGCGCTCCTGAGATGCCATCTTAGCTGCCAGTACCAGGAGCTGGGGAAGGGCTAAAGTTGAACATTAGGAACCAACACTCATATTTACGGGGAGATGGGCACATTGGCCCAATAAAGAGGATTCAGTCAGTATACCAAAACAGATCTACCGCATAGTTTTGGAAATAATCACAAATGTGTACTTAAGATTTTGTGTATAGATGGTCACTACACTGTTAACACTAATTAAAAATTGGTTTTTGGTTCTTATATTGTTTTTTCTTTTAAGTAGTACAACTTTTTTAGTTCAGTAGTATAAGATCTCTATTAATTTGGAATAAAGGATAAATGGAAGAAAAAAATATGAAAACAAGATAGACTTTCATCTCACAAATTTAGTTATTAAGCTGATATTTTTAAATTAAATTGCTAATATATTAAATTACACAAAAACGAAGAATTTAATATGTCTCATATTTGTGTTGTTTTGTATCAGAGCCAGACACACAATTTGAATGACCCAGTGCAAAATGAAAATGTGAAACCCCTTGTTAACAATTATTAAGAATTTCAAAACAGCAACAGCAGAGCCATAAACCATGATGACCTTTTAACTGTGGGGACTGTTTAACTGCACAGATCATATGCCCACAAAATCTGTCCTGCCCTGGGAGCAGACTACAATTTTAAATGGAGAGGATTTCAATTTTGATATATTGCCATGTGCTGGTGATGATTTCTTATGTTAGATAAGTACCTGCATATACAATAAACCCTTTAGATTCTAAATTTGTGGCAGTTTCCCATTTCATTTATTTATTAAATGAGAAGATAATAAATTTAATATTGTAATAAAAGATACGTTTGGAGAATAAATAACTTATAAACTTATATTTAAAAGATATCCACAATTTTTAAAAGTTGAAATATTTTTGGAATGTATACATACAGAATTTATGCTTCTTTACCCTGCAACAATAAAATACAACATTCCAACTCAAAAAAATATATAAAAGGATGGCATAGGGAGCAAGAAAGTGTTTTCTGAAATTAAGATGTTTATCAGTTCTCGATCCATGAATAACATAATCAATGACTAACCATAAAAAATAAGAAAAACTTCAGACAGTTTGTATAAGTCAACAGGAGAAACTCAAAAAACGTGGGGAAAGAAATATGCTGGGCTGTGTTTTATCAGCACAAGAGCAATGAGTCATTTAGGGGATGCTGGAATCTCTTGAGTAAGATCCACTTGACAAAGCATTTATGCCATCTGATGTCACTGTGACTCATGACGAAACTATTATTTTTGAAAACTGGCTTGTTTTCTTTAGCATGAATCACTAACTTGAGTTTTTAAAAATATGTTCATCTTCTAGCCACAGTAGAAACAAAATTAATTTTGAGGAAGGTGAGAATCGAGTAGCCAGGGTGCTTATAGTCTCAAGTCAGGTACCAGGAAGGAAAAGCTCTACTGAGTTCACACATAAAAGGTAGCTGCCGATTGTAGACAATTTTGCCTCCTCTGGCTCCATTCTCTAACAGAGTCTATATTTTTCCACCACCCAATACCTATCGATTTATAACATTAAGCCAGAAAACAAAAAGCCATCCTTCCCCTATAAGACGAGTAATAAGCATTGATAAAATCATTTCATGGATAGAAATTTTGTTAAAAGTTTAGCATTGTGACATTTTAGTCCATCTGCAATTTTCTACTATTTATTCTGAAACTGTCTGTAGACCCAGTTTTGATTCTATTTAATCGTTATGGAATTGTTCCACTCAAATACATAAGGCTGCACACACATACACACACACACACACACCATGCTATTTATACAATTACATTAAGGGATTCCACTTATGTTGAAAATAACAGTGTTACTGTTAACTTGTGTCTTCTTATGTATAACAGATGGTTTACATGTTGTTTTTTAAAGAGTAGATTTGATATAAAGGTAGCTATGAGACTGTACAACTCCCTCTGTGAGTACTGTTGATTTTGATGAATTGGTTCTTTTTTCTCCCAAATGACAATATGTTCAAACAGCTGTTGAACATTCAACCAACAACTATTAGGGTGACCCTACCCTCTGAGGATGTATCATCTTATTCTGAAAATATTCATTCATCTTTTTGGGTTCTCACATCATAATGAATGCATCTGTTATAAATTAATATTATAAAATTAATATTTGTGGAATTATAAGGGCTTCTACCTCTATAGTAAAGATATGTATTTTTAACTTTTTGAAGACTATATGCTACAAGAAAGGATAGTTTCATGAAAATATTGAGTAAAGTTAGGAAATGAATAGTTATGAATGCAAAAACATTAGCTAAACTATTTTCTGAGCTTTTACAATGTATTAGTAGTTTTATATATATGAGTTCATTTTATTTTCTTAAAAACTCCTATGAAGTCAGCACCATTGATATCTCTATTTTAAGGATGAGGAATCTGAGGCTTGAATAATTTTAGTAACTTTTCCAAAGTCCCATAGCTTGAAAGTGAAGGAGAAAAGATTTGACTTTAGGCCTCAGCACCTACGGACTTATGTATTACATTATTATGTAATTCAGAGCCCCCTTTAGTTATTAATTCATATTTTAAACATTTATTATATTGGCCTGTGATGTAGACAGGTATGCTAGAAGCATATTAGAAAATGGTTTGCACATAGTATGTTTTATTGCATCATGTGAGTCCTCACGAGCATTGCAGAAATTTCATATAGGAAGCAACAGCACTAAATTTTATTATCATCTTAACAAAAATTTAACTTGAAATTTTTATAGAAAGCTAAATCTGATAGGCATCCATTGAATGGATAAAGGACATCTATTCCAATTATGGAAATTAAGGGACAAAATAAAGACAGAGAGAAAATACTTCAGTATTTTTACCAAAATGCAGGTTAGCATTTCACTTTTTTGTTGGCTTAAGTCTCTTCTACCTCCATATATAAGTTGCACTTTGAAGACAAGTATACTAATGTTCTTGTGTTATGTTCTCAGTGTCTACCTCAGTATTTGACATGTGGTTAATTTACAGTAAATACATACAAAGCAGGGAGGCAGAGAATGATATTGTTTGGCTGTGTCCCCACCCAAATCTCATCTTGAATTGTAGCTCCTGTAATTCCCACGTGTTGTGGGAGGGACCCGGTGGGAGATAATTGAATCATGAGGGTGGTTTCCTCCATACTGTTCCTGTGGTAGTGAATAGGTCTCACAAAATCTGATGATTTTATAAGGGGAAACTCCTTTCACTTGGCTCTTCATTTGCTCTTTGCCTGCCACCATGTAAGACATACCTTTCGCCTTCCACCATGACTGTGAGGCCTTCCCAGCCATGCAGAACTGTGAGTCCATTAAACCTCTTTTTCTTTATAAATTACCCAGTCTCCAGTATGTCTTTATCAGTAGTGTGAAAATGGAATAATACAGAGAAGGAGTGAGGAAAGAGGTGGAAGGGAAAAAGGAAGGAAGGAAGGAAGGAAGGAAGGAAGGAAGGAAGGAAAGAATTAAAGTAGGAAGGAAGAAAGGGTAGAAGAAAGATGTAACGAGAATAAGAGAGAAATTATTTAAGAAGATATTAAAACAATAATAGCTATTATATGAGGAGTTAGAAAAAGAGGGCTTTAACCATAAATGAACAGAAACTTTTCTTAAGTTCACTTCATAACATACAGCATATTTGAGAAATAATTAGAAGTTGTGATAATTTCACCATGTCACATGGAAACTTATCTCGTTATGTTTAATTCAAACTTTGTATAATTATATATAATTCCTAAATAGCCCTTTACTTTTAAAAGTGGGTAATGATATAACAATAAAACTAATTTATTCAGGCATGTTTATCCCCACACAAAATCTTTTAAACAAGTTTTCAAGAATCTGAATTTCAGTTATAACAGCTGTCTTTTCTATTACTTAAACATACTTTGTAATTTTTTTCTTAAAGTAAACTACCATACCAAGAAAACAGAAACAAAAAAGCAAGCATGCTAATTTGTACACTTAGAAATTAAAGTAGAAGCTATTCTTGGAGAGGGAGTGGCAGTAGCTGATGGGTGAGGAGCATAAGGGAAGATTCTGGCTGTTGGTTATGCTCTGTTTCTTGATCTGGGTGCTGATTATATTATTGTTTGGTGTTTGTGCAAACTACCAAGCTGTATGTTTTTCTGTATGTATATTATACTTGAGTAAAAAGTTTAAACTTTTAGAGAGTCAATCTTGCTCCATGTTGTGGTTTGTGCAAACATCAAGGCATAATCACAGAACAAAAAAATTTAAGACCCAAGCTTCAATCGCAAAGCTGACAGATTTCTACACTTAGGCTCTTAAGCATTATTCTTGTGCTCTTTTCTTGTCCTAAGCAATATTTACTGTACACACAGCTAAGGAAGTCTACTCCTTTTACTCTGTCACTATAATATGCTTTAGCTAGACTTATTTGATGTCTTAGATCAGCATCAGTTTTAGATTATTATTCTGTGTATGAATGGTTAAAGTTTAGTAATCATGTTACCTAAATTTCAAAAGGGAAAATATTGGGCTTTTACAAAAATGTACTTTCAAATCAAGTAGTTTTGTTGTGTTTCTGAAAAGGAAAGAGCAAACAAAACTAGAAATTGTGCTACTGAAAAGGAAAGAGCAAACAAAACTAGAAATTGTGCTATTATTTGCTTCAATTTATCCACCTGAGATTAGTTAATCTACTCATAATGTAAGATGTGTTGTTTCAGGCAGATAACTATATAATATGTTGGTATGTTGTATTTTGTTTGTTACTATTGTGAAAAATAGTCCCACTGGTTTTCCAAAAGATACAGTAAACTGCCCACTAATTGCCAAAGGTGTTTATAAACCATCAGTCATCCCATACAGGAGGTACATATAAACATTAAACAGGACAAACTATTAATTTACTATTAATTAAAACTACTGAATTTGTGCCAAATTAATTCAAATAAACATAAAAATTAAGAAATAAACCATTTTGGTGGACAACAGTGCAATTTTAGTTTATATATTAACTACTGCCTCTGCTTCATATGTTGGCCCTACCTAATATTATCTTTTTTTATTCCTTTTGGTGGTGTTCATTAATCTTTGAAAGCAAACATGAAAAAATATAAATCATCTCATTTAGTATCTTGCCCTTGCAAAAAAGATAGTAACTTTAAAATGAAAAGCAGTAAAAGGGTAAATGTACTGGCATGCTGGATCTATTCAGCTCTTCAATTCCTTTCCCTTCTGAAAAATGAAGGGGGTAAACTCATTGAGAAGTTATTAATAGTTTGCCAATTGATTCATATGTCATTGCACTATACAAAATTTGTAGAAAGGAGAAAAATGGCTTTAATATATTTGAATGCTCTGTGCAACAAATGTCCTATTCCTCTGATAAGTGGTAGCTGTCAACTGATGACAGATACATGCCTTATAATAGGGAGATGCCAGTTACCAAGTGAAAGATAATGTTTCATATATTTGAAAGTTAAGTTGAGATGGGGATAAGACACTAGTTTACCTAGACTTCCACTGTAAACAAAAGTATGCTAGTTTTGGGAGAGTTCGGGTATTCCCTGCCCTTGAAATATGCAGTTGATTCTTCCTACCTCCTAGCACTATATACTATAATCTAAGCTGTTGTCATTGTAGTAGTGATAGATTTGCTCTAATAATGAAAATGAATTTGCTTTAACCCAATCATGGTTTCTCATGGTTTGTGACAACCTGCAATTGAAACTGACCTCAGAATGGGAAAAAATAATCAAATGTTGTGCTCTTTTTTTGGCCAAAGGACTTCCTCTGCCTTAGAGCACAATTTTTTTAAAAAACAGACATCAAGAAGAAAACTTGTAATTATAATTATTACAAAAAAAAAAGCTCAGAAAGACAAATTTGAAGCAAATATAACAAATTACAACAAACTACACAGAGTTCATTCTTAAACACCTTATATAAGAATATAAATTCAATAAAATTTGAAAAAATAGAAATATCATGTCAATAATTTAAAACATTGATACTACAAGAGAAAGCAAGAATTTTGTATTAAAACTTAGTTTTCCCTCACCTTTAGTCCTAACCCCTTTGTTCCTTTTCCATGACTAACAGTTCTGATATTATTTCCTTTCTGAATTGTAGGTTGCCTTGCAATTATCTTCAAAATTTGAAGAAGTAGATTATGCTGTCAGAAATACATAGCATATTTTGTTAGTCTTGATTAGTGATTTTTTCCTGATAAGTATTTCAAAAGCCTAAAATGCTAAGTTGTGAGGTTTTCTGAGAGAAAATAAAAACTCATCTCTTGGAAAGTCATTACTTTATAAATTGTTTTTATTCAAACAATGGAAGATAACATAAAAATCAGCTGAAACATGAAATAAGAGGAAAAAAGTGCAAGAAATAAACACTCAAGGTGAGCCTCAACAAATCCATAACTTAATGGAAACCTAATTTTACATACTTATATATGTATGGGTAGCATGAATATTTTGATGATTTTGCAGTGTCTAATTCTAGAACGTTCTTGTTTCAATACTGTTTCTACTTCACAGTTTATTATTAGGAAATTTGATATAAATTTTTGGCTAAGTTTTATACTCTTCTCTTCCAGGTTTCTTTTTCCCTTACTATCCTTTCTGAAAATTTATGTTAACCAGTTATTTTAATCAGGAGGAATTTCATCCCCAGAAGACATCTGGCAGTGTCTGTAGACGTTTTTGTTGGTCATAATGGGGGATGGGAAGGTTGTATTCTCTATTGATACAAACTAATGATGCTGTTAAATAGCCTACAATGCATAGGCAAGCCCCCCACAACAAAATTGCCGGGCTTTAAATGCCTAACACCATTGTTGAGAAACCCTGATCTAAACCATGATGGTAAAATAAACTCTGTAACTGACCCATTGTTTATGTTTTTTTCTAAACAAACAAACAAATGTTCTCAGTATTTCAATAGTTCTTGTGTTGGTTACCTGTTGTGGTATAAAAGCCCCAAACAGTAGCTTAAAACAGTAGCAATCAATTATTTTGTTCATGAACTCAGCAGTTGAGTGGGCTCAGCATGTGAGTGTTTGTCTCACCTGTGTCTTTCATGCAGCAGCAGTCACACAATGTCTGAGGATGGGGTTATCTTAAAAGGCCTATCACTTGCATAGCCAGGGCCTGGGCTAGAAAGAATTAAACAACTAGTGCTGAAACAGTAGAGGCTGCATGGACATCTCCTCTCTGTATATGGTTTCTTTACTTGATCTCTCTACATCAGGGGTCCCCAATCCCCTGACCATGGACCACTACCCATCTGTGGTCTGCTAGGAACCAGGCTGCACAGCAGGAGGTGAACAGCAGGCAAGGGACCATTACCACCTAAGCTTCACCTCCTGTCAGATCAGCGGGGTCATTAGATTCTTATAGGAGCAAGAACCAGAACCCTATTGTGAACTGTGCAGGTAAGAAATCTAGGCTGCATGCTCCTTATGAGTGTCTAACTAATGTCTGTTTATCTGAGGTGGGTCAGTTTCATCCCCAAACCATCCCACCCCCTCCATGGAAAAATTCTTTTCTATGAAACTAGTCCCTGGTGTCAAAAAGTTTGGGGACCACTGCTCTACACGGTGGCCTTAGGGTACCTGGGTTTCTTTACATGATGGTTACGTTCTTAAAGAGACAATGTCCTCAAAAAGACTGGCACAAGCTGAACAAATGTTTCTCTAAAGTTGCACAGTATTTTTCTACCATATTCTGTTCTTCAAGTTAGTCACAATATCCTGTCCAGGTTCAAGGAAAGTTAACATAGCCCCTACCTCTTAAATGAATGAAGATTGTCAAGAACTTGAGGGCATGGTCCACCTTCGTATCACAAGTACTTATACTTTCACTACGTGCAAAATACACTCACTCCCTCTCAAGACTTTCAAATGTCTCATATATTGTAATATCACACTCAGGTTTGAGGTTTTAGTATCCTGTTATCTAAATGAGATCCATGCACGTAAGAAGCTCTGTGCCTGTGGTTGTTTCAGTACAGCTCCTTCAGTGCTGTTTCTCTCAACCTGTAGATCTATGATCTAAAGAGACAAGTTATCTGCCCACCATATAGCTAACATACAATGATGGCTCACATATAGAAGAACTGATACAATTCCATTCAAAATAGGTAAGATGGGAGGCAATCAGAGTCACTGATTCATAGCAATTCTGAAATCCAGCTGAGTACATGTTGCCAGTTTCTTGATGATGGCTCAGTCTTATTGCCTAGGAATGATTTATCATACCTCTTTGGTCTGCCTTCTGGGTCTTGATTTTGTTGTCTGAATCATCCTTCCTTTTACATAAGAAGTGACTGGTGTTTGCAGCTGAGTGTTCGCAGCTAGCTTTCTGCTCACAGAAATCCTGAAATCCAACTTCCTTTTAAATTTATACTGTCCCTGTTCTTGCATTCCCACCTGATAAAATTTCTTTAAAACTATGTGGGTTTTCAATGAATTAATGTGCAATTCTTTCTATTAGAAAAAATACACACTCACAGATCTCAAGGATGTTGTGGGGAAAGTCTTTGAAGTTATTAGATCTCCTGTTATTTTACAGAGATTATCTGTGAGGAACAACCTTGGCATCATTAAAAGACTTCTTGACTCTTTGAGAGAGTCTACAAAACTTAACCTTAGGTCTTTTGGGATCCTTAACAGAGGGCTATCTTGAATTTGATCTTTCATTATAAAACATGTCTTAATTTAAAAATATTTTGCAAATGAGAGAGCCTTGGACTGAGAAATATTGTGGTGGTGGACAGGTGGGGGAAAGGAACAAAGAAATTCTGATTTCTTTCCATTTTCTCTAAATATGACTTAAGATTAAATGTAAACTTTTCCAACTTTCTTGCTTTGTTATCTCTCTACATGGCATCCTCAGGGTTGCTGGATTTCTTGGTAGCTAAAGTCTCCGAAATCATGTGTTCCAAGAGAGACCTACAGAAGCTGCATGACCTTTTATAATCTAGCCTCAAAGTTATGCAATATCAATTATTCTTCAATGTATTTATTGAGACAGTCCTACAAAGCCCTCAGGTTCAAGGTGGTGGAAACAGACTTGACCTCCTAATGGGAAGGAGAGTCAAAGAGCTGGTGACATTTTAAACTACTGCAATGTTCTATATGTTATGTTTATTTTAAAGTACTACCCCAATTAGGTCCTATTAATATTAACATCTATATCATCTGTTCATGATTCAAGTTTTTCCCATCATGATCTAGCTCCTTACTCCCTATATCTCCTTTTAAAGTCTCACTCAATCATCCAACAAAAATTATTAAAGATGGCTTACCTGGATCAGGAGCAATAAGAAAAAAATTAAATACAGGACATGATTTACGACCTTAAGGCACTCATAAGTTAGTTGAAGAAAATTCTAAAATATGAAACACAATTCTAGACTATCAACTGATATAATAGCATGTTAAAAATGAAATTTGGATTTAGTCATTATAAAGTAGAGGCATTGTTTATAGAAATTCAAGAAGATAATTAAAATGAATCCTCTCACTCACATCAAAGATACATGGTGGTTGAGAGTTGGGAAATAATAAACCATAATATTTAAGGAAGATGTCTTTGGAGAGAGCTGAGCAATAAGTTGTATACTCTGCCCTTCCTCATACTCCCACTTACATACTCACATGAAAAAATGGAGGGTAAAATTAATCCCAAGTTGGTGAGAGAAACTTTGACCAATCAAGAATCTCATATGTGTTTGCTGATAGGTATGGGGCCAATGTAGAATGGTTATTGACTCATGCTTGAAAAACTAAAGGGGAAACAGAGAAGGTGGCAAGTGTGAAATAATCAGTTTTGCCCCAGTGATGTGTCAAACGTGCAAGAATGTGATGCACCATGTGTGGATCTAGCAGGAAGCACACTGGCCTGTAATCATTTAAAAAAGAATCTTGTCAAAAAGAATGACCTTGCAGGACCTGAAGATTTTAGTCAAGGCTTGGGTGCATTACGTCAACATTTGAGGATTAATTAGAAGAAACATAATTAAGAGAGGCCCTGCGCACACCAAGAGAGAGGGAATCTGAGAAATTTGAGACAGCCATAGAAATGCACCATAAGAAAAAAAAAAGTAGACTAGCGCAATTCATCTGGCTCAGAAGGCTTGGATTCACCTTTAAAATGTTCTTATCCACTTTCCTCTCTTCTTTCCCCTACCTTGACCGTAGATTCAGAAGAATCTTTGGCTAGCAAGTTTAGCATGGATTGGGGAGCTAGGGAAGACTGAACTATCATTTATCTGCCTTACATTACAAAGTCCCTTAGTGAGGAGGAGGAAAACACTTCAAATCAGGTTCAGAATTTGATTATTCTATGGGGTGGTTTATTCAAATTTTGCAGAATTGGGACTGTTTTTGCCTTAAAGTGACCATAAGGCTTTATATAACGTAAGATTGAACAAAAAAACACACGCAGTTTGCCAGAGGGTCCAAGCTGGGTCCCTGATTGTTTAAGTCTATTTATGTAGCACGCCATGCTTCAATGAAATCTAATACTGTATGTTTTAAAGGAAAATATTCAAATCTGTGATTGCGACATTTGATGCAGGTAGAATGGTTAGCCCAGATATTATTAATCTCATGTCATTCAATGATAGAACTGTGGATAATATTTATTTCCCTGGTGTTGCTAAATCACCCCATATGTCAAGCTCTTACATCCTAGATTAAGCAAATATCAACATAAATAACAAGGACAGTAAATAGAAGAATGTTATGGCTGGGTGAGCACTTCAGCACTTTTCAGTCATATTTTAGTAATGGTTCTGTTCTCCCAGCAGTGAGCTCAAGAACTAGAGAAATGAGGATGACAGCAGGAGGGAGGGCACTGTTAACTGTGCATGACAGGAAGCAAGCATGGAGCAAACCGAAAGAGGGAACTGTAGCATTGCTACAGGCCAGAGAAGACTCTGAGCATGCATCTTTTCCCAAAGATCCTAAAGGACAGAGTAAAACTGAGCCAGTGTCCTTACAGCAGTTAAACATCTGAAGTTGAGGCCCATCCTGTAGATGCCAACAAAAGATTGAAGATTTATAATTCTATTGTGGGGCCTTTTCTTGGTAATGAACTAACTTGCTGAAAAAGTAAACACACACACACATTATAAAATATATATATTGAAATGCTTTATTTTCCCATATCTTAATACATTTTGTGAACACATAGCACACTATCAAGACCACCTCAAAGACTGACCTGGAGGTCCCAAAGTATCATATCCTACCAAGTCAATAGTTTTTAAGGGATTTATCAACAGTCAACCATAAAATAATAACAGAGCTTTTGTTAAAACAGAATATATTGGCTGTTGTTACTAAAAGATTCTACATCTCTATTCATATCTCAGCATTGCTTTACTCTGTTCCCTCAGAGTAGCAAATAAAAACAAAAGCAGTTACCTAATTTGGTTTATTCACACACCTCAAAAATTAACTCTAGGTCAAATGTCTATTCCTCATTCTGGCTTTGGAGGTTATAAAGGGATGGAAACTGGGTCCTTACTAGTTGGTATACATAAAATTGTCTGATACATTTTAGTAGGGAGCATATGGTATGCATATGGAAAATATAGGTCCACCATATGCTGGTGTTAAACCCAGGTGTCGTCCTATTAATTATTTGTGTTTCTTGAGAAGAATACAGAGACATATGTGCAATACTGGCATTGAATTCATGTTCAAATCTGTACAACTATTTTATACATGATAGCCACATCACACAACATTTATTCAGTATTGTTTATATCAATTGACTAACAACATTGTCTCTTACTACTCTGAATTTTAAGAATATCAAACAACTAATGTTGCTAGTTTCATCGTTGTTCCTCAGAAATTTATAAATAAATAATTACAGTGTATGACTTCCTACATAAATTCCCTAAGCCACTGTGGATGTTATGGAAATAAAATGTCTATCTTAGACAAGAAACATTTGTTAAGATAATGTGTTAGTTTTCTAGGGCTGCCAAAACATAGTGCCACAAACTGATTGGCTAAGAACATCAGAAATTTATTGTCTCACAATTCTGGAGGCCAGAAGTTTGAAATCAAGATGGCCCTTTGAAGGTTCCAGGAAAGGATCTGTTTCAGGCCTGTCTCCTGGTTTTGGCAGCCTCGGGGGCTCTTTGTCTGTCGCTGGCCATCTTCTTGCTGTGTTTCTTCACATTGTTTTCCCTCTGAGTAAGTCTGCATATCTGAATTTCCCCTTTTAATAAGTACCTATTATATTGAACAAGGGCTCACTCTAGTGACCTCATTTTAACATGAATACCTCTGTAAAGGCACTATTTCCAAATAAGGTCACATTCTATGGCATTGGGGAACAAATACATGAGTTTGGGGGGGACACAAGTCAATCCCTGAAGGACAGTCTCCTTTTCCTTATCATTTTTTCTAACAGTTTAATTTTTAAAGTATTTCAATTAAAATGTTAAAGTGCTATTGTAACATTTTTCAGTTCTCTGGAGATTGTAATACAAATAAAATGTAACAACTGCCTTAAATTTCATTGGTAAATAGGCAAAAAGCATGTAATTAAACTGTTTCTCTCTGAAAAGATTTCTGAAATTGTGTGTTCACAAATTGTGTATGTGTAAGTCTTGTTTAGATAACAATTAAAATAGGAAAGCAAAGTTTTTCCTTAATTTGAACATGTATTTGTTCGATACAATACCCATGCATTATAAATTTAACTTTTATAACATACTGAAAAACTTCAAACCTGTATAAAAAAACATTTTCATAGATTTTACCATATATATAATGTATATATCTTTTAAGTATGAAATGTTGCCTTTATGATTTAAAATTCATTATTAATTATGGTTCAAAATAGTTTATGGCAAATGAGCACTCCAACACCCAATGATTCTTTTAAATTCTTGACTTCAGGATGCATACACCTATTTAATGATCTCCTCAGCACTGTTGTGTCTCCCCAAATTGTAATGCTTTAATGATGCAATTGGTCTTTGATAAAATTATAGGCATCTCTAATAATTTTCTGAAACTGATTTTTGCTCAATAACAAGTGTTTCAAAAACTGGGTCATCCAATGCTTTAAATTTGTTGTTATTACTTGCAGAGCCATCTTTTGGGACCCCTACCTCCTCTGGCCTACCATATTATATGGGGTATTTAAACAGCAGCATTATGTGTAGGTTGATTATGATATTTTTTCACTAATAATAACTATTAATAACTACCTGAGCTTCTACATAATAGATGCAGTAGCTGGAGTGACATATTGGTTCATTCATGTGACATTCAAAATGAAAATAAGATGTGCTATGTTTGAAAGACAGCCTTTGATTTTGGTGAAATGTCATGTTATAATGTCAACATAAGTTATTTGTTAATTTACTGAAAGCTTAAAAATCAACATTATCTCTTGAACTTATTCTTCCTATCCAACTCTAACTTTTCATCCTTTGACTAACATTTTCCCAACATTACTGCACCCAAAGCAGGCCAGCCTCTAGTAACCACCATTCTACTCTGTACTTCTGTGCTGAAAGCGGATGTTAAGTGTTCTTACCACAAAAATGATAACTATATGAGGTAATGCATTTTTTTAACTAGCTAGATTCAACCATTTCACAATGTATAAGTTCTTTGAAACATCATGTTTTACACAATACATAAAACTTTATCTGTCCATTTAAAATAATCAGCATCACCTGAATTTAATAGGATCTCTCACAGTGATTAATAGCTTAACAACTAGTGTTTTGAAAGTCAAAACATCTGAATATTATGGAATTGCCTAGCATTTTATTTGCTTTATTATATGCTGTAAAAGAAAGTACTTAAACTGAGGAACTGACTTCCTTAGAAGCTAGAGTACACCAGATTTTCCTCCTTTTCCCTATTTTTTAATGACCAGGGAGCTGTGTGAAAATTGTTACTTAATTTGTTCTCTGTTAGTTACGTACCAGTTCTCTGAATCTCAGTGAAGAATATCACATCCTTAGCCTTAAACAACTTGGGTGAAAGTGACAATGATTTTGAGTCAGACCAGACAACATTAAAGACTCCACAAAAATGGGATAAACACGGAGGCTAAAACATCAGCGCCCCCTGACATTTTTGTTTTGTTTTGTTTTTTTGGTAGAGACCGAGACCTTCTCTGTCACCCAGGCAGGGAGTATAGTGGGCGATCTCGGCTCACTGCAACCTCCGCCTCCTGAGTTCAAGCAATTCTCCTGCCTCAGCCTCCCGAGTAGCTGGGATTACAGGCGCACGCTGCCTCGCCCGGCTAATTTCTTTTGTATTTCAGTAGAGATGGGATTTCACCGTGTTGTCCAGGCTGGTCTAAAACTCCTGAGCTCAGGAAATCTGCCCGCCTTGGACTCTCAAAGGGCTAGGATTACAGGCGTGAGCCACCGCGCCCGGCCCAGCGCCCCCTTTTTATTTTGTATACAACCATGCTGTTGTCACATTTGTGATTAAAATACAGTAGACACAAATTACGACTTTATAGTAAGATGCTGAAGAATTCTGGCTTTTCAAACAACCTTTCCAAATGTGGAAAGTTGCATTATGGTTGCATTTTTCCTAGACTTTTAGGAATTAACTGCTTTACCTCTAGAATAAATATGATAGAATACTTATGAATATTAGAGAAAATATACAATCACACTTCAAATCCTTCACAAAAGAATGTCCAGTGTCTAAAGACTATGGATCGTTTCCAATTGAAACTGGAGCTCCTTCAAATGCTCATCTCAAAAATTCAGATAATTACAACAGAAACATCATCTATCATTTGACAAAAGACAGTTTAAAACATTGGAAATTTGAGCAAGATAATGTCATAAATATAGCTATGTCTTCCTCCTAACATTTAAGAAAAAGTTTATTAAATCAGGTCATCAGGAAGTCACATGAATACACATTATCTTTATTTCCTACAAAAATGTTTCTCTAACTTAAGGCATAAATTTATAGAGATGGAACGTCAATATGCAGGTGACAGGTCTGATAGAGATCCAAAAATGTAAATTGTCCATTTGAATAACACTGCTGTGTAAATCTGTGGTTGACAATACGATATTACCTAATATATTTTATATGCCTAAACTCCTTCTTATTCACTGGCATGAAGAAATGTGTCTATTCACATTAAGCAAAAATGGTTGATTTTTTTACTGGACAAAGGGAACTATACAATCTAAATGTTTCTCCTATTTTTGCCATACGTTCTAGTAACACAACCTTGGTTAGAGTACAACTGTAGTGAATTATTAATTGGATGTTTGTTAATATGTGCATATTCCTTTCTAATATTTTTGTCCTGTTCTTATTGTTTTTGTTTAATATGCATGCAACATCAAGTCGAATTTTATTGTTATTAAAAAAAGTGTGGTAGTTACATATAAAGATAAATAAGTACCACCTGTATTGGTGATTATAGCTAATTATTGACAATCTAAAATTAATTTGAAAACGTAGAGATGTTGTCCACAAAGGTGTAAATTTTTAGATATTATAGCAAAAATATTTCTTCTGTACACAAGTATTTGAACATACCTAAGAGTCTGCAGAGGACTTAAAAGTATATTTTCCATTTGAAGTAAAATCCTATGGCCTTTAAAAACTAAGACGTGAATTATATTTTAACCCACCCTAAGTTAAACATATTGAAAGGCTCTATTGTAATCACATCTTCAAATGTATGTTTTCTTCATTCTCATCTATGTTGAACCCTTAACAATAATTGTTATCATTTATACTGTTAAATCCAAATTATTCCACCCTAGTTGACACTAAGTGTTTAAAGCAAATAAAGTCTCAACATATAAAACTTGATGTGCACTTTTAAAATAGTATATAGTACTTACCCATCCAAGTAGAATGTAACAGCAGCTGAGAAGCTGTCAAGGAGAAAAATGCCAGAAGGATTAATAAATCATATTGCTATAACATGATGATGAGAATTATAAACAGCTATGTAAAAATTAGGTCACTGGCAGTCAGATGACTTGGCTTCTTTTAGTGGTGGTAGTAGAGGAGTGTATATTTATCTTTTGTTATGCCCTGGTAAGTAGCTGGCAAGCTTGCAATATATAAACATTATTTAAAGATGTTATGATTGGCTTGAATCCAGGAAATGTTCTCAGATTTACCATTAGCTATCAGAGATCTTAAATATTGCTAGAGAGGATCGAAGAGGCAAAGGAAAGCCAGAAGTTAAAAAAAAAGATATTAATAGTAAAAAAGTTAGGAAATAAAGCATGCATACTTAATGATACAAAAATTTTAAAACAGTAAAATCTAAATGTTCACATAGTTCTTAAGAAAGAGTGATTATTAAAGCATGTTATTGAAACAAAGGGAGAAGTGATCTAAAACAAGGGCTTACAGAATACTTTTTAAAACTTTTTATTATTTTCATTATTTTATATACATGGAAATCATTGTTCATAATGTATTTCTATAATATTATATATGAAAAGATCTATGTTGTTATTCACAGCCATTACTTGTAACTTTACACAAAAGTAGTGATATGACCACCAGAACAAAAAAAAGAAACAAACAAAAAACTCACTTAATTCTCAATCCTCATGCAATTTAACTGAAGAAGCTCTTGAGAAGGCCAAGTAATAACTTAGTTGTGATGTACTAGATTTACTTTGGTGATTTAACAATGCTCATGCAATTAATGTTCTTTATTGATAAATAAGTTTTATTCAGATAAAAGTTAACTATATTTATAAAATCATATTTCCATAGAAAAAGTCTATGAGGAGTGAGATGTGTTTACGCAATAAATGAGAAAAGTTTTTTAATATCAGTCCACTAAAATGATTCTACCTTGTATTACATAAATTAATAACTCTTGTTATGAACATAGATTTTAAAATGTAGTCAAGAAGTAAGAAAATTAAGGTCATTTTAATTCTACCTTGTGGAGTTATTCATTATTAATATTTGAGTCTACATGCCTGTCTTCTTCCCCTGTCTTATTATAGAAATGTTGGCTATTAAAGAAAAACACAAAGATATGTAAGATACAAAGATGTAAAAAATGAATGTTTGGCTGGTTGCAGTGGCTCACGCCTGTAATCCCAGCACTTTAGGAGTCTGAGGCTGGTGAATTACCGGAGGTCAGCGGTTTGAGACCAGCCTGGCCAAGATGGTGAAACCTCGTCTCTACTGAAAATACAAAAATTAGCCTGGCATAGTGGCGAGCACCTGTAGTCCCAGCTGCTCGGGAAACCGAGGCAGGAGAATCGCTTGAACCCGGGAGGCAGAGGTTACAGTGAGCTGAGATCTCGTCACTGCCCTCCAGCCTGGGTGACAGAGTGAGACTCCGTCTCAAAAGAAATGAATATTTATTATACTCCCGCTCACTACTGTTGAGTTTGCTGCATATTAGGCCACACTTTTTTCTCCGTACATACCAATGTGTTTTAACATTATTGTCTAGTGTACAAATATATGTATAGATACCACTACATAATTATGAAAATACACTGTTTTCTCACTTACTTTTTGTCTTAGCATTATATCTTAGATGCCTTTCGATATCAATTCAAATACACCTACTTATTTAATGATCATATACTTGTAATAAAAGAATAAGAAGGATTAATTCACATGTAGCTTTCTAGTAATAGAATAATTCTGCACTTAACTATAACTCTTGATTATTAAATAAGGTTTTATAGTTAAAACATAACAAGACTAAAGTGATTTTGCAAGAAGACACATAAAAGATGGTAAGGAGAATTGATGTTCTGTGCAAATTTCAATGATAGATGCTATTATATTTGCTAGCACCACAGGGTAAGTATAGTCAAAAATCATTTAATTGTACATTTAAAATAAGTAGAAGAGTATCATTGAATTGTTTGTAACACAAAGGATAAATGCTTGAGGTGATGGATACCCCAGTTACCCTGGTGTGATTATTATGCATTGCCTGCCTGTATCAAAATATCTCACGTAACCCACAAATATATACACCTACTATGTATCCACAAAAATTTAAAAAAATAAAAATTTTTAAAAAAAGGAAATAAACTTTTATAACTAATAAAGCCAAACACTTCCTTCACTGAAGGCAGGTGTAAAAGATTTGATTCTGAATAGAATAGTGTGAGATTACTGGGAGATTAATTCTAAAGATTTTCCTAGGTTGATGCTAAGAACTGCTATAAGTTATTTTCCAAAATTGAGAGGGCATTTGAAACTTAGGAGCTATTTAAATATTGTTTAATTTTTATTTCAACTAACTTATTTTTGTCAAATTTATATGCATATATATTAAATATAAAAACAAAAAAAACTGTGGAAACAATCATGTATTAAAAGGATGATATGCATTTGAAGAATGGACACTTATTCTCATAACAAAAGCCCTGAAAAAATGTTGTACAACACTTCATCTAATATCTAAGAAATCATTCCCCTAGATGGGAGTAGAGTATCTGTTCCAGTTTTTTCTAAGTTGTTGACTTTTTAATGGGAGATTTAAAATGTTTATACAGACTTCAATTGCTCTTGTTCCTAATAGGCACCATCAGAAATAACATGCTTTATACTGTTCAAGACAAATTTGTAAAAATAAATCACTTCTCATTTTTTTGATATTAATCATGGCATAGTTTCTTTTTTAAATCTTAGGTGATGGAAAAATAAATCATGTGCTGTGAATACCCTTTGAACCACAAGCATTGCAAATTGACATTACAGCATAGATTTTTCATCTTGACAGCTTATCGTAGGAGCCAAATAGCCCCAGATTTTCATTAAAGAAGAACCAAATAAATCTGGTCGAACATAAATAAAACAAAATATTTGTTTATCACTGTAAAGAAATCAACTTGTAGATTGAATTCCATATAATATTTATGTCAACTGCTACTTGATAGATTAAAATTAGCAGTAATTTTGTTGTTTTGAAAGGGCCAGAGAAAAGGGAATTTATTAAATTAAGAAACTGCACCTCAATTTGTTTTAAGGGTAGGAAATAAAAAGTAAACACAGGAATAAAGTCATATCATCTTTTTCAAGGCACAGAAGAAAAAACATGTACAAACATGCTACAGAGTATTTGATTAACAGGAAATGCTTCTGCCAATACAAATCTCAATGCTATAAGCTGTTGTTTTGTCAGCGTACTTGTAGGATAAAAGGAATCAGCTTGAACGTATTCTAAAATACCCAGAAATAGTGTCTCTGTGCAAATATGTGATATATTGACATAAAAAGATCAGATGAGCAATTTTTTTTCTACCATAAATTCATACAAAGAGCCAGAAAAAGAGTCAAGGATCTCCTGCTATTGCAGAATATTTCATTAAAGGTAAATTTCCAGTAAAATACTGCTGTGTTTTTGGAGTAGAAATTAGGTTCTGCACATGACGTGGGTTAAAGAGGATATCTAAGTAAATATAAGACAATTTAACGCAGAATCTAAATTAAGGATTATGATCCTCCTCTTCCTTTTAAAAAATATTTTTATTATAACCGCTATTAACAACTATTGTTATATAATAGATGTTGTGCTTATTCTTCAGATGTGTTCACTTTATTTAATCCTCCACAGCACTTCTATGAAGCAGCTATCATTAATGCCACTCTAGAAATGAAAAAACTGGTCACAGAGAGACAGTAATTTGCTTTTGGTCAACTAGTTAGTGAGTGTCAAAGGCAGAAGTGAAGTAAGATTATCTGATTCCAGTGGCTGTTCTTTTGATTCCTGTGTAGATGTCAAAATAACCCATTTGTATAGAACTTTGAGAGTTCTTAAAGAAATTTTAAGCCTCTTATCTAATTTTTCACTTGTAACTATTATATTCAGTCTGTGGGGTGGTAGCTGTTCTGTATAATAGAGACACTAAAAATATATCTGGTTTTTAGTAGTAGTTCTAGGAGTGATTAACTTCAGAGCTTATGATATTATCAACTGAAGATTCTATTGCAATTGCATCTCCCTTGCCTTCTGCCCAATCCAGCTTCTCTTACTTCTTTCACAGTGGTTTTCTCTAAGAATAATACCCAAATAAATTTCTTGTATGTTAATCCATATTTAAGAGTCTATTTCCAGGGACACTGACCTAAAATAGTAATTTTTCAAAATCAAGCCATTCTCTTGAGTCTTTTGTTGAATCATCTTAGTCTCTTTAAAATTCTTTTGCCCTTTTCTTATTTTTTTTCAGTACCTTCGTTTATTGTTGTAACCTATGAAGTATATTTGTTTTTTAGTTATGTTATTCTGTTCCCATATTAGGAGGCTCCAGCTTGTGGCACTTTGTTTCCTTAGGTGTTTTGTGATTTTTCTTTAGTATAAATTTATATTTCTAAATTTTTATTTGTGATAATTGCTTGTAGTGACTGAAGACAAGTTCTTCTGGGAAAAAAAATGCAATTGTTTCTGCTACGGATTGGGGGCTATAC
The DNA here is from genome assembly GCF_000001405.40 of Homo sapiens. NCBI lineage: Eukaryota > Metazoa > Chordata > Mammalia > Primates > Hominidae > Homo > Homo sapiens. Next base: position 86,731,776 of record NC_000012.12, read on the forward strand.
CAACCTAGATGCACTTTAAACTGTAGTATTGCATTAAGGTTTTCGCATCACACAATTTGAGGAAATTCAGGCTGCAATCCAACATAAAGGCTGTTTTTTAGCTAGAAGCATTACTTTTTTCCCCCTTCATTCAGCACTAGAAGTCAAGATAGGTATAGCTCCTTATAAAACCCTGAATGAGTGGACATTTATTCCTGTTTTATGCTTAAAGGAGGGGCTAGGCCATTTGCTGGGCCTAGGTTTATGCAGGGATTATGCTTTCGATTTTCTATTTTCAGCCACCACTGGACATTTTCTCTCTATACCTTGTGCTTTGAAAATATATGAAAACAAAAACTCAAGTTTACTAGAATGTGCAATGGCTTTCAAGGTGGAAACCAGTATCAGCATTCTGCTTGTCACTTTCATTTTATCCTTTCATTTACTTATGCCTTGGATACTCTTTACTTTCTATTTAGTTCATCAATGCATTTGAATGTTTTAATACAACAGTACCAATCTTTTTGGCACTAGGGACTGGTTTCGTGGAAAACAATTTTTTCACAGACCGGGGTGGGGGCATACGGTTTCAGGATGTTTCAAGTGCATTACATTTATTGCACACTTTATTTCTATTATTATTACATTGTAATACATAATGAAATAATTATGTAACTCACCATAATGTAGAATCAGTGGGAGCCCTGAGCTTTTTTTCCTGCAAATAGATAGTCCCATCTGGGGGTGATGGAAGACAGTGACAGATCATCAGGCATTAGATTCTCATAAGGCGTGTGCAACCTATATCCCTTGCATGTGCAGTTCACTAGAGTTCGGACTCCTGTGAGACTCTAATGCCAAGACAGATCTGACAGGAGGTGGAGCTCAGGTGGTAATGCATTGATGGGGAGCAGCTGTAAATACAGATAAGCTTCTCTTGCTCTCTGGCCACTCAGGTCCTGTTGTGTGGCCTGGTTCCTAACAGGCCATGGACCAGTATTGATCTGTGGCCCAGGGTTTGGAGACCCCTGTTTTAACATATTCAGCATTTATGTTTTGTTTGTTTTCTCCAGCAAAAAAAAAAAAAAAAAAGGATGAGCAGATTAACCATTCAGCCATACTGCAGAAAGGTGTTTCTCCCAGTAACAGTCATCAAATTGCTTCATTTTTAACATGTGGTCCTTTTCCCCCAGCCCAGCCAGCTGTAATTAAGTGAAAGTACAGAGCAGAGATGTGAACTCTTTTTCATTTTAATAAAAGCTATATTACTGACATAATAGACGAAGATTTGGAAGAATGAAAAATTAAATCAGTCTTCCCTCTCATTATAACTAAAGGATAATTACTCTATCCAGTATAAAGAAAGGTTGAAAAATGCATTAGAGAGAAATACTTAAAAACTGATGGGATCTAAGAAGACTCTTTTCATTGTATTTTCTGCTATCATTGAGAAGTACATGAGATTTTGACAGAACCCACAGAACAGTTTGGAATTCTAAAAATACCACATTTTCCCTTAATTATTTCTGGAACAGTGTAAAGAATTATGCTTTTAGAATTCCCTAATAACCCAATGAAAAGGGTTAAGATGTATTTTTGTTGCTTAAGAAGGGGAAGGCACAAGGCAGCCATAGCAAGTATCCTATGATCCCCGAGTAACAAGAAGAGCAAAACAAACAAACAAACAAACAAACAAACACAAAGTTTGGCTGAGAGAAAGCAAGCAGATGTTGAAAGGGTCTGTGATTGTGATAAGAAGACATTATAACAAAGAGTAGTGTAAAATGTATGTCAAGAAACCAGGTGGAAATACAGAAACCTCAACAGATGCCAATGTGGTGGGTATGTGAGACATGATTGTACATCACAATAGATGTCAGTATAGGACAATGGAAGGCTGATTCCCAGATGCCTCACCATCTAATATAATTGTACTGTATGAACTTTCCAGAAGTTAAACCAATCCAAAAAGCAAGGAAGAAGGGGGGGAGACAATTTTGATTTAACTGAATTAAAACCCAAAATGCCTGAGAATCCTTTAAAACCTCTGAACTTACTTGGAATTGATTCAGTTAAGTTTTTCTGCCTCTAAGCAAAATGGGAATGTAATTAGAAGACAATTCTGTTTATGAAAAAAATAATGAAATTAAAATAAAGCGAATTACATATTGTGTTCACTTGAATTTTACAAAATATGTATCCACTACATGTGGAGATCAAGAGGCTAGTCTCTCAAGAAAAATGTCGTGGTCAATTCTGTAAAATACTGCCGACAGCTAAGGTAGGATGGGAATATGTAGGATCTGGCAACAAGTTATTAATTGGTGACATAGAATCAGAACTCTAGTGTGGCAAAATTAAATGAAAGTTGAGAAAGTTTAAGTTGCCTTTATAAAAGAGAAAATAAAAACTGTTGTTAAAAGCTAGTTATGAAGGGAGATTGAAATAAAAAGACAAATTAAAAATAATTGCTAACAAGAGATATTAGGTCGAGACAAAGCATGCCATGTTTTATTTAAGATTAGGGATATGAGGTCATGTTTGATCAGAAGGAGACTGTGACAGAAATTAAGATGTTGAAGACTCAGGAACAAAAACAGCTAAAAACAGTGGGAGTAGAGGGGAATGCATGTGCAGGGGCTGAACTTGAATCGGAGCAGCGTGTCCTTCATTCTAATGGAAAGGGGCATAGTATGAGCTGAATATTTGTGCCCTCCTCTCAAAATTCATATATACAAATCCTCAGCCCCAATGTAATGGCAGTAGGAGGTAGAGCCTTTGATAAGTGATTATGTCTTCAGGTGGTGCCCACTAGAATAAGATTAATAACCCCCATAGAAAGAGACCCAAGAGAGCTTGCTTCTTCTCTCTCTGCCCTGTAGCACATGAGGATACAAAAGAAGACCACCGTCTACAAATCAGGAGGAGTGCCCTCACCGCAAACCAGATCTGTCAGAGCCTTGATCTTGGATGTTCCAGCCACTGGAATTGTGAGAAATAAATGATTGTTGTTGAAGTCACCAAATATGTAGTATTCTATTATACAGTAGCCTGAACTGATGGGACAGAGAGGCAGCAGGTCAGTTCTTACATATGGTAGCAAAAAGATTATGTAGTTACCATCTGCTGTATTTGTTCTGGTAAGAAGTGAAATAATATACTGAGATTAAGAGAGGGAGGAAAGGAGTAGGAAAACATTTAAATAGTGTGTATAAGATGTTATTTAATTGCGGAACTTGGCCGAGTAAACTTGCTGAAGAAACATGATTTTTTGTGTGTTTTGTGGAAAGCCCACTTGAGTTTGGTTCTCTACATAAACTGTAGAGAATCCAATCTACTTAGGATGCTTTGCTATTCAGGGATTTTGTCCAGAGTTTCCATCTCGCCTAATGAGTGCGAGATTAGAACAAGGGAGTCAAGAATATTTTAAACACAGTAATAGTAAGTATTATGCAAAAATGAAGAGAAGCTGGGTGTGAAGAGTGTGAAAGTATTAGGGAGATGACTAATCCCGAGAGAGGGTCAGTGAGTTGGGCCCCTCCTTGTAGAAATCATTTGTGATGATGGTAGCTGTTAAGGTGATGATTTCAGTTGATGAAATCATCAATGATTTGAAAGAAGTAACTGGAAAATTTGTAAACACTCCACATCAGAAAGGAAAGGGGGAGGTAGACACGGAAGCCAGGCAGTTCAAATCTGATGGTTAAAGCTTAGCAGAAATAATTGCCTGGAAGCAGCACAAGGAAGCAAGGGAGAATCATAATCGTGAAGAATCTGTGATGGATAGATTTCTATTTCATTTTGGGGTCAATGGAAGTATTTGTGAACATGGAAAAATGTGTCATTTCTTTGAATGGGCTGCCTTCTAAGAAGGCAGTCACAGGAAATACTCAAATAAAGACTAAATATTAGTTATACTGTGAAGAAGTTATTTTGTATCTTCAGATACAAAAGATTAGATCATATAATCTTTGAAATCTCATCCTACTCCAACATCTCTTCTGAAACTGACTGTTCATCCTCCCACCACCTACATGTTTTTCTCTTAAGTTCAGTTATTAGCAAAATCGACTATATCCTTAATCTCTTCCTTGAATGTCTGTCACACTGACTTGCTCTAACTTAAACCTGGCTATTTTCCAATGATAACCTTTCTTCTGCATACTTTATATGTTTTTACCCAAAGTGGGTAAGTGTATTTTTGTATTAACCACCCTGAAGAGATATTCATACAACTGTCTTTACCTTTTCTATAAAAAGCCTCTCTCTGTTGCTGTCATCAAAAGTCCCCTTCCTTTGTTCTTTGATAATCTTAGTTCTTTACTCATTGTAATTCTCTCCAAAACTACTTCTGTGGTAATTAATTCACAGTTGAAGACCTAGCTTCTCCATTCTTCTTCTCAATCATCTTGGTCCCCATTTTAACTCCAAAACTAACTTCTGTGATTGTATCCATGACTTTACAGTAAGCCACACTGTTGGCTTACTAACAATTACTATTATCCTAACACCTCAATTTCAAATATGTCTTATAATTTTCTATTTTTTCAGCTCAATCCCTCTTAGAACCCAGCTCCAAGAATCTTTTGAAGCCACTGAAACCTTACCACTTTTCTTTATGTCTCCTTCCTCACCCAACATTCATACTTCCCTTATTATCCGGCTTAAATTTTATTGCTAATCACTATAAAATCACTTCCTTAAATGCAACATTGTTTCCTATCTTATTTGTATAGTATATTAACTAAATCACCCCAACAATGATTGAAAACAGTTCTCCACATACTATTCATCTGCACCTCCACCAGTGAACGAGCCTGGAGGGAAAACCAAACACCCAGGACTGACTCTCCTTTAAGATCATGAGCACTAACTCACATTGTATCATCCTAATTCATTCACTTTTTTACTGTACCTATATAGAAGTCTTCTGTACTATGTCCTCTTGCCTCAAAATTATCCACTGTCTGCTGTGACCACTTTTTCTACTTCACAGAAGAAAGAAAATCATTTAAAAGACAAATTACAAAAACTGTCTCTTCACATCCATTTTCCCACATTTATACTTGAATATTCTAATTTATTTTATTAGCATGGACTGGACCCTAAGTAAATACAGTCCTTCTATTGTGTACATAACCTTATCCCTTTCCTTCTCGTGGGCATTGCTCTAGTAATTTTCCCATCTCTCTCTTGAACCATCAAATTTTCCCATCAACTGGATCATATCCATCAACATCAAGCTAACTTGCAATTCTATAAAAAAAAAAAAAAAACCTGCCAATTTTATAAAGACAAATTATCTTGGCCCACTTTCTCTTCCAGCTATTATCTCATTTCTCTTCTATCAATAAAGTAAAACTCATTGAAATGGCTGCTTCGCTTGATTCCTTAAATATTTTTCTACCTATTTTCTTTTGGGTCAACTATCATCAAATTTTTATCCCCACAGCTCCAGCATAACTGCTCATTTTGTTGTTAAAATTAGTTTCTACAGTGCTAAGTCCAATGGTCAATTTTCAGTACTCACCTTTTTTGGCCTATCAGAAGCAATTGGCACCATTGATGAGTCTAGCCAACTAAAATACTTTTTTTTTTTTTTTTTTTAACTTGGCCTCTTTCCTAATAACACACGGGCCTGGTTTTCCTTCTATTTTGCTGACTACTTTTCCTCAGTCTACTTTTTTCTTAAATAATCTAGAAAACCTCTAAATTTTAAGCTACCTCAAGATTCAATCTTTGAACTGTATCTCTATATTGATTCCCCTAAGTGATTTCATCCAGTTTCGAAGACAAATTCCATGCCAGTACCGATGCCTTTCAAATTTATGTCTCCAGCTCCTAATACTTTCTGAACTCCAAACTTACTTGTACAACTACATAAGCTAGTTATATAAAATTTAATAAGTCAAGAACAGAGACCTTCACATCCACCCCTAAAATTTCCTGTTTTGTCTTCACCAACACAGTCAATAACAATTCTTTCCTTCCAGTTTCCCAGTTAAAAAAAAAACAGACTTCCTTTAGTCTTTTATTTTTCTCTCACATACACAACTTGAGTAAATACTACTGGCATTTCTTTCAAAATATATCTCAGCAATTCTTGCTTGCACACTAGTCCAAGTCTCTTACCTAAATTTTAGAATAAACTTCTACCTATTTCTCTGCTTTTTCTTTTACTTTTTAGTCTATTTTAAAAAGAAGCCAGAGTGACCCTGGTTAAACTTAGGACAGATCACAATACCACACTACTGAAAAGGCTTTAATTGATCACTGTTTTCCTTTTCAAAGTGAATGCTAGGGCATTCTATTTGTTCTGTAAACTTACTTATAATCTGACTTTCTTCTCCTCATGGACCTCATCTACCACAACATTTGTACTCAGTCATTGCCTACTCCGCCTTTATAATTTCAAAACTGCATTAAGGTCACACACCACCTGAAGGTCTTTGATCTGGTTGTTCCCTTTTTCTGGATTCTCTTCTCACACATATTTGTTTTCCTTCATATCTTAATTTTTTAAATAATGTTTTTAGTGAGGTATTCCAGCCAAACTACCCCAATTAAAATTGTTATTTTAATTCTTAGACTTAACATGTCCTTAACTTTTTAAAAAATTGTATCACTTGCTACTATTCAATATATGGATACTTTATATAGTTCCTTGGTTAATTTGTTTTCCTTCTAGAATAAATATCTTCATACAGGTGAGGATTTTTGACTGCTTTGTTCAATAATGGATCCACAAAGCTGATACACAGAGCAGGTACTCAATTAATATTTGTTAAATGAATCATGCCATTCATTCAATTTTATAGTCAGTTGCAAGTATGAAATTCAGTTTACATTCATCCAACTCATACGAGGAGTGCGTTACATATTGTTCGATTTTATTACTGCTTTTGGAAGTCAGCCTCTGTATCAATACAATTTCAGGACTGATTATTAATAGAAAATGTTAAGAATATGACACATATGTCTATGCATTTCAATTGTAAAAATAAATTAAGTCCAAGACTGGGCTTATTAATTAGGACTTTGGGGTTGAATTTCCAACCTTGCCACAAAATTAGCTGGTCCTGTGAATCTCTAAAACTGAAGAGGTTGAACACAAAAGCCCGTTTATATTTTTTTATGGTGTCCATGCTATTACTGGGAAAAAGCTCTTTTATCATAAAATTTTATTAAATACCTATTCATAGCTATAGCAGAAAGGGACAAAAGGAAGATTTTTGGTGTAGTAAGCATTGAATAAATGCCATTAAATGATTGTCGTTAGGGTATCCACTTTTATTTATTATTGTCATTCCAATTTTTGTCTTATTACTCTCCTTAAGATGGGTAAAGCAGATTTTTAATTCAGCTATGTTTCCCTGTGCAAAAAAAAAAAAAAAAAAAAAAAAAAAAAATCTATGTTATAATTGAGACAAAAGCTTTTTGGAAAGCAAACAAATAAGCTACAAATGATATAAACTTAAGTCAAAGCAAACATTTTTCAATGTTTGTAGTACCTGTCCTAAAGATATGCTGTTATATTTACAAGTCTATATTTTATTCATAAAGAGTAAATTTCCAAATTCAAATACATGTTTATTCAACTTTAAAATTTATATATTCAGATATAAATCATTTTTAGTCATTTACTCTTTTAATAACATCCAAACTAAATAAAGCATATATTCTCACTTAGGAAGAATATGTATATACAGTTAGCCCTCCATATACATGGGTTCTACAATCGTAGGTTCAGCAACTGCAGATGTAAAATATTTGGGGGAAAAAAAAAGGATGGTTGCATTTGTACTGAACATGCACAGACTTTTCTTATCATTATTCTCTAAACAATACAGAATAATAACAATTTACATAGCATTTACATTGAATTAGATATTATAAGTAATCTAGAGATTATTTATACTATAAATGAGGATATGCACAGGTTATATGCAAATACTACACTATTTTATATAAGGAACTTGAGCATCTATGGATTTTGTTATCTGCCTGGTGGTCCTGGAACAAATCCCCCTTGGATACTGAGGAACAATTATTTTTGTGTGTGTGCGTGTGTGTGTATATATATTTATTTATGTATGCACACAAACACACACACACACACATATATATACACACACACATAAGTCCTAAGGCATATTATATATATATATGTTTCTGTAAATTGAGAGTCTATTTATAATATAATATTCCTTATGAGCTATTCATAGCTAAAAAGCTTCTCCAAGGATGCTGAGTACTCCATTTTTATCCCCAAGTCCATAACTGTTGCTGATTCACAATCATTATTTTTGAAATTACAAAGATACTTGAAGCAAAATGTTCATTTTCATTTTAGCAAGAACCCTTCATTATTTCAATCCTTTTCCAAATTCTTTGCAGACAATGTTGAAAGCTATGTTCTCTTTTTATGAAGACAATAGAATTAATTTTGTTTCAGATTATTATGAGAAATGTGGAGTTTTAGAATCTTTTTTTCTTTGAAAAAATACTACTTTTGTGATGGTTCAAAAGTTGTAAAAATAATCATGGTCATAAGGATAGGATTCATTATATTTTTATAATGCTTTTTGCTTTCTTTTGTAGATTTTGTTCAGTAGAAAATTTTAAAGCCAAATTGAAGAAGTTTGTAGAAGTGTGTTTATAACACTGAAATAAAATTGAAAGACTAAATGTAAGCTTTTATTAACCAAAAAGATAATAGAGGGTGCATTTAATTAGAATATTAAATTAGAACAAATAAAAATATATTTTTGAAATTTAATGCCACTTCTGATTTTGTAGTTTTTATGCATAAAACCATTTCTGCACAGTACATCTTTTAGAGTTGTTTGTACAGTAGAATGTCAATGTATGTTTTAGTAACACTTCTATAATAGGTTTCTCAGAATTCACAGGATTTCAGAAAAGCCTCAAAGTCCTCATGGCCTTCAATAGAGCAATTCTTGTAAAATAAATATCGGTCTGGTCTTATTCTTAATGACATTAAGTCAAAACAAGTAATTTAGATACAAATGCTAGGGATTTGTTATTTGAATGCACACAGTTCTTTAGTAAAAATTATTGCATCCACTTTTTAAAAAGTAATTTCAACTTTTATATACAGAGAGTACATTTGCAGGTTTGTTACATGGGTATATGATGTGATATTGAGGTTTGGAATACAAATTCCGTCACCCAGGTAGTGAGCATAATATCTAATAAGTAGTTTTTGAACCCACACCCACCTCTCTCCCTCCCTTATCTAGTAGTCCACATTGTCTATTGTTCTCATCATTATGTTCATGTGTACTCAATGTTTAGCTCCCGCTTGTAAGTGAGAACATGCAGTACTTGGTTTTCTGTTCCTGGTTTATTCACTTAGGATTATGTTCTCCATACCCAAAAGAAAATAAATTGTTTTACCAAAAAGACACATGCACTCGTATGTTCATCACAGTACTGTTGACAATAGCAAAGACCTAAGGGCCCATCATTGGTGGATGGGATAAAAACAATTTAAAATAAAGACATTTAAAATGGTTTTAGATTATACTTTAAATTATTTGGTTTTATTTTCAGTTGTTCCAAGTTATCAAACGTAGAAATTGCTGTATAATATTTTTATATGATCCTCTTTTGAAACTATAATGCATATTATTGTTAAAATAACACACTGAATGTAGTAATTTCCTCACTTTTTGCATAACAGTAACTAAACAAAAAAGTGGCTTAGAAATATTAATTTAAAAATTGGAAAACCAACGTGTTTTGTTTGGTGGCATTTTAGTTATCTGAAGTGTAAGTAATGCTTGAAAATTGTTTTATATAATTGTCAAGAAGCAAAATAAAATTTACTTTTAACTCAGAATACAAAATGACTACGCAGAATCAGTCTCTGACACTACTCATAGAAAGCACCCCCAAAGATTTCAGAAATTTCATGCAAGAATAGTTTTGCTTGTGCACAATGATTCATCTTCCTCTTATTCCTACCCAACTGCCTGAGATTTTCATGTCATCTAAGGACTCTTCTAATCCTGAGATGGTACTTTTGAATAGGATCTCCCTTTAGAATACTAAATATAATAAAGAACTATCATGAACAGTAGAATTTATTTAACTCCTCCATAGTTTTAGACTACATATTTAAAAGTAAACAAGCAAAACAGTTTACAAAATTGTTTTCTGTATTGTATTTAAACAACATTATTTTCACATATTTGATTATGTACCTTTAACTTGTAAGGCTTATTTGTTTATTTAGACATTGAAAATTAATAAGGTGGAGTTAGTCTATGGTTCTTTGTAGTTAATTTATATATTTATTCTTATTTCTATGGTTTCTTGGGTCACCTTCTGGGTTTAGGGTTATCAGAGATTCATATTTCATATATTATTTACCTCACACTGTACACTCCCTGATACAAGTTTCTGAAGAAAAGCATAGTGAATATTTGCTGATTAACTAAAACCAACTGAGAATAAATATATCTTTGCACTCCCTATTTGGAATATTTTGTTGTTTGTAAAAATTCTTCCTTTTTCTCAAGTGCTTGCTGCATGTTCAGTATTTGTAGAGTATACTTCCTTAATTGATTAATATTAAGCATGGCTCTTTAACTTGCTTTAACCATTAAAGAAGGGGCAGGTGAAACTTCAGAGTTAATAAAAAGTTGCATTTATCTGTTTCTGCTTAATAGTGCCTTAAAAGATGTTGCATTTATGTGTTTCTGCTTCCACCTTGCTCCATGAGTATGACATGCCTCAGTTTGCCATTTTTGCTGTAGTCAGATTCCCAGAATGAATACACATGAACCAAACCCTGTGATCCGGTTTAGTCTGTTTAGCCTAAATGAGATTAGTGGACCTGAAGACTACTGAGATTAAATGAATAATTATTGAGCCATTGAGTTTCTGGAGGTTTGTTATGCAGCATTATCCTGGTAGAAAAATGGCAAACACTCCTTAGCATAGTAAATTAGTATATATTCAGAGCCTCTTAATATAATTGTAAATAAATATGAAAAGATAGGAACCATCTTGGCATGTAATCAATAATAAAAAAATAATACTAACATATCTTAAATCTTCCATCTTGATTAAATAGTGTTCACAGTTGATTTGTTATTCCCAAACTAAAGCTATTACACTGTACATACATTTGCATAATATTTCAAAGAGCAAAATATGTAACACTTTCATTATTCCAAGAAAAATGTGTTTATGTATATATGTGTGTGTGTATGTGTGTATGTGTATGTGTGTATGCATGTGTGTATGTGTATGTGTGTTTTGCATGTGTGTATGTGTATGTGTGTATGCATGTGTGTATGTGTGTATGTGTGTGTATGTATGTGTGTATGCATGTGTGTGTGTGTGTGTGTGTGTGTGTGTGTATAGAAGTGTCATTTCGGGGTCAGTCTCAGGTTACTCTCTGGCTTCCATTCAGACACAATAAGTACGGCAGAGTTAATATAAGCATTTCTTCACAAAGAACTAGGGAAATGGCCATACTGTGTAACTTTAAAACTTTTTTAACATTAGAGATAGATTATATACAAAGAAAATATATTCTCAATTATATATTGTTGAAAATTGCAATGCATACTTCAGTGATTTAATAACTTATGGTACATATACATTTTATATTTTAAAAGATAATGTATCCCAGGGGAAAACCAGCTTTCTCCTGAAGAGATTATTTTACACTTGATGTAAATGTTTAGAAAGTATTGGCACAAAATAAGACATTACAGCTTTCACATAAGTTTTCTGGCTATGATAGATTTCTGGGTCCCTAAAGTTTCTGCTTTGCTAATTAGCCGGATAGTATGAAATAAAGACTCACAGGGATGAAAGCACAGAGGAAATAATGAATACATTTCCTTAATTTTACAGATTGTTAAACAAAGCCCAGGTTTTTCCAGGTTCATAAATTTTATTAAACTGCAAATCAATGTCCATCCCAGATACCTCTTTGGTCTTCCATCTCTATAGGATTACTACTTAGACAGCTGACTCCTGAAATACTAGTCAGGCATTTGAAATTTGACAGCTGTAAAATTAAATTTACTTTTATTTTTCACAGTTAAGTGTGGCTTTTTTTCTTACTCAATTAAATTGTTATTAAGTATTAAGTAGTATGAACGTTGGTATCAGCAGGAAAAAGTGGCACACTCAAAATGTAGTGATTTAGGAGACTTTAATGCAAGGGCAGTTTCAAAGTATAAGGACAAGTTCAAAGAAACCAACAAGGCATATGGAAGCACCCTGAGCTGAGCAACAGCAGGAGATATGAATATTACTTGGCTTGAGGCAGTGGGAAGGAACATGTACTGAAATTTACAGCGGGCTGAAGCTGGTGCTGTAGCTGCAACTACAAGAGAGTACTGCTCCACAAGAGCTGTAAAATTTGGTAGAGAAACTCAGCAAGGGCTAATTTATGGCCAGTTAGGGAGACAACCACGGAACTAAATAACTCAACTTCTTTCTACTCTACCATATTCTCTCCTGAGGATAGCTTCCATTACCCAGACTCAATAGGTTGCTAAGGAAAAAAAAAATATGATTGACAAAGACAGTAAAGGTTTGTTTTCTGGTGCCAAAGCAGGGTGGGGAAGAATAAACGGGAAACCTAGAATGGTAAACAGAGTGTATGTAGCACACTTGTACAGTGTTTCAAGAAAGAAACAGAAGAATCTTTCAAAATCTCTCCTCCTTCACTCCATCCAAGTTCATAGTACATTTTGGTTCATCTAAAACTCCAGTGGAACTCTGCCTCTCCGTGGATTGGTTTAATGGATTGAAGCAACCACTGGTGATAAATGCCAGCTCTCAGCACTTCTCATAATGAGGTAAAAAAAAAATCACAAGTGATTTAGATTCTCCATTATTCATTATTCACTATTTCAAGGTGCTTTATTATGAAATCCAGGACATTCTTAGCATAACAAATCCAGAGTTAGGAGTCTATGAGTATGGATGTGGGTGTGTCTTTGTAGAACACACTCTGAGATTCTGTGTGGTAAAAGCTCTCCTTCAAGTGTGTCACTTAAAAAATAGCTGCACCACATCTGAGGGCCCTCCACCACAGTATGAACAATTTTATGACAAGGATCCAAACCCGACAATTAAAAAAATTGAAACATAATAAGCTTAAAATGTGTATTGGTTCTGGGGAAGAGGCTGAAGTGACTTGTGGAAGAAGAACCATGATGCAAATCCGTTCTGCATGCATCAGCCTGCAATTTCCTTAAGCACTCCTGGACAGAGAAGAGAATGTGCCTGCAGGTAATGACTGAGCTGGAGAAATAGTAAGGCTGTTCACCCAACCTTCTCTTCCCTAGAGGGTAGTTAGAGCTACACCCTATGGGGCAGAGAGGAAAGGGTGTACCACCTGTGTTACACCTGTGCAAAATAAAGTTTTTTTTTTAAAAAATGGGCTCTTCACCATCTACTGAAAGACATTTCATCTTTTAAAATGATATGGAAGGTCTGGAATAACTGAATGATACCAAGAAAGGCATATATATTTAGATTCAAAATGGTCATGTAAATGAAGGAGTTCGCATCTGGAGAATGAACAAATTTCTGTGTAATCAAAGTATTTTTTACTTTGAAGAACTAAAGACACATTTGGTATAAAGGAAGTACCAATTTCAGAAGATATGCACATACTTCTTGAATATAATGTTGACTTTGCATTTCTACTTCTTATTCTGGAGTCCAACTTTACAATATAGCATGCATGGGTTTTTACAGTGTGGTTAAGTTTCAAAGGAAGTTAAACAGCAAGATAATAGTAACCCTTGGAAATAGAGGGGAAAATATATGAATGCCAGAAACATTGGCCTAGAAAACCAAATTTTTAGCATGATTTGTATCTGTTGAATGCTTAACTCAATGCCCATAATAATCATGTTTTGATTAATGGTGCATGAATGAATGAATGAGTAAATCTGGCTCCATTAAAGTATCTTCTTTTTAATAAAACTACAAAAATTTAAACTGAGAGTCCCTGTCTCTGGTAATGAATTTGTGTCAGAATCAAGATATGGAATGACTGAATACCCCCACATGAATCAATAAAGATTTCTTTCAGCTGTAGAAATAGAAATTCAGCTTCAGGAACTTAAGCCAAACAAAGATTTCAGGCATTTGTTTTAATGAGGCAGAATTATACAGCTGTCTATCTCTAAAAAAGGGAACATCACCATTCTCTGAAGTGGTGTTTGCTCCAGCCTCAGTGAGGACTATTACTGGAGTTTGTTCTTCTAGAACATTTCATCCCCTCTCATTCACTCTGCTCACAGAAAGCTGGCATCCACATTTCCCAGTGAGTAGTCAATGCAGTGAAATTCTCTTAGTGCTGGCTAAATCTCTCTTGCTCTCTTAGACTTTCCTATTCAAGGCAGAGCAAACACTTGTGGTATTGTCTGTCTATTTTCATTTCTTCTAACCCATTCTCCACAAGGCAGCTAGAAGGATCCTTTTAAAGCAGAAATTTTGTTGTGTTAAACCTCTGTTTAAAAACCTTTAGGGGCCCAGGGGCCTTAAAACCCTTTAAATGCCTCTGAAGACAGTTCAAATGTACTGATTTATCCTCCAAAGCTTTTGGTGATCTGTTATTTATGTTGCTCAGGAGACCACAAGTATAATTTAAGGGTGGGAAAATTACCCACTGTACTGGACTACCCTTGTAATGAAATCCTCACACTCACTAAATCTTGGTAATACCACTTCTCTGTCATTCTGACATACAAAAACATCTCCAGAGACCCCCAAATGTTCCTGAGAAGGCTGGAGAACCTGTTCAGTTAGGACTATTATTCACTGAAATACTAAACTTCAAATACAGTGAATTATTCACAGTTCACTTAACAAACAACAATAATCATTTTCTCTTACAATAATCATTTTCTCTTACCTCTGATCCTTCTACATGCTCCTCGCTCTTCTCTTCTGGAACAGTCCTTCACCTCCATAGACCTGACTAATTACAGGAAGATCAACAAATATCACCTTAGGTATCTTTTCTGAGCCCCCTCCAAATATAGGTAATGTCTCCTTCTGAGTTGCCGTAGAGACACCTTATACTTACCCTGGATGTGATAATTTAACAAAATAGTAGGATCTAATTACTTGTTTGTTTCGCTTGCTACATTTAAAGCCATTTGAAAGCAAAAATATTGTCCTATTCAGAATTGCGTTCTTGGTTTCCATCCTCTGATGTACTTACCAGGTAATGACTCATACTAGGTGCTTAAATATAAATGAAGTGATGAGGGTGGCACTAAACTTGGAACCTGATGAACTGAGTTTGAATCTGTACTTCAATACTATTTGTGTAATCTTGGACAAATCTCTGATAAACTCAGAGCATCCTCCAGTGCTCCTTATCCTGCAGGATTTCAGTGAGGATTAAATGAGTTAATGTATGTAAAATCTCTTTAAACACTGATTTATACTTAAAATCATTTTCAATTCAAACTATAATTTTCTAAATGTTAGTAGAAATGCCGTTGAGCCGTAAGTTGCATTTTCCTAAATGGCTTACAAACTTTCTGGACTGTGCAGCTTGTTAGAGAATTTAAATGGCTGTCCAACTAGGCGTGTATTTCAAAACAATTACTCAATTCAACTATTTAATCAGCCTGTACTTGTGTGGAGGTTGTTATAATTCATATTAAACTAGCTACTCACGAATAATTTCACAATTATTTCTCTTTAAAATTGTATTTTTTCTAAGTCCTCTAAAATTTTGTCCTAAATTGGATGAAACATAGCTAAATTATGAAAAATACAATAGCATATGGACAGCTATGTGTTAACAAAGGTTTTAGGGCAATGATCTTTTTCTTTTTCAGAGCAAATTTCACTATAGTTTTCTCTTAGTTAATATAATTGATAACAGTTATAGAGCTACTTGGCATTCTAAACATGCAGACATGTCTTTCGCTGTCTAAAGTAAAATTAAAAACTGCCAATAGTCTTTTATGTTCAGTGGTAGCTGGAAGGAAATTTTTTTTTTTAAAAAAAAGCTGGTAATAACTGGCTGATACGTGCAATTTGAAAGACGATAGACCTGAGTTGTGCGTATGAGGAAGGAATGACCCAAAGTACTGTGACAAATGCAGAAGAGAAACTATCCACACAATGAATGTGGGATGCTAAAGTCTTTAACAGTTAGCTCTGTAGCACATAAGTTACCCATCACAATTAATGTCAAGAAAGCTAATTTGATTAGCATCAATACTAAATTTATAAGCAATTAGGAACCAAGCCCTGTTTAACTCACTGCATTATTATTTATCAATTTATCAGTGGATATCTGATTAGAGAGATGTAAATACCTGCAAAATTCCTTTGACCAAGCCATGTGTAGCTCAAAGAAAAGGTGCTAAGCTTTGACCTATTAATAGGCTAAAGAGTCATACTAAGTAGTTGACTACTAAGGCACACTAATCTAGTCATTAGGACAGTGTCATCAACTCATTTTCATATAATATTGGCAATGAGAACTGTAACAAACAGTTCTAATTGTATAATTACCTTAAAATCTGCCTCTGGCCTCTGAATAATATCAAGAATTTATGATTATAGAAACTGGAAGCCTGGCGAAGAGCCAGAAATTAAACATTTTATTTCCAAGTCTACTCCTCAATGAAAGTTGAATCTCTAAGAATTTTGGCTCATGTACCTAACATGCAAACCTATTCAAGGATAATTGACTTTAACATTTAGGAAATACGTGATAAAAATACTACATGAGGTCAAGAGCCATGTATAAGAAGAGGAGGGGGAGCCCCAAGAACAGAACTGGAGGCCATGCTGAATTTTGGAAATCAGAGTAGGAGAATGAGTAGTCAGGGTCAGAAATACAGAGTGTGTAATATCATGTAAAGCAAAGAAACATATCAGAGGGAGATGGTAATCAATAATTGAGTATCCATAGAGACTTTAACTGTATAAGATGTGAATTTGACTATCTTGCTAGAGTTGGATTTTTTTTAAACATTTACAAAGCCATATCTTAAGAAAATTATCAAGAAATAAAGAAAATTTAAAAAATTTAGTATATTAGTAGGTAATTCAGCCAAAGAAGCTAGTAGGTGTTCACAATAGTTATTAATATTTAAAAGTGTTGAGTGCTTAATTTTAAATTTAAGCTGAAAGGAATATATTTTCTTTTAACCTTTTTTTTTTTTCAATTACATCCAAGCTTATTTAAAAAGTAGCTGACACATTGTTTTCTTTTTGTCTACCCACTCATTCTGGTACTCACCCCATCTGGTTTACATATCGTAAACCTGCCTAAACTACTCTTATTTCAGCAATTATCTTCTAGTCAGCAAAAATAGCTGCAAACAAACATGTTTAAAGTAATGTTAAGAGTAATCAGACATAATTGAATCGTGGTTTTTCTCAGTAGTTAAATATTTATTTGCTAACTTTCCATTCTTCTAAACAATAGATGCACTTTAAATATTTTATTCAATATTTAGTATCTTATAGAAATAAATTAAGACAATATGCAACCTCTTGAGTACTTCAACAGATGACCAGTCTTGTGTCTTGTTAATTGTATTATATTGCATTAATTTGCATAAAATACATAGAAACTTTTGCATCTGTAAGATGTCTAATGTAAACCCTATACCTTCATTCAATTGTTTTATGAGGAAATAGTATGTCATTGATCTTACTTTGATATGATTTTTCCTTTTAAAAGACAGTTCATTGCCCTCAAAATATTATAAATTAGGTAACAGAAAGAAAACCAAACAATGTATCAGATTTTAAAATTTTCTCTTAATTTTTAAAAATGTCAATTTTACAACTTTCCTCCCCCTACTAAATAATTAAAGACAAATCTGGCTTTTATGTTAAACAACTTAATTCTAAGTAGATGGAAAACATTGCATCAGATGGCAAAGAATGCTGCCAATTTTGGAGATTGTGCAGTGTGAAAATAAAAACTTATGACTATCACTGCATAAATTTTAATGACTTCTACCTTTTTGAGGGAAGGCTTTTCTTCAGTAAATAGAGTCCCATTTAGCTAGGGCACATATTCTAACTGATGTCAGTAGCCAAGTTACATGTATGTTAATAGGCACTGAGAATATAGATTTGCCTGGGTTGAATGGTGAGGATTAAGGTTTATTCAGTTTGATTATAGGAGCAACTTTGGTCACCTTGAATCTCTGAAAGAATATCTCGCATATGGTTTGAGCATAGTAGGAATCAATGTATTTGTTGGATTGTTGATTTTATCTCCCTAGTTCCCATATGACTGAACTGAAATGAGGTATATCTTGTCAAAATTTAGACAAATGGGAAGATTCTTGAGAAGAGTCTATTAAGAGAGAGAAGAAATAATTTGGTTTAAGTAAGCCTCTGGTAACTTTATTCAAATGTGGCCAATCCTTTCATAAGAACTAAAGTGGAGTATCATAGGCAGGAACATATGTGCAAGGAAGGTTATAGCTCAGCTGAAAAAGCTAAAACTACCAATCACTCTTATCAGAAAAGTCCCTACATAGATGAGGCTGAATTCAGCCTGAAGACATGTTCTTGTTTGTACTGTATGGTGTCTTAAAAGTGAACTTGAATATCATTAGTCACGGGCTATACTTTCTACCCACTATTCCCAATCATTTTAAACTAGATCTGCTTTACCTTCATTATTTTTTGACTCACCTCCAAGGCATTTGAGTGTGAGATGCTTGCCTAGACAAACAAACAAACAAAAACACAACAAAACAAACTTGTCCATGGTAGTCTTTCAGTTTTGCCCAGAAAAAGATCCCAGATAACAATTCAAACGAAAATATTACATTTGGGAAGATATTATAGTAAAATCTACTAAGGGAATAAGAAAGAAATACAAGAGAAAAAGAGCTGATGCAAGTTGTGTTGTTATGCTAGTTACTAATATAGGTAACTTGACCTCAATTCTCTGGGGAGCTTTGCAAGTCGATATAGAACAAGGACATCCTAACCTAGGGATAAAAGAGGTAGTATATATTTTATTTTACCAACTCTAGTCAACAATTGTTGAAGGCTAATAGGGCAGAATTGGGAGGCATTAATTTTCAGAAACTTCAGGCCAGACATGTAGGCTAGACTTTAACAGTTAGAAATGCACCTGAAGGGTAAACTTTAAGGAGTATGGCCTGGTCAGCCAGCATCTACGAGAGCTTGTGTTTGTTTAAAGTGCTGTGAGAGGGTTGTAAGTTACCTCAATAGCTCATACCGTAAGAGCCTTGCACATCATAAACCAAGGGGATGAGAACACAGTAAGGAGATCTTACAGATTAAGAACTTAGAACACCAGTGCCAGGAGAGGAACCAATGGAGGGAATGGGTTCATCACTGGTTTGAAAAATAGTTCCAACAAAATCCACTGGTATGCAAAATGTCAGGGTAGACAATCTACTAGAGAATATTCACTGAGGAACATTCTAGAAACTTAGGTTACTGCAGTGTTTCAGTTATAACACACTAAAGCAATCCAAAAAAATATAGAGCCATGTGGTCGTAGAAATTTTCTTGTACTCTACATTTTTTCTTGATTTCTTATGTCTATCAACTTGTGAGAATACTGCTGTACTTTTAACGAACATTAACCAGGTAAGTGTGCAGATGTAAAAATCCAATATCCTATGAAGATGTAAAATTAGAACAAAATCAAAGAAGATTAAGAACAAGTAAAAACTATTGAAATTTTAGCTTTTCCTTCCCACTCCCTGAATCCAGCCCCTGCACTCAGCTAAGTAATGGACATCTCAAGACAGACTAGCTTTGAATTTAAAGTGACTTATATTTATATCCTGAGTTTCTTATTTCTACCACTCTAATTAATAGCTTTAGCATAACTGCTATTTTCCATGAACTTCTTTATAGAAATACAAATTACAGATGGTGGTTTCTTAGAAAATTCAAAGCACATTGCTTAATTTATTGATGATTTGTAGTAAATTACACCATGTCAATAAGCAAATTAAAGCCTTAAGAAAGGCAAAATATCAACACAAGCCTATCCTCCTTCAGCTTTTGTTATGTAAATTGCTATAAAATGTGATAATACTATTATAATAAGGAAATAGAAGAGTATATTGCAAAATTAGGCTTATAAAATCTCAAAAGTTTTGTTAGGACCAGGCTTAATTCAGCATTTAACTGATATAAACCATATATTCAATAACATGTTTTAAGATATGAAGAATAAATGCTATTTATATTATTTTCATATGTCTTGGAGCACAATGAGACACAGAGACTTATAAAAGCATATCAAATATAATAATGATGTATCACCAGATTGAATGAGATAATTAAATTGTAATGCTCGCCAAGTAAAAGCTTCTATGTATTTTATATAGAAAAGTTATTTTGTGCTCTAAAGAGATATTTCTGGCCTGTTGGACTTATAATTTGTCTCTGTGAGATAAAGCTTATATTGTTGAGTTAATTAAATCCTGTGTCTAGTGTTCAATCATTCAGTTAGTGACATTTAGTCTCATGAATGTTCCACAGTTTATTAGATTAGGAATTTTAAACACAAAATTTCATAAAAAGTGAATACATACACAAATACCACACTCTCTTGATTATTCCAGTTTTAAAATGACTTAAAATCAGATAACACTAATCGTCTAGTGTTATCTAGAATAGTCAAAGCAAGCAAGTTGCCACTAATAACTGCCTTGGCTATTTTAGGTCTTTTAGATTTTCATAATAGTTCTAGAATTAGCTTGTCAATTTCCATAAAATTCCTTTGTGAGAACTGTGATTGGAACACATGAATGAATTTATAGATTCATTTAGTGAATATCAATATCTTAACAATATTTAATCTTCCAACACATGAACATAGGATATCTCTCAATTTATTTAGCTTTTCCTTAATTTCTTTCAGCATTCAAGATAGCCAAATTGTTAAGATAGAATGACCATTAAAGATAACAGAATAGAAAGTCCAGAAGTAGACCCATGCATATCTAGACAACAGATTTTTGACAAAGGTATGAAGGCACTTCATTGAACAAATATACCCTTTTTAAAATATCTTGCTGGAACAATTGCCTATCCATATGCAAAAAGTAAAACTTCATTTCATACTTCTCACCATACACAAAAATTTATTTCAAATGGATCATAGACCTAAATGTCAAACCTGAAACAATAAAACTTCTAGAGGAAACATGGGAAAGAACTTCTATAACCTTGAGTTAGACAAAGATTTCAGAAATACGTTACCAAAAGCATGATTTACAAAGACCAAATCTATAAACTAGACTTCTTTAATGTTAAAATTCGTGACCTATAAAAAACAATGTTGAGAGACTGAAAAGCCCCCCAAAGTCTGGCCATAAACTGGCCCCAAAACTGGCCATAAATAAAATCTCTCCAGCAAGGTAACATGTCCATAATGGCCATAACGCCCAAGCTGGAAGGTTGTGGGTTTACAGGAATGAGGGCAAGGAACACCCGGCCTGCCCAGGGTGGAAAACCGCTTAAAGGCATTCTTAAGCTACAAAGAAAAGCCTGAGCAATCTCTGTCTTAAGGGTGTGTTCTTGCTGCAATTAATTTGGCTCATCCCTTCATTTCCCTTAAGGGATACTTTTAGTTAATTTAATATCTATAGAAACAATGCTAATGACTGCTTTGCTGTTAATAAATATGTGGGTAAATCTCTGTTTGGGGCTGTCAGCTCTGAAGGCTGTAAGACCCCTGATTTCCCACTTCACACCTCTGTATTTCTGTGTGTGTGTCTTTAATTCCTCTAGCACCACTGGGTTAGGGTCACCAGCCCGAGATGGTCTCGGCAGTCACGCAATGGGAGACTATTTCAAAGCATACATCTGAAAAAGGACTTGTAAAATATATACATATAAAGGACTTTCAAACTTCAATATTAAAAAAAACCTCAATTTAAAAGGTAGGCAAATGGTTTGAACACTTTACAAAAAGATATGAATAGAAAATAGGTGGATGAAAAGATGCTTGATATCATCAGTCATTAAGAAAATGCAAATTAAACCACAGAGAGAAAGTACTATAAATTTAGACTGCCTAAGATTTAAAAAGATTGACCATACTAAGTGTTGAAAAGAATGTGAAGCAACTGGACCACTCATATACTGTTGGTGTGGATGTAAAAATCACACAACTTTGGAGAATAATTTGACAGTTTTAAAAAAATGTAAACAAATAAGTACTACTCCTAAATATTTACCTGAGGGCACTGAAAGCATATTTATATAGAGAGACTTGTATGTAAGCATTCGTAGTAGCTCTACTTATAATAGCCCTGAACCAAAACAACCAAAATATCCATTAGCAGATGAAAGAATACATAATTTGTGATATTTCCATGCAATGGAATTTGACTCCTCAGTAAAATATAATGGATCCTTGTTATATGCAATAGCATAAACAAATCTCAAAATAATTGTATTGAATAAAAGAAGACAGATCAAAAGAGAATGTACTTGATAATGTCATATAAAAATTCTACAAAAGGCAAACTGATCTTTAGACAAACAGCAGCTAAGTGGTTGCTAGCAAGCAGGAGTGAAGGGAGGGAAGGATTGCATAGGGGCATTACAAATGGGGTGAGATGCATATTCATTATCTTGATTGTGATGTTAGTTTTATGGGTGTATACATATGGCAAAACTAATCAAATTGTAGACTTTAAATATGTGTAGCAATATTATAGTTCAATTATATCTCAATAAAGCTGTTTAAAAGATGAATGCACACAATCAGAATGGCAATTTTGTAAAGGGACATGAAAAATAAAACTGCCACATGGATTGCAGCCTGAGAAGAGATATTTTTCCCTGAAAATAGTCTATTTAGGAAACCAAATAACTATATTTATTGTAGAGTAAGAAGTTAGAACAAGAAAAGATAGACAAATTGACTGTATAATGGAATTAGGCTATATATTCCCAATATATCCATCTCTGTTTTAGGACAGACTTCCACAGATAATTAAAAATTAGTGATGTTTTGATCAAACTTTCTGTCCCCTGGACAGAGCTGAGAAGAGTTTTGTCAATATTTTCCTCTGTTACTCACCTTCTTTGCTTCCATGATGGTCTGAAACATAATGGTCATTTTTTTTCCTTTACCTATGTTAACGTATTCAATCAGACTTTAGTTTTTAATTCATGGTGAGTCTCTCAAATAATTTCTTCACAACACAATGATGACTAGTTATATATATATATATCAACCTGGGTTAGGCTATAGTAGTCAATAATGTAATAAAATACTAATCTGTATGTTGCTGTGAAGGCATTGTGCAGATGTGGCTAAAACCTACAATCAGTTGACTTTAACATGGTTTTAGTAGAGCAGATTACTTTCAATAATGTGGATGGCCTCATGCAATCACTGAAAGCCTGAAGAGTAAATATGGGTTTTCTAGACAAATAATTTTGCCTCAAATCTATAACATCATTCCTGCATGAGTTTTCTGCTGAATGGCTTGCCTCACAAATTTTGGAGTTGTTAGCCCCACAACCATATGAGCCACCTCCTTACAATAAATATTGTAATATGTCTATATCTACATCAACATTTCTATACATCTGTATTACACTGATTATGGTTTTCTGGAGAATTCTGACTGATAACATTAGTAATATAATATGCACTGATTTCATAGATTTACTATGCAGAGGAATATCTTTCCTGATTTCCTGAACTGTGGCACTCTAATTTTCTCACCCCAGTGCTAATAAGATCTTAATTAACACATAGTGAATTATTTTTTCTTTTCTTTTCTCTTTTTCTTTCTTTCTTTTTTTTTCTTTTCTTTCTCTCTTTCTCTCTCTCTCTTTCTTTCTCTCTCTCCTTCCTTCCTTCCTTCTTTCCTACCTTCCTTTCTTTTCTTTTCAGGGTCTCACTCTGGTTACCCAGGCTGGAGTGCAATAGTGCCATCACTGGTCACTACAGCCTCAACCTCCCCAGCTCAGGTGACTCTCCAGCCACAGCCTCTGAGTAGCTGGGACTAAGTGCATGTGCCACCATGCCCTGCTAGTTTTTTGTAGTTTTTGTAGAGATGGAGTTTCATCATGTTGCCCAGTCTAGTCACAAACTCCTGGACTCAAGCAATTGGCCAGCTTTGGGCTCCTAAAATGTTGGAGTTACAGATGTGAGTCACCACACCAGGTCTAGTAAACTATTTTCATGATTATTTTAAGATAATCATAATCATTAATATTTTAAAATATATATATAATTTTTAAAGTTTTTTAAATGTTTTATTTCATCTTATCTGAAAATACATGTATTAGTCAGTTTGGGTTGCCATAACAAAATACCATAGGCTGGGCAGTTTAAACACAGAAATTTATTTCTCACAGTTCCAGAGCCCAGAAGTGAAAGATCAAGGCTGGCCATTGTTTCAAAGTGTTCTTGTTGAAGCTTATGAATAGCCACCTTTTTTCTGTGTGTTCAAAAGGTTTTTCCTTGGTGAGTTCATACAGAGAGAGAGCAGGATAAAGTTCTCTGGTATCTCTTCTTATAAAGGAACTGATCCCATCATGTGAGTCCCGCCTACACAACCTCATCTAACCATGGTTACCAACCAAAGGCCTCTGTCTTCTAATATCACAACCTGGTGAATTAGGCCTGCAACATACGATTTTTTTTTTTGAGTTGGGGGCATAATTCAATCCACAGAGATATGCTCCCCTCTAAATAACACTAATAACTGATTTTCCTAGGAATTCTACATTTCTTAAAATAGTCTTGCATATTTTGTCTCATTTGATTTTAACGGCCACTCTATCAAGTATAAACTGAATAGCATATCACTATATTTCATAGGAGGGAAATAAACTAAAACTAAAAAAGTTAAATGACTTCCCCAGCACAACTGTAATAACAGATACAAGAACTATTTCTTTCTAAGTTGTTGCACTATTCTTATTTCGCCACACCACATTCCCTAAAAACATCTTCAAATCCATAAAATGATGATATAGCTGTATGGAGTACAGAGTATAAAGGCAGGTGCAATATAAGGTCCTTGGTTCTGGCATGTCTACTGACTTTGCCCTCAAAACCCTGAAAGATAACTTCCTAAATCTAAGCAGCAGCTAGGTTTCCAATGGGAAAAAACATTACTTTGCTTCAAATGTATAACAAAATCATAATAAGCCTTTCTCAAATCAAATTAAATTACATTAAAATTGTTGCTGTTTATTTAAAAGTTATAATTATACTATATCTTTAAAATTCTATATAAATTACAGCCATAAAAAACTGATGAGTTCAGGTCCTTTGCAGGGACATGGATGAAGCTGGAAACCATCATTCTCAGCAAACTATCATAAGAACAGAAAACCAAACACTGCATGTTCTCACTCATAAGTGGGAGTAGAACAACGAGAACACATGGACACAGGGAGGGGAACATCACACACCGGGGCCTGTTGGGGGTTGGGGGGCTAGGGGAGGGATGACATTAGGAGAAAGACCTAATGTAGGTGACAGGTTGATGGGTGCAGCAAACCATCATGCCACGTGTATACCTATGTAACAAAACTGCACGTTCTGCATATGTACCCCAGAACTGAAAGTATAAAACAAAAAATTCTATATAAATTACTATATTAAAAAATAGCCAAAAACTTACTTTGTGCATTGCATTAAATAGCCTATGTTTTTTTCACCTGAAGTAAAGACAATACTGTAAAGCAGAGATGCGTGTGTGTAAATGCTGGGGTCTGGATTTGTATTCACTTCATCCATTTCTCCCTGAGATATCCCCATGGAAAGCTTAGTCTTTTCATGCTACCAGAGTGATTTGAAAATGTTTGTTCCAGGTGATACCTGCATAGAGTTTAATATTTTCAATATGTGGATTTTTGTTCTTCTTAGAATAGATATTTATGCTTAAAAATGTAAAGGGTTGTCACAATGGGACTGTATGCCTACCACAGTAGAGACAGCTCCCAACAATACAGTAGAAACCCTAGATTTGTGCCTTCCCACTGACTTTGACCTCAAGGCACTGAAAGATAACCATTTTGTCTAACAGTAAGTAGTAATTCAGTTTCCAGTTCAGCTAAAACCATAGCCTCACCTCAATTTTAACAGTTGAAATTCTTATGTCCTCTCTGGGTCACATCTGGTCACTTTTAAAACCTCTTAAATTCAGTTACCATGGAACCAATGGATATCACATATAGTATCCTGAGGGTGAGCTGAAAAAGTAAGTCAGAAAATGCCTTTCTCTAATAGCTTCTTTTCAAAATTTTCCAAAGAACATATTATATTGAGCACAATCCATGGGACACTTTACATTTTTCTGATGATAGGTGACAGCTGTTGATTGAGATCTTACATCATGAGCTTCTACTGAAACTCAACAAACTGCATTTCAATTACCCAAAGTTTCTTTGGCCTTACACTGGTGTCACAAAAATAAATTGCTATAAAACTTTGCAATCATATACCACTAAAGGTTTTACTAGACCAAGTTGGCAGGTTATCACAGAAGCACATATTTGGATAAAGATGAATCAAAGGAATTTTGATAAGCTGCAAAATGTTAGAAAATAAAGCTAGGGAACATATTTTTATGTCCGAATCCTTTTTTTTTTTTTTTAAAAAAAAGAAACTAACATTAATTAGTATTTACTTAGCACAATTCTTAGGTATAATTCTTATTACTGCATGTTTTTATTAACTCATTAAGTCGTTGCCTAACTTTTTGAGAAAGATACATGTATTAACTTTCTCTTCCCTTTATAGATAAGAAAACTAAGGCACAAAACACTTAGTAAATTTCTTATATTATTCAGATAAGTGCCAAAATCAAAATTCAAACACAGTCACTCTGGCTTCATAGGTTTCTGCATGTAAGTATATTCATATTCAAATGAATATAGTGAGTCATGAACAAAAAAGTTGAATTATATTAAAATTTATATATGGTGGTTATTTTGTTATGCAAAATTGGTATCTCTAAGGAACACCTCACAAACTTCCACAAACACAAATATGGAGTAAAACATGCTGTTTTGATACACGGATGCATTGTGTAATGATCGAATTGGGGCAATTAGAGTATTCATCAACTTGAACGTTTGTCATTTATTTATATGAGAATATTAAAAACCTCTCTTCTGCCTGTTTTGAAATATATACTGCATTACTGTTAACTCTACTCATCCTACTATTCAGTAGAACATCATGGCCTATTCTTCCTACCTAACTGTAGCTTTGCACTTGTTGACAATCTCTCATCATCCTCCCTCCCCGCTCTGTTCCCTACCTCTGGTAACCACTGTTATTTTGCCTACTTCTATGAGAACAACTTTTAGATTCTACATATGAGTAAGATCATGTGGTATTTGTCTTTCTGTGCCTAGCTTATTTAATTTAACATAAATGGCCCTCAGCTTCATTCATGATGCTGCAACTGTCATAATTTCATTATTTTTATGGCTGAATAGTATTCCATTGTGTATATATACCATGGTGTTTTTTATCCACTCATTTGTGGAGGAACATCCAGGTTGTTTCCTATTTGGCTGTTGTGAATAGTGCTGCAACAAAGACAGGAGTGCAGCCATCTCTTCAACACACTGATTTTATTTCCTTTGGATATATATCAAATTGTATGATTGCTGGATCACACTGTAGTTCTACTTTTAATTATCTGAGGAACCTCCTTACTGTTTTTCAGAATAGGTGTACTAATTTAGGTTACCACAAGAAGTACATAAAGTTCCCTTTTCTCCACATCCTTACTAACACTTGCTATCTTTTATTTTTGAATAGTAGCTATTATTACTGGAGTAAGGTTATATCTCATTTTAATTTGATTTGCATTCCCCTGATGATTAGTGATGTTGAGCATGTTTTCCTATACCTGTTGGCCATGTGTATTTCTTCTTCAGAGAAATGTCTATTCAGGTATTTTGCTCATTAAGAAACAGGTTTTTTTGTATGTGTGTTGCTGTTGAATTATTTGACTTCCTTATATATTGAATGTTAATATTTTATCAAATGTAGAGTTTGCAAATAAATATATTCTCTCATTGTGTAGGTTGCCTCTTTTCTCTGTTGATTATTTCCTTTGATTTTTAAAATGTTTCAGTTTTATGGAATCTCATATGTGAATATTTACTTTTGTTTGCTGGAATTCAATGGAAGCACAAAAGACCCCAAATAGCCAAAACAATTTTGAGCAAAAATAACAAAACTGATGTTACCACATCACCTATCTTCAAAACATGCTACAAAGTCATAATGATGAAAACAGCATGGTACTGGAATAAAAACAGATACATAGACTAGGAGTAATATAAAGCCCACAAATAAACCCACACATCTACAGTCAATCAATTTTGACAAAGGTACCAAGCACTCACAGTGGGGAAAAGACAGCCTCTTCAAAAAACGGTGCTGGGAAAACTGTATATACACAGCAGAAGAATGAAAGTAGACCCTTATCTCTCACCATATGCAAAAAAATAACTCAGAATGGATTAAAGACCTCAATGTAAGTCTTAAAACTATCAAATCACTAGAAAAAACTAGAAGAAAGCTCCATGACACTGACTTAGGCACGGATTTTTGTTTTTGTTTTTGTTTTTGTTTTTTTTTGGATAAGTAGCTTTTCCAAGTAGCAAACACCAAATGTAAAATGAGTGATTCAAATTCAATGAGAATGCAGAACTGTTACAGGCTTCCACTTCATTCAAGATGGAGTAAAAAATGATCTTATTGCCTGAAACAACCTAAGAAAAGAACAAACAAACAAAAAATGTATACACAATATGCAATGAAACAGCTTTAGGGACACCGGGCAAGAAAGGATAGTGATCCCAGAGAAATAAGAAACAATATGGTGAGTTCCACAATGTTCCAGCTCACTGCCTTAGTAGAATGTCCAGGGCATAGAAAAGAAAAGGGGAATTCAATTGAAGTTCCAAAAATGCCCTTAGTTAAAAAGACTTTGCTGAGAGTACTCTCAGCTCAGGGGAGAGAACTGCATCTACAACAACACAAATGAATCTCAAAGTAATTATGTGGAATGAAAGAAGCCAGATAAAAAGTGTATGTGGTGTATAATTCCACTTGTATAAAACTAGAAAATGCAAACTCATTTGTACTGATAACATATCAGTGATCACATTGTGGCAAGATTTGTAGGAAGAGATAACTCAAAGATACAAGGTAACTTTTGGAGGTGATGGGTATGTTCACTATCTTAATTTTGTTCAGTTTCACAGGTGTATAAATGTGCCAAAACATATATTGTACATTTGAAATATGTATATTTTATAGAATTCAATTATACCTCAACAAAACTAAGAAATTGCTGATTTGGGCATAATGTTTTGGAAAGTTGAGTTTTGTGGTTGGCCTCCATGGAATGATGGCACTTAGTAAAAAAAATGAAATAAAAGGCCAGCCTTTCTTTGATGAATACTCTAAATACCAGGGAAGTAAGCTAAGGGTTTTGGGAGGACTGTAACTTGATGCCTTTGGCTTGAATATTGGTTAATTTGGGTCATTGTGAGAGTACTGAGGTAGTTTGAGGCTAAATATTATTATGGGTTAAGTGTAATTATTTACAAAGACATTGTATTTTTTCCTATTGCCACAAAAGTAGTGGAATAATACAATGCAAATTTATTATTTTGTGGTTTCCATAGATCTGGAGCCCAGGTATGGATGTATTAATTTCCTATTACCACTGTAACAAATAACCACAAACTTAGTTGCTTAAAACAACACAAATCTATCCTCTTATATTTCTGGAGATCAGAAGTCTAAAATCAGTTTTATTAAGTTGAGTTAAAGATATCAGGAGTCAAGCTGGTCAGGAGAAGGCTGGTTCCTTTCGGATGCTCTCATGGGAGAATTAATTTTCTTGACTTTTTAGTGGTAACTTCTAGTGGCCACCTGTATTCCTTGGCTTGTGGCTACTTCCTCCATTTTTAGAGTGCATCCCTCCAACCTCTGCTTCCATCTTCATATTGATGGCTATTCTCTTGAACTTTTTGCTTCTCTTTCTTAAGGACCTTTGTGATAGAATCTAGTGCCCCACAAAATAATTCAAAATAATATATCTTCCTAAAATTCTTAAAATACCTCTGCAAAGTCTCTGTGGCATATAGAATAATATTCATAGTTTCTTGGGATTAGGACATGTTATCTTTGTCAGGGGGGCATTATTTAGCCTGCCACAATGGGTTAGCTGAGTCCTCTGCTCAGGGTCTTAACAGGCTGAAATAATGGTGAGGGATAGGCTGCACTTTTTTTTTTTTTCTTAGACAGGGTCTTGCTTTGTTGCCCAGGCTGGAGTGCAGTGGCATGATCATGGCTCACTGCAGTCTTAACCCCCTGGACTTAAGCATTCCTCCCACTTCAGCCTCCCTAGTAGCTGGGACTGCAGGTATAAGCCACCACACCTGCTAATTTTTGTATTTTTTGTAGACATGGGGTTTCACTATGTTTCCCAGGCTTGTCTCATACTCCTGAACTCAAGCAATCTGCTAGCCTCAGCCTCCCAAAACTCTGGGATTACAGGAGTGAGCCACCCTGCCTGGCCCTAAGGCTACACTCTTATATGGGGCTTAGGGTCCTTTTCCAAACTCATTCATGTAGTTGACAGAATTAAGACTATGCAACTGAGGTCTCATTTCTTACTGGCTGTGGGGTGAGAAAGCCACTGTTCATTGTTAGAAGCTGTCTTCAGGACCAGGTAATATGGCTCTCTCACATAGCCACTCAAACTTTCAGACCAACAAGGGACAATTTCTCGCATCATTATGCTGGTATCTTAAATAACCTTAATTCTGTGTCCCTCAGCATTTTCCCCTGGTTAAGTAAGCAATGAAAAACCCATTGAATATTTTCATTACATGTTTTAAGAAAAAGCAGAAGCCCTTTGAATATATTTTTGACATTTCAAAACATTTTGTCCTATTTTAAAGGCTCTACTTATCACTTGTTAACAAATAATAAACACATTTTGAAAGTAGAGAAACATGTCATCATAAAGCAGTAGCAGGTTCAAAACAGACAAATAAAAGAGCCATATTGATGATGCTCAATGCTCCATTCTGCCATTTTCAAATGAAAAGCAAATACAAGAAACTCTAGTCTACAGGTGTTCAATATAAATCAGATATCACGTTATGACACATGTTTCTGTTCTCCATGGGATTTATGCTTCTTCAAGACATTTTGTTACAAAATGTACCTTATTGCATTTTCTGATATTTTGAGAAGGAACAAAATCTAACACAATAAGCATATCTTAGGGCTTTGTCACTGGTGTAGAAAGAACATAATGAAGTACAAGTTCATGTTCCTGTTTTATTTTACTTGAAATCATAAAGAGAAATTATCAAGAGAAAAATGTTAAGTGTGACTCAAAACAAATTGTATGTAAGTGACAAGCGGAATGGCAAAAGTGTGAATTATCTCTCTGGCTTATAAACAAAATTATGAATCTATTCTGCTATTCCTAATTCATTTTGCCTTTACAAGGGTATATTGAAAACTAGGTAGGGTAAAACTTCCCCCACTTTACTCCTTTCAGGTCTGCATTCATATGCAGTATTTTTTTTCATGTTACTGCAACCGTACCTAAACCTATGTATACTGTGGAATACAGTGCTCATTTGATATCATATTAATGTGTTTCACTGGATTTTAATTAGTTTTCTTCATTTATATTATGTACTCAATTTATAAACAACTAGAAAGCAGAAATCATTTTATACATCTTTGTATCACCAATGTCCATATCTATGCTTTGAATACTATACAAAAATAATTCATAATGATTCTGTAGACAATTTCAATAAAACCAATTACAATATTGCACATTATTTTGAGCATTTTGTAATCTTTGGATTAATTTTTTATTGGTATAGGGACAAACATACACAACTGAACTCAATAACACACACACAAATGTGTGTGTGTTGTATATGGTATAACTGCAGAATTCCTGACACATAATAGTTGTTCTATAATTGGTAGTTAAAATTACACTTATAGATCATTTCACCTAGGATTTAGCTAAGCTCTCTATACCTAGAATACAGTTAAGAATGACATTATTAGAGGGCAGCCAAGACGGCCGAATAGGAACAGCTCCTGTCTACAGCTCCCAGCATGAGCAACGCAGAAGACGGGTGATTTCTGCATTTCCATCTGAGGTACCGGGTTCATATCACTAGGGAGTGCCAGACAGTTGGTGCGGGGCAGTGGGTGGGTGCACCGTGCATGAGCCGAAGCAGGGTGAGGCATTGCCTCACTCCAGAAGCGCAAGGGGTCAGGGAGTTCCCTTTCCTAGTCAAAGAAAGGGGTGACAGATGGCACCTGGAAAATCAGGTCATTCCCACCCGAATACTGTGCTTTTCTGAGAGGCTTAAAAAACGGTGCACCAGGAGATTATATCCCGCACCTGGCTTGGAGGGTCCTATGCCCACGGAGTCTCGCTGATTGCTAGCACAGCAGTCTGAGATCAAACTGCAAGGCGGCAGCGAGGCTGGGGGAGGGGTGCCCGCCATTGCCCAGGCTTGATTAGGTAAACAAAGCAGCTGGGAAGCTCGAACTGGGTGGAGCCCACCACAGCTCAAGGAGGCCTGCCGGCCTCTGTAGGCTCCACCTCTGGGGGCAGGGCACAGACAAACAAAAAGACAGCAGTAACCTCTGCAGACTTAAATGTCCCTGTCTGACAGCTTTGAAGAGAGCAGTGGTTCTCCCAGCACGCAGCTGGAGATCTGAGAACGGGCAGACTGCCTCCTCAAGTGGGTCCCTGACCCCTGACCCCTGAGCAGCCTAACTGGGAGGCACCCCCCAGTAGGGGCAGACTGACACCTCACACGGCCGGGTACTCCTCTGAGACAAAACTTCCAGAGGAACAATCAGACAGCAGCATTCGCAGTTCAGGAAAATCCGCTGTTCTGCAGCCACCACTGCTGATACCCAGGCAAACAGGGTCTGGAGTGGACCTCTAGCAAACTCCAACAGACATGCAGCTGACGGTCCTGTCTGTTAGAAGGAAAACTAACAAACAGAAAGGACATCCACACCAAAAACCCATCTGTACATCACCATCATCAAAGACCAAAAGTAGATAAAACCACAAAGATGGGGAAAAAACAGAGCAGAAAAACTGGAAACTCTAAAAAGCAGAGCGCCTCTCCTACTCCAAAGGAACGCAGTTCCTCACCAGCAATGGAACAAAGCTGGACGGAGAATGACTTTGACAAGTTGAGAGAAGAAGGCTTCAGATGATCAAACTACTCTGAGCTACAGGAAGAAATTCAAACCAAAGGCAAAGAAGTTAAAAACTTTAAAAAAAAATTAGACGAATGTATAACTAGAATAACCAATACAGAGAAGTGCTTAAAGGAGCTGATGGAGCTGAAAGCCAAGGCTCGAGAACTACGTGAAGAATGCAGAAGCCTCAGGAGCTAATGCAATCAACTGGAAGAAAGGGTACCAGTGATGTAAGATCAAATGAATGAAATGAAGCAAGAAGGGAAGTGTAGAGAAAAAAGAATAAAAAGAAATGAACAAAGCCTCCAAGAAATATGGGACTATGTGAAAAGACCAAATCTACGTCTGATTTGTGTACCTGAAAGTGACGGGTAGAATGGAACCAAGTTGGAAAACACTCTGCAGGATATTATCCAGGAGAAATTCCCCAATCCAGCAAGGCAGGCCAACATTCAGAATCAGGAAATATAGAGAACGCCACAAAGATACCCCTTGAGAAGAGCAACTCCAAGACACATAATTGTCAGATTCACCAAAGTTGAAATGAAGGAAAAAATGTAAAGGGCAGCCAGAGAGAAAGGTCGGGTTACCCACAAAGAGAAGCCCATCAGACTAACAGCGGATCTCTCGGCAGAAACTCTACAAGCCAGAAGAGAGTGGGGGCCAATATTCAACATTCTTAAAGAAAAGAATATTCAACCCAGAATTTCATATCCAGCCAAACTAAGCTTCATAAGTGAAGGAGAAATAAAATACTTTACAGACAAGCAAATGCTGAGAGATTTTTGTCACCACCAGGCCTGCCCTAAAAGAGCTCCTGAAGGAAGCAATAAACATGGAAAGGAACAACTGGTACCAGCTGCTGCAAAATCATGCCAAAATGTAAAGACCATCAAGACTAGGAAGAAACTGCATCAACTAATGAGTAAAATAACCAGCTAACATCATAATGACAGGATCAAATTCACACATAACAATATTAACCTTAAATGTAAATGGACTAAATGCTCCAATTAAAAGACACAGACTGGCAAATTGGATAAAGAGTCAAAACCCATCAGTGTGCTGTATTCAGGAAACCCATCTCACGTGCAGAGACACACATAGGCTCAAAATAAAAGGATGGAGGAAGATCAACCAAGCAAATGGAAAACAAAAAAAGGCAGGGGTTGCAATCCTAGTCTCTGATAAAACAGACTTTAAACCAACAAAGATCAAAAGAGACAAAGAAGGCCATTACATAATGGTAAAGGGATCAATTCAATAAGAAGAGCTAACTATCCTAAATATATATGCACCCAATACAGGAGCACCCAGATTCATAAAGCAAGTCCTGAGTGACTTACAAAGAGACTTAGACTCCCATACATTAATAATGGGAGACTTTAACACCCC
Source organism: Homo sapiens (assembly GCF_000001405.40). Lineage (NCBI taxonomy): Eukaryota > Metazoa > Chordata > Mammalia > Primates > Hominidae > Homo > Homo sapiens. Next base: position 86,766,436 of record NC_000012.12, read on the forward strand.
ACTGTCAACATTAGAAAGATCAACGAGACAGAAAGTTAACAAGGATACCCGGGAATTGAACTCAGCTCTGCACCAAGCAGACCTAATAGACATCTACAGAACTCTCCACCCCAAATAAACAGAATATACATTTTTTTCAGCACCACACCACACCTATTCCACAATTGACCACATAGTTGGAAGTAAAGCTCTCCTCAGCAAATGTAAAAGAACAGAAATTATAACAAACTATCTCTCAGACCACAGTGCAATCAAACTAGAACTCAAGATTAAGAAACTCACTCAAAACCGCTCAACTACATGGAAACTGAACAACCTGCTCCTGAATGACTACTGGGTACATAACAAAATGAAGGCAGAAATAAAGATGTTCTTTGAAACCAACGAGAACAAAGACACAACATACCAGAATCCCTGGGACACATTCAAAGCAGTGTGTAGAGGGAAATTTATAGCACTAAATGCCCACAAGAGAAAGCAGGAAAGATAGAAAATTGACACCCTAACATCACAATTAAAAGAACTAGAAAAGCAAGAGCAAACACATTCAAAAGGTAGCAGAAGGCAAGAAATAACTAAAATCAGAGCAGAAGTGAAGGAAATAAAGACACAAAAAACCCTTCAAAAAATTAATGAATCCAGAAGCTGGTTTTTTGAAAAGATCAACAAAATTGATGGACTGCTAGCAAGATTAATAAAGAAAAAAAGAAGAATCAAATAGACACAATAAAAAATGATAAAGGGGTTATCACCACTGATCCCACAGAAATACAAACTACCATCAGAGAATACTACAAACACCTCTACACAAATAAACTAGAAAATCTAGAAGAAATGGATAAATTCCTCGACACATAAACCCTCCCAAGACTAAACCAGGAAGAAGTTGAATCTCTGAATAGACCAAAACAGGCTCTGAAATTGTGGCAATAATCAATAGCTTACCAACCAAAAAGAGTCCAGGACCAGATGGATTCACAGCTGAATTCTACCAGAGAGGTACAAGGAGGAACTGGCACCATTCCTTCTGAAACTATTCCAATCAATAGAAAAAGAGGGAATCCTCCCTAACTCATTTTATGAGGCCAGCATCATCCTGATACCAAAGCTGGGCAGAGACACAACCAAAAAAGAGAATTTGAGACCAATATCCTTGATGAACACTGATGCAAAAATCCTCTATAAAATACTGGCAAACCGAATCCAGCAGCACATCAAAAAGCTTATCTACCATGATCAAGTGGGCTTCATCCCTGGGATGCAAGGCTGGTTCAATATATGAAAATCAATAAATGTAATCCAGCATATAAACAGAACCAAAGACAAAAACCACATGATTATCTCAATAGATGCAGAAAAGGCCTTTGACAAAATTCAACAACCCTTCATGCTAAAAACTCTCAGTAAATTAAGTATTGATGGGACGTATCTCAAAATAATAAGAGCTATCTATGACAAACCCACAGCCAATATCATATTGAATGGGCAAAAACTGGAAGCATTCCCTTTGAAAACTGGCACAAGACAGGGATGCCCTCTCTCACCACTCCTATTCAACATAGTGTTGGAAGTTCTGGCTAGGGCAATTAGGCAGGAGAAGGAAATAAAGAGTATTCAATTAGGAAAAGAGGAAGTCAAATTATCCCTGTTTGCAGATGACATGATTGTATATCTAGAAAACCCCATTGTCTCAGCCCAAAATCTCCTTAAGCTGATAAGCAACTTCAGCAAAGTCTCAGGATACAAAATCAATGTACAAAAATCACAAGAATTCTTATACACCAATAGCAGACAAACAGAGAGCTAAATCATGAGTGAATTCCCATTCACAATTGCTTCACAGAGAATAAAATACTTAGGAATCCAACTTACGAGGGATGTGAAGGACCTCTTCAAGGAGAACAACAAACCACTGCTCAATGAAATAAAAGAGGATACAAACAAATGGAAGAACATTCCATGCTCATGGGTAGGAAGAATCAATATCGTGAAAATGGCCATACTACCCAAGGTAATTTACAGATTCAATGCCATCCCCATCAAGCTACCAATGACTTTCTTCACAGAATTGGAAAAAACTACTTTAAAGTTCATATGGAACCAAAAAAGAGCCTGCATCGCCAAGTCAATCCTAAGCCAAAAGAACAAAGCTGGAGGCATCACGCTACCTGACTTCAAACTATACTACAAGGCTACAGTAACCAAAACAGCATGGTACTGGTACCAAAACAGAGATATAGATCAATGGAACAGAATAGAGCCCTCAGAAATAACGCCGCATATCTACAACTATCTGATCTTTGACAAACCTGAGAAAAACGAGCAATGGGGAAAGGATTCCCTATTTAATCAATGGTGCTGGGAAAACTGGCTAGCCATATGTAGAAAGCTGAAACTGGATCCCTTCCTTACACCTTATACAAAAATTAATTCAAGATGGATTAAAGACTTAAACATTAGACCTAAAACCATAAAAACCCTAGAAGAAAACCTAGGCATTACCATGCAGGACATAGGCATGGGCAAGGACTTCATGTCTAAAACACCAAAAGCAATGGCAACAAAAGACAAAATTGACAAATGGGATCTAATTAAACGAAAGAGCTTCTGCACAGCAAAAGAAACTACCATCAGAGTGAACAGGCAACCTACAAAATGGGAGAACATTTCTGCAACCTACCTATCTGACAAAGGGCTAATATCCAGAATCTACAAAGAACTCAAACAAATTTACAAGAGAAAAACAAAAAACCCCATAAAAAATTGGCCAAGGACATGAACAGACACTTCTCAAAAGAAGACATTTATGCAGCCAAAAGACACATGAAAAAATGCTCACCATCACTGGCCATCAGAGAAATGCAAATCAAAACCACAATGAGATACCATCTCACACCAGTTAGAATGGCAATCATTAAAAAGTCTGGAAACAGGTGCTGGAGAGGATGTGGAGACATAGGAACACTTTTACACTGTTGGTGGGATTGTAAACTAGTTCAACCATTGTGGAAGTCAGTGTGGCGATTCCTCAGGGATCTAGAACTAGAAATACCATTTGACCCAGCCATCCCGTTATTGGGTATATACCCAAAGGATTATAAATCATGCTGCTATAAAGACATATGCACACGTATGTTTATTGCAGCACTATTCACAATAGCAAAGACTTGGAACCAACCCAAATATCCAACAATGATAGACTGGATTAAGAAAATGTGGCACATATACACCATGGAATACTATGCAGCCATAAAAAATGATGAGTTCATGTCCTTTGTAGGGACATGGATGAAATTGGAAATCATCATTCTCAGTAAACTATCGCAAGGACAAAAAACCAAACACCGCATGTTCTCACTCATAGGTGAGAACTGAACAGTGAGAACACATGGACACAGGAAGGGGAACATCACACTCTGGGGACTGTTGTGGTGTGGAGTGGGGGAGGGATAGCATTAGGAGATATACCTAATGCTAAATGACAAGTTAATGGGTGCAGCACACCAGCATGGCACACGTATACATATGTAACTAACCTGCATATTGTGCACATGTACCCTAAAACTGAAAGTATAATAATAATAAAATAAAAAAAGAATGACATTATTAGCTTTATTCCATTAAAAATTTTATAATCAATAGATTAGTATATGATGTTAATTCTTATGATCTGATGAGGATGATTTAGCCTATATTCAGAAACAGAGACTATTTTTTTTCATAGAACGTTAGTATTCTATGAACAATTAGGTGGAAAAAGCAGTTTTAATATAAATATCCATTTATGGTGGCAACAATAGTGTAGATATGGAGCAGTGACTGTATTTATATACCTGGTCTACCAAATTTATATGAATGCAGACTTTAAACTGTTTGAAAATATATGTATTATTTATATTAATCTTTTTATTTCCCAGTGTTAGTACAATACTAGAGAGTAGTGACTACTAAATATTATCTAATCAATACCATTCTGTTGTTTGCATTTTGTTAAATAATCAAATGTTTCAAGAAACATTATATAATGGTTTCCCATGATTTCTGCTTTATATATATTTTAGGCCTCTCAAAACATATTAAATATTATACATGATCCATAGAAGTAGAATTGCAGAAGGAAGTTAAAAGACAATTTAAAAATAATTGTTGGCTGTGTTTTTGCATAGATAATGTAGTAATCATAGAAAATGGTAATGAATTTCAGATGATTCAGGAATATATGTTAAACACCATAAGCATCAACTTATGTATGAATTCTTTCAATATGAGGACCAAAGTTTTATTCTTGAATATAGTTAATAATCTTAATCTTCCCTATTTGAAATTTAGGTGTCAAATTAGAAAAAGGGAAAAAATAATAATTTTGGAATTAAGTGTATAAATTTTAAGTTGTTTTTCTAGAAATCTTTAGTTATAAGATATATTATTATAAATATGACATGAGCTTGAAGGAAGGTGGTGTGGGTTGAATTGTGTCTCCTTCCCCAAACTCATATGTTGAGTTCATAACTGTCAATACCTCAGAATGTAATTGTATTTGGAGATAGGGTCTTTACAGAGATCATTAAGTTAAAATGAGGTCATTAGGGTGAGTCCTAATTCAATATGACTGGTGTCCTTATAAGAAGAGGTAATTCAGGTACAGATCTATAGAGAGATGATATGAAGACATGGAGATAAGACAGCCATATTCAAGCTAAGGAAAGAGGCCTGGAACATATCCTTTCCTCATGGGCCTCTGAATAAACCATCCCTGTCACCACCATGATCTCAGACTCCTAGCCTACAGAATTGTACACAAATTTCTGATGTTTAAGCCACTCATTCTGAGGCACTTTGTCAAAGCAACCCTAGCCAAACTAATACAGATTTTGGTACTGAGAAGTGGGGTGCTACTATAACACACATTGAAAAATATGAAAGTGGCTTTGGAATTGGGTTTTATGTAGAGGCTGGAAGAGTTGTAAAATGTATGTTACAAAGAGTCTAGATTTCCTTGGAAAGATTGATGGTAGAAATATGGTCATTGAAGGAATCTCTGGTAAGGACTCAGAAAAAAAAAGATAGCTGTAGAAAAAGTCTCTATCCTCTTAAAAAATATATATGTCATTGTGTACAGAATGTAAGTAAGGATGGGCATGGTGGTTGATGCCTGTAATCCCAGACTTTGGGAGGCCAAGGTGGGAGGATTACTTGAAGCCAGGAGTTTGAGACCAACTTGTTTATGTAAAAAAAAGTACATAAATATATATGTGTGTGTGTGTGTGTGTGTGTGTGTGTGTGTGTGTATGTGTGTGTGTATGAATATTGGTAGAATGTTAAAGATGCTTTGGTAAGGTATTAGAGGGAAAAGAGAAACATTACTGAAACTGGAGGAAAAACGACCTTTGTTATACAGTAATGCAAAGTTTAGCCAAATTGTGTTCTAGTGTTTTGTGGAAAATAGAACTTTTATAAATTTGGATATTTAGCTGATAAGATTTGTATTTTTTATAAAAAGTATTGATAGTATTCCTTCTCCTTGTTGCTTATGGCAAAATACTAAAGGAGAGAGATAAGTGGAAGAAAGAATTGCTAAACAAAAAGGAAGCAGTATCTGAAGATATGGAAAATCCTCAGCATATCCATACTGCAAAAAATCAGAAAACCTGTTCTGGAGGAAACATCAAGGTTGTGGCTGAATGACCATTTGCTAAAGAGATTGTATGTATGGCTCATGGGTCTATTCAACCATCTCACCAGAAGCTGGGATTGAAGATGTGGTTATCCAGGAAAGATCTGTGAAGGATCCTCCTGGACTGTCCTCATGTTTGATGGCTTGGACGTCTGTGAATTGCATGGTAGGCCAGAAAAGTTTTTTGAGAATTCGATACATGCTGAAACACACCCAGCTTGTACTGAAGAAAATAAAGATGAAACAAAATAAACGGATGGAACAAAATTCTACAGGAGGGAAAAGCAGATTAATTGGCTGTGAATGTGCATTATCCCTTAATAAAAAGATTGAATGACCTTGCAGGCAGTGCAGAAGTTGGCATTTCTGCCACTACAACAGGCCCGCGAGTAGGTTTGTCTCCTCCTTGGTTCTAAATGGCAAGGCCTCCTCTAAAGTTTCAAAGGAACAGGCCATTGCCACCTAAGGCTGAGGAGATGAGGCTGCCACCCTGAGGGGGCCCAAAGAATAGGACTGCTACCATGATGGTCCAGAGGACTTAAGATTTGGCTCCAGAGCAGTCAAAGAGGATAATTTTTAAGATTTAAAATCTGATAGAATTTTCCCTACTAGCTTTTGGACTTGCTTGGAATGCATAACCTCTTTATTTCTGTTTTCTTCCTTTTGAAATTGAAACGTATATCCAATTCCTATCCCACCATTGTATTTTCAAAGAAGACAACTTGTCTGGTTTCACAAGTTCACAGCTGGAGAGTAATTTTGCCTCAGGATGAATCATACCTGGAGTCTCACCCACACGTGGATCAAATGGCATTTAAATGAGATTTGTGACTTAGAGTTGATTCTGGAATGAGTTAAGACTAGGGGCTGCTGGGATGGGGTGAATGTATTTTGCATGTGAGAAAGGCATACATTTGTGGGGGGCAGAGCATGACATGCTGTGGGCTGGGCTGAATTATTTCCCCCTTCCAATTCATATATTGCAGGCTTAATCCCTAGTACCACAGAATGTGACTATATTTGATGGTCACTTTACAGATATAATTAAGTTAAAATGAGTTACTTGGGGTAGGTCTTAATCCAACATGACTGATGTCTTAAAATGAGCTCATTAAAGTAGGACCTAGTCCACTATGACTGGTGTCCTTATTAGAAGAGTAAATGTAGACATACCAACATCTACAGAGGGAAGAGGATATGAAAACACAGGGAGAAGATAGCCACCTGTAAGCCAGGGAAAAAGCCTCCCCTTTTGGCCCTCAGAAAGAACCTACCCTGTTGACACCTTGATCTTGAACTTACAACCCTCAAAAATGTGAGAAAATAAATTTATACTTTTAAAGCCACTGGTCTGGGATACTTTGTTATGGCAACCCTAGCAAACTAATATAGAAGGCAACCAACACAAACAAACAAACCAAAAACTTCTTAATATTTTCCTACTGAGGAATTAATATTTTCCTATCTTACTATTTTCCTACTGCTGAGTAGGAAGGAAATAGAAAATTTGATATTTATAGCTACCACAAGGCATATAATTCTACTGTATAATAAATCTAATAATTTATATTCATATCTCTTAACTATTTATAAGACAAGTGATATATGTATGTGTGTGTGCATGTGTGTGTATATATTTGTACACTTTTAATTTTGAGCTCTTTCATGGAAAGGATTTTTTAAACTCTTCTTTGTAATTACATATAATGTATATTATGTAAAGCTTCCACATTGTATAAGTTTATGTAAAATACTTAAGTATAGATTATTTTACATTAATTTTATTTAACTAAAACATGTCAGTTTAACAGGTTCACATTTTTTTAAAGTAACTTCTTTTTTTTTTTTTTTTTTTTTTTTTTGAGTGGGAGTCTCACTTTGTCACCCAGGCTGGAATACACTGGCATGACCTGGGCTTACTGCGACCTCTGTCTTTTGGGTTCAAGCAATCCTCTCATCTCAGCCTCCTAAGCAGCTGGGACTACAGCTGTGCACCATCCTGCTCTGCTAATTTTTGTATTTTTAGTAAACATCGGATTTCACTATGTTGGCCAGGCTGGTCTTGAACTTCTGACCTCGAGTGATCTGTCCACCTGGCCTCCTAAAGTGCTGGGATTACAGGTGTGAGCCACCACACCCAGCTAGCCTTAAAAAGTAACTTCTAAGGCTTGCTCTTTCTTTCTTTCTTTCTTTCTTTCTTTCTTTCTTTCTTTCTTTCTTTCTTTCTTTCTGTCTCTCTCTCTCCCCTCTCTCTCTCTCTCTTTCTGTCTGTCTCTCTCTCTCTCTCCTCTCTCTCTCTCTCTCTCTCTCTCTTTCTTTCTTTCTTTTCTGTTAGCCATGCACCTAAACATAGATGAAAGGAAATCAGTTCATACGGGTATATTCGATATATTTCTTTGAAAAGTTATCTGTCTCACTGTTGGGCTTGACTGCATTCTCAAATGACTATAATTATTCTATTCTCATATTTTTCTCCTGTAGAAAAGAAATCATGTTTGCATCAGTGCAGTTTGTATATAAAATAATTCACCACATTTATCAATTTAATTCCAATTAGCTTTCCTTAACCTGTTAATATGATTCTTTATTACTATAAAAGATTTTAATTTACCATTCAAAAGGATTTTAAATATTTTAAAAAGCATTTTGAAGAAAGCAGCAATTCAAGCAGTTTCATACTTCATCTTAATAAGAGCACTAATTTAATGATTGAAAATAGAGTTGGTTCTATAATGAGGTCTCATGAGTACTTCATTACATGATAAAGTAACACACAAAGGCAACCAATTCTTGCAAATTTAAAAGAGAACTATCTGAGAGAAAAGAATCAATGTAATAGATTATCCGTAGGTCAAGTATTATTAAGCAGAAATAATTGTTTAGTGGCTAACTTTTGTAAACATACCAAAGCTTTGTCTTTTAAAAACATATACATTGCATAATAAAAAGCAACAGGCCTTTAGTAAATGGATTTTTCTATTTAGTAAAAAGAGCCATGAAATAGACATTGCAACTGATTGTTTAAAATGCTTTGCACACAGGCACAGACACAATCTCTCAGTCTCCTGTGAATTAGCAAACTGGTGAGTCACTTCTCTGTGTCTTTAACTTGGACATGTTTACAAAGTATTTACCATCCTACTGAACATAGTATAAAACTCTAAAACTTAAGATAAAGCCATGTGGATGAACATAAGCACATCCATCCATTTTTAAATTCATATATATATATTTAACATAGATAACAATGCTATGTATTATACAAGCAATGCATATATGATGTATGATCTAATATATAATTAAAATATTTATAAATAAATACATATATACTTATTTAATTATTTAAAAATTATGCTTGCTGAGTATCCAGTACAAACACAGATGCACAAAGGCATTGTCCTGGCTTGCCAGGAGGTGAAGGTCTCATGCAGATGTCAGACATATGAGCAAATAAATAAACTAAAGTTTTTATAAATGCTATCAAAATGGTATGTGAAAGTGCTACAGGTAGGAGGAAGGGGAACTTAACATTTTTGAAGGGGGTTAAAAAAAAGGTCTCACAGAAGCACTGCTATTTATTTACCACATGGATAGTAACCTTTGAAAGAAAAAGGATAATGGTGCTCAAATGCACAAACTTATCATTTGCTAGACCAAATAATTTACTATTTCTGAATCTTCACTTATTTCTATTTTTCTAAACTTTTAAAGTTTTGATTTTCTTCTTTTTTACCCTGAAATATATATATATAATATATTTGTAATTACTTGAGTCATTATCAATCATAGGATTTTATTTTTTTCCTTTATATTGCACAATAGATTTGTTTGCAAAACAATTCGAGAATAATACATAAAAATTTGACTGAACGAATAACTTATGACTTTTAAAATTTCAGAAATTTGCATATAAAATCAATGACGTTTCTGTTTATTTTATAAATACCTGAACTAAAGTGGTGAGAGTGAGAATTTGGGACTAATAATAGAATAAAATCTATAGAGCCTGATGATTGAGTAGATGTGGGAATTGGCTAAAACAAGCCAATATAAGATTAAATGTGTTTTAGCTCAGGGACCATTGATAATGGAAATACTTGCCATGGTAGGACACTTTGAAAAAGAGTCTGTTTCAGAGAGCAGAAATGGGAATGATAAAAAATAGTTTTGAATATATTGCATTTGAGTATTTATAAAACATTATATTAATTTAATGTTACTAAAACTTAAAGATGAATTAGAACACTTATAACAGTTTTTTTTTTCTTTTTGGCTTAAATTTGTATAAATGTTTCCATGTATGAGGTTAATTGTAAGTTGATATGAAGAATAAATTTAAGATATCATGTTACCCTTCAACTTTTTTATAACTTAACAGGGGAAATAAAACTTACTCAAATATAACTAAACAGCCTTTTGAGAGGATGAATACCCTACTTTCTAAGTGATCATTTAGAGCAATGTCTTTCTCAAAGTCTTGTATGGGCTGGTGGAGAATTCAAATTACTGTACTAAATAGAATTATACTTACCTTCTGATTTATGACCTTGTATGTTAAAAATCCTCAGTTTTACTATCTATAAAATATGCATAATGTTTTGCAAAATTATTGTGAGTAATAATTGGCTAAAATGTATGAAACGATCTAGTATAGTGTTTTGTACACGTTAGATTACTTCCTTCTCACACTTTGAATACATTCAAATCAAATGAGACATATAAATATCAGAATTTTTAAAGGATGATTGCTAAAATGCACCTACAAACATAAATTATTAAATGATTCAATTTTTTTGACTGGCTATTATCAATGCAACATAAAAGTATATTTAAAAATCATCTATTTGACTAATTTAAAAATATAGCCAAATAAAATTGTACCTAGTAGCTATCTAGGACTTACCCACTTCTTCGTGAAATAAATTTAGAGGCTTAACTTATCTAATTTGGCAAGACTAATATAAAAAATTCAATGGCAAATTGCCAAATCACAACAGTGTGTTATATTTAGTGATATAGCCCATTCTTTTAAATTTTTTTAATGTATTTTTTAAATCAACAGATAAAATTTTAGGTATTTATATTTCACAACATGATGTTTTGAAGTATATATTCATTGTGGAATGGCTATTAAATCCAAATACAAGCTTAACAAAATGCTGGAAGAATGATTTAATATATTTACCATGGTTACAAAATAATTTTTCTGATATATTCTGTTGAAACATGTTATGAATTCTGTCACCTCTGCTTGGTTACAGTATTGACACTTCCTTGCTGTAAGAATATCTAATTTGTTTGCAGATAATTTATCAGAATTGGACTGGTTTACCTCTTTCACAAGTTGCTTTGGCAAATTAAAAAGTGTCCTGGCGTGGTCTCTGTTTGGCTTGAGTCACCGATGGGTATGTTGGCAATACTAAATTAGAGGCAGCCAGACCCTCTGAATCTTGTGGTTGGAAATGTACCAAGTAGTCTTTGGCACAGAGTTTCTCTTATTCAAGGGTGTTAGTTTTGGAAAACTAGAGAGCTGAGATAGAGGAACAGGAGAACTGAAATATATAGTGAAGGAAACATGCATTTCAGCCCAGGAGGACATACAAGGATTTAAGTTGATTGGCTACTCCTGGCTGTCTCCAGAAATTCTTTGAAGTATGTGTTCAAATGCTTTCTGCATATTTGGAATAGAAGGATTACCTTAAATCTTAAAAGAAACATTGATAAACTTAGGAAAAAGTAGCTGTGCAGGGATGTCCATCTCCTATATATACGCAAACTACCTATACAGAACTCAAAACTTTGAATTTTGAATAATACTGCTCAGTCTTTATAATGATAATAAATATATTTTAAAATCATTGAATTAACATTTATTTCCTTATTCCTTTTTCTCTAGAAGTAAGGAGATAAATACAGCCTAGAGATATAGATGAACTATGATTCATATCTCACCTCCATAGCTTACAAATTGCTTGGCCTGCATCAAGGCCTTTTCCTTTCAAAGCAGCTTTCTATCATATAAAAATGAGGATAATACTCTCGTAAGCAAGACGAAAGATAAGGATAATGTATTTAGAACATCAGGATCAACTTCAGAGGTCCTAATACTGAAAAGAATTTGTAGTTTTCAATCTTCATTCAAGTGTGTGGAGCAGGGAGAGAGAAAGAAAACTGAGATAACAAAAAAGGGAGAATAAGCTGCGTAAATAAAGAGAAGATGTATAATTTTAGACAACTTGTTTAGATGCATTCTACAAAAGACACACAAGTACACACTTCTTTGAGAATTTTTTTCCTTTCTTACAAAAATCTATCTGTACATAATTTAAAACAGTAGACCTGGCAACCTGAAAAGGGTTAATTTAACAATCGTATAAGGAAAGAGGCATCCACTATATTCAAAATGAGCAAAGATGGCCTAGTTTCTTACATTTATCTCCAACATCCTCACCACTGCTAAGCTTGCAAATGACACATAAGGAAAAAGTCATAGCCTTATGTGATTTGACTCATCCCTGTTTTGAAATTGCACATATACCAATATTAAGAACAGTATCTCTAGGACGTAGCTTTTCTACCAACATGTAACATTGATTTTTATGTTTTCAAAACTTTTCAAATTCCCCTGCATAGAATGCAGTGAATTCTATTACTTACAGAGACTTACATTAGTTACTCTAGTTTTCCTGTCAAGAAATTCTAAATCACTTTTAATATAATACAAAGACAAATACTTAAATGTTTAAATAACCGGTTCCATATAAAACAAAACAAAACTACTGCAAAACAAAACAAAACAAACAAAACCTCTACTAAAAGAATATAATGAGAGCCATTTTATTGTGCCTGGTATTTTAAATTATATAATATAAATATATACATATTATACATACAATTTCACTAAAAAAAAAAAAACAACTGTTATTTTTCTTGAAGGGAAAACAAAGGATATATAAATTGCCAGAAAACGCACAGCTGGTAAGCAGCTTAGCTGTCAGGAATTACAATGTAGATGTAGATGTGTTCAATTCTAAACTTAGGACTCTTCCCTTACATCATTCTCATTCTAATTACCCCATATAAAAGACAAAATATAAATTGTTAAAAGGCAGAGTAAAAAATTATAAACAATTGAGGTATGGCCCAGGTTTTTCTCGAGAATTTTGTGAAAACTATTTATTATCTGTCAATAGAAATCATCAAGGAAGGGCATAGTGGCTTACATCTGTAAACCAAGCATTTTGGGAGGCCAACGTGGGAGGATCACTTGAGCCCAGGAGTTTGAGACCAGCCTGAGCAGCATAGCGAGACCCCATCTCTACAAAAAATAATTGAAAAAAAAATTAGCCAGGCATGGTAGTGTACGCCTGTAGTCCCAGATACTGGGGAAGTGGAGGTGAGAGGGTTGCCTGAGCCCAGAAGTTTGAGGCTGCAGTGAGCCATGATGGCGACACTGCACTACAGCCTGGGCACCAGAGCAAGAACTTGTCTCAAAATAATAATAATAATAATAATAATAAAAGGCCGGGAGCGGTGGCTTACTCCTGTAATCCCATCACTTTGGGAGGCCAAGGCGGGCGGATCACGAGGTCAGGAGATGGAGACCATCCTGGCTAACGCGGTGAAACCTCATCTCTACTAAAAATACAAAAAATTAGCCGGGCGTGGTGGCGGGCGCCTGTAGTCCCAGCTACTCAGGAGGCTGAGGCAGGAGAATGGCGTGAACCCAGGAGGTGGAGCTTGCTGTGAGCAGAGATTGCGCCACTGTACTCCAGCCTGGGTGACAGTGTGAGACTTTGTCTCAAAAATAAAAATAAAAAATAATAATATTATAAAAATAAAAAGATACACTTGTAATAAATAGTAATATCTACTTTTGAAGGTTGGCCAAAATTAATGCAATACAGCTTTCCTATAAAATGAAATAATATAATTGCCAATTCCCCATTTATTTTTTAATTATAGACTTATATTCAACCTCAAAACTTGAAAGAACGTTTATAATCACATTTTTTTAAATTTTTGTTGTTTAAGACTTTAACCTTAACTTTGAAGTTGAATTTAGGCTGCATTAATTATATAATTTAAATTCTCTAACTCAAAAGCCATGAATCTTAGATCTTTGGTCAACATTAGAAATTTTTTTATTTGTATAAATTTAAGCGGTACAAGTGTGGTTTTATTACATAAGTAATATAAATCCCATGTTTGTTATATATTGCATAGCAGTGAAGTCTGGGCTGAGATGGTTTGCCTTTGCGTTCCCATGCAAATCTCCTGTTGAATTGTGATCTTCAGTGTTAGAGGAGGGGCGGGTGGGAGGTGATTGGATCATGGGGGCAGATTTCTCCCTTGCTGTTCTCATGATAGTGAGTGAGTTCTCATGATATCTGATTGTTTAAAAGTGAGTAGCACTTCCCCTTTGCTCTCTTTCTCCTGCTCCACCATCGTAAGATGTGCATGGATTCCCTTTGCCTTCTGCCATGATTGTTAAGTTTCCTGAGCCTCTCAGCCATGCTTCGTGTACAGCCTACAGTTCTACGAATCAGTTAAAAGGTGTTTCTCCATAAATTACCCAGTCTCAGATAGTTCATTATAGCAGTGTGAGAAAGAACTAATACATGGGCTTTTAGTGTAAACATCACCCAAATAATGCACACTGTACCCATTACATAATTTCTCATCCCTCACTCCCCTCTCACTCTCCTACCCTTCTGAGTCTCCAATGTCTGTTATTCCACACTCTACATACATATCCATACATTGTTTAGTTTCCACTGATAAGTGAGAATATGCGCTATTTGACTTTCTGTTTCTGAATTATTACACTTAAGGTAATGGCCTCCAATTCCATTCATGTTGCCGCAAAAGACACGATTTCATTCCTTTTTATGGCTGAGTATTGTGTGTGTGTGTGTGTGTGTGTGTATGTATGTCACATTTCCTTTTTCTTATCATCTGTTAATAGACACTTAGCTCTATGCCATATAATAGTGCTGCAATAAACATACAAGCACAAGATTTTTTTTATATATAATAATTGATTTTACACTGGTTAGATTCCCAGTAGTGGGATTGCTGGATCAAATGGTAGTTCCATTTTTAGTTCTTTGAGAACTCTTCATACTCTTTTCCCTAGAGGTTATAATAATTTACATTCCCACTAACAGTCTGTAATCATTCTTTTTTCTCCTCATCCTCATCAACAACTTTTTTTTTTGACTTTCGTAATAGCCATTCTGACTCGTATAAATTGTAGATATAAGTATTGAGAGAACTCAGCACTCTTGACTTAGAACAAAAGAAAATGATAGTATAGAAGATTCTACCAAAAACTGTGTAGATTCTTAAAACCACATCTCTTTTTAACTACATTATGGTAATATAGTTAAGATTCAGGTGAATTGTGAAGTGCTATAAGAAATGAAGCTAATTTGAGTAAATGATATTAAAATTTATTCACTGAGAAACATTTTTATAATACTTATTTTGGACAAGGCACTTTTCTAGACACTTACGGTGGCCAGAAAAAAAAAATGACAACATCCCTGTCCTCATAGAAATTCCATTCAGTGATACCATTTTAGACAATAATCTCAATATTCAGCATTTTCCATCATAAATTTCTTACTTCCTATAGATAACAAATCTAGAATTTGACACAAATTATTCAAAAATTATTTTTAAAGCTGGATAATTTCCATAGTTGTGGATGCCTTAACCTAAAGTTGTGTAGGTTTGTATAGAATTGTTTGCTTAGTGTCTAGCACTCTTAAAGTGTTTTTATACAAAAATTAAAAACAGAATTGTTTTTTCTATTTTACCTAACTTAATTTTGAAAAAAACTCCACACTTTTATTAAAGTTTATTCATAGACTTTTTATTTATTTATTTATTTTTTGAGATGGCGTCTCGTTCTGTTGCCCAGGCTGGAGTGCAGTGGCGTGATCTCGGCTTACTGCAAGCTCCGCTTCCCGGGTTCACACCATTCTCCTGCCTCAGCCTTCTGAGTAGCTGGGACTACAGCCATCCGCCACCACGCCTGGCTAAATGTTTTTTGTATTTTTTTTTTTTTTTTTTTTTTTTTTTTGAGACGGAGTCTCGCTCTGTCGCCCAGGCTGGAGTGCAGTGGCGGGATCTCGGCTCACTGCAAGCTCCGCCTCCCGGGTTCACGCCATTCTCCTGCCTCAGCCTCCCAAGTAGCTGGGACTACAGGCGCCCGCCACTACGCCCGGCTAATTTTTTGTATTTTTAATAGAGACAGGGTTTCACCATGTTAGCCAGGATGGTCTCAATCTCCTGACCTCGTGATCCTCCCGCCTCGGCCTCCTAAAGTGCTGGGATTACAGGAGTGAGCCACCGCGCCCAGACCTAGTCATAGACAATTTTAAAATTAGGATTTATTTGGAATAGGGTTAATATAAATATCTCACGAATGTTGTTATTAGTAGTGTAAATGAGTTTTTTAAAATAATGCAAGATTTATATTTTGAACTGAATCATATTCCCTCAAAGTTTATTTGTTATGGCCTAACTCCCAATGTGACTGTTTTCAGACATAAGGCCTTTAAGGAGATAATTATGGTTAATGAGATCATAAGAATGGGAACTTAATCCAGTAGAACTGGTGTCCTTTAAAAAAAGAAAGAGATACCAATGATCTCTTGCCCAGAGGAAAAGCTACGTGAAGACACAGTCAGAAATTGGATATCTGCGTATGTACAAGCCAGAAAGAGGTTTCAGAAACCAACCCCGCCAGCATCTTAATCTTGGGGACTTCCAACTTCTAGAACTGAGAGAAAATACATTTCTGTTGTTTAATCCAAACCGGTCTGTAGTATTTTGTTACAGCAGCTGCAGCAGACTAATATAATTTATAACAGACCTAGTAAGGACTGTGTTTTTATGTTATGTCCTCCTAAATTATCTCATAGCTTCATTACACCCTGTAAAGACATCAGTTATAATTTTAAGAAAAATGATAATATATTCATAATTCAGAGAGCCAGAAAAGTGTGTGATTCCATCATCATTTTCACTTTTTCCACAAAACTGAGAACACTGGTTTGAGGATTCTGATGTCATAGTCATAATACATACAAATTAAATGCATAAAGACCGAAAGGCCATAAGAATTAAATGAAAAATTAAACCCAGAAGGAGTTACATAATTAAAGAAAGTTTGATTGACAAAGGGAAATACTTATTAGTATGAATGTCATATATTTACACAGTTTGATGTAATTAAAAAGTTATTTCACATGCATCATTTCAATTATCTCTCACAACCCAGAAGAAGATCAGAACAGGAGGACAGAAAAATATTATGAACTCATAGAGCTTCTTATCCATCTTCCCTTCAAGAAAATGACCACAATTACAATTTTATTTTTATTTGTGTAATTCTTTGGTTATTGTTTGTCTCTCCCACTAGATTATAAGATCCATATTTGTTTTCTCTTTTCATTATATGTACAGTGCCTGATGTAGTTGTTTTGAACTTTTAAAAATTGAAGACTAAATGCACTTTCTACCTTGATCCTGAAGTTTTGTATTTTGGAGGACCAACTAAAAAGCCTCACTCATTTTCTTTTTTTAAAAATGATAATAGGACCAAATTTCATATACCCTAATCATTTCTGTGAAAAAAATTTTTGGTACACTTACAATCTCAAACAATATATAATATAAAGGAAATCAATTTAGTCTTCAAACTGGCAAGGAATAAATTAGTAGTACTGGCCGACTATTTCTTTTGGGCATCAAGGACTGCTTACTATGGGTGGAAGACTTTATCAATCTTCCTTATAATACAGAAGGAAAAATTCACATGCCCTAAAACATTCATTGAGCTGATTCTACAGCTTAAATTTGAGGGCATTGTGGTGATAAGGTGACCAGAGTTAAGTACATGTATATTAAGGTCTTGAACTTTTGGTCTGCCATGACTCCACCTCCACCTCCATTACCATATTCATCTACAATATTCCTGATGGTGCCTAACTGATTATCCAGTATATTCATTGCAATTAAATAATGCTATCGTTCCCCTAGTACGTAATTAGGAAGGGGAATTTGTTGCAACTATTCTTCCACCCAAAGACTGACAAGCCTGTCTTTAGAGAAGTTTCAACAGGAGATGGAAAAAGAGATATGGAGTGATGCATGATTTCTGTGACTAGATTAGAAAGCCTTCTCTCATAATCAGTAAACTTAGCATGCAGACCACCAAAACATTCATTCCTTCCTTCATTACTCTTGTATTTTCCTATGAATTGAGTATTGGGTTTAGCATAGAGAATACAAAATTGGCAAGCAAAAAGGGAATGTCATGTATTACTTCATAAAGTTTACAATTGAACCAGAAAAACAAAAACTGATCACATATGTGAAAAAGGTAATTAGAGGATTAGGGCTCCATCCTTGTGATCTCATTAACGCTAATTACCTCTCTTAGATGAGTGAAGTTAAAATCATGACAAGAGATAAAATAGAGGCAGAACATAGGCAAAAACTTTCATTAAATGAATTAATGAATGAATATCTCAGTAGGTAAAAGAAAAAAAAAAAGGAGGCTAGATTAGCTGGAACAAAGAGTAGCCCTGAAGGAAGCAAAGACTGATCACATAACACAGAGCCTAGCTAATCTTAATCTTAGAAAAAGAAAAAGACATTGAAGGTCAATGTCTTTGCTCATACCTGTTACTTAAAGGGTAAGGATTATTAGAGGAAGGAAAATATCAAATGCAGTTCTGAAAAACTAACTCAAGCAATACAGAGAAAGGGAAATGATTGTAGGGAGCTTTGGACTGATATGGGAAACCATATCAGTTTCATATCAGTAATCATGCTCTTGGGATTAGACAGATTTGGACCTTCTGATCAATGCATGATATAAACTTGGAAGAGTGGACATTTGTTAACTGCTAAAAAAATTCTTCTTTGTATTATCTTCCTTTACATGGTTTCATCAAATGAAAGGCACCATTAGCTGCCAGGAATAACTCTATAAATACAGTCGCTAAATTATGGAGCTATTTCATGCACTATTTATCATTCAAATATGAGAAAACTAAGCTATCACAAATGTCTGCCTCTATTTGCTGGAAAACTGAGTTCAGTATATTGATTCCAAGATAATGAACAGCAATATTCCCTTGCTCTGACACCGAAATATCTATTCTTTATTTTTGTGTATTTTTTTCTTAACTTCTAAATTGAACAAATGTTTCAGTATTTCAAAAAGTAAAACATGAAAAATATTAACACAATTAAAGTATAAGCACAACTATTTAGTAAATTCTTCCTGAAAATTAAATACTTTTAGAAATTAAATTCCTGTCTTGAAGGAAAAGTGAAATGCCATGCAGAAATGTGCAAATGTCATGAAAATTATATCTGGGTTAGATAAACCTCACAAAGCACAATTTTCTGGAATATGGAACAAATTAAAACCTTTTTTATGTTTTAGTAAAAATATTTTATATTCAATAAAAAATAACAATAGTCAATAAAATACAGTTTCACTATGATAAAGTTAACTAAAAGGTATTATCATTTCAGTGTTTTGATGTTAAAGTTATCTGTTAAAGGAAGAAGAATATAATTTTGTATAACATTGCTATAGGGTTACACTATTTTTTATATATACTGTATATATGTGTATATGTATAATATAATGTAATATAATATAACATAATAATCTTTGGAAAAAAGCTCAGAATTTTTTAGGTACCCAAAATTTTCCCATTTTCTCTGTTGATTTAGAGTTTATTACAAAATGTCCAAAGAAACATTCCAAGTAAAAAACCAGTATGCAACTTAAATTTCCATTTATTCATTCTTCTTGGGTCGTTAAGCAAAAATTCCCCAAATGTGACACAACTTTGCTCCCCTGCTTTGTCTACAACACTATAATTCCCCGTTACAGCAATTCTATGTTTACGATCATTCAACTTTCACTCCTGCTATATGGCAGGTAAATGTTACATGTTAGGAGAACAAAGAGAACTAAAACATTATTATTGAATTCTAAAAACTAAAAAAAGCAGCAGGTGAAGTCTAACAGATAAACAGCTGACAAAAATGCAATGTCGTAGATACTATGAACATTTATGCATAAAGTGCTTTGTGAACACAGATAATGTTGGTTGTATCTGTAGGTTTCTAACAAAAGAAATCTGCTAGAAATCTGTTAGAAATCTGTAGGTTTCTAACAAATGGTTGAATCTGTAGGTTTCTAACAAAAGAAATAGTAGAAATTGAGCTTTGAAAGATAAGTATATATTAACCAATGATGTCAGTAAAATATTTTTTCTTTTTTTTGGTTTCAGAAGAAAGCAAGAACAAAGCAAAGATGTCAAGAAATTAAATATGTTGGTGAGATTCTAACAATCTGTCTCAGTTGGTCAGGGGTTTCATTTTTCACTGAATATCCTAGGTTCGCTTTTAACTCCAAACTTCTGCTCAAACTTTTTTTTTTTCTGGGATACTATTTATTATCTTTGATAAATATCTGTGTCAAGGAAAACTACAATGGCTGAAAATATATCTTGGCCTGGGCTGGTGCCCTTTTGAAGACATCTCTTCTTGTCTGAGCTCAATTGCTCTATCTTTGAAGTTTTAAAGGAATAATCTTCTGTATTACTTACGTCAATCCTGTTCACATACAGCTGAGCTTATTCTCTGTATTCTCTCCTTAATTAGGTAGTAAACATTTTAACAGGAAATTTTCTCCAACAATGTTTTAATTTTGTTTATAATACTTTCCACAACTTTCAAAATAAATATTTATTGTATTGAACTGAATTAAATCTTCTTTGGTAATCAATAAGTTCACCCTTTGATTATGCCCCTCAATTGTAAGCTTCAGGCCCATCAAACAATGTATGTTTTGTATTTTTTACTTTTATAGGTTTATTGGGCACAAGTAAAGTTTGGTTACATGGATATATTACATAGTGGTAAAGTTTGGGCTTTCAGTGCAAGCATCACCAAAGTAATGCACATTGCATACATTATGTAATTTCTCATCCCTTACCCCCCTCACACCCTCCCACTAGTCTGAGTCTTCACTCTCTATGTTCGTGTGTACACATTGTTTAGCTCTCACTTATAAGTGAGAATATGCAGTATTTGACATTCTGTTTCTGACTTATCTCACTTAAGATAATGACAAGTTCCATCCACATTGCCTCAAAAGACATGATTTCATTATTTTTATGACTGAGTAGTATTCAATTTTGTATATGTGTATGCATAAATAGTCTGTTGATTGAGTCGATTCCATATTTTTTCTATTGTGAATAGTGCTGCAATAAATATACAAGCATGGATATTTTTTATATGATAATTCATTTTCCTTTGGGTAGATATCCAGTAGTGAGATTGCTGGATTCAATGAAAAAAAAAAGTCCAACATCACTAGTCATCAGGTACATGCAAATTAAAACCACAATGAGATACCATCTCATACCAGCCAGAATGACTATTATTAAAAAGTCAAAAAACAACAGCTATTGGCAAGGATGTGGAGAAAAGGGATTGGTCATACACTGTTGGTGAGAAGGCAAATTAGTGCAACCTCTTTGGGAAGGAGTATGGAGATTTCTATAAAGAACTTATAGTAGAATGATGTACTTTGTACATTGTTTTTCAGGACAGGATGTCACTCTATTGCCCAGGCTGGAGTGCAATGGCATAATCACAGCTCACTGCAGCCTCCACCTCCAGGCTTAAGCCATCCTTCCACCTCAGTCTCCTGAGTAGCCTTAGTAAAGAGAGAGGAATACCTTTGGCCAAGGGAGAGTAAAAGACTGCAGTTAGGAAAGTGTGGACTGTGTTTAGATTTTAAAAAGCTTTGAACTTTGTCTAGAGAATAGGTCATGGATAGATAACAGAAGAAGAGACATGACAAAATGATCAGATTCATGAGGTAGGGAGATTTGTTCTCTTCTTTTCAGTTTTCATTTTCATGTATGTATTTACTTATATATATATTTTAAAATTTATGGGTGCTATATATATATAACACCCACATATACATATACACATATATATGTATTATATAGGATATATATATGTAATACATAGGATATCAAATTAAGGGGTTTAGATTAGGAATTACAGTGGGTATCTGTTTTTAGTTAGCCTGCATCTTTTATATGCTTTAATTTTATTCATTATTAGGTTTTTTTTTTTTTTGGTAAAACATCCTGAATTATCTTTGAACTATCCCTTGACACTGCAAATCATGTTGATCTTGTCTCTCAGAAATTTGAACCTTAATCATTGACCCAAGGAGAAAAAAATGGAAGGAGCTGAAGCACCAATTACAATGACATCAACAGATTTCTTTCTCATTTCTACAAACTTCTCTACTTCCTGTCCTATACAAGGACTGTTTTTCTTTTCCTTTAAATCTAGGAGTTGCCATGGATCCTGTCAAAAAATTCCTTTTGTTTTCCATAATTTGGCCAGAGTCAATTTATGTTGCTTAAAACTAAAGTACTTTATTCAGAAACCAACAGAATTACATTCTATGACATTTTCACATAGGTGTTAGGAGTCAGAATAAAGCAAGATTCTATTTCTCACATGTAGTTTTCAAAGATGGAATAAAAATTCAAAAGATCTGTCCAGTGGAAAATGTTATTATAGAATAGATGTTATTTCAAAACATCATTATGTAGAAAATGCTGTGCTATCTTTTGAAGGAAATCTTGTCAATGTACAAAGTAACTGTGCTTGGAAAGGATTCTTGGAAAGAATAAGTTTCTCATACTTTTGTAGCCAATGTATAAAATCAACAATTTACATTGAGAAATCAAGGATTAGATTATTTCTGGAGAGCATGAAGAACATATTTTCAATTACTTGAAAATGTGTAGCTCACAAGAAGTGTATTCATAGTGAAGTAATTTTCCTGAAATAGTATAAAAGGTTAAGAGCAAAGTGAAAGTAGGAAGGACTCAGGATACAAACAATATCAAGCAAAGGACTTATTTTTATGATTTAAAATGTCAACTGACTTATATGTTAGGTATTCACGACACTTCTTGCTAACATTAAACAATAACTTTGCTACTAATAATAGCTGAAATGTATTTAGAACTAAGTGCCAAATTCTGTGCTGAACACTGTGTAGATTATCTCACTCAACCTTCACTAGACTACTATATGAACAGGCTGTGTAATTCTTAGGACTCTTTAATCACACAAGAACAGCAAACCCGATCTATATTTGCTTCAGCAAATAGGAAATTTATGGGCTCACATAAACAAAACTTCCTGGAAGAGGGTTGTCTTAAAGGGCAGTTTAATGCATGGGCTTAAAACATGTAAACAATATTTACAGTTTCAAGTCCCTACCTTGAATCCCCTTTCTTTCATGAATTGTCAGTACCTAACTCCTCACAATCACAGGATAGCTATTTCAGCCCAGTTGAACACTCAACTAACTCTAGATACAGAGGAAAGATAAATACATGTTTTATCTGTGAACATGGTAAAGTCTTGGCTTGATTCTCCTTGACTGAATTGAATGGTACTCGTTCCTGTAATAATCGAGATGACATGTGTTAAAGGATTTGCACTATTTATAACAATATAATTGTGTGCATAGTAGTAATAAAGATGATAAACATAATGAGAGCAGTGAACACTTGCAGTACTTCCATAATTCTAAAAACTTTGAATAGATTAACTTATAACTTTACAATAACTGCAACACATAATATGCTATTACTATCTACATTATATTGATGAGAAAACGTACACACAGAGAGGTTAATTCACTTGACCTTTTTCAACCATCTGTTAAGTTGCAGAATTTGGGTTCCATCAGAAATTATCTGGCCCTAAAGGGTACAAACTAACCATTATAATGTGGTGTCATTCATTCTTTGAGCTGTTAGTGAGACCATTCCCTTGCAAACCACATGTACTGAAAGTACTTGAATGCTATCACAGAAAATGCAGAGTGCTTTTCTCCAGAAGATAAAGAAACTGAGGCACAGGAATTAAGTAGCTACTCTGAGGTAATAAACTAGTGAATGGCTAAGGTAGAATACTACCTATTTGATGGTAGAACTGGAAGTCCTAACTACTAGAATATATGAATGCATAAAATGACTGTTATTGGATATATTTGAAAACAAACATGGTAGCCACAATTGCATTTGGAGTCTATTACTTTGATGAATTTTTATTTTTCCCATGAATCATGTTTGCTGATAATCAAAGACCTAGTATAAGGCTCTGAACCTAAGGAGAAGAGGGAGGGCAAATGCTACATGGAATAATAATTCAAAAAAAACTAGATTTAAATTTCAATGAGAAGTTTTATTTTGGGTTTTGCTTCTTTCTTAAAAGCATACCGAAAAGAAATCATCTTAAAACTCAGGCTTTGCAAAAAATAGATATGAGAATCTATTTTCTATTAGCTTCCATTCACATATCTGGAACCAATCCTGGTTGACTGAATCACAGATAATATCCCATAGTTTTGAAGGTATATCTCTGAAACCATTATTGCTAAGCTACAGAAAGAAGTTTCATACAGTATTGAGAAACCTAAGCCACAGAGAAATAGAAATTGGCAAGCCCAAGACTGTCTGTACAAAGGCCCCATTATAGACTAATAAAATTGAATCTCTGCGTTCAGAGAGTCAATGTTAATGTTCAAATTTTCTGACCCTAATCCTAACTCTAGGTTCAGTTATAAAAAAATGGAATCTAGGGCCTGGGCATCCCTATTTTTAAACAAATACCCAGTGTTTTTAATGTTCAGACAATGTTGAAAAATACTGCTCTAGAAAAAAAAGCACTGTATAACCAATTCTCCCATTGTGTAGGCAACAGCATCACTGGGTTATTGGGAAGTTGCCAGAAAAATAAGCCTGAAGAAGCTCTTCTGACTCTCCCAACTCTAAACATAGATAACAATGAATTCAGAAATTTCGGTGTGCTCTAGTAAGGGGACATGTAGGTGCTGAGAGGTTCAAGGGTGATGGTTAAGACCAAGAGACCTTTGTATTTTGGGGTTTTATACATGAGAAATATGACCAAGACCACAGATGCCAAAAACAGGTGCCAAAAATTCTCTCTGAAAAGTCAGAAAGAACAAGTATCCAGTCACCAATGCAGGCTCAAAAACAAAGGAGCTACTCAACAACAACTAGAATATCATAAGTATTTGAGGTTCCCATGATATATCCAAACACCATCTTGGAAAGGACCAGATATCATACAGGTTTGGTATTTGAGCATTTACACGGAAGAAAAAAAATTTTTAATGCAAAGAAACATGCTGCTTTAAACTGTTTTTTTTTTTTTTTTTTTTTCCTCTTAACCCACATCAGGATAAAGAGTGAGGGCAGGTTGTGGGACTTAAGAGAAAAAGTACATAAATTATACAGAATAAAAAGCTTTATTTCCTTTGCATATTTAGGTGATAGTATGCCCATTTTTGACACACAAATTCTAATTTCACATATCCTATTTTATTCTCCCTACATTTTTTGACCTTTTTCTTCTCTCATTCTAACAGCAATTACTCTGCATCTTTGCTTCTGGACGGGTTTGTGACTGGAAAGAAGGCATTTGCCTAGAACCATCCCTTTCTCAGCATTAGTTCCAGAAGTGTAAACTCATTGAGGAAATTTTACAGAGTGCTCTGAGGAAACTGTAAGCAAAGAAGAAGACCTCTGAAAAGAAACATCCAGATGGAATTTGCCTAATAGCAAGAGAAGAACCCAACTTCATGGCTGGGGAAAAGCGCAGTGATTGTGAGCCTGTAAGCAGGAGAGACACAGGCATTGTGGGTCCTCAGCAGCAGAGGGGAGACGGGGCAAAATTCCCAAATGAAATCAGTGCATGTGCACCTAACTTTTTCTTTATTAACAATAACATTTGATAACAATTTGTACTTACAGGTGTACAACGTTGACAGAAAAATAGCATAATGCTTTCAAACCTAATGAAGGCACTACAAACAACTAAGGCAGTATTTTCTTACAGTCAGGTAAAATCAAAAGTCCAGTCAAAAATTAGGTCAATTTAAAGAAAAATTACGTCAAATTTATTGTACTCCTAAATAAACTATTCATACTTACTACCTAAAAGATAGTTTTGAATTGATAGATTAAATTTACAGACATTCAGTAATTAAGATATTCAATAACCAATACTTGTTTAAAATGTTAAATATAGAAGAAAATGTATCCTTGAGCCAAAATTTGAGGCTGAGGGAAAGGTGACACTTGCCTAGAAAGATGAGCCAATACACCTTAGCCTTTACCCAGGTAAAGAAAGCACTGCTATCATGGATTTTATCAGAAAAGAGAAAATTTCCTGGTATATCCAGCTAACATATACTCCTAGTATATCCACATAAACACATATTACCCCAAAAATATCAATATCTGGAATTCGAGTCATTGATAGAATGCTAAGGCCCCAGTTAAAAAAAATAAACTATTGAGTAAATATATGGACTCATACAAACTAGTGCAAGCTTGTGCATTTTAAAACCTGGTTGTGGCCGGGCGCAGTGGCTCACACCTGTAATCCCAGCACTTTGGGAGGCCGAGGCGGGTGGATCACCTGAGGTCATGAGTTCAAGACCAGCGCAAACAACATGGTGAAACCCCATTTCCACTAAAAATACAAAATTAGCCAGGTGTGGTGGCGGACACCTGTAATCCCAACTACCCGGGAGGCTGAGGCAGGAGAATCGCTTGAACCTGGAGGGCAGAGGTTGCAGTGAGCTGAGATCGTGCCACTGCACTCCAGCCTGGACAACAGAGTGAAAAAACAAAACAAAAGAAAACAAAACTAGTTGAAATAACATCCTTTTGGCTAAAATTTAATTACCCAAGAAATCTAATTAATAGGTACATTTTGAGACTATTCTATTCCTCAAATAGTGCAGTTTCTTCACGCCTTACAATACCCTATAGCTTATTTGCTAGAAAATACTATCTCATCTCACATTTTGTCTTTACATTTTTAATCATTTATATCTGACATTCAATTGGATAGTGATTTTTTTATTTGATTAGCAATTATTTTAAGATAATTATGCAGGGATTCATTTTTTTAGTTTATTCTTGCTTCGTGCTATTAAAGATGCAACTTTTGTTCACAGGAGGGCATCATTACTCAGAAAAGAAGTGATTTATGGAGTAATTAAAGCAAACGAAATCTTCAGTAACCAAGTGTAAATTGTAAGTGAATGCTCACTTGGTCTGACCTCTCTACTCTTTCTAAACATAAAATATTTATTGTTGCCATTAGTATTTTAATAATCCTGGGTTTTAGAAATATTTTTATTTAATTTTCACTTTGTTTATATTTATTTTTTCTAAGTAAAAGATACTAAAATGAATGAACATTTTTACTAAAACTAGGAATAGTGCCAGATAAAACCTAGATGATTTTAAAACTATGAATAAAATAGAGTTACAATTACACACATATACTCTCACGCTCATTTGTTTCCAGTTAAACATTTCTGATTACACATATATGTACCTGGCAATGTTTCCTATGTAATAGTATATTTGTTTCTATATAGCATATAAGAATTCTCTCATAATTATTAATGTATTCATTAAATTTACTTATTTATTGTTCAAACATTACTCATTAAATTGTGAACAATAAATGATTAGAGATTCCCCTGCCACCAGCCACAATCTGTAACTCTTAGTTGTTGACAATTATATTTTATAGATTAAGCTGAATTGAAAAACTGAAACAGTGATATTGGTAAATGTTGCAAAAATTTGAATAACTCTTCCACACATTACTAATAAAAAATGTGAACAAATAAATAAATAGGCCAAGAATTTGGAAAGCAAGTAAGAGATGCATGAATGTTTGGGTTAATATTTTTATACAAATACAGCCCTCTAAATTCAAACATATATAAAGGAGTACATATACATTTTTACAGATAAGTAACTAGAAATTATGACTTTATGGTGCATAATACAATGATGAATTAATATAGTTACATCACCAATGATTTATTTAATATTTAGAGTTATAATAGATTTTATAAAAATATATTCAGACATCAAAACATTTTTTATTAAAATGCTTATATTGTGGGTGACTGTATGTTCTTTTTAACATTTTATTAAAAATGGATGCTTTAAAATATGTTTAATAATCTTGCTCAAATAAACTAGAAATTAGTTTATATATTCATGGATATCATCAGAAATTTTAATAAAACTAACTTTTAGAAATATTTTATTTTATTTATGTTTCTTTTCTATGAAAAAGTAAAAGTGATGAGATTAACTCATTTCCACAACAGATTTCATGCTTCAGTTCCAATCTGTTTTCTAAAAATAGGAAGTCAACTCAATATTAATGTTTAGCATTTAGTTAATATCTAGAATATATTACTATGATACTGATCATTTTTACTCCCCTTAAAATACTGCTGTTAAGAAAAGAAATCAAGATAGAAAAATGTTCTTAATATAAAGCAGCACAAAGAGGAATAATATTATTATCTGAGAAATTCCTCCTTAAATACATGTTTGGAAGTATTCTCTGAGGGAACTTTGTACTCTTCTTTCGCTTTCCTAGAGCATAATGTGATTTGTTCAGAAGTTAAAGCAAAATTAATTAACTGAGTACAAACAGAAATCAATTTTTTTGTTTGATGCAATAAAATATGACTTATTGATATAATAAAATATGACTCAGATTTATAAAGTTTCATTGTTGTGGTTGTAGCTATATTTTAGCCACACAAAAGCCAATATCATTGTGAAAATCAGCAGTATTCTATAAAAATGGAACCACTGCACCCCATTCTGTTTGAATACTTGTTTCAAAAACATATTTGATCTGATAATTACTTTACAATAAATCATAGAAATATATTTAAAATGATATAAGCATAATGTTCAATTTTAAAACTAATTTATTATAATAATTTGCATGTTTAACAGCATTTAATATATGAATTTGTTTTCAAAATACATAAACCATTTAATTTTTAAGTCTGTGTTTTCCTTTATTACTAAAGACAAAATTATTTTCTACTAGAAACTCTGCATTTATTATATTCTAATTACAATCTTATTGTTCTGGTTCTTGTGTAATAATAATGGAGAAATAACAATTTTGTCCCATGTCATAATTAAGAAAGAGTGGAGAAAAATAACCTGTGTACCATTGATTAGTTCAACTGCTGTAGTTACACTTGTGAAATTTTAAGACAGTAGCTCTCAATGACTTTCCAGTATTTCTGCCCATATTGCCATTCCCAAATACCTGAGTGATATCTACAATATTAGGCATATTGTAGCAAAATTTCTTTCATCTTTAGCATTTCATTGTCTTTAACCTCCACAAGTGACATCAGGTTTTAAAATTCAGCTTTGTTCATTTATTTATATGTACTCAAGCTTAAAAACGGCATTGAAGTCAATGTATTTGGAAATATAGGACATGAGAGACAGAGAAAGGAGAGAGAGAGAGAAAGAGAGAGAGAGAGAAATATGGAGGGAGAGGTACAGGAAGAAGAAGAGAGATGGATACATCTAAGCTGTTTCTGATTATTTTCAATTATTGCTTGATATAAACCTGCTTCTATCCATCTACTTCCCCACAAACCTGTTCCAGGAATTATTTGTCTAGAAAAATTTGATGCCTACTTGCTCTGAAATTTTTGACTCCAGGATCGCACAGTTGTTCATGTATTAGTAGATTTTGAATCCTACTGCTTTCTGCAGATCTTTTTATGAATGCCTGTAAAGTGTGTCAGAATTAGGTTTGAAAGCAAAATCATATGCTGCCATATGGAAAATTAGAAAGAGAGCAACGTAAGACTGGTGATTTTTAAGAGCATGGAAATACATATTTTCACATGAACTTCAAAAAATTTACACGCTTTCTTAAATATCCTTTGCTGAGCTGAACCTAAGCATAAAAAATACAATAATTCTGATATAGAGAAAAGTTTCTAGCACCTGAACTTGACCTAACCTTTAAGAATTTCTGTGACTTGTTTTTTTTTTTTCATGTCTGCTGTCTCACACTTGATGTGTCACCAGCCACACTATATTACTTCTGCACGTGCCAGGTTGTGTGTTACTACTGTGCTTCAATTATGTTCTTTACTCCTTCCTTTTCCATTTCTTTACTAATGCTTCTTGAGCACCTATTAAGTGTCAGTCTTTGTGCTAGATGTACAGTGGGAAATAACATACAACATGCCCTTGCAGTGTTTGCCAAAGCAAGGTTCATATTCTAAAGAAGAAAGTCTTGTCATTTTTGACAACATGGATGAACCTGGAGGACATTATGTTAAGTGAAATAAGCCAGAAATGGAAAGACATATACAGCATAACCTCACTCCTTTGTGAAGTCTCATGGAAGTAGAGAGTAGACTGATGACTTCCAGGGGCTGGAAAGACATTGGTCAAAGGATACAAAATTTCAGTTACATAGAAGGAAGAAATTCAAGAGAGCTATTGTATAACATGGTGACTATAGTTAACAATATATAGCATTCTTGAAAAATGTTAAGAGAATGGGTGTACCAGTTGTCAGCACAAAAATGGTAACAATGTGAGGAAACGCATATGTTAATTACCTAGATTTAGTCATTCCACAATATATATATACTTCAAAACATCATGGATGTAAGTGTTCTCACCACAAAAATGATAACTATTTGAGGAAATGCATATGTTAATTACTTAGATTTAGTCATTCCAAAATGTAAATATACTTCAAAACATCATGTCATACTTAGTACAATACATACAATTGTATCTGTCCATTAAAAATATTTGAAATTTTTAAAAAGAACATGATAAGGAAATGAAAAGGTTCTCTGCCTCCAGGTGGTAGGGATGGATGGCTTATCTTTTTGACTAATACACTGGGTGAATATCTCATCCAGAATGAGTATGATTATTTAATTTCCATCTTCCCAATACAAGGAGAATTAAGAGCAGCTGGAGAAAAATTACAGCCATTGAAACTGCTGCTTTCCTTTCTCCATCATTCTTATAAATTCTGCTGTACTTTTATCTCCTCTGTTCTATAATTTTTATCCCTTTTGTTTATTGCCTTCTCTCCAGAAGTCATAAGCAATTTCAAGCGCCTTCCCATTATAAAAAAATAAATAACAATAAAAGCCATTGCCATGATCCTACAATCTCTGGAGATATTATTCAATGTTATTCTTCTATTTTTCTTTCAAGTTTTTTTTTTTACTTTTTATTGCTATTTCTACTTCCTCACATTCAACTGAACTGTCATTTCAATACCACTGGCTTCTATATCCACCACATGACTATATATAAACATATGAAAGTCAATAATTGCCAAATGTAACAGATATTTTTTTTCAATTCAACTATTAAAAATACCCCAGAAGGATTTGCCATGTTTTTACTATCTGTTTGTAGACCCATTGCAACCATGGAGACCACAGGCAGCTGTTACTTCCTGCTCTATCTGCTTCTCTTTAATTATGTTTTATCTTCATTTCCTTAGCATTATATCCTTTATGTAGCCATCTTCTAATTATTTGGGTAATTTAAACAGTTCTCCTGATTTCAGCTAATGAAAATCAATCCTGTAACTTGTCCTGAAATAGCATAAGGCACTTTATTGATAATATGTTCAAGTCTGAAATCTTTGATATTTGAACCTCTCTTCTTCTGATATTCTTTATTGTAGTTACTGACACTATACCAGCATCTTAGAATAAAGTCTGCCTTTCTTTAATCTTACAATTCATTGATTGATTGTTAAATTCATATACATTTCTGTTTATATACTCCTGAGTTGATTTCCTAATCTTTATGTTTATAATCATGTCATTAACTTGTGTTCTTTATATCTTAACTGTGTACACCTACTTACATATCTTACCTATAACTATCCATAACCATCTTACCAGTTGCTGTCAAGGTGTATATCACATAATATATTTTCCCTACATACAACCCTTTGTTGACTTCCCCTGTGTGTGAGATTAACTGACCAGATCCTTTCCATGACACGTGAAGCCATCACAGGTTGCACACCCATGAAACCAGCCTTGTTCACGTTATGATCAAACAGCATATACTGCTTACATTCACCATAATTTACTCATTTTGTTTAGTATTGTAAAATTTTATTTATAATTCACTTTGTAGTTCATCATTTTCTTAGTTTGTTTTGTCTCCTCTGCCAGGAATGTTCTTCCCATCTTCCTCTTTAATGAATCTACTTTCGACTTAATGTTCTAGATTAATATCTGGACGAGTGTTACTACCTCAGGAATCATTTCATGTCCCCGCCCTGCACATGCACAACTGTATAAACCTGGATATTCACAAACTTCATTATGTGCATCTCTTTTTCTTATTCACTTCTCTATTTTATAACAATCTGATTATAAGAGAGTCTTCTGTAATATACTCCAAATTCCTTTGGGGGCAGTAATTCCATATTATTTATCAATCTTTGTCTTTGTATACAATTTTGCAGGTGCTCAATACCTACAGCCTTCTAATTCCAAACAATATATGTGAAAAATGAATGAAGTATGCCATTGTAATAATGCTTGAATGCTGGGAGTTTAGAATACCAGCTGTTTATTGTTGTTTAAAACATGGAATAACTGTTATCCACTTCAATTGGTTGCCATGAAAAAGTGTGTGTAAGGTCTTGAAGAAATATCAACATGAATAAAATAAAATATATTGTAAAAATCAAGGTAAATATAACATCTTTTATTATTCTGTAAGAAGCAAATGATGTAAGAGTTGCCATGTCTTAAAAAATAAGTTTCATTCAAGAGCAAAAGCTACTAAACTGGGGCCACTTTATAGAAGGGACCTTTGCTTAAATAATTTAATTTGCCTTCTAGCATCTGGCCACCAGTTAAAAGAACCAGTTACAAATTAGCAAAGTCTGTTATATATTAAGGTGAAATTCAGCATACAAAAATCAATATGAAGAGAAGGATTTGATTTTCATAAATTTAACCTAATTATTTGAGATAATTATTCCTCCCAACATTTTCTTACCTTCTTTTGCCCTCATCAGCACAATCACCAAGACTCTTACTCTTTACATATTTTTCCAGTGGTTTCTGCTTGTTATAAACTACATTGACATTTTGAACTCTCAAAATATTTCTTAATTAGTTAAGGCATAATTTCTCTGGTTTTCTATTTTCTCTAGGTTTTCATGTTGAAAACTGCTTTGAACATTAATAGAAAAAAATTTTCAGGTTTAAATAGTGCTTTAAAATCTCAGTTTTAGGAAGAATATTCTCTGACATGCATTATTTCCTATGTGGATACTGCAAAGGTTTTAGTTACAAATACTTTCTATCTCACAGCTGTTCTCCTTTAAGCTATCATTATGTCAATTTTCTTTTAAACCATTATTTATGATGCACAAATAGCTTTTATATTTCAAGAAAGGAATTTGTCAGAAGAGAGAACAATACTAGAAGCTACTTAATAGTAAATCATATCTCATATTTTGTTCTATGTGACTTTTTTTATGGCCTTCAATGTTTGACCCTAATGTAGATACGTGATTGTTAATGATTTATTTTCCTTTCCTTTTCTCTTACTATTTTTATTGTGGATTGCGGGTAGTGTTAATCTTTGTAGTTTATGTTGCAGGTCATCAGACTATTAAGAACCATATCTGTACCTAATGGAGAGGACTATATATTGCCTGTAGATAGTGACATGAGGTAGACACTGTGACCAAATGGATTTTGTGTCTCTCTTGAATTTGAGAGTGAGAGCATCTTCCTTTGTGTTATATATAATTGTTTTATGTTAGGCAGATGCATTGAGTTGTTTAAATATGAGTCAAAACATGAAAATGGGTGCTGAGTGACACAAATGTAAAATCTTTGGTTCAGTGCCCATTTGCCCTCAGATGCAGCCATTGACTTTTCCATCCTTCCTACTATTTACTTCAGGGCAATTAACGTTGGAAGATGTGTTCCTTAGACTACCATTTCAGCTGACTTATGGCTTGGTTCAACCAGTCACTGATAAAGGAAGAAAGCAGAGTATTTCTCCTTTTCCTGAGCCTCTGGCAGCATTTCTGACAGTGCTAGTTTACATATATGGCTCCAACTCTCACTAAAGAAACTCCCTCATGAAACCAGGTTCCACTGAGTGATTCTGGATCCTGATGTCTTTAATCACAAAAGTAAGGCAGCTTCTTTCTTTTGTGCCTCCATCTGGTCATAGCCTCCAGCTGTTGGTAATCTCTGAATTGATTTGTGACCTGCTTGCCTTCTCCATCACTTTATAATCAATACTTGAATTAAATTCCATCTGTTTTAAGTACCCAGAATGGTTTCTGTTTTCATATTGAGCTCTGGTAGATATAGGAAAAGACAATGAAATACCAGGATCAGTGGATATAGGTCCTGCTCATGCAGATGAATTGTTGGAGTTAGGTATCAGAGGGAGTAAACCAGAGGAGAGGAACTGGTCAGACAATAGGATATTTGAAATGGATATTGCATTTACAATTATTAATAATAACTACGTTTAACCATAGAAATTAATGTCCAAGATACTGGGAGGAAAGTGCCATTGTAAGAGAAAACAAATTAGAACTGAGAGGTCAGAGTATTGAAAAGAGCCTGACAAAGACTTTCTCCATGACCAAAATTTTGTCAGGCTTTCTGAGTAATTTTCTCCACTAGGCCCCAACCTCTGGATTTCTTTATCTATATTTGCCTTACCCAATTTTAGGAAGAAATCCTGCTAAGTCAGTTTTAGCCAGAATCCCCATGTTCTATATCTAATTGTCCACAATATCTGATTAAAATCCTCATCACCTACCATCCTTCAGGTGATATCTTATCACTCTGGCCTGCCTTCAGCAAAAATCCTCTTAGGTCTGTTTAACTAGAACCTTGACCTCCAGCCTTGATATTTTCTGTTTCTCATTCACTGACTTTATGGCTGCACTTATGGTTGCAACATAAGCGTGTGGTGTAAAGGCATTTGATTTAAAATTAGGGAGGACATTGTTTAGGAAAGAAGAGAATGGTCTAGAAAAGGCAATGGAAAGAACAGAAGACAGCTCTCCTTGTCTAAACGTCATATATTTGCAGGAAAGAAAACAACCACAACTTGAGAGAGCTTCAAGAAAAGCAGTGTCCTCAAGGGAGAACATTTTTTAAGTAATAAAAAAGGGAGGAGAATATCGAGAGCGTGTTGAGAATGTGTGTGATTTTACCAATGTATGGACTGAATCCCCAAGGACTCAGTGGAAGAGATTCAAAATTTAGGAACAGTAATGAATATGAGTGATAAAAGCAGATATATAGACATATAGAAAAAGAATCCAGGGGATAGGAGATCAATAGAAAGTTCTGAGTTTGTTGAAGGCAGGTAGGGATTTTTTCTGTTGGTTACAAGGCAGATGATAGTATTATGTCTTGGAATGATAATGAGGGCTAAGGTGAAGGGGAGTACAGATGGGCAGCTGATGACTAAGAACTCCTGGACATGTTACTCCTGCTTATAAAGTTGGAATGAGTCATTCTTTTCCTCTCAATTTCCAGGTATTACATTGGTTGTGATCTGACATGTATTACCTTTCGAATGGAATTATTTTCCCATTCCCACACAGGATCAATTTCTTAATACTTACAAGTTATCCAGAAAAGCCAGAAATGTCCATCATACCTAACCCTAATTCTTCCAGAAATAGGTAATACAAAATGTTAAGGGAAATATTTTTATTTTATCACCTAATGGAGTGGCAGATTTTAGTGATTTGCCATGGGAATTTTTTTAAACCTTATGTAAATATCAAACTGGCCCATTGTTTTCTACCAGCCACTAACTACAATTGTTTTCCTCATTTCTTTGCATTCCTAAATGCTGTCAGCCACTATTAGGAACTTGTCATGGTGAAATTCAGGACTGGCACTGGATCATGGTCAATAGTTATTCTCTAAAGTATAATTGACACCTGTGTAAACTTATAATTAGCTTTATACCACACAAGGTGCCATATATTTAGAATTGTTGAAAGATTAGTGAAGAGTGAGTATTTTAATAACCTTAAACTTGCCAGCTTTTTGTCAGTACCTGGGTTAAATGGGATATCTGCAGATTTGCTACTCAGGTATGATTTTATTTGATTCATTTAATTCAGTCTGTGATTACTGAATGCATACTGTGTTAGATACTCAAAGTCCAAAAATATAACTAAATATTCTGTTCCTTTTGAGGTGCTTTAGTTATGGTTTTTAAAGCTTTTAAAATTCTGTACATAGTACTGTATTAGGCCTACAGTTTGAAAATGATCATTCATTAATTTATTCACTAATTATTTCAAGCATTCTGTGTCCTTAGCAAGGTAGCAGAATATATAATACATCAAAAATAATAATGCTATTCTATATTTTAATAAGCAACTTCAGCAAAGTCTCAGGATACAAAATCAGTGTGCAAAAATCACAAGCATTCTTATACACCAACAACAGACAAACAGAGAGCCAAATCATGAGTGAACTCCCATTCACAATTGCTTCAAAGAGAATAAAATACCTAGGAATCCAACTTACAAGGGATGTGAAGGACCTCTTCAAGGAGAACTACAAACCACTGCTCAAAGAAATAAAAGAGGATACAAACAAATGGAAGAACATTCCATGCTCATGGGTAGGAAGAATCAATATCGTGAAAATGGCCATACTGCCCAAGGTAATTTACAGATTCAATGCCATCCCCATCAAGCTACCAATGCCTTTCTTCACAGAATTGGAAAAAACTACTTTAAAGTTCATATGGAACCAAAAACGAGCCTGCATCGCCAAGTCAATCCTAAGCCAAAAGAACAAAGCTGGAGGCATCACACTACCTGACTTCAAACTATACTACAAGGCTACAGTAACCAAAACAGCATGGTACTGGTACCAAAACAGAGATATAGATCAATGGAACAGAACAGAGCCCTCATAAATAATGCCGCATACCTACAACTATCTGATCTTTGACAAACCTGAGAAAAACAAGCAATGGGGAAAGGATTCCCTATTTAATAAATGGTGCTGAGAAAACTGGCTAGCCATATGTAGAAAGCTGAAACTGGATCCCTCCCTTACACCTTATACAAAAATCAATTCAAGATGGATTAAAGATTTAAACGTTAGACCTAAAACCATAAAAACCCTAGAAGAAAACCTAGGCATTACCATTCAGGACATAGGCATGGGAAAGGACTTCATGTCTAAAACACCAAAAGCAATGGCAACAAAAGACAAAATTGACAAATGGGATCTAATTAAACTAAAGAGCTTCTGCACAGCAAAAGAAACTACCATCAGAGTGAACAGGCAACCTACAACATGGAAGAAAATTTTCCCAACCTACTCATCTGACAAAGGGCTAATATCCAGAATCTACAATGAACTCAAACAAATTTACAAGAAAAAAACAAACAACCCCATCAAAAAGTGGGCGAAGGACATGAACAGACACTTCTCAAAAGAAGACATTTATGCAGCCAAAAAACACATGAAAAAATGCTCATCATCACTGGCCATCGGAGAAATGCAAATCAAAACCACTATGAGATACCATCTCACACCAGTTAGAATGGCAATCATTAAAAAGTCAGGAAACAACAGGTGCTGGAGAGGATGTGGAGAAATAGGAACACTTTTACACTGTTGGTGGGACTGTAAACTAGTTCAACCATTGTGGAATTCAGTGTGGTGATTCCTCAGGGATCTAGAACTAGAAATACCATTTGACCCAGCCATCCCATTACTGGGTATATACCCAAATGACTATAAATCATGCTGCTATAAAGACACATGCACACGTATGTTTATTGCGGCATTATTCACAATAGCAAAGACTTGGAACCAACCCAAATGTCCAACAATGATAGACTGGATTAAGAAAATGTGGCACATATACACCATGGAATACTATGCAGCCATAAAAAATGATGAGTTCACGTCCTTTGTAGGGACATGGATGAAATTGGAAATCATAATTCTCAGTAAACTATCACAAGAACAAAAAACCAAACACTGCATATTCTCACTCATAGGTGGGAATTGAACAATGAGATCACATGGACACAGGAAGGGGAATATCACACTCTGGGGACTGTAGTGGGGTGGGGGGAGGGGGGAGGGATAGCATTGGGAGATATACCTAATGCTAGATGACGAGTTAGTGGGTGCAGCGCACCAGCACGGCACATGTATACATATGTAACTAAGCTGCACAATGTGCACATGTACCCTAAAACTTAAAGTATAATAAAAAAATAAAAAAATAAAATAAATAAATAAAGAAAGAAAGAAGAAAAAAATATATATTTTTCTTTTATGAATTAGCTACATCATTTTATTATATTTGGCTATTTCTCATTATAAGTGCTATATTGTAATTGAAATAAGTCTTTGTCAGTGACAAAATATAATACCTCATATGCACACATATATTCTTCAGTTATATGTATAACACTTCATAAGTATTTTTCATTGACAAGACAATGCTGATTTCAACTAAATTTATTTACAGTAATTTCTAAGTCAAATTGTTAAGTGACAGATCCCTAAATTATCTAAGCCATCAAAGAAATTTGCACATTTCTCAACAGTTCAGCTATTTTACCTATATAGAAAGGCAAACTTATGGCACATTTTTAAAGAAAAATTTTGAGAATAAATTCACAATGTTTACTTCTTTAGAAAACCTATACTTGACGAACTTTGGTAAGTAATGCAGGAGGTGGCGTCCTAAGTTTTGGATGTGATTAAAATTTTGGTTAAGCATTTAACTGATACATGTATAAACTTCACTTTTGCAGAAGTAAGATTACTGGAATTTATGGTATACACATTTCAACACTCATAGGAGTTGCCAAATTTCTCTACAAAGTGTTTGTTGCCAATTATATTGTTATCAGAAATGCACATTTGTCCTTTGTGTATCCATATTAATATTGTTTATGAATACTAGTTTTCAATGACTGTGATATAATATGATATTGTTTGTTTAATGTTAATTGTCTTGATTACTAGTGGGATTGAACAACTATTTCTTTCTTTTTTTGTTGTTTTTTACTTTTATTTTAGATTCAGCAGTTATGTGTGCAGATTTGTTACCTGGGTATAGTGTGTGATGCTTAGGTTTGGAATATTAATGATCATATCACCCAGGTACTGAGCATAGTATATGATAGGTATTCAACCCCTGTTCCCTACCCTCCTTAATCCCTCTAGTAGTCTCCAGTTTGTATTCTTGCCACCTTTATGTCTATGAGTACCCAGTGTTTAGCTCCCATTTATGAGTGAAACATGTGGTATTTGGTTTTCTATTTCTGCGTAAATTTGCTTAAGATAAAGGGTCTCCAGCATCATTCATGTTGCTGCAAAGGGCATAGTTTTTTTCTTTTTTATGGCTGCATAGAATTCCATGGTGTATATGTGCTACATTTTCTTTATCTAATCAACTATTGATAGGCACCTAGGTTGATTTCATGTCTCTGCTTTTGTGAATAGTGTTTTGCCTCAATGAACATGTCAGTACATATATGTTTTTGGTAGAATGATTTATTTTCTTTTGGATAGATACCAAGTAATGGGATTGCTGGACCAAGTGGTAGTTCTGGTTTAAATTATTTAAGAAATCTCTGAACTGATTTCCACAGTGGCTTAACTAATTTACCTTCCCACCAGCAGTGTATAAGCATTCCTTTCCCTGCAGCCTTGCCAGCATCTTTTATTTTTATTTTTTAATAATAGCCATTATGACTGGTATGAGATGGTATCTCATTATGGTTTTGATTTGCATTCTCTGATGATTTAGTGATGTTAAACATTTTTTCATAAATTTATTGGCCACTTGTATCTCTTCTTTTGAGAAGTGTCTTGAACAACTTTTGCTTTATCAGTTAAGAATCCTGGTTTCTACCTCTTTAGTTGTCCTTAAAATTATTTTTGTAAAAAAAAACCTTTTTATTCATTTTCTTATTTTTATTTATCAATGTATAGAATATATATATTCTCTATACTAATGCTTTGTTGCAAATATATGGGTTGCAAATATATTTTATTGCATTTATTATGTACTCTTTTATTAGAATTTTTATCAATAAAATTGTAGTTTCAAATGCTACTATAAGAAATAATAGAGAGAAGACCTGTGTACACTTTATCCAGTTTCTCACAATGGTAAAATTTTGCAAACTATATTATAAAACAACAACTAACATTGGTGTTTGTACAATTCATGGATCTTACTCAGATTTATCCAGCTTTACTTACATCTGTGTGTGTGTGTGTGTGTGAGAGAGAGAGTATATGTGTGTTTATGTAGTTCTATATAACTTTACCACGTGTGTAAGTTCATATATACACTACTACACTCAAGATTTACTGAACAGTTCCATTACCAAAAGGATCCCTCCTGTCACCTTTCTATTACCACGCCCATCTCTTCCTGACAATTCTCTGCCACTGATCACCTCCACTTCAGTCCCTGTCCCTAACCACTAGCATGCACTAACCTGTTTCCATTTCTAAAATTTTGCCATTTGAAAATGTCTTCCTTTCTGGAGCTGGAAACCATCATTCTCAGCAAACTGTCACAAGGGAAAAAAACCAAACACCACATGTTCTCACTCATAGGTGGGAATTGAACAACGAGAACACTTGGACACAGGAAGGAGAACATCACACACTGGGGCCTGTTGTGGGGTGGGGGTAGCGGGGGAGGGATAGCACTAGAGATATACCTAATGTGAATAACGAGTTAATGGGTGCAGCATACCAACATGGCACACGTATACATACGTAACAAACCTGCACGTTGTGCACAGGTACCCTAGAACTTAAGGTAAAATAAAAAGTATATATATAAATAAAAAATAAATAAATAAATTATCAAAAAAAGAAAACGTCTTATATATGAAACTATATATAAGTTGCTCACCTTTTGAATGTGGATATTATTTAGTTTTTATTTTTATTTTAATCCTGGTGTACATGTGCAGGATGTGCAGGTCTGTTACATAGGTAAACATGTGTCATGGTGGTTTGCTGCACCTATCAAAACATTGCCTAGGTATTAAGCTCAACATGCATTAGCTATTTTTCCTAATGCTCTCTCTTCCCCCACTCCACCCTCAGACAGGCCCCAGTGTGTGCTGCGCCCCAGTGTGTGTCCATGTGTTCTCATTGTTTAGCTCCCACTTATAAGTGAGAACATGCGGTGTTTGGTTTTCTGTTCCTACGTTGGTTTGCTGAGGATAATGGCTCCAGCTCCATCTATGTTCCTGCAAGGACATGATTTTATTCCTTTTTTGTGGCTGCATAGTATTCCATAGTGTATATGTACCACATTTTTTTTATCCAGTCTATCACTGATGGACATTTGGATGGATTCCATGTATTTGCTATTGTGAATAGCGCTGCAATGAAAGTAAGTGTGCATGTATCTTTGTAAAAGAATGATTTATATTCCTTTGCATATATAACCACTAATGGGATTGCTGGGTCAAATGGTATTTCTGGTTCTAGATCTTTGGGGAATCCCCGCACTGTCGTCCATAATGGTTGAACTAATTTACATTCTCACCAACAGTGTTAAACCATTTTCCTATTTCTCTGCAACCTTCCCAGCATCTGTTGTTTCTTGACTTTTTAATAATTGCCATTCTGACTGGCATGATATGGTATCTCATTGTGATTTTGATTTGCATTTCTCTAATGATCAGTGATGTTGAGCTTTTTTTCCATATGTTTGCTGGCCACATGAATGTCTTCTTTTGAGAAATGTCTGTTAATATCTTTGCCCACTTTTTAATGGTTTTTTTTTCTTATAAATTTGTTTAACTTCCTTGTAGATTCTGGATATTAGACCTTTTCTGATGAACGGATAAATTCCTGGACACATACACCCTCCCAAGGCTGAACTAAGAATAAGTTAAAGCCCTGAATAGACCAATAACAAGTTTTGAAATTGAGGCAGTAATAGCCTACCAACCAAATAAAAGACCAGAACCAGATGGATTTACAGCTGAATTCTACCAGAAATACAAAGAGGAGCAGACATCCGTCCTTCTGAAACTATTCCAAGCAATTGAAAGGAGAGACTCCTCTCTAACTCATTCTATGAGGCTGGCATTATCTTGATACCAAAATCTGGCAGAGATATACAACAAAAAAGGAAAACTTCAGGCCAATATCCCTGATGAACATTAGTGTAAAAATTCTCAATAAAATACTGGAAAACCAAATCTAGCAGCCCATCAAAAAGCTTGTCCACCACAATCCAGTTGGCTTCATCCCCAGGATGCAAGGCTGGTTCAATATACACAAATCAATAAATGTAATTCATCACATAAACAGAACTAAAGACAAGAAACACATGGTTATTTAATTAGATGCAAAAAAGGACTTCAATAAAATTCAACATTCCTTCATGTTAAAAACTCTCAATAAACTAGGTATTTAAGAAACATACCTCAATATAATAGCCATTTATGACAAACCCACAGCCAATATCATACTGAATAGGCAAAAACTGGAAGCATTCCTCCTGAAAACTAGCAATAGACAAGGATGCCCTCTCTCACCCCTCCTACGCAACATAGCATTGGAAGTTTTGTCCAGCACAATCAAGCAATAGAAAGAAATAAAAATTCCTCTTTTCAAATAGGAAGAGAGGAAGTCAAATTGTCTTTGTATACAGATACTGTGATCCTATGTCTAGGAAACCTTGTCGTCTCAGCCCAAAAGCTTCTTAAGCTGGTAAGCAACTTCACCAAAGTCTCAGGATACAAAGTCAAAGTGCAAAAGTCACAAGCATTCCAATACACCAACAACCAGCAAGCCAAGAACCAAATCATGTATGAACTGCCATTCACAATTGCTACAAAGAGAATAAAATACCTAAGAATACAGCTAAAATGGGACATGAAGGACCTCTTCAAAGAGAACTACAAACCACTGCTCAAGGAAATCAAAGAGGACACAAAGAAATGGAAATTCATCCCATGTTCATGGATAGGATGAATGTGGATTTTTATTTAGCATAATCCTTTCAAGATTCATCTGAGTTATTGAATGTGTATAGAGTTTGTTCTTTTCCATTCAGAGTAGTATTCCATGCTATGTATATACACAGTTAGTTTAGTTGTTCACCTGTTGGATATCTGAGCTATTTCCAGTTTGAGCTCTAATGATAAAAACTACCATGAATATTTTTGTTCAAGTTTTTTTGAGAAGATAAGTTTTCAAATGATAGTTTAGTTTGTATAGTAATTATATGTTTACTTTTACAAGAAATTGACAAATTGGTTCCCAGAGTATATCCACCATTTTACCTTCCCACCAGCAATATATGATTGACCCAGTTTCTTTGCATCTTCCCCTGCATTTGGTATCCTATTTTTTAAAAAAAAATTTATTTGCCATTCTGCTGTAGTGATATTGTGGTTTTGATTTATATTTTCCTGCTGCATAATAATGTTGAATAGCTTTTCATGTGCTTATTTGCCATTTTTATATCCTCTTCATAATTTGGGCCATTTTATAATTAGATTTTTTGGCTTGTTTGGCTGTTGAATTTTGATTTTTCTTTTTGTGTATTCTAGACACAGGACTTTGCCAGATATGAGTTTGGCAAATATTTTTGCTTTGTCTGGTGTTAATCTTTTTATTTTCTTTATAGATCTTTGGCAGAGCCCATATATTTCTATTTAAATTATGGAATAAACTTGTCTATGT
The DNA here is from genome assembly GCF_000001405.40 of Homo sapiens. NCBI lineage: Eukaryota > Metazoa > Chordata > Mammalia > Primates > Hominidae > Homo > Homo sapiens. Next base: position 86,809,893 of record NC_000012.12, read on the forward strand.
CTATGAAAATTCTTTCTAGCACCTTTACTAAAATTGCATTAAACAGCTTTAGATAATTCTGCAGACAAATGGCATCCGTACTATATTGATTCCAATTCATGAACAAAAGTTGTCTCTTCATTAATTTAAGCCTACTTGATTTTCTTCATCAGCATTTTGTAACTTTCATTGTAAAAATCCATACAGAGTCTTTTAAGTGTTTACCTCAGTATTGCAAATTATTTGGAGTAATTGCATGTAGTATTGTGTTTCCATTAAATTTCTGCATTTTCATTTTTTTATATTGAAATGTGTTTTTTAAAATTGATCCTGAGTCTTAAAACATTTAGGCATTTGGGGAATTTGACTTGTTGTGATTTCTTATGTTATAAGAAATAATCATGTAGTCTACAAATGGTGAGTTTTGTCTTTTTTATTTTTCAATCTGTATTTCTCTATCTTGCCTTATTACACTGAATAGAATTTTCAATACTATGTTGAATAAGAGTAGGGTGAACAGATATACTTTCCTTATTTCCAATCTCATATAGGAGAGCATTCAGTCTTTCACCATAAAGAATTATATCAGTTATAAGCTTAGGGTGATGTTATTTTTCAAGTTGAGGTAATTCCCTTGTATTTCTAACTTTTTAAGAGCTTCTATCATGAATGGTTATTGGATTTTGTTAAATGCTCTTGTGTCAATGGATATGATCAACAGATTTTTCTTCATTAGTTAGTGGATATGGTAGATAACATTATTGATTTTTGAGTGTTCAACCAGCCTTGCACCGAGAAATAAATCCCACTTGATCATGGCCTATAATTATTTTCATATATATTGTAGTTGATCTTCTAATATTTTGAGATTCCTTATATATCAACTTTTTTGCATGCAAAATTGTGAGAGATATATGTCTATAGTTTTCTTTGATTTTGTACTATCTTTGTCAATTTTGGTATTACGGTAATACTAGCCTAGTGAAATGATTAATGAATGAATATTCCCTCTTCTAAAATTGCTAATTAGCAATTGCAATTAGCAATTGCTCTGAATATTTCCTTCCTGCTTTTTGCTCTGAGTTTAATTTGCTCTTCTATTTTCTAGTTTCTTGATGTAGAAACTTTGATTTTTGATTTGAGACTAGTCCTTGTCAAAGATTTTATATTTGACATAAACTATTTAAGAGTGTGTGTTTAATTTTCATGTGTTTAGAGATTTTCCTGTGGTCATTCTATTATTGATTTCTGCTTCAATGTCATTGTTGGCAGGGGACACATTCTGTTGTGATTCTCTAGTGAAACAATTTTAGATTGGTGATTTCTTTTCTGGGAGCTTTTAAATTAATAATTTCATTTTTAAATGATCGACTATAAGGCATCATGTTTGAGTTTCAGTGATTTGTGCTTTCTGAAGAACAGTTCCATTTTTTTCTAATTGATGTTCACCAAGGCACTCATAGTATTTTTTTTTTTTTTTTTTTTTCTTGAGACAGAGTCTCACTCTGTCACCCAGGCTGGAGTGTAGTGGCACGATCTCGGCTCACTTCAATCTCCACCTCCTACGTTAGGTAATTTTCCTGCCTCAGCCTCCAGAGTAGCTGGGATTACAGGCACCTGACACCACGCCCAGCAAATTTTTGTATTTTTAGTGGAGACTGGGTTTCACCATGTTGGCCAGGCTGGTCTTGAACTCTCGTCCTAAAGTGATCTGTCTGCCTCAGCCTCCCAAAGTGCTGAGATTACAGGCATGACCCAACGTGCCCAGCCAGTATTCTATTATTAATGGCTGTAAAATTTATATTATATCCCCAATTTCATTTCTCATATTGACAATTTGTGTTTTCTTTTATTATTTTTGCTAGTCTTACCAGTTTATTAATTTAATTTGAAGAACCAGTGTTCATCAATGTTCTCTATCATTTTCCAATTTTCAATTTTATTGATTTTTGCTCTGAATATTTCCTTCCTGCTTTTTGCTCTGAGTTTAATTTGCTCTTCTATTTTCTAGTTTCTTGATGTAGAAACTTTGATTTTTGATTTGAGACTAGTCCTTGTCAGCAATGTAAGCACTTCATGCTATACATTTTTCTCTCAGCATTGCTTTAGCTGCATCTCTTGCATTTTTGTATGCTCCATATGTATTTTCATTCTAGTCTACATTTTTTAAAATATTTTATATTTGACATAAACTATTTAAGAGTGTGTGTTTAATTTTCATGTGTTTAGAGATTTTCCTGTGGTCATTCTATTATTGATTTCTGCTTCAATGTCATTGTTGGCAGGGGACACATTCTGTCTGATTTCATTTACTTTAAATTTATTGAGATTTATTTTATGAATTAGCATACAGACTATTTCAATTAATGTTCTGTTGATTGTTGAAAAATGTGTATTCTGATATTGTTTGGTGAGGGGTTCTATAAATGTCAGTTAGATCCTACTGGTTGAGTGTGCTGTTCAGATTTTCTATATCCTTTGTTATTTTCTATCTAGTAATTCTCTCAGTTGTTAAGTGGGAGATACAGTTTCCAATTATATTTGTGGATTTGTTTTTTACTTTTTTCAGTTCTAGACATTTTTGCTTCATGAATTTTGAAGCTTTCTTGTTTACTGAGGACACAATTGGGATTGTTAGGTCATCTTGTTAAATGGATCTTCTGTCATTATTAAACTTCTTTCTGTCTCTAATAGTTTTCTTGGATTTTATGTCTACTTTATTAGGCCGTATATATTATATATTAATAAAGTCACACATGCTTTTTTATCTTTAATGTTTTAAATAGCATTTCCTTTTCCATCCTTTAACTATCAGCCTACCTATGTTGTTGAATGTGAAGTGTATGTCTTCACTTTTCTTAGGGGAAGAGTCTCAGGTCTACTAAGAACGACTCTTGAGACTGGGTCTCTTTTGTTGGTTTTGCCAACCTTTACTGGGCTATCCCAGTGGAGTAAGGAAATATCAGGCCTAAATGGGATGGAGAGCACTTCTTCTGGTCACTAACTGATGCCAGAATTTCTGATCATTCATTTGCCATTGGTATTGCACTCACCTGATATCAGAGGGTATTCATTTCAACATGGTGAAAAAATTAGCCTAGATAGGATGCCTACTTTTACTAGGTTTCAGGTCAAGAAATGCCTGCAAGGCTTCTTCTGTTTTGTGGGTATATGCAAGACATATACTGCTGATGCCACATTCTCAAATCCAGGGTTCCAAACCAGTTGTCAGCATTGTCTTTTGCTTGCCTCTTGAGTAGTTTATAGAGTTTATAGTTGTGCTTAGCAGGGAGAAGCAAGAAGAAATAGTTCTATATCATATCCAGACTGAAAAAGATGCTGTTTTTGGACATCTTGAAAATAGTAATTTTAGAGCTATCAATTTTATCATTATTTTTCCTTATGATTTATACATTTCAAGTCTTGTTCAAGAATCTTTCCCTACACTGACGTCACATGATATTACATATTTTCTGTCAAAATTCGTGCGTTTTTACCTTTAGACATTAAGATCTTTAATCTACCTGATTTAATTTACTCTAAAGAAATAATCTAATTTTGAAATTTTCTCATAGTCTAGTGAATTTTCCTGGTACCATATAACATATGCTTTTCAAACACATTTTTTTCATATAGGTTTCAATGCATATGCAATGTATATGTGTTTCTAGGCTATAATTTTATGGTAATATATTTATTTATCACCCTGATAATATGACAATATTTTTTATAACCATAATAATTCATTTTTAATTGACACAGTGAGTCACTACATATTTCTGAAAAATTGCCTTAGGTTTTAACACTTTACACTTTTATAAAATCACCTTGTTCAGTTTCATCCAAAACTATGTTGTGTATTTGAATGAAATTACATTTACTTTACAGGTTAATTTGGGCAGATTTTCCAATTTTACAAATCTTCTCTTCCATAAAATGTATTTCTCCATTTATTTAAACATTCTATTCCTATAGAATTTTAAAATTTTCTCTGTAAATGTTTTGCATAATTTTGATATAAATATTCCTTTTTCTTTCTTTTTTTTGGGGGGGATGGGGAACAGAGTCTCGCTCTGTTGCCTAGGCTAGAGTGCAGTGGCACGATATTGGCTCACTGCAACCTCCGCCACCCAGGTTCAAGCAATTCTCCTGCCTCAGCCTTCCAATTAGCTGGGACTACAGGTGCACACTGCCACGCCTGGCAAATTTTTTTGTATTTTAGTAGAGACAGGGTTTCACCGTGTTGCCCAGGCTGGTCACAAACTCCTGACCTCAGGCTGATAGATATATTTCTAAGCACTGTTATCTCCCATGGCTTTTGCAAATTATTTATTTTTTAAGCTTTTATTATCTAATTATTTGGCATATACGTGTATATATATACACATATATATACATATACGTATATATATACATATATATACATATACGTATATATATACGTATATATACATATACGTATATATATACATATATATACATATACGTATATATATACGTATATATACATATACGTATATATATACATATATATACATATACATATATATATGAAAGGCATGTTCTTTCAGCAAATAAAGTTACTGAATTCTCATAATTATATTAATTCCAATTCTCTTATAATTATATTAATTCCAATGCTCTTATATTAATTCCAATTCTCTTACAATTACATTAATTCCAATTCTCTTATAATTATATTAATTCCAAAGAAGATTACTTAGATGTTTTCTGAAATCGTTTCTATGGTCTGAATGTTTGTATTACCCCGAAATTCATGTGTTGAAATCTAATCACAATGTGGTGATATTCCAAGGTCGAGCTTTTGGGAAGTGATTAAGTAATGAGGAAGAAGCCCTCTTGAATGGGATGAGTGCCCTTATAAAAGAGGCCCCAGAGAGCCACCTTACCTTTTCCACCATTTGAAGAACAGAGAAAATGTGGCCTCTATGAACCAGGAAATAAGCCCTCACTAGACACTGAATCTGCTGCTTATTTTGAACTTGATCTTGGACTTTCCAGCTCGCAGAACAGTGAGAAATAAACTTTTATTGTTTATAAAGTATGTAGTCTAAGGTATTTTGTTATAGCATCCTGAGTAAATTAAGAAATCAATTATAAAATGAAAAAAATGAGACTCTTTAAAATTTTTGTCAGATGTACATTTCTAGGAACTTTCTGGAGGAGACCTTAGGGTTTTCAAGGTAACGATCATATTGTTAGCAAATAGTTACAGTTTGACTTCCTCAAGAATCTACAACGAACTCAAACAAATCAGTAAGAGAAAAACAATCCCATCAAAAAGTGTGCTAAAGACATAAATAGACAATTCTCAAAAGAAGATATACAAATTGCCAACAAACATATGAAAAAATGCTCAACATCACTAATGATCAGGGAAATGCAAATCAAAACCACAACGCAATACCGCCTTGCTCCTGTAAGAATGACCATAATCAAAAAACAAAAAACAGTAGACAGTGGCATGGATGTGGTAAACAGGCAACACTTCTACACTGCTGGTGGGAATGTAAACTAATACAGCCACTGTGGAAAACAGTGTGGCGATTCCTTAAAGAACTAAAAGTAGAACTACCATTTGATCCAACAATCCCACTACTGGGTATCTACCCAGAAGAAAATAAGTCATTATTCAAAAAAAAAAATACATGTACACACATGCTTATAGTGACACAATTCACAATAGCAAAATCGTGGAACCAACTCAATCAACAAGTGGATAAGGAAACTGTGATATTATATAATATTATATAATTTATATTATATGATAGAATACTATGCAGCCATAAAAAGGAATGAATTAACAGCATTTGCAGTGACCTGGATGGGATTGGAGACTATTACTCTAAGTTAAGTAACTCAAGAATGGAAAACCAAACATCATATGTTCTCACTGACATGTGAAAGCTAAGCTATGAGGACACAAAGGCAAGAATGATACAATGGACTTGGGGGGAAGAGTGGTGGGGGGGCAAGGGAAAAAAGACTACAAATATGGAGCAGTGTATACTCCTTAGGCGATGGGTGCAGCAAAATATCACAAATCACCACTAAAGAACTTACTCTTGTAACCAAATACCACCTGTATGCCAATAACTTATTTAAAAAATCCTAAGGGTGAGAAAAAAAGAACAAATAATTTTATTGTTTCTCTGATCTTTATTCTTTATTTTCCTGACCATGTCCCCCAATAAGATTTTGAGTAGAAAATTTGTTGATCTTAATTTTAAAGGGCCTGCTTTTAAGATTGTATGATGAAACATGATATATTTTTGCAGGTTTTCATTAGATAGTCTTATCAGGTAAATGAATTTCTCTTTCATATCTCCTATATTTGTAGGTTACAAGGAATATATTTTTATGTTTTTATTTTCTTTTTATAATTGTGTGTCAAAATTGACTAGATAAACCTTGTGTATCTACTTATAACTTTTTAAAAATACGTTACAAGTTTGTTTAAATTAGTTGACGGTAAGCTATCCCTTAATTTCTGAGAAAACATATATTTTATCAGAATATTTTACTTTTGTGTATACATTGCTGGTATAGGTTTCAAATTTTTTTAAAAAAATTTTTAATCTTTGAAAATGTCATTAACCTTCAATCTTTCTCACACTGACCTAAACAAGCTTTAATATGAAGGTTACGTACCAGCAAAATTAAGTGTTCTAGAAATTTGTCATTTTTTAATACATTCTGGTTAAAAAAAATTAGATAAGATAAAAATTATCTTTTATGTGAGAATTTGCTAACATGTGCCACTAAAAATTTTTTTAGAACAACAGTGGGTTTTGTATTAGTGTGAATATTTTTGTGTGTTAATGTGTGTGTCTGTGTATTGAGTGGATATGTCCCTGCAATATCTGTTGTTAGCAATCATTTTTCACTTTTATTTTTGTACCAAACATTTTGTCTTGATCGAACTAATCAGTGGTTATTATTTATTTTGCTTATTTTTATTTTTAATTATTTTATTGTTTCTCACTGTTATTATTATTGTATAATCCTATATCACTAATAATTTGATATTACTTTATTTCTTATTTTGTTACAAGTATTTTGATGTATAATATATTGCTTTCATTTTTGGTTTCTTGATTTTTCTTTTACATTCTTATTCTTATGCCCCTTTTTTTCTTTCTTTCAGTATATTCAGTTGCCTTCCTATTATTAAACCATTGAATTATACATGTTACATTAATTTTCAAGCATTCTTATTTTCAAACATTCTTTTTTCATGATATAAAATATAGAATATATATTTTAATTTATACACTACTTTATTCATACAACACAATTGTTGAATTTAATACTTTTGTTGTCATTCAGTTCTACATATTTTTAATTTAAGTTTACATTCACTTCACTTTTGATTGATAGAATATTTAAATTGTTTATTATTTTAACATAATCCAAAAATTATTAAAAATTGTTTTGTTTCTTTTTGTATTGTTTTTACATTGTAATTTATTTCTTGATATTTGTTTCATATTGTTTCTTTAGTAATTTGGAGACTTGCTTTGTTTCCTCCTATTTGGATGAATGTTCCACGTGTATTCTTCTACATCTGTTGGGTACAGACAAAAGTCCATCAAATCAAGCTTATAAATGAAGTTGTCTCACTTATTTTTTTCTATGGTTTTAAAAATTGTTCTTTCTGTTTAATCTAGCATTTATTGAGAAATAGGCCTACTAGTTTGGTAAATATTTTGAACCTTTGTTGCTATAAGCATTAAAGTTCAGAATCATTTTATATTCACAGTGAATTTCTCCTTCCATAATTTAGAAATGTCCATTTTTATCCTTGACAATGACTTCTTCTGCAAAGTTTGTCATCTCAGAAAATTAATAGAAATATTACTGTGGCAGAAATAAAGCCAAAATTGAAAATCACAGTAGTACTCTTTGCAAAGATTTTGAGAGAGGAAATATGTCTTAATATGCATTGGCTTTGATTTTAATCTGTACACTAGGATAGAGTGTGGGCCTTTTAAACTGCCTAAAGCAGGAATTTGAACTGGTTCCTTCCAGAAGTGGCACTGGCATAATTCTTATTTTAAAAAACAAACAAGACAATACATAAATATAACTTACCTGAAGAACTATAAACCTAGTACCCTACTTGCACAAGGTGAGAAATGAATATTAACAGCAAAAGGTCTATTAAATAAATTAATGTAAAACTACTTTGACCAGATATTGCCACAACTGCAACTGAATGAAATTTACACAGGGGAGAAATGTGCCAATAAAGATACACTCTTTAAGTTATGCAACATAAGACAAAATTTCCATCATGAATTCAAAACATAAGAGAATTAGCATTTCCAAGACCAATAACAGAATATTAATCATCAAGAACATAAAAAATAGTCTTAAAAATAAGCAAATTTATAAAATAACAAATCAGAATAAATATAACAAATTTGGATAACATGAAGAAATTAAAAAGACATTAAAAATCAGTGAACAGGTGAAACCATTCTTTTGCACAGATTAAAAGATAATTAGTGAACTACTCAATAATTATAAAGAAGCAGAGAGGGATAAGGTAATAGAAAATCAGAGTGAATTGTTAGAGGCATGGAAACTGTAGTGAGATGTCTAACAATACAGAATTAGACAAAGTGGAGAGAGCTGACTTTAAATAGGTAATTAAGGTGATTCTAGAATTGATAGAATTCTTGTCTATTCAAGTTCAAGAAGCACAACGGCTCCCGTGTGGAATAAATCCACATGTATACATTCAACAGGGAAAAAAATAAACTCAAATAAAACATTTTGAAGCTTCTAAAGAAAAAACGACAATAGTACTTTTTTAAGAGCAAGGACAATTGGATTTCCTTTGTCATCTCAAGTGCTAGAACAGAAACACATATGATAAAGAACTTCAGTAATGAATTCTTAGAACTCAATAATAAGAATAACATGAAGTCTAACAACATTCTTAACGAATGGACAAGATATTTAAACAGCCACTTCACTAAAATAATTATATGAATGGTAAATAAGCATATGAATAAATGCTGACTACCAGCATGCAAATTAAAATCTCAGCTATATACCCACTAGAAGGGTGACAACTTAAAAATCTTAAAGTCAGAGATGGGAATATAATCTCACACATTCCTGGTGCAAATGCAAAATGGTATAACCACTATGAAAAACAAAAATGTAAGATTTACAGTAATTTTCTCTTTTCTAAGTAAATGAGGAAATTGCATATTTTTATTTAGTACTTTCCACATGGCAGCCATTGAAATAAGAGATTTACATGAAAGAAGTCAATTATTATATCTCAGTTTCTTAAGTATCATCATCATCAACTACTTAAAATGAGAAATAAAAAACTGAAGCTAAAATAACTTGTCTAAGCCCTCACAGCTAGTAAGTGGTTCATATATGATATGAATCTTCCTTTTTCTCTAAACTGTGGTGTAGTATAGGTTGCTATATTTAATCAAATTCTTGCCAGCTGCATAGATTTTCAGTCTTCTAAGGATTCAAATGCAAAAAAGAAAAAAACTATACTGCAAATTGTACATAATTTATTCTTTCTCTAGAAACTTGTAATAATAGATTTTTCCTAAATTATCCAATGCAAAATAGTAGTTTCAGAGGCAGTCAATAAGTGGTGTATGAAAAATATGTACTGTGGTCAAATACATTTGGGAAAAGTTAAGATAAAAAGCATAAAAGTTATTTCTTTATTGGAAAATGTTTAAAACTTTTATTTTGCCAAATAATATGTACATTTCTGAAACAATGTACAGTAGTAAACAATACCTATATGTATTTTAATACAGAAAACTTTTTTCGTATAATAATTTGCAGGACTAACTTAGAGTTAATTAGAATATCTTCAACAGTTTGCTCTAAATCATAATTATAATAATGATTAAAGTTGCACTATTAAGGCTTAGATTTTAAAAGGTTATTTAACAAAAACCAAAAATGTCTAGTTCCAAACATGGAGGGTAATGCTTAATAAGAATGAGTATTTAACAAATAAGTAAAGCTGTCCATGAAGAAGAAATTCTTCAAAAAGTAAACAAACAAAAAACATTATTTAAGCATGATCCTTTGTTGTGAAGATTAGGCTATAATGGGATAATTTGCTATAGATAATTCTGAGGAAATATATTTTATTTTTTATTTTTGTTTACAATATGGAAAGCAAATATTACAAAAAATAAAGATGCCTTTAATCTGAGCATCATCTAACAAGATTTAAGATAAAGTATAAATCATAAAAAGAAATGTCTGTAATTCAACAAATATAAATATATGTATTTTTTCTACCTTTATTATAATGGGCAATTTTCTACTTTTATAACATAGAACACAAAATTTGGATCAATATTTCAAAGGTTATTTCTTACTTGTTGTATATGTCCACTATGGGTTGGTGGGAAGACCCCATTTATAATGGTTTTTCAGTGACTCAGTATGACAAAGACTTCATTTCTACACAAATAACATTTCTACAACAAGGAAAGAAAAGTTGGAATTTGACACCATCAATCAATTCCTTTAACTTTCGATTGACTTATGAGACTTAGTTTAATTTCATGGGCTAAAACAAATCTAGCATTCTTTTCTATCTTAAAGTGGTAGTAAATTCCAACCTAATAATTTGCCTGTAAGAAGAAGAATCACAGTATATGTGGATAGCCCTAATAATCATGATCAATAGTTATTTGAAACTATTTTATAAAAGTTTTAATATGTCATTTCAATTTTAACTTTTTAAAGAATTTAATAATAAAGTGATACATAGATTTTTCAAAGGTTCCACTACAGATTGGTTTATAAGAAGATGAAAGAGAGATACAATATCTTGAATTTAGTAAGATTAGATTTTGAGTTCAGTGTGAAGGATATATTTGAGGAAATAGATATATAATGTTGAAAACTAATATTAAGTCACAGTGGAGTTATTTGGTTACTACTTTTAAATACTTATCTTACATGTATCTCTATTTTGCATCCATAGCATGTCAAATGTAGTTCCACCCTATTTAGGGCAATAGGTAAAACTAATGAGAGTATACAATGGTGGAATATCCTCAATCATGTTGGAGTGTATTAGTATATAAGAAACAGAAAGCAATTCTTAGCCCATGCTGGAAGCCTTTATTTAAGGTGTGTAATCTCTTTGGCAAAGCATAACTGAAGTTAAAAATTTGTGTAAACAAGGCATTCAAGAAAATTACTTTTATTTAGCTTAGTCATTAAAGAATGAGTGTGTATGTAATACATGCAGAGAAATTTTAGAAGGTAAGAAATGTCCTAACAGAATATAAACCCTTAGAGACCTTGCAATGTATTCTACACAGTGATGTAGCTGCAGCAACTATAAAAGTTCCTGTCCAGGTACTTTATAAATGTATATAGGTTGCACTGATAAGTGAATGAAAAAAATAGACAAAATATTGAGGACAAAGTTAAGCAACGTTTAATCTTTTTAAATTTTTATGGATGCATAATTTTGCATACTTATGGAGTATGTGCAATATTTTGATATTATACAAGCATAGAATTTGTAATAATCAACTCAGGGTAATTGGATATCCATCACCTGAAGCAGTTATCATTTCTTTGTGTTAGGAACATTTTAATTCCACTCTTTTAGTTATTTTGAAATATACAGTAAGTTATTGTTAATGATACTTATCATATAGTGCTACCAAACACTATATCTTATTCCATCTATCTAATTGTATTTTTGTACCCATTGATCATCCTTTCTTAAAGCCTTTTTCAAGTGCACCAGGGAGGTTTCATTATAGGTTAGAACTGTCTGTTTGCTGCAGTTGTTAAAAAATAAAAATATCAGCCACGGTTTGGATACTTGACATTTAGGTTTAGTAGTGTCTAATCAAAAATTTTTGGAGAGTTACAATAAAACCCTGACAAAGGTTTAAAATTACTGTCTTTTTTGGTTTGGAGATAATATGAGAAAGACAACTGACACATGCTTGTGATTCTTTATCTAGCCATTGCTTACTCACTACAGCTATATTATTATAACGGTGGTAGGTAAATTATTTTAATTGTAGTAAAAAAGTTAAAGACAAAAGTATTAAAAATAATGATAACTGAAATATGTTTAAAGACACAATACGACTAGGTATAAATTATGACAACAATAATATAATGTTTATGAGGGTGTTAAAGTGTAGAGTTTTATAAGTGATAGTGATTGAATTTAAGTTGTTATCAGCTTAAAATATAATGTTATAACATATGTGATGTAGACCCCAAGGTCACCACACACATTAAAGAAAAAAATACATATACCTATAGAAGTTACAAAAAAGTCAAAGGAAGGAATCAAAGTTTATCACTGAAAACAAATCAACAAAACACACATGAAGACAGTGGAAAAGGAAGAAACAAAAGGACTGCAAGACTAACAAAACAAATCACAAAATGGCAGTAGGAAATCTTCCCTTACTAAGTTATTTTGAATGTAAATGAATTAAACTCTAATCAAAACATACAGAGTGACCAAATGAATATTTAAAATAGACCTATCTAAATGCTGTCTACAAAAATCTCTCTTTAGACACATGCAGGCTGAAGGTAAGTGGATGAAAAAAAGATACTCCATGCAAATGGGAACAAAAAGAAAGCAGGGACAGCTATACTTATATCAGACAAAATAGACTTCAAGTCAAAAACAGAAGCAAAATACAAAAAAGGACAGTGTATAACGATAAAAGAGTTGCCAGGAAAATATAACAATTATAAATATATGTGCACCCACCATCATAGCACCTAAGTATGTTCAGCAAACATCAATAAACAGAGTCATGCAATAAGAGTGGAATAATTCAATACCGCACACTCAGGAATGGGTAGTAACCACACAAAAAATCAGTAGATGACTTGAACAACACTATCAACTAACTGGACCTAACAGATATATACTAAATATTCTACCTAAGAGCAGCAGAACACACATTCTTCACCAGTGCACATAGAATTTTTTTCATGACAAATTATGTTAGGTTAGAAAATAAGTCTTAATAATTCATTAAGACTGAAATTATACCAAGTCTTTTCTGATCACAATAGAATTTTAGAAAGAAAACTGGAAATTCCCAAATAGGTAGTAATTGAACAACACACTGTAACAACCACTGGGTAAGAGAAAAAAGAAATTAGAAAAATGCTTCAAGAAAAACAAAAACACAACACAGTAAAACTAATGAGATGCACCAACTAAGTATTACAAGAAAGTTTATTGAGATAAATACCTGCATTAAAAAAAGGAAATAGATCAACTAGATAATCAAATTGCACATTTCAAGGAACAAGAACAAAAAAGAACAAACAAAGCCCAAAGTTAGCATAAGGAAGAAAATAACAAAGATTCAAACAGAAATAAGTAAAATAGAAACGCAAAAGGTAGAAAAAAATTAATGAAATTGGGTCTTGGCTTTTTGAAAAAATAAAGGAAACTGGCACATACTTAGATTTAAAAAGATTTGCCAAATAATTTCCATGAATTTCATGTAATTATCTGTTAATTTTTACAGAAAAATCTAAATTTACGGAAAAAAAATTAACAGATAATTACGTCTACAGGGCATAAACACAAATCAGAATTTCACCATCTCTAGGAACACATAAGAAAACGATGAGGATAGTTGTCACATTGTCTGGCAAAGCTCAGGGAAAGAGTAAAATACAATCATAAAACTATCAAAAAAAGATATCCAGGATAGAAAATGGGCAAAAAATAAAAAAGACAATTTTTAAAGAGAGTTAAAAGGGATTAAGGAGAAAATGAGACATAAAAAAAGAGAAGCAAAAAATAGTCAAAAGAAACACAGAAAATAAAATACAGGTGAAAGAAAGAAAACATTTTATCCATTTTTTAAAAAAGGCTAGTAAGTGATATGCAGAAAACAGTAGAAGTGAAACATAGATAAGGAGAGCTAACATTTGTATAAGTATATTCCCATGGAATAAAACAGAAATAATAAAACAAAACTAATAGGTTTAAAAAGTTTATATAGTAATCCTCCCTTATGCAGGTTTTCAGTTGCAACCACGGTTTGAACATATTACATAGAAAGTTCCAGAAATAAACAAGGTGTAAGTTTTAAATTACCTACTGTTCTGAGTAGCATGATGAAATCTTCCACTGTCCTGCACCATCCTACCCAGAGCATAAATCATCCCTTAGTTCAAGGTACCTATGCCTACCTGCCCATTAGTCCCTGAGTGGCTGTCTCAGATCATCTCAGTGGCAGTCAAATCTTATCAGATTGACCCTGGCATATTACAGTGCATGTGTTCAAGTAAATCTCACTTGGTTTAAAAATAGTCCCAAAGCACAAGAGTAGCGATGCTGGTAATTTGGCTATGCCAAAAGGAAGCTGTAAAGTGATTTTTAAAGGGAAAATGTCAAAGTTATCTACTTTATAAGAAAAAAATAAATTGTATGTTTAGGTTGCTAAGATTTATGTTAAGAATGAATCTTCTATTTGGAGATGGTGAATAAGGAAAAAAATAAATTTGTACTAGTTTTCTTAAACTGCAAAAGTTATGGCTACAGTACATGATAGTTAAGATGGAAAAGGCATGTATATAGGGCTTAGTGCTATCTGCAGTTTAAGCATCTACTGGGGGTCTTGGAAAGTATTCCCTGCAGATGAGATGGAACTACTGTAATCCAAAAAAAGACTTGAATCTGCATCTTGAAAAGATGGTGTCATGTCCCAGAGGAAAAAAAATGGTCCCAGACTGTCAACACTGAAGGTATCTCAGTAAGTTTACTTGATATCAAACATGAATTCTTATTCAGAAAATGCTTTAGACAGCCAGGCCAAAAAAAAAAAAAAAAAAGAGAGAGAGAGAGAAGAAAAGAAAAAATACAAGTTTTTTATATTGAAATTAACAAGAGGGGAAAAAGCCAATCTTGGAATTCTTTTGTAGAGCCTTTACTGCTAGATTAAAATGGAAAAATACCTTCAAAGTGCTCAAGGGAAGGAATTATGACCAAAAGAATTTATATTGAGTTAAATAATCTTTTAAGAATAAAAGCAATAAAAGGTTTTGAATACACAAGAAATATTTTCATGAACTGTTTCTGATCTAAGTAGAAAAGGTCAACACGAGTCAATCAAAAATGACTAGAAAAACCGCTAGAGTAGGAAGGAATTTATACATTTATCTGTAGATGTAAGATTCAAACTAATGTGAGGTTTCGGGTGAAGAAATAGAAGGTATGTACTTAATGCCTAAATATAGAAATGATATAAACACCAAGGTTTGAGGAAAGAGGGTAAGAAATCAGGAAGTATGTGGAATACTGACTTTTCTAATAATTACCAATATCCAAAAAAGATGGAGTTCATGAACATTTCTCAAATCCATAAATGTGAGTAAGATAATTTTAAAAAAGAAAACTTTTCAGATATTACAAAACCATCCTAAATCTTTGCTATATACGAGATAAACCTGACGCAAAGTGATTCATATAATTTTTTAATGTGCAGAGATATAGACAATTTAAACATAAAGAAGCAGAGTTTACTGTATCAATAAGAAACAAGTATATATTTAGGCCAAAACTATTAACTGAGACAAATCAGAGATCTTTATAACATTAATGGGTACCAATAACATTGAAGACAAAATAGTAATGGCTATATATCACATAAGAGCTTCGATATACACAGATACATTTGTAGGAAATACAAGGAAAAATGGAAACACATTAATGAAGAATATTTAATTTTACTTATCTAGGTCATTGACAGAATATTTAAAGACATAAAATATATAGTTCTAGTAAATGATGGAGCTAGATTTAAACTTATCATCACTGGCTCTAGAAACTAAGCTTTTTACCAGCATACAACAGTGTGATACTACAGTGCCCCTTGGCTGATGCAAGTGAACATAAATTTATATATTTGGAGGTGAAATAAAAAATATCTCCTCTGACTAAAACAAGAAACACATGAAAATAAGGGGTCTTGGAGATTTAAAAAGGAAAGAGAATAAAATAATTTTCTCCAAAAGAGACTGTAGTATAAGGACAGTTACTGTGATTGGCAATAGTGCTAAGAGCCTACTTCAGATCAATTGGGGTGACACCAGAGTACTAGATGTCTCCAGGAATCCAGCAGAAAGTGAGTGTATCCAGGACCCAACAAGCTCCTCACATTATTACTGCATCTACCTTACAGCTCCATAATTATGGGATACCTCATCAACCTCCTTCTTGAGCTTCCCTCTACTCTATTGCTCTCTTTAAACTGTTTTGCCCTGCCTAATTTGCACATAAGCCATTCATCGCTATCGACTTCCTGTGTTATGTGACTCCCCAGTATAGGCATCCAAATAAAACTGATTAGAGTTTTCATGATGCTACTCCAGATTCCAGGGCTTAGTTTATGTCATGAGGTCACATTTATTTCATGCTGATCTGGTAGGAGACAGGGCAGGATTAGGTTATAAAAACTGGCTGCAATTGAGGACTCTCAAAAGTCTAGTGTAGGTGTTGACCCCATTTTACAAATATGGTAATTTAAATCATTATTAAAGTTAATTTAAAAATTATACCCAAAGTATTAATTGATATGTCCATGTTTCAATGATGCCATCACAATATTTTTGTTTAAATGCACCTTGCAAAACAAAAGCTGATAGCAAATGTCTTTTTACCCAAAACAGTTCATTGAATTTTTTATCCATAAGAATGTAACAGTTATAATTTTAAAAATCCAACAGAAATCATGGTTCGTTGGGGGTAGGCATGACTGGGAATGAGAGAGTTCATGTACTTGAGTGCATATGATTCTCCTTAGGCCAATATGTTATAGCACTCTTCTACTCCTCCTAGGAATTAGCGATCTAGTTAAACTGAAACAAAAAAGAAATGGGGGGAGGTTCCACCAAATATTCTCAAGTATAATGTTATACTTGTGCTTTTATAATTTTAGTCTATGTATATTTGTCTAAAATACAAAGAAAAATAAAATTTTTTTTGTTCAAAAAGAATGATTGTAAAGCCAATTAAAGAAGCTTTCTAGACATCTCTGCTACTAATCCCTTATACTTCTAACATAACAGAAATAACATGGTACTTAATTTTCTTTAGAAAAATCAATTCATATATTAATAGACACACAGAAAAATTGAATGATATCACTTAGAGGATCACAAGAAAAACATTTCAGACACAAGGTATTTATTTCTATTTACTGTAAAACTGCTTTAGTATGAGATCCCCCATCTAAAATCATTTTAATTGAACCAAGTAAAGGCTGGCCATATTAGCAGCAGGGAGAGACCATGTTGATTTTATGGCATCCATGAGAACAAAGATAGGAGATGGAGCATTTAATTAGAATGCAAAATCCTTTTGCTCCTGGTGCAAAAATGTACATGGTCAAAAACCTTATAAAATGGAAAAATATTAGTATTCTCTCAACAAACAAAGTAGACACTATTTTTTCTTTACACTTTCCTGAATATTTCCTACTGAGTTTTTCTCAATAGTATTTTTCTGTAAACAAAATATCTGTTGGATATTGAACAATAACTACCAGGTCAGAATCAAAAGGAAAAAGTCATGAGTATACTTGTAGATTTAGATGGAGTCGAAAATGTGACAATGAATGAAACTGTCCAGATAGAGCAAATATAGAAAAATAAAAGCAAACAATGACACTTAGAGAAATGTATACTTAAGAGTTCAACGAAAGAAAAATGCCTTGGAAAGACATGCATTTATCATACTTAAACAAATAGAAAGAAAGTGTTGTAGTAAATCATATGTTTGATTGTCTGATACAGACAAAAAATGTGGCAGAAAAAAAGCCATTTAAAAGCCAAATAAGTTTTGCTTTATACACAACTTGACAATTTCAAAGTCAAATATGTATAAAGGCATCATACCATGTTAATTAATCATAAGTAAATAAATAAGTGGAAAAATTATCATGAAGCATAAACTTGAAAAAAGTTCGTATGCTTTCTGGGAAATCAGTAACTTAAAACATGATAGAAACCCTATCAATAAGTAGTCTAACTTATAATTAGCCTCAGATGTCTACATGATTTGGAAATATATACCCATTTTTTTCATTAGATTAGGAATCTCTAAAGATAAAAACTTAGAAAACTAACTTGAGCTTTCACTTAGTAATTAATGGTAGTAGGAAAAATTAAATGTAGAAAATTTTTAGAAATAGAATCAAATGCATTTAAAATGTAAAATCTGTTATGAATAAAATATTATGGTAAAGCTAATTATTTGTAGATTTTTGTCTATAATAGTTTATTCAATCAGAAAACATCACATTTTTAAGAGAAAATAACTTTTTCATGTAAAACAGGAAACAAGGAAAATAATAAATAATTTTAACTATATTATATGTTTATCATTTATATTTTTACTCCGAGATATGTTAAACAAGTAAGGTAATTTATATCTAAAATAAGTAATCTAATCTTATCAGGCTAGAGTATAACATTATGCATAACCTTAATATACTTTCATAACAAACTTTTAAAAATTTGTTTTGTGTGCTGTATTCTTAGCTTTTAAAAATGACTTTTATAAATACCGACAGAGTAAATTAATTTGAACATTAGTTGGTTTTGAAACACACATTCATAATGTGAATAGAGATTCTAGGAAAATGAGTACCATCTTCACTCTTTGAGAGTGCACAATCACAAAAAGTAACCCCCAAAACAAACCATATGTACATGAACTAGTTAATGGATGAAGAAAATTTGGTATGTACAAAGAATGGGATGCTATTGGGCAAAGAAATGATGCTACAGTATGATGATCCTAAAAACATTATGCTAAGCAAAAGAAGCAAGACACAGAAGACTACATATTGCATGATTCTATTTATGTGAAACGTCCAAAAAAGCAAAGATAGAGAGAAAAAAAGGAGACTAGTGGTTGCCTTGGGTGACAAATGAGAGGACTATAAGTGGACACGTGGATTCTTTCTGGGATGATGAAAATATTCTAAACCTGGATTGCGGTGATAGTTGTACACAATATAAATTTGCCAAAAGTTGTTGACTTATATGCTTAAAGAATTCTATGGTATATAAATTATACCTCAACACAGCTATTTAAAGGAAGGTGCATTATATACACATTTATACTTTTCAGATATTAATAAAAAATGGAAAACTTTGTTTGTTGCCTCACCGAAGAGTAATTTCATAGCAAAACACAAATCCCCATTCTTAGTTTGCCTTAATTTCAAGTATCATATATAATACACAATAGTAGATTTAAAATAATATGAGAAATTGTTTTATACTGGCTGATTATGTTCACATATCATTGAAAAGAAAGGATAGTTACAAATACCATGTAGTTACTACCTGCAACATATTTTCTAATAATATTATTTAACATATGCATTTAATTATATAGTCTATACATCCTTCCAAGCCTCTAAAAGTAGCTCCTAAACAACCATTAGGCTTTGTCATCCTATAAATATTCTTATAACTGTAAAACATTTGGAAGACTGAGTAACTATTTCAAGTAAATCTAAAGCTAAATATAATGCAATACTTAAAACTTTCTACAAAATTTAAGGTCCAATATATATTCATTCAAGCTTTAAAATTTCATACAATCTTAGGAGTATTCTATATTTTTTGTTTTCCTCATCTTATTTCAAACAAAAAAAATCAAGTGTATTCATAACTTAGAAATGATTTCAGTGACCTATAGCAAAAAGACTAAGAACTGCAATAATGGTTTTGACATTAATAATGTTTTGGAGGCATAAGTGTTTTGTTCTTTTGTTTCTTTTATAATTGTTGTTACTTATACTGGAGAAAGAAAATTGATCATTTTCTTTTCTGACTTGTCTCTTACATTACAGAGCTTGAAAAGACCTTAAGGTAACATTTCAACAGCAACCTCACAATAACTTGACTATTTTATTTGTTTTTCTTACCCAAAGACAGCAGTACTAGATAAAATGAAGGGAAATTACAAGGCATGTTTACATACATATCGATGTTTTTTTTACATTTATATAATAAAAAATGCATTGCTGGATATATTTTAGAAGTATCCTTAATAAACAAAAGAAAATGGTTTGTTACTGAATTTTACCTCATGAACATATAGGGTAAAATTCCTGTGTAAGAACAATGCAAGTATATACACATATGTCCATGTCTATATCTATGTTGGGTTGCCTATTAATGACTGGAACTGCCTGCCCATGTTTGAGCTTGAGCCTGAGTCTCACTGTCCCTCTTGTCAGTCCATCCATCTCTTTCTGCCCCTGTATGCCCGTTTGTGCTTTTCTACCTGTCTATCCATCCATCTCTCTCTGTGGTATGTTTCACACTGTCTTTCAGTTTGCCTGCCCCTGTCATGGGGTCTGACTATTCCTATCCCATTTTTAATTTCTATCTGTTATTCTGTCACCACATGTGTTTATCAGCCTGTCTCTGTTTCGGTACCTGTAAGGCTGTATGTATTGGTCTCTAAGTATGTATTTATCTGTTTAAGTGTCTGTCTATCCATGACTCTATGTGTACATATGTGAAGATTTTTCCTTTAATGTAGATTTAGTGAATACTATCTTTAAAAATCATTATTGTTTCTTAAGAGATGAGTGTGTATAGTATTGTTTGTGTGTGTATCTATCTCCCAAGCAACTGCCAACTCTATAGGTCCAATCTACATAATGGTAGGACCTAGAGATTACTCATGTTTTTCGAAAGTCAGCTTCTCTTAGCCTATTTAAGACCATGCTCTATTGCATTCTGCCTCTATATTACAAGATGGCTCCTAATGAAACAAACAAACAAACAAACAAACAAACAAACAAACAAACTTGTCACAGGTAGACGTGGATATCTACACCTCAGGCCTCTGCTTTCTAGTTACCCTCCTCCTAAAGAGGAGCTGTGAAGGTTTTATGTGCAATTGTAGCCCCACTCTACATTTCCAAAGAACCTCTACCTCATGGCCTATGTGGGCATTTACTAAAGGTTTAAAGATAACTAGAAGGAGTTTTAAAATAAAAACAAGACATGAAACAAATGCTAAATACAACTGATCTCAAGGTCAAAGGAGAACATATAATAACTCAAATGCTCAGAAAGTTATTTTATGGGCATTTCTCCTTTTCCAACTTGATTTTCAAGATCCAGCCCACCCCCTGCCGACCCCCATTGGAAACCCATGAAGAGTATACCTTTTTTCAATAATTTGCCATGTTAATCTTCATTTCTACATGTAAATTCTACCTATTCTCATAAAGATATCCATTTTCCTTGAATATTCCCAACCTTGAACCCACAATGATAATCGAAAAGAAGAAAGAAAAATCCCTGGTAGATCATTTTCTGAAGCTCGAATCATTCTGGGAGGAACAATACTATGTAGAGGGAGGGTGTCAGAGAGCTACGAGATGAACCACAGGGGTGTTTAATGTTACAAATCCTATACACTTCAGGGTCTATTTGTGATGGGATAAGAAGATGCTTCTCAATATTCTTCCTGTAGACTAAAAATCTGCTTTTCAATCTCCTGCGAGTAAGGCTTGGAAAAAATACAAACACACATGACACCAATGTGTATATAAACACTCTCACATATACACATTTACATCCCTACTCATATGAACATAAAATCTTTCTAGAGATAGTAAATCTAAAGACATATTAAATAAAAATAATTTCAATGCAATGTAATGTACGTAGTTATCCAGGTGTCCAAATAAAAATAGCTAAAGAAATTTTGCTTTGGTATTGTTCTCCTGTGTCCAGGAGTCTACTAAAGACTAAGATGATAGGGCCTAATAAAAGAATTTTCTAAATAATAACAATGTTGTATTAAGGTTCTACATAGGCACAAGCATATATTTTACTTGCATGATAGATATTATAATTAAAACCTGGAATTATTAAGCCTGTTTATTTACATTGCTTGACTTGGGCAGGTGATTGACAACCTTTCTCTTTATGATGATTATATTTCTTGTATTGTATATGGGAATCTGACAATATCACAAAGATTCTGTTGTGAAAATGAGGTGATAGAAGAATAATTTATGAAGTAGATCAACTGTACTTAACATTGCATGGGGGTGCTGGCCTACTTTTCAAGGATGTTCTAACAAATTCAAATTTGGCAATAAAATATAACTCAGTTCTACAAAAAATACTGTAGGCACATCAGATGCATCACTGAACTTAAAAAGGAAAACCCAGGAATTTACACAACATCATATACTTCTTCGAAACAAAGCAGAATTACCACCTGGCAAAGATTTCCCTCAAGCATGTCCCGCCACAAAACCATTCAAGTCTACTCCCTGTGTATTAGAATATTTATAACTATTTGTCAGTTTGGCTTATTCATTATTTCTCTACATAATATGAATTATTAAACTAAGCATGGACTTATTTACTTGCAAAATTAAGCACAAAATTTTTGTAACTTTCAAATTATACCATTTTGTTCTTTAGATTTTCTATAAGTCTGACGTATTTATCCATACTCATTCAGCAAAATATTTTGAAGAAAAAAAGTCCTAAAAAGATAAGTCACATACTCTATGAGAAAAGACAAACAGAAATCACATAATTAACTAGAGTAGCATCATACCTGCGATTTACCTAAACCTGTAAATAAGATTAAAATAAGCACCATATTATCTCTCCTCTTTTTCACTTACAGTGCTATGTAATAGATATTTTTCTACATTTTTATAGCTTTTCTCATAGTAAATATAAAACCGTGCCATGGTTTGAGAGCCATTATAGTATGGTGATTAAATGTGATATTGTGGGACAAAGATTCTGACCCAAACCTTAGCTAACCACGTAATCTACTTATGCTACGTAATCATGGACAGTTGCTTCATCTTTCTTGATTTCCACATTAGTAAAATGATCATAATAGCAAGTACTCTGGAAGGTTGCTAGTAGAATGGACATGAGAAAACACATGTTTAGTAATAGTCTTTACTCCACAGAATGTATTCAACATAAAAATGTTATGATTTTTTTTCATATATCGTTTTAACACTGAAGCTTTTAAGTGTCCATTAACAGTGAACTTAAAATATTGAGGTAGACATTTACATCAAATTGAGATTGTCGGATGTACATTGGTAGAAGAAATTGGTCTAGTTACATTTTTTAGGCTAAAAATAACTGCTGACATTTGTATATTAGACTATCTTGTGCCATAAAACGGAAGTTTAGAAAATTTAGGAAACACCTTACCAAAGTAGGAAATTTGATCAAACTTTGAAAGGCTTTGAAAGTCCTTGGATATCCTAGGAGAGGATAAATTATGTTCCTTGGCCAAATTTGGCCTAAGAATAATTTTTAAATTTTTAACAGTGAAAGAGAGGGAGGAGAAAGAGAACACAGAATAATATGCAACAGAATCTTATGTGGCCTACAAAGTCAAAACATTTATTGTATTACTTTGCTAGGACGGCCATAACAATGTACTACAGACTGGGTGGCTTAAATAACAGAAGTTTATTTTCTTACAATTGAAAGGTTGCAAGTCTGAAATGAAGGTGTCAGCAGGGTTGTATGCTTCTGAGGCCTCACTTCTTGGCTTGTAGATGTCCGTCTTCTCCCTGTGTCTTCACACAGTCTTTCCTCTGTGTAAGTCTGTGTCCAAATTCCCTCTTCTTAGGATACCAGTCCTATTGGATGAGGGCCTACTCTAATGACTCCATTTCAATTTAATTCCCTCATTAATGAACCCATCTACAAATATAGTCACATTCTGAGATATTGGAGGTTAAGTCTTCAATATATGAAATTTAGGGAGACGCAATTCAAACCACATTTTCTGTCTGTTTTTTTGTTTGTTTGTTTTGTTTGTTTTTACAAAAAGTAGTTAGCAGCCTGTGTTCTGGAAGCCTGAGAAGGGTACACCTGACAAGGGAACCAGTAGTTTCCTAGTGCCTCCTTTACTATTTGTCTGACATTATATATAAATTGAGAGAATCACTCAATTTAGAGATTTGCTTTCCCATTACCAATTTGTTTGGCTTATTTTACTTAGCATAATGTCCTCCAGGTTCACCCATATTGTCATAAATGACCAAATTTCTTTCTTTTTTAATGCTGAATAGTATTTCATTGTGTATATATACCAGATTTTCTTTATCCATTCATTCAACGATGGATACCTAGGTTGCTTCCAAATCTTAAAATTTAAATATATCTATCTCTATCTGTCTATATACTTACAGATCTATCTATAGATAGAGATAGATAGATATAGATATAGATATAGATATAGATATAGATATAGATATAGGTCCATCTATAGATAGGTAGATAGATAATTTGCTGAGGGAAAAATGCCTCAGGGAATTAGTGGCCAAGCCAAACCATTTAATTCTAACTTTGGGTCAAAGGGGCAGGGTTTAATATTATGGAAATATTTGCCTGGAGTTAGCCATGGACAGAAGAAGAAAGTAGGTGAGCACAAATCTGTGACCACAAAGGAAGTCTGAAAATCAAAGTAAATAACAGCAAACTCAACATCGGGGTGGACCTGGATGTGGTGATGTTATGACAGAAACAACAATAACCATTAATATTTTTTACTGCTTTACAAGGCCATATAATAGTATTTTGTGACATTTTGTCATTTGATCCATATCACCAAATGAATATGATGATTACCTACTGTCTACTTCCCCCAACCACCACACACACACACACACACACACACCCCTTTACAGATTAGGAAACACAGCTGAAATTATAACATAGGCTTTAATCTCCTTAAGCATTGGGTCAAAATATCCAAAAATAATACAAGAACTTCAATAATCTTTTTATAAATGAAGTCAGATGCCTAACATGTCTCCTCATTGGTGTGTAGGCGGGTTGTAGGTTTAAGACTGGGTTGGCACTGTCAACAGACACTGTCTCTAAAGAAAACAAAAACAAACTCAAATGGTTCATCAGCAAGTACTTGCTTTTGTGTCCACATTTTGACCTAGCTAGAATATGCTAGATACTTTCCTGTAAAGCACCTTCAAAACAATTAGTTGGTGGCTCCCTTTTGTACACAGATAAATTCAATATAACACATGTCTGCCTTTACTTTTTGTGTTAATATTTGGAAACGTACAAAATTTTGTTTCCAAAATTTTCCAAATATCAATGTGTTTCCAAATATCAATACAAAAAGTAAAGACAGACATGTGTTATGTTGAATTTATTTCCCCATATAACTCAGAATCTTAAGGAGTTTTTCTGTATATTTTAAACTTAATATGAGATGCATCTGAGGAATTCAGATGTAGAATTTTTCAGTAGTCTTGAGACCCAATAAAAACAGTTTCTAGCATAGATACTATTTTTGTAAAGATTTAAATTCACAGTTAAGGTCAACATCTGGCTGAATTTAACATTCACATTTGACAGTTTTACTCTCATTAAAAAATGTTTAGCATTTTTTCAAAGCAGAAGCTGTCTTTTATTTTAATAAAGGTCTTCATATATTTGCTTTGTTCCTTGAGGGATGGATTGGTACGCTTGAACTACTCTGTGCAGTTAGAATTTAAGGCCATATCACTAGATAATCCACGTAGCAAAATAAAATGCAAATGAAAAGGGCAAAGGGCACGGTATAATGAGCAAGAGGATTTATTGTCTTGTCTTCTATTTCCATATCCTTTGGGAAAATGTAAAAGTGGGAAATGAGGAATAGTTCTCTCTGCTTTCTCTGGCAAATTATGGTTGATAATTTAGCTATTAGATAACCGTATAGAATATGCCAAGTGATTTCCCAAACTAGTCACTTTTCAATTTTATCTATGCGTAAGTATCCACAGGTTCTTTAATTGCAAACAGTACTCACATGCTCAATGCATTATTTTTATTACTGAAACTGCAAAATAGACATGTGATAATATACATTTACACAGCCAAAACCCCCCTCCACACACACACACAAACACACACACAAACATCATTAAAGAGTCAAATTAATTTCAACTAGAACATCCTTATGGGAAAATATGTGAGAAAATATATGCAAAAATATGTACCATTTATTGAGCATATGCGGTGCACAAACTACGTATTTATTATTTAATTCATGTGATCCCACTCCCAACAAGAATCTAAAATGTAGATACCACTAGTGCCATTATACATATAATGAGACAGAGGTGTATAGAGATCAATTAAACAAACTAGCTTAACGGATTTAAACTTAGTTTGTCTTATCACCAATCCTATTTTCTGTCTACTATAACACTTTGACATGTGAAATATAGTTAAAGGAGAATTTGAAAACAACTTGATGAACAGTCTGGAATCCTCTGTAAAGATAAATTCAAGTCATTGACTGAATATAGGATGTTTCATACCTATAATGCACATAAGCAGCAACTAAAGAGTCAGGCTTCATTTCCTCCCTCTGTGTGTACCAATTAGAGGTCCTGAAATATTAATAAACTGGCTGATTTAGGAGAGAATACCATTACATTTTTTTTTGTCCTACATGTTGCTTGGAAGCAACAAACATATCATGGGCACTCAGTAAATGTTATTTAACGACAACTAATAAAATGAAATTATGGTAATATATTTTGTAATGAACTCACCATAAGATGAGGCAAAGTAAGTTTTAGTACTAAACCTGGAAGTTGAGCAGATTTCAATGGCTGGGTAGGTGAATGAATCCTATGGGGAGGCAAGAGACACTAACATGATTGTGGTAGAGAATGTTAATAAGAGGTCAGATATATAAAATTTTTATTGCACTTTGACAATTGGAGCTGCCCCTCCTGATTTTCATATATGTTATATTCATCTAACATTCAAAAGGCAAATTAAAGAATATATTGCTAAACTTCTATTCTAGCTCCTCCATACCCAAACATGAAGTGACTATTTCATTATCCATTGGTATCATCATTGGTATGATTTTGGAAGAACATGAAATATGTTCCCTGAAATGCTTTCTTTTTTTCCTACTTGTGCCTCCTTTAGCACATTGTTTGAGATTTTCGGAAGAGTCAGTTGTAATTTTTAAAAATAGAAAAGAGAGAGAGAGGATGTTAAATCACTGTATCCTCTGAAAGTCATAAGCCATCGAATTGTAAAACTCTAAGACATTCAGGAGTGTATGTAGTTTCAGAGAGTGCACTTCTGTAGGTTTAAATTAGAGCTGTGAGTTATTGGGGGAGAAACCAGACTGGGAGCAATCTCACTTTTTTAATGCTTTAAAGTGAGTGGAGGGAAAAGGTTCCACAAAGGAGAGAAAGCTTGCCAAATGGAGGAATCCGTAGGGAAATTTTAATTTAAGGCCCTGTTCCTCAATTCCTGTAAAGTTCATGAAAAAAGAAGTACTTAAAAGTCTCTTTGAGGACTTTATACTCTTTTCTCTTTTCCATTTTTTTGCCTTTTACAATCCCTGTGAGGAAAAGAGAAAATGCACTTAAAGTTACGATTTGGGTGACTCAATCCTTCCCTCTTTCCTTTGTTCTAATAGTCTTTCAAATGCTCCAAAGAAATTAGAATACACTTAACAAGTGCTCTTGTGAAGCTTAGCCACCACTTCCTCTCTTGAGCCTGTATTAACCCACTGAAGGGAACACAAACTCTGTGTTCCAGTCCATACAGCAGCAGGTACACCATGCTCCAGGTCAAATATACACCATGCTCCAGGTCAAATATACCTGCTATTCTAACCATTTTTATAGTCATTTTTAACACAGAAAAACAGCAACAATATGATAGATTTCATTGAGCCTATTCACACAATAATAAAACATTAAAAAAAGCTCAAGAGCCCTAATACTACATGTTTATAAGATCACTGTGATTACTATATGCTTCTTTTCTATTCTACACTCCCATTCTCTCTCTGATACAGAACATACACACACACACCTTTAACTTTTCAGAAACAGACACGGAAGTCACCTTTGCTGTTCTAAGATATCATAAGTATAATGGGATAAATTTCAGTTTCGAATAAGGCTTTCTCCCATTTTATCGGTTCTGTTGATATTCAGAAGTTTTTCAGTTTTTAGCATTTTGCTTTGCTAAACATTTCTTGTACTTCTATGAAAGGCATTGAGGTTTTCACTAACAGAACAAAGTTAAATAATAATTTTGTAGCATAATTAACTGAAACTGTAGCAATCAATTTTAGTAAAATCCTTTCAAACTCAAAAATAGATATCTGTAAGGCAAACAATTATATCTACATAATATTATCAAAAAGACTTATACTGAAGTTTCTTTAAATTAAATACTTTCATCATTCAAATATTTATGTATCATACGCATCCATGATACCAAAATAAATACAAGCATTTGAGACAAAGTTTGTATTTTGGAAAATATAAATAAAATACTATGATTGTTTTAAAAGATTCAAAAATACATATGGGTAAGTGAGTTTCCAAAGTACATATTTTTCTTCATTATATATTGCAGCTACAAAAGGAAAATCCTCAAGAGAATTAATATGAACTTATGATAATGCAGCCTGCAGCACGGTTTTGTTGTGATTTTTTCTGTTTTTGCTGACAATGCAATTCAAACTATATTCTACTAATCTTCAGTAAAGGGAGCAGATTATTTCACCTATAAACATGCAGCAATAAAGTGTCATTCTTCAGTCCATACAGACTACTTAACATCTTTCTCTTTTTACAGGTTTGGATCCCTAGCTCATTAGACTATTACCTGATAAAGAAGAGAGGGTAATGAATTGAGAAAATAACTACGTACCTTCAGAGAAAACCTGCCCGATAACAATAATCCATTAGAAAACTGGCAATATCCTCTGATCTATTGCCCGCAAAGCCATGACTTGATGGAGAGTTTCATTCCCTGGGCTCAGTTCTCCAGAAGAAAATCAGCACAATTTAAATATTTCTTGGAATGTGACAGCTCTCTAGATCCCGGGTTGCATTCTGTTCCCCAGGGATGGCAATCTGGTGTTCCTGTGTGCATAGAGCAGTGAAGATGAATTGAAAACGCTTGAGATAAATTAGGAATGGCTAAGTTAAAATTGTCTCTGCTCCAGACTCTCTCATCTGCAGTCTGCAAGCCTGTTTTTCTGTGAAAAAGCTAGATGGCAGGCTGCCTCAGTAAGTTCTTCTTAAGCGACAGAGAGCATTTTCAATGAAGAAAAATTCTCCCATTATCTAAGCTAATGTGACTGCTACTAAATCTAGTTTTTAAAGTGTCTGCTGGCATGAAATTCATTTTCACTATTGCTTTCTTTCAAACTAGTCTAGAATCCACACTATCAGGCTATATACAGTTCTATCTGACAGAAATATTTGAAGTTTTCTCTTTACAAATTAAATCATATCTCTTTTTTTTCAGTTTATTAATCATCTATGTATAGGAAATTTTCTCTTTGGGTCCAAAAGACAGTTTATTGTATTTTATATTATGCAGAAGATTTTAAGTTGCAGTACCTCAATATGAATTCTTGCATTTTTATTACCAATCACTTATTTTAATGCAGATTCACAGAGAAGAGTTATCATTTTTAGATGTCAGTCAAAATGCAGAAGTTATATAGAAATAGAAAAGAGGAATTTCTAATCATAATATGTGACCACAGAAGTGAATATTAACTCTTTGAATATCCTCTTCAAGAAAATATGATGTTCCAAATAAAACTAAGGTTCATAAATCATTTCTCTTCTAAATAAAAATGAGCCATTTTGAGTTCTGTTGATTTCATTTCAGTGACATGTTGTGATATGACAGTTTTTTCTTTTCTTTTTTTTTTTTTTTTTTTTTTTTGAGACGGAGTCTCGCTCTGTCGCCCAGGCTGGAGTGCAGTGGCGCGATCTCGGCTCACTGCAAGCTCCGCCTCCCGGGTACACGCCATTCTCCTGCCTCAGCCTCCCGAGTAGCTGGGACTACAGGCGCCCGCTACCACGCCCGGCTAATTTTTTGTATTTTAGTAGAGACGGGGTTTCACCGTGTTAGCCAGGATGGTCTCGATCTCCTGACCTCGTGATCCGCCCGCCTCAGCCTCCCAAAGTGCTGGGATTACAGGCGTGAGCCACCGCGCCCGGCCGATATGACAGTTTTTTCTCTAAGTTAGAAAATTCTTTTAGCATTTTCATAATATTCTGGATTTGAGATATAACACAAATACACTGTAATAGATGTATTGGCAATACACAAACACTGAAAGTTTATCAAAATGTTTTATTCTACTTCTTCACTTGTATTTGTTACACAAAACGATTTTCACATAATCAAAAAGCACACTTAAAAGCATCATAGTCCATGAGAATATGTACATTAAAAAATCCCTGCTGGCTATAAAAACAATCTCATGCTTGCCATAGCTTTCAACATGATGATCTGTAATGCTCTATGTCTATTTGACATTTAAGCAAATTGTTGCTTCCATGACAAAAATGGGGTTTCCACACTGTGAGAGAAACAAAAACAATATAATCACCTGACAGTCAACAAAAAAGTAAACAAGAATTTCCCTTTTTTCTCTACCCACCCTATAACTGTAGCTGACCACTTCACTCAAGGAGGTACAGAGGAAAAGAAAATGGAGAAACAAAACGAAACGCCACAGCAAGATGCCTCCAATCCTTCTACCTCTTGAGAAGTAGCATCACTGTAGCTATTTCTGAATAAACACAAGGAGATTGGAAAGAAGCAGCTTCAGTATTTCAGTTGGAAACTAAAATTATCCAGCATATTTTAAAAGACCATTAAAGAAAGAAAGGAAGCAAGCAAGCAAAACTATTTATTGGCCTCAAATGCTATTTCTAAAATGTCCATGGTGTTCAGCGCCTATGATATTAAAAACAAAAATGTAAAAAGATAAAAGTCTATTTAATAATTGACAGTTGACTGAATATCTAACTGCATTGCACTAATGTGCATTGAGTACCTCAATTAACATAATAAGTAACTACAGCAGTAATGAGTTTTTTTTTTTTTTTTTGATGTCTCAGATGTCTATCTCCACCTAGAATCTACCAATTTTACTAACACTATATTGCAATGATGATTACCCATTGGTGAATTCAGGACCACATGCAATTACATTAGAGTGATAGGTAAACTATTCTTGGAGCATAAAAAATTGTTTTTGTAGGAAGTAACTTTTTAAAATAGACCAAGTAAGCCTTAGTTAAAAGGATGAGAAATATTTCTAGGCAGTGGGAACAAAATCCCAAGGGAAATATACGTATTACATTTGCATAAGTGAAAGCAGCTCAGTATGGCTTGGTTGCAGAGTGAGGTATGAAGGACATGGAAAGAGAAGAGTCTGGGGAGAAAATGAGTCTTTTATACTTTCTTAATGAGATTGGGCTTTATCTTTGAATTGGAAATCACTGAGAGCTCTTAAATAGAGAATTTTAGAAAGATCAATTTTTATGCCATGCTCCAGTTAAAAAGCATCACCACATACCTAGTTAGCCAAGCCAGATGCCTAGTAGTTATACTATTTCTCTCATTATTTCTAGCTTTCATCATCTCTTACTTATATGATGGCCAGAATCTTTTATTTCATCTTTCTATTTTGAGTCATTTTCTCCATCAATTCTAACATAGCTGCCAGTTCTCTCTCTAAAATATGCATAATCATGCTCTTGCTCACAACAGTTTATTTACTCATTATCACCTGGAAATTAATGTTCCCAATCCTTAAAATGATCTGCAAGATCTGACTGTATAACTTTTTAAATTGATACTTCATAAGAAAACTAGTAAGCCACATTATTAAATTTTACCATAAATTTATAGAATGTTGTTTTCATTCTGCTTCCTTCTTTCTTTACTCCAACTATGTACTATTTTTTCCCCAAAAGATCATAAAACTATCTTACTAACTTTTAGAAAAACACTTCAAATATTTCGTCAATTAATGTACATTCCCATTTCATATTATCTTCAATTAACTTCATGCAAGACCTAAGTTGTAAAAAGGGATTGCATTTCATTTTCATTGTGTAGTTGTGGTATAGGTCTACATATAATATACATATATATATTAAAATATATTTATGTTCTGTTATTACTAAACTCACAGATCTCTGCAAGTTCTTTTGTAAAATACTTTTTCAAATTGCAGTTTCAACTAAAATATTGAAAGTCTTAATAGTACAACACAATTAATTTTATCACTCAATTTAAATAGCAATAATAAATAAAATTTACTTATTTATTCATTATATATAATTTTAGAAAATTATTTACTCTTGGGGTGATTTTATAGTAGCTGTAGCAGTACAAAAATTTGGCTTGCTTTGTAACAAAATCACTTCATCATGTATACATTTCTTTATTTTTAATAACATTGTCTTTAAAAATTATTGGGGAGACTGACTTGACTACATGAGGAGGAATTGCAACGTTGCCAAATTAAGGAATAATAAGACAAACATCGACATGGCATCCTGCTCATAAATAAAATTGATGTAAGTCTAGAAGATACGAAATATTTACGACAGTTTTAATAAAGGTAGTTTATGTAGAACATCTTTGTAAACTGAAAGCATTGCATGAAGAGGAGTATAGACTTACATTAAATATAAGAATATACTTAATCAAGGAGTTGAAAGACTTGTATGCTGAAAGCTATAAAACATTACCGAAATAATTTTAAAAAGACACAGTACATGGAAAGATAACCCACGTACATGGATTCCAAAACTTAATGTTGTTAAGATGTTAGTACTAAACAAAGCAATCCACAGATTCAATGCACCACTATCAAAATACCACTGGTGTTTTCTGCAGAAATATAAAAAAAAAATCCATACAGATTCTTAAGGGATCTCAAATAGCTGAAACAATCTTGGAAAACAAATTCAAAGTTGGAGATGTCACACTTCCTCATTTAAAACATTAATACAATTCTACAGCAATCAAAACTGTGTGATACTGGCATAAATACTGACATGTAAAACAATAGGATAGAATAGAGAGCCCCCCCACCCAAAACACTTGCATACTGATACTCCTCAACTTATGATGGGGTTACATCTCAATAAATCTATTGTTAAGTTGAAAATACTGTAAGTCAAAAATGCATTTAATATACCTACCTTATTGAACATTGCAGCTTAGCCTACCATAACATGCTCAGAACACTTATCAAAACCCCAATGCTCGGGACACTTACATTAGCGTAGAGTTAAACAAAATCATCTAACTCAAAGCCTATTTTATAATAAAGTGTTTAGTATCTCACGTAATTTATTGAACACTATACTGAAATTGAAAAACCAGTAGTTGGGAACTCAAAGTACAGTTCCTCTTGAATGCATATTGATTTTGTACCTTCACAGAGTCACAAAATTGTAAGTCTGAATATTGTAAGTCAGGGGTAATTTGTATATGGTCAAATGATTTTCAACAAGAATACCAAGACTTCAACCAAAAAAGGACAGTCTTTTCAAAAATGGTATTGGGAGTACTGGATATTTGCATCTGAAAGAACAAAGTTGGACATCATATCATATATAAAAGTTAACTCAAAATGCATCAAAGACCGCAATGTAACAGCTACAACTATAAAACTCTTAGAGGAAAACAGGAAACACTTTTCCTGAAATTTGATTTGACAATGATTTCTTGGATATGACACCAAAATTATATTCAAGAAAAAAAGATATATTGAATTACATCAAAATTAAAAACTTCTTTGCACCTAAAGACACAATCAACACAGTAAAAAAGGCAACTCAGAATAGGAGAAAACATATGCCATCATGTCTCTGATAAGAGGTTAATATTCAGAATATATGAACTCAACGCCAGAAACAAAACAACCAGATTAAGAAATGGGCAAAGGTCTTTGGATATTTCTTCAGACAGATACACAAATGGCTAATAAGCACATTAAAATATACTCTCTATTACTAATTATTGCGGAAATGAAAATCAAAACCACATTGAGATGTTACTGCATATGTATTAGGATGAGTACAATCAGATTAGCAAAACATAGCAAGTGTTGGCAAAAATGTGGAGAGTTTTGAATCCTTGTGTAGTGTTGCTGGGAATGCTAAATATTACACATGCTATGAAAAAATGTTATGGCAGTTCCACAAAATATTAAAAATAAAGTCAACATATGATTCAGAAATTCCACTTTTGGGTATATACCCCAAGGAAAGAAATGCAACAGAATGAGAATCAAACAGATATTTGTGTACCCATTTTCATAGCTGGATTATTCACAATAGCCAAAAGGTGCAAGCAACACAAATGCCCATCAAATAACAAATGGTGGCATATATGTGCAATGGAATGTTATTCAACATTAAAAAAGAAAGAAATTCCTGACACTTCCTACAACACAGATTGTTCTTGAAGACCATTATGCTAAGTGAAATAGGCCAGTCACAAAAAGATAAATATGCCAAGTGGACCTAATAGACATCTACAGAACTCTCCACCCCAAATCAACAGAATATACATTTTTTTCAGCACCACACCACACCTATTCCAAAATTGACCACATACTTGGAAGTAAAGCTCTCCTCAGCAAATGTAAAAGAACAGAAATTATAACAAACTATCTGTCAGACCACAGTGCAATCAAACTAGAACTCAGGATTAAGAAACTCACTCAAAACTGCTCAACTACATGGAAACTGAACAACCTGCTCCTGAATGACTACTGGGTACATAACGAAATGAAGGCAGAAATAAAGATGTTCTTTGAAACCAATGAGAACAAAGACAAACATACCAGAATCTCTGGGACACATTCAAAGCAGTGTGTAGAGGGAAATTTATAGCACTAAATGCCCACAAGAGAAAGCAGGAAAGATCCAAAATTGACACCCTAACATCACAATTAAAAGAACTAGAAAAGCAAGAGCAAACACATTCAAAAGGTAGCAGAAGGCAAGAAATAACTAAAATCAGAGCAGAACTGAAGGAAATAGAGACACAAAAACCCTTCAAAAAATTAATGAATCCAGGAGCTGGTTTTTTGAAAGGATCAACAAAATTGATAGACCGCTAGCAAGACTAATAAAGAAAAAAAGAGAGAAGAATCAAATAGACTCAATAAAAAATGATAAAGGGGATATCACCACCAATCCCACAGAATTACAAACTACCATCAGAGAATACTACAAACACCTCTACGAAAATAAACTAGAAAATCTAGAAGAAATGGATAAATTCCTCGACACATACACTCTCCGAAGACTAAACCAGGAAGAAGTTGAATCTCTGAATAGACCAATAACAGGATCTGAAATTGTGGCAATAATCAATAGCTTACCAACCAAAAAGAGTCCAGGACCAGATGGATTCACAGCCAAATTCTACCAGAGGTACAAGGAGGAGCTGGTACCATTCCTTCTGAAACTATTCCAATCAATAGAAAAAGAGGGAATCCTCCCTAACTCATTTTATGAGGCCAGCATCATCCTGATACCAAAGCTGGGCAGAGACACAACCAAAAAAGAGAATTTTAGACCAATATCCTTGATGAACATTGATGCAAAAATCATCAATAAAATACTGGCAAACCGAATCCAGCAGCACATCAAAAAGCTTATCCACCATGATCAAGTGGGCTTCATCCCTGGGATGCAAGGCTGGTTCAATATATGAAAATCAATAAATGTAATCCAGCATATAAACAGAACCAAAGACAAAAACCACATGATTATCTCAATAGATGCAGAAAAGGCCTTTGACAAAATTCAACAACCCTTCATGCTAAAAACTCTCAATAAATTAGGTATTGATGGGACGTATCTCAAAATAATAAGAGCTATCTATGACAAACCCACAGCCAATATCATACTGAATGGGCAAAAACTGGAAGCATTCCCTTTGAAAACTGGCACAAGACAGGGATGCCCTCTCTCACCACTCCTATTCAACATAGTGTTGGAAGTTCTGGCCAGGGCAATTAGGCAGGAGAAGGAAATAAAGGGTATTCAATTAGGAAAAGAGGAAATCAAATTGTCCCTGTTTGCAGATGACATGATTGTATATCTAGAAAACCCCATTGTCTCAGCCCAAAATCTCCTTAAGCTGATAAGCAACTTCAGTAAAGTCTCAGGATACAAAATCAATGTACAAAAATCACAAGCATTCTTATACACCAATAAGAGACAAACAGAGAGCCAAATCATGAGTGAACTCCCATTCACAATTGCTTCAAAGAGAATAAAATACCTAGGAATCCACCTTAGAAGGGATGTGAAGGAACTCTTCAAGGAGAACTACAAACCACTGCTCAAGGAAATAAAAGAGGATACAAACAAATGGAAGAACATTCCATGCTCATGGGTAGGAAGAATCAATATCGTGAAAATGGCCATAGTGCCCAAGGTAATTTATAGATTCAATGCCAGCCCCATCAAGCTACCAATGACTTTCTTCACAGAATTGGAAAAAACTACTTTAAAGTTCATATGGAACCAAAAAAGAGCCTGCATCGCCAAGTCAATCCTAAGCCAAAAGAACAAAGCCAGAGGCATCACGCTACCTGATTTCAAACTATACTACAAGGCTACAGTAACCAAAACAACATGGTACTGGTACCGAAACAGAGATTAGATCAATGGAACAGAATAGAGCCCTCAGAAATAACGCCACATATCTACAGCTATCTGATCTTTGACAAACCTGAGAAAAACAAGCAATGGGGAAAGGATTCCCTATTTAATAAATGGTGCTGGGAAAACTGGCTAGCCATATGTAGAAAGCTGAAACTGGATCCCTTCCTTACACCTTATACAAAAATCAATTCAAGATGGATTAAAGACTTAAACGTTAGACCTAAAACCATAAAAACCCTAGAAGAAAACCTAGGCATTACCATTGAGGACATAGGCATGGGCAAGGACTTCATGTCTAAAACACCAAAAGCAATGGCAACAAAAGCCAAAATTGACAAATGGGATCTAATTAAACGAAAGAGCTTCTGCACAGCAAAAGAAACTACCATCAGAGTGAACAGGCAACATACAAAATGGGAGAAAATTTTTGCAACCTACTCATCTGACAAAGGGCTAATATCCAGAATCTACAATGAACTCAAACAAATTTACAAGAAAAAAACAAACAACCCCATCAAAAAGTGGGCAAAGGGTATGAACAGACACTTCTCAAAAGAAGACATTTATGCAGCCAAAAAACACATGAAAAAATGCTGATCATCACTGGCCATCAGAGAAATGCAAATGAAAACCATAATGAGATACCATCTCACACCAGGTAGAATGGCGATCATTAAAAAGTCAGGAAACAACAGGTGCTGGAGAGGATGTGGAGAAATAGGAACACTTTTCCACTGTTGGTGGGACTGTAAACTAGTTCAACCATTGTGGAAGTCAGTGTGGCGATTCCTCAGGGATCTAGAACTAGAAATACCATTTGACCCAGCCATCCCATTACTGGGTATATACCCAAAGGACTATAAATCATGCTGCTATAAAGACACATGCACATGTATGTTTATTGCGGCACTATTCACAATAGCAAAGACTTGGAACCAACCCAAATGTCCAACAATGATAGACTGGATTAAGAAAATATGGCACATATACACCATGGAATACTAAGCAGCCATAAAAAATGATGAGTTCATGTCCTTTGTAGGGACATGGATGAAATTGGAAATCATCATTCTCAGTAAAGTATCTCAAGGACAAAAAACCAAACACCGCATGTTCTCACTCTTAGATGGGAATTGAATAATGAGAACACATGGACACAGGAAGGGGAACATCACACTCCGGGGACTGTTGTGGGGTGGGGGTAGAGGGGAGGGATAGCATTAGGAGATATACCTAATGCTAAATGACGAGTTAATGGGTGCAGCACACCAGGATGGCACATGTATACATATGTAACTAACCTGCACATTGTGCACAGGTACCCTAAAACTTAAAGTATAATAACAATAATAATAATAAAAAAAAGAAAATGTTAGGAATCAAGTTTCTCAACATGTAATAAGCATTCTGTGAGTACTTACTGCTTCTAAGTTACAATGACCATAGAAATGAAAGAAACAGACTTAGAGAAGTAGTGTAACATGTTGGCTAAAAATATAGACTTCAAAGTTTAACAGAGCTCGTTCAGTTCTTAACACTGTGGATTATCAGCATGAGATCTCAGCCAAGTTACTTAATTTATTTAAACCTCATTTTTCTCCTGCATAATGATGATTGTAAATTAATCTCACATTTTTGTAGGAAACAGAAAAGATATTTAAAGGACTTAGTACCTGGCTACCATAATGTTAGCACCCAATAATTTAATAAATAACTCAGTATTATTATATTTCCCTCAAGGAGCTTTCAGTTTCTTTTCTAACACATTCAGAGTGATTTTGAATTTTTGTATGTTGATTGGTTGGTAGGTAATAAAAATACCTTACACTAGTTGATGCTATTTTTATAAACGTTAGTCAAAGAAATTAGAAATCAATGCAAAAATTTAAGTAAGGTTAAATATTAACACTTTTTGAGTTGATATCACATGATGACATGAAACTGGAAAATAATTTTTCAGGGTTTGGGAATTGTATCAAGTACAGCTGAAAATTGGATAGGTCCACAAGTTCAAACAAAGGAGTCTAGTGGAAAAATAATCAATAGAAAAAAAAAAGAGAAATTTAAATTCTGTAGTATCTAATATTAGAATTTCCTAAATCAAAA
Organism: Homo sapiens; assembly: GCF_000001405.40. NCBI lineage: Eukaryota > Metazoa > Chordata > Mammalia > Primates > Hominidae > Homo > Homo sapiens. The sequence continues at coordinate 86,848,580 of NC_000012.12, forward strand.
GGACATTTTATATACTGTTTACATGTAAACAGTGGCAAAATAAGCAAACATACCCAAAATTATTTGTGTAAAATATCCATATATGTTTCTACTAAAAAATTCCAAACCAATTTGAAGATATTTTACCACTAATGAACTATATGAGCCAAATTTTGTTCTCTTCATAGAGTGATATTTTGGTTCTTTAGTTTAATTATGTATTTAATAAACCAATCTCAAATTATTAAAATAAACTCAACAACTAAAAAAACAAACAGAAAGATTGGTTTGACATGAGTATAATGATTAAAATACAGGTTCAAATTAATGATGAAAAAGTAACATAGTCTCTGAGGAAGGTTCCTTTAAGAAACCTGGAGTATGGAAGATAAGAATAATTTTCGGTATTAATCTGATGTTTATGAGAACACAAAAACACTTAAAAATATTTACCCACTTAAAAAACAGAACATTTACCCACTTAGAAAACAGAATTTCTTTAGAATTCATTAAAAACATAGTCAGGGATGAATACTAAAGTCAAAGGCTGATTTCAATTGATTACATAATTATGTATGTGTATATGTACATGTCTACACATATGCATATGTATGTGTATTTGATAGTCCCTACACATATGTATATGTATGTGTATTTGATACATATGTGAGGGGTATGTGCATACCCAACTGCATAGACATATTTATAGTTACTATCGTTCATGCAAGTAATATACAATTCTGTATAACACAAGCTTTTAATAACTAAAATATATTACTTAGTAAAATTATAATTATTATCTAGAATGTAACCTTAAAACTTAAGAAATTTCATAATCCTGTGAGCTGTGAAAAATTTTCACATAAAGTTATAATCTTATAAAACTAAACTTGATATGCTCAAATATATTTTATCAAAAAAACTTTTTAAAATATACATGTTTAAATGACACATAGTAATTGTACGTATTTATGGAGTACAGTGTGATATTTTGAGGCATATATACAATGTGTAATGAAATAACTTTGTTAAAAAGCATTCCTAAACACTTGATTACAGAGTTGACTATGGGTAAACATTTCACTTCACTGTAATAAAGCACCTCATAATACATCTCTGAAGGAACATGCTGAGATTTAGCTTTACAAAGTATATATGAAAACTCCTCACAAAAAGGCTATAAACACAATTCTAAGAATCATCCTTTAAAATATGTCCTAAACACTTGCCTGGAAAATTCGCTGATTGGTAAACAGTTCAATTCACTGTAATAAAGCAACTCACAATGCATCGCTGAAGTAACACACTCAGAATTAGCTTTATTCGCATGTGTAAGTAAACCCCTTCAATGTGGCTACAGGCATGATAGTAAAAAACATAATTAGAAATCATGTTCCAGTCAGAGTTACTAGCATACCCATCATCTCCAACTCTTGTGTTGGGTAACATTGAAAAGCCACTCTTCTAATTGTTTGAAAAATTAAAATAAATTATTGTTTACTATAGTTACCCCACAGCGCTATAGAACACCAGAGCTCATTCCTCCTATCTAGCTGTAATATTGCATACATTAACCAACCTCTCCCTGTCCCCCTACCCTTCCTAGCCTCTAGTAATCACTATTCTGCTCTCTACTTCTATGAGATCAACTTTTTTAGCCTCCACATATGAATGAGAACATATAATATGCATCTTTCTGTGCCTGATTTATTTCACTTAACATTATTTCCCCATGACAGCATTTCATTCTTTGTTAAGGCTAAATGATATTCCATTATGCATATACAGCAAGTTTGCTTTATCCATTTGTCTGATGATGGACACATTGGTTGATTCCCTACCTTGGCTATTGTGAATAGTGCTGTGATAAACATGGGAGGGCAGATATACCTCCAAAATACTAATTTCCTTACCTTTGGATACATACTTAGTAGTGGGATTGCTGGATTATATGGTAGTTTTATTTTTACCTTGAACAAATGTCTTTTTTATGAGCATCACAGTGTCAAATTTTGAACAAGGATTCCAGTGAAAATATATTTTAAAAAACTTAATACACTTTTAAAAATAAAGACTTGATATTTCTCAATGTAAGTGAGCATTATGCTTAATTAATTGTTATTAAAACTTTTGGCCTTCAGAGATGTGATTTTTAAAAGTGGTATGAGATGTGAGATGAAAAACCTCTAATATTCAGTGATAAGTGGTGTGCTAATTAAACTGCGTAATCAAGTAATGTCAAGGATTTAAAGATTATTATGCAGCTGCTTCAGGATGAGTATGGAAAAATGCGTGAGGATTAGTTTATGTTTACTCCTTTTCAACTACATTCAAGGTAGAGGTGGCAGGCAAGAGTATAAGAAGAAATTGCTGCAGGCTAGCATTTCTCTCCACTTGGAAACTCTTTACATCTTAATCCAGTCTTCTCATTTTGTTCTGTTGGAATTCTCTTTTTCTTTAGTGCAAATCTATTATTCCACTAAATGCTGTCATTGGCAATTACTTCTTAGTTTCATTCTCCAAAAATATGGCTATTTCAAGGCACTAGGCCCAACATTCCACTTAAGCCTTGGGAGGCCACCAGCAGACTATTCGCACAAAATTCCTTTAATGTGTAGAACGCAATAAGACAAAAAAAAAAAAAACAAAAAAAAAAACAGAATAGAATTGCTTTTGATGTTATAGTGAATTTTCTTTTTTATTTGGGGGCTAGGCAAGGGGAATCCTTATTAACTAGCACATTATCTTTTTAACTGTGAAACAAAATTGCTTGGTTATTTATATCTATAACGACTTCTGTTACATTCTGCCTTGCCATTCAAGAATGAAGTATCTTGCTCCAAAGTCTTTATGCGCATTCACAGAAAGGTGGACTATACAGTCAGTGTTGATACATGTTCATCCTCACGTTTCTTCCCCAGAATGACTCAATTCCATAAATACATCAAAAAGAAAAAACTGCTGTAATTAGAACAGGGCAATATTTGATGAGAGCATTTGTGTACACTGAATGGTAAGCTTTGCACGAACAGGCACCATTTCTGTCTTATTTCATCTTGCAATCTCTGCATAACCCAATACATGGAATATAGTTGTTGTCACTCAAAATATATTTTAATATTTGTCATATGACATATTATAATCTATTACATTAAATGGAAATTATTGACATAAGAAATTTATTTTAGTGATATCTTATTTCTTGAGCGCCTTTGGTGTGCCCTTCTTACAGTTGGTAATAAGGGTGATAACTGAAATTAGGATCTTAGAGAACTGTACGTTAGGATACTATGTACTTACCACGTACAGTGTATTATGCTGGTGTTGCTGTCTGATACTGTATGTGCTTTTGCCTCCTAAGGTTTGATTAGAAGTTAAGTGTGGAGAACATGCATATCTAGAAGTTCTATCTGTATTTTTAAAAAAAATCATGATTTTTTTGCATCTGATGTAATTTGTTTAGCAGATATTTATAGTATATATGTAGGATTACATATATAAATGAAGATTTTAATAAGATCGGTATAAAAATGAAGGAAATTCCCCAAAATCACTTAACAGACTCATGTTCATCTTTGTCTATAGGCTATTATTTATCTTAATATGAAGAAATAAAACAGCAGAAATAAGAGTTTATCATTAAGAAATCATAAGTACAATGCATAGACAAATCATCACATATAAGTTTTTGTATAAATTTAAACCACATTCTAAAATTTGTCTGTTATCTCTTATTTTTCATTATCATTTAGCCTCTTATGATCCACTTGTTTATATTCCATCATGCTCTTCAAAATCTTAGTAGAGCGATCTTATTCTGATGTTGCATTCTAGCAACCATTCTAAAATTTGAAATGTGAAATTTAATGACTTGTAGTTTAAAGAAAATAGAAAGGACTTTTGGTTTCAGCTCTAATATATACAAAGAGCTTAATAATTGTCACTCCTGTCTTTACAACAAAAATAACAATAACTAAAAAAACCCTGAAAATAAAGAAATTTTATTTGACCCATTGGATAACTGAGTTTCAGACAAAATTGCCATCCTGAAACCTGGAAGGAAGGGAATGCCGAGAATCACAGCCAAGATCTGCTTACCATAATTTGCCATCTGCTTCAATAACATTATGTAAACAATTTGGTAGTTCTAATACCATTTTTTTTCTGTGTGTTTGAGATTAATTAAACAACATACATATGCTGTACATTTCTACAAGGTAGCTTTTGAATAAGTTTTTTTCTATAGGAGATATTTGTTTACAATTCTGACACCACTGTACTTGTGTAACAGATTTAAATGATTATGTAAATGGATAGTTGATGGTGGGAGATGGATTTATTGTAATTGGAGCTGGAGTTTTCAGAGAAGCAGTGTTCTGCTTACATGAAGGAGTTAATATTTTCTGTTTTCTTGCTATGAGTGTTGCTACATTTATTTATTTATTTAATCATGTTATTTATCCCTGAGATCATATTACTAAATAGAATCTTTTGGAAAATTTCAACTAATTCATAGGGTTTCTGTCTTTGCCAGCAAATTTTAATTTTAAATAATTGAAGTAATAGTTAAAACTTCCCATAAACATATTAAAACATTTAGATTCATGACTTGGTAGTAGTGTGTTCACAGTCAAAACGCATAGTCCTGAAGGACTGATGGTGTGTAAAGCCTGACCAAAGAGGATAAACTATGTGTATGATAATCACCCTGTTTTTCTCCATATCTTTTGAAATTGATTTGGTGATCTGAGATTTGACATATTTCATTAAACCAGCTACATGCTTTAAAGCGAATAATTTGCAAACTCCACAAAGTTTTCTGGTATCATTGGTGTATTTATTTGTGTAATTTAGAAATTAGCATTTCACATTTGGGTAATTTTGGATGACTTTCTAAAGGCCTTATATTGTTCATAGCCTGCTGAATTTTGAAAATATGACGAAGTTGAAGCATTTTAATAGTTTCTGTTTCCCTTGTGTGTTTTACATGTCTATTTTCAAGGAATTGAATGAGACTTTCCCTAATACACAATGCATATTTACTTCACTGATGATGAAGAATAGGTTTGACCTTCCTTGCTCTTTAAGTAGGATATGTATGACCAGCTATCTTTATGAAGTAATTTTATTTTCTTATCAAATTTTCTGCTCCACAATATATTTAATGACTACCAAATACCTGCTTTGCATTCTCACTTGAACTTTGTTTATAACTCTCTATGTCATCTCATATTTTGCCTTACATTCAATTTCTTTCACATTTGACTGATTTTATGTTTTCCACTGAATTTTTGAAACATAGGAATAGTTACTATTTTTCTTCATTTTTTTATTACCTGGAATGACTAATACAGCGATTTAATGTAATTATTAAAATTTGTGTGTGGTGAATAAGATTATGAAGACATTAATATTCCCAGGTTTTTCTGAAGATAAATGCATAATACACTATGATTAAGTTACTACTAAATTAAAAATATTGGTTCTAAATCTTCTGGCACTGACTTTGGGCAAGACAGCAAATCAGTCAATTAAAAAAATAGGGGTTGATGTATATAATCTTCAAGTTTCTTTCACAAATTTGAATGTATATGATTTTCAAACATCCCCTCAAAGATGTATGTTCTGTATTCTACTGAAGCCTAAAGATATGCAAGAAAAAAAGGAAAATACTTTGAAATTGTTTACTACAAGCTCTCCACTCAATAATTTAGCAGTAGGGAAGAATATATTGTTTGCTTTTAAATTAATTTCAGTTTTTATTGATATGTAAGAGATGTACATATTTTGAGGGTATATGTGATAATTTAATACTTTCCTATAATTTGTAAAGATCAGATCAGCATAATTGGGATATTCATTATCTTAAATATTTGTCTTTTCTTTAAGCTAGAAACATTCAAGTTACTCTCTTCTAGCTTTATGAAACATACAATAAATAAATTATACTAAACTATAGTAACCCTACTGTTCTATTGAATACTGGGTCTTATTTTTTCTATCAAACAGTAGAATATATTGTTTTTGTGATTATCATATTTGTCTTTCTCACGAGTATAAGATTCAGTATTACTAGTGGTATATAATTTAAAGGATTTGTTCCCACTCTGTGTCATGAACAAAAACCTTTGCATATTCCTAAGACTTCCTGCCCTCTGTATAATTATGGGAAATTATTTCAAGTGTGTCTTTTGGCCTTGATCATGATCTTGGTATCTTTTTATTATATTTTATTATATATACGTATATTATATATAATATATAAAATTATAAAATATATGGCATGTATGTGTGTGTGTATAATTTTTTTAAAGTGGTGCTTCCATAGCCTGTTTTACCTGCAAAAGGAGTATCTTTTTAGTGATGCAGTTCAAGTGATCTATTAAATTGTGTTTACCTACCTCATAAATGACTTAACATTAATTAGAAAATACATTTAAGTGGTTTAATAATTTTTAAAAATAATACGTGCTGGGATAATATTTTATTGTTTATAAATACCACTTTCTTGAATCAAAGATGTCAGTTCTAATAGGATTAGCATTACATTTTCCCAAGTCATTTATAAGTACTCTATTTTCATGGAAATATCATTCATGAATAGATAACTGCTCTGGAGCTCTAATCTTTTGGGTTTGACTATTAAGGATAAATAAGAAGTTTATTTACTTTAGAAGAGCCTAACATAGTTTGCTAATCATATTGCACTTTTTAAATGTCAGGTTTCACATCTTTAAAGAAACAAGATCCTCACATACTTTTATGCCATAAGCTGCTTGTGAGGTTTCTATAGTTGGATCTATTAATGGGATCTTTTAAGTATTAATAATTCAGCTTGCTTGAATTTGTGTTTATGCTCTTTAGTCTATGCTATGATGTGTAACATGAAATACTGCTAATTTATAATATATTATCAAAAATTATCTTGAGTGAAACTAATGAAAAACTTTTATATAACTATTTTTGCTTGGTATAATTACATAGACTTTACAAATAATAAAATTTATCTTTAGGAAATAACTAATTTTTTAATTTCTATATTGAAATTTGTAATATTAATAGGAATTCCGAGATTTATCATTGATTTTTTATTTTGTAATATATTCACAAATACTTTTCTCAATAATTTTTGAAACTGATCTTCTGTTGACAGCATCTTTTAAAAATATTTATTATGTGCTTTTTGAAATTTTAAATTATGATAAAATATGTGTAATATAAAATTTACTATCTTAACAGTTGTTAAGTGTACCCTTCAGTAGTGTCAAATACATTCACATTGTTATGCAACCAATCACCAGAACTCTTTTTTTTTCCTTTTTTTTTTTTTTTTGAGACGGAATTTCGCTCTTGTTGCCCAGGCTGGAGTGCAATGGCGCGATTTCGGCTCACCGCAACCTCCACCTCCCAGATTCAAGCAATTCTCCTGCCTCAGCCTCCTGAGTAGCTGGGATTACAGGCATGTGCCACCACGCCCAGCTAATTTTTTTTTTTTTTTTTTTTTTTTGCTGTTTTTAGTAGAGATGTGGTTTCTCCATGTTGGTCACGCTGGTCTCGAACTCCCGACCTCAGGTGATCAGCCCTCCTAGGCTTCCCAAAGTGCTGGTATTACAGGCATGAGCCACCGCGCCCGGCCTTTTTTTTTTTTTTTTTTTTTTTTTTTTGAGAGGGAGTCTCACTCTATTGCCTAGACTGGAGTGCAGTGGCACAGTCTCTGCTCACTGCAGCCTCCGCCTCCTGGGTTCAAGAGATTCTCCTGCCTCAGCCTCCCGAGGAGTGGGACTTCAGGCACACACCAGCACGCCCAGCTAATTTTTTTTTTTTTTTTTTTTTTTTTTTTGAGTAGAGAGAGACAGGGCTTCACTATGTTGGTCAGTCTGGACTCGAACTCCTGACCTCAAGTGATCCATCTGCCTTGGCCTCCCAAAGTGCTGGAATTACAGATGGGAGCCACTGAGCCCAGCCAGAACTCTTTTCATCTTGCAATACTGATTTTTTTTTTTCCTCTCTCTCTCTCTCTATATATATATGAAATTCTTTGTGTTTATACATATGTTATATATGTACAAATGTGAACATATATATTTTGTATTTTTTGTGGTTACATAAAAGGTGTATCTATGAGGTACATATAAACACATATATACAGAGAGGAATAGACAGAGAGAGATGAGAAGGAGGGATATATTCTTTTTATTTTATTATACTTTAAGTTCTAGGATACATGTGCAAAATGTGCAGGTTTGTTACATATGTATACATGTGCCATGTTGGTTTGCTGCACCCATTAACTCATTATTTACATTAGGTATTTTTCCTAATGCTATCCTTCCCCCCTCCCCCCTCCCCCCACCCCACGACAGACCCCGGTGTGTGATGTTCCCTGCCCTGTGTCCAAGTGTTCTCATTGTTCAATTCCCACCTATGAGTGAGAACATGCGGTGTTTGGTTTTTCTATCCTTGAGCTAGTTTGCTCAGAATGATGGTTTCCAGCTTCATCTATGTCCCTACAAAGGACATGAACTCAAGGGAGGGATGTATTCCTAACAGTGTTGATGCCGGTGAAATTTATGCCTTTTATTCTTCTCTTTAACCTTTGTTTTCGGATTACTCTATAATATATAATCCTTTTTGTTAAAAGAAACAATAAACTTGTTTTCTGTGTTTAGACATCTGCATTCGTAACCCAAAGAACTCACTTTTTAAGGTCATTATTTTTAGATGAAAGGATAATAAAAAATAACAGCAGGTATCTCGTAAAAAAAACCCACATTTTACAGAGCATTTACTATGTCATACAGAATAACAGCATGTATGTTCAGTGCTTTGATTTTAACAATAATTTGCCTTACACTTAAGAAAATACTTAGAATTTTTTACCTCTTCATTTTCTTTCAGCAAAGATTAGTAATGATTTAATATTTACTTTTGGACATAATTTTTTATTTTAGTAAAATATACATAACATAAAAATTATCATTTTAATCATTTTAAGTGCACACTTCAGTGGTATTAAGTATGATTGCCCAATATTGTTGGACAATCATCACCACCATTCATCTTTAGAACTGTTTTTCAGCTTCCCAACTGAAACTTCATACCCATTAAACAATAACGCATTCTTTCCTCTGTAAATCCATGGAAACCACCACTCTACTTTCTCTATAAATAAGATTATCTTAGGTCCCTCATTTAAGCATCATTATGCCATATTTGTCTTCTTTTTAATTATTATTATACTTTAAGTTTTACGGTACATGTGCACAATGTGCAGGTTAGTTACATATGTATACATGTGACATGCTGGTGCGCTGCACCCACTAACTCGTCATCTAGTATTAGGTATATCTCCCAATGCTATCCCTCTCCCCTCCCCCCACCCCACAACAGTCCCCAGAGTGTGATGTCCCCCTTCATGTGTCCATGTGTTCTAATTATTCAATTCCCACCTATGAGTGAGAATATGCGGTGTTTGGTTTTTTGTTCTTGTGATAGTTTACTGAGAATGATGATTTCCAATTTCATCCTTGTCCCTACAAAGGACATGAACTCATCATTTTTTATGGCTGCATAGTATTCCATGGTGTATATGTGCCACATTTTCTTAATCCAGTCTATCATTGTTGGACATTTGGGTTGGTTCCAAGTCTTTGCTATTGTGAATAATGCCACAATAAACATACATGTGCATGTGTCTTTATAGCAGCATGATTTATAGTCCTTTGGGCATATACCCAATAATGGGATGGCTGGGTCAAACGGTATTTCTAGTTCTAGATCCCTGAGGAGTGGCCACACTGACTTCCACAATGGTTGAACTAGTTTACAACCCCCCAACAGTGTAAAAGTGTTCCTATTTCTCCACATCCTCTCCAGCACCTGTTGTTTCCTGACTTTTTAATGATTGCCATTCTACCTGGTGTGAGACGATATCTCATTGTGGTTTTGATTTGCATTTCTCTGATGGCCAGTGATGGTGAGCATTTTTTCATGTGTTTTTTGGCTGCATAAATGTCTTCTTTTGCGAAGTGTCTGTTCATGTCCTTCACCCACGTTTTCATGTGGTTGTTTTTTTTTTTTCTTGTAAATTTGTTTGAGTTCATTGTAGATTCTGGATATTAGCCCTTTGTCAGATGAGTAGGTTGCAAAAATTTTCTCCCATTTTGTAGGTTGCCTGTTCACTCTGATGGTAGTTTCTTTTGCTGTGCAGAAGCTCTTTCGTTTAATTAGATCCCATTTGTCAATTTTGGCTTTTGTTGCCATTGCTTTTGGTGTTTTAGACATGAAGTCCTTGCCCATGCCTATGTCCTCAATGGTAATGCCTAGGTTTTCTTCTAGGGTTTTTATGGTTTTAGGTCTAACGTTTAAGTCTTTAATCCATCTTGAATTGATTTTTGTATAAGGTGTAAGGAAGGGATCCAGTTTCAGCTTTCTACATATGGCTAGCCAGTTTTCCCAGCACCATTGATTAAATAGGGAATCCTTTCCCCATTGCTTGTTTTTCTTAGGTTTGTCAAAGATCAGATAGTTGTAGATATGTGGCGTTATTTCTGAGGGCTCTGTTCTGTTCCATTGATCTATATCTCTGTTTTGGTACCAGTACCATGCTGTTTTGGTTACTGTAGCCTTGTAGTATAGTTTGAAATCAGGTAGCGTGATGCCTCTGGCTTTGTTCTTTTGGCTTAGGATTGACTTGGCGATGCAGGCTCTTTTTTGGTTCCATATGAACTTTAAAGTAGTTTTTTCCAATTCTGTGAAGAAAGTCATTGGTAGCTTGATGGGGCTGGCATTGAATCTATAAATTACCTTGGGCACTATGGCCATTTTCACGATATTGATTCTTCCTACCCATGAGCATGGAATGTTCTTCCATTTGTTTGTATCCTCTTTTATTTCCTTGAGCAGTGGTTTGTAGTTCTCCTTGAAGAGTTCCTTCACATCCCTTCTAAGGTGGATTCCTAGGTATTTTATTCTCTTTGAAGCAATTGTGAATGGGAGTTCACTCATGATTTGGCTCTCTGTTTGTCTCTTATTGGTGTATAAGAATGCTTGTGATTTTTGTACATTGATTTTGTATCCTGAGACTTTACTGAAGTTGCTTATCAGCTTAAGGAGATTTTGGGCTGAGACAATGGGGTTTTCTAGATATACAATCATGTCATCTGCAAACAGGGACAATTTGATTTCCTCTTTTCCTAATTGAATACCCTTTATTTCCTTCTCCTGCCTAATTGCCCTGGCCAGAACTTCCAACACTATGTTGAATAGGAGTGGTGAGAGAGGGCATCCCTGTCTTGTGCCAGTTTTCAAAGGGAATGCTTCCAGTTTTTGCCCATTCAGTATGATATTGGCTGTGGGTTTGTCATAGATAGCTCTTATTATTTTGAGATACGTCCCATCAATACCTAATTTATTGAGAGTTTTTAGCATGAAGGGTTATTGAATTTTGTCAAAGGCCTTTTCTGCATCTATTGAGATAATCATGTGGTTTTTGATGTGTATGTATGTTTGCTCTGCATTTTACCAAGTATATCTCTGTTGCTAAACTACTTGTGTGTGTAACTTATATACGTTTTTATGACCCATTTCATTAATGTTTAAAAGATAGGTGCATCTAGTATACCTGTACTGCCACAATTTATAAATTATAAAGCTTTCTCCTTTAGAGCAACTCTTATTAAGACCATTATAAAATATATAAAAGTGTATATGCTGGCGGGTAGGGGAAGGTCCATTTTTTAAAAATGTTTTTGTGCTTAATTCTGAGTTTTGGTGACATTATTCCGCCTCCCATTTATGAGCCAAGGAAGATTTGACAACTTCTCCACTTGGTCTGTATATACCGAGTGCAATGAGTACTTTTCGCTAGTAGGGCTACTAAAGGCTTAGAGGCACATTAAGGAGGAAGAGGTGAAAAGTGTGGCACTTTAAAGTAGGATTCACAGAGTAACAGAATATGCTTCTACATGATGTTAAAAGTTTCTTTAAACAAGTTGCAACCACCGAAAATACTCACTTATTAAACGTGGCTTACATAGCAATTTTATAAATTTTCACAACCAAAAGCATTGGCAATGACAGCAAAATGGTAAATTTAGTCACCCAAATCCTATTACTATACTGTACATGCTTATTGTAAGCACAATTCTGCTATTGACATGTGAAGAAACAGCCACACAGATGGGAGCCAGGATAGAGTGATATGGCTTTATTTTTAACGTTTTGAAAGTTTTCTCATATGGCACTGCAGATATAGAGAATATATGTTTTCAGAAATTCTAATTCGTGCATCTTTCTAAGGAAATAACACTAAAGGAAGGACTATGTGAGTGTGTTTGCATGTGCTCCTATGCTCCATAATTTTTTATAGTCAAGTCACATTAACATACCCAGAAGGATTCCTTAACACTTGCAGAACAATTTTATTGCTAGAATATGTAATATTTTGAAAATTGTTTCCTCTCTCCACCCACCACAACTGTCATCCACAAAGCCCAGCTTACTTCTTTAGAGAAAGTCAGCGTGACATATTTTTTGTGGGAGTTCACATAGCAGCTTCCTCAAATAATGTGTTGGTCCATCTGATTTATCCTGTTTCCATTTCTGGTAATCTCTTTACAGCCCACATCAGACTTCTAGCCCCAAATCTATTCATTTTTTATAGAGCATTCTCAGCCAAGCCTACATCTTTCAGGCTACTTCACTAAAAAATAAAAAAGTGAATGTTAGGAGATTTTCTACTAGATATCTATAACCAACATATATGAATGAGAATAATCACACGTTTCAAAAATACAATGAGTAATTGTATATAATTGAAACTCTAATATCTCTTGAAGTTAAAATATCTTTCCATGTCTAAAGGAAAATTATGGATATAAATCTCACTTTAATAGTAATATGATTACATGATAATTATTAGTGTTAAAAGTGCTTTTATTCAGATGCTCTTGTAAACTAAATGAATCTAATTATATAAAATTTTGAATTTTGAGGCAAACATCTTGCAATTGCAATTGTATCTTACATTGCATGTTATATGCCTATATATTAATATGTGACAATAGTCTATGTGCTCATAGGCAAGCAATAGCTAGAAGTTAACTATAGAGGTAAAGATGGTATTTATATGAATGTTTACATTTATATTAATTTTATTTATAAGTACTTATTTGATATTATTTAAGTATATATCAAACTTTATGTGAAATTACATATTGATATATAAATTCATATGCTAAGTGCTAATATATATTTATATGCAAATATTCCACAGTATGTATATGTAAGTATGTAAAATGTCTTTTTTGCATCTTTGTAAAAATGTATTTCTATTATGCTTCAGAAAAAGTGCACAGATGATTAAAATTTTTAAAGAGAAAATGAGACTACAATATTTACATAAGGGATTTAAAATTATAAGACAGTACTATAAACATACTACCTCTACAGATTTGAGAATTTCTACAAATTAAATAACAATGTAATTTATCTTGGCATCCACAGCAAGGAAATTACAGCTTATTGTAATACTAGAAATGTGTGCTGCTATGATTTTTATATTACTGTATTACTGTACTTTGAGTTGCTTAAAAATAGTCTGTACTATAAATTTTTATCTACATGTACACACAGAATAATCATTTGTGAGGGTCTTTGTGTCTCTCCATTACCTCAAAATATATTTTTCTCAGTGATATGAAAATTAAAATTTAAAATGTTTTCTTTTATATGAACCACCCTATTTACCAGTGAAGAACCTATTTGTTGTGTGATGGGCAAAAAAGTACATTAAAAAGTTATAAGAATATCAAGTTGTTTTCTGAAATAGAATTGGAATTATCAATTTCTATAGACAAATCAAATGCATCCTAATTATATAAGTATTTTTATGATGCATTTTTATTCCCCCTTACAGCTGTAAATCATACTGAATGATTTATTACTCCCAAAATATATGATATCATAGTATTTTTCTTAACTTATAAAATCTCACACTAACTCCAAAAACATCCCTGAAATACAACTTACCAAGTATATAGCTAAAATAATATATTTCAGGTTAACTGAGAAATATTAATTAAGACTTAAAATAAATTCATTACAAATTTATTGATCCAGTCATAACATACTATAATTATCTGAATACAGTAGTCTTCCCCTATCCACAGGATATACGTTGTAAGACCTCCCAGTGGATGCCTAAAACCTCGAGTAGTACTGAACCCTGTATTTATTAATACTATGTTTTTCCCTATACATACATAACTACAAAAAAGCTTAATTTATAAATTAAGCACACTATGAGATTGACAATAAATAATACTAAAATAGAATAATTATAACAATACTCAGAACAAGGTACAACTTAAAACTTAGAAATTGTTTATTTCTGGTATTTCTTTAATATTTTCAGGCTATGGTTGACCAAAGATAACTGAAATCATGGAAAGCAAAATTGCAGATAAGGGGCGACCACTGTAATACTGTCTCCCCAGGCTCCATCCATTTCTACAACCAGTCTATTCCATTCTTTCCTAAAATTAATAAGAGGGAAAAAACACACTTTCATCATATGCATCCCAATAACAAAAAAGTAAATTTAGCATGTTATATATTTAGTATCACATTATGAAACTTTATAATGATTAAGTAATTCTTCATTATACTCCTCCTTATACTTATCAACACTGGCAGAGAGACCTATGCTTTTGAGCAAACAGAAAAATCTGGAACAGAAAAACCCTGCAGGAAGCTTTGAATCACAAAATTTGAGGCATAGAATCAACTTCAGAGATGAACAAGCTAGATTCCCATATAGTATATGAAGAATCTGAGGCAAAAACAAATAAAACTCCTCCCCAGAAAAGAAGTTGAAAAGTTTGCAGATCACAAGACTAACTGCTGACAGAAGTAAAATAAGTAAAAAAAGATGACAAGGATGACAAAGAAGAAAGAGAAAGAGGAAGAGAAGGAGAAGAAAAATGAAATCCAGGTCTACAATTGAGACTGCCTGATTTCCAAACTCTTAATAATGCCATGGGAGTAAAATGTCAAACTCTTGCTCTTCTGATTCTTGGGGCTCTTTGTGGGTATCAAAAGGCCACATGGACACAGATTCCACTTAATCAGAACCACTTGCTTCATCTATTGTAAATATCAGAATTCTACCCAATACATCATTTCATTTGTAGATTTTTGGCTTGGAACCATTATGGGTAGAGAATGGAATGAACATATTGCACATATCTATTTGTTCCTGAAAGCTTAAAACTGCCAGGTCAAAATGACTGTGTACACACACACACACACCACACACGCACGTGTGCACACACACACACTAGAAATATGTACTGCTATATATATTTATTCATTTTGAGACAGAGTCTCGCTGTGTCGCCCAGGCTGGGGTGCAGTGGCGCGATCTCGGCTCACTGCAACCTCCGCCTCCAGGTTCAAGTAATTTTTCTGCCCCAGCCTCCCAAGTAGCTGGGACAACAGGTGCCCACCACCATGCCCAGATAATTTATTTTGTATTTTTAGTAGAGATGGGGTTTCACTACGTTGGTCAGGCTGGTCTTGAACTCCTGAACTCATGATCCACCTGCCTCGGCCCCCCAAAGTGCTGGGATTACAGGTGTGAGACACTGCACCTGGACCATAATTTTTTTATTACTGTATTACCATACAATAATATGAAATATATATGTATATATGTATATGTATATAACAAACATGTATGTATATGTATATATTGTCTGTAAGGAGATATATATGTGTATAAATACATATACACATACACATATATATCCATTTACAAACTATATATATACACACACACATAATGATATAAATGGATATAGATGTGGATATACATACACATATTTATGTGTATTTATATTACATAAATATATATACACATATATATCCATTTACAGACATATACACATATATATCCATTTACAGACAATTTCAAACTTCTGATTTTTCAACTTTATGAAGAGTTTATTGGTTATTAAATGCATTTTCAACTTCAGACATTTTTGCCTTGTGAAAGGTTTATCAAAACATTTAACCATATCATAAGTTGAGGATCATGTGTGTTTGAAACCATCTTCAAACTGGAGAAAATGTGAAAATTCAATGATTTCTTTTAATGAGAGCTAGGCCACTAAATTCTCACTTATAAAATTAGTAAGTAAAGGGAAACCTATTTAAGTGTTTGCTTTGGTTCTCTTATTTTATAAACCTAGCTGATTCCTTACAGAGCAACTTAAGTGAATAAATGTAGAAAATAATAGAATAGAATAATCATTTTGCCATCTCAAATAAAGTGATCTATCCAGCCTATAAAAATCAATGACTATGAAGATGATGGGAAACTTTTAAATGGTATTATCATGTCATCGCTTGAGCCCACGGTTGACTCCTAACTTGGCCATGATTGAGATGCTATGTAGCCTCCTGATGTGATACAGTATAAAGCACAAGGTACTTCTTGTGCAGTACTCTTGAGGGTAAGTTAAGTCAAAATCTAATAGAGACTTTAGATTTAACTTGCAATTTGCAGTAAGTCCAGGAGATAGGTGAATATGCTGACACCACAAGGAAAAACATTAAACCAGAGTATAGGGCATTCTACTAGACAAAAGATAACATTTCTTCAAGTAAAGAACCCTTAGAAGAGAAAATGGCAGGCAGGGATAGAAAGAGAGGGCAGTTTGTTGTTGTTGAGACGGAGTCTCGCTCCATCGCCCAGGAGTTGGAGTGCGGTGGTGAGATCTGGGCTCACTGCAAGCTCCGCCTCCCGGGTTCACGCCATTCTCCCGCCTCAGACTCCTGAGTAGCTGGGATTACAGGCACCCGCCACCACACCCAGCTAATTTTGTTTTTGTATTTTTAGTAGAGACGGGGTTTCACCGTCTTATCCAGGATGGTCTCCATCTCCTGACCTCGTGATCTGCCCGCCTTGGCCTCCCAAAGTGCTGGGATTACAGGCGTGAGAAAGAGAGAACAATTTTAATTTAAAAGAAACATAACAAAAATTAATGTCATGTGTATCACTGACAAATCATCAAACTGAATCAAAATAAAGTTTTCATTAAATTTTCTATTTGTAGGTTTTTAGCATGATTCAGTCACCATGTTATCTGTTTTACTCCTTTGAAAGACACCATATAATGGCTACACAGCTCACTTGTATAGTGTTCTAGAAAGTCATATTTCAGGGTAAGTGATCCCATACAATTAGCATGCCTCCTGACACTGTAGATATCTGGGTCTTTTATATGAGGCCATTTAAATTCATAAAAATCTTAAAGGAATTTAAAAGTTAACCCATGTGTACATGCAAGCCAACAAAAGAAAAACAAATATTTGAATTACTGTAGATTTAGCTAACCTCTACTACTGAGAAAGCTTTACAGTATTTATTCCTGAAGCATCTTATCCCTGTTATTTCTGTCATGTATTATTGTGTTAGCAATACAAGATCTTCTACTAATATCTTCTGCAGCCCAATTTATGTGTCCAGTACTTAATGATCGTAAATATAATGTCTCATCATTGCCAGTACCTGACAACATCCAAAAGTCCTATCTTGATTCTAATTTGTCTTTTAATATTCTTTGACACTATTAACCAATTCTATGTAAAACTTATTTTTCTAGACCAACACTTTCTTGCTTGTCTTCCATTTGTCCTGTTTCTTAATTAATAAATTTTCCTCAACCCCCTATAGGTGTCTTCATCCAGGGTTCAAGTAGAGATTTTCATCTTTTCCTTTTTTAGGCTTCAGTTGCCAGCTGTTTATGTTACAAATTTATTTGCCACTACTGAACTCAGTGCACATGATTCAGATTTAAATGATAGTATTAAATTTAATCCTTTAATCTTTAGTAGTTTGTTCACAGTAGAAACTCAGCAACTTCTCACTAACAAACATGAAGCTATTAATATTAGTGTTATAAAGTTAGTATAAATTAAAATGCATCAAAAATATTTTATTACTTTAAAAATTGTATTATTTTCCCTTATTTTTAAACCAAGACATCACATCTCAAAATATACTTAAAGAATCGAGCTTCAATTTATAAACAGGCTTAAAATTACCAACTCCCTTTAGCTAATATCATCTTCACTAGTATATGAAATAGAGGTATAAAAGTTTATACAATGACAAAAATGGCATACAAAACATGTTCCTTTAGATATTAATTTAAATAGTCACATTTTAAGAAAGCAGTCTCATGTAAAACATAACTGGGACAGACACAACATAAACTAGGGGAGATATAAGATTTAAATGGAAAAAATGCTATGTCTATTTGTAAATGACTATTATGCATATACTAAAATTTGATTTGAATACTTAAGAATTAAAATCAAGTATTCATATTCTATATTTATATAAGCTTATAAAGGCTAATTATCTGTACTATTATCTAATTAGAAATTTAAAGACATTTCACTTCATAATATAGTTCAATATATTGCAGACAAATGAGCTCTCATTAAACCCAAGAATGATCAACGTATTTTAAATTCTGGACATAGCTAAATGAATATTGAATTAATTATTTCTTCAAATAAAATGCCAAGACTCTAAATATCTTTTTGTTCTCCATTATCCACTCGAAACTTGGAAAATGTTTCACATTTAGTCATATACTACCAAACTATAAGCTACTCTTTAGAATTCAACATGATAATCAGTTGTAACTTGGAAGGATTTCGTTAATTGTAAAGGTATTTATTAATTACTAAGCCGTAGTACTATTCCTAAAGTTCCAAAGAAGGTCATGTTTAAGTCTACATTTTTGTCCTTTAACAATATTCTTAATGATAATAGCAGCAGCAAAACCAACGGTAATAGTTATGGCAAAAATGGATCAACTGCTGCTCTATGAGAGACATTCATAAACTCTACATATATTATCTAACATATCATCATTCCCCTTTTACTGATTATAATCCAAGGCATGCAGTATTTCATCCAAGGTTACAAAGCTTGTTGGTGCTAATGCAGCATTCAAACTCAGGCAGCCTGATTCTAGAATCTTCTATATTGACCAATGCATTCTATGCATTTGCATTCATTGCATTCAGCTTTTGAAATAGGAGCTCAGACATAGTATAAACTAAGAACTAAAAAAAATAATGTTTTTATGCAGTTCAGAATGACTTATAATTAAGGTGGGCCATCCTTATGGCAATATAAGTAACTCTCATCAATCATAATTATTCACTGCCTGCCTATTTCTAGATGAGAAGAAAAATGCCTTCTGAACTCTGTAGTGAATATTTAATAGAAAAATCACTTTTCCATTTTTATATCCTTGAATTTTAACACCCTCTATGACTTCCCATATTCTTGATTATCACATTCTCTTCACCATTATATTGTGGGGGTCAATATCCACTGTGACTTGCCCAAAGTCATAAAGCTAATAAATGAAGAAAGTAGGACCAAACGTGAGATCCTATAATAAATCCCATGCTCTTTCCACTCAGCCACACCGACTCTTTCAAGTGTGCAAATTCGTCATGTCTATGGCCCTTTTCAGGCCCAGAAACCTAAGTTAATGATTTTTAAAAAGTGAGAAAATTTCACAGAAGATAATGTAAAATTAGTAACATAATAAAGCCAAGTCATGAAACATTTAAATCAAAAGGGGACAGAGAAGGAAAGCATAATCTGACATAACTTCAAAACATTGGAAGATAGTGACTTTTAGATAATAATGATGATGTTTAAACTAATACAAAAATCCAAATTGGTGACTCTAACAACTCTCTAAACAATCCAACATAATGGTCAACATAATTTCAACTGTATTCAAGCATATTGTATTTTTTGTGTCTGTGTGTGTGCAATTAGAATGCAAATGTATATCATATTAATTAGAAAAAATATTCACCTATCAAACCCTCTAAGATATAGTGCAGAGGTGCATTTTTATGTTGTAAAACGTAAAAATTACAATATTCCAGACATTCATATACCATATAGCAATTTAACTCTCAACAGACTTAATTTGTCAAATTTGCAAAGGTCTTCTGACGCTATTTTGGTCCAGATCCAACACATATATGATACATACTGTTTTTTGGTATGTTAAACTGTGGCTTAGGTTTATAAGGATTTTAGCAAAAATGATATGCCTTCATTAGTATAAAAGAAGAATCTCCTCATATGGTAATAAAAATCCCATATTAGCGTATGGATGAAGTCAGGCTTAAAGAATTTTAAATGCAAAGCCATGTTTATTTGGACACTAGTTTCTTTTGAATGAAAAATATAATCCAATAAAAGTGTAGAACTTACAGAACTTTTCCCAGTTTTTTGTTGTTGTTGTTGTTAGCTAACAGCAAGGGGAGAGATATTTTTCTGTTTTTTTTTTTCTGTTCTATATCAATTTAAACCTTTATATGACTACATAATTAACAAGTGTT
Source organism: Homo sapiens (assembly GCF_000001405.40). Lineage (NCBI taxonomy): Eukaryota > Metazoa > Chordata > Mammalia > Primates > Hominidae > Homo > Homo sapiens. The sequence goes on from NC_000012.12 coordinate 86,869,013, forward strand.
GCTAATTCTGTGTCACCTTACTTACCACCTTGCTATTTTCAATTCCATCCCTCTCTTGTATCCTTTATGGAATAACTCATATTAAAATTTTCATACACTAAATGCAATTATGTATTTTAATATGTTTCCCCAAGTAGAAAAGAGCAAGGTAGTACTCATTTATACTTTAATATGCTTGATGTAGGGAACATATATCCATACATATTTGGAAAGAATAAATAAATTCAGTTTAATATTTCCCTTTACCTGTAAAAGATTATCTAGGAGGGTAGCAAAGTCTACCACACGACTAGTTCTTGACAGAAGCTCATGATGCTTTAGAACAATGTGAATAAAGGAACCAAAGCAACCGGGAAGATCTTTGCTTTGCCTTCACCTAAGACAGGACCCCATAGACAGCTAAACATTTTCTCCACACGCATTTAGGAAAGTAGTCCTTGCTATGTTAATGAGGATGGCTAAGATACACAAGGCACATAATAGTTTGTCAGCCTGGAAGCTTGAGTCCCCTATATTCTAGTGGGAAGGTATTCAGGTCTTCAAAACAAACTCAATTCATTTCACTGGATTTGTTCCAATAATCGTTAAAATCAATTTGAAAACCAGACGGCTGATAGATTGACATCTAGAAGCATAATCTTTAAAAGGAATTAATAATTTTAATATAGTTAGGCTGCCTTCATTCTTAAAACCAAGTTTCACTGTTTTTCTTCTTTAAAAAAATTGAACTATTCAATAAAAATCTAATCACCATTAAAATGAATTTAAATTAAATTGTTCTTATAATGACTTAAAAAATATACAGTATTCAATTAGAATTCAATCATTTCTGTCTGTGTTACCAGTCTGAGTCCATTCTATTTTTCAAGCAAGAATGAAAATAAATATATAGGTACTGAGGAACGAGAATTTTTCCACAAACTTCTGTGGAAATTGAGCCACTGCCTTCAGCTAAAATAGTTTCAGATGGAAAGCTTGACACTAGCCTAATATTAGATATTTTGTGTAAAACATGTTTTCTGCATAAATACCCTTAATAACATTTTCTCTAATTTCTACATAAAACAGTTAAAAACAATTATGTGTTAGGTATTAATCCCGTTTTCATTAATTTTTGTCTGCAAAATAAAACATATTAAATGGATGATAATTTAATGACTGTAACTTAGCTATGTTAATCAAATGAATTGTAAAAAAATGCAAGTGATACAGAAGAGTACTCTATTAGCCAATTTCACACTTATATGAAAAAATACCCAAGACAGGTTAATTTATAAAGAAAAAGAGGTTTAATGGATTCACAGTTCCACATGGCTGGGGAGGCCTCACGATCATGGCAGAAGGCAAGGAGGAGCAAAAGCATGTCTTACATAGCGGCAGGCAAGCAAGATTGTGCAGGGGAATTCCCATTTATAAAACCATCGGATCTTGTGAGATTTATTCACTACCATGAGAACAGTATGGGGAAAGCACCCCCATGATTTGGTTATCTCCATCTGGCCCCACCTTTGACATGTAGGGATTATTACAATTCAAGATGAGATTTGGGAGGGGACACAGCTGCGTCATATCAAGTACTACAATGTGACTTATATTTTGATGTTCTATCAATATAAACTTACATATGTCAACTACAAAATAAATTCCATCTACAGGGTAGTGAGAAAAAAAAAACATTTGACTCTCTTAATGCTTCTATCTGAAATGAATATCTTCAAATAGTGCACAATACTTTTACATATTTGTTTTGCAAGGAAGAACTCAGGAGAGGAAAAATAAGAACTACTTTTCTGACCTTTTACTCTTGGGCTATATTATGTATTAATTTTCTCTTTATGAGAGAAGTTGGAGTTTTAAACAGAGCACTTATTAGCCATCGTAAGTGTGACCAAAAGGTGATTTAAGAGAAGATGCTTCAGTGTCTGTTTGGAGGGATGCTATGGTGTGTCTCTATTTCCTCTTCCTCTACCAGCCCTCTATCACCTTCTTTCTTCACTCTCTTCCTACCCCATCTCAGTCAATGAGTTATTGTATTTATTGCCTCAGAAAATTTCTGGAAGCATAATCACAGAGTAAAGTCAAATTGAGATTCTAAAATCTATGTGCTTTTCTTTCTTTAAAGTAGGCCATCCAGCATTACTGTTTTTTTTTTTTTGTCTATTTTAATACCTCACAGAGGAATACCTTTGTAGTTTGCTGATGAACTTTTCATTGAATTCCAAGATAGCCTACAAAATTCATTAAGGCTTAATTTAAGAGAGAAAAAAAACACTTTGGCCATCACACACAAATAAAAATATTGATTTATTTAAAGCACTATATATATCTGCTCAGTGATAAAAATCCAGCTGTTGTGATTCATTATTCATTGATAGTAGAATTCTTGCCCTTTAGAGATGTAAATGAGAACAAATGAGTTACAGTTCTGGAGCAAGTTTTATGCACCTGAATTACTAAAGTCAGTAAAAATGAACACACATATTAACCCCTAAGTGGATTTTAAAGAAATAGTTTGTTTTTTGTTCTCAGTTTACTCTAATTTACATAATCAGAGAACATGATTAATTAAGGCAGTGTACTGTGGTAAAAACAGATTGGGACCTGAACTCCATGATGCTAACCTTGTCATCAGGTTCATTATGTTCACTCTGTTGAATGAAATTAGCAGGAGGCCACTGGTTTGAGGCTGTCTCTGTACTTGTAGATCCCACGTAACAAACTGCAGTGTAACCTAGTACATAAATAAAGGAAAACTAATATGGAGTCTAATTTTTGTAATACCTAGCCTAGTCTCAGCCAATCAAAAGCAGATGAGCTTCACCCAATCGCCCTCTGTCAACTGATCAGACCATGTTCAAATGAGGAGAACAAGCTAGCTGTAAACAATCAAGCTATTTCTGTAGTTTATTTCCATATTCTGTCTATAAATACTGCTCATGGTGCTGAGTGTAGCTCTCTGAACCTTTTCTAATTCTGAGGGCTACTGATTCATTATTTTTTTTTCATTTTGCTCAAACTGTTACATTTGTCAAAAGATTTTCTTTAAAACAACTCCTTTCTCACTCTTTTGTTTAAATATTTATTCAACAATTATTTGTACCAATTATTTATCAGATGCTGTTCTTGCCAAGGAGGAAAAAGGATAATAAGGAGGCAAGATGACTCAAGGCTTCATAGAGCTTAAAAATTCTGAGAAATAAAATAGACAATTTAAAAAGCATTTTTATAACTAGATAAAAGAACGGTGCGAAATAAAACGACAAAATGGGGGAAAGTAATGATCTAAGGGTTCTGGAAAATTTTCAGGAAGAAGTAATATCTAATACATTTTAAAATCAGTTAGTACTCGATAAAAAGTAAGGATAAAGGGCCTACGGAAATAACAAGACAACAAATGTTGAACTCTGCAAGTTAATAGAAGCATGGTCCATGCATGAAATTAAAATAAGTGCTGTTAGCTCTGCAAGGTAGAAACCCTCGCTATGAGCTTATCCAAAAATCTGACTTTTACTCTGTTACACCTAGTCTACTAAATACATTTAAATAGTCTTCCAAGTTCATACAATTTGAAAGCATATTGTTTTACATTTTGGTTGAAGAAGCTTATATGGACAATTTAATATGTTCTGTGTTTTTAGGATTAAGATATGTGTCCTAAAATGAATGGAATAGTAGAGTACTCAAATAGTAAATGGAAAAAAATTCCTTGGCTTATTAAAAAAATATAATTGCCAATAATTGTGAATGAGTAGGCATTCTTTTATCCTTAAATTTTTTCTGTTTCCTGAAGATTATCTATTTAGAAGCTATAATCTCATAGCAGGTTAGTAAATCCTTTCCCAGAAATGGACCTTTGAAGTGTTTCTTTGTTTCTCATAAGGGTGGCAAACTCCTAAATTTGTAGCTTAATTTCTATTTTCTATGACAGTGACACATAGATTGTAAGGAGGCTTTGAAACATTTTAATAATTAAGAACAGAGCCAATAATTCAAAACAAAAAGAGAGAAAGATACAGAATTTCAAGAAGAGCTATTTAAGATCAAGGAAGAGTGAAGACCATCTGAAATATTCTGACTCAATTTGGAAAAAAATATTTAGCATGTATCTCACTGAATTACAGTGAAGACTGGACATATGAAGAAGAGAAATAGAAAAAGATCTGATTAAATACTTATTTCCAGCCCAGCAACATGGTGGAAAGTGAGATAAACAGATAGAAATAAATTGTTAGTAAAAGTGGATAGTAATCTATATGGCACCAAAGTGCTTAAGCTGATAAAATCAACTGAATGTCTTGGCATAAAGTATAGGTTGCTGAAAGCTATTAATAATAATAGTAACTACATTAATGGCTATCATATTAGAACACTCATCAGATATTCTACATGGTCAGTGCATTTGAAGTATGTTAGTTACAAGAGAAAAAAACAAAACTGCCTACTCAAATTTAGCCGAAACAGGTACAACTACTATTGCCTTTTTTATTTTTAATTTTTATGGGAGTGTACGTTTATGGGGCACATGATGTATTTTGAAATGGTCATACAATGCATAATTATCACATCAGGGTAAATGGGATATCTATCCCATCAAGCATTTATTTCCTTGTGTTATAAATATTCCTGATATGCTCTTTTAGTTATTTTTAAATGTATAACAAATTTTTATTATGCTATCAAATACTAGGTCTTATTCATTATTCATTTTATATAAATATATTTTTGTATCCATTAACCATCCTCACATCCCCCATCCACTATTCATCACAACCTCTGATAACCATCATTCTACCCTCTGTCTCCATGAATTCAATTGTTTTAGTTTTTAGCTCCCACAAATGAGTAAAAATTTGCGAAGTTTGTCTTTCTGTGCTTGGCTTATTTAACTTAACATAATGTCCTCCAGTTTCATCTAATGTTTTTATGACAGGGTCTTACTCTTTTTTATGGATGAATAGTAGTCCATTGTGTTTATTTACCATGTTTCCATTCATCTGTTCATGGACATTCTGTTGTTTCCGAATCTTCCCTATTGTAAGCAGTGCTGCAGTAAACATGGGAATGTGTATATCTCTTCAATATACTGGTTTACGTTCTTCTTGGTATATACCTAACAGTGGGATTGCAGAATCATATGGTAGTTCTATTTTCAGTTTTCTGAGAATCTCCATACTCCGCTCCATAACGATTGCACAAATTTACATCCCCAGCAACAGTGTAAAAGGGCTCCCTTTACTCCACATCCTTGCCAAAATTTGTTATTACCTGTCTTTTGCATAAAGGCCATTTTAACTGGGGTAAGATGATATCTCATTATAGCATTAATTTGCATTTCTCTGATGATTAATGATGCTAAGCACCTTTTCATATGCCTGTTTGCAATTTGTCTATCTTTTGAGAAATGTCTATTTAGACCTTTGCTCATTTTTAAGGGCTTATTAGATTTTTTCCTATAGACTTGTTTGAGATCCTTATATATTCTGATTATTAATCTCTTGTGAGATTGATGGTTTGCAAATATTTTTCTCATTCTGTGGATTGTCTCTTAGTTGTGTTGATTGTATCATTTGCTGTGCATAAGCATTTTAACTTAATGTGATCCTATTGTCCGTTTTCTGCTTTGGATGCCTATACTTTGCGGATATAACTCAAGAAATCTTTGTCCAGAACAGCATCCTGGAGACCTACTCCAATGTTTTCCATTAGTAGCTTCATAGTGTGAAGTTTTAGATTTAAGTATTTAATAAATTTTGACTAGATTTTTGTATATGGCAAGAGGTAGGGGTCTAGCTTCATTCTTCTGCATAAGAATATTTAGTCCAACACCATTTATTGAAGAGACTGTCCTGTTCCCAATGTATATTCTTGACAACTTTGTCAAAAATAAGTTCGCTGTAGATGTATAGCTTTCTTTCTGCATTATATATTCTGTTTCCTTATTTTATGTGTATGTTTACCACTACCATGCTGTTTGGGCAACTATATCTTTGTAGTATAATTTGAAGTCATGTTATGTGATCCTTCCAGTTTTGTACTTTTGGCTTAGGATGGCTTTGGCTATTCTGGATCTTTTGTGGTTCCATATAAATTTTAGGATTATTTTTTCTATTTTTGTGAAGAATATCACTGATATTTTTATGGGGGTTACACTGAATCTGTAAATTGCTTTGGGTAATATGAACATTTTAACAATATTGATTCTTCCAACTCATGAACATGGATTGCCTTTCCATCTTTTGTGTGTGTTCTGTAAAATGATTTGCATCAATGTTTTATAGTTTTCACTGTAGAGATCTTTCACTTCTTTGGTTAAGTTTATTCCCAGGCAACTTATGTGTAAATGGGATTACTTCATTGATTTCTTTTGAAAATTTTTCACTGTTGCCATATAGAAATGGCATATATGATCATTTTGTATCCTGCAACTTTATTGAATTTTTTTATCAGTTCACATAGTTTTTTTTTGATGGAGTTTGTAGGTTTTTCTAGATTATATATTACTTTTTTCATTTTAATTTAATTTATTTATCCTATATTATTTCTTTTCTTCTACTAATTTTGGGTTTGATTTGCTCTTGCTTTTCTAATTCTTTAAGATGTATCATTAGTTTATTTGCAGTTTTGCTACTTTTTTGATATAGGCACTTATTGCTATAAACTTTACTCTTAGTACTGCTTTCACTATATTTCATAGATTTTGTCATGTTGTGTTTGCATTGTCATTTGTTTCCAAAATTTTTTCAGTTTCCTTCTTAATCCCCATTGACAGACTGGTCATTCAGGAGCATGTTGTTTAATTTCCATGTGTTTAGACAGTTTCCAAAGTTCAGCTTGTTATTGATTTCTTGTTTTATTACTTGTGGTCAGACAACATACTTGACATTATTTAAGTATTTTTGAATGTTTTAAGACTTGTTTTGTTGCCTAACAATATGTTCTATACTTAAGAATAATTCATGTGCTTAGGAGAATAATGGGTATTCTGCAGCCATTGGATAAAATGTTCTGTAAATATTTGTTAAATCCATTTGGCCAATAGTGCAGATTAAGTCGAATATTTCTTTGTTAATTTTCTGTCTGGATGATCTGTCCAATGCTGAAGGTAGGGTATTGAAGTCTCCAGCTATTACTGTCTTGGGGCCTGTCTCTCTCTTTAGCTCCAACAATATTTGCTCTATGCATCTGAGTGCCCCAGAGTTGGGCACAAATATATTTACAATTGTTACATCCTCTTGCTGAATTGATTGCTTTATCATTATATAATAAACTTATTTATCTCCTTTTATAGTTTTTTTTCTTAAATCTATTTTGTCTGATATAAGTATAGCTACACTGGCACTTTCTTGGTTTCAATGAGCAGGGAATATCTTTTTCATTCCTTTATTTTCAGTCTATGTGTATATTTATAGGTGAGGTGTGTTTCTTGTAAGCAACACATTATTGAAACTTGTTTTGTTTTTAACCATTCTGCAACTCTATGTCTTTTGGTGGCAAGGTAATGCAATCACTCCCTTGGCCACCCAGGCTGGTGTCTCACTACATTACATGCACGTGAAGTCCACTGGCTCTGAGCCCAGCACAACACCAAGACTTGCGCAGGAATTGAAGTCCTTGTGACTTAGACTGCCTGTCAAATTTATTTGAAGCCTCAATTAATAATTCAGTTAAACGTGAATTATTTCAAGTTTAATCTAGAGAATTCCCAAGTGCTTTAGCACACAGTGTTGGGGCTAGTCAGAATGCAGATTCTGACTGCTAGGATAGATAATTTTGTTCTGGCTAGGGCTCATCTAAATGTTCCCCCTGTGGGTGCCAGCTGAATTGTGCCCCATGTTGCTTTCCACTGTGACAAGACTGCACTGAGTTCCAATGCAAAGTCCCACAGTCACTGCGCTCTCCCTCCTCCAAGCACACAGATTTACCTCTCTGTGCCACATGACTACTCCTGGGGAATGGGTTAGGGGTGGTGTTGGCAATTCAAGAATATCATATCTACCCTCTTCAATGACTCTTTCTTTGATATGATATTAAAACAAGGTACTGTGATTCCTCATCTGTTTTTTTTTGTTGTTGTTATGAATGTACTTTCTTGTTTGGATAGTTATTCAATTTGATGTTCCTGCAGGAGGACAATTGCTGGAGATTTCTACTTGGCCATCTTGCTCCATTTCCTCCGCTATTGCAACTTAACATGAAATTGCTTAGAATTAAGAAGTTTGCATCCTGCCTCCTAGAATAAGAAATCTTACCTGAAGCTATAATTGTGATCAGTATTTTTGCCATGTGATCTCTCAAGCATTGGCTTTTCATAGATTTGACATTTTAAGAGTAAAATGGCAGCTATTTGTTCTAAATATTTTTACTACAATCAAGAAACAATTCCCATGTGTTATCTTTCTTTGCATTCTCCTGATACTATTAGAAAATATCAGCTGATTGCACAACACCTAAACATGCTTCTTAAATTAGTCTACTTAAATTGATTGTTAAATTGAGAGTATTACCTGGTACCATCATTCCTTTTCATTTCCCATTACTTTTTGATCCCAATACTTGAATTTCCTGATTTTCTCTAAATTCAGTCTTACAAGCTCCCTGTAGTGAGAGATATTACATCAATGAGTACTGGGTTTGTCCAAAGAATTGACTATTAAAGAAAATTTTATTCATTGTAAGCCTCTATTTCAGCATATGATGGGATGTGAAGAAGTAACAGTCTGCCTGAGAGCAGATGATAAGGACATGCAAAGGCAGGAGATAAAGTATAAAAATAATAAAATTATGTAAAAGTTCTATATTTTTATTATCTCATGATCCAAAAAATTTAAACAGTCAGTAATAAAAATACTCTTACCTAAGAAAAGTTTAGCTATCATAAAGTTCAAAAAAATTGTTTTTAGAGTTAAATTTTAAAAATATGTATATACACATTCAATTTATATTCTCTTGATATGTGTCCCTTATTAGATATTGTACACCACGTGGAAGTTAATTCGGAGAATTCCCAGTTACATGGTAGGCCCCTGAAACAAGCAGACTCAGTTGTAGTCATTGTTTTCTAAAATAAGTTTGTAATGGGTTGTAATCATTTGAATTCCCTTCAGGTACAATGTTTGTCTTAGCCAATATGGTTGGACATATTAGTTTTTTTCAATGGTAAATACAAAATAAACAATGATAGTATAATTGTATAGGTGAAAAAAATGGAAGTTAAATTATTTCAATTATGTCATTCTATGTGACCACTGAAAATTGTGCTTGTGTTTTAAAACTTAATACAGTAAAATAATACGTGAACTCTGAAGTGTACAGTTCCTGTTTGATAAGTTAAAATTAATTAATTAACCTATTATTGATTTGAACTTACATTTAAAATTAAATTTTTTATTTCATTTTATTGCTTTTCCTGTTTAAAAACAGAAAATATTTGCTTTGTCATTTCTAACAGGGCTGGGAAAACCGGCTAGCCATAATGCAGAAGATAAAAACTGGAGCACTTTCTTACATCATATATAAAAATCAACTCGAGATGGGTTAAAGACTTAAATGTAAAATGCAAAACCATAAAACGAAAATTCTGTAAGATAACCTAGTCAATACCATTCTGGACATAAGAATGGGCAAAGATTTCATGACAAAGACACTAAAAGCAATTGCAACAAAAGCAAAAATTGACGAATGGGATCTAATTAAACTAAAGAGTTTCTGTACAGCAAAAGAAATTATCTACAGAGTAAAAACCTACAGAATGGGAGAAAATCTTTGCAAATTATGCATCAAAAAAAGATCTAATGTCCAGTATCTATAAGGAAATTAAACAAATTTACAAGGAAGAAAACAACACTATTTAACAGTGGGAAAAGGACACGAACAGACACTTTTCTAAATAAGACATACATGCCGTCAGGAAGCTTATGGAAAAATAAAAAGCTCAACCACACTCATCATCAGAGAGATTTAAATCAAAACCACAATTAGATACCGTCTCACACTAGCCAGAATGCCTATTACTAAAAAGTAAAAATATAACAATGCTGGTGATGTTACAGAGGAAAAGGAACACTTCTACACTGTTGGTGGGAGTGTAAATTAGTTCAGCCATTGTGGAAAGCAGTGTGATTCCTCAAAGACCTAAAAACAAAACTACCATTCGACCCAGTAATTATTAATAGGTATATATCCAAATATATTATATATATATTGTTCTCTCATAAAGACACATAAACATGTGTGTTCATTGCAGCACTATTCCCAGTAGCAAAGACATAGAGTCAACCCAAATGTCCATCAATGATAGGCTGGATAAAGAAAATGTGGTGCATATACACCATGGAATACTATGCAGTCATAACAAAGAACAAGATCATGTCCTTCACAGAAACATGGATGAAGCTGGAGGCCATTATCCTTAGAAAACTAATGCAGGAACAGAAAACCAAATAGCACATGTTCTCACTTATAATGGAAGCTGTATGATGGTAACACATGGACACATAGAGGGGAGGAACAGACACTGAGGCCTACCAGATGGTGGAGAGTGAGAGGAGAAAGAGGACCAGGAAAAATAACCAATAGGTGCTAGGCATATTACCTGCCTGATGAAATAATCTGTACAACAAACCCCCACAATACGAATTTACCTAAATAATGTATCCCCAAACATAAAAGTTAAAAAAATTATAAAATTAAATATCACATCAGTGGAGCAATTCAGTACTGTAGTTACCCAAATTGAACACTTTATGTTTTAACTTACAAAAATAATTTAAATAACATATTTTAATGTCACATTATAATCAAAGAATCAAAGTTCACAATATTCTCTAAACATAAAACTATTGATTATATACTTGTGCTTTTGTTGTTTTCTTTCTGCAGGTATTTGAAGAAGCCTGGATTAGTAACTGGTTCATAATTATTGTAGGTTTTATAAAGAATTTTCAGTGAGATATCCACATCAATTTAAAATGCTATTATTTCTTTTTTTTTTTTTTTTTTTTTTTTTTTGAGACGGAGTCTCGCTCTGTCGCCCAGGCTGGAGTGCAGTGGCGGGATCTCGGCTCACTGCAAGCTCCGCGTCCCGGGTTCACGCCATTCTCCTGCCTCAGCCTCCCAAGTAGCTGGGACTACAGGCGCCCGCCACTACGCCCGGCTAATTTTTTGTATTTTTAGTAGAGACGGGGTTTCACCGTTTTAGCCGGGATGGCCTCGATCTCCTGACCTCGTGATCCGCCCGCCTCGGCCTCCCAAAGTGCTGGGATTACAGGCGTGAGCCACCGCGCCCGGCCAATGCTATTATTTCAAGTGAAGAGCGAAATCAATCCATTGCACTCCAACAAAGGGAAAAAGAAGTAAAAATGAGAGTATTTGAATTATTACCTGAGTTTATTTTGGAAGGTGTAATATTTTCCAAATGAAATAATGTTTATAGTTCATAAAAATTGGAAGGATGTTCAACCTTGCACATTCAAAGTATCCATACAAAAAAAAAAAGGATGATACTTAAATGATACAATTAAAAGATGACAATAAATTATTTTCTCTAATTTCTGATAATGTTGAAGATAAAATAAGTGTTATCAAGAACAAATAAATATTAATAGTAATAATAATAATAATAATAATAGAAGAAAGTGATGATTGCAACTGCCAAGAGCAAGAGGTAAACGAAGACATAACAAGTGAAATTATAATATTTTTAATGCCACTAATTGATCAATAAGGGTTCTAGGTAATTGCAAATTAATCTAGTTAAAAAGGGTGAACTACTTTGTAATGAACATTGTTATGCAGTTGAGTGAGAATAAGAAAAATACAAAAAAAAAGGCAACTTTTTTCAACTTTACAGTTTTATATTTATCATACAGTGGAAAATGTGGGAAATTTACATTTTTTATTAAAGAATTATTTTATCTATTTGCAGATAATTAGACAAAAGCTAGAATATTCAACTTTACAAATGACTGTAGACCTAGAAAAAAAAAAAAAACCAAAATCCCTGAACTTGAATATCTAAATGATAGCTCTCATAAAATAGAAGATTTTGGCAACAGAACTAAAAATCGTTTCTTCTTTTAAACTGAAAAATCAGCATTTTATTTTTCATTTTATGTATATATGTATGTAAAAAGAAAAAAATGATGGTTACATCATACTTTGGACTTAATTACGCTTTCAACCAAACAAAACCTTCCTTTCCCTGGTCTCAAAAACATTTTATTATCAACAAATAAAGGACATCATATTAAAATTGAGGATATTACTTTCAAATAATAGCCAAAATTTGAAAAAATATTTTGTAAAAATTAGTATGCTATTTTTTTCTGAAAAGAGATTGATACAAATAATTACATTCATCTTTTGGGGCATAATGTTGAAAACAGATAGTTATAAATATTATAAATGTGAAACAGTTTAAAATTCTTGACAGCATTCTTAAGACTTTTATCATACTGCACGATAGTCAAGGATACACCACCACCACGACTGATGGTGTTGAGGCTAAAAGTCATATAAGCCTCTTTTAGAAGAATTTCCTCAATGTAATGTACTGTGAAAATTGTTTTTTATAAAATCATTTTTTACTGTCTTACCTCATCAGTGGAAAATGCTACTAAAATAAGCACAGCCATATAAAGGCTATCTAAATAGATAGAATACTCATTATGAGGCTCTAGGCAAAGGACAGACAATTTTTGGACGTTAATTCCAAACTATGAAGTACTGGGTCATCCAAAGGAAAATGTGGATACAGGAGGAGCAGCTCAGATGTTGTTCTCTGTTGCATGTTGCTTTTCTGTGGTACCTTTTTTTTAAAGGTAAAATTTAAAATGCAAATATTAATAAAACAGAAAAACATTTGCAAACAGCCAGAGTAAGACTTGAAAAAGTTATAGTGAAACATCAAGCTCTTAAATTAATCCAATGAATATTAGAAAAAGAAATAATGAAGAAAGTTATTAATTTTGCAAAAAAATTGTATAGAAAGAACAAAATTTAGAAGAAAAAATTAAAAAAATTATAAAGTATGGTGATGCTCCGTTGTCAGAAGAAATCAAATAGACAATGTTTGAATGTCTCAACTGATTTGACTAACAGCTGAACAACCATTCTAAATCAATAGATCAAATGAAATCAATGTATATAAACATTTAGTAATTTTTCTTTGAAGAAAACATCAAACATATTTTTATCAAATGTGATAGAAATGCATAATGAATTCTTTGTTGAAGATATTTTTGGACTATAGAAATATTGAAAATCTGTTAGAATAAAGTCTGAAGAAATAAAATAATAAACAAAATGAGATTTTTATTGCAAGATTTATTTTTATGACTCTCTCTCAAAGTAATTATTATATTTAAGAACTTTCCTTTAAGATAACTTGTGTCAGTTAAGTAAAAAAAAAAATTTGAAATTAGAAATTTATTTAAAATATTTTTACCAATCACTTATGAAGATAAATTGAACAATTAGGCTATACCATTTATTGAACACTAATATGTAAAAAAAAAATTACAAAATTTTGACAAGTTTATAGACACTAAGATTCAAAACCAAATTGCACTGTTATCATTCATTACTGCAATAAACCAGAATTTAGGTATAAGATTTTTATGTTTACCTTTTATCAAAATATAAATTTGTATTTGTGTTTTAATTATTGCCTTTGTTTTTTTCCTTTTTATACTGTAATATTTATTTTATAGAATTTTACTGGCAAAATTATACCAAATTCTATAAAAAAATTCCCTATCTGCTTTTCTTTTTTGGCCATTATCATTATAAATTAAATTTCATTATTATTCTTAAACATAATTTTATTATGTAAAGGATAAGGGTCTTTAAAAGCAATTGGTTTTTCGAATCAAATATACTAGTATGCCATTTTTTTGGAAACATTAAAATAATTAAATCTCCCTCTAAAATTGTCTATCAGACAACATCTAAGCCCTACCTAGATTCAATATATTATGATTATTCATGCTAACTACCCTTTGTCTTGAGCACACCTTGCAAACTACTTAAAAATCCCCTGGTCACAGTAACCCAATCCATGCAAACCTCAACCTGTTTTTAAAAATGTAATCTTATAGCACCTTGCCTCAGGTTGAGGATCTTATAGTGTGATTCCTGCCCTGGAGTTTCTCTGAGACCCATATAAAGAATGTTAGCCAATTGGACTTCTTTGGAAACCTGGAAGTACAAGAGATTTATGTCAACAGGGCAACCCTGGGCCAATGAGGACAGATGGATGTTTGAGAAATATTCTTGTTTTGTCTTGGACAACCGTACACTGTATAAGGCTCCTCTGGAGGTCCAAGTGGAAACAACTCAGCTGCTTAGAGGGCATCCAGCTTAATAATACATTCTTACATCGACATTTTCTCCTTCCCTGTTTCACTCTCTTTGCCCCGGATTCCACCTCTTACCTGAGATCATATTCTGAAATAGACTAGCCTCATAGGAGCTTTGACTCAGGTTGTACTTTCAGGTGGACCCTGGGCTGAGGAACATTTAATGTGTAATCTTGGTAGTGCCTTCCCTTAGAAGTTAAATTGCATTTTTGTCAGACATATTTCATGAAGAAACAGAAAATACCTGTGTTTCTACCTAGAGTAAGTGTTCATCTTGAAAGTCACACAATAGTTTTTAAGGTTTTTACATTGATCTGTCCAGTTTTCCACTTCAAAATCGGCCCAAATTTTCTGTGACAATTCAATTCAGTGATCACAGTATCTAAGTGATTGGTCCTCAATTGCTGTTGTTACTAGCTCTCAATCTACTGCTTTAAAATGTCGCATCTTAATTTTCCACTGGATCTTAGCTCCTTACGAAGGAGTTATTCCATTTTTCTTTCTGATCTCATTTGTCCTCACCATTAGATATTGCTGCACTATTTACCATATCCAAATTGGAAACAATTTTGATGGACAAAAGAATCTGAATGATGAATATTAAATATTATCTTCATTATGCATATGGGTGAGTTTGGAGGATGGAGGGATGATGCGTTATAATAATGAGTTTCCTAGTAATGCACCCAGTGAAAATACTCAATGGAAAAACAGATATAAACAAGAATGCAAGAAAAAAGCAGCTCAACAAACAGTATGAACAGACATCAATTCTATTTGAGGAAAATGAAAATTAAATATTTTAAATTTATACATATTATTGCCACTTTTTTATCATTTTGAATAATTATTCCTAGGAAATGGAAGTTCATTGTTTATAGAGATCTAATTTTGTCATATGAAACAAAGTGGTTTATAAATCTGAGTGTGTATTTCAATAAGAAGTTTTATTTTCCAGATAAACCTTTGAGAGTGACAGGCTTTGGGAAACCTTATTGGAAAAGAAGACTTTTGTTTTCTCAAGTGGTTTCTCTCTTATTCCTTCTCTTGAACTTCATCCTAATCTTTCCTAATCTTGATGACCCTTTTTGCTTATAAATTAACACTTGTCTATGAGGATTTAGGCTTTTTTTTTTTTTTTTTTTTTTTTTTTTGAGACGGAGTTTTGCTCTTGTGGCCCAGGCTGGAAGGCAATGGTATGATCTTGGCTCACTGCAGCCTCCGCCTCCCGGGTTCAAACAATTCTCCTGCTTCAGCCTCTAGAATAGCTGGGATTACCGGCACCTGCTGTCATGCCTGGCTAATTTTTTGTATTTTTAGTAGAGACAGAATTTTGCCATGTTGGCCAGGTCTCGAACTCCTGGCCTCAGGTGATCAACCCGCCTCGGCCTCCCAAAGTGCTGGGATTACAGTCGTAAGCCACCGCGCCCAGCCTTATGAAACTTTTGATTTTGAAAAAATTAGATATATACAGAAAGAAAATAGGGGAGGAAATAAAAATAATATCTGAAGACACAAATGAATTTTCAGCTGGCTGCAAATTGTGAATTATGGTAGTCGCCTTCAAAATACTATCTAATCGAGTATTTTTTTAAAGAAGAATAAACATCTATATATACTTAGAAGAACAGGTTTTATGTTAGGAACTGTTTTCCCCATTGTCCTAAACTCAAGAGAGAGACATTCCATTTTCATATTAAGATGACGTTATCTTTATATTCATTCCTAGTGTTCTGCAAACAATATTTCCTGAGTGTTCAACATTTTTCAGTTTATTTTTCTCTACATATATTTTTATCTTAAATAAGTCATTTCCTTGCAAAGTATGGTCAATTTTTTATTTCCTCATTAGGTATATTTTACTCTTCTTCTCATCTTTGTATTCAAGATGTAAATCTAGTCTACTAAAAATGAGTGCACCTCTGCCATTCTCATCACGAGTTTAGTTTCATGTACAAGTAATGGAAGGCATTGGCTAAAGGTCATTTGTTTTGAGAACCAACACAATTTATACCCACACAGCTAAAAGTCCATATTAGCATGACTTCACTAATCTTAAACTTATCCTTGCTGCTCCAGAAAACCCTTTCTCAGAAAGATAAAAGATGCAAATAACATTATTTGTTCTTTCAGGAACTACTGAAAGCCTCTTTTAGATGAACATCACACTGCTGCACTTTCAATAAACAGCACTCACTTAGAATCTTTTCCTCAAAACCTTAGCCTTGCCCTGCCCACAAATTCTAAACTATTATTTCATTAAGTAATCCTCATTGAGCCCTCACATTGAAATACATGCTTTAAATTACACCTCCAACACCTCATAAATATTCCAACTTTCCCCTCTTCTCTCTGAAACACTATTAAGACATTCTCAGAAAGTGGTATTTTGTACCATGACTAATGAATACGTTATTTTGGTGAAATTCAGTACCCTGAATCCTTTAAAATGACCACAAATCCAATAATCAATTATACGTTATATTAGAAGGGCCAAAGTTTTCATTATTCTACTTTTGGAAGACAATTCTCTATAAATTTTTTGCCTATTTCTATATCTTCTGTAACAGTGTGTGTATATATATATACATATATATACTGTTATTACTATATATATAGTTACAAATCAACACTTATCTATGAGGATTTAGGCATTTTTTTTTTTTTTTCTGAGACGGAGTTTCACTCAGGCTGGAATGCAATGGCACGATCTCGGCTCACTGCAGCCTCTGCCTCCTGGGTTCAAACTATATATATATATATATATAGTTATATTATATATATAATACAGATATATATACTTTTATAATACAGATATATATATATAATTAGGTATATATAGTTATATTATATATACTACAGATAATTTATATAATACAGATATTATATATATAAAAATATCTTTCAAAGATGCTTATAAACAACCTTGGAAATTAGAATGCCTTTTTCTAGAGCAGAGAGCATATTGGTTTGCTGTGTATGTTACCAATGACAGTGTGACTCTCTAGTCCAACTGTTGGACAGGTTTGCTAGCAGCCTTCTTATGAAAGATTGGGGATTTCCTAAGCTTGGAGTTTTCTCCTGTAACACAACTCATTGTGTGAACTGTCGTCACTTGGACTTTATCATATCACCCTGTAGGAATTAGGACTTGGGAAACTGGTGCAAATAATCTAATGTTGACTACTCCTGTTGCTGCGAGTAATAAGCTGGCTTTTGTCTCTTATGCAGGAATCTGGTTTCTTTTCCCAATATCCATAAATTTGTGGCAGGTTATCTTTTTTGCTTCCATGTAGTGTAAACTCTCAGACCCTTCATAGTTCTTGACATCTATATGAAAGATGGCAGATATAAAATTTTTTTTTTCACTAGTGAGCTTAAAAGTAAAATCTCTTTTAGAAGCTTCATTTAATTAGTCATGAACCACTCCACCCTTCCATGAAGATTATTTTGATAGATTAACTAATTGCAACTACAATCAAATAACAATTATCTAAGGGTCAGGCACTTTAAAATGTACTTCAGAGATGTGAGGCAATTTTATTTTCATGGCAAGTCAGTGTGGTATGTTTAGTTATTCCAGATATAAATATTTGGAAACGGATATCTAAAAACTAAGTAACAAGTTCCAAGTCACACAGGTGGTAATTGATAGAGCCAGATTAGTAATCAATCTGGTACTAGGACTAACAGTAAAACCCAAATTCCTCCCAGTATTCTATACTGTAACTCAGGGTCTCCGTTGAAATTTGGCATGGATATTGCCTAAAGAATCAAAAGATTGCTGACATTTGTAGTTTCCTATATGAATAACATGTTTAACTTGCTATTATTTAATAAGAAAAGGACCCGAAAGCCAACTTCACTGGTTTGGAAAGAAGCAGTCTATAATTGAGCAAAATTAAACAAATACCAGTTATTTTTTATGCTACTCATAAATATCCTTCCTTTATTATTTCTAAAATGTCATCAGCCTGACATTACAGTTACAGCTATTGAAGACAAATATATGTAAACATGTGAAGAATTTTAAAATCCAATGGATGACATGAAAACATCTTTAGAATTGTGGCCAAGCCAGAGGAGAAGACATTAAAATATCTTTAGAACTGTAGCCAAATAAGATTATGGGAACGAAGAAGAATTCAATTAGGCAGTAAGTACAAGTGGGGAATTCTACTTACCAAATCAGGTGGTTTTAAAAAATAGTTCTGCTGTCCATTAAGTACCTGGGCAGACCCTAGGACATAGAACAAGTTCCTGTAAAGTGGCTTCAAATTTATGAATGATAAACAAACACCGATAATTACAGCAAACTACTACAGCAAACAGCACAATGGTTTTTGATTTTCTACCAAATTACCCCAGCATCCCCCTTAGAAAGTCAGCTGAGGTAATGAGGTTAAGACATAATAAGAGGAGTCAGGTATAGATCACAAATACTTCATTATAAGTTTAGAATAATCAGTATCCTTTTTTATTGAGAATTCTTACTACATTTAGAAGAATGTGGCATATGTGATGCTTTATTTTGAGCTAAAATATCTAACATGATTTGATTTTTCTGTTACCAGTATTAGACTATATAAATTTATTTTATGAATTTGTTTATATTTATAAAAATTCTTTTAAAAGTTTTGAGAGTTTTTTTTACAGTTGTGAATTTTCTGTTATGCTTCTGAAATGCCTAAAAAATAAATATATTTAATTTGTAAATGTAGGAAAAACAATTTTTAAAAATTTTATTAATTAAAATTATATGCAGAGTGCTTATTTTAGGATTTTTTCTCCAATTTGATTTAATTTATATTATTCAAAGGGCTTGCTAGAAATATTTGTTATCTACTACATATAAAAATAGTAAAGTCAATTTAAAAAGTTTACTTTAAAGATTTAAATAATACTATATTTATAAATTAATGATCTGTGTATAAATTTAAAACAGTTATAGTTGCCCATAAACATTTTTAAAAATATGTTGTTACTAAAATACTATTAAGTAATTTTATAAAAATTTTGATATACAGAATTAATTTTGTGCCTTTTTGATAAAATATTTGAAGATATAAAGCCATGTCTATGTTATTGGATGTGTATAATTTTTGCATTAGCATGCTTCTCCAGAGACTTTTTATAAAGTAATTGGTGGCCCTCTCTACTCGTGGTAATCTTGTGCCTTAAAATCCTTCTGATAATTAATGCGAACTTTTAGACCATCTCTTTTAACTATTACATTTATTTAGTTTATATTTATTAATTACTGATAAATTTATTTTACTAACTTATTTTTGGTTTTTCATTTATATTATTTTTCATGCTGTTTTCCTCTTCTATTTTTCTTGTTTTTTTTGATGGTTCCATCAGTGAAATATGTTATGGTGTTATTTTTCCATTGCACTTTATTTACAATTTTTTAGATTTTTTTTTTTTTGGCACACAAAAAGCAGTACATAAATATTGTAAGCAACTTGATGAGCTTGGAGATAAGTATACATTAGTGAAACCATCAGTACAATCTATGCCATAAACGTATCCATCACCTCCAAAACTTTTATTCTGCTTTCTTATAGCCACTATTATTATTTTTGTGATAAGAACACTTATGATAAGATCTGCCTTCTTAGCAAATTTTTAAGTATACATTATTATTAGCTATAAGCACTATACTGTACAGTAGATCTCTAGAACTTATTTATTGCTAATAGCCAAAACATTATACTGTGATTAATACCTCCAGTTTTGCCCTCCCTTAGTCCCTGTTAACTACCATTTTACTCTCTGCTTCTATGAATGTGATGATTTTAAACTTAACATATAAGTGCACTTATGTAGTATTAGTCTTTTTGTGTCTGTTTTTTTTTTCTTTTTCACTTAGGTTTATGTTCTCCAGGTTTATCCATGTTGATGGCAAATGGCAGGATTTCCATCTTTTCAAGGCTAAATAGTACCTCATTGTGTATATATGCCAACTTTTCTTTATCCACTTATTAAACAATTGACATTTAGGATACTTCCAGATCTTGGCTATTGTGAATAATGCTGCAATGAACACAGGAGTGCAGATATATACCAATAAGTGAGGAGTCTAGATCATATGGTAGGTCTATTTTTAGTTTTCTGAGGAATCTCCATTCTGCTTTCCATAGTGGCTATACCAACTTTTCACATTTTGTACCTTGACCTA
Source organism: Homo sapiens (assembly GCF_000001405.40). Lineage (NCBI taxonomy): Eukaryota > Metazoa > Chordata > Mammalia > Primates > Hominidae > Homo > Homo sapiens. The sequence continues at coordinate 86,889,554 of NC_000012.12, forward strand.
CAATGTACAGTGTTTCCTTTTCTCCACATTTGTTATCTTTAATCTTTATGGAAACAAAATAGCTGTACATATTTATGACATACCTGTGATAATTTGATAAAAGCATACAATGTGTAATGATCAAATCTGAGTAATCAGCATATCCATCACATCAAACTTAATCATTCCTTTGTGTTGGTAATATTCATAATTCTCTCTTTTAACTATTTGAAAAAAGTCAAGAGATTATTGTTTATTATAGTTATCTAACAATGTTATAGAAGACAAGAATTTATTTCTCTTACCTACCTGTAATTTTGTAACCATTTTCTAATCTTTTCATATCTCCTCTGCTGCCCCATTACCCTTCCTAGCCTCTGGTAAACACTATTCTATTCACTATCTCCATGAGACCAATTTTTAAGCTCTTAAATATTAGAGAGAACATGCAATTTTTATCTTTCTGTGTCTGGCTTATTTCACTTATTATAATGTCCTCCAGTTTCATATATGTTTTTGCAAATGACGGGTTATTTTTTTATAGCTGAATATACAAAAAACTGTGATACATAATGTATATTTTCTTTATCCATTCATCTGTTGATGGACACTCAGGTTGCTTCCAAATCTTGGCTATTGTGAATAGTGCTACAATAAACATGGGAGCATAGATATCTCTTTGATATACTGGTTTACCTTCTTCTTGGTATATCCCTAGCAGAGGGATTGCTGGATCATGTAGTAGTTCTATTTTTAGTTTTTTGAGGAACCATTCTACTCTTCTCCATGGTGGTTGTACTAACTTGCATTCCCACCAACAGTGTACAAGGATTCCCTTTTCTCCACATTCTCATCAGCATTTGTTATTACCTGTCTAAAAGCAATCTTAACTGGGATAAGATGATATCTCATTGTAGATTTAATTTGCATTTCTCCTATGATTAATGGTGTTTAGCACCTTTTCATATGCCTGTTTTCCATTTGTATATCTTTTGAGAAATGTCTGTTCAAATACTTTGCCCACTTTTAAGATTAGATTATTAGATTTTTCCTATAGAGTTGTTTGAGATCCTTACATACATTAGTTAGTAATCTCTTATCAGATCAATAGTTTGCAAATATTTTTTCCCATCCTGTGGGTTGTCTCTTCCCTCTGTTGATTGCTTCCTTCGTTGTACAGAAGTTTTTAGCTTGATGCAGCCCTAATTATTTATGTATTTATTTATTTATTTATTTATTTATTTATTGAGACGGAGTTTCTCGTCACACAGACTAGAGTGCAATGGCGCGATCTCGGCTCACTGCAACCTCTATCTCCTGGGTTCAAGCCATTTTCCTGCCTCAGTCTCCTGAGTAGCTGGGATTACAGGCACACACCACCATGCCCAGCTAATTTTGTATTTTTAGTAGAGATGGGGTTTCACCATGCTGGACAGGCTGGTCTCAAACTCCTGACCTCAGGTGGTCCACCCACCTCGGCTTCCCAAAATGCTGGGATTACAGGTGTGAGCCACCACACCTGGCTGCAATGCCATTTATTAATTTTTGTTTTGGGTGCCTTGCTTTCTTACTCAGGAAATCTTGGCCTAGACCAAGGTCTGAAGCATTTTCTTGATATTTTCTTCTAGTAGTTTTATAGTTTCAGGTATTTCAGTTCCTAATCCATCTTTATTTGATTTGTATGGTAAGAGGTAGGAATAGAGTTTTATTCTTCACATAGATATTCTGTTTTTCCAGGACAATTTATTAATGAGACTGTGCTTTTCTCAATGTATATTCTCGATGCCTTTGTTAAAAATGATTTGGTTGAAAATGCATGCATTTATTTCTGGGTTCTTTATTCTGTTCCATTGGTCTATTTGTCTGTTTTTATGTCAGTACAATGTTTGTTTGGTTACTATAACTTTGTAGTGTATTTTGAAGTCATGCAATGTGCTCTAGCTATGTCCCTTTTTTGCCCTTAGGATTACTTTGGCTATTTTGGGTCTTTTGTAGTTCCAAACAAATTTTATGATTGTGTTTTTATTTCTGTAAAGAAGTCATTTGTATTTTGATGAATTATATTAAATTTATAAATCAGTTTGGGTAATATGGACATTTTGAAAATATTAATTTCTCCAATTCATGAACATAGAATATCTTTCTTTTTTCTTTATTTTTCAATTTATTTCATCAGTGTTTTATGGTTTCCATTGTACAGATGTATTGATAACTATTTAATCTTCTTATTTGTTATTGGAATTTTCAGGCTATTTCTCCTTGATTGATTCTTGGTAAGTTGTACATTTCTATTTATGAATTTTTTCTATGTTGTCCAGCTTTTTGCTGTATACTTGAGCTGTTCATAATAGTTATTTGTGTGTGTGTGTGTGTTTTAATTTCTGTGCCAGTGGTTTTAATGTTTTCTCTTCTATTTCTGATTTTATTTATTTTAGTCTTTTCTCTTAGCTAATGGTCTGTCAATTTTATTTTTTTCAAAGAACCATATTTTATATTATTGATTTTTCTATTCTTTATTTCATTTATTTCTGCTCTTTCATTTCCTTTCTTCTGTTAACTTGGTTTAGTTTGTTCTTTTGTTCAAATTCTTCATATTGTTATATTAGGTTGTTAATTTAACATTCTTCTTCATTTTTAACGTAGTAATTAAATTCTAGAATCAAGAAGATAGGTTCAAGATGGCTGACTAAAAGCAGCTAGTGTGCACCATTCACATGGAGAGGAAACAAAGTGGCAAGTAAATACTAGCTCTTCAACTGGATCTTCTAAAAGACCATGTCAGGATTCACTAAGGAAGTAAGGGACGCACAGAGAACAGAGAGGTATGAAGCCAGGAAACCACCTCTCTGGGACTAAAGTGGAGCCAAGTGATGTTCCCTAACATGGGGAAAAGGTGAGTGATTGAGAGTCCCCAGAGAATTCATATTTTCCACACAGACCTTTGCTATCCTGGGCAGGGGAGAACACCCATAACTCCCCCAGACCTCCAGAGAGCTGCCTGGAGTTTTTGCAGAGGCATTACTCAAGCACACATGGAGCCCTGCAGGCCCTGGATCCCTGAGTAGATTGACGGCGGCTGTTGTAGCCCTGATAGAGGAAGCAGTCATGATGAAGAGGAGTGACCAGACTACCCCACTCTTCTTCACCAGGTGAGGTTCAACTCTGGCATCCAGTGCAGTGAACCTGCCCCGACCTGGGCTCTGTGGGAAAGCACAGCTCTATGTTCCCTGAGGAACCTTCTGGATGATAGACCATGTGACCTTTTTCTCCCACTGCTCCTAGCCAGACAAGGCTTGCCAACTTGGGTTTCCAGTGCAGCAATCCAGTCCCTGCCTGAACTCTGTGGGCAGGCATAGTTCTGTATTTCCCTGGGAATCACACAGGATGAAGACTGTGAAACCCCCTGCCCCTGCTGCTTCTAGTTAGGTAAGGCTCACTGGCTTGGGCTTCCAGTGCAACAGTCTTACCCTTGCCTGACCAGTATGGTTGGTTGTGCCTCTGTGTTCCTCTGGAGCAAAACTCCTAGAGGTAACAATGCTTGGCACCTCTGCATGCTCCCAACAGTTAACCTCAACAGTGCTTAGATGGAAGGGAAGTGTGAGTGTGTCACATGCTCCACAGCTGCCAATCTCCATTGCTCAGCTGAGGAGACCTGCTTTTCCCAGTAAAAGGCCCACAGCACAGCTATCCTGCCTCCACCAAATCATTCCACTTGTGGTTCAGAACTCCTCTGAAAACCCAACCCCAAAAGATCTGTGACATTCCCTCAGGTTCTCATCACCTAAACGTACTGTCTGCCCCTGCCTGAGAATCTGGCCAGCGTCCTGGGGACCAGCCTGTTCATCCCACTGAAAGCCAGCACCTGGACTAGCTAGACTGAAATGCAGCCCTGCCAGGATTTATGCAAGCTGTCTAGTGGGCCATTTAGGGACTTGGGAACTGGAGAACAACCTGCCCCACTCCAACTCTGTTGGCACTTGACCACTTCCTCTAGGGCCAGAGGTTGGGCTGACCCAATCAACTGATACCACCACAACCAACACACATGAGCATGGGATCAAATGTGGAAACCTTTTACAAGAGACAGTAGCACTGCCACATCAGAGAATAGACAAGTATTAAAGCTATCTGTGTCAGGTTGTAGGACGAGGTTATGCCTTGAAACCACTCCCATGGAGAGTAGCAAAACAGATGTTCCCTGTGGCTCTCAACCCCATTGTGGTCTGGAGATAGACTATAGTCTGCCTCTGAACTAGGAGTCATGAGCCATTGAACAGGGTGTGATAGGTAAAAATAAAAAAAATCACATTCCTGGCTGTCTAGGACAGGGAGCCGGCGCAGGTCCCTTACCAACCACCGGCCTAACAAAAACCTCAGTGCACTACACCAGGAGCTCCTCCCAGCCATCCTCTTTAGGGCTGGTGCTTGCACTTGCCATCAGGATATTTGTGAGTAATCCAGGGGCTCCAGCTCCACCGAACTGTATCCCCCCCTTCCCGTAGGAAGGAAGCTCAGGGAGCTAGACATCCCACTAGCCCATCACCTATCACGGGAAACAACAGGACAGTGCCTCACAGTAACAGAGATCAGGTCCAAACCCACCTGCTTGTGTGACAGCTGGCTCTCACCAGCAAACGCCATACACTGGCCTGTAGGTCAAACTGCACAGCCTAATACAAAACCTTCCATCAAAAGTGCATAGGACTATAGAAGCCAAGACAAAAGACACTACCTAAAACAACCTCCAGATGAGAAAGAACCAGCAAAATAATTCTGCCATCATAAAAAATCTGAATGTTGTGATACCACCAAAGGCTCACTCCAGGTCTCTAGCAATCTAGGTCTCTAGCTGAAATGGAGGCAAAGAGATGACTGATGGATAATTCAAAGCATGGATTGCAGAAAATTCAAACAAGATCCAAGTCAAAGCTGAAAATCAATACAAAAGAACCTCTAAAGCAATCCAGGAAATAAAGGAAGAGGTAAACATCTTAAAAAGAAATGAATCAGAGCTACTAGAATTGGAAACCTCACTTAAGGAATTTTAAAACACAACTGAAAGATTTATCCATAGTCTAGACTGAGCAGGAGAAAGAATTGTAGAGCTTAAAGACCAGTCTTTTGAACTAATCCAGTCAGATAAAAATAAAGAAAAAAATTTTTAAATGAACAAAGTCTCTGAGAAATATAAGATTATGTAAAGCAACCCAAACTATGAATTGTTGACATTTCTGAGAGAGAGGGAGACAAAGTGAACAACCCGAAAAATGTATTTGAGGAAATAATCCAAGAACATTTTCCTAACCTTGCTAGAGAAGTAGACATTCAAAACAAAAACGCCCGAGAACACTGGCCAGATGCTATACAAAATGAACACCACCAAGGTAAGTGGTCACCAGAATGTCTAAGGCGAACACTAAAGAAAAAATCTTAAAGGCAGCTAGAGAAAAAGGCCAGATTGCACACAAAGGAAACCTGTCAAGTTAACAGCAGACATCTCAGTAGAACTCCTGTAAGCCAGAAGAGACTGGGGGCCGATTTTCAGCATTCTCAAAGAAAGGGGACTACAGCCAAGAATTTCATAACTTGCCAAACCAAGCTTTATAAATGAAGGAGAAATAAAACATTTTTCAGATAAGCAAGTGCTAAGCAAATTCATTACCACTAGGCCAGCTTTACAAAAGTTTATAAAGGAATTTCTAATCACAGAAACAAAAGAATGATACCTGTTACCACAAAACTACACCTAGGTACATAACCCACAGACCCTTGAAAGGAACTACACAGTAGAAGCGATCAAACAGCTAACAACTTCACAATCAAATCAAAACCTCAGATATCAAAATTAACTCTGAATGTAAATCCTTCTCATGCCTCCCCAAACCCCGCCCCCGACCTTTTTTTCTTTTTTGAGACAGAGTCTCACTCTGTCGCCCAGGCTGGAGTGCAGTGGCATGATCTCAACTCACTGCAACCTCTGCCTCCCGGGTTCAAAGGATTCTCATGCCTCAGCCTCCCGAGTAGCTGAGATTGCTGGCACCCACCACCAAACCTGGCGATTTTTTGTATTTTTAGTAGAGGTAGAGTTTCACCATGTTGGCCAGACTGGTCTCAAATTCCCGATCTCAAATGGTCCGCCTGCCTTGCCCTCCCAAAGTGCTTGGACTACAGGTGTGCAACACCACTCCTGGCCCTAATGCCCCACTTAAAAGGCACCAAGTGGCATGTTGGAAACAAACAAACAAACAAAAAAAGACCGGGCCAGGCACAGTGGCTCACGCCTGTAATCCCAGCACTTTGGGAGGCCAAGGCGGGTGGATCACTTGAGGTTAGGGAGTTCCAGGGCAGCCTGGCCAACATGATGAAACCCCGTCTCTGCTAAAAATACAAAAATTAGCTGGGCGTGGTGGCACATGCCTGTAATCCCATCACTTTGGGAGGCCAAGGCGGGTGGATCACTTGAGGTTAGGGAGTTCCAGGGCAGCCTGGCCAACATGATGAAATCCCGTCTCTGCTAAAAATACAAAAATTAGCTGGGCGTGGTGGCACATGCCTGTAATCCCAGCTACTTGGGAGGCTGAGGCAGGAGAATCGCTTGAACCCGGGAGGCTGAGGTTGCAGTGAGCCAAAATTGTGTCACTGCACTTCAGCCTGGGTGACAGAGTGGGATTCCATCTCAAAAAACAAAAACAAAAACAAAACAAGACCAGCGGGGTGAGAAGGCTCAGGCCTGTAATCCCAGCCCTTTGAGAGGCTGGGGCGGGCAGATCATTTGAGGTCAGGAATTTGAGACCAGCCTGACCAACATGGAGAAACTCCGTCTCTATTGAAAATACAAAAAATTAGCCAGGTGTGGTGGTGCAGGCCTATAATCTCAGCTACTGGGGAGGGTGAGACAGGAGAATCGCTTGAACCCGGGAGTCAGAAATTGCAGTCAGCCTGAGATCATGCCACAGCACTCCACCCTGGGTGACAGAGCAAGACTTTGTCTCAAAAAATAACAATAAAATACACATTCATCTGCTGAGACCCATCTCAACCGTAATACCCATAGACTCAAGGTAAAGAGTTGGAGAAAGATCTATTATACAAACGGAAAACAAAAAAGAACAGAGTTGCTATTTTTATATTTCATATCAGCTGTTTTCATATCAGCTTTAACCAATTACAGTAAAAAAGGACAAAGAAGGCCGTTACATAATGATAAAGGCTTCAATCCAACGAGATGACTTAACTATCCTAAATATATATGCACTTCACATTGGAGCAGTCAGATCCATAAGACAAATACTTTTGAACCTACAAAAAGACTTAGCCACACAATAATAATGAGGGACTTCAACATACCACTGACAGTTGTAGAGAGATCAAGGCAGAAAACTAACAAAAGAAATTCTGTACTTAAATTTGACCCTTGACCAATTGGACCTACTAGACGTCTACAGGGAACTCCACCCATCAACCACAGAATATACATTCTTCTCATTTACACACACAGCATACTCAAAGATTGATCACGTGCTTGCCCACAAAGCAAGTCTCAATAAATTTAAAAACTTAAAATCATACAAGTCATACTCTCAGGTCACTTTATAATAATAATATAAATCAATATCAAGAGTATCTCTCAAAACCACACAATTGCATGGAAATAAAATAACTTACTCTTGAATGACCCTTGGGTAAACTATGAAATTAAGGCAAGAATTAAAAAAAAAATTAGAAGTAAATGAAAGCAGAGACACAACATACCTAAATCTCTGGTATGCAGTGAACGTAATGTTAAGTGGAAAGTTTATAGCACTAAATGCCTACATTAAGAAATTAGAAACATCTGAACCTAAAAATCTAAGATCACCTGGAGGAAGTTGAAAAACAAGAAAAAATTAACCCCAAAAGTATTAGAGGAAAAAAATTAACTAAAATCAGAGTAAACTGAATAAAGTTGAGACCCAAAAATCTATACAAAGGATGAACAAAACCAAATGTTGTTCTTTGAAAGGGTAAACAAGATGGACACATCACTAGCTAGATTAATGAAGAAAAAAAGAGAGAGGATGCAAGCAAGTGCAATCAGAAATGACAAGGGTGACATTACAGCTGATCCCACAGTGAATACCTCTATGCACATAAACTAGAAAATCTAGAGACAACGGATACATTTTCTGGAAACACACAAACTCCAAAGACTGAGTAGAGTCAGTCAAAGGAAGAAATAAAAACTTCAAATAGACAAATATCAATTTTCAAAATTGAATCAGTAATAAAAATTATCTACCAACCAAAAAGAGCCCTGGAACAGATGGATTCACAGCTGAATTCTACCAGACATACAAAGAAGAGCTGGTAACGATCTTATGGAAATGGCTTCAAAAAATTGAGGAGGGATTCCTCCCTAACTCATACTACAAAGTCAGTGTCACTCTGATACCAAAATCTGGCAAAGACACAACAGAAAAAGAAAACTACAGGCCAATATCCATGATGAGCATAGACACAAAAAATTCTCAGCAAAATACTAGCAAATCGAATCTCACAGCACATCAAAAAGTTAACTTACCATGATCAAGTAGTCTTTATTCCAGGGATGCAGGGCTGGTTCAACATACGCAAATCAATAAACGCAATTCACCATACACACACATAAAAACAGAATTAAAAACAAAAATCATATGATCATCTCAATAGATGCAGAGGAAGCTTTTCATACAATCCAGTGTCCCTTTGTGATGGAAACTCTCAACAAATTAAGCATCAAAGGAACATACTTCAAAATAACCCAAGCCATCTACGACAAACCTACAGCCAGCATCATACTCAATGGCCAAAAGCTAGAAGCATTCCCCTTCAGAACTACAGCAGGATGCTTACCACTCCTGTCTAATGTAGTCCTGGGGGTCCTTGCCAGAAAATCACACAAGTAGAAGAAAAAAAAGTCATCCATATAGGAAAAGAAGAAGTCAAGTTGTCCCTTTTTGCTGATAATATGAATATATACCTAGAGAACCTTGGAAATTCTGCTTAAAGGCTCCTAGAACTGATAAACTACTTCAGTGGGTTTCAGGATGTGGAATAAATGCACAACAACTGGTAATATTTCTATACACTAATAGCATTATATCTTGTTAGTGATGTATCCAAATGCTGGTGACTTTTGTATGTTGATTTCGTATCTTGCAAGTTTGCTGAATTTATTAGTTCTAGCAGTATTTTGTTGGAGTTTTTAGGGCTTTCTATATACAAGATTACATCATCTGCAAACAAAGACAGTTTGATTCCTCCTTTCCAATCTAGATGCCTTTGATTTTGTTCTTTAATTGCTCTGGTTTGACTATTCAGTGCTGTGTTGAGTGGGAGTTATGGGGCTGGGCATCTTTGTTTTGTTCCAGCTCTTAGAGAAAAATCTTACATTGTTTTTCTGGTTTAACGTGATATTGGCTGTACATTTGTCATAGAGGGCCTTTGTTGGGTTGAAGTGCATTTGTTCTACCTAATTTGTTGAGTGTCATGAAGGAATATTGAATTTTGTCATGTCCTTTTTTTGCATCTATTTAAATGTTGTAGTGGTCCTTGAGTCTGTCGTCCTAGTCAAAAATCTGGGAGGATGCCACCATACCTAGAGGAGGACATGAGGGCATCACATCTCACATTCTGTGGACATGACCTGATTATGATGTGACTGGTGAGTATCTGACTCCCCAAACAGAACTGAGGTCCAGGGATTGTCACTTGTTTTGTTCAATAAATTGTCAATTGTCTAGAAAAGTGACAATAAAAATTAAGTACTTAATATATGTGTGGTAATTAAATTAATCTCAACCAGAAGAAAAGTAATTAAATTCTATAGATTCCTCTCTTCATACTGCTTTTGGTGTATCCTAGAATTTGTTTTAATATTGTTTTTATTTTTGTCTCTCTCTCTCTCTCGATATATATATATGTGTGTGTGTGTGTGTGTGTGTGTGTGTGCATAAATTATATACACATAAATTTTTGCTTTGGATTTCTTCTTTGACCCAATAATTGTTCAAGAGTATGTAGTTTAAATTCCATATATTTAAATTTTTTTAAGTTCACTCTATTTATTCTTTCCTGGTTTATTCCATTGTGGTTAAAAATGATACTTGACATGGCTTTAATCTTAAATTTGTTAAGACTTGTTTTGTGACCTACCGTGTGATCTATTCTGGAGAATGTTCCATGTACATTTGAGAAGCATGTGAGAATGCAGCTGCTGTTGTGTAGAATTTTGTGTATGTATCTGTCAGATTCATTTCATGTATAGCGTAGTTCGAGTGTGCTATTTTCTTATTGATAAGTGCAGTATGAAGAATCTGACAATCATTGCATTGCTGTCTACTTCTCCCTTCACATCTTGTCAATATTTGCTTCATATATTTGGGTGCACTGATGTTGAGTGTATGTGTATCAATTATTGTTATATATGCCTGTTGAATTTATCCTTTTATTATTATGTAATGGCCTTATTCATCTGGCACTGGGGTGGGTCTGGAGTCTCGATCTGCAGGGATTGACTCCTTCTTTGTTTTTCTTTTTTCCCATGTATTCACTTGATTGAGATTTCTAGATATTACGATTTCCCTCTCTTCTTTGCTTATTTATTCTAAAATACTAATTAATAAATGCTAAAATAATAATACCATTAATCATTATCTTTAGTATTTCTAAACAAATGCTTAACATAAAATCCAAAACAAACTAAGGCTTTTCCCCATACTCATGAACAATTCAAAAGCTTACAGGTTTTAAAACTCTTCTGGACCTTTTCAGGCTGCAGGTTTTGGTCTCTTAAGTTTTCTATCTTGTTCCTGTAAATCATTTCTACATCTTGTTCCTGTAGATTAATTCTGAATGACAGTTTAGATGGGAATACATTTTAGGTTGACTATTATTTTTTCTCAGCCTTTTAAATTACATTGTGTCATCACTGTTGCTATTAAGAAGTATGTTATAAATTAAATTATTCTTCTCTTCTACCTGAATGCTTTTACAAACTTCATATTTGACATTATTTTTCTTCAGTCTTATTCAATTTTCCAGTCTTGTAACTAGATATGGATTTATACACAATCTCACCAATACTTGCCACTGACAGATTTTATCATTCTCCTGAATTTTTTGAATAGGTAACGATATCTTGTTATGTTTTGTATTTGCATTTTCCTGATAATTAAAATCAGAAACTTTTCATATGTTTATAAAAGCTATTTGGTTATCCTTTCTTGTGAAGTTTTGTGCATATTTCTTTGCCATTTTGCAAATAGGTTGTCATTATTTTTTTCCAATTAAATTTTCATTAGCCCAGTAAAATTTATTTAAATGGATATTCTTGCACTTCGCCTTTGCCATAAGTCCAGTAAATATATAAACGTGAGCTTGTTTCTGGACTTGTTCCCTTTCAGTTCTTCTCAAAGTGTTATACCCAGACCAGTAGCAACAGCTTTACCCAAAAATTTAGTGTAAATGGGAACTCCTCCCCTATTTCTACTGAATCTTTCTTCAGATGATTATGATCTACAATAAAGTTTGGGAACCACTGTCCTATTCTGTTTCATTGGTCTACTTGCATATACTTGCATAATACCAACTATATTAATTATCATAGTCCTATATCAGCCTTTCATTTGTCATTTTAGACACACACACATCTGTTGGGATGTAAATCTGCTTCATTTTTTTCTCAATAATGTTTTGTGAATTTCTGATTAGTGGTCTTGCACATCATTTATTAGATACATTCTAAAAGACATTGCATTGTTAGAAATAGTGTTCAATTTTACTTCAATTTGTTTATTGGTGATGTAAGAAAAAAATTGTATTTTATCTTGTTTTCTGTTATCTTTCAATTCACTTTTTAATTTAATAATATAAATGTAGACTCTATGATTGTCTAAGAACCTAATTAGACAGTCTTACAGTAACAGCTTAACTTTCTCTGTTCCAATCTTTATTTTTTTCTTACCTTAGTCTATTAGCTTGAAATTTCAGTATACCTTTTAATATTATAGTTTTTGGCTGGTGCCACCATCTTTTCTCCACCTCAGGAATGAAGCTTTTAATATTTTATTATTATCCACATTATGCTTTGCAATTTGAAACTGAGGTATTTTCTAGTCTTTTATTCCCTTTGAAAATGCTGAACTAAAGTTTTATCTTTTCAGCTCCATGAAAATTGTAAAAACTTGCCTCTGCTTTTAAGAGACTCCCTTTGTGGTTTTTTGAGGCTACTGCCCTGGTCAACTTAATCACTTGATAAATACGTAGTTGCCAATTGTCCTGGTCATTTCTCTGAACTCTTCTTCTCTTCCAAATATTGGGCCCTCAAATTCTACTTCCTTTGAAAATCAGAATTCTAGATCGCATATCCTATATCCTTTGAAATTTATATCATCTTTACTGACTCTTCTGCAACTAAATGAATATTATTTTCATGAGCTTCCCTTTACAATTTTTAACATGCTTATGTTATACTCTCTATTTCATAATTTTTATCATTTGAAGTTTTTGTGGGTCAGATACTTTTTCGTATTTTTTTTTCCTGAGATCACTCTTTAATGGTTGAAGTTGCAATCATGTGGCTTTTAAATTTGGATTGTGAGCATAATTCTCTGAAAATACTGTTTAATGTTGGATTAAAATGCATATATCCAACTAAATTTTAATTTCGCCTTTACTGGACACCCAGTACATCACTCACTAGGGAACATTATGTTAATATTTCAGTTTTCAATTTTAAACACTCAATATGTTATGTAATTGAAGTAGCTAAACCTGCTTGACAGTGGAACATTGTAATAACTGGACTCTTTTTTTGTTTTGTCAAAGCACAGGCAAATTTCTAAACTTTTCCTGACAGACTCTCATCTTCTTTTATTGGTGATTAAATTTTATTTCCAGTTCATGTTTTTAAAAATTCTATTCTTCAGGTTATAGCCTTTATAGAAACCTGACTATATGGAGAGTCCTCTCTCCAATTTTTTTTAATATACAGGCTCTTTGTCAAGACACTTTTTTTCATCTATACATGAGCAACAACATAGAAATCTTAATCCCATCTACCCCTCAAGATATACCTAACCTGGGACTTCTGCAAAATTGTTTTATTTAACAATGTTCTTTTTTCTTTCATTAACTGCTGCTCAATAATTTACTAAGTGGCTATTTATTTTTGGTTCTCTATTTTCTGATACTTGAAGTTGAGATATACATTAAAATTTTATTTTTGATATTTTATTCTTTAGGTGTTTGAAGCAAGAGAGTATCCAGGTGCCTACAAAATACCTAGTCACACATTAAATAAATGGTTGATAGAATAACTAATCCATTCATTTATCATGCTAAAAATATTTGCAGATATAGAGTACCATGCCATCACATAGACTGAAATAATTGTTGTCAATCTTACAGAATTTGAAACAAATGGATCAACACATTACAAGTCAGACTACCTCCACAATAACTTAGGGACTAAAAATCTCTACATTTAAATGATATATGCTCAGTTAAATCAAGTATATAAATAGTAATTTATCCCTTACAAAACTGCAGCAATCAGCAACTTCCTTTGCTGCTTAAATTAGAATTAAATATCTAGTTCATATTAAACAAGTACAATAAGTTAAAATATTGAAGTGACAACCATTAGGATGGCAAGTACAATTTTAGAAGAATGTCAAGCACCAGGAAAGGCAGTTTTCAAATGAATATTGGAGCAAGAGAGAGTTCTTTCTATAGCAGAGTAGAGTCAGCAAGGCTGCCCATAACTGAACTTTATCACAGAACACAGACTTGCATGGCTGAAAAAGATAGTGCTTCCATGCCAAATAGAAAGTGTGTTAGTGAGCTTGGCAGCACAAGCAAGCACTTTCAGCAAGAAAGCAGACGAGGAGTGTGGCAGACCATTCACTTTCATAGGGAATGGATAAATAGCCAGGAGAATAAAAATAGACAATGCCATGTTTTCTATTAATTGAGAATAAAATTATGCTTCTCTTCCCACTTCCTTTTGATGAATATTAATCACTTCATGCTATTTTAAAATTGTGAAGCTGCACTAAAATATCTGTGGTACACTAGGTAACAAGGCCATAATTTTCTACATTTGCATTACTTAAAACACATGAGTGGCAAAATATTTTCATGTTTTTATATACCTGTGTCATTCTAAATCAGTTCGTCTAAGTACATACATATAAACGCACCCATGAAGTAAATATTTTGTGTATATTTCAGTTGTTAAAATTATGACATACTCTAAAATCCACAATTTTAAAATATAATTATATCAAGATAATTTAGACATATATGCCATTGGAAAAAGTCTAACTAGATTTTACTAAGAAAGTAATTCTATTGTACATATTGCCAATTATTTGTTTTTAATAATAAGTTCATTTGTATCTTCTGATGAAATATCATAGAAAAAATATAATTAGTATAGTAATAATATTAGATGCACATGACTTATTTCAGCATTGTGGTTCAAGTTCTTATATCAGAAGAAATACATTTCCAAGAACTTTAATAGGTTGTAAAGAAAGTGATTTTAAAAAGAATCATTTTAGTATCTTTAAAGTGTTTACAATTGTTTCAATAATATTTTTCTATAAGCATAGAGTGAAAGAATAGTGACTAAAATAAATTATAACAAATCATATTATAATGCTAGAAATTTTATTTAGTACATCATGAAAAGATGATATGAATTGAAACGATTATCTTTTCACAGCACAAGTTTCTCCAATGTATTTCCAAAACACTCTAATTTATAAGGACCATAAAATAAAATCTCAGGACATGGAATATTAGATTTTATTTTACCAGTATTGAAAAACTGATTGTAAATTTTAGCTCCATATTTGTCAGTATTAAATTTTCTACCCAGGGACATGTGATTACAGGCTAAAAAACTAAAATATGAGCTTGGATCATGTAATGTTTTTACTGCCTCACAGCAAAATAGTAAACATCTAGAATCTGATTTGTGTTAAACAAAAATTGATCATAATTGAAGTTTGGTTCCCTATTTCCAAAGTTCTTAGCTATGTGATTAAACCTCAGAGTTGTTCAGACTACTATTTGGCCAGAAACAGCTCATATTAAAATGGTTTGCTCAGCGTCTCTCCAAAGAGAATCACTTAGTTTCATTGTGGCTTTGCTGAGGAAAAGTTCTGCTTCAATATCTAGTGGTCTGTGTACCAAATGTACTCGATTTCTGTTCTTGCTATGACCTTGTTTACTTGTATCCTCTTATCTACAACTGACAATTTACCTGAACTAGAGCTGCATAGGATTAAGTTGCCAAGACATAAGGGAAAAGATATTGAGAAAGCAAAGAGGCAAATATATCTTTATAACTTGCAAGCCATTTCATTAATATCTGACTTGCCTTTCAGGTCAAAGAGACACTTTCTCCTCCTGCTATAACACATTTATCTAGGGTGGATTTTGGGGTGTCACATAACTATGATAGTTTGTGATTGATCTCTGTCTCTGCATAGAGAATGGACAGATTGACAACGATGATGATAATAAATACACAAACTTGACTGAGAACCAAAATGTAAAAGGTCAAAGCAAATAATAGAAATAGGTAGAACATGGGCTAATTACATTATTTTATTAATATTTAAATATAATTATTACCACTTACAGTTTAAAGTTGAAGAAACTGAGGATTTGAGCTTTTAATTACACCACCCAGTGTCATACAGCGGTAGAGCTACAAGTGAAATTTAGATATCCTGAGCTAGCCGGCAATTTTTACCCTATGTCGTACTGGTGGTTGGGTGGCTGGCTATTTAGTGCAGTTTTGGAGAAATACATAATTTAACAAGGGCTGGGTCATGCTACTCAGAGGTGATAAAATGCTAGTGACAGGTGTAAGCAGTGGATCTGAAAACTCATAAAGAATAAGGCCTCCCACATCAGAAGCCAAAAAATTATAAAGCAATTAAGCAATAGACATGAGCTTGATTAAGTTGAGGGATTTTGGTTGAGATATCTAAAAATTAGAAAGAAATCCATGATTTAAAGAGCTTACCAGGGCTGAATAAAAGCAGGTACAACTGAATTGCTCTCATAAGATTAGTGAGGCCAACAGAAGCTCAAAAAAGGAAGGCTGTTTAAACATAGAAGACCACCCTCTTAGGTGTTAAGAATAATCTATATAAAAAATGATCAACATCATAATCACTAGTTTAAAATAAAATTTTATATTTATACTCTTTAAGGTCTTTACATTCTTCTGTTATGTTCATTGCATTATATTTAAACATAATCCATAAGTTTATTTAGAGAGTAACAATATTATCTATCTGAATTAAGAAAAAAAGTTGGTGAAGAAACAATTTTATCTTATAAATATTGCAATTATCCTCTAAATCGTAGTTGTTTTTTTTTATAAGTCAAATAAGCCAAAATTGCTAATAGTGCAATTTAATTAGCCCTAATTAAGATGTGGCATGTTACCAAATATAATTACAGTGTTTTTTTTTTCATGAGGTTACATTTCATAATGCATTAAATGTTATTATAGGTTGTGGGCATTTTATCCTTAGTAAGTAAGCTGATACTTATCTATGGTTATTTTTATGAGATAAATTAAACAACTACTAAATTTTTCTCTAATGTAATTTATTTGGATAGGTCTAACAAAATTTTTTGGTCATACAATATTTCCAATGGTGGAAACATCATGTGAAAATAACTATGTTATTAGAGAGAATCAAGTTTGTTTCTGGAATAACTGCATCATCTAAACACTTGAGAATCCTGTAGCTTTTCCAAATCTAATCTAAACTTAAAAATATTAGTTCTTCTATAATTTGTCACCAACACCACTCCCCAAGGAATAGTTATGTGTGTACAGTAGGCCAGAAGAGATTGAACAGTTCTTAGAAATTTTAGAATTCCCTGAATTAAATTACTGTTGTATTTTTGGATCAAACAATATTTTATTTTATTTTTACAATGTTGTTGCACCATTATAAATTATTTACAAAGTTTGACAATAAGCTTAGCTGTCACTTGTTTACAATCTGTGTAATAGTAAGTGTTGTTTTATAGCTAAGAAAACCAGAATAATTCAAATTTTAGATAAGGAAGGAAAATATTACTTTGACAAAATCATTGTACCTAATGACAAATTATTGCACCTTATATGATAATTCATTTAAGCTAAGCCATTGACATTTCTAGTTAAAATGCAAATGTCTTTTGGATAAAAGACTTAATAATAGTAATAACAACACCCTTTGACTGGTCCAATACTAGCACTTTGCTAGTGCAAGTATCACTATTTACTTAGACTAGAAAACTAATGCTAAATTTTATATGGCACATAAGAAATTAAGATTCATGCAATGTGGACATGCTACACAAGTAGGCTATGTGTATGTTACACTGTCTTGCACAATTTAATGACATTAATAAGCACCGTGTATTAGCAATAGTTGCAAATAGATTCAAATACAGAGATTCAGTTCAATTCAGTACATATCTACAGATGCATATTAAGTAACTTCTCTTAACCTGCGATTTCATTTTAGGCATCTAGAAGAAATGATATCAATCTGGCCTTCAGTGGGACAATGTTTAATAGAAGTGATAAAAATAAAAGCAAAGCCTACCATAGACATTTAAAAATTTAATAAAAGGAATATGCAATAAGTAAAGTGGATGCATAGAGAAGGGAGTAATTCACTTATCTTAAGGGTGGGGTCAAGAAAATCCTTAAAGTTCAATTTTAGAAAGTAAATAAAATTCAGATAAAGGACAGTAAACTATGCTCAAATAGGAAATACTTATGGTCAGAAGGGAATAGTACTCAGTACTGATTGATAGAAATGAGTAAAGGGTAGGCAAGAATCTATTAGAGCATAACATGCTGCCAAGAGGGAAGCCTCATATATTGTGATATGGGCAAACGATGGCCCATAGTCCAATTTCAGTTTGTAACCTGTTTTTGTGTTGGCACATCAACTAAGAATAATTGTTATATTTTTAAACACTGTCAAAAAATTAAATAACAGATATATACAAAACCATAATTATGCTATCCATCGTTCACTCCAAAACCATAATCATCCTCCAGTGTCTGTGGCCTATAATGTCTAAAATATTTATTCTCTGACCTTTACAGAAAAAGTTTACCAACCGAACATTACTGTAAGCATAAAGGCACCAAAGGAATAAGTGAGAAAATTTAAAAGATTAAAACGGCAAGGAAGAAAACAGTAAATTCAGTAAAAGTGTCCCAGTGATGCTAAGGACAACTTTAAATTATTTCAAAATTGTGTCCTATATAGAATGGATGAAAAGAATCAAAAAGAGTTTTAAATATTATCACACTAAAAGAGAGATTCTAAAGAGGCTAAAATAAATTTTAAAGCGTAAAATAAATGATGTTATATATTTTTGAATCAAAGCTTTACTTATCAATTATTATGTCAATAATTCTTATAATATTGTATCCGTTTCTCACCTGAGCTCCAGAAATATATAGCCAATAGTTCATTTTACATTTCCACTAAGAATATCTACTTCATATATACAAAACCATAATTATGCTATCCATCATTCACT
The DNA here is from genome assembly GCF_000001405.40 of Homo sapiens. Classification (NCBI taxonomy): domain Eukaryota; kingdom Metazoa; phylum Chordata; class Mammalia; order Primates; family Hominidae; genus Homo; species Homo sapiens. The sequence goes on from NC_000012.12 coordinate 86,908,139, forward strand.
CAAAACCATAATCATCCTCCAGCATTATGCTCAGTTGCTGGTGCAACCATTCAAATTGTTACATTAAAAATACTCTTAATAATTATTTCTCCCCCTTTCTCATATTCTCAGTCACCAAATTTTATTGATTTTACCTATTTAAATTCTTCAAACCAATTCTTGTCTCTTCACCTCCCCAACTATTTATTTTAGACTAGCAGGAGATACTTTTCTTATCTTGACCACTCTATTCATTTCTTAATTGGATTTCCCTTTCCACTTGTGCATCCGCCATGCCATCCTAATCAGTGTAGTATAAATGACTTCCAAAGTAAAATTTTCAAAGGCATATAATAGCATACAATAGCAAATCTGTCTTGTGAAAATTCTGCAACGACTTAAAGAACATCTATGGAAAACTTAATATTATACTTAATGATGAAAGACAATGTTTTCCTCTAAAAAAAAAAGGCAAAGGTGCCTGCTCTCACCATTTTTATTGAACATTTTGTTAGAGATCTAATGTAATAACATAAGGAAAAGAGGTAATGGTGATAATTATTAGAAATTAAGAATTAATTTTGTTTTATTTAAAGGTGGCTGTAGAAACTGATAAGTAAATTTAGAAAGTTTGCAGTTACAAGGTCAATATACAAGAGTTAATTTTATACATAACAACAGTGAACATTAGCAAAAAAAATAAGCCAGAAGGCAAGCAAACAATAAATCCACATATAATAGTATAAAACAAAATACTAAGAAATAAATTTAACCTAAAATTTCAAAAAAAAAAAAAAACTACAAAACCTCAGAAAGACATTTTTAATAAAGCCAAAATCAATGGAAGAATATACCACGTTCATCAACTGAAACACTCACTATTATTAGGATCACAATTTTATCAGATTGTTCTGTAGACTCTATGCACTCCAAATCAAAATTCCAGCAAGATTTTTGGAGTAAATTGGGAAGCTGACTTTAAAATCTATAGGTGAAGGTAAAGGATCCTGAAGACGAAAAATAATTTTTAAAAGAAAAGCAATTTTGGAATACTAACACCACCTAATTTCAAGTCTTACTTTAAAGGTACACTGATATTAGAAAGAAGATAGATTCAAGGAACACAATAGAGAGTACACATATAGACCCATACTTCACTGGTTAATTGGTTTGACAAACTGCCATGATAATTCAGTTAGATAATAACTTTCTATTAACAACTTCATATAGCTGGAAAAATGAATCTCAATACATATTTTATATCATAAGAAATTCAAAGTAGACATTGACGTAAGTGCATGAATTAAAATTACGACACTTAAAGAAGAAAATATAGAAGAAAATCATTGTGAATTTGTGTTAGGCAAAGATTTTCAAACACTATATAAAAAAGAACAATCCCCCAAATAAAAAAAATTAATGATTTTAATGAAGTTTAAAAACTTTTACTCTTTGAAGAAAATGAAAGGGCAAGCTAGAGACTGCAAAAATATTTGAAAAACACCAATCTGATAACTGACTTATATTAAGAATACATAAAGATATCTCAAAAATCAGTAATAAGTACAAAATCTAATTTTAAATGGATAAATTATTTAAATAAGCACTTTAAAAGTTACAAGGCTGGCAAATAAGCACATGAAATGATGGTCAATATCACTAGTCATTAATGATATTCAAATTAAAATTACAATTACAAATAACAATACATCCAATACAATAAAGATAAAATTCCTGATATGACTAAGTGTTTGCAAGAATAAAGTTCAGCTGTAAATATCATGCAGGTATCGCTGTTGAAATTCAAAACAATATGGACACCAACTTCTGAAAACTTGATATGGCAGTATTGTATAAGGTTAAAAATTAGTTTTTACAGAACCTAGTAATCTCACTTCTAGGTGTTTTTCTAAGTGAAGTACATTCACACATGAATAGGCATGTGCATGTCAATAGTGGCATTATTTATATTAGCCATAATATAGAAGACTACCTAAATATTTATCCAGTTGAAAATAGATATAAAACATGTGTTATATTTATCCTGTGTGGCCACAGTCCATCTTAATTACCTCTTTAAAGACCACATCTCCAATACAGTCACATTGGAAGGTACTCAGGGATAGGAATTCAACATATGTGTTTTGAGGAGCGCAGTTCGGCCCATAACAGTGGGTCATGAATTTTACAGGGAAGCAAGAGAACCTTTTAGAATGATGTCATGTCTATAACATGTTTGCGGTGGAAATTACATGATTGAATACAATTATCAGCACCAAATTGTATCGTTAGAAAGAGTGAATTTTATTTTATGTAATGCTTACATCTGAAAGTTAAACAAATTAATAAATCAACTTTCAAAGTTCTTGTAGTTTGGGCTATCTTTACTCTTTATTAAAATGAAGGTGCTTCTGAAAAAATTTACAAGTTAAATGAAAAAAAAATTATGGTATTTTTACTAACATATCATACTATATACTATTTTCACCCCCCATTCTACAAAGTTTATTATAGCACCTTTCATTCAGATAACATTGATGCACTCTATAGCTATGTATTGACAGGTTATATGGACCTCTTGTTCAAGCTGACACTCACTGATACATGACTACCTAGGACTCTACATGGCAGATCACTGGCTTGAAAGTCATTAGTTTGTTTAGAAAACTCTGATAGTTCTCTCATTTACCTCCAGATGTTTCTGTCATTGTAAAAAATGTATCATATAGAAAATTTCTTAAAAGAATAAAAGAGTTAACAAAATTTAACTTAAAAAATAACATGAAAGTCAAGGAAATCAATGGAGATGATCCTCAGTCTTACCATATTTGGTTAAAAGAATTAAAAATAAAGTGTTCTAAAAGTTCAATGAGTAGCTTTTTAAAAAAAGTGCAAAGAGTTTTTGTTTTGTTTTGTTTTTTGCTAAAAAGAATGTGATTATATTTAAACAGAAACTACATTTTGCTTTAAGTCTAAGACCAATGTCTATATACATTCTCCTTTAAAAATATTACCTTTTCCTTTCTATCTTTTTTAAAAAAAGAAAAAGGGGAGGAAGGAAGAAAAAAAGTAATATGGTTTGGCTCTGTGTTCCCACTCAAATCTCATCTTGAATTGTAATCCCCACATGTCGAGGGAGGGACTTGTAATCTGGACGTGTTGAGGGAAAGAGGTGATTGGATCATGGGGACAGTTTCCCACCTGCTGTTCTCGTGACACTGAGTGAGTTCTCATGAGAGCTGATGGTTTTTAGAAGGGGCTCTTCCCCCTTTGCTCACAATCTGTCTCTCTTGCCGCCATGTGAAGAAGGTGCCTACATCCCCTTCACCTTCCACCCTGACAGTAAGTTTCTTCAGGCCTCCCCAGCCATGTGGAACTGTGAGTCAATTAAATCTCTTTTCATTATAAATTACCCAGTCTCAGTCATTTATAACAGTGTGAAAATGGACTAATACACTAAATTGATACTGTGGACAATAGGGTACAGCTATAAAGATAACCTGAAAATGTGGAAGCTACTTTTGAACTGGGTAATAGGCAGAGGCTGGAATAGGTGGAGACAGGTTCAGAAGAAGATAGGAAGATTTGGGAAAGTTTGGAACTTCCTAGAGGCTTGTCAAAGGGTTTTGATCAAAATTCTGATAGTGATGTAAACAACAAAAACCAGGCTGAGTTGGTCTCACATGCAGATGAGAAACTTATTGGGAATTGGAGCAAAGATCACTCTTTCTATGCTTTAACAAAGAGACTGGCAGAATTATGCTGCTGCCCTAGAGATCTGTGGAATTTGGAACCTGAGAGAGATGATTTAGGGTGTCTGGTGGAAGAAATTTCTAAGCAGCAAAGCATTCAAGAGGTGACAAAGCATAAAAGTTTGGAAAATTTGCAGCCTAACCATGTGGTAGAAAAAAATCTATTTTCCGGGGCTAAATTCAAGCCAGCTGCAGAAATTTGCATATGTAATGAGGAGTCCAAAGTTAATCACCAAGACAATGGGCAAAATATCTCCAGGGCATGTCAGAGACCTTCACAACAGCCCATCCCATCACATGCCTGGAGGTATAGAAGGGAAAAATGGTTTCATGGGCCAGGCCCAGGGCCTGGCTACTGCTGTATGCAGCCTCAGGACTTGGTGCTCTGTGTCCCAGCGACTCTAGCTCCAGCCATGGCTAAAAGAGGCCAAGGTACAGCTCAGGCTGTTGCTTCAGAGGGTACACGCCCCAAGCCTTTGTGATTTCCATGTAGTGTTGGGCCTGTGGGTGCACCGAAGTCAAAAATTGAGGTTTGGAAACCTCTGCCTAGATTTCAGAAGATTTGTGGAAATGCCTGGATGTTCAGGCAGAAGTCTGCTGCAGGAGCAGAGCCCTCATGTAGAACCTCTGTTAAGGCAGTGTGGGAGGGAAATGTGGGGTTGCAGCCCCCACACAGAGCCCCCACTGAGACACTGCCTAGTGGAGCTGTGAGAAGAAGGCCATCATCCTCCAGACCCCAAAATTTTACGTCTACCACCAGTTTGCTCTGTGTTCCTGGTAAAGCTACAGGCACTCAGTGCCAGCCCATGAAGGTACTGCCCAAGGCTGTGAAAGCCCATCCCTCACATCAGTGTGTTCCAGGTATGAAACCTGCAGTTAAAGATGATTTGGGGGCTTTAAGATTTAATGACTGCCCCACTGGATTTCAGAATTGCAAGAGGCCTGTAGCACCTTTGCTTTGGCCAATTTCTCCTATTTGGAATGGGAGCATTTACCCAATGCCTGTACCCACATTGTATTTAGGAAGTAACTAACTTGCTTTTGATTTTACAGGTTTATAGGTAGAAGGGACTTACCTTGTCTCAGATGAGACTTTGGACTGTGGACTTTTGAGTGAGCACTGAAATGAGTTAAGACTTTGTGGGACTGTTGGGAAGGCACAATTGGTTTTGAAATGTGAAAACACATGAGATTTTGGAGGGGTTAGTGGTGGAATGATATAGCTTGGCTCTGTGTGCCCACCCAAATCTCATCTCGAATTGCAATACCTACGTGTCAAGGGAGGGACCTGTAAATCTTGTGTGTCAAGGGAGGAAGGTGATTGGATTATGGGGGCAGTTTCCCCCATGCTGTTCTCAGTATAGTGAGAGCAGTATAGTAAGAGTGAGTTCTCAGGATATCTGATGGTTTTATAAGTGCCTCTTCTTCCCCCTTCACTCACACTCTTTATCCTGCTGCCTTGTAAAGAGAGTGCCTGCTTCCCTTTCATCTTCCATCATGATTGTATGTTTCCTCAGGCCTCCCCAGCCATGCAGAACTGTGAGTCAATTAAGCCTCTTTCCTTTATAAATTAGCCAGTCTCAGGTATTTCTCTATGGCAGTGCAAAAATAAACTAATACAAGAAGGAAGAAAAAAGTATTTGTTAAATATTAATTTTATTTTAACATTATAGAAATAAATACTAGTTTGAATATGATTGAGGCCTTCTTAAGTCATATTTCCTAAGTATCTGGATCTTTTGGGCAAAGATTCCATACTAAAAGAGAGAAATCAATTAAAAATAAATTGAATCTACTTTTATCAGAAAGCTATAGAATTCCTTCCATTTTGCTTCACCACCCAGTCCTCTTTGTATTTAATTCCAATTAAGATAAATAAAAGAAGGACACTCAGAAATTCTTAGTTCAAGCTGGGTGCGGTGGCTCACACCTGTAATCCTGGCACTTTGGGAGGCACAGGCAGGTGGATCACTTGAGGTCAGGAGTTCAAGACCAGCCTGGCCAACATGGTGAAACCCCGTCTCTACTAAAAATACAAAAATTAGCTGGACATGGTGGCTCATGCCTGTAGTCCCAGCTACTCGGGAGGCTGAGGCAGTAGAATCACTTGAACCTGGGAGGCAGAGGTTGCAGTGAGCTGAGATAGTGCCACTGCATTCCAGCCTGGATGACTGAGTGAGACTCCATCTCAATAAATAAATAAATAAATACATACATACATACATAAATAAGAAAGAAATCCTTAGTACACACAGACTGAATGATCAAATAAAATTAGCCACTTGAAACAATTGCTTCTAGGACTACCAGTTTGGGGTATAATTTGGTAACAAAACAAATCAAAAATTAATTTCTCTACATTTTTTAGATCATAATTCACTTTTATAAAATTAGGAACTACATATCCAACAAAATTAGTTGTGGAATTTCAGAGCAAGGTGAGAATGGCTGGGATGTTTCTCAAACCCATCTCCTCTACATTCCTAAGTACCTTCAGCCTTCTAGGTCATTAAACTCAGGTCATTCAAACACTGGCTTTGAATTTAGGAAAATCCTCAGGACACTTGTCTATCAGTCCATGTCTAGTCATGATGGAAATCTTTGAGTCAAAATTCCACTATTAACGTTTCCCTGGCTTTTTCAATTCTGAGACACAATTGCTAGAATTCCTCTAGTGTTCTATTTACATGAGGGCCCTACTTTGATGTTTAATTTTGGTAGAGATTGAACTTTTATCTGGTTCATGAGTGGAGTATGGTGATAGTATTTTGCTCAGCTTTACGAGGTATACAAATCTCTATTTCCTGGTAACATGTCCTACTTTCCTAAAGCACAGATTATTTTTTTTTATTATTTGTAAATTTTTAATCAACAAATAAAAATTATATATATTTAGTATGTACAACATGTTATTGTGAAATATGTATGCATTGTAGAATGGCTAAATTGAGCTAATTAACAGGTGAATTTCTTAGATTCTCTTTTTTAGCATTGGAGCTGTTTTTCCACTGTCTTCCTCTCTCTCTATGACATAGCACCCCCTACTGCATGGTCCCTCAACTGGGTACATTTCTTCACACTTTGGCAATAGTCTGCTTATGGGTTGCTTGCAAAATTCAAGGAGTGAGACTGTCAGAACAGAAGCTTACAGCTTAGTAAACATTAGGATGGGTCAGCTAGTAATTAGATCTGTTAATAAGGGTGAGGCAGGTACTTATACACAATATAAGTAGACCAGATTTCAGGAGAAAGTTTATACGTAAGATAGAGCCCAGCATACAGTCAGTATACTTACAGATAATCAAGAGACATCAAAGCAGGTTTTTATGTCTTAAAGAAATACGAATTTATAATTAAGAAGATCTAATAACTGGGAATGAAGATCGTGGACTATTAAAGAAAGACTAGAAGAAAATACCATACAGAAAACCAGACTGATACAGCATCAGAGTCCTGTCTTCAGGAAGGCCATGTAACTGGATAGGGTTTAAGAAACAAACTCTGCCTACAAATATTACTGAAAGGAAAGCAAAACCCCTCATCTCATAGAAGCCAGGAAGTTAGAAGGATTAATTTAACCTCCTCAGTTACCCTCACCTACACATTCTAAGATGGATAATTTAAAACTGTTTTAATAGAATAGGAGTATACTGTAATAGTTTATTAAAATATCTGGATCACCTTTATTAAGATAATTTTAAAGTCTTTTAAGGGTGTTCTTTCAAATGTCCTAATAAAATTTCCACTATGGGAGTCATACATTTATGTTAAATAAAATGTTTTCAAGGGGTTTCTGTTTAGCTAACATCTTGAAATACAATTAAACACTTAATGCAGCTAAATAACTCAACATTTAAACTCTTCAAAGTTATATCTCCCATATCCTCCTACAAAAGGTTTTAAAAGATAGAAAAATGGCCATTGTCAATGGAAAAATGACTACTCAGGATTATCATGTGCGTATGTACATGTGTCTGTGTGCACTTGTGTATGTGTTTATGATTCATTTTTTTAAATGTTTTTCTATGAATAGACAATTTTAAGGTGTATCAAATCTGCTTTCTCTTAAAGTCATTTTTGTCTCATTTAAAGTAAAAGCTTTTTCTAAAATAAAAGCTAATAATGTTTATAAGACAAACATATTAAGGAAATAATTAAAATACCCATGTGCAGATATTTTATATTTCTTAGTCCCTGGAGAGAAAAATTAAAGGAATAATTTGTGTATGTGAAGCTGTGTATTACTTTGTTGTTTGTGCAACTATTTTTTGCACAGTTTGTATGTATACATATAGCATTCCTCCCCGCCAAAAAATTTCCACAACTTTTAAGGATAGCTTTCCAAATAATACAAAATCAAAAGTTTCTAGGTTTTAGCCTCTCTACCTAAAAACTAAAGAATTGAATTCAAATTATCCAGGAATATAAAATTTTGACTCTTTATAATTACTTTTTAGTTATTTGAATCAAACATGTTAAAATCTGAGTAAATTATTTACATTTGTTTTTAAAATGTTACTCTGAAATATAAAAGTTACCTAGAACTTTACACAAATATGGCCTATTTTCTTAAAAAAGTGCTTGAACTGAAATATTCTCAGACCAAAAACAATGTCAGCACATTAATTATAGATTATTATTTATACAATTATTAGAAGACAGAATATCATTCATATAACTTTATACTGTAGCTACAATTTACATTTTTAAAATTTTCAATTATAATATTTTATATGAAATATAATCACTTTTAATTTTTACTATTCATAGCTACCTTATTTAGAAGGACTAAAATTTTAGATGATGTGACTGTATGTAATTTTGTTAACATGAAATTTTTATACATTGTGTTAATCCCTTATTGTTCATAAAGCTTAGTAACAGGCCGGGCGCGGTGGCTCACGCCTGTAATCCCAGCACTTTGGGAGGCCGAGGCGGGTGGATCATGAGGTCAGGAGATCGAGACCATCCTGGCTAACAAGGTGAAACCCTGTCTCTACTAAAAATACAAAAAATTAGCCGGGCGCGGTGGCGGGCGCCTGTAGTCCCAGCTACTCGGGAGGCTGAGGCAGGAGAATGGCGTGAACCCGGGAAGCGGAGCTTGCAGTGAGCCGAGATTGCGCCACTGCAGTCCGCAGTCCGTCCTGGGCGACAGAGCGAGACTCCATCTCAAAAAAAAAAAAAAAAAAAAAAAAAAGCTTAGTAACAAATACATGCTATATTCTCAGCTACACAAAGGGAACAGAGTTTGTAAAAGTTGGGGTGGGAACTCACAGGTAATTTACATTTGCCAATTAACTTTACCCAAAACAAAAGTCAACTTTCCACTATCTTCCTGACAGGATATAGTTTGACAAGGCACCTGGCGAAGTTAAGCTCCTACTTTCCCACAGAAACTGAGAGATAGGGGTGCTTTCTTCCTTGATGATTACATTTCTGAGGTGATTCCCAGGTCCTTAAGAAAGACATTCTTGGGTTATCACAAGGGTAAGAGGCTTTTATAAGAATTTACACCTCAAAGGGGCATGGGAAGTACTTACAATTACACATTTTCTAATGTAAATTCACTGAGAAAAAGAAAGGTACCTATGGTCAGGAATAAGACTTCTTGGGTGCTTTACTTCCAACTATGTGGTCAATTTTGGAATAACTGTGGTGTGGTGCTGAAAAGAATGTATATTCTATTGATTTGGGGTGGAGAGCTCTGTAGATGTCTATTAGGTCTGCTTGGTGCAGAGCTGAGTTCACTCCTCAGCAAATGTAAAAGAACAGAAATTGTAACAAACTGTCTCTCAGACCATAGTGCAATCAAACTAGAACTCAGGATTAAGAAACTCACTCAAAACTGCTCAACTACATGGACACTGAACAACCTGCTCCTGAATGACTACTGGGTACATAACGAAATGAAGGCAAAAATAAAGATGTTGCTTGAAACTAATGAGAACAAAGACACAACATACCAGAATCTCTGGGACACAGATACAGCAGTGTTTATAGGAATATTACTAGCAATAAATTCCCACAGGATAAAGCAGGAAAGATCTAAAATTGACACCCTAACACCACAATTAAAAGAACTAGAGAAGCAAGAGCAAACACATTCAAAAGCTAGCAGAAGGTAAGAAATAACTAAGATCAGAGCAGAACTGAAGGAGATAAATACACAAAAAATCCTTCGAAAATCAATGAATCCAGGAGCTGGTTTTTTGAAAAGATCAACAAAATTGATAGACCGCTAGCAAGATTGATAAAGAAGAAAAGAGAGAAGAATCAAACAGACGCAATAAAAAATAACAAAGGGGTTATCACCTTTGATCCCACAGAAATACAAACTACCATCAGAAAATACTATAAACACCTCTAAGAAAATAAACTAGAAAAATGTAGAAGAAATGGATAAAATGTAAACATACACCCTCCCAAGACTAAACCAGGAAGAAGTTGAATCTCTGAATAGACCAATAACAGGATCTGAAATTGAGGCAATAATCAATAGCTTACCAACCAAAAAAAGTCCAGGACCAGATGGATTCACAGCCAAATTCTACCAGAGGTACAAGGAGGAGTGGGTACCATTCCTTCTGAAACTATTCCAATCAATAGAAAAAGAGGGAATCCTCCCTAACTCATTTTATGAGGCTAGCATCATCCTGATACCAAAGCCTGGCAGAGACACAACAAACAAAGAGAATTTTAGACCAATATCCCTGATGAACATCGATGCAAAAATCCTCAATGAAATACTGGCAAACCGAATCCAGCAGCACATCTAAAAGCTTATCCACCATGATCAAGTGGGCTTCATCCCTGGGATGCAAGGCTGGTTCAACATACAAAAATCAATAAACGTAATCCATCATATAAACAGAACCAAAGACAAAACCACATGATATCTCAATAGATGCAGAAAAGGCCTTTGGCAATATTCAACAGCACTTCATGCTAAAAACTCTCAATAAACTAGATATCGATGGAATGTATCTCAAAATAATAAGAGCTAATTATGACAAACCCACAGCCAATACCATACTGAATGGGCAAAAACTGGAAGCATTCCCTTTGAAAACTGGCACAAGACAGGGATGCCCTCTCTCACCACTCCTATTCAACATAGTGTTGGAAGTTCTGGCCAGGGCAATCATGCAGAAGAAGGAAATAAAGGGTATTCAGTTAGGAAAAGAGGAATTCAAATTGTCCCTGTGTGCAGATGACATGGTTGTATATTTAGAAAACCCCATCGTCTCAGCCCCAAATGTCCTTAAGCTGATAAGCAAATTCAGCAAAGTCTCAGGATACAAAATCAATGTGCAAAAATCACAAGCATTCTTATACATCAATAACAGACAGCGAGCCAAATCATGAGTGAACTCCCATTCACAATTGCTTCAAAGAGAATAAAATACCTAGGAATACAATTTGCAAGGGATGTGAAGGACCTCTTCAAGGAGAACTACAAACCACTGCTCAATGAAATAAAAGAGGATACAAACAAATGGAAGAACATTCCATGCTCATGGGTAGGAAAAATCAATATTGTGAAAATGGCCACACTGCCCAAGGTAATTTATAGATTCAAGGCCATCCCCATCAAGCTACCAATGACTTTCTTCACAGAATTGGAAAAAACTACTTTAAAGTTCATATGGAACCAAAAAACAGCCCACATTGCCAAGTCAATCCTAAGCCAAAAGAACAAAACTGGAGGCATCACCCTACCTGACTTCAAACTATACTACAAGGCTACAGTAACCACAAGAGCATGGTACTGGTACCAAAACAGAGATACAGACCAACGGAAAAGAACAGAGCCCTCAGAAATAATGCCACATATCTACAACTATCTGATCTTTGACAAACCTGACAAAAACAAGAAATGGGGAAAGGATTCCCTATTTAATAAACGGTGCTGGGAAAACTGGTTAGCCATATGTAGAAAGCTGAAACTGGATCCCTTCCTTACACCTTATACAAAAATTAATTTGAGATGGATTAAATACTTACATGTTAGACCTAAAACCATAAAAACCCTAGAAGAAAACCTAGGCATTACCATTCAGGACATAGGCATGGGCAAGGACTTCATGTCTAAACACCAAAAGCAATGGCAACAAAAGCTAAAATTGACAAATGTGATCTAATTAAACTAAAGAGCTTCTGCACAGCAAAAGAAACTACCATCAGAGTGAACAGGCAACCTACAGAATGGGAGAAAATTTTTGCAATCTACTCATCTGACAAAGGGCTAATATCCAGAATCTACAAAGAACTCAAACAAATTTACAAGAAAAAATGAAACAACCCCATCAACAAGTGGGCGAAGGCTATGAACAGACACTTCTCAAAAGAAGACATTTATGCAGCCAAAAGACACATGAAAAAATGCTCATCATCACTGGCCATCAGAGAAATGCAAATCAAAACCACAATGAGATATCATCTCACACCAGTTAGAATGGCGATCATTAAAAAGTCAGGAAACGAGAGGTGCTGGAGAGGATGTGGAGAAATAGGAACACTTTTACACTGTTGGTGGGACTGTAAACTAGTTCAACCATTGTGGAAGTCAGTGTGGCGATTCCTCAGGGATCTAGAACTAGAAATACCATTTGACCCAGCCATCCCATTACTGGGTATATACCCAAAGGATTATAAATCATGCTGCTATAAAGACAAATGCACACGTATGATTATTACAGCACTATTCACAATAGCAAAGACTTGGAACCAACCCAAATGTCCACCAATGATAGACTGGATTAAGAAAATGTGGCACATATACACCATGGAATACTAAGCAGCCATAAAAAATGATGAGTTCATGTACTTTGTAGGGACATGGATGAAGCTGGAAACCATCATTCTCAGCAAACTATCGCAAGGTCAAAAAACCAAACACCGCATGTTCTCACTCATAGGTGGGAATTGAACAATAAGAACACAGGACACAGGAGTGGGAACATCACACACTGGGGTCTGTTGTGGGGTGGGGGGAGGCAGGAAAGATAGCATTAGGAGATATACCTAGTGTTAAATGACGAGTTAGTGGGTGCAGCACACCTACATGGCACATGTATACATATGTAACAAACCTGCACATTGTGCACATGTACCCTAAAACTTAAAGTATATTAAAAAAAAAAAAAAAAAGAGTTCTTGAGTCCAGGCCAGGCTCCATGGCTCACGCCTATAATCCTAGCACTTTGGAGGCCGAGGAAGACAGATCACCAGTCAAAAGATCAAGACCATCATGGCTAACATGTCAAAACCCCATCTCTACTAAAAATACAAAAAAATTAGCTGGGTATGGTGACACGTGCCTATAGTCCCAGCTACTTGGGAGGCTGAGGCAGAAGAATTGCTTGAATCCAGGAGGTGGAGGTTGCAGTGACCTGATTTGAGCCACTGCACTCCAGCCTGGGCGACAAAGTGAGACTCCTTCTCAAAAAAAAAAAAAAAAAAAAAAAAAAAAAAAAAAAAAATTCTTGAGTACAGTCAAATTGAAGGGGAACAGTCAAATTAAAGGCTGTCTTGGTCATCTCTAAAGATAAAGTTTATGCTTCAGCATGGCTCTTTACAATTTGTGTGGAACTTTTGTTTAGAAATTATTTTTTAGTACGGTCAAAAATTAGTTTAATTGAATTGCTTCTAGGCATAAACAAAATTTTAATTTCTGACATACACTTGCTTAATTTAAAACAAATAACATAAATCAAAGTATAAACTAGAAACCATTATTAAAAGTTTTTATTTTTAAAAGTATTCTAAACTCCATAAAATATTTTTATGAGAGCAACATTGATAAAAGTATTACTTTACTGAGTATTTATCAAATGTATTTTACAAAATAAAGGATAAAGAATGCTTACCCAGGCGAGGCCCAACAAACACCATGTCCCCAGAAAATAAGAATCTCCCAGAGTGTTGGTAAAATGATCCAGCATTGCTATGAAAGCCTTTATTGGGGTAATACAATTTCTAAATATGCATCATTTCAAAAGAAAACAGTGATCGGTACAAATATTTATATGTAAGTATCTATGACTATGTCAATGAAAAGAGTCAAACTTGTAAAATATTTAAAGAGATTTATTCTGAGCCAAATACAAGTGATCATGGCCTGTGACACAGCCCTCCGGAGGTCCTGAGAATATGTGCCCAAGGTGGTCGAGGGCGCAGGTTGGTTTTATTCATTTTAGGGAGACAGAAGACTTCAATCAAATACATTTAAGAAATACATTGGTTTGGTCCAGAAAATTGAGACAACTTGGAAGGGGGTGAGGGGGATGCTTTCAGATTATAGGTAGATTAAAAAATTTCTTGTTGACAATTGGTTGAGTTTAAAGACCTGGGATCAACAGAAAGAAAATGTCTGGATTGAGATAAGAGGTTGTAGAGACCAAAGTTTAATCATGCAGATGAAGCCTCCAGGTAGCAGGCTTCAGAGGGAATAGCTGTAAATGCTTCTTGATCAGACTTAAAGGTCTATGTTGATTTTAACACTGGAGAGGTATACTGAGACATGTTAGACACTTACTTCCCGTTATGGCCTGAACCAGCCCTGAATGAGGAGAAAGTCCATTCAGATGGCTGGGGGCCCTTCGAATTTTATTTTTGGTTTACAAAGATAACCAAACCCAGATTTGGCTTCTCACCAATCAAAAACCAAACTCAAAAGACAAGAGCTAGTGGGAAGAAAAGCAGGTTTATTCAGAGAACTAACCAAGAAGATGGTGAAAGTACCATATTAAGTTAGTACAAAGTTAGTACAAATATCAGGCACTTTTATTTTATTTTATTTTATTTTATTTTATTTTATTTTATTTTATTTTATTTTTTTGAGACAGAGTCTCCCTCTGTCGCCCAGGCTGGAGTGCAGTGGCGCTATCTCGGCTCACTGCAAGCTCCGCTTCCCGGGTTCACGCCATTCTCCTGCCTCAGCCTCCCGAGTAGCTGGGACTACAGGCGCCGGCCACCACGCCCGGCTAATTTTTTGTATTTTTAGTAGAGATGGGGTTTCACCATGTTAGCCGGGATGGTCTCGATCTCCTGACCTCGTTATCCACCCGCCTCGGCCCCCCAAAGTGCTGGGATTACAGGCGTGAGCCACCGCGCCCGGTATCAGGCACTTTTTTGTTAAGGGCAGGAGGAAGAAAGGTTGCAATCAAGAGTGACCCATGACCTCAAACATCTGAGTGCCAGTGAGGGTCCTAGGTCCTAGGACATAGGGAATTTATTTGTCTTTGGTCAGGCCACAGTGCTCCTATAAATCTTTAACAAAACATAATTAGTCGTTTACACACTTGCCGTTAAATCCCAGAGTTAGTTTCAAAAACTGGAAGATTGCTGGTTTTGCATTTTATCCAAGTGCTCTAAAATTATCCTACTCTACAGGTGGGAATGGGTAAAGGCCCCTTAACCCAAAATGGAGTGAATTACGTTCATTCTTTCACTGTTTCACTATCACATTGGTCAGGTGCAATGGCTCTTACCTGTAATCCCTGCTCTTTATGAGGCCAAGCTAAGAGGATCGTTTGAAGTTAGAGGATTGAGACCAGCCTGGGCAATGTAGTGAGACCCGATCTCTACAAAAACTTTTAAAAAAATTATTGGGATGTAGTGGTGAGTGCTCATAATTCTATCTACTCAGGAAGCTAAGGAAGGAGGTTAACTTGAGCCCAGGAGTTCTAGACTTCAGTGAGCTATGATCACACCATTGCACTCCAGCCTGAGCAACGGAGAGAAAGACCCTGTCTCTAAACAAACAAACAAAAAAGAAATTATACATGATATAAATGTCCATTAAAAATAAGCGAAAAAGAGATAACAAGTGTTGACAAGGGTGAAAAGGAAAACTTTGTATACTGTTAGAGGGACTGTAGAGTGGCGTGGGCATTATGGAAAATAGTACGCAGATTTCCAAATAAATTAAAAATAGAATTCTCACATGATGCAGCAATCTCTCCTCTAGGTATATACCCAAAGGAAATGAAATTACCATTTTGTAAAGATATTCGTATCCTCATATTCACGGCCATACTATTCACAATAGCCAAGATAGGGAAACAACCTGTGTTTGCTAATGGATGAATGAATTTAAAAAATTGTGGTATGTATGTGTGTGTGTGTATGTGCATATATATATATATATATATATATATATATATATATATATATCACAGTTTTAAAAATCATTTCATATAGTACATGTGTATACAGACACATACACACACACACACACACAGAGACACACACACACAATGGATTATTCTGCTTTTAAAAATAAGGATATCTGTCATTTGCCACAACAAGGATGAATCTGGAGGACATTTTGTTAAGTAACATAAGCCAGACACAGAAAGAAATATATTGTAGATCTCACTTATACATGGAATCTAAAAAAGTGGAAATTAAATGAACAGAGATAGAGAATAAAACAGTGGTTACCACCAGCACAGTGGGGAAGAAAGAATTAGGGAGATTTAAGTCAAATGATTCAAAGTAGCAGAGGAAAAGGTCTAAAAATGTAATTTACACCATGAAGACTAAAGTTAACAATAATGCATTGTATTTAGGATTTCTGCTTAATGAGTAGATTATAGGTGCCCTTACCACAGTGCAGGGGAGGGGTGGAATGAGTAACTATATGAGATGATGTGTTGACTTGTTTCACTATAGTAATCATTTATATATATATATGTGTGTGTGTATATATATGATTGATATATATATATATCATTTATATATACACATATATAGTAAAACATGTGTGTACCTTAAATATTCACAATAAAATTTATTTTAAAAATAAATGTGTCAAAAGGTAAATTATTAATGAGGATATATTGAAATGCTGATGCTATACAGCCATCAGCATTGTTAAAGATGTGTGTGGTTTTAGATATTATGAATGTGTGCATACGTTTGTGTGTGTGTGGAGAGAGAGAAAAAGAGAAAGAAAAATTATATAAATGTATCTATTATATATATTTGTTATCAGTTGTCAAATTCTGTATGTAGAATGTAAGAAAACTGGGCTATCTCTGGAGATTATCTCTGGAGATAAAAGCTAATATTTTAAAAAGCACAAAGCCTTGTGTAGAAATGCAAAATTATTCTCCTAGTTATCCTGACAGTGACTGCAGTTCTTTCTTATTCAGAATACAGTGACAACTCCTATGCCCCAAAAGAAATTCAAATATTAAACATTTTACAGAAATGTATTGCTGTTTATCTAGACACAGAGCCACTCCAAACATTGTCAGAAATGTTGAATGCTATTAATAGCTCTCTTCTCTAGCTCTCTACTGCACAGATTAACTTACTAATAATCACAACCACGTTTTGATTTCTGCATTGTCTTATCTATGTGTCTTTCTTAGCATCATTTCACTGAGTTTTCCTATTTTCCTCTTTTATTTAAATTTCTCCAGTGTTCTTAGCATCATTTCACTGAGTTTTCTTATTTGCCTCTTTTATTTAAATTTCTCCAGGGAAAGTATCTGATGGAGTTTAGAATCACCATCTAGCCTATTGCTTTCACATTATATCCCATCATGATGTAATGATCAGACACGGAATCCCTGACTTCCATTAAAATTTTAATCTCTGCCCCTAAGAGTTGTTTACAAACAATAAGCACCCTGGGAAGTATTCAGAGCAGAGACTTTATATTTCTTCTATCTTCTTTCTTTAAAAATATTCTGTAGGTGTTTCCTCTGCTCTTGAATAAATTTCTTTTCCAGAATCATAAGTAATAGAGAATTCTAAATTACTTAAATCAAGAAGTGCTTCCTTGAGTTATAAATATTCTTATATGCATTCTAATATATTACTCAAAACAGTAAGCCTTTTTTGTTTATCTCCCCTTACCTTGTGCAGGTTAAAGAAGAAGAAATCATTGGAGTCTTTATTCTTTCTTGCTCTCCTCATTTACCGCTCATTAGCTGCTGTTTCCAACCCCTCCAGGATCAGAGCAAAAGTAAAGAAGAAAGATGAAGGGTATAGAAAATTTCCTACTTGATGGTTACTCTTAAAAGAGCTTAGCAGATTCTGGATTTTGAAAATATTTAAAGCTTACTGTCGCTCTCACGGACCGATTTTGGGCCCATCAGCTAAAACTCCCCTGACGATGTTTATTTTGATGCTCCTTCAGCCAACAATTATTTTTTTCCAGAGTTTGACTTTGCAGCAGTCCACTCCACACAAATACTATGTACTCCCTGAAGATAATCCTCTTAGCTTGGACAGAACATAACTCCGTCCTGGCTCTCTCCAGATAGAGTTTATTTTATAGAACTGAATGTGCTGCTTTTCCAGCACAATTGGTTAAAAAGAGTAGTCTATCTCATGAAATTACTTAGACACATTTGTTTGGTATCAACTGACTGTAAGTGTGCGTCCATTTCTCTTTTCTGCTCCATTCATTCATATGTCTATCTTTATACCAATACCACATTGTCTTGATTACTGTAGTTTTATAGTATTCCAATTAAATAGACAGTGTTAGTTCTCTAAATTTGTTCTTTGTTTTCAAAATTGCTTTGACTATACTATGTTCCTAGAATTTCCATATATATTTTGGAATAATCCTGTCTATTTCTATAGAAGTTTGCTGGGATTTTGATCAGCATTGAAGGTAATCCATAGATTGACTTGAGGAGAAAGTAGACTATACTATGTTCTCAGTATTTCCATATGCATTTTGGAATAATCTTGTCTATTTCTAAAGAAGTTTCCTGGGATTTTGATTGGCATTGAAAGTAATCTACAGATTGACTTGAGGAGAAAGAATGTGTTAACCACATCAACTCTTCCAATTCAATAACAAGGTATATCTCTTTGTTTATTTTGGTATTTGTTACTTTCTCACAGCAATATTTTGTGGTTTTTCATTTCACAGATCTTGCACATATATAGTAAAATGTATTTATAAAACTTCATATTTTGATTTAAAAATATATTTCCAATTGCTTATATTACATATAATTGATTTTTGCATACTGACCTAGCATCTTAGAATTCGCTAAGATTATACTAGATTTGAGCTTAGCAAATCTCATATTTGGTAGGTTCCTTAGGATTTTCTGCATACTTGATCATATCCTCAAATCAAATAAAGGAGGTTTATTGCTTTGTTTCAATCTGCATTCTCTCTTTCTCTATCTGTCTCTCTCATTGCATTGTCTAGGATCATAGTATAACATTAGGTAGAAATGAGAAGAAGTTTAGATGTTTACCCTTGCCTTGTTCTTGATTTTCAGAGAAAAGCATTTTATATTTATTGTTAAACATAATATTAGCTCTAGATTCTTTGCTTGTTTTATTTAAGCTCCTTTTTATGTGGTTAAGGGAATTCTTTTCTTGTCCTAGTTTGAAGAAAACTTTTATCTAGATAATGTTGGATTTTATTAGGTGATTTATTTGCATTTAGAGAAATGATAACTTTTTCTCACTTATTTGGTTAATATGATGGAGTGAATTGATTTTCAAAGTGAAATTGTTATTGAATTTATGGGATAAAGTCTACTTGGTCATGATGTGCTATCATTTTTATGCATTGGTGAATCCTAATTGTATTTTATAAAAAGTTTATACATGCAGTATGTACATATATAGATACATATAAATATACACACATATGAACAAACTCATATTAGACTGTAGTTTACTTGTAATATCATAATCTGGTTTTGTTATTTTAATTAATAAAGACAGTACTATTAAATCCCCAAATGTGATTTTTATTTTCTATTTCTTCTTTGAGTTTTGTCAGTTTTTGTCTTACTTATTTTGAAACACTTTTTTTTCTAAAAATACTAAATAGTTACAAAAGGCATTTATAAATTTATTATACAATATTACTACACATGTTGCAAGCTAACCTAAACACTTTTAAGTTTAATATTTATAATTAATAGGTTTTTCATTAAATAGTAGTGAGAAACTAGAAAAATCATTTCATAATACCCTTCCATCAAACATAAAATATGTTTATTAAAGTTATACTGAAGTAAAAGAGAGTTTGTCACCACAATTCTTTAGAGTATTTTCTATAAAAATAAATAAGCCATTTGGTAGGCAAAAGTCACAGATATCCTGGTATGGGAGTAATAGAAAAACAGCATGGGGCTGAGCTTAGGTGAAATTGAAATTAATTTTCACAGTTTAGTTGCCAGGTGGTCTAAGATGACATGGCTATTTAATCTTAGCTTGTAAAGGTGTGAAAGTCATAATATAAAAACTGACACATTCAAATAGAAAGAGAGACAATATTATAATTAGGCTTCATGTTCATAGTAAAGTGTGAAAGCAAAAGATTTTTTTTTACAAATCTCTCTGAATTGTAAGAAAAACCTATTTTTTGGAAGGTAAATAAGGATTTATATAGTTTTTATTCTCTGTATTACTTGTAGCAGAAGATTTTCTTGGCTGATGCTTATGTTCAAGAATGATCATTTTACCAGTGCCTGAGATCAATTTTTAGAACCATTCTACTGATGGAAATATGCCTAATTGCATGGTGCAAGATCCAGTTTTTTTTTTTTTTCCTATGGAGCGTTGTTTTTAAATTAGACCACGCTATCTGTTTCCCTTTCTAATTAAGATACAATCCCATTTGCCCTGATTGCCACAAAATTGTCTGTGAAATATATCTGACAAGTACTTTTGATGTCTTTACAAATAAATTTCAATGTATCATATTTATAATTTGTAACATATATAAAGCAATATTTTATGTTAGACACAACAAATATGACTGAGTAGATTATACTGCCTTTAGTGAACATTTATACCATAATGGTCTGGAGTAGATTTACATCTATATTGGTATTTTATTTGTGAGCAAAGTAACATTATAAAATTGGAAATATCTTGTATTCCATATATAACAATTACAATTACAGAATCATGATGACTAAAAATTACATTTATAAACCTTCTGGAAAAGAGAAACCCTACTGAAACGACTAGTGCTTTACTACCATTAAAACCATTTCCTCACCTATATATGATTAATTTCTACACATACAATATATCACAATCTTATTTTTCACAGCAAAGACCCATATTATTTTCTATATAACAAATTTTAAAATTTCTTAACTTTAGTCTCTGTAAATGATATTTTAAGAATAAATGATACTTGATTTGGTAATGAGACTCATCTATAGCATGTATAGCAATTTTGTAGGCCAAATCTCTTTGTGTAGGCTAAATCTATAATACTATAGACTCATCTATAGTACTTTTGTAGGCTAAAGATAACATTCAAGTGTATAAAATAATTATAATTACTTATTACTGAACATGTCAAACTTTAAAAATGCACCAAAAGTGTTTCCTAGGCTATATCTTATATTTTAATTAAATTATTTAAAATTATGTAAGAGAATGTTTTATATTTACTCTTTATTTTACATAATCCTCAAAATGACTTCTCTGTTAGATAAGATATAAGCAGAACAGCAAACTCAATATGTGTTTACCTATGAGTTATCATACTTAAGGAGAGTGGTCAAAGTAAAATTTCTGCATGACATGTCTGTATAACAAGTACCGAAAACACTGATTGTAAGCTAACATGTTTTTGGGGGTTATAGTATTATATAAAATATATTAACAAAAACTAAATGTTTTTACTCTCACTTAACTTTTCTTAAAATATTAAATTATTAAAGTTCAATTTCAATGAATTACATTCTATTACACTGCATATAATTTATGTAAATTAAACAAGATTATAGGTTTTGGGTGTATAAGGCTAGCTACTGCATCAAGAAATAAATAAGATTTTAACACTGGAGGTTGATCAGTCGCTTATATCACAATCCAATATGGTTGCCATTAGAAAATCATACCCAGTCCATCTTTTAATCTTCTGTAGCTGATCTCCTTCTTATGTGGCCCAAGAGGTTATAGCCCATGTGGAAAAAAAGGGAAATGAAGTATGGTGTGAGGAAGATATTACAAAACAAATTTGATTGTACCATATATCCATTCTTCTCATATTTTATTAAGCAGAAATTTGTCAGACGTCTCCACCTAACTGCATGAAAAGAAAGAATAGATGCTGGAAAATATAATTTTTCTGTGTGCCTAGGCAAGAAAACTAGATATATTTAGGAAAAATCTGTTATTTCTTTTTTCATAAATGCCAAAAAAAAAAAAGGAAAAAAGAAAAGAAAAAGAGAGATCAAAACCATATGCATAAAATATGCATTAAATTTTTTTCTGGGATTTCTAAGGCAGGAGAGCTGTGACACATACTGGGTAAAGTTGCCAAAAACAACAGAGTAATGTAATTGATAAACCACAAATGCACTATTCATTTATACTTTTCTAATTTCAGAAGACCAAAATTAGATTCTCAAAGAGTAGATTGTGAGAGCTTCTTCTGCATTTAAAAATGGTGTTAAATATTCATTATTACTATAAAGTGACTTGCGTTGGCAGAATACTTTTTTCTTTTTTACTAAATTGGTTCGATTTTTCTTCAATGAACAAATTATATTTGTAAATTAAAAATATATTTGTCTCTTACTGTGGAGAAAAATTAGAGAAAAAATATTTGCCATAAAATGGTAGCGTTCTAACAAATTATCACTAAACAATATCGGTTACAGACACTGTGTTAAACAGTTTGCCTATGTATTGTTTAATTTTTATGAGATTTTACACTAAAACAGATTTTCATTATTAAAGAATCCAAAAGATTAATTTAAACTTAATGATATCTCACTGTATGAGCTGATTCTGTGTCATGGACTACAGAAATAAAATAATAATTATTTTTTATTATAAGCATATATTCTACTCTGTAGTTAATTTGCTATCACTGATCCTGATGACATTGTTTCCTTGGCTCAGGGTAGCTGGGTCTTGCTTCGTTGCTATTGTTTAATTTTCCATACAACATTCTACAGTAAGACAATATTTTTGACATTATTTCATTTACCATTTTAATTTTATAAAATCTTGAAACAAAAAGGCACTAAAACTTGCTAAGTTCACTCATACTATGTATTGCTATCATTGGGAGTATTTACACAAAATGATTTATGAGATACTTATCTGAATGATACATATTTTTATATTTCCTAGCATCAAAGTAGAAATATCATCCCCCAAAACCAAATGTAAGCTAGAATTTCAAAGAGACGGAGTTGAATAATTTTGAAATGCACTTTCAACCTACTGAAAATAGATAAAAAGTAAAATAGAATACTTATTTGTTAAAGTTTTCTTCCATATTCATTTTTTGGTTACCAAAAACTTCAAATTTTCTGGATATTTTATGGGAAAGATTACATTGCATTTCAAGTTGTATCAGAATATAAAAACCATACAGGTTTTTGAAAAAAAATTATCTGACAATTTTCAGTCTACTTCTGTAGTTCTTAGGTTTATAGATAAAACAGGACATTTTTCCAATGATTTGTCTGCAAAATGTAGCTTAAAAAAAAACAACAAACTATCAGATTCTACGAAAAATGAAAATGAACACAAAAGTGATTATTTTATAGAGTAAGGAGTTTTCATTGCTATGAATAGCTCCTAACTTGTGACCATATTCTGCATTACCTTTTCTCAGTTATCTTGAGAAATATGTTCATGTTCTGATTTTTTAAAAAATTAGAAAAACTCAGAAATGCCTAAGAATCACACCTAACTTTATTTCACTGCAAGTACATTTTATGCATTCAGTACTGAATTTTAAAGGTGATAACTAATTTTAAATTCATCACTTCATTACACATCACTAAAATAAATTATATAAATAAGCTTATTGGAAATATTTTCCTATTTTATTAAAGATTATATTTCTTTTTGGAAAGAAATAATCAAAGCAATACTTTGAGGTAAGGCAAGGAAACTTGGATGCATTGAATGCTCTTACTAGTAAACCAAGAGAAAAAACTTCATTTAAAAAAACTTAAATCATAAATATACATTCCATAGTATTAAGAAATAAGGTGGGTTGTAGATGTTTGATGTTGCTGGATAGAATGGTGAGATGACTAAGACCATTTAAAAGTATATCATCATGTTAGTACATAGTCATCAATTTGCTTGCTGAGACAAGTTGTTAAGCTGCTCAAAACTTAGAGACTTCCAAAGGGATGTTTATACCCAATATACTTCTCACTTCTTCATAATTATGTTAGTTCAACATGGTAATAGCAAAGTATTTGGGGATTATAGCTTATGCATAAATAAAATGAAAGATATCAATTTTATAAAAGATGCAAGAGAGGAACTGGAAATACATCTATAAGTAACTGTGCTACCAGTGAAATATTATAGTGTTATTTGAACCTAGATTTATTAGTTGTAATCCATCTTTTATGCTCTAGGGCAAGCATTGAATGTCTGTTTTTAAAATAAGTATACTGATATGCTAAGAAAGGAGGATAAATAGAATCCTGTAGAAAGAAAGAAAGTGGAAGAAGAAAAAAAGAAAAAAGTGAATGATCAGAAATAGTTAAAAATAAGGTATGATAAACCAACTATGTCTGTTAGTAATCTTATAAACTGTGAATGGTTTAGGTACTCCAGATAAAAGACAAAGACTATAATAATGCATTTTTAAA
Source organism: Homo sapiens (assembly GCF_000001405.40). Lineage (NCBI taxonomy): Eukaryota > Metazoa > Chordata > Mammalia > Primates > Hominidae > Homo > Homo sapiens. The sequence goes on from NC_000012.12 coordinate 86,932,464, forward strand.
AATAACAAAATGGTATGTATATATACACAGTGAAATACTATTTATTCTCAAAAAAGAAGGAAATTCTGTGATTTGTGACGATGTGTATGAACCTAGAGGACATTATGCTAAGTGAAATAAGTCAAGCACAAAAATACAAATACCTCATGATCTCACTTACTTGTGGAATCTAAAAAAGTTGAACTCATAGAAGTAGAGTAGAATGATGGTTACCAAAATATGTTCATTAGCTTGATTTAATCATTATGCAATGTATACATATATCAAAATAGCACATTATACGGCATAATATATGTAGTTATTATTTCTTAATTAAAAATAAAAAATCAACACCCAACTAGTCCTTCTCTTTTTCTTTTCTTTTGACAGGGTCTCAATTTGGGTCTCACAGTGTCACCCAGGCTGGAGTGCAGTGGCACAATCACTGCTCACTGCACCCTGGATCTCTCAGGCTTAAGCGATCTTCCTCAGCTAAAACCACAGGACGCAACAAGCTCCACCACACAGGCCAATTTTTGCACTTTTTGTAGAGATGAGGTTTCACCATGTTGCCCAGCCCGCTGTCAAACTCCTGGACTCAAGCAATCCACCTGCCTCGGCCTGCCAAAGTGCTGGGATTACAGGTTTGAGCTACCATGCCTGGCTGAAGAAACATGCTTTAAATACAAGGACACATAGATTGAAAGTAAAGAAAGATATAGTATGCTAAGATTGGCCAGTGGAAAACTGGATTAGTTATATTCATTTCAGACAAAAGCTAGCCTACAGCAAAAGAAATGATCAGAGATGGAAAGGAGCATTAGATATTGATAAAGAAGTCAAATCTAGAAGACATAATGATCCTTAATGTATGTGTACCTAAGAATAGAGCATCAAAATATGTGAGGTAAACATTATGTAAGTTTAAGGAGAAATCCACTATTACAGTGGGAAATTTCAACACAAACCTATCAGCAGTCTACTATTACTATCAGAAATCCACTATTACAGTGGGAAATTTCAACACAAACCTATCAGCAGTCCACTATTACTATCAGAAATCCACTATTACAGTGGGAAATTTCCACACAAACCTAATTCAGCAGTCAGTAAATCAGGAGGGATGTAAATGAAATGAGGAACACTATCATTAATTGGATCTAATTACCATTTGTTGACCACTTCATCCAACAACAGCAAGATACACTTTCTTCTCAAGATCACATGAGTCATTCACAAAGATAGTTTAAATTTTAGGCCATAAAACACACCTAACAAATGTTTAAAAATTAAAATCATACAAAGTTTAACCTCATATCACAACAAAATTAAACTAGATTGGAAAAAAAAACCAAAATTATGTATAAGATAAAATTGCATTTTTTAATTATTATTATTATTATTTTTTTTTTTTGAGACAGAGTCTCGCTCAGTCGCAGGCTATAGTGCAGTGGCGCGATCTCGGCTCACCGCAAGCTCCGCCTCCCGGGTTCACGCCATTCTCCTGCCTCAGCCTCTGGAGTAGCTGGGATTACAGGTGCCCGCCATCACTCCTGGCTAATTTTTTTTGTATTTTTAGTAGAGACGGGGTTTCACCGTGTTAGCCAGGATGGCCTCAATCTCCTGACCTCGTGATCCGCCCATCTCGGCCTCCCAAATTGCTGGGATTACAGGCGTGAGCCACCGCACCGGCCTTTGTTTTTAATTTTGTAGAGACAGAGGAGTCTTGCTTTGTCACCCAGGCTGGAGTGCAGAGGCACAATTATAGCTCAGTATAACCTGGAACTCCTTGGCTGAGGCAATCTTCCTGCTTCAGGCTCTCCAGTAGCCAGGACTACAGGCATATGTCACCATGCACAACTAATTTTTTAAAATTATTTTTTGGAAAGATGATGTCTCACTATGTTCCCCAGGCTGGTCTTGAATTCCTGGCCCCAAGCAATCCTCTCTCCTTGACCTCCCAGACTTCTGCGATTACATGCACCATCCACTGTGCCCAGCCTAAAAATTGCACTTCTAAATAATGTATGGTTAAAATAGTTTGAACTAAATGAAAATAAAATCAAAATGTCAGTATTTGTGCGATACAGTAAAAACAGTACTTAGAGGGAATTTTATAGCATTGAATGCATTTATTTGAAAATAAGAAAGATTAAAAACTTGTTTTTATCTTATAAAACTAGAAAGAAATAAAATTAAATCCAAAGTAAGCAGAATAAAATAATTTATAAATTAGACTAGAAATCAATTAAATTAAAAACAGATAACCAATAGAAACAGATTAAACCTGTTTCTTTGAAAAAATAATAAAATTGATAATCCTTTAGTCAGGCTACCCCCACCCCCCTAAAAAAAGAGAGAATATACAAATTTTTAGCAGAAATGAAAGTGGGGCCATCACCACTATGATTTCATGGACATTTCAAGAATAATAAAGGAATATTAAGAAACACTCTATGACCACAGTTAGATGAAATGGACGATTCCTCAAAAGACACAATCTGCCAAAACTCACACAAAAACAAACAGATAATAGGAGAAGTTAAGCCAATGTTTAATAACCAAATCAGAAAAAGCCAGGTCTTAATGGATTCACTGGTAAATTTTAGGCAAGAAATAATACTGATTCTCCACAATATCTTGCAGAAAATAGAAGCAATTGAAATACATCCTAACTCATACTATGAAGCCAATGTTACCCTAATATCAAAACCAGACAAAAACCTTATAAGAAATGTGTATTACAGACCAATATTTCTCATACACCTAGGCATAAATATCCTCAACAAAATGTAAGCATTATGAATTATGCACTATGAACAATTGAGATTTATGTCAGTATGCAAGACTGGTTAAGTTTTTCAAAAATCCATTTATGTAATTCACCACATCAACAGGCTAAAGGAAAAAAACATGCAATCCCATGCTATTGTATTAATAGATGTAGAAAAAGGATTTGACAAAATCCAATAGCCATTTATGATAAACTCTTAAGAAACACAAAGAGCAGAGTGGAGATTCTTTGGCATGAAAACATATACCAAAAAATTTACAGCTAACATCACCCTTAATGGTGAGAAACTAAGTGCTTTCACACTGAGATAAGAACAAAGCATGAATGTCCTCTCTCATAACTACTATTCAACATCCTACTGGAAGTCCTAGACAATGCAGAAAATCGTGAAAAGAAAATAAAAGATATATCAATGAGAAAGGAGGGATAAACATCTTTGTTCACATATGATATAATTATTTATGTAAGAATTGTCAAAGAATTTTAAAAAACCTACTGAAACTAATAAGTAATTTTGGCAAAGTTTCAATATACAAAGTTAATACACACAAGTCAATTGCCTTCCTGTTTATCAGTAAGAAAAAAATGAACTTTGAAATTAAAAACATATCATTAAAATTTAGCACCAAAAATGCAAACGCTGCGGTATAAATCTGACAAAATATGTATACGATCTATACAAGGAAAACTACACAACTCTGTTGAAAGAAATAAAAGAAGATTTAAATAAATGAAGATGTTTCAAGTTCGTGAACAGAAAGACTCAATATTGTTAATATGTCAGGTTGTCCCAACTTAGCCTAAAGATACAATGCAATATCAAGCAAGATCTTAACAAATTATTTTATGGATTTATTTTATGGATATTGACAATGTGATTCTAAAGTTTATATTAAAGGGAAATGATTCAGAAGAGCCAACACAACAGCAAAGGACAGCCAGAGGACTGACACTACCCAACTTTAAGACTCATATGAGGCTATGATAATAAAGACATGGTGTTATTGGTGAAAGAATAAATCAATCAATCAGTGGAACAGAATAAAATGTCCCCAAATCAACCCTCACATACATTGTCAAATGATTTTTGATGAATAAAGTGAGACAATCCAATGGAAAAAAGATGCTGAAAAGAAAAATAATGCTGGAACAACTAGACATGCACATGATTTAAAAAAAGGAATCTAGAAACAGACCTTACACATATCAAATTATCTCAAAATGGACCATATGCCTAAATTTAAAATGCAAAATTATAAAATTTCTACATAACATAGGGAAAATCTAGGTAACCTTGAGTTTAGAGGTGATATTTTATATATAACACCAAAACACTATACAGGAAAAAGATCAGGTAATTTGGACATTATCAAAATAAAATCTTCCACTCTCCTAATGACAGTGTTTAGAGAATGCAAAGTTAAGCCACAGGCTGGGAGAAAATATTTGCAAAACACATATCTAATAAAGAACTTTTATCCAAATATACAAATAACTCTTAAAACTGAACAGTAAGGAAAACATTTTAATTAAAAAATGGGCAAAATACAGGGCCAGACATTTTATCAAAGAAGATCTATAAATGGCAAATCAGTATATGATAAGGGAAATGAATTGCAAATTAAAACCACAATAAGATATCACGACACACCTATTAGAATGGCTAAAATCCAAAATGCTGACAACACGAATTGCTGTCCAGGTTGTGGAGCAACAGGAACTCGCATTCATTGCTTGTGCAAATACAAAATGGTACAGCTACTTTTAAAGACAGTCTAGCAGTTTCTTATGAAGCTAAAGAGTCTTACCGTATGTTCCAGTAATCACACTCTTTGGTATTTTCTCAAACGAGTTGAAAACTTGTGTCCATACAAAAAAATTGCACCCAAATGTTTAAAGCAGCTTTATTCCTAATTGCTAAAACTTAGAAGCAAATTGTGGGGCATCCATAGGACAGAATATTATTTAGCGAAAGAAAGAAATCTACTCATGAAATGAATTAAGGAAACTTTAAATGCATGCTGCTGTGTGAAAGAGCCCTATTTGAAAAGGCTACATACTATATAACTCCAACTATATGACATTCTGGAAAAGGCAAAACTAAAGAGACAGTAAAAACATGAGTAGTTGCCAGGATCTTGAGCAGAGAATGGAATGAACAGGCAGAACACAGGATTTTGGGGGCAGTGAAACTATTTGTATGACAGTGTAATGACAGATAAAGGACTTTATGTATTGGGGAAAACCCACAGAACTCTACAAAACAAGGTGCAAACCACAAAATAAAATATACATTTTTGTTATTAATAATGTATCAATATTGCTTGATCAATTATAATGAATGTACCACAGTAATGGAAGACGTTAATAATCAGGAAAATCAGAGGGGGCATTTGGGAACCCTTGTACTTTTTGTTAATTTTTTTCTGTAAACTTAAAACTTCTCTAAAAAATGAATTATATTAATTTAAAAAATAAGATGAGTTTTTTTAGTCATTGTTGTTTTCCAATAATTATTTTATAAGTAATAAAATAGCCTAATAAGTAGAGCAACATATAGATGAATATTAATCCAAAATAAAAATGCAAGGGGTTTATAAGCAGAAAAGTTATGTAAGAAATTATAAAGAAAAACAGTTAAAACTTTGACATAAAAATTAACTCCATAAAAAAGAAAATTGTAAATATTCAACTAAAATTAGAAAAAATACAAATGAGAATAAATATTGGTGAGGTATTAGAAAATAAGTGTCAATATCTTAAAGCAGCATAATTTAGTCCATTCTGTAATAGAAATTAGTACTTATGACTGGGGTACTGCCTCAAAAACTAAAATCAAATATTTGTAGAATTGTTTTAGGGGTTCAGCAGTAGGTAGTGAGAAAAAATATATATCATCAGGGTATGAGACAGTATCCAAATTTTGTAGTGGAAAATATTTAGTGCAATACACCAGCAAAGAACTGGAAAACATATGATACAGCTAATTTACCCAGGATTGGTGGGTAACAGGAGGTTAAAATAGCTTGTTGGTAGCACATAATTTTTGCTCTTTGCTGTGTTTGACAAGGCATTATAAGAAACTTATAGCTAAGCAAAGCATTAGCCATTTTGCAAGCAAGAATAAAAGGGAATAGAAAAGAGTAAATAAATTTAGGCATCAGGATGGAAAAGACAAAATGATAGTTGGTCAATATTAAATGATAAGAATGAATGTATTTTAGAAAAGAAGACCATGAAGTACAACTAACCCTGCTACAAGAACTAAAACAGTGCCATCACAAGACCCAGTGTTCATAACTAGAAATGAATTAAGGTGGTGCCTGAGAATTCCTCTTTATTATACCCTTGTTTGGCTCTGTTCTTACATAAAGATCATATTAAGAAAGCATTGTTCAAAAATGAGTACACATTATAGGAAATTACTCAAAAACCCAATACTAGCTGTCAGGCCTCTGAGCCCAAGCCAAGCCATCGCATCCCCTGTGACTTGCACGTATAAGCCCAGATGGCCTGAAGTAACTGAAGAATCACGAAAGAAGTGAATATGCCCTGCCCCACCTTAACTGATGACATTCCACCACAAAAGAAGTGTAAATGGCTGGTCCTTGCCTTAAGTGATGACATTACCTTGTGAAAGTCCTTTTCCTAGCTCATCCTGGCTCAAAAAGCACCCCCACTGTGCACCTTGCAACCCCCACTCCTGCCCGCCAGAGAACAAACCCCCTTTGACTGTAATTTTCCTTTACCTACCCAAATCCTATAAAACAGCTCCACCCTTATCTCCCTTCGCTGACTCTCTTTTCGGACTCAGCCCACCTGCACCCAGGTGAAATAAATAGCTTTATTGCTCACACAAAGCCTGTTTGGTGGTCTCTTCACACGGAAGTGCATGAAATTTGGTGCCGTGACTCAGATAGGGGGACCTCCCTTGGGAGATCAATCCCCTGTCCTCCTGTTCTTTGCTCCGTGAGAAAGATCCACCTACCACCTCAGGTCCTCAGACCGACCAGCCCAAGAAACATCTCACCAATTTCAAATCCAGTAAGCGGCCTCTTTTTACTCTTCTCCAACCTCCCTCACTATCCCTCAACCTGTTTCTCCTTTCAATCTTGGCGCCACACTTCAATCGCTCCCTTCTCTTAATTTCAATTCCTTTCATTTTCTGGTAGAGACAAAGGAGACACGTTTTATCCATGGACCCAAAACTGTGGCACCGGTCACAGACTGCGAAGGCAGGCTTCCCTTGGTGTTTAGTCATTTCAGGGATGCCTCTCTGATTATTCACCCACGTTTCAAAGATGTCAGACCACGCAGGGACACCTGCCTTGGTCTCTCACCCTTAGCGGCAAGTCCCGCTTTTCTGGGGAAGGGGCAAGTACCCCAACCCCTTCTCTCCTTGTCTCTACCCCTTCTCTGCTTTTCTAGGGGAGGGGCAAGTACCCCTCAACCCCTCTCCTTCACCCTTAGCGGCAAGTCCCGCTTTTCTATGGGGCAAGAACCCCCAATCCCTTATTTCCACGCCCCAACCTCACATCTCTGCGCCCCAATCCCTTATTTCTGAGCCCCAACCTCTTATATCTCTGCACCCCAATCCCTTATTTCTGCACCCCAACCTCTTACATCTCTGTGCCCCAATCCCTTATTTCTGTGCCCCAACCTCTTATTTCTGTGCCCCATCCCTTATTTCCATGCCCTGACCTGTTATCTCTGTGCCCCAACCCCTTTTCCCACTTTTCTGGAAGGTAAGAACCCCTGAACCCCTTCCCTCCATTTCTCTACTCTCTCTTTTCTCTAGGCTTGCTTCCTTCACTATGGGCAACCTTCCACCCTCCATTCCTCCTTCTACTCCCTTGGCCTGTGTTCTCAAAAACTTAAAACCTCTTCAACTCACACCTGACCTAAAACCTAAAATGCCTTATTTTCTTCTGCAATGCCGCTTGACCCCAATACAAACTCGACAGTAGTTCCAAATAGCCAGAAAATGGCACTTTGAATTTTTCCATCCTGCAAGATCTAAATAATTCTTGTCGTAAAATAGGCAAATGGTCTGCGGTGCCTGACATCCAGGCATTCTTTTATACATCAGTCCCTTCCTAGTCTCTGTGCCCAGTGCAACTCGTCCCAAATCTTCCTTCTTTCCCTCTCGCCTGTCCCCTCAGTACCAATCCCAAGCGTCGCTGAGTCTTTCTAATCTTCCTTTTCTACAGACCCATCTGACTTCTCCCTTCCTCCCCAGGCTGCTCCTCACCAGGCCGAGCTAGGTCCCAATTCTTCCTCAGCCTCTGCTCCTCCACCCTATAATCTTTTTATCACCTCCCCTCCTCACACCTGGTCCGGCTTACAGTTTCGTTCTGTGACTAGCCCTCCCCTTCCTGCCCAGCAATTTACTCTTAAAAAGGTGGCTGGAGCCAAAGGCATAGTCAAGGTTAATGTTCCTTTTTCTTTATCCCAAATCAGATAGCGTTTAGGCTCTTTTTCATCAAATATAAAAATCCAGCCCAGTTCATGGCTCATTTGGCAGCAACCCTGAGACACTTTACAGCCTTAGACTCTAAAAGGTCAAAAGGCTGTCTTATTCTCAAAATACATTTTATTACCCAATCTGCTCCCGACATTAAATAAAACTCCAAAAATTAAATTCCGGCCCTCAAACCCCACAACAGGATTTAATTAACCTCGCCTTCAAGGTGTACAATAATAGAAAAAAGTTGCAATTCCTTGCCTCCACTGTGAAACAAACCCCAGCCACATCTCCAGCACACAAGAACTTCCAAACACCTGAACCGCAGCGACCAGGCGTTCCTCCAGAACCTCCTCCCACAGGAGCTTGCTACACGTGCCGGAAATCTGGCCACTGGGCCAAGGAATGCCTGCAGCCCGGGATTCCTCCTAAGCCGCGTCCCATCTGTGTGGGACCCCACTGAAAATCAGACTGTTCAACTCACCTGGCAGCCACTCCCAGAGCCCCTGGAACTCTGGCCCAAGGCTCTCTGACTGACTCCTTCCCAGATCTTCTTTGCTTAGCTGCTGAAGACTGACACTGCCCGATGGCCTCGGAAGCCCTCTAGACCATCACGGACGCCGAGCTTCGGGTAACTCTCACAGTGGAAGGTAAGCCCGTCCCCTTCTTAATCAATACGGAGGCTACCCACTCCACATTACCTTCTTTTCAAGGGCCTGTTTCCCTTGCCTCCATAACTGTTGTGGGTATTGACGGCCAGGCTTCTAAACCTCTTAAAATCCCCAACTCTGGTGCCAACTTAGACAATACTCTTTTAAGCACTCCTTTTTAGTTATCCCCACCTGCCCAGTTCCCATATTAGGCTGAGACACTTTCACTAAATTATCTGCTTCCCTGACTATTCCTGGACTACATCTGTATCTCATTGCCGCCCTTCCTCCCAATCCAAAGCCTCCTTTGTGTCTTCCTCTTGTATCCCCCCACCTTAACCCACAAGTATAAGATACCTCTACTCCCTCCTTGGCGACCGATCATGCACCCCTTACCATCTCATTAAGACCTAATCACCCTTACCCCACTCAACGCCAATATCCCATCCCGCAGCACGCTTTAAAAAGATTAAAGCCTGTTATCACTCACCTGCTAGAGCATGGCCTTTTAAAGCCTATAAACTCTCCTTACAATTCCCCCATTTTACCTGTCCTAAAACCAGACAAGCCTTACAAGTTATTTCAGGATCTGCACCTTATCAACCAAATTGTTTTGCCTATGCACCCCGTGGCGCCAAACCCATATACTCTCCTATCCTAAATACCTGCCTCTACAACCCATTATTCTGTTCTAGATCTCAAACATGCTTTCTTTACTATTCCGTTGCATCCTTAATCCCAGCCTCTCTTCGCTTTCACTTGGACTGACCCTGACACCCATCAAGCTCAGCAAATTACCTAGGCTGTACTGCCGCAAAGCTTCACAGACAGCCCCCATTACTTCAATCAAGCCCAAATTTCTTCCTCATCTGTTACCTATCTCGGCATAATTCTCATAAAAACACACGTGCTCTGCCTGCCAATCGTGTCCGACTGATCTCTCAAACCCCAACCCCTTCTACAAAACAACAACTCCTTTCCTTCCTGGGCATGGTTGGATACTTTCGCCTTTGGATACCTGGTTTTGCCACCCTAACAAAACCATTACATAAACTCACAAAAGGAAACCTAGCTGACCCCATAGATCCTAAATCCTTTCCCCACTCCTCTTTCCGTTCCTTGAAGACAGCTTTAGAAACTGCCCCCACTCTAGCTCTCCCTGACTCATCCCAACCCTTTTCATTACACACAGCTGAAGTGCAGGGCTGTGCAGTCAGAATTCTTACATAAGGACCAGGATCGCGTCCTGTAGCCTTTTTGTCCAAACAACTTGACCTTACTGTTTTAGGTTGGCCATCATGTCTCCATGCAGCCGCTTCTGCTGCCCTAATACTTTTAGAGGCCCTCAAAATCACAAACTATGCTCAACTCACTCTCTACAGTTCTCATAACTTCCAAAATCTATTTTCTTCCTCATACCTGATGCATATACTTTCTGCTTCCCGGTTCCTTCAGCTGTACTCACTCTTTGTTGAGTCTCCCACAATTACCATTGTTCCTGGCCCAGACTTCAATCCGGCCTCCCACATTATTCCTGATACCACACCTGACCCCCATGACTGTATCTCTCTGATCCACCTGACATTCACCCCATTTCCCCAGATTTCCTTCTTTCCTGTTCCTCACCCTCATCACGCTTGATTTATTGATGGTAGTTCCACCAGGCCTAATTGCCACACACCAGTAAAGGCAGGTTATGCTACAGTACAAGCCACTAGCCAGCCTCTTAGAACCTCTCATTTCCTTTCCATCGTGGAAATCTATCCTCAAGGAAATAACTTCTCAGTGTTCCATCTGCTATTCTACTACTCCTCAGGGATTATTCAGGCCCCCTCCCTTCCCTACACATCAAGCTCGAGGATTTGCCCCACCCAGGACTGGCAAATTAGCTTTACTTAACATGCCCTGAGTCAGATAACAAAAATACCTCATAGTCTAGGTAGATACTTTCACTGGATAGGTAGAGGCCTTTCCTACAGGGTCTGAGAAGGCCACCCCAGTCATTTCCTTCCCTTCTGTCAGACATAATTCCTCAGTTTAGCCTTCCCACCTCAATACAGTCTGATAACAGACGAGCCTTTATTAGTCAAATCAGCCAAGCAGTTTTTCAGGCTCTTAGTATTCAGTGAAACCTTTATATCCCTTACAGTCCTCCGCCTTCAAGAAAAGTAGAATGGACTAAAGGTCTTTTAAAAACACACCTCACCAAGCTCAGCCACCAACTTAAAAAGGACTGGACAATACTTTTACCACTTTCCCTTCTCAGAATTCAGGCCTGTCCTCTGAATGCTACAGGGTACAGCCCATTTAAGCTCCTGTATAGACGCTCCTTTTTATTAGGCCCCAGTCTCATTCCAGACACCAGACCAACTTAGACTGTGCCCCCAAAAAACTTGTCATCCCTACTATCTTCTGTCTAGTCATACTCCTATTCACCGTTCTCAACTACTCATATATGCCCTGCTCTTGTTTACACTGCCAGTTTACACTGTTTTTCCAGGCCATCACAGCTGATATCTCCTAGTGCTATCCCCAAACTTCCACTCTTAACTCTTGAAGTAAATAAATAATCTTTGCTGGCAGGACTATCCTGAATCTCCTTAGGCACTCTCTAATCAGATGTCCTGAGTCATCCCAATTCCTAGAACTTTTATACCTGTTTTTCTCCTTCTGTTATTCCATTTAGTTTCTCAATTCATCCAAAACCGTATCCAGGCCATCACCAATCATTCTATATGACAAATGTTTCTTCTAACATCCCCACAATATCACCCCTTACCATAAGACCTCCCTTCAGCTTAACCTCTCCCACTCTAGGTTCCCACGCCGCCCCTAATCCCGCTTGAAGCAGCCCTGAGAAACATAGCCCATTCTCTCTCCATACCACCCCCCAAAAATTTTCGCCACCCCAACACTTCAACACTATTTTGTTTTATTTTTCTTATTAATATAAGAAGGCAGGAATGTCAGGCCTCTGAGCCCAAGCCAAGCCATCTCATCCCCTGTGACAGGCCCACATGGCCTGAAGTAACTGAAGAATCACAAAAGAAGTGAATATGCCCTGCCCCACCTTAACTGATGACATTCCACCACAAAAGAAGTGTAAATGGCTGGTCCTTGCCTTAAGTGATGACATTACCTTGTGAAAGTCCTTTTCCTAGCTCATCCTGGCTCAAAAAGCACCCCCACTGTGCACCTTGCAACCCCCACTCCTGCCCGCCAGAGAACAAACCCCCTTTGACTGTAATTTTCCTTTACCTATCCAAATCCTATAAAACAGCCCCACCCTTATCTCCCTTCGCTGACTCTCTTTTCAGACTCAGCCCACCTGCACCCAGGTGAAATGAACAGCTTTATTGCTCACACAAAGCCTGTTTGGTGGTCTCTTCACATGGATGTGCATGAAACTAGCAACACATAAACTCTGGTTTAGAAGAAGTAAAAATGTACTGCTGATATGAGAGAATATGCTATATTTCATTTATCATAATACATGTGGTAATAAGCTGTACAGATCTGCACAGCTAATCTACTTAATATAATTTTTTAGTCTTGAGAAACACAAATTGTTTTGCTCATCAGTTCAATTTCTAATCTATGTTTAAGTTCATTACATAAAATTCATGGATTTATACCAGCATTCTAAGCAAACAGAGTTTGTGGCATTGGAAAAAAAGGATTCTGTGATTGTTTAAGTGAATTATGTTATAAATGCAAAGAGAAGATAAAATATTTTTTAAAAAAATTTCTAAAATATATATCTATATATATTTTCCCTTTTTTTTCTGAACCTTTTTTTTGCTGAACCTTTCTATAGTACAGAAATATCATGCAAAAAAGTTCATTCTCAGTCAAGGTTTAAAATAATTTTCTTAAACAGAAAATCCACTTAATATTCATCTAAATTTCTTTCCATAGAGAAGATTTTTGTATATACAAAGTATAATTACGATATATTATTCAAACCTACACTGTAAATGAATAAGAGATATGTAGCAAAAGAAAATGTGCTTTGAGTCCTTTACATATTATCATTGAAGCAGAGTAATAAGATCATATTTTCTGTTAGGAGTATTATCAAGATGGTGCCTTCTCTCCTATATTATTATTACTATTATTATTATTATTATGTTATAATATTGGGTTACTTTAATAATATAGTGGAGAAGATTTAGCCATATCAGTGTAAAATAACATTATACAGTAGAGATAAAAATAAAGGCTTTGAATTTAAGAATTTTATGTTAAAATTAAAATGATTTAACACAAAATTCTTCAAAAATCATACAAGTTATTTCCATTTTTTGATTTAGAGGTCATTTTTATTTGAAATAGCAATGCATTCACTCTATTGCTGAAATGATAGTTTATTGTAGGCAAAAATAAAATAAATTAATTTAATAGGATTTTAACTTAACTTTTTCCTCTCCAGGATCTTTATACTTTACTTCTTATTTCTTTTTTTTTAACTGATACCCTTGCTTCTTGATATCACAGCCTCACAACCTTATTCACCTCAGCAGGGAGCATCACATAAAAGAGATGCTTGAAAGGGTAATGGCATTCACTGCATTGCTAATCTATTCTTTCAACCACTGATTAGCATTGAAATTGATTTTGAACTCCTTGTGACTAAAATGACATTAATTTAGCATTTGCTGTTAGAAACATAGCACTTATTTCATGTTAGCAGGTGACACATGATTAATTTGATAACTTGATGGTTCCAACTCTTTACAAGCATCAGAAATGTTAGCCGAGAAGAGCTCTGTGAGAGAAAAGTAACTATAAATGTCTTTGAATACCAAAGACTGAAAAGTCCTCCTTCTGTAGAAAGTATTTGGACTAGGTAGTTTCTGTGAATGCTGTGTATGCATTCGACACTCGAATTCTCATCAGCATCTCTGTGATAACTCAGAGGTTCTCAATTCTAGCTCAGTGTTAGAATCACCTAAAGAACTTTAAAAATATTGGTACCTTGATCCCAATCCCAGAGGTCCTGATTTATTTGGTGAGGTATGGTGTCAAGGCACATCAGTACATGCCTTGACACCAAAGCTCACCAAACAAATATATATAGTTGTATACCATATATAATATATAGTGTACAACATGATGTTTTGAAATGTACCTACACTGTAAAATGACATAATCAAGCTAATTAACATACACATTACCTCACGTACTTATTGTTTGTCATTAGAAAACAAAAATCTCTCTTAGCAATTTTCAGATTCAAATACATTATTACTAACTATAGTCAATATGTTGTACCATAAATGTCTAGAATTTATTTATCCCATCTAACTGAAATTTTACATATTTTGACCAACATCTTCCCAACCTCTCATCCTCTAAGTCCCTGGAAACCATTCTACTCTCTTCTTCTATGAGTTCAACATTTTCTACCTAGAAGCCTCTGATGAGAACCAGTGATTAAATATTTAGTTTAAATTTCAACTATTATTGTAGATACAATGGGTACATATGTAGGTCTGTTACTTAAGAACATTTTGTGATACTGGTGTTTGGGGGTACACAGCCATAAAAAATGAAATAGTGCCTTTTGCAGTAACATGGTTGGAACTGCAGGCCATGATCCTTAGTGAGAACCAATTTTAACTCAGTCTTCAAGTACCCACACTGATGTATGCCTCTTATCATGGACTTGCCCATGTATGTTCCAAAACTGTCTATAAATAGTAAGTATAAATATTAAGTATTTTTTTCTGGCTCTCATATAGGAATTTGTGCAAGTGAAAAGGACAGTAATATTTCCCTTTTAATACATGTAAGACAAATTGTGCTTCATTTTAATGTCAAATGTTTTCAACACTTTTCAGTAAAATAATCTTTTTATTATACTTCAAGTTTTAGGGTACATGTTCACAACGTGCAGGTTAGTTACATATGTATACATGTGCCATGTTGGTGTGCTGCACCCATTAACTTGTCATTTAACATTAGGTATATCTCCTAAAGCTATCTCTCCCCACTCTCCCCACCCCACAACAGGCCCCGGTATGTAATGTTCCCCTTCCTGTGTCCATGTGTTCTCATTTTTAATCACACAGGGAAAATGTTGGTATAATTTATTTTTAAATCTCCAAAATATTTTTACAGGATAGAACCATATTAAAAATAAAATTTAAAATATAAACTATCTTAGTCTATGTGTTAGAATGAAATATTCATTCCCACTATTTCATCCCATTGCTCTTTACGATTATTCATTTTTGTTAGAAATAATAAAATATTCAACAGAAAGAAAATCAGTCTTTCTAAAAAAAAAAAAAAAAAAAAAAAAAAAAAAAAAACCCAAAAAAAAAAAACCACTGTCTTTCTAAAAAAAAAAATTGGCCTAGATAGAGGATCAGGATTCTAGGGATGACTCTGCAGCTCACTTGCTGTAAGATTTAGGTAAACTTTTAATCCTGCTTCTCTTCACTTTCATAAAACATTAGGCTTGCAATAAGCTAATTCTAATATTCTTTTGAGGCATTTACTACCCCCAAATTCATTTCTCATACTACAGGAAAATTAAACTACTCACTTCGGATCTATTGTCAAACCACATTTAGTTTGATTGGCACTACAAAGGCACTGCAAAAATACTTGTGAAATAAATGAATGACTGTTTCCCTTACTTTACTGAATATTTTACTTTAAACCCTACATATTTTTCAAAAAATAAGGTTTTATCTTTAGCTTCTGCAATGTTGCTTTGCAGGATCCTTAATCAAACCCAATCTCACAAATATGTCAGTAATACAACTATCAAACTAATTTTTATTTATATTACCAATTAATAACAACAACAATGCTGACTTCTCCTTACATAGGACCTGATGCTTTTAACATGCATTCATGTGTGTATATATCTTGCCATGATTCTTACATGGTGTGGTGTTCAAGGGCAGTATCATGATCTCGTGTAACACATGAGGAAACAGTTTTTTTTTTGGAAGCTGAAAAGTGATAGAACATCTCATTTAAGGCTGTATTTCTCTTAATTATATTGCCGGCATTTGAATACAGATATTGTGCACAGATTCTAAAATGGATCCCAATGATAACCATACCTTTGTGTAACCCGCTTCACTTCTGTGTACACCAGATCTGCCGGCTTGCTTCTAATAAACAGAATACCACAAATGTGATGAAATGTCACTTCAGAAATTGGGTGATAAACAACTTTGAGCTACCTCACTTTCTTTCTCTCTCTTTTTTTTTCTCTCTCTCACTTCTCTCAGGACTTGCTCTGAGAGAATATCAATAGGTGTTCATCTTGAAAATAAAATTAAGAAGACTGAAATGTTACCTTACCATAAAATGATTATTCTGACAATGCTTTTGCCACATTCGAGGTGAAAATCATGACAAGCGTCTATGGTACTGCCATTTTAAAATAGTAAACTAGTAAAAAAATAATGAATGAATCTCACAGAACAACTTGAGGACCACAAAAATAAAAATGTGATGATTAAAGTCTCAGGAAGATAAACACATAAGATACATTTCACTAAAGTCGAAGAAAAATAAAATTCAAGAAAAATCTCTAAGGTATGACATGACTTTTAAAAGTTGCTATAAAAGAAAGAATACAAAACAAGTACATATGCCATTAAATATTTGGTTGTTCTCCAAAAAGTCTGTGTGTGTGTGTGTGTGTGTGTGTAAATAAACATATACCAGAAAATAGCCTTCTACTTGCCCACAGTATGGTGCAATACACAGTACACCACAGCAGGAGTTTGTCATGGTACCTCTATGATTTGAAACTTTATCATAAAAACACATGACTGATGTAGAACTTACAGTTAAAGATGCCATTCTATAAATAGAAATACACATTGCTTCCTGGTGAAGAGTTTATACACTAAGGCCAAATTACATGTTTGGGATACTGACAGCCTTGTTTAGCATTTGGAACATAAAGTATATAAACACGTTAGTTGAATGAAAGAAAAAATAATTTCTCCAGTAGCAGATGTACTGATATGTATCTTGATCATGTCACAGAGCTTGGCCCTAAAGAGCTGTGATCTTAACCTTCTTGTCTATAATGACTCAATATATGTTCCTGGATTACTATCTTTTTAAAACATCAAAAAGATCATGGGAAAAATTTCAAAGTAAGAGAAAAAGATGGAGTCTATAAAACACATATTTTCTTGATATGGGGTGAGATAAATGAAATTGTAGAAATATTTCCAAAATACTTGGGGTGAAAGGGGGATGAGCTTAATGGAATATTTAAAAAATATTAGAAGAAATAAATGTTGAAAGATGAATACATGAAAGTTGTGCGAATGCTGAACTTAAAGACTATTAATCAATAAAATATAAATACAAATAAAACAATTCAATATTAGATTGTGAAAGCAAGAGGTACCTATGAAAACAAATATAATTGTTGAATACTGAGACTAGAGAACCTGGGAGGTCACTAAGCTTTGATTTGTAAGCAAACACTCCCTTAAGAGCTTAACTTCGTTCAAGTGTTATCATTTCATTAAAATCTTGAAATAATCTTTCCATTTGATTTGAGATTCTGAAAAATAAAATTTTAATGTTTTTTCCTGTGGTTGTTTTTAACAAGTATTTTTTAACATAAAGTTGAACTTAACATATTTCCTATTTTTGTTGGACTTGTAGTCCTGATAGAGAAGTTTTCTCCCTCCCTAGTTAGAAATTCACTCACAGCTTCTTTTAATAGCTTTTTTTTGTTTGTTTTACTTGGTACATTTACATAATTAATCCAAAAAAAGATAAATTTGGAAGTTAACTCGTTGCATATGGCAGGATAAAACTTCTCTTTTAGTATTGCTTCTTCACTTTTTAGTTTTCTGTTTGTATCAGTGAATGTTATTTTAGTGTGTTGATTGTGAAATCAGCCACTTTCTTATTTGGATTGTGAAAGTGATTTTTGGGGAAGATTCCTAGATGTATATTCAGGTTATATTTAAATAAAGTTTATGTTATGTTTTTCTTTCCAATTTCAATGATTTTGTCTCACCTAATTGATGTGGCTAGTATTTTCAAATTGATGTGGCTAAAATGACAAAGGGTCTGATATTTTAACTACTTGCCAACTAACAAATTAGAATGCCACAGTTCCAACTTTGCTAATAGACAACATGAGACTCCTGGGTCAAATACAAAGGATTTTATTATTTACACCAAAGCAGACAGAAGGGGCTTCATATTTCTATTGGTTCTTGTTCTCCAAGTTCCACACGGGTGATTTGGAGCAGCCTACAATGTTCCGCATGGGTGATTTGGAGCAGCCACAATGCTTTGTGTCACAAATGACGAACTCTCAACTTGGGACATCCCCAACCTTACAAGGAGAAAACAAACAATCCTGTCCAACCTTTATTCCAGGATAAGATGTATATATTATCTTTATTATTCTGGTCAGTGAACAAGTCTACCCTCTGCTCTGTAGGGTGACATTATTCCTGCTTCCAAACTGTTTATCATAGAAACACACTTGAGAATATATTCTGGAAAAAAATTAATACAGACCTTTAGAGATACCATGAAGAATTTTCTCCCAACATAATGTTAAGTAATAATGAAGATAAGATAAATCCTTTTTTGTTCGTTTGTTTCTGATCAGGTGGAAAAGCTCTTAGCATGTATGCATTAAGTTAGTGTCTGGCTTTAGTGCTGAGATATATTAATTCTAACATGCTAAGGATACATTAACTGATACCAAATTATTGACTGTCTTTTTAACAGAATTGGGGGTAATATTTTGTCAAATGCCTTTTAAGAACCTACAGATATAATCATATGCTAATTTTATCTACCTATATTAATGTGTAATAATGGATAAATTAGTGGCTAAATGAAGATAATAATAGATTTACTAATGTATGTCTATTATTATAAATTAGAGAAATAATTCTAAGATAATCCCCAATGACCTGTATCCATGTTTAATATCCTTGAGTGTAGGAATGACCTGTAACTTCGTTTTAGAATATAGCAAAGGGAAGATAATATTATTCCAATGATTACATTAAGTATCATAATATGGCAAAAATAAAGAGATACCAAAGATGCATTTAAGGTTCCTAGTCAGTTTACTTTCAGGTTAATCAAAAAAGAAATTGTACTGGATGAGTTTGACATAATCAGGTTAGCCATTTAAAAGAGGTCTAGATATCAGACAGAAATCTGAGACTAGAAGAGTAGAAATGTTCTTCTGGCCATGAAGAAGCTAACAGCCTGGTTTGAACTCTCAATGGACAGAGACAGCTTCTTGGAACTGGGAACCTCGATTCTACAACTAAAGGAAGTGAAAAATGCCAACAATCCTGTGATCTTCGGAGGGCACCCAGGACTTCAGATGAGACACCATGATTGCTGCCTTGGAAGACCCTGCCAGAAGAATCGGTTAAGGTATGCTTGAACTTCTGAGCTGTAAAACTGTGAGATAATGAAGTAAATTGTTTCAAGATGCTAAGCTTGAGATAATTTGTTATGCAGCAATATAAATCAATACATTTTGTAGTAAATGCACTAGATTTATTAATGGATATAATGCATTCCAATGAATTCCGAGATGAACCCTATTTTAAAGTATTTTTAACGATGTCATTGCCTTTGGTTTGGTAATATTTTATTTAAGACTTTTATATTCATTAGTGAGTTTGCGATGTAGTGCTTTTTAAGTATGTAGCATTCTTATATTGCAGATGACTAGAATTCACAATAAATTTGATAAGCATTGTATGTTAAAAATATATTCATTTTACCCTGACACTTGAATGTTCATTTAGTCATTGACATTTAGGGTTCAAAATTAATAAGAAGGCAGGTGGCGGTTATTTTTTCTGTTTTCTTTATGAATGCATTTCAAGCAGCTGGGACCGTGATTAAAAAATTATGGTTGGTCCATTAAATTTCTTGATGAATGAAAAAGTAATTATTTCATCATTGCTTTTTATAAGTCAGTATTGTGCATGAGCTGGCCATAGATAACTTTATTCCCATACTTTCATTGATTCTCCACTTACCATATATGCATGTATATATGTATTTGCTTATTCATTTGTTCATTTTTATTATTATTTGTTGCTGTTGGCATTGAAATGTTTACAGTCGTATGCCTAGGTCTTTATATTCATCCTGTTTATTACCTGGATGGTACACTCTAGATATCTTATTTACTTATATCTGTTTTCAACTCTGGAAAAAGATTTTTTATTGTTTCTTTGGTAACATTTTTTCTTCTGTTCTTGTTGCAGCTAATCTTTATATCTTCTATTTTAACCTTCCTTTCTTATTTTTCTCTCATTGTCTTGCATTTACTACTTTTTAGTAAAAAAAAGAACAAAATTCAGGTTTGTAGGCTCATTATTTCTAATGTATTAATTCTGCTATTCAGCCCTTCTATTTAGTTTTGTTACTATGATTGTTAGACATATTTCAAGGAATTCTAATTGTCTCACTTTATCTTTGGTTTTAACCATTTTCGTTTTTCAGATGAGATGTCCACCACATAAACAAATGTCATCTATAAATATTAATTCAACAATATATTTCAATACATTACATTTTAGGCTTTTCTATACCTTGAAGCTACTGAATTTCACTGGAAAAAAAGTCCTAACCTTTGCATTATGCAGTTTAGTTCTGTGTGGGAAGTTTTTTTAAAATGAAAGAAATCGTGCGTGTGTGTGTGTGTGTGTGTGTGTGTGTGTGTGTGATACGTTTGAAAGGGGATGTTAAATTACTAAATGGTAACGAAAAAAATAGAGCAGGTTAAGGAGATAAGGACTATAGTGGGCAGTAGGGGGTGCAACTTTATATAGAATGGTCAGAAAAGTCTTTGATTAGGTGACCCTTAAGCAGAGACGAGAGGTAGTGAAAGATGAAAGAGCAAGTCATGCAAAAACTAGAAAAAATTTTGGGGAAGGAAAAATGACTCTTTTATGAAAAGGCTCTTTTAGTGTATATAAGCATTAATGTTTACAAAAACTTACTCCTATATCTTCTACAGAAAATGTTATAGACATTTTTATTTTGTGCATCAGTTAGCTATTTCTGAGTAACAATTTACCCTAATATAAAATGGCTTAAAATATCAGGTGTTTATTATTTTCACGAGTCTGTGTGTTAGCCAGGTTGGTCTACTGAAGTGGATGAAGCTCAGCTTATCTCTCCTAGACTTACGTGTTTGAAATGAGCAAGTGGGTTAGCTGGAGGCCTGTTACCCTAAGATAGCTGCAATTAGGATGCTCCACCATGTAATTTATTGTCCTCCTCCAGTTTATCCTGTCTGGCTCTCAGGGTAGTGGAAGGTTCTGAAAACAGAGAGTGAAATGTGCAAATAATTTTCAAGATTTTGCTTGTATTAAAATTGCTACAGTCTCATTGTGCAAAGCAGGTTATACAGTTTAACAAAAAGTCAGAGTGAAAGTAGACTACAAAGTTATAAAAGAAAGGACATATACAGTGGGAACACTTAAACGGGGTAATTAGTGCAATCAATCAATGTTGATTTAACATAAATCAATAAATTATTACTCTGAGAATTTGAATTATGTTCAATTACCATTTATTTATGGTTGTAGGCTTTGTATCTCAAAGGGTTTGTTAACTCATATGTAGCTGCTATTTCTGTATATCATAGTCAAACTCAGTTAGTTCTAGAGAAAGCATGCTGCCCTGTAATATAAATCAATTCTACATCTTCTTAAATGTTTCATTTTTTATTTTTGTGGGTACACAGTAGTTGCATATATTCATGAAGTACATGAGATATTTTGATGCAGACATGCAATACATAATTACATCATGGAAAATGGGATGTCTGTCTCCTTAAGCATTTATCCTTTGTGTTACAAACAATCCAATTATACTCTTCTAGTTATTTTAAACGCTACAATTAAATGATTATTGACTGTATTCACCATGTAGTGCTGTCAAATACTAAATCTTATTTACTCTTTCTATTTTTTGTGCCCAGTAACTGTCCTCAGCTCCTCCCACTCCCCACCCTCACCCTTCCCAGCCTCCGCTAACTTTCCTTCTGCTCTCTATCTCCATGAGTTCAATTGTTTTGATTTTTAGATCCCACAAATAAGTGAGAACATGTGATGTTTGTTGTTTTGTGCTTGGCTTATTTTACTTAACATAATAACCTCCAGTTCCATCCATGTTGTTACAAATGAAATGATCTTGTCTTTTTATAGCTGAATAGTACTCCATTGTTTATATGTACCTCATTTGCTTTATCCATTCATCTGTTGATGGACACTTAGCTTGGTTACTTATAAGTCTTCACTATTGTGAAGAGTGCTGCAATAAACACAGGAGTGCAGATAACTCTTTGATGTACTGATTTCCTTTCTATATACTCAGCAGTGGTAGCTCTATTTTTAGTTTTACGAGAACCTCCAAACTGCTCTTCATAGTGGTCATACTAATTTACATTCACATCAACAATGTAGGAAGTTTCTCTTTTCTCCATATCCTCTCCAGCATTTGTTATTGCCTGTTGTTTGCATATAAACTATTTTAACTGGGGTGACATGGTATCTCATGGTAGTTTTGATTTGCATTTCTCTGATGGTCAGTGATATAGAGCACCTTTCATATACCTGTTTTTCACTTGCATGTATTTCTTTTTGAGAAATCTCTGCTCAGATCTTTTGCCCATTTTTAATCAGATTATGATATTTCTTTCCTGTAGAATTGTTAAAGCTCCTTATATATTCTGGTTATTAATTCTTTGTCAAATGAGTAGTTTGCAAATATTTTCTCTCGTTCTGTGGGTTGTCTCTTCACTTCGTTTACTGTTTCCTTTACTGTGCAGAAACTTTTGACTTGTTCTGATTCCATTTGTCCATTTTTGCTTTGGTTGCCTGTGCTTGTGGCATATTACTGAAGAAATCTCTGCCCAGTCCAATGTTCTGGAGAGTTTCCCCCAATATTTTCCTGTGGTAGTTTCATAATTTGATTTAGCCTTTAATTCATTCTGACTTTATTTTTTATATGGCCAGAGATAGGGGTCTAGTTTCATTCTTCTGCATATGGCTATTCAGTTTTCCCAGTACCATTTGTTGATGAGACTGTATTTTCCCCAGTGTATGTTCTTGGCACCTTGTTGAAAATGAGCTCACTATAGGTGTGTGAATTTGTTTCTGGGTTCTCTATTCTGTTCCCTTGGTCTATGTGTCTGTTTTTATGCCAGTACTGTGCTGTTTTTGGTTATTATACCTTTGTAGCATAATTTGAAGTAAGGTAATGTGATTCCTCCAGTTTTGTACATTTTGCTTAGGAGAAGTTTGGCTATTCTGGGTCTTTTATGGTTCCATATAAATTTTAGGATTCTTTTTTTCTATGTCTGTTAAGAATGTCATTGGTATTTTGATAGGAATTACATTAAATCTGTAGACTGCCTTGGTTAGTATGGACATTTTAACAATATTGATTCTTCCAACTCGTGAACATGGAATATTTTCATTTTATTGTATCTTCTTCAATTTATTTCATCAGTGTTTTATAATTTTCATTGTAGAGAGCCTTCACTTCTTTGGTTAAGTTGATTCCTAGGTACTTATTTTTTTATGATTATTGAAAATGAGATTACTGTTTTAATCTTCAACTTTTATTTTTAAGTTCAGTGGTACATACATGTGCAGGATGTGCAGATTTGTTACATAGGTAAACATGTGCCATGGTGGTTAGCTGTACAGATCATCCCATCACCTAGGTATTAAGCCTTGCATCCATTAGCTATTCTTCCTGATGCCCTCCTTCCCCACATCACCCCCACCAGCAGGGCCCAGTATGTGTAGTTCTCCCCCACAATGTTATTACTTTTTCAATTTCATTTTCAGATTTTTCACTGTTGGTATATAGAAACACAACTGATTTTTGTATGTTGATTTTGTATCCTGCCACTGAATTTGTTATCACTTCTAATAGTTTTTTGTTTTTTTTTTTTTTTTGGTGGAGTCTTTAGGTTTTTCCAAATAGAAGATCATATCATCTGCAAACATATAATTTGACTCCTCCCTTTTCAATTTGGATGACTTTTTTAAAAATTTATTTTGTCTGATTGCTGTAGCTAGAACTTCCAGTACTATGTTGAATAACAGTGTTGAAAGTGGGCATCCTTATTGTGTTCCAGATCTAGGGTAATGGCTTTCAGAATTTTCCCATTTAGTATGATACCAGCTGTGGGTCTTTTTATTATGGTGAGGTATGTTCCTTTGATACCCAGTTTTTTGAAGGCTTTTTACACAAAGGGATATTGAATTTTATCAAATGTTTTTTAGCACCAATTGAAATGGTCATATGGTTTTTGTCCTTTACTCTGATGGTATGATGTATCATATTGATTGATTTGTATATGTTGAACCATCTTTGTGTCCCTAGGATAAACCGCAGGGTTATTTATTTGAACCCCATTTGGCCAAGATGAATAATCTCTTTGACGTATTATTGAATTTCATTAGCTAGTATTTTGTTGAGAATTTTTATATCAATATTCATCAGAGATATTGGTCTGTAGTTTTCTTTTGTTGACGTGTCTTTGGTTTTAATATCAGGCTAATACTAACCTCATAGAATGAGACTGGAAGTATAGCGAACTTCTATTTTTGGAATAGTTTGAGTAGGATTGATACTAATTCTTTAAATGTTTGGTAGAATTCAGCAGTGAAACCATTGGGTCCCAAGATAATTGTTTAATGGGAGAGTTTTCATTACAGCTTCAATCTCGTTACTCTTTATTGGTCTGTTCATGTTTTGGATTTCTTATTGGTTTAATCTTGGTAGGTTGTATGTTTATAGGAATTTATCTATTTCATCTGGATTTACCAATTTATTGGCATATAATTGCTCAGAGTAGTCACTAATGATCATTTTAATATCTGAAGTATCAGTTGTACAACTGAAGTATCAGTTGTAAGGTCTCCTTTTCATCTCTGATTTTAATTACTTGAGTCTTCTCTTGTTTTTCATCGTTAGTCTGCATAGAGTTTTTTCAGTTCTGTTTATCTTTTCAAAAAAGCACCTTTTTATTTTATTTGTATGTGTTCTTCATTTCATTTCATTTATTTTGCTCTGATCTTCATTATTTATTTTCTTCTACTAATAGTGGGTTGAGTTTGTGCTTGCTTTTTCAGTTCTTTAAGATGCATCATTAGATCATTTGTTTGAACATTTTCTTCTTTTGATGTAGGCACTTATAGCTATAAACTTCCAGTTAGTACTGCTTTCACTATATTCCATATGTTTTGTTATGTTGTGTGTTCATTAATACTTATCTCAAGTCATTTTTCAACTTTCTTCTTAATTTTTTCATTGTCTCACTGGTCATTCAGGAGCATATTAGTTAATTTCTATGTGTTCATATAGTTTCCAAAATTCCTTTTGTTATTGATTTCTAGTTTTCTTTCACTGTGGTCAGAGAATGTACTTGATATTATTTTAGTTTTTTTTTTAATGTTTTAGGACTTATTTTGTAAACTAACATATGGTATATCCTTAAGAATGATTTATGGCCTGAGGAGAAAAAGTATTGTGCAGCCATTAGATGAAATGTTATATAAATATCTATTAGGTACATTTGTTCTATAATGCAGATTAAGCCCATTTTTTCTTTATTGATTTTCTACCTAGGAGATCTGTCCAATGATGACAATGAGGTGTTGAATTCTTCAGCTATTATTGTATTGAGGTATTGAGGTGAGTCTCTCTCTTTATCTCTAATAATATTTGCTTTATATGCCCCAGTGTTTTATATATATATATATGTATATATATATACATATATATATTTACAATCATTATATCCTCTTGCTGAATTGACTGCTTTATCATTATATAATGACCATTTTTGTTTCTTCTTACTTTTTTTGTCTTGAAACATCTTTTGTCTGATATAAGTATAACTACTTCTGCTCTTTTTTTGTTTCCATTTGAATGGTATATCTTTTTCCAATCCTTTAATTTCAGCCTTCATGACTCTTACAGATGAAGTGTTTCTTGTAAGTAATGGATCATTGGGTCTTGTTTTTTCATCCATTCAGCTATTCTCTATCTTTTTATTGGTTAGTTTACTCCACTTACATTCAGTGGCATTATTAATAAGTAGGACTTACTCCTGCCATTTTGTTATTTGTTTTCTGGTTGTTTTGTGGTCTTCTCTTCCTTGTTTCCTTCTTTCATTTTTTCCTGTCTTCCTTTTAGTGGAGGTGATTTTCTCTGGTGGTAAGATTTATTGCCATTAATAATTTCTTCCTTTTTATTTTTTGTATATCTATTGTATTTTTTTCAATTTCAGAATAATGTCTTATAACCCATTATTTTATACTGATGACAACTTGACACTGATGGTATAAACAAAAAACTAATAAACAGGCAAAAAGAAAACTAATAAAATCTCTACAATTTAACTTTCTGTCCCTGCTTTTTAACTTATTGTTGTTTCTCTTTGTGTCTTATTGTACTGTCTATGCCTTGAAAAGTTGTCGTAATTATTATTTTTTATTAATCATTTAGTCTTTCTACTTAAGATATGAGTAGCTTACACAACACAATTACGTGTTATAATAACCTGTTTTTCTTCGTGCTTACTATTAGCAATGAGTTTTGTACCTTCAGATGATTTCCTCATGCTTATTAATTAATATCATTTTCTTTCAGATTGAAGAATTCCTTTTAGTATGTCTTGTAGGACAGGTCTGGTGTCAATGAAGTCCCTCAACCTTTGTTTGTGTGGGAAGGTCTTTATTTTTACTTCATGTGTGAAGGTTATTTTTGGTGGATATACTATTCTAGGGTAAGAGCCTTTTTTTTTTCCTTTAGTACTTTAAATATATTATGCTACTTCTGGCCTGTAAGGTTTCCACTTAAAAGTCTGCAGCTAGATGTATAGGAGCTCCATCGTATGTTGTCGTTTCACTTCTCTTGCTGCTTTTAGAATCCTTTGTCCTTGACCATTGGGAGTTTTATTACTAAATGCCTTGAGATAGTGTTGTTTTGGTTAAATCTGCTTAGTGTTTTATAACCTTCTTGTGTTTGAATGTTGATATCTTTATATAGGTTTGGGAAATTATCTGATATTATCCCTTTGAATACATTTTCTACCCGTCTCCTTCTCTACTTCCTGTTTAAGGCCAATAACTCTTATATTTGCTCTACTAAGGCTATTTTCTAGATCTCGTATGTGTGCTTTTTTTTTTGTCTCCTCTCACAGTGTATTTTCAAACAGCCTGTCTTCAAGTTCACTAATTCTTACTTCTGCTTGATAAATTCTGCTATTAAGAGATTCTGATACATTACTCAGTATGTCAGTTGCATTTTTCATGTCTAGACTTTGTGCTTGATCTTTTTTATTTCAATGTCTTTGTTAAATTTATCTGATAAAATTCTGAATTACTATTCTGTGTTATCTTGAATTTCTTTGAGTTTCCTCAAAATGACTATTTTAAATTCTCTTTCTGAAAGGATAATCTCTGTTTCTCCAGGATTGGTCTTTGGTGCCTTATTTAGTTCACTTGGTGATGTCATATTTTCCTGGATAGTGCTGATACTTGCAGATGTGTGACTGTGTCTGGGCATTGAAGAGTTGGGTATTTATTACAGCCTTCTCAGTCTAGGCTTGTTTGTGCCTGTACTTATTGGGAAAGCTTTACAAGTATTTGAAGGAACTTGGGCCGTAAGCCCAATAATGTTGTGGTTTTTGCAGACTTGTAGAGGTACCACCTTGGTGGTCTTGGATAAAATCTAGAAAAATTATCTGGATTATGAGGTAGACATTCTTGTTCTTTTCCCTTACTTTCTCCCAAACGAATGGAGTCTCTCTCTCTGCACTGAGTCATCTAGAACTGGGGGTGTGGTGATCCAAGCACCCCTTTGGCCACTGCCACGGGACTCTGCTGAGACAGATCTGAAGCCTGTACTGCACTGGGTCTTACACAAGGCTCTCAGTAACCATTACCAGCTAACACCTATATTCACCCAAGGCTGTAGGGTTCTAAGATCAGTAGTTGGTGAAGCCAGTAAGGTTCGTATCCTTCCCTTTGGGGTGGTGAGTTCCCATGGGCCCCAGGCGGATCCAGAGATACTGTCTGAGAGCCAGGGATTACAGTCAAACACTATACAAAATTATCTGATGTTCTATTCTACCACAGCTAAGTTGGCACTCAAACCACAATACAAAGTCCTTCCCACTTCTCCCTCTCCTTTCCACAGGCAAAGGAGCCTCTCCTTGTGCTTACCACGACTGCCAGCCCATGGGGGTTTGTTCTAGGCCACCGCCAATGTGCACTCAAGAGCCCAAGGGCTCTTGAGTCAGGTTGTGGTAAACGCTGGCAGGCCTGGGACTCACCCTTCATGGCAGTAGGCTCCTTTCTAGCCCAGGGTAGGTCTAGAAATGCTGCCCAAGAACCTAGGCCTGGACTTGAGGACTCCAAATGCCTATTATTTGCTCTGCCCCACTGCGACTGAGTTGGTACCTAAGGTGCAAGACAAAGTCCCCTTGACTTTTCCGTCTGCTTTTCTCAAACAAGAGTCTTTCTCCACAGCTAACACAACTGGGAATGTGCTAGGTCACACCTGAAACCAGCACATCTCAGTCTCACTTAAGGCCGACAGTGTACTACCTGGGTATCACTGCTAGTTATTGAGTGCCTAAAGGCTCTTTAATCAGCAGGAGACAAATCCTGCCAAGACTAGGTCTTTCCCTTCAAGGCAGTGGTTCCCTTTTGGCCCAGACCATGCCTAGAAATGTCATCTGGAGGCTAGGGCATGGAATGGTGGCCTCACAACTCTGCCGGGTGGCGTATCCTATTGTCACTGAGCTGGTACTCAGGATGCAAGACAAAGTCCTCTTTACTCTTTGATCTCCTCTCCTTAAGCAAAATGAAGGAGTCACTTTCATTTCTTGAGCTGATCTGCCTGAAGAGGGGTGACACAAGTTCTCCCTTAGCCGTCCTGGAGGTGTCTCCCTAGGTGACAAGCCGAAGTCCACTGGCTCTAAGCCCAGCCAAACACTAGGACTTGCCTAAGACTTGCAGTCCTTGTGTCCTAGAATATCTTTCAAGTGTACCTAGGACCACAGAACACTTTGGCTCATGGTAGTAAGGTTTGCTGAGAAACTCAAATTCTAACCTCTGGGATAGGCAATGCCCCTTTCTAGGGCTGGTCCAAATGCTCCCTCCATGTATGGGCACTGCCTGGGCCCAGCATGGCTTTTCTCTCCTCTCTGCTATGACAGAACAGCACTGAGTTCAATGTAAAGTCCCCCAAATGCTGTGTTCTCCCTCCCTCAAGTGCACAGGCTCTCTTTGTTGCACAGCTGAAGATGGAGGAGGGGTGGGATTGGCAATTCAGAACTAACTCTTCTACTCTCTTCAATGCCTTTTCAGTGATATAAAGTTAAAAACAGGTACAGTGATTGCTCACCTGATTTTTGGTTCTTGTGATGGTGCTTTTCTGTGTGCAGATAGATATTAAAATTTGATGTTCTCACGGCAGGAGAGACAAATGGTGTAGGCTTCTATTCTGCCATCTTGCTCTGACTCCCTTGAGTTAATTTTTAAAATTAATTTTCTTTTCTAAGACTTTCAGTTTCAGCAAAGATAGATTAGCTTATTTTGGACTGACTTTTTTGCTGCAAATAACTGTAAATGTGAGACAATATATATATGAAATTTTGAAGAATAACCAATAGAGGAAGGATATGAGCATAGACAATCACTGAGAAACATTAAGCATATAAGATAAGCTATATATTCATCTTATGTTTCCTCTGAGGATTTTTTTCTTAATTTTTTATAGAAATAGAGTACAAGCTGAAAGCAGTAGTATTACTGGCTTGAGGAAACAGATGTTGGAGCTTGACATAGTTTAAACAGATTTGTAGAATGCAGGATCATTTCTAAAAAGTAAGAGGCACACCACAGAAGTTACAGCTATACCATGTAAGTGAAAGCAAAACTAAAATAAACCAGACCCAGCCAACCCTTGAGAATGAAAATATTTCCCACAAATTTAAGCAAAAACTGATTATTCTGTAGCCATGGTTGTAAATAGCCATCAAAATCTGAGTTTCATTGATCAGCGGCAACTCAGTGAACACATTTTTACAAGCCAATAAATCAATGTAAATCTCTCATTTATGGTAGTCAGCTAATCATAAACATGATTCCAATAAATATGCATCTATATGCTTGATAACTGATAAACAGCCTATTTTCAAATAACAACCTGTGTGGTTGATGTCAGCTCACTCATGCTTCTGAAAGTCTTCCAATACATGAATTCTGTCCTCATCAAAGTCCCTATGGAAGATGAGTTCTCAGCTCTACTTGGAAATTATATGTCCAATAGAAACAATTTTCCCTTAATATAGTAAGAGATAGTTTCAATTTTTAAAAAATTTTAGACATCAATTTTGATTTCATCATCCAGTGATAATCTAAAACCAACCCAATATAGTATCAAAGAGATCCACTGGTACTCTATCTACCTGCCAAGAGAAAAATAAATCATATATAAAAAGTTATATCACCTAGCCCTTCTAAAATGTTTTCATCCACAATAATATAGGTTCTACTGAAAATTCAGAAACTTGAAATAAAATATGACCAGATGATCAAAAAGGAATAAAAACAGACTATGAAAACAGACCTACAGATGATTCCCATAAGAGTTGCCAAAGTTACTTTAAAATTCTGAGAATACAGTCAAGAAAATAGGAGAAAAGGATAAAATTTCAAAATGTGAAGATTTTCAATAGAGATATTCAATCTATAGAAAAAGTATTAAAATAATTGTAAAGAATTGAAAATAATACAATACCTATAATTAAGAATTCATTAAAATTATCAGCATTCCGGAAACAACAGAAGATATAATTAATGAAATTGAAGACATTTACTTAAATAGAATAAGAGAAAATTTATTCCTGGAATAAGTCATGATGAAAAATAAGTCTTGGAAGATTGTCTGGTGGTATCTACTAAAGCTAAACAGAGTAACTTCATTTCAAGGTATATACCCAAGAGAAATGAATGAATATATCCACCACAAGTCCTGCCCCCAAACATAAATTGCAGCTTTATTTATAATTGCATAAACTAGAAAAAAAATAAGTATTTTATTTTATTTTTAACTTTTATTTTAGGTTCAGGGATACAAATGCATGTTTGTTATATAGATGAATTGCATGTCACAGCAGTTTGGTGTACAGATTATTTTTCACTCAAGTCATAAGAATACTACCCAATAGGTTGTTTGTTTGTTTTTTTATCTAGCTCTCCTACCATCCTCCACCTCAAGGAAGCCCCAGAGTCTGTTATTCCCTTATTTGTGTCCATGTATACTCGATGTTTAGCTCCCACTTATAAGTGAGAAGATGCAGTATTTGGTTTTTGGTTCTTTCATTAGTTCACTAAGGATAATGTCCTCCAGCTCCATTAATGTTCCTGCAAAGAACATTACCTTGTTGCTTTATGGCTTCATAGTATTTCATATGTACCCCATTTTCTTTATCCAGTCTACAGTTGATAAGTTTTAGGTTGATTCAATATCTTTGCTATTGTGACTAGTGCGGCAATGAACATACATTTGCATGTGTCTTTATGGTAGAATGACTTGTATTCTTTTAAGTATATATCCAATAATGGGATTGCTGGGTTGAATAGTAATTATTTAAGTTCTTTGAGAAATTGCCAAACTTTTTTCCACAATGGCTGAACTAATTTACATTCCCACCATCAGTGTATAAATGTTCCCTTTTCTCTGCAACCTGTCCAGCATCTGTAACTTTTTGACTTTTTAATAATAACCATTCTAACTCATGTGAGATGATATCTCATTATTGTTTTGGTTTGCATTTCTCTGATGATTAGTGATGTTGAGTATTTTTTCATATGCTTATTGGCCGCATCTATGTCTTCTTTTTAAAAGGGTTTGCTCGTGTTGTTTGCCCACTTTTTAATGGGGCTGTTTGTTTCTTCTGTGTGTGTTAATTTGTTTAAGCTCCTTATAGATTTTGGATATTAGTCCTTTGTCAGATGTTCTCAAAAATTTTTCTCCCATTTAGTAGGTTGTATATTTACTCCTTTGACAGTTTATTTTGCTCTCCAAAGCTTTTTAGTTTTATTAGGTCTCATTTGTCAATTCTTAAAAAAAAACAAGTATTTATCAGCAGTAAACATTAAATAAATTACGATAAATCACAAAAGGGTACTACACAGCAACAAAAAAGATTGAGCTACTGCTAAGTGTGACAAAATGAATAAATATCACAGATATCTGAAAGAAAACAGAAACTGAGTACGTCTGTACATGCAGTATGATTTTATTTACATACGATTCAAAACAGGCAGAATTAATCTATGGTGGAAAAAATGTGTACTTTAAAAGGAAAAAATTGAGTCACATTACTGTTGTTAAATTCACCCTCACATCTTCAATTAGGATAGAACACACATCTATTCCTCCTTGTACAAAAGAAGGAGGCAAAAACAATAATAAAAAAAAAGAAAAAGAAAAATATAGATACCAGCAAGAAACTATCCTTTTCCCTTCACTTTAATTTTGTTAGTGCTTGACCTCTCCCAATACCTAGAATCCAACCAACTAAGTAAGGATTTAAAGATACAACTGAAGTATAATATTTTGGCTAAGAAAAAAATCTAGTTTTGAATTTCATTTTACATGTTTTCAGAATATCCATACAATAATTTTTGAGTAGTGTTAGGTTTTATTTCTTGAAATGAATTTTCTGCAAATAGTGTTTAAGAAATCTGATAACAGACTGTGACCTAATTCTGAATACCTGAGAAAGAGGTGATATCTCAGGTGACCACCTCAAAGGCACAGAAAATGAATCAGCTGTTTCTCATTATCACCCACCTTCGAGGTACAGCAGCAACATTTCTTCACCTTTACAAAGGTCTAAGGTGGTAATTATGTCTGCATTCTTCTTTTATGATAGACATAGCAGCCTACAAAAAGCATTAATTCAACCTTGTTGATTACATTACTTCTAGCTACAAAGGTAGCACATTGTTTATTTTCTGAAATGACTTATTACACATCTGGCTTTAGTAGATTAAAGAAAATATAAGCTCATTTGAATTTGCATGCATAAACTGGAACTATTGATAGATGAGACTGTAGCATTAAAATGTTTTATGTTAATTTTTTTCTATGACAACAGTTTTATAAAACCACGTACTTTAAATGAATGCCAACCCAAACTGGCATTAGAATCGTTGACATTCCAGTACAATCACTCTAAATGTAATAATATTTAAATGAAAATATCTGAGGTTTTACATTTTTAATATAATTTCAGTAAGAATGCAGTGAAACAACAGGTGAAGTATTATAAAATTTTCTGTATAGTGTGCTAAAGATTAAGAAAATGAATTCTATTTCTTTTATCTTATCACTTATATATATAAAGAGTACAAAATCAAACATTTTTAAAAATTGAAAAATAATTCTAAATATCTCCCTATACATATGATAATATTATACTCAAATATTTTGAACCTATAGAATGACTTTTGGGAGTATTTTGGTTGTGCTCCTGTGGGTGTGTGTTGATGTGCATTACACTTAATTTTAATTTTTATAGATACATAATAGTTGTACATATTTATATATTACATGTACAAACAATGTACTTATTGGATGATTAATAAAAACGTTGTCATTATAGATTTATGTGAATTTAAAAAAAATGGAGCACCAAAACAACTAATGTTTTTCTAAAGGATCACTTCCAGTGAGAAGATAACCTCTTGCTTTATAAATCTGTTAAAGGAAATGTATATTAATTGGTGATGGTACCCTTCCTTTACTTGTAAAGATTTTTCTGGTGTGTGTGTGTGTGTGTGTGTGTGTGTGTGCGTGTGTTTAAATTTCCACTTAATAGTTTTTTTGTGCTCAATAGAATTTATTTATTTATTTATTTATTTACTTATTTATTTTTAAGACAGAGTCTCACTCTGTCACCCAGGCTTGAGTGCAGTGGCGTGATCTCGGCTCACTGCAACCTCTGCCGCCCAGGTTCAAGAAATTCTCCGGCCTCAGCCTCCCGAGTAGCTGAGGTTACAGGCACCTGCCACCACTCCCAGCTAATTTTTGTATTTGTAGTAGAGATGGGGTTTCACCATATTGGTCAGGCTGGTCTTGAACTCCTGACCTCATGATCCACCCGCCTCGGCCTCCCAAAGTGTTAGGATTACAGGAGTGAGCCATGGCGCCCGGCCGTGCTCAATAGAATTTAAATGTTATGTTTGATTTGGTAGATACACTGTAACCCCAAGCTTGAAAAAAAAAATTTTCAAGAGAAAAGTCTCTCTATCCATAGATCAAATTTATAGGTAAAATTTCAAGTAAGCTCACAGTTTACTGAACATTCAATACTCAAATGTATTATAAGTCATTTTCAAACAAAGATATTGAAGTGTAAGAGGTAATAGCCTAAGACTGATCATCTGCCAAGTGACCTGTTTTTTATATATATATATATATACACACACACACAATATATATACATAATATGACCTTTCATTTATATATATATATACACATGTATATATTATATATACATATATATATACACATTTTATATATATGTATATATGAAAAGTATTTTCTCTTTCTCAAAATGTTACAGAAACTGGCTTAGGTTAGGTTTAGAAAATTCAACTTCCTCAGTTGCAGTGCTTGGATACTAAGACTCTACCTCTAGCTCTGTCATTAAAGGGAAAGACTGATGCTTCACCAAACACAAAGGCTAGAGTGGTAAAGTCTGTCATTGGATTGCTCCGCCACATAGTTGCAACCACAAGGATTAAACTCCAGCCCTGTAATAATACCATAAAAATGCTGGTTCTTCCACTAACCATCAATGCTGAACCATCAGGATGAAGCTGTAGCGAAGATTTTAACAAGTCACATTACTGTCATATCCTGATCACATTAATAAGGCAGCTCAAAGCTCCCCAGCTCACAGGTCAGATCTTGTACTCAAAACTTCCGAGTACGATGAGCAATCCTGATTGTTACTGTTCTCTTTCCATGATATATCACATATATGGACACTAAAATGCATTAGAAGTTCCTTATCTAGGTAGGTTTGCAAAAATAATATCATGACCTCCTAAACCTGAAGGAATACATTCAAGGAAAAATAATGAGGTTAGGCAATAACATGTCAAATTGTAAATTTATTTAAAACTGGTTTACCAATTTTAATTAATTTGAATATAATTTTAATGACAAACCTGTGTTACTTAAGTGTCCTATTGTTCTGTCAATTGATTTAAAAAAGATAGGTACATATATATAACATACGTTTCTGTTTATATTTACATATAATATATAGTATTTTACAATGATTCTTCCTTCTCTTTATAAACAAAGTAAACAGTTTCTGCTGGGCTAAGTCAGATATTTCCTGATCACCTAACTAAGAGAAGAAAAATAAAATAGATTTTTCCAGCCCACGGTTGTTTCATTATTCCAGACAACACTTTATATTGATCCTTCTCTATTTATTTCTAATTTTGTTGCCACTGATTGAGTTGAGCTCTAAATCTTCTGATGGCTTACATGCTGTTAGGATGCTGCATTGCTACCAGAAGCACCAGGTAGCAATGTTCTCATTTTAAACTCTAATTTGGTCTTATTTGCAGCAAATTAAGGTGTCTGATGTAGCACTTTAGCACCCAAAATGCATTATTTTACGTCTTTCATAATTCACCCTCACAGAAAATATGTTGTATGTGATCATTACGAGTTTGTATATTAGATATCTAGAATAAGAACTGTGAATCAGATAAATAAACATAGAAATTGCCCCACAATCCACCAATATATGTGGCAAAGCTTGAGTCTCTAAATCATTATATTTCCAATTTCTTTGTTTAAAACTTGCCAGAAAAGCAAAATGTGACATGAAAAGGGTTTGAAAGGTATACCTATTTTAAGGATTATTTCCTGTTATAGATGCTGAATCCTGACTTTTGGATAAGGTTTTGTTTTGAAGAGATGTCTCAATGAAGGATTATATATGTAGTACATTTACTCATGGACATACAATGAGAACTACTGATTACTCACATCAACAATTTTTTTGGAATATAAAAATTAAGGCAGTGTAATTTATGAAAAGAATAGATGAATGAGAAGGATGAGGAGTCTGGAAAAATGGCCCGAATTTGGGCTACTGCCATAACTATTTAGGTAAGACCCCATGCCTGAAACACAGTATAGTTATTTAGTAAGGAGAAGAACACACAATAAGAAGAAAAAAATTAATGTAGATTTTTAGAATTATAGAAAATATAGCTAAATGTGTATTTTGAAATACAGGTACTGGTTTTACATTTTGTCATTTTTATTTACATTTTACACATTGTGAAATAAAAAGGCTGCATTGATTGCTTTTTAACATCACTTCTTCGCTTTGGATGGGTTTGTCTTTTGTTGTTGTTGTTTACAGGAGACCCACTTTATTTTTTTTATTATTATTATACTTTAAGTTCTAGGGTACATGTGCACAACGTGCAGGTTTGTTACATATGTATACAAGTGCCATGTTGGTGTGCTGCACCCATTAACTCGTCATGTACATTAGGTATATCTCCTAATGCTATCCCTCTCCCCTTCCCCCACCCCATGACAGGCCCCAGTGTGTGATGCTCCCCTTCCTGTGTCCAAGTATTCTCATTGTTCAATTCCCACTTATGAGTGAGAACATGCAGTGTTTGGTTTTTTGTCCTTGCGATAGTTTGCTGAGAATGATGGTTTCCAGCTTCATCCATGTCCCTACAAAGGACATGAACTCATCCTTTTTTATGGCTGCATAGTATTCCATGGTGTATATGTGCCACATTTTCTTAATCCAGTCTATCATTGATGGATATTTGGGTTGGTTCCAAGTCTTTGCTATTGTGAATAATGCTGCAATAAACATACGTGTGCATGTTTGTCTTTTTTATGGCCTTTTCACACTTTTTTTTTTTTTTTTACTGAGGCCATGGGTCATACCTTATTCCTTTCATCCTTAAAACTGGACAAATTGTTATTGGACCAAATTTACCACACTTGGCAATAAAATGGTTTACCAGTCTTTATTTTTAAGAAAACACCGTAAGTTTTGTAAAATTTCTGTAGTTACACTTACTACACTTCTCAAGCTATCATAATTATCTCACATTCATTACTCAAAAACAGTGATTAGCAAATTCTGCCACAAAAGATAATGCATAACATAAAGCTTTAAGCTGCAGGAAACATCCTAGAGTTTTGTGTGGCCTTCATGATAGCTTTAGGCACCACATCATATTATAGTTGCGAGAAATTGAATTTAGAGAGGTCCAAACTGAAACTAATTGACCTTTGTCTTTCTATCACCCTTATTTTTATCTCTAACATTGTATCCACTTCCATCACCATGGAATTATTTGCAATGCCCTACTGGCTGATGTGGGTTCATCACAACTTCTGGTGAATTTGCTCACCAATTAGCAACCCCTGGGAAGAGAGGTAGATAAAACATAGACTTTCAAACATGTTATGTGATTACATTGGGTCATTTTCTAAATACAATTAAAAACTCAACTATAGCTATGGTCAACACGAGTAAAGTGGCTGAAAGTTTTGCAAAATTTATAAGTTATACAAGACATTGTAAATTAAGCAGAGGTTTTCCAGTTGTTCTTCATCCAATGTGCAATAAATTAAAAAACTGGTTTTACAAGATGTGATATGAAGGAGCATTATGGGACCATTTACATTTTGTATGTATCTTATATTTTAAAGTAAGATAAAGTGCAAGAACTCATTAAACAATGAATACTTCTTGGCTATGATGTTTTAGAGTTGTTGTTTGTGCTAGTTATAGTTTCTGAAAATTTAGTCAAAAGATAAAAGCATTTAATGTAGGAAATAAATGAATACTCAAACATAGCAACATGACTACACAATTTTGCATTTGTAAATGAGACATACTGATAGACTTTTGTTTAAAAGACTTTCCAGGGTGGAGCCAAGATGGCCGAATAGGAACAGCTCCAGTCTACAGCTCCCAGTGTGAGCAATGCAGAATACGGGCGATTTCTGCATTTCTAACTGAGGTACTGGGTTCATCTCACTGGGGAGTGTTGGAAAGTGGGTGCAGGACAGTGGGTGCAGCGCACTGAGCACCAGCCGAAGCAGGGAGAGGCATTGCCTCACCCAGGAAGTGCAAGGGGTCAGGGAATTCCCTTTCCTAGTCAAAGAAAGGGGTGACAGATGGCACCTGGAAAATCGGGTCACTCCCACCCTAATACTGTGCTTTTCCAATGGTCTTAGCAAAGGGCAAACCAGGAGATTATATCCCATGCCTGGCTCGGAGGGTCCCATGGCCATGGAGCCTCGCTCATTGCTAGCACAGCAGTCTGAGATCAAACTGCAAGGCGGCAGTGAGGCTGGGGGTGGGGCGCCTGCCATTGCCAAGGCTTGAGGAGGTAAACAAAGCCGCTGGGAAGCTCAAACTGGGTGGAGCCCAACGCAGCTCAAGAAACCTGCCTGCCTCTGTAGACTCCACCTATGGGGGCAGGGCACAGGCAAACAAAAGGGAGCAGAATCCTCTGCAGACTTAATTGTCCCTGTCTGACAGCCTTGAAGAGAGTAGTGGTTCCCCAGCACGCAGCTAGAGATCTGAGAACAGACAGACTGCCTCCTCAAGTGGGTCTCTGACCCCCGAGTAGCCTAACTGGGAGGCACCCCCAAGTAGGGGCAGACTGACACCTCACATGGCCGGGTACTCCTCTGAGACAAAACTTCTAGAGGAACAATCAGGCAGCAACATTTGCTGTTCACCAATATCCGCTGTTCTGCAGCCTCTGCTGCTGATACCCAGGCAAACAAGAGTCTGGAGTGGACCTCCAGCAAACTCCAACAGACCTGCAGCTGAGGGTCCTGACTGTTAGAAAGAAGACTAACAAACAGAAAGGACATCCACACCAACACCCCATCTGTATGTCACCATCATCAAAGACCAAAGGTAGATAAAACCACAAAGATGGGGAAAAACCAGAGCAGAAAAACTGGAAACTCTAAAAATCAGAGCACCTCTCCTCCCCAAAAGGAATGCAGCTCCTCACCAGCAATGGAACAAAGCTGGATGGAGAATGACTTTGATGAGTTGAGAGAAGAAGGCTTCAGACGATCAAAGTACTCCGAGCTAAAGGAGGAAGTTCGAACCCATGGCAAAGAAGTTAAAAACCTTGAAAAAAAAAAAAAAAAACAGACAAATGGCTAACTAGAATAACCAATGCAGAGAAGTCCTTAAAGGACCTGATAGAGCTGAAAACCAAGGCACGAGAACTACGTGACGAATGCACAAGCCTCAGTAGCCGATTTGATCAAATGGAAGAAAGGGTATCAGTGATGGAAGATGAAATGAATGAAATGAAGCGAGAAGAGAAGTTTAGAGAAAAAAGAATAAAAAGAAACGAACAAAGCCTCCAAGAAATATGGGACTATGTGAAAAGACCAAATCTATGTCTGATAGGTGTACCTGAAAGTGACGGGTAGAATGGAACCAAGTTGGAAAACACTCTGGAGGATATTATCCAGGAGAACTTCCCCAATCTAGCAAGGCAGGCCAACATTCATATTCAGGAAATACAGAGAACGCCACAAAAATACTCGTTGAGAAGAGCAACTCCAAGACACATAATTGTCAGATTCACCAAAGTTGAAATGAAGGAAAAAATGTTAAGCGCAGCCAGAGAGAAAGGTCGGGTTACCCACAAAGAGAAGCCCATCGGACTAATAGCTGAACTCTAGGCAGAAACTCTGCAAGCCAGAAAAGAGTGGGGGCCAATATTCAACATTCTTAAAGAAAAGAATTTTCAACCCAGAATTTCATATCCAGTCAAACTAACCTTCATAAGTAAGTGAAGGAGGAATAAAATCCTTTACACACAAGCAAACGCTGAGAGATTTTGTCACCACCAGGCCTGCCCTACGCTCCTGAAGGAAGCACTAAACATGGAAAAGAACAACTGGTCCCAGTGACTGCAAAAACATGCCAAATTATAAAGACCATAGAGGCTAGGAAGAAACTGCATCAACTAACGAGCAAAATAACCAGCTAACATCATAATGACAGGATCAAATTCACACTTAACAATATTAACCTTAAATGTAACTGGGCTAAATGCTCCAATTAAAAGACACAGACTGGCAAATTGGATAAAGAGTCAAAACCCATCAGTGTGCTGTATTCAGGAAACCCATCTCACGTGCAGAGACACACATAGGCTCAAAATAAAGGGGTGGAGGAAGATCTATCAAGCAAATGGAAAACAAAAAAAGGCAGGGGTTTCAATCCTACTCTCTGATAAAACAGACTTTAAACCAACAAACATCAAAAGAGACAAAGAAGGCCGTTACATAATGGTAAAGGCATCAATTCAACAAGAAGAGCTAACTATCCTAAATATATATGCACCCAATACAGGAGCACCCAGACTCATAAAGCAACTCCTTAGAGACCTACAAAGAGACTTAGACTCCCACACAATAATAATGGGAGACTTTAATACCCCACTGTCAACATTAGACAGATCAACGAGACAGAAAGTTAACCAGGATATCCAGGAATTGAACTCAGCTCTGCACCAAGTGGACCTAATAGAAATCTACAGAACTTTCCACCCCAAACCAACAGAATATACATTCTTTTCAGCACCACACCACACTTATTCCAAAATTGACCACATAGTTGGAAGTAAAGCACTCCTCAGCAAATGTCAAAGAAAAGAAATTATAACAAACTGTCTCTCAGACCACAGTGCAATCAAACTAGAACTCAGGATTAAGAAACTCACTCAAAACTGCTCAACTACATGGAAACTGAACAACCTGCTTCTGAATGACTACTGGGTACACAACAAAATGAAGGCAGAAATAAAGGTGTTCTTTGAAACCAACGAGAACAAAGACACAACATACCAGAATTTCTGGGACACATTCAAAGCAGTGTGTAGAGGGAAATTTATAGCACTAAATGCCCACAAGAGAAAGCAGGAAATATCTAAAATTGACACCCTAACATCACAATTAAAAGAACTAGAAAAGCAAGAGCAAACACATTCAAAAGCTAGCAGAAGGCAAGAAATAACTAAGATCAGAGCAGAACTGAAGGAGATAGAGACACAAAAAACCCTTCAAAAAATCAATGAATCTAGGAGTTGGTTTTTTGAAAAGATCAACAAAATTGATAGACCTCTAGCAAGACTAATAAAGAAGAAAAGAGAGAAGAATCAAACAGACGCAACAAAAAAATGATAAAGGGGATATCACTACCGATCCCACAGAAATACAAACTACCATCAGAGAATACTATAAACACCTGTATGAAAATAAACTAGAAAATCTAGAAGAAATGGATAAATTCCTCAACACATACACCCTCCCAAGACTAAACCAGGAAGAAGCTGAATCTCTGAATAGACCAATAACAGGCTATGAAATTGAGGAAATAATTAATAGCTTAT
The DNA here is from genome assembly GCF_000001405.40 of Homo sapiens. Lineage (NCBI taxonomy): Eukaryota > Metazoa > Chordata > Mammalia > Primates > Hominidae > Homo > Homo sapiens. The sequence goes on from NC_000012.12 coordinate 86,973,906, forward strand.
GAACAAAAAAAGTCGAGGATCAAATGGATTCAGAGCCGAATTCTACCAGAGGTACAAGGAGGAGCTGGTACCATTCCTTCTGAAACTGTTCCAATCAATAGAAAAAGAGGGAATCTTCCCTAACTCATTTTATGAGGCCAGCATCATCCTGATACCAAAGCCTGGCAAAGACACAACAAATAAAGAGAATTTTAGACCAATATCCCTGATGAACATCGATGCAAAAATCCTCAATAAAATATTGGCGAACTGAATCCAGCAGCACATCAAAAAGCTTATCCACCATGATCAAGTGGGCTTCATCCCTGGGATGCAAGGCTGGTTCAACATACACAAATCAATAAACGTAATCCAGTATATAAACAGAACCAATGACAATAACCACATGATTATCTCAATAGATGCAGAAAAGGCCTTTGACAAAATTCAACAACCCTTCACGCTAAGAACTCTCAATAAATTAGGTATTGATTGGACGTATCTCAAAATAATAAGAACTATCTATGACAAACCCACAGTCAATATCATACTGAATGGGCAAAAACTGGAAGCATTCCCTTTGAAAACTGGCACAAGACAGGGATGCCCTCTCTCACCACTCCTATTCAACATAGTGTTGGAAGTTCTGGCCAGGGCAATTAGGCAGGAGAAGGAAATACAGGGTATTCAATAAGGAAAAGAGGAAGTCAAATTATCCCTGTTTGCAGATGACATGATTGTATATCTAGAAAACTCCATCGTCTCAGCCCAAAATCTCCTTAAGCTGATAGGCAACTTCAGCAAAGTCTCAGGATACAAAATCAATGTACAAAAATCACAAGCATTCTTATACACCAATAACAGACCAACAGAGAGCCAAATCACGAGTGAACTCCCATTCACAATTGCTTCAAAGAGAATAAAATACCTAGGAATCCAACTTACAAGAGACATGAAGGACCTCTTCAAGAGAACTACAAACCACTGCTCAATGAAATAAAAGAGGATACAAACAAATGGTAGAACACTCCATGCTTATGGGTAGGAAGAATCAATATCATGAAAATGGCCATACTGACCAAGGTAATTTATAGATTCAATGCCATCCCCATCAAGCTACCAATGACTCTCTTCACAGAATTGGAAAAAACTACTTTAAAGTTCATATGGAACCAAAAAAAAGCCAAAAGAACAAAGCTGGAGGCATCACGCTACCTGACTTCAAACTACAAGCCTACAGTAACCACAACAGCATGGTACTGGTACCAAAACACAGATATAGACCAACGGAACAGAACAGAGCCCTCAGAAATAACACCACACATCTACAACCATCTGATCTTTGACAAACCTGACAAAAACAAGCAATGGGGAAAGGATTCCCTATTTAATAAATGGTGCTGGGAAAACTGGCTAGCCATATGTAGAAAGCTGAAACTGGACCCCTTCCTTACACCTTATACAAAAATTAATTCAAGATGGATTAAAGACTTAAATGTTAAACCTAAAGCCATAAAAACCGTAGAAGAAAACCTAGGCAATACCATTGAGGACATAGGCATGGGAAGGACTTCATGTCTAAAACACCAAAAGCAATGGCAACACAAGCCAAAATTGACAAATGGGATCTGATTAAACTAAAGAGCTTCTGCACAGCAAAAGGAACTACCATCAGAGTGAACAGGCAACCTACAGAATGGAAGAAAATTTTTGCGATCTACTCATCTGACAAAGGGCTAATATCCAGAATCTACAATGAATTCAAACAAATTTACAAGAAAAAAACAAACAACCCCATCAAGAAGTGGGCGAAGGATATGAACAGACACTTCTCAAAAGAAGACATTTATGCAGCCAAAAGACACATGTAAAAATGCTCATCATCACTGGCCATCAGAGAAATGCAAATCAAAACCACAATGAGATACCATCTCACACCAGTTAGAATGGCTATCATTAAAAAGTCAGGAAAGAACAGGTGCTGGAGAGGATGTGGAAAAATAGGAGCACCTTTACACTGTTGGTGGGACTGTAAACTATTTCAAAATTGTGGAAGTCAGTGTGGCGATTCCTCAGGGATCTAGAACTAGAAATACCATTGGACCCAGCCATCCCATTACTGGGTATATAGCCAAAGGATTATAAATCATGCTGCTATAAAGGCACATGCACACGTTTATTGTGGCACTCTTTACAATAGCAAAAACTTGGAACCAAGCCAAATGTCCAACAATGATAGACTGGATTAAGAAATGTGGCACATATATACCATGGAATACTCTGCAGCCATAAAAAAGGATGAGTTCATGTCCTTTGTAGGGACATGGATGAAGATGGAAACCATCATTCTCAGCAAACTATTGCAAAGTCAAAAAACCAAACACCGCATGTTCTCACTCATTTGTGGGAATTTAACAATAAGAACTCGTGGACACCGGAAGGGGAATAGCACACTCCGGGATCTGTTGTGGGGTGGGGGGAGGAGGGAGGGATAGCATTAGGAGATATACCTAATGTTAAATGACGAGTTAATGGGTGCATCACACCAACATGGCACATGTATACATATGTAACTAACCTGCACGTTGTGCACATGTACCCTAAAACTTAAAGTATAATAAAAATAAATAAAAATAAAAGACTTTCCAGAACATGTGTTTTCCTAAGCAAAGCAAGCATTCATGTAATTTTTTTCCCTACAACATATGTGTATATTCACTAATATTAAAAGTTCAATTTTTGGAACAGATATACTTCTGTCAAGAGTAGTAGAAATAAAATCAGTAGAAAACTTATGTTGTCTTTTTGAGATTTTTTTCCATATTGACTTCTATTAATCTTGGAAAGATTTATGTTATTTTATATAAGGGGTAAGGAATGTATTATTTTGCCTTAATTCATTTTCAAGTTCAAAAGACTCAATTTTTAGACACAATACAGTGTGTTTTATAACATAAAATAATATACAGCAGTTTAATTTTCATGTAAAATAACTTTAATTTTGTCTTCAGAAATATAGAATAAAATAAGTTTGAAAGAGCATGAAATCCACCAGCTTTTCTGGCACATAGGCCAAATGTGGACTCAGGCTGCTCCTTAAGGAACATGACAAATTTGAGTACCACAGCCTTTCTTGAGATGTACCCAGTAACCAAAAGAACATGCGTAATTCTTTAAAAAATTAAAGAAATGTGACTTGAAAATGAATATTTTTCATGGAAAACTTTTAGACTTACCCATATTTATAGTTGAACAACTGATTAAATGATATGAAAAGAACATTTGGATTTGTTTAGAAAATCCAAATTTCAAAATAAATCCAAATGTTCAAAATAAAATAGAATAACATGTTAATTTATATCGATCACACAAAGAGCAAAAGAACTATAAGATCTATTTATGGCAAGACTTTAGAGGTCATAGTCAATAGAAATGTGAATTGATGTAATTTGTTTGGAAAAACACCTTGTGAACCTAAGTCATTCCCCTGGATATATCCCATGGAAATCAAAGTAAGTGAATGCTTCCAGCATTTGTATTGCAGCATTGGATGCTGGGCTAACATAAAGAAATACTGTGCATGTTCATAATTTAAAAAATTCAAAGATGATGGTACATTCATGTCATGTACTCTCATATGGATATTAAAAATACATTGGAGGGATACCAGTCAATTGAATCTGCAAGGTCTTATTGAGTAAAAAGCCATGACTCAAAATAGTATAGTATGATCCCATATATGTTTGATTATAATTACACAAGCATAGATATGAAAACACATTCCACCAGTAAACAGGAGTGGTCAGAGTAGTAATATCAGTTGAGAAAAAGCAAAAAGTTCAAGGGAGAAAGATGAGCAAAAGAGGAAAATTTAAAAAGTAAACCAAACATTATACACTATGTAACCTAACCACATTTATAAGATGTTTAAAAACACATATATATATAATGAATTAAATATAATTTAAATTTTCAATTTTAAGTAGTCTAAAATTAAAAATATGAAACATATTTTATAATATGATATTAAAACAAGACTAATTTTTCAAGTAAACTACTTTCATATATGTGTATGTGTGTCTGTGTGTGTGTGGTGGGTGGAGAGGCTTAAGATGTCAGACAATCTATGAATGCAATCTTGTAACACAAAGAAAATAAAAATAATTCTTAATTCATTTATTAATCATAGAACAAATGCTGCCTTATGGAGAAAAGTGAAAAGTATAGTTACTTGAATGCCTATTATTTTCCTGACATTATTTATTCAGTAAATGTTTGTTGAGTTTCTACTATTTGCCAAGTTCTGTGTGAAGCATATAGGATATAGCAGTAAAGTGAAGTGGCATGGTCTCTGTTTTTTGGGCTAATAATATAAGACACAAGATATAAAATAAATCAAAATAAGTAACATAGTTCCAATGTAAAGGCAGTAATCATTGTTGCTGGGAAAGAGAGTAAGTGTGAAAGCCATATTATATATGGCAGTTAGGAAAGAACTACCTAGGCCTGCAGTCTGCAGATACATGAAAACAAGGGTAAGTGTTCCATGCATTGTGTTAAGGACTTGTAATGATCAGTTATATGAGTGGACCTCAAGAAGTTTGAGAAAAAAGTTCAATAAACGGATAGAAATTAAAAATATAAACTTTATTTCTCAACATAAGCTCCATCACATTCAAAACACTTTTGTAAGTGATACCAGCCATTTAGTGCATCCCTAAATAACTGAGGGTCCTGAAAATTTAACCATGTCAATGCAGTCTTTTTTACATGATTAACTGAAGGAAAATGGGTGCCCTTTTGAGATTTTTTTTTTTTTTTTTGGATTAGGAAACATAAAGAAGTCAAACATAGCCGAATCTAGAGTTAAAGGTGGATGCCTAATGACTTCCTACCAAAACTCTTGCAAAATTTCCCTTGTTTGATGAAAGGAATGAACAGGAGCATTGTCATGGTGGAGAGGGACTCTCTGGTGAAGCTTTCTCAGGCATTTTTCTGCTATAGTTCTGGCTAACTTTATCAAATCTCATAATAAGCAGATGTTATTATTCTTTGGCCCTCTAGAAAGTCAATAAGCAAAATACCTCAAGATCCCAAAAAACTATTACTATGGCCTTTCCTCTTCACTGGTCCACTTTGGTTTGAAGAGATAACTTCCACCTCTGGGAAGCCATGGCAATGATTGTGATTTGTCTTTAGGACCATACTGGTAAAGCCATTTCATCTCCTGTTACAGTTCTTTGAAGGAATGCTTTAGGATCTTGATCTCACTTGTTTAACTCAACAGGATTTTCTGTATTGATGGAAATGTTCTATATTTGTCCTGTCCAATACAATATCCACTAGCCACTACTGAGCACTAGAAATATGACTATTACATCTAGAGAGCTAAGTTGTAAATGTTATTTAATTAGAATTAATTTAAATTTTAATATAATAGCCAGATGTGGTTACTGGCTATGTATTCGGCAGCACAGATCATGACTGATGTTACTATATATATACTGTTCCGACCTTAATTGGGCTTTCAATGAAGTCCAGAAACTTGGTAATTTTCTTCTTAACTTTCTCTCTCAATCTTTACTATTTTAGATAAGAGTCAGGCTTCTCCAAGTTCTTTAATCTTATTCTCTACCTTCTTTCTCACTTTCATTAAATGACTGACTTTTTAACACACAATATACTCCATTAAGCTACTGTCACAAACACCGTGAACTTACTGCAAACACACCAATCATTTTCTGTTACCATCCAGTCACAATGAATAAAATGTCACTAATCTTCTAAAAAAAATAATTATTCCGGCCGGGCACGGTGGCTCACGCCTGTAATCCAGCACTTTGGGATGCCGAGGTGGGCAGATCACAAGGTCAGGAGTTTGAGACTAGCCTGGCCAGTATGGTGAAACCCCATCACTACTAAGAATAAAAAAATTAGCTGAGCATAGCGGCACACGCCTGTAGTTCCAGCTACTCAGGAGGCTGAGGCAAGAGAATCACCTGAACCTGGGAGGCGGAGGTTGCAGTGAGCCGAAATTGCGCCACTGCACTCTAGCCTGGGCGACAGAGAGAGACTCCATCTCAAAAATAAATAAATAAATAAATTATTATTATTTCAAATATGGTCTGGGGTGTTTGAATATTTATTATTATTAGTTAGTCCCCCTCTCCCTATATCTTTAATTTATTCTTTTATTCTAGATCATTTCTCTAATATTTTAATATGCCCAATTTCCTTGAGAATTTTTTCTCACTCTACCTCACATTGCACACTAACTAACATTCATTCTTGTATTAAAACACACAGTCAAAACCTACATGATAAATCATCTGTTAATAAAAATCAATATTTTTCAATCCTTATCCTATAAAAGTGAGATTTTTGACATAATACCAGAACTTTCTCCACCTTCTGGTCTTCTTCTCAATCTCCTTTTCAAAATCTCTTTCCTATGTTTATCCATTAAATATTCCTCAGGCCACTTTATTAACTCTCGCCTCCTCAGACCCTTAGCCATCTCCCTGAGCTTCAAGTAATGATTCCCAGCTCATGGCAGACAGATGCACTACACAAATTTCTTTCCACAGACAGACTCGTGCCCCACCGTTGGGGAAGGAACTTGTAAGCTAGCTTTCAGCACGCAGTAGCTTCAGGGTCTGTATCAGCTGCAGAGAACAAACTCCCCTGATGTTATATCATAGGTAATCCTTGCTGCAGCATTCCGTACCAAGTAGGCTGAAGCCTCCTTAGGCCTGTGTAACGGTTTAGCAGTTTCTTCTGTCTAGTTCTACTTCTTCCACATACACAAATATAGGTGGGTGCAAAAGTAGCTGCGGTTTTTGCAATTACTTTTAATGGGGAAACTGCAATTAATTTTGCACCAATCTAATAGATACAAGATGTAATGGAAGAGAAAAACAATTTAAAAGAGTAAGAAAAATATAAAATGCTGGGGATTTGATTTTTTTTAATGCAACATCTCTATGGAAAGAAAAGAAAACTACTGAAAGGATTGCAAGTATATTTGAACAAATGGAAAGCCATTTTTTGTTCCTGGATAACTTACACAACAACATTAAGGTGTAAAGATGCCTAGCTAATCTGCTTTTCTGATACACAGACACACACATGTATGTATGTGTATGTGTTTGTATGTGTATATATCCACCCTAATAAAATTAAACACACTATATTTAAGGAACTATAAGAACATATCAAAATCAACACAATCTCAATACACAAGTCTCTTGCCTTACTAATGTCCTTTTATACACGATGCAATCCAAATACAATTGTTAACAAGCTATTATTCATTTTTATCTAAAACAACAAATATTAATAATGAAGTTCCTATGGAAAGTTAAAATTAAGAAAGAACTTTTAAAAATCTCTTGAAAAGGGGAGCCATAGGAGATACCAGACAAGCTAGACATTAAAATATACTATTAATGTCTGCATAGCAACATGGCTGTACTATTGACTTGAATATTGACTTTGTATTCTTGCTTAACATATTTAAACACATTGACTCTTTGTCAAGTCTTTGAGATTTTCTATACAGAAAAACAAGTCTCGGGTAAATAGATTCATTTTTTATTTTTCTCCTTTAAATTTCATATGCATTTTATTTTTTTTTCTTTTATTGCATTGGCTGGAAATTCCACTGTGATGTTGATCAGCAATAATGAGAGTGGACATTCTTGGTCTCTTCCTGAACTTAGAGAGCAAGAAGGCACTTTATTAAGGTAGGATCATTAATATAGTTTGGCTCTGTGTCCGCACCTAAATCTCATCTCAAATTCTAATCTCCTGTGTCAAGGGAAGGACCTGGTGAGAGGTGGTTAGATTATGGAGACAGTTTCCACTATGCTGTTCTTGTGACAGTAAATTCTCAAGAGATCTGATCATTTAAAAGTGTGGCACTTCCCCCTTGCTTACTCTGTCTCTCTCTTTCCTGCTGCCATGTAACATGTGCTTTGCTTCCCCTTCACCTTCTGCCATGATTGTAAGTTTTCCGAGGCCTCTCCAGGCAGGCAAAACTGTCAGTTGATTAAACTTCTATTAAACAAAAGAGGTTTAATAAATTAACCAGTGTTGGGTACTATCTGTATAGCAGTACAAAAGTGGAGTAATACAGTGATAATCTTCTATTCATTATTTGCTAAGAATATTTATCATGAATTGATGTTGAATTTTGTCAAATGCTCTTTCTTTGTCAATTGAGAAAATCATATTGTATTTTTCCTTTAGTATATTAATCTGGTGATTTACATTGTTTTTTGTTTGTTTATTTGTTTTATTTTTGAAGCACTTTGTGCATTCCTAGGATGAACCAAACTTAGTGGTGAGCTATTACCTCTTATATATATTGCTGAATATAATATGCTAATGTTTTGTTGAGGAGCTTTTCATCTACTTTAACAAGGTATATTGACCTCTAGTTTCCTTCGTTTAATTACTTTTTTTAAATTAAAGCAATATCATCTTTATATGATGAGGTGAGAAGTGTTTACTTCCCTTCTATTTTTAAAATATATCATTTATAATTGTTATAATTTCTTTCCTTCCATCATCTGCAATGGCTTTCCAACGGTGCCTTAAGGAGGCAATTTTTATTTTGCTTTCTCTTGGCTGCTTAAATATTTTATACTGAATGGAAGATAGAGGAGGTGTGATCTAGGTAGTTTCAGGAGTGAATGCCATTCCATTTTCCCAGCCAGCACCAGGAGTGAGCTTTCTTGGACAGTTCAGACTTTTTTCTGTGATCTCATTGGGTTTAAACAGGGAAAGTCTGCAGAAAGTTGTGATGCCCTCATGTCTACAGCACCTAAGGGTTTCCCACACTCATCTAGTCCATTCTTGGTTTTGAGCAATGACCATATTTCTTATCTACTCCAGAAATAAGCAAAAAAGAGGGTCTTATTTCTTGAAGGTATTTTCTAATTCAGGTTATTTAATTGCACTGTAACCTCAGTTTTTGTGATGGTTCAAGAAAAATAATTAATGTGCAGTTTGCATAGGTTTATGAGAACTGAAACCAAACTCCTTTTAAAGAGCAGAAATCTGGCCTTTAAAATTATCTTGACAATTTATTTAAGGAAACATGTTAAGAACCTGTCAAAATCATTGACACAATTTTCATGCAAAAATCTTTTGCTGTTCTGATTAGTCTTTTACAACATCACAAAAACAAACTTTCTCCCAATATTAAAATATGCTTATTTAAATCTATTAATTTTCAAGTCAACTGAAAGAATAAAGTTCTAAGACGTGGTTTTTACAATTATTTTTGATTATATTCAATGCTTACATTTAATACAAGACACATGTATAGCATACAACTCAAATTCAAAAACCCTGAATGTTAAAACCTGATTATGAACATTAGAATACATTTAGTTTTGTAGAAATAAAAAGCCTCCACTAAATATGTCTTTTGTGACTTTGATGCATTTACTTTCTTAAATGTTCTTGAAAGTTCATTAATTATAAAAATTGAGATCAACTTATAAGACATCCAATAGAATGTTTTAATTCATGTATCTTCATCTAGTGGGAGCAATATTTTGAGATATTAATTATTCATTTTTATCTATATCATATCATATTGCATTATAGTATATTAGCATTTTTCTTCCCTCAATTCTAGAATTTAGATGATATGATACAAAGCAGAAACTACTTGTGACTCTTCCTAGATTTTGTTTCCAAAAGCCAAAATTTATGTCTAGGAAAATGAGCTTGAGTAGGAAATAATATCTGTAGCTGTTTCCATATCTACACCTATCTGTCAGTCAGCCTTTCTGTCCTTCTGTCTATCACCAGGAACAGGCATAGCAGGGGTAGGTTCAACCCTGGATAGGAATAAGATTCCAGGCATTCCAATCCTTGAGATTTAACTAAGAAACCTAAAATGTATGTCTACAAAATGACATGCATATAAATATTCATAGCAGCTTTATTAGTAATAGCTCTAAATTTGAAACAACCCTAATGGCCTTCAACATTAATAATGAAACAAATTAACAAATAAGCAAATTACAGTATATCTATATAATGGAATGATATGTAGCACTAAATATAGACAGCCACATAGATAAATAGTAAAATAATTGCAGAGTGAAAGAGAGCTAGAAAAGATAATATTGTGCATGAATCCACTTATATAACATTCTAGAAAATACTAACTAATCTACAGTGACAGAAAGCAGATAAGTTGTTGCTTGGAATGGGAGAATATGAATGTGCAGAGGAGGAAGAGGAGATTAAATAGCAGCGTGGGAAAACTCTTGGGAGTGATAGATGCTTATTGTCTTGATTTTAGTGATGTTTTTATGAGTTCATACATATGTCAAAATCACCAATTGTACATTTTAAATATATACACATATTTAAATATATATTTAACACATTATATATACATTATTGGTCATATATGTTTATATATAAGACATACATGGAAAAAAATGTATGTATGATCAAGTATAAAAATACCTGGAAACTGGAGTGGCTGTATTAATATTAGACACTTCAGAATTTAGAGCAAGTAAGTACCTCAGGGATAGAAAGGAACCTTAAATAAGAAAAGAGAGCAATTAAGCAAGAAGATATAGCCATCCTAATTTTATATGGACTTAAAGACAGTCTAAGTACATAAAGCAAAAGCTGGTAGAACTGAATCAGATATTTCAACACCACTATCTCAGAAAATGAAAAAACTCACCTACAGTCCAGAAAACTTTACATATAATAAAAGAAACAGATACGCACTATCAAACTACTTCCTTAATTGATATAGAATACTCCAATAAACAAGATAAAATTGAACTTTCTTTTCAAATGCATGGGGAATATTTATGAAGATGTATAATGTACCAGACCACAAAAAATGTTGATTCATTTAAAGAAATGGAAATATTACAAGGTATTTTCTCTGCACATTCATGTTTATAGCAGCACAATTCCCAATTGCAAAAATATGAAATCAGCCTAAATGCCCATCGATCAACAAGTGGATAAATAAAAATATGTATATATATATATGTATGTATACACACACACACACACACACACACACACACACACACACCATGGAATACTACTCAGCCATAAAAAGGAGCAAAATAATCGCATTTGCCACAACCTGGATGGAATTGGAGAATATTATTCTGTTAAGTGATGTAAGTCAGGAATGGAAAACCAAACATTGTATGTTCTCACACACAAGTGGGAGCTAAGCTATGAGGACTCAGAGGCATAAGAATGATACAATGGGCTTTGGGGACTTGGGGGAAAGGGTGGGAGGAGGGTGAGGGATAAAAGTACAGTGTACACTGCTCAGATGACAGGTGCACCAGACTCTTACAAATCACCACTTAAGAACTTGTTTATTTACAAAAATAAATAAATACATACATACATACATATTAAAAAAGGAAACAACTTGAAATACCTGGAAGTAAATTAAACACAATAGTAAACTCTCCAAAAATTGATCCTCGCTATTTGCAGATTTCGTATTTGCAAATTTGCCTTCTTGCTAAAATTTATTTGGAAATCTCAAATCAATACTGCCAGCATTTGACCGGGCATCTGTTAACATAGAGCTCTGAAAATTTGCATGCACTGCTAGGATGCACACATTCCTAGCTGAGATTGAATAAGGTAATACTCTGTCTTCTGGTTTGGGCTCTTTGAAGAAAGGCTAGATCTGTCTCTGGGGGCATTTGGACAAGGTTTGAATCCCAGCTTTCGCACCTGATTCAACCTGACTGACTCTTTTAAAAAAATAATACAGAAGCAAGATGAATTGTTTTTAGTGTATAAGATTATAATCTAGGTGAGATATGTGACACACACACACCCCATACACTCCAAATATTTCCTCTAGGAGTAATGATTCTGTATTCACTAATTCAGTGTTCACTGTGACTTTAGAAAACATGATGAACATGAATGATGATAATTGGCTCTATTTGTCGGTTAAAACACTTCTAAATAATCCACCAATCAAAAAAGGAATTGCAAAAACATATTTAAATGTATTTTGAACTAAACAAAAATGAAAACATCAAAATTCGTGGGATGCAGCTAAACTAATGCTTAGAGATAAATTTATTAAATCAAATATTTACGTAAGAAAAATAAGATAATTTTCATATTAATGACTCAAACATCCACCTGAAAAAAACTAGAAAGAAAACAGCAAACTAAGTACAATGGAGACAAGGGAAATAATAAACATAAGGGGCAAAATTAATGACACAGAAAACAAAAATGATTAAAGGAAGTCAATAAAATAATATATTGGTTCTTTGAATAAATCAATATAACCAGTAAAATACTAGACAGATTAGTGTAAAAAAAAAGAAAAGAAAAGAACAAGTTAATGTCAGGAAAAAAGAAGGAAGATTGCTACAGATCATGGAGACAGTAAGAGTATTAAAAGGAAATATAATGACTTTATTATGTCAGTAATATTTACATTATCCACACTCCTTTAAAGTTATAAATTATCAAAACTCACTCAAGGAGGAACAGATAATGTGAAGAGCTGTATATCTATTACATTAAGTTTAACTGAATCTCTTTAACCCCTAAAAAGATAGAAAACAAAAGCAAAACTTTAAAAGCCCTGAAAAATCCAGGTCCAATTAGTTTCATTCATGAATTTTGTTAAATATTTAACACTATTTCTGTATTAACTCTTTCAGAAATGCACAATGAGGGAACATTTCCTATGTGATTTATGTAGCCAGCAATACCTGAAACCATAACTGGACACAGACATAATGTAAAATAAATCTACCGACCAATATTATTTGTGAATATAAACTAAAGAAAAGCTTAACCAGATATTAATTAATCAAATCTAGTAATATAGGAAGGATAGTATATTATCTCCAAACATGTTGTCTTAGGAATGCAAGAGTATGTAGACATTTGAAATCAGTTAATTTAATTTCCTGTATGTATTAGGACTAAAGAGTAAAAATCATGATTATCACAACGCATGGAGCAAAAGCCTTTGATGTAGTACAATATCGATTCAGGGACAAAAGTGTTCAGCAAACTCAACACAGAGGAGAACTTAAAGTAGTAACAGTTCACTACCAAAAAATTATAATTAATAATTATGTAGCAAACATCTTAATTCATTATGAAAAAGTGAGTGCCTTTGCCCTACAACTTGGAACAAGAGAGGGATATTTGCTCCCACTACTTCCATTAAACATTGCCCTAGCCAATACAACACGACAATAAAGGAAATAAAAGTTCTTCAGATTGAAAAGAAACAAAACTCTCTTTATTTGCAGAAAGGATGAAAATCTGCATAGAACATACCAAATTACGAACAACAAGAAAAGCTACTAGCACTAAATAAGTGAGTGAGTTTAGCAATGTGGCAAGATACATGGTTAATATGCCTGGGCAAAAGATTTGAACAGACATTCACCAGAAAAATACGGCAAATGATCACATTAAGATATGCTCTAATCATAGTCAATACGGTAACCTAAATTAGAATCATAGTGAGATACTACCAGATTCTTAACACAATGGTTCAAGTTTAAAATGTATAGTACTAACTATTGGTGATAATGTAATATAACTGAAACTGTTGTGAATGCTACTTTGAAAACCAGTTTTTCATTTCCTTATGTAAATAAACATGCTTTTTGCTATATAACCCACTACTTGAATTGCTAGTTATCAGTTAAGAGACAGGAAAACATGTACTGACAAGACTGTGAATGTGCATAGTAACATTATTAATAATATTTCAAATATAGGAATAATATCAACTTTAAGTTTGAATGGATACATGGGAATATATGGATGAGTAAAATAGAATAATCTACTCTGTAAGAGAAAGAATTATTGCTACCTGCAAACTCATGGTTAAATTTCAAAAGCATTTCATTATGTTAGAAAAACCAGACACAAAAAGCTAGGTACGATATTATTCTATTTATATGATATTATGAAAAAGATTTAACTATAGGGTCAAGTATCAAATCAGTCATGGCCATAGGCTATTGCCTGGGATGAGGGAAGTGATAATAAAGGGCATGAGGGGACTTTATTATGACAATAGAATTGTTTTGTATTTTCATTTTTATGATGGTTGTATGACTTCATACACTTGCCATAAGTCATTGAGCAATACAGTTTTAAATACTGTTATTTTATCCAGTTTATACCTCAATAAGTCTGATTTTATTGTTTTGGGAAATGAAAAATTACACTCTATTTCTCCAAGACAAGAAAATAGACTGCACAAGACATATATTATCTAAAGATAGTCTCCCATTTTTATTAAGTAAATGACCTTACATTTATATTTTTTCTATAATTTATTTTCCTTTTAAGGTTTCTTTTATAAAACTTTATTTCTTTCTCACATTTATATTTCTTTCCAAATCGTTTGTGTAGGAACAAAGTTCTTGTCTGTCAATCAAAAAGAAATGGGTTAATTTATAAATTATACAGTTACTAAGATTTAGTCAAAAGTAATTTCTATGCAGTCACAAAAACTAAAATATTAGTTTAAGAATATGAAATTGAAAATATCATGATTCTTAATTGCATAAAATATTTTATACACACAAATACATCTTTTGTTCAGAAATAATTTACTATTATGTTAAAAGATTCATTACAGCAACATAAAGTACATTAAATTATACAAGAAAATTTAAACAAAAATGTAAAGATTTAGGGAATAAGGTTAGTATATCCTTAAATTCTAGTTTTTTATGTAGAGGCCAAAAACTTGCCTCCAAACTTTATAGCAAAGACAAAATTCACACTGTGCATGAGGTGAATATAAATCTGATGTTCTAGAAAAGCACAAATGATATAAATAGACAAGTGTTATTTGCTTTTGCCCCCATAAAGAATATATTCTGAGCAATACTTTAACCACATGTTAAGAATAAAAATAGATTGTTATATCCCTCAACAGAGATTAAGGTACTCACATCAAAGAACATTTTTAAAAAATAATTAGATGAAAAGGAGTGATTCAAAAACCTGATTCTCAGGTAGCCTATCTTAATCCAAGGGAAGTTTGATATCATGCAGAGAAATGAATAAATCTATACCCATTTGGTAATTTTTAATAAATAGATTTTATCTCTGAACGCTTTTTTTTTAACTACTAAATCTTCTGCCCCAAACCCTAGGGATAAAAAATGTTCTTTTTCCTTGTGAGGAGGCTTCTTTCTTCATCTTCCTTTGTCTTTAAAATTGTAAGATCTAGAGGTCCAAAATGGGGTGAAGACCTACAGGAAATGGGTCAAAGAAGCCACTCAACTTGATTTTATTTTCTGCCAGGGATTGGAGATCCAAATTAGTCTCTGTGATTCACATACAGTCACCATTTCAGGCAACTAAATGGAGTTTGGGCCAAAGCTCAGCTTGTGATAAAGTTAATGCATTTGACAGGTGCAGATGCATCTGCCTTCCTCAGGGACATAAAAGGGTGCCTATTGGAAGCAGATGAGTTTTATTTTATTTTATATCCATTATTATTCTTCTAGCAGACATGGCTGAACAAAATAATTTTATCTGCATTAAACTGTAGTTTAATTTCTGGCCAATACTTTGTTTTTCATGAAAACTAATAGCTAAGGTTCTCCCCTCTTTTACTAACAGTTTCACTCATGACTCTTCGACAGGGGTGGCATAGTTATTTTAGTGTTGCTAACATTCAAGGGTTTTTCTTAAAATGAAAGTGAGCTTTTATAAAGCAATTAGCTCATTTCAAAATAAGCCAACTGAATTATTTGATTCTTTCTATCAGGACACTAAAGTGAAAGATTTGAACTCAAAGGTTTTACCCTGAGTGCATTTTGATCATTGCTATTTCCTGAACAATATTCTAAAGCAATACTCATTTCAGTGAGGATATCATGTAACTAAGTCCAGAGAAGATAACTTTCTTTCAGAGCCATCTACCTCAAAATTACATCATCATAACTGCACTCCAAATGGACCTACTCGTCTTTGAAATGTTTTAAAAATAAAGTTTTCCAACACCAGTTCTAATTTTACATAGAAGTCTTTTAAAATAGGGTGAAAAACATGCTACATATTATTTACAGTGAAAAAAGGAGGTGACATAAAAACTAAATAAATTGCACATTTCTTTGTGGTCTAACATTTATCCATGTACCATCTTAACTCCGAGCAGGCAAATTTACTTTTCCCCTCCACTTTAACCTCCAGGCCAAGAACGTCAAATTGAATTAACTTACTATTCAGTAAGATTGTTTATGAAACCGAGCAATTATGGTAAGTTAGTTCATCCTTATTCTTCTCAGTTCTGCATATATAACACTGATTAAGTTAAAACTCCAATTTACATATTACAATCAGTGGTTGACTAAACTGTCATATTTTTCAATTTTGAGGTAACAGTAATTAAGAGAAATGAAAAATTCATCTAAGAGGTGAGCCTAGAAAAGCCTTTATGCAGAAAAATTACATATAATTGTACTCTTCTTAGGAGTAGTGGAGTTGTTGCAGTAATGACAAGAATGGTTGTGCTTTACTCATGATGGATTTGAAAGGGTTTGAAGTACACCACTGGTGAATACTTTCAATCAGTAAATCTTATACAACAAAATACAAATTAGCTATCTACATTTTAATCTTGATAGTTGCTCCTACCTCTAAAACAACCTCCCCCAAAATAAAAAATATTGTAGTTCTGATTATAAATTTAATACATCTGATGCAATAGTATCCTTTGGAATACATCTGTAACAATTTTCTGAACAAGTTTCTCCCTGTTTTGAGTCACAACCTTTTTCCAGCTTTTAATATATTTTTCTTATCAAACAATTACCTATGTTTTGCTATTAAAAACATTGCTCACAAGATATAATATATAATTTACCTTAAATTGGAAATGTTTTATGTTCTATGCACCATGGCACATACTGGGGACTTAGGAATAAGGCATGGTCTCTGTACTAGGAGAACTTGTCATTCAGTAAGAGAGTCAGAGACATAAATAAACACCGACAGTTAAGCATGATAAATGCAAAGCAGGAAAAGCATACAGATATTGCACAGAGAGTGAGTGATTATTACAACTTAAGGGAGTCAGGGAAGACTTCTCAAAGAAAGTGATGTGTGATTTGGGACTTAAGAATGAATAAAATATTCATCAGGTGGATAAAAAGGCATTTTAAATAATGGAACTTAGATATCCAAAGAAATAAAAATAGGAATGTATTATTCTTTTATAAACAAAATTCAACCACTTTTCATAACAGAACCCATGCTAATGTCACTAGTGAGATATTCACACCCTCATTCAGGTTTATTTTATCACTATTCAAAACTCCCCTATCAGCTGTGTTTTATGGTACTTCTCAGGTATTAAGCACTCAGATTCTCCTTCGGGTTACATGGTAGGATTGTACTTTCTCTCCTAATTTAATGGTAGTTCTGAAGAAGTGACTTTATTCGATCAATGCAATATGGGTGGAAGTAGTGTCTGCTATATTAGGTAAATGCTTTAAGATCTGATGTATTATTTGACACATTTTATTCCATCTGTCATGGTGACCACGAATACTCACATTGAGAATGAGCCTTTATGAGCCTGCATTCTTGAGTGACAATAAGCAGATTCCAACCTGCTCCTTGATGGACATTTAATGTAAAGGAATAATAAATATTTAGTCTCATGTATCAATAAGATATTGAGTTGTTTGCTACCATAGCATAGTCCAGCCCATCCTGACTGCTGATGGTTTTAAACATTTGAATATTAATCCTTTGGTATCAAAATGGAGTGGTTAAATGAGAGAGACGTTGCCTCTATACATAAAATGTATATTATTGTATAGTATATCTAAGTATTATAGTGATTTTCCTTAGAACCAGCACTGCACAGCTTATACACATATTCCTGCACATACATAGCCATAATTATTCCCCCAGCTTTAAAGTGTTCTCCTAACACTCTAAACTTTGTTCTCATAGCATTTATCAACTTACAATTGTGAAATTACTGCTGTGATTATTTCATTACTGTTGCCGCCTCCATATATTGTGATTTCCTAGTAGATAGTGCCATCTCCATACACCGCAGTGAAGAGCAAAGACATTGAATCAGAGTGAATATTTAATAAGTAAGTGAAGGTTAAAAATTAAATGAACTGATATGTGAGCATATAAATCTATGGTAAATTGAGAGCACTAAATGCATATTTATTAATTTGACTACCCCTTAAAGGCTTAGATAAGGAGAAAAGATAACTAGTACAAGTTTTTGTAAGTAGGTTTTACTAACCAGGATTTAAAATAATAAACAAAATCTAAAATCATTGACCTAAGAGCTAAGGGATTATTTACAATGATTTAATGCTTTTTCGGTTTTTTTTTGCATTTTATAGCTTAGAAAACTGAAATCTAGACAGACTTGTGATTTACCAGTAGTGACACAGTGGGTCAATGGCATTGCTTTCAATTTCGTGATAATAATGATGCTTTTCCTTCTTAGAATGATGTTTCCACAAATTAATAAAGACTCAAAATGAATAGCTGCCATTTGACAGCTGCATCATCTTGAAAAAATATTTCAACCTTTGGGACTTTGGTGTTCTCATCTCTAAAAAATGAATATCAATATTATCTACCACAATGGTTTGTTATGAGGACTAAAAAAGTTAATGCATGCTTAATACATAAGAAGAATTTCTGCATACTATATATGTATGTATATGTATATGTACATATCTATACACAAACTATAACTTTTCACACATACGTTTGGTATGATGATGATGGTGATAAATACATATGTCACAAATTGTGGAATCTTTAAAAGTTTCAGAACTTTAATCTTTCTTAATGTATACTTTAAGTCTTTGAAAATAGCCATGAAATTAGATAAAATTTCTAAGACTAAGGAATTTTATGATACAGGATGAGAAAATTACAAGCATGTTTAAAAGGACATGAAGATCAACAATTTGTCAAAATAGTAAGCCAGATAACTACTAAGTTTAGAAAGAAAGTATATTAATAAAATTTAAATGCTAAAAAACAAATATTAGGCTTCATAACCAATGTAATTAAACATTTTTAGAAAAGGTTAACTAAAATATCCAGTTATACAGAGATCAACTGTTTTAACTATTTTGTTTGTTATGTGGACTTCAATCTCAAGGTTTCCAAGGGGCTTGCCTAAGGTTGCATAGTGTCTGAGGGGTGATAATTCTGAATCTGCACTCCCCCATCCTTGGTCTAATTACAAGAGATTTATATTAGTATGTATTTTACAGTATTTGTAATACAGGCTTATTAATTCAGACTTCCACCAGAAAATGAATGTGTGGTATTCTTGCAGATGATCATCTACCCCCACTAGGTCAGATTTTTCCCATTTATTTTAGAGTCCATTTTTATTCCATACATTCACCTTTCTCAGACCATTGTTTATGCCACAATCAATCTAGGTTATAATTAAAATCTATCATAAGATTCTAAAAAAACTTTAAGGTTACTGTTAGAAAGGTTGCAGATAACTTGAAAAAATGTAGATACTAAAGATGGTTTATGCCCCAGTGAGATAAATTATTGCATCCATGCAGATGAGTGACTATGCATGTTAATATCTAACCCACCTAGGCAGAACAAAGTTGGTTAAAGTAGAATCCTGTAAAGGAAACTACTTTCTGCTAATTCTATATAAAAATAAACATTGAGAGCCTTTTAAGTCAGGACTTTATGAAAGTTTGTAAAGGAATTGTTGAGAATTATTGAATACATATGCTTCAATAAGAGCATTGTGTATAATATATATGTATATGTACACACATGAACACACATGAATATATACTTTATGTATATATTAGGTATCTCTATGCATATGTACCACATATATATGCTATGCAACTTTCTATTTTTGTATGCAAGTATGTGTATATATGTGTATGTATATCCTATTGTAGTTAATTTTGGCATACTACATAAAACTATAGTGTTGAAATTGCGAAAAGATAGAATTCTAATATGTAAATGTAATATTCTTTATAAAGAAGGCACTAGTAAAACAAAGAAAGCTTACAAAAATAAACCAACCCTTAACATTGTCTTAAAGTATAGTCTCTGTTCTTAGTACTTTCTGTTTCCTTGTAGTCCCTTATGATTATTCTTGCAAGCCTGTTTTTTACCATAGGATTCTTAGAAATCATAATCCTTGTATAAGGAAAATTATTTCTTTTGCAGAAAATTTTAAGCCTTTGTACATGACCTTAACTTTCACTTGAAACAGACATTTTTCAACATTTTGACTGAAGAATCTTTATGTCTCGCTAAACAGTATTGCACAAGGATTCTCAAATCCAACTACTGCTTGCATACTAGTTCTGAAGAGTCCCTAGGGTCTCAAAAATTTAAGACAATGTATGGCCAATGTTCTTAAAACTAGACCCTTGTGATAACCACAAATTAGAGGTGGGATGTCAGCATTCATTTTTCACACCTGAAGGTATTGAACCAAGCAGTGTTATCTTTGTGTAATTTGATATTGTCTCTTTCCCAGCTAACTTTTGGAGTGAAATGTTCAATGCTTGAGAAAATATAAAAGCTGTTTTCAATTTAAAAGTTTCTAATTATCAGAATTTTTGTTTAAAAATATATTCACTATGGTTTGACTTAAGAACCTTGATTGGAATTAATATTTACAGGTAACAGCATTTTTAACATCTGTATCTTTAAACACAGCATTTTAGTTTTCCAAAAATAACATGTAATAAAATAAAGTTAGAATGCCCATTACATGTTTTAAAATTGGCATAATTCAAGATTAATGCATCCAAAGGGGAAGATAAACTTAGGGCAATGCATTTTTGGAGATTATAAATCTATAATGAATACAGTTGACTGTATTCTATAATACTGTTCTTTAATTTTTCATCATCATTAGTAGTATATTATTGAAAGGCCCTTTGTAAATAATCTATATACCTTATTGTAGTTATGAGGTTTTTGAATAAGTAATGTTCAAATATTTTTTGCCTTTTAGGTGCATTTTTTTTTTCCTTTACCTCTAGCGGCATTGACACCATCATCACATAATGAGTGCTTGGATAACATTCATTTGCCTCTGTCTTGGTTCCCTTGTTTTTCTGTCCTATTTTTTGTATACTAATAATAGAATCTGCTGAAATAATGAGGTGACAGCTCCTTTGAAAAGTATATATATATATATATATATATGTGTGTGTGTGTATATATATATATATATATATATATATAAAAAGCAGTGTTCCCTTATTCCATTTTATGCTGCTATAACAACATATCAAAAGGTGGGAAATTCATAAAGAACATAAATGTATTCTCTCACAGTTTTGGAAGCTTAGAGTTTCAAAATAAAGGCTATTGCACATTTGTTGTCTGGTGAGGGCTGTTCACTAATTCCAAGATGGTGTATTCGTCCATTTTCACACTGCTGATAAAGACCTAATCGAGACTGGGCAATTTACAAAAGAAAGAGGTTTAATGGACTTATAGTTCCATGTGGCTGGGGGACCTCACAATCATGGCAGAAGACAACGAGAAACAAGTCTATAGAAAGCTTCTATTGACTTGAACCCCATTAAATAATTTTAATGGCACAAAGGTGTCATTCGCCCCTTTTGAGGTGTTCTGTTTTCTTGTGGAGTTTCAAGAGTCATAGGCAAATTCTTCTTAGGTGTAAAGCTCTGTTTTCCTGTTTTGCATTACCTGACCTTTTTGGCTGTGGAGGTACCAGAGATTACCTTGTACTGTGAGAGGATTTGACCTTGGCATGTGTAATGGCAGACAAGAGCTACAAAGTAGGGGTGACTGAGCACAGTTTACAAGAAGTAGTCTTGGCTGTTTTATTATTATTATTAGTATTCCTCTCCTAAGAAGTTGTTTAAGGATCCTAATTCTAATTCAGAGATGCATTCTAAGGGGTATTCAGTATTGCTTTTTCTCTCAAAATTAATCTCAATTTGGGTTGTCTGTGAACATTTGCATGAGGAACTGAATGAACTGTTGTTTTCATAGGTAAAAGACTGAGTTTTCTCAGCTCCAGAGAGAAAGGACATTTGCTCCTCCCAGCTGAAAGGTGCCCCTGAGTGACTGGGGGCCTCATGGGAGTGTCTGCAAGGTTGATCCCCCACAACGAGCAGTGGCCCCACAGGGAAATTTCCAACAAAAATTATTTTTTAAAAAAGGCTCATCCCGGAAATGCATAGAAGGGCTGATCACCCAGCGTTTTGGGCCCTCTCAGAGGTCATAGACCTTTGAAGAGATAAACTGAGACACGTAAGAGGACAGATGATACAACACAGTGGTGACACACTGTGGAGTCTTGCTCACAAGCAGCACGCATCAATCCACCACATAAAAACCCTAGGCAACAGCTCAGTTTCTCCTTTTAAGAAAAAAAGTGGGAAACAAGTAATATTGGTATAAGGAGAAAACAAGGAGAATTACCTTTTCAAGGACCTGTTAGATTTTACGACACCTCTACTCACCAGAGTTTATGTAAAATGGAAGTAATGTGGTCTTTATGCACATTTACATCAAGGAAAAAGAGCCCTAAGGTCGACCTGCAAACTATAGCGTTTCTAAGTTTTCTTTTTCTCTATTGTTCTTTTCTGCCTGCTTTAAATCCGCTGTTTGGATCCAACAGGTTCTTTTTACAAGCCAGTGAATTTGTATATATCTCATGGTTAAAGTTCTGAAATAAAAGCTATAGGATCTTTGTGTGTGTGTGTGTGTGTGTGTGTGTGTGTGTGTGTGCGCGCGTATTTAAAAGGCCTTTATAATTTCTATAATTTAATGTTTAATTGGCAATTAAATCCATTTTAATTCCTTTCTAGCACACTAGACATTTTTTCTCTGTACCTTATGATGTAAATTTTGCTATTTGATTTTCACCTAAGTTGTTTCCTTTAATATGCAAATTTAAGTCTATTTAGCTGACAATTGCGTAGGGTAGTAAAACAGGTTATCAAAAATTTGAAAGTGTAAGGTAGGAAAAAAAGGTTTTTATGAATCTATAAGATATATTTTTATCATCATACCTAATATGTCTGTGTATCTATGTGTTGTGTACAGAATGTTTCACTACTGAAAATATATAAAAGAGCTCCAACTAATTGGCTTAAGAAAATAAAAGTACTTGAATCAAATACTTCATCAGGAAGAAGGAAAAGACTAATCAAATGCTCTTTCAAGTTTATGTAAATTAAGTAAAATCTTTAATAAGCTAGCTTTAAAATTATTGGTTAACTAATATTAGAAATGTCTTAAAACTGCCAGCATTCATTTTAGTTTCCATTTATTAATCAAGCAATTTCATACTTGTCCCTGCCAAATACTATAAGGTATCAAAATGTGGCATAGGGGTTACAAAACCATAAACCCATCCCAAAACAGAATGATCTTTGCTTATGTAATCTTTAATAAATAAGACATTGATATTGGTTTAATAAAAATGCTACATCTTGAATTTAATAAGGTTACCATAACTTCCAACCTTGTGGCTTTAGATAGTCTAGTCCACAGGCTATAAGATTTGTTTTGGAAAGGGACTCTTATCATCTTTGATTTAAAGGTAAACTATAAACTAAGTTCCTCCCAATTAGCTCAGAATATGCCCAGGAATGAACAAGGACGGCTTGGAGGTTAGAAGAGAGATGAAATCATTTAGGTCAGATCTTTTTCACTGTCTGTTATAATTTTGCCACGATGGTTCTATAACTTTAAACTACAACTGTATTAGTCTGTTTTCATGCTGCTGATAAAGACATACCCAAGACTGGGCAATTTACAAAAGAAGGAGGTTTAATTGGACTTACAGTTCCATGTGGCTGGGGAAGCCTCACAATCATGGTGGAAGGCAAGGAGGAGCAAGTCACGTCTTACATGGATGGCATCAGGCAAAGAGAGAGCCTGTGCAGAACCACCCCCCCTTATAATAACCATCAGATCTCATGAGACTTACTATCACAAGAACAGCACAGAAAGGTCCACCCCCATGATTCAATTACCTTCCACTGGGTTGCTCCCACAACACATGAGAATTTAAGATGAGGTATGGATGAGGACACAGCCAAACCATATCATTCCACCCCTAGCCCCTCCCAAATCTCATGTCCTCACATTTCAAAACCAATCACGCCTTCCCATCAGTCACCCAAAGTCTTAACTTATTTCAGCATTAACTCAAAATTCCACAGTCCCAATCTCATCTGAGACAAGGCTAGTCCCTTCTGCCTATGAGCCTGTAAAATCAAAAGCAAAAATTAGTTACTTCCTAGATACAATGGGGGTACAGGCATTGGGTAAATACAGCCATTCCAAATGGGAGAAATTGGACAAAACAAAGGAGCTACAGGCCCCATGCAAGTCTGAATTCCAGCAGGTCAGTCAAATCTTAAAGCTTCAAAATAATCTCCTTGGACTCCTTGTCTGACATGCAGGTCATTCTGATGCAAAAGGTGGGTTCCCATGGTCTTGGGCAGCTCTGCCCCTGTGGCTTTGCAGGGTACAGCCTCTTTCTCAGCTGCTTTCACAGGCTGGTTTTTGTGTCTGTGGCTTTTCCAGGAACAGGGTGCAAGCTGTTGGTGGATCTATCATTCTGGGGTCTGGAGACCAGTGGCCCTCTTCTCATATCTCCACTAGGCAATACCCCAGTAGGGACTCTGTATGGGGGCTTTCACCCCACACTTCTCTTCTGCATGCCCTAGCAGAGGTTTTCCATTAGTGCCCCAACACTGGAGCAAACTTCTGTCTGGGCATCCAGTCATTTCCATACATCTGAAATCTTGGCAGAGGCTCCCAAACCACAGTTCTAGACTTCTGTGCACTCGTAGGTTCAACAACACATGGAGGCTGCCAAGGCTTGAAGCTTGCACTCTCTCAAGCTACAGACCAAAATCTACATTGGCCTCTTTCAACCAGGGCTGTGGTGGCTGGAATGCAGGTTCCAAGTCCCTAGACTGTACATAGCACAGGGACCTTGCACCCAGCCCAGGAAACCACTTTTTTCTTCTAGGCCTCTGGGTCTGTGATGAGGGGGGCTGCAATGAAGACCTCTGACATGCCCTGGAGACATTTTCCCCATTGTCTTGGGGATTAACATTTGGCTCCTCATTACTTATGCAAATTTAGGCAGCTGGCTTGAATTTCTCCTCAGAAAAATTGGATTTTCTTTTCTGTCATATTGTCAGGCTGTAAATTTTCCAAACGTTTATGCTCTGTTTCCCTTTTAAAACGGAATGCCTTTAACAGTGCCCAAGTTACCTCTTGAATGCTTTGCTGCTTAGAAATTTCTTCTTCCAGACACCCTAAATTATCTCTCTCAAGTTCAAAATTCCACAAATCTCTAGGGCAGGGACAAAATGCCACCAGTCTCTTCATTGAAACATGACAAGAGTCACCTTACTCCAGTTCCCAACAAGTTCCTCATTTCCATCTGAGACCACTTCTGATTGGATTTCATTGTCCATATCATTATCAGAATTTTGGTCAAAGCCATTCAGCAAATCTCTAGGGAGTTCCAGACTCTCCCACATTTGAGGGGTTCCTCTGAGCCTTCAAAATTGTTCCAACCTTTGCCTGTTACCCAGTTACAAAGTAGCTTCCACATTTTCAGGTATCTTTTCAGCAGCCTTCCACTCCACTGGTAACAAGTAACTGTATTAATCTGTTTTCATAATGCTGATAAAGACATACCCAAAACTGGGCACTTTACAAAAGAATGAGTTTTAATTGTTCTTACAGTTCCACATGGATGGGGAAGCATCACAATCATGGCAGAAGGCAACGAGGAGCAAGTCACATCTTACATGGATGGCAGCAGGCAATAAGACAGCTTGTGCAGGAAAACTCCCCCTTGTAATAACCATCAGATCTCATGAGATTTACTCACTATCATGAGAACCACATGGAAAAGACCCATCCACATGTTTCAATTACCTTCCACTTGGTCCCTCCCACAACAAGTGGGAATTCAAGATGAGATTTGGATAGGGACACAGCCAAACCATATCAATGACTCTTGCAGTTTTCATAAATCATCTATATAAACAGTTAAATAATTAGGTAAATGTAATGGGATTAATACATGTTAATAATAATAAATTCTAAATCAGAATTTAGAATCTATTGTTATATTAAATAATAAATATTTCATTATTAGTTTTTTTCCAATAAGAAGGTATTTGTAGGAAAACGTCTTTTCTATTAAAACCCCTGTGTCCTTTTTAAAAAGGTGAATAATTTGTCTAATTTAAAGCTTATCTAAAGGTTATGTATAAAACAAGGTAAAAGGAACCAGGAAATAAGAGAGATGTAAAGAAAGTTATAAAAATAAAGAGGTTTCTTTATTTGGTAAGAAAGCTTAAAGATAACTAATTTTATATGAGAAATAATCTTGTATGGTAGATTTAGTCCCAGAATAAAATGACTGATTGTTTAAGAAAGACGGATGTTCAGGATGAACCAGAGAGTCCAAGCATGTCATAAATGGTCTAAGTCACAATAAAAGGATTTATTAAAAAAAAACTTTTATATGATCAAGTTGTCTATTAAAGAGAAATTATAATGGTCTTTCTAGAGATTGGGCTTGATGTAAAAAAATGAAAACACTTATACATTAAATATTTGGTTAAAATGATGAAATTTTTAAGGGATTGATTTATTATTAATAAATTATAAAATTTTAATTTTTTAAACCAAAAATTCAACTTTTATTGCATCTGGCCATTTTCAATTTTCCCTCTCCTATTAAAAGGGTGTGAAATAGTAATGCTCTCCTTCAACTCATTTTCAGGTCAAATAAGTTTTTCTTCCTCGAGTTTCTTTGTTGTGGCTTGATGCTAACAATGTTTTTTTAAATGTTTAAAGGAAACATTTTATTCAAACATAATATTCTGTGCAGTGCAAAGCATCTTTACTTTTGCCTTTTAGTAACTGGCCTAACGATTTTATATTTTATTGAAGCAATTCCTATGCCATTATCAGTAAGTTTTGGTTTGCTTAGGAAAAATACTGTGATTTTAAAAAAATTAAATTAAGGTTATTACATCCACTTATCTTTCTGCATGTGCTCTTAAAGTAATTGTGACATTGAGTTACAGGGCTCTGACTCTTGGGTTTAAGAAGGACACCAAGTCCTGCTAAATCTTAAACACTGACAGCAATTAAAGCCTCATCTTCAGGCCTGGTAGAAGATGTCAATCAAACTAAACTGCATTCTTGGGACATACACAGGACCAGAAATTAAAACTATACAACTCCTCAAGGCCCAGGTACTAACGTGGGAGAGGTGTGCATATGAGATTGTAAGGGCCAATTCTGAGAGATAAAGTTTCAGTTTCTCTATAAATTAATCATTAATGTCAAAGGCACACTAATGCAAGAACAGCATATGCCACATCATTATTAGAGGGAAGCTTCAGGTCAATAGTCAAAAGAGCCAGAATGGTAGCACAGAAAGAAGAGAATTCAGCTTTGAGCTACTAATTTAGTATGCCCCAATAGCATCATGTCTTTGGATATCTTGTAATATGGGGTAACAAATACCCTCTTTTACTTATAATATTTTATCTTACACATTGAATCAATTACAGTTAAAGCATAAAGCATTCTAATATATTTATCTATACATATAGGTTTCCCAAATGATATATAGATATTTTTAATAAAGGCAGATAATTTTAATATGAATATGAACATGTAAAATAGTTGATAAAATTCTCAAAATTAAGGTTAATTAGGTAGCAATGAATACCAATACACAATTTTTAAAAAGTTTGTAAGAAGCTAACACAACATTTTTCTTTTAAGCTTTCATTTTAAATACAGGGAATATATATAATACATGTATACCTGTGTATATATGTATGTATACACAGGTATACATGTATATATGTGTATACATACACACATGTATATGTATACATGTGTATATATACATATATGTGTATATATGTATACATGTGTATATACATGTGTGTATATATGTATACATGTGTATATATGTATACATACATATACATATATACATACACATATGTATATATATGTGTGTATATATATAGACTGACAGCTTTTCCACCTCCCTTGCCACTCTAGTAGTCCACATTGTCTATTATCATCATCTTAATGTTCATGTGTACTCAATGTTGAGTTCCCACTTATAAGTGAGAACATGTAGTATTGGGTTTTCTGTTTCTGTATTAATTCACTTAGGATTATGGCCTCCAGCTGCATCTATGTTGCTGCAAAGGACATAATTTCAACATTTTTTATAGCTTCATAGTATTCCATGTTATGTATGTACTGCATTTTCTTTATTCAACCCAGCATTGATGAGCACCTAGGTTGATTCCATGTCTTTGCTATTGTGAATATCACTAAAATGAACATACAAGTGCATGTGTCTTTTTGGTATAACAATTTATTTCCTTTGGGTACATACCCAGTAATATGATTTGCTGGGTTGAACTGCAGCTCTGTTTTAAGTTCTTTGAGAAATCTCCAAACTAGTTTTCACAGTGGGTGAAATGATTTACATTTCCACCAACCCAACAATGTATAAGCATTCCCTTTTCTCTGCAGCATCACCAGCATCTGTTATTATTTAATTTTTTTTATAACAAACACTCTGACTGGCATGAGATGGAATCTCATTTGGTTTTGATTTGCATTTCTCTTATAATTAGTGATAATGAGAATATTTTTATATCTTTGTTAGCTGATTGTATGTCTTCTTTTGAGAAGTGTCTGTTCATGCCCTTTGCCCACTTTTTAATGGGGTAAAGTT
The DNA here is from genome assembly GCF_000001405.40 of Homo sapiens. Lineage (NCBI taxonomy): Eukaryota > Metazoa > Chordata > Mammalia > Primates > Hominidae > Homo > Homo sapiens. The sequence continues at coordinate 87,002,725 of NC_000012.12, forward strand.
TTCTTTTCAAATGTTCAAGTTTCTCATAGATGCTGGATATTATAACTTTTTTGGATACATAGTTTACAAGTATTTTCTCCCATTGGGTAGATTGTCTGTTTATTCTGTTGATAGTTTCTAGTTTAATGAAGTCCTACTTATCAATTTTTCTTTCTGCTGCAATTGCTTTTGGAGTCCTGGACAAAAATTCACTGCCAAAGCCAATATCAAGAAGTGTCCTTTTGTAAATTTTCTTTCAGGATGTTTATACTGTAAGGTTTTACATTAAATCTTTAATGCATCTTGAGCTAATTTTTGTATATGATGAAACATTGGAGTCTAGTTTCATTCTTTTGCATATTCCAGTTTTCCTAGCAGCAATTATTGAATAAATCGTCCTTTCTCCACTGCTTGTTTTTGTCAGCTTTGTCAAAGATCAGATGGGTATACGTGTGTGGCTTTATTTCTGGGTTATCTCTTCTGTACCACTGGTCTATGTTTCTGTTTTTGTACCTGTTCCATGCTACCATGCTGTTTTGTTTACTGCAGACCTGCAATATAGTTTGAAGTCAGGTAAACATGGCTCTTTTGGTTTTGCTTCCTTTGCTTAGGATTGCTTTGGCTACTCAGGATCTTTTTTGATTCTATATGAATTTAAAAATAGTTTTTCTAGTTCTGTGAAAAAATAATATTGGTAGTTGGATAGGAAAACATTGAATCAGCAAATTACTTTCTGCAGCATAGCCATTTTAATGATATTGGTTGATCTAATTTATGAACTTGGAATGTTTTTCCATTTATTTGTAACACTTCTACTTTATTTCAGCAGTGTTTTATGGTTATCATGATAGAATGATAGGAAAACATTGGATCAGCAAATTACTTTGTGCAGTATAGCCATTTTAATGATATTGGTTGATCCAATCTATGGGCTTGGAATGTTTTTCCATTTATTTGTATCACTTCCACTTTATTTCAGCAGTGTTTTATGGTTTCATGGCAGAGATCTTTCACTTCCTTAGCTGTATTCCTAGATATTCCTCTTTTTTTGTGACTAATGTAAATGATAGTGTGCTCTTAATTTGACTCTTAGCTTGGACATCATTGATGCTTTTGATTTTTTTTACATTGATTTTGAATCCTGAAAATTTACTAAAGTCATTTATCAGTTCTAGGAGCCATTTGGTAGAATCTTTAGGGTTTTCTAGGTATAGAATGATATCATCAGTGAAGAGACATAATTTGACATCTCCTATTTGGATGCTTTATATTTTTTTCTCTTGCATTATTGCTCCAGCTAGGACTTTCAGTACTATGTTAAATAGGAGTGGTGAATGGGCATTCTTGTCTTGTTCCAGTTCTTAAGCAGCATGTTTGCTGTTTTTGCGGTATCAGTGTGATATTGGGTGTATATTTCTCTTACATGGATTTTATTATTTTCAGTACGTTGCTTCAACGCCTTCTCTGTTGAGGGTTTTTATCATAAAGGGATGTTGGATCTTACCCAAAGCTTTTTCTGTGTTTATTGATATAATTTTGTACTTTGCTTTTAATTCTGTTTATGTGGTGAATCACATTGATTGATTTGCATATGTTGAACAAAGTTTGCCTCCAAAGAATAAAGCCTATGAGATCGTGGTGTATTAATTTTTTGATGTGCTGCTGGTTTCAGTTTGCTAGCATTTTCTTGAGGATTATTCTGTCTTGCTCATCAAGGATATTGACCTCCAGTGCCTGTTTTGTTGATGTGTCTCTGCCAGATTTTGGTATTATGCTGATGGTGGCTTTGTAGAATGAGTTTGGGAGGATTTCCTCCCCCTCAAGTTTTTGGAATAGTTTCAGTAAAATTGGTATCAATTCTTTTTTGTATGTCTAGTAGAATTCTACTGTGAATCCATCTGATCCAGGACATTTTTTTGGTTGGTAGGCTTTTTATTACTGATTCAATTTCAGACCCTGTTGTTTGTTTGTTCCAGTTTTCATTTTCTTCCTGGTTCATTCTTGGGAGCTGTGTATTTCCCGAAATTATCCATTTCCTCCAGTTTTTCTAATTTGTGTGCATAAAGTTGTTCATAATAGTCTCTGAGGAACTTGTCTATTTTTGTGGGCTTAGTTGTAATGTCACCTTTGTCATTTCTGATTGTATTTTTTGGATCTTCTCTTTTTTGTTTTTAATCTAACTAGTGGTTTATTAACCTTATTATCTGAAATAACTAATTATTGGTTGATTGATCTTTTGTATAGATATTTTACACCTTAATTTCATTCATTTTTTTCTAATATTAGTTATTTCTTTTATTTCTGCTAGCTTTACAACTATTTTGCTCTTCTCTTTTTTCATTTTCTCTAAGTGCAACATTATATTGCTAATTGAAATCATTCTAACTTCTTTATGAAGGAGTTTAGCACTATAAACTACTTTTGCTGCATCTCAAAAGTTTTGGTAGGTTATGTCTCTATTTTCATTAATTTCTTTTTTTTTTTTTTTGAGACAGTCTCACTCTGTCATCCAGACTGCAATGCACTGTTGTGATCTCGCTTACTGCAACCTCCACCTCCTAAGCTCAAGTGATTCTCGTGCCTCAGTTTCCTGAGTAGTTGGGACTATAGGCACAGGTTACTATGCCCAGCTAATTTTTGTATTTTTACTAGATATGAGGTTTTGTCATATTGGCCAGGCTGCTCTCAATCTCCTGAACTCAAGTGATCAGTCTGTTGCATGCTCCTAAAGTGCTGGGATTAAAGGCATGAGCCACCATGCCCAGCTCAAATAATTTTTTGATGTCTGCCTTAATTTTGTTGTTTACCCAGGAATTATTCAGGAGCAAGCTCTGTAGTTTCATATATCTGTGTAGTTTTGAGAGATCTTCTTGATGTTGATTTCTATTTTTAATGCACTGTTGTCCAAGAGTGTGGTGGGTAGTATTTCTACTTTTTTTTGAATTTATTGAGACTTACCTTATTATTGAGCCTATAATGCATCTTAGATTATGTTCCACGTGCAGATGAGAAGATTGTATATTCTGTAGATGTCTGTAGATTGAATATGCTGTAGATGTCTATTAAACCCAATTTGTCAAGTGTCAAGTTTATGTGCAAAATTTCTTTGTTAGTTTTCTACGTCAGTGGTCTATCTAATGCTTTCAGTGGGGGGGTTAAAATCTCCTGCTATTGGGTGCCTGTAATCCCAGCTACACAGGAGGCTGAGACAGGAGAATCATTTGAACCCAGGAGATGGACGTTGCAGTGAGCCGAGATCATGCCATTGCACTCCAGCCTGGGCAAAAGAGCAAGATTCAATCTAAAAAGAAAAAAAACAAAAACAAAAACAAAACTCCCGCTATTATTGTGTGGCTAAGTGTGTTTTGAAGGTCAACAAGGACTTGTTTATAAATATGGGTGCTCCAATGATGGGTGTGTATATATTCAGGATAGCTAAATTTTCTTGTTGAATTGAACCCTTTATTATAATGTAGTGCCCATCTTTGTAGTTCTTGATTTTCGTTGGTTTAAAGTCTTTTATCTGATATAAGAAAAACAGTTACTGATTCCTTTTATTTTTCTGCTTATGTGTTAGACCTTTCTCCATCCCTTTACTCTGAGCCTGTGGGTGTCATTACATATGAGATGGGTTTCTTGAAGACAGTAGACAGTTTGATTTTTTTTTTCCAACTTGCCACTCTGTGCCTTTTAATGATGTGTTTAGAATATTTATATTCAGTGTTAGTATTGATATATGAAAATTTGATGCTGTCATTGTGTTGTTAGCTGGTTGTTTTGTATACTTGATCATGCAGTTTCTTTATAGGGTTGGTGGGGTATCTGCTTTATTTCATTTCTCTGGTAGCAGGTGTCATTCATTCTTTTCCATGTTTACTACTCCCTTAAGAACCTCTTGTAAAGCTTGTCTAGTTGTAACAAATACCATCAGCATTTGCTTCTCTGAACAGGATTTTATTTCTCCTTCACTTATGAAGCTTAGTGATATGGTTTGTCCCCACCCAAATCTCATCTCAAATTGTAGTTCCCACAATCCCCATGTGTTGTGTAAGGGACCCAGTGGGAGGTTACTGAATCATGGAGGTGGTTACCCCCACACTGCTGTTCTCATGATACTGTGTTCCTATGAGATCTGATGGTTTTATAAGGGTTATAAGGGGCTTTTATCTCTTTGCCGGGCACTTCTCTTCCTGCCACCATGTCAAGAATGATGTGTTTGCTTCCCCTGCTGCCATGATTGTAAGTTTCCTGAGGCCTTCCCAGCCATGCTGAACTATAGGTCAATTAAACCTCTTTTCTTTATAAATTACTCAGTCTCAGATATGCCCTTATTAGCAGTGTGAGAATGGGCTAATACACTTAGTTTGAAAGGAAGTGAAATTGTTGATTGGAATTTCTTTTAATTATGCTGAAAATAGGCCTCCAATCTCTCCCAGCTTGTAATATTTCTGCTGAGAGGTTCACTGCCAGCCTGAGCAGGGTCCCTTTGAATGTGGTCTGATGGTTCTCTCTAGCTGAATTTAATAAATTTTTTTTCTTTTACATTGGCCTTGGTGAATCTGATGACTCTGCGCCTTGGTGATTATCATCTTGTAGCGTATCTAGACAGGGTTCTCTGTATTTCTTAAATTTGCTTGTCAACCTCTAGAGAGATTAGGAAAATTTTATGGAGTATATCATGATATATAATTTCCAAGTTGTTTATTTTGTCTCCTCTCAGGAATACCAATTAAATGTAAGTGCGGTGTCTTTACATAATCCTATAGTTTCAGAAGTTTTGTTCATTTCATAATTATTTTTTATCTGACTGAGTTGATTCAAAGAACCAGCCTTTGAACTCTAATATTCTTTCCTCAGCTTGGTCTCTTCTGTTAGAATTAACATAATCTTTAAGTGTGAGACTGATGAATGAGTACACATGTCTTAAAACCAGAATACATATTTTAGAAATGAACTCAATACACATGAAAATTTAGTATATAATAAACATGGCATAATACATTTTGAAGAAAACATATTATTTAGTCAATGGTGATGAGAACAATTTCTATAAAAATAAATTTTGTATAGTCAATGATTAAAAGTAAAATAAGTAAATATAAAAAGTAAAATATAAACACATAAGAAAACAAACAAAACTTTTAATAAGCCGTATAGGAAGGAGCAGAATAAATAGAATGTTATATGCTATTTGAACAAACTAGTAAAACAATTACTGGTTAAAATATCTAAAAGATTAAAATAATACATGGAATATTACAAAGTAACATGTAGTTGTTAAATGGAGATTAAAAACATCCTGTCTTTTGTTAGTGTAAATGTAATTAGTACAATTTGGAATGCCATTTAGCCACATCTATCAAAATTTTAAATGTCTACACCTGTTCAATCAGCTCTTTGACTTCCAGGAATTTTTCTTTCAAATACATTTGCAAGTGTGCTTAATGATAAAATGAATAAACAATGTTGTGTTGAGATGTCACCACCTACCACATAACCTAAAAAGATGTTTTGTTATATTAGAGAAACAAGACCTAGTTAATAGTAGGGGGATATTGGTGGCCATAGCCAACAAGAAGCCATCAAATTTGTGTCAGACAAAAAAGAGAAAAAATAAATAGAACTTTCTGTTAAAATAATAGAAAAAAGTTACGAAGTCTTACTAATAATCCCATGAGTTTGAAGGGCATATCAGGACAAACACAGGAAAGATTTTTCTTTTTTTCTTTATTATCTTTGATTTCCACACCTTTTAATTTCTATGCTGAAATCTGTAGACAGAAAAGCTACTGAAAGTGGCTGCTTATATTTTGGGAAGAAAATTTAGTTTTAACTTTAATTTGATGTGATGTCTGTGTGCATGTGTGTGTGTGTGTGTGTGTGTTGTGGGGCAGTGGGGGGGTCAAAGAACTATAGATTGAGATTCTCCCAAGAAGTCAGAAGTCTATCACAAATATAATAAAGGTACTTGTATGAAAAAAATGAACGGAAAAATGTTTATGTTTCTCTGTGCCAAAGAGAAAAAGTTTAGAAGCAAACATTTAAGCTTTTCCTTGTCCTCACATTCTACTTTCATTTGTCTTTGTTACTAAAAGTCTAAAGAAGGGAGTCTTTTAAAATTCTGTTATCTAGCCTCAGCCCCCAGATGAGTATTTTTGCCTGAATATCGATTGAACACTGGTATAGCAATCTTGTTTGAAAACTTCAGAGCAAAAGGCACTTTATTTACCAGGTATCAAGAACAAACACTTTGAACTCTTTAGCAATACAATACTTATCTGCAAAAGTCAAAGTCTTGTTTGCAAATTCTCTTTGCTCCTAAAATGATGAGAGTTACAATATGCACAAATGACCTTCTCTCTGAGCCACATTAGTAGCTTATTCAGCATGGTGACCTTTCCCTCCACAGATGCTACTGTAAATCAATGATGAAGATGCCAGATCCCAGTTCAGGGTTCAGTATCATCATTTTCTCTTTTTAATGAAAGAGCCTAAACACTGTGTTATGAAGCTTTCCATCAAATTGAGTATCCCTGCTATCTTCTGCAATAAAACCTATTTTTGTTCCTTTCTAAATTTATTGCTATAGCTGACACTTGCCCTCTCATAAACATTGAGAAAGGACAGTGATTCTCTTTCCTTTTCATGTCTCTCTACTTCACATTAATACATGTTTTAAAACATATATTATATTTTAAATTAATACATCCTGATAGTTGGAGGAGGAGAAAAAAGATGGGGGCTTCCAAGTATATTAAGATATTTGAGAATAAGGTAAATTAGTCATGGTGGATTTAATTTACTTTAATGTAGTCACTTTTTATCCATCACTGACTAATAAATGCTGAAATTTAGGGATGACTTTAACCTTTATAAGGAAGAATTTGACCCTAAAGGCAAATAAAAGGTCTCAATAATTAACTAATAGATGAGGGAAAAGTTTCATGTTTGCATCCCATCCTCTTACAATGATTATAAAGTAGGATCCAATAAATGATTAGCTCAGTAATGAGTTTCTAAATATTTCCAGTTTTTGTAAGGAGGAAGATGTGCTAGTGAAATTCAACAACCTTAATTTGCATGGGATTAGAAGTTGGCAGGCAAAGTGCTCAAACATATATAGTTCCTGCAAAAGTATTGTTTGAATTTTTTAGCTCCTTAATTGTTTTAAAGCCTTCTAGTGTTATATTGTAAATGTAAAATAATGTTATTCTTTATATTTTGATGGTCACTAGATAAGACTAAATGAATAAACAGTAGATAAGTAGAGGAAGGATGTTATATAAAAGATGCACTTACAGACACTGTGATGAATAGATACTTGTAACTATCAATGGAACAAACATTTTCTTAAATATTTTCCCTAAATGTCATTATCCTCATGGAATTTATTACTATGCAGTCATGTACTGCGCAATGCCCTTTCAGTCAACAATGGACTGCATATAAGACAGTGGTCCCACAGGATTATAGTGAAGCTAAAAATTTAATATTGCCAGTGACTTCATAGCTATTGATTGACTTAGTCATTGTAGTGCAACACAATCCATTATCTTTTCTATGTTTACATAGATTTAGATACACAAATATTTACCACTGTGGTACAATTGCCTATAGTATTCAATGCAATAACATGTTGTACAGATTTGAAGCCTTGGAGAGCAATAGGCTACACCACATAGTCTATGTGTGTAGTTGGGTATACTATCTAGGTATATTCATGTACATTCTTATATTAATATTTGCACAACAACAGAATTGGCTATGAGATTTTCAGAAGGTATTCTCATTGTTAAGTGATGAATAATTGTACTTTATTCCTGTCAGTTTTAAAAGCTACTATTTTCTGGTATAATAATTATCCTTCTATTTTTAATTTATTTAGATTTTCTATATCTCTTAAAATATAATCTATTTTCTCTTTTTAAATTTTGAAAGTAATATATCATCATTATAAATAGTTTTTAAAATATAGAGTGGTGCATATGAAAAACAATGCACTCATAATCCCAATGCCTTGAGGAAATTACTACCCACATGATAACTGTCTCTTTCCAATATTTGTTACCACACAAATATCCATATACTTACCTTTTGCAATGCAATGGGATCTGACTGTATAACAATTTTTTAAATATTAACATCTTATTTGATCATTTTACTGAAGTATTTGAGTCTGAAATACTATTTTAATTGCCACAAAAGATACATCATATGTATTGTTATACCTTGATTTACTTACCCATTCTTCTAGTTTTAGTTAGATAGTTTAAAAAATGGGTTCTTGTATTTGAAAATCAATGTCTTATTAATTATGCCATTGGAAGTGATTTCTCAAACTATTCTCTAGAAATATTTACTAATATTATATCCACCATTTATGTATTAGGGTATATCTCTTACTGTAGCTTGCATTAATTTTTTAAAAACCTCTGCTGATCTGATATGTGGAACCATGATATCTTTCTTTTAATACAGATTACAAACTTTAGTTCCATAATTTTCACCTATGATATTTACACACGTACACATACATTTGATGAAGTGATTGGGGAGACAAGTCTTTAATAGTCTATCTGCAGGGCAACATGCATGCAGAAGGTTCTTCTTAGGAAAAAAGGAAACTTGAGAAAAAAATACAATGAGAAGAAAAGTGCATGCCATTCTCTAATATTGATTTAGGGTATAACCCAATGAATCCTTAAAGGGGTAATGCATATATATAATTGATGACTCTTTGGAAGAGTTGGAAATTTGGGGGCAATGCAGTACTATTTTTAGGCCCAGGATATAAAGAATGGTAAATTGATGGGAAAATAGGCTTCTGACATTTAAGAACATGTAAACTTGTGGTATATCTTCATGGAACACCACAATTTAAATATATGATCTCATATGTGTTCAACATGGTTTGTTCATTGGTTTGCTAGTTTTTTAAATCAATCTATTCTTAAGGCAATATCAGCTGGTATTAAATAGCTTTCTATATATTTTTTAATCTATAAGATATATTCACATATTTATCCTTCCAAATGAACTTCCTAAACACTATTTTTTAAAGTAACATAGGAAGACAAAAAATTTAATTTTGAATGAAATTTATATATTAACAAGTATTTTCCTTTATATATTAACATGTAATATATAAAAATTTAACAAGTTTATATATTAACAAGTAATTCTCTTTCTTTACCTACCTCAGGCCTTTCTTCTCTTCACAGGATGAGATGAGATTTTGTTCACTTATGTGTCCTTCCTTAAATATTTTATGTATATGCAAGCATATATATGTTTGTAATTATATGTATATGTATCTTTATGTACAAATATTGATATAGATATTTTTAACAATTGTAATTTTTTCTACCTTCTTCCCACTTATTTACTAGTTCAGCATAAAATATTAACATTAATTTCCTTTTTGACTTATACTTTTGGTAAATATAGCTAAATATTTGGCTATAAAAATTTTTCTGCCAAAGATTTAGGTTTTTTTAAAATCTACTACATATTGCTAAAACACTATCAGAGAAATCTCAGCACTATAAATTCATATAGATATAATTGAACTTTCCTTAGATTTACAATTAGTAATGGTGAAGAAGATACTTTTAATGCTTATCTGAATTCTGCTCTCTCATTATTTTGGGTACAGTGGACATTAAACTCTCACTACCTGTTCATAAAGGAGGCTGGGCATGGTGGCTCACGCCTGTAAACCCAGGACTTCGGGAGGCTGAGGCGGGTAGATCACAAGGTCAGGAGATCGAGACCATCCTGGCTAACACGGTGAAACCCCGTCTCTACTAAAAATACAAAAAATTAGCCGGGCGTGGTGGCACGCGCCTGTAGTCCCAGCTACTTGGGAGGCTGAGGCAGGAGAATGGTGGGAACCCAGGAGGCGGAGCTTGCAGTGAGCCGAGATTGCGCCACTGCACTCCAGCCTGGGTGACAGAGCCAGACTCCATCTAAAAAAAAAAAAAAAAAAAAAGAGTTAACATAGCAGTCCTGTGATTATTAACTTTAGAACGACCTGCTTGCAAGGTTGGACCTTGGCTGGCATCTTGGAACTTGGCTCTCTGAGTTTTCCTAGTCAATAGTTGACCAATAATCGCAGTTTGCTGTGTCTAGGCTGCTTATAATTTAGACTGAACACCTGCTATTCTTCTGTGAATCTGAAATTTGGTATTTTCTAGGCAGAGGGTACCCACATGGTCAACACCCAGTAAAATCTCTTGGGCACTGAATCTCTAATAAGTTTCGCTGGCAGACAATGCTTGACATGTATTCCAACACAGCTAATTGCTAATGGAATTAAGCATGTCTATGTGACTCCACTGGGGAAAACAAAAACAAAAACAAAACAAAACAAACAAACAAAAAAATCTTAGAAACTTATACCTGGCTTCTTATTGATTTCACCCCATGTATATTTTTTATTTTCTTAATTTTGCTTTGTATCTTTTTACTATAAAAAATCTTAGTCATGAGTAGAGTGATATGCCGAGTTCTATGAGTCCTCTTAGGGACTACTAGAAGTGGTCTTACAGACATCAGCATATTCTCCCTTGCAATTGGGCAGGGCCATATAGTTACTAGACATTCTGTTTTTGGTAGAAGTGATATGCCTCATTCTGGGCTGGAGCATTAAATTATGAGTGTGAGGCCTTTTATTGTTTCTTTCTCTTTGAGATGGTAAAAAAAATATATATATATATATATTCGAGAGAGCGAAGACTTATAAGGATGAGGCTAACAGTCAGAATGACGTGGAGCAAAGCACTGGGCTGAGACAAGATGGAATTTATATGGTAAGAAGTGAACTTTTAATTGTCTTAGCCATTAAAATTTTAAGGTGTTAGGCTATTGCAGCATAATAGCAAGGCAATCTTGACGTACATAAATATTATACTTTTGCTGTGCTGAAAATCAGTTAATATTGCATGAAGGGTATTTATATAACAGATTAATAACAATAATTACTTAGCATGCATGGAAAATTGCATTACCCATCATTTATACTTAAAATTTTAATGGTCATATTTTATTAGAACATAATATAGGATACTGCATGGTTTTGTTTTTTTCTTACAAATAATACTGACAGCCTTGACAAGTTATTACAAAGAATATGAAGTAAATCAAAATATTCAATAACATGAGAAAATATTTTCATAAACCTTTCTGAGAGTTGATTATATATGTAAGAATCATCATTTGAGAATATTTTCAAAATTAGGGGGTTGGTAGATATTAACAATCAGTTACTGAATAAAAAGCTGATGTAATTAAAATGGCATGAGTGGATGGCCTTTCCCTCCACTTTTTATTAACATTGGACTATGTGTTGACTACATACTACAGGACATGACTTATTAGCTAAGCTTAGCAACGGAAGTGTCAGAACAAAACTGAAGTTGGATGCAGCTCGATGTGACAACCTAATATTTACTCAAAGTAATAAACATGGCCAAGAAACTAAAGAAATATTCAAATGTCTCAAAAATGTACTTTATTGCAGAGGAAATTTATGGATCCAAGTTAACTTTATCTCTTTTCTTAGAGATTTTCAATTGGAATGTGGATATATTTGCTGTTACGTTCAAAGAACAAAAATGAGAGCTAAATATTTTAATAATTTTTATTTTCTAATCTGTTTTTTTAAAATTTTTCCCTTAAAATCTTAAGAGATTATTACAAAGCTTAATTTCCCAGTGAAATCTTAGAAAGTCGAGGCCTAAATATTGAAACTTTTTCCTGATATTATAGCTATTATGAATTTTAAAAGGTACAATAAACTAAAATATGCTGTATAAATTTTCTTTTGGTTTTGCAAAAGACTAAACCTATTTTCTACCACTAATTTATATTCTGTTTTAAAGTGCAATCAATAAAATAAAAACTTTTTCTATAAATATTTTCAAATTATTATATAAATGCTGGTGCCTAGGATATGTTTGAATAATTTTATGATTGTATAGTTGATAAACACAGCCTTTCCTAATTGCTATTAATGTGGCTTGGTGTTTCTATGTTTTCTGATTTGGTGGGAAAATCTGTTGAATGTCAGGGTCTTTGCATTCTATAGTTTCCTATATAGGCTCAATTTAAAATTAATATAATTAACCATAATACCTTCTTTCTATTTTGTATCTAGCTATATCACAGTTTTATTAATGCTAGAGTTATAGGGAAATATATTTAATGAACTTAGTAAAGTATTTTTAAAATCAATTTTATTTTAAAATCTAAGTTTTAGATTTACAGAAAATTTTTGAAGATAGAACAGAAAGAATACCTATATATTTACATCCAATTTCCTCTATTACTAACATCTAATATTAGCATGGTACATTTGGTATAATTGATGAACTGATATTAATACATTATTATTAACTAAAAAGTCTATAGTGTATTCAAATTTCTTAATTTTTATCTAATATTCTTCTTCTGTGCCCAGATCCCATTAAAGGTATCATATTACTTTTTTTAGTCTCAGGATTCTTAAGCAGTAAGAGTAGCCCTGAATTTCTTTATGTAAATGACCTTGAAAGTCTAGGGGACTTTCTGGTCAGGTGTCTTATAAAATGTCTATAAGTCAGTATATCTTTGATGAATTTTACATTATTAGACTGGGTTTATATTTTGCTTTGTTTTGTAATTTACAGAGTGGGTGGAGAAGACCATAAAGATAAAGTACCAATTTCATCACATATATGGGCATATATATGAACATGACTTAACATTGCTGATGTTAGCAGTTGGCTAAGGTTGTGTTTGTCAGGTTTCTCTGCTGGAAAGTTAGCCTTTTCTCCCTATGCCTACTCTATCTACACTTTAGAATGACGTCACTACGTCCAGCCACACTTGAGTGTGCATAAATGCTTCACTTTCTTGATGCCAGAGTAATTGCACAAATGATTAAATGATGTTTTAGGTACTCTACATACTTCTGAAAAGGTGCCTTAGAAAGCATTGTTTGTAGCCATCACATACTAGAATGATTTCTGTAAATTAATCATGAAGGTGAGAGTCTGCGAGTAACTGTACACATTCTTATTGTTGAAAATGTTTTTTCCACTAACTGAAATCAAACCGAGAGTTTACTATACCAGGTATCATCAAACTTATGTACATAAAAATCATGAGTTCAGATGTGGTCTCCTAAATATGATAAAAGGTTTTGATGCATCGTACATTTAGAAACAATGTACAAGATACCATATATCCAACTATGTATCTACTGCCTTATATGTGTTTTATACTAATCAGATTCCCAAATTTTATAGATTAAATAATTTTCTTATATAATTCTCACAGGAAGAGTGGTATGCTATAAAACCTACGTTCCCTCATTCCCTAAGCAGTTATTTCTCTAGTGTCTCATATTAAATTTTTTTTTGCTTTGAGTACAAACTTGATTATGAAATTTGGTATATTAATTCAAAACCTCCCGATATTTGTTAGCTTTCTCCAGAGGAACATAACCAATAGGATGGACACACACACACACACACACACACACACACAGAGGCATATATACATATCTACACATATATATTTGCATTCTTGAGTCTCCCTAGACCAAAGAAAGCAAAGAGGTAGATATACAACAAGCCTACTTCCAGTATCTGTCTCTTCATGATCACAGGGTGCAGTATGAATGAAAGTGCAGGCATTTGTCTCAGGTTTTCTCTTAGTCTTAGTGCAGAGAGTGTGAAAGTTAAACATCCACTCGCAGCTTCAACATGAGTATAGAAAGACCTGGAATAAATATCTGACAACCTACCTTTCCAGCAACATCTAAAGGATATGTATTCTACCTTACCTATTTTGAGGAACCAGCACGATATAGTACATTCTAATCCAGGACCAGCAAAAACAGAAGCAGGGGTTTAAACAATCAATCACAAATATTTGAGGAGTATCTCAAACTATCTGACTGGACAAATTGGTGAGATCCTTCTCCTACATGAGGCAGGTCTGACAAGACTGGGAGAAGCTATTGTCTTCCATAATGTGCAGGAAGCAACAGACATTCAGGAGAAATGAAGAAGCAGGGAAATATATTAGAAATAAAATAATAAGATAAATTATCAGAAACTGACCCTAGTGAAATAAAGATATGTGATTCACCCAGCATAGGATTAAAAATAATGGTCATAAGGATACCTATCAAGATCAAGAGAGAAATGCAAGAGCAAATTGAAAATTTCAACGAAAAAAATAGAAGGTATAAAAAAGCACCAAACAAACATAAATCATAGAGCTAAAGAATATTATAACTGAACTAAAATTCAATAGAAGGTTTCAGCAGTGAACTAGATCAAGAAGAAAAAGAATCTGTGAATTCAAACACAGGTCACTGGAAACCATCGAATATGAGGAGAAAATGAAATTAAAAAGGAACAAAAGTAGTTTAAGGGGTTTATAGAATACTAACAAGCACAACAATACGCATTATCAGAATTGAAGAAAGGAAAGACAGGAAGAAAGTGTAAACATATTTATGCAAATAAAAGCACAAAACTTCCTAAGGCGGGGGAAGAGAACAGAAATCTAGAATCAGGAATCTCAGAACAGCAGATAAGATATCCATAGAGACACAATATAATTAAATTGTCAAAAGTAAAGACAAAGAAAGAATTTTGAAAACAGCAAGGGAAATGCTACTTGTCACATACAAGAAGAATCCATAAAACTATCAGCAAAGTTTTCAGCAGAAACCTTGCACATTAGAATGGAATGAGATGATGTATTCAATATCCTGAAAGAAGAAAACTGCCAACAAAAATATGATGTCAGCAATCCTGTTTTCCAAATATAAATGGGAGATAAAGACTTTCTCAAACAAAAGTTGAAGAAGTTTATCAACATGGGACTTACCTTTCAAAACAGTCTAATGTTATAAATCAATATGTAAATCAATTATAACTCTAGTAAAACCTTAAAAGACAAAACTATTTATTTATTTTATTATTATACTTTAAGTTTTAGGGTACATGTGCACAACGTGCAGGTTTGTTACATATGTATACATGTGCCATGTTGGTGTGCTGCACCCATTAACTCGTCATTTAGCATTAGGTATATCTCCTAATGCTATCCCTCCCACCTCCCCCCACCCCACAACAGTCCCCGGTGTGTGATGTTCCCCTTTCTGTGTCCATGTGTTCTCATTGTTCAATTCCTTAAACCAACTATAGCTATAGTAGTTTGTTAATGGATACAAATTATAAAAAGATGCATATAATGTATTATATAAAGATGTATGTGAGGAATACATAAAGTCTGAAAGTGAAGAAATAAAAAGTTATTCTATGTAAAAGGTAGCCAAAGAAAGCACAAGTGATTATAATTCCACAAAATGGATTTAAATAAAAAACTATCTCTAGGGATGAAGTTCATTATCCAATGAGACAGTCAATTTAACTAGAAGATATAATAATTATAAGCATATATGCACCCAGTATCAAAGCACCTAAATATATAAACAAACATTGGCAGATATAAAGAGAGGAACTGATAGCACTATATTAATAGTAGGATACTACAATATTCCACTTTCAATAATGAATGGAATATCCATACAGCTGACTTGAACACTGTTACAGACCAAAAGGAACCGACAGACATATTTATAACTTTCCAACCAACAGCAGATTACACATTCTTTTCAAGAGCACACAGACAATTCACCAGAACAGATTATATGTTAACTACAAAAAAAGTCTTGACAAACTGAAGAAGATACAAATCATTCCAAGTACCTTTTCAGAACACAGTGAAATGAAACTAGCAATTAGTAACAGTGAGAAAATTGGAAAATTAATTTTCATAAAAACTGAAGCACACATTTTTGGGTAATCATTGGATCAATGAGTAAAATCAAAAGGTAATTTTAAAAATATATTCAGGCAAAACAAAATGAAGATACAACACAATGAAATGCATTTTGTGCATGAAAAGCAGCATTAAGACAAAGGTTTATAGTAATAAATGCCTGCATTAAAAAATCAAATAAGGAACCCAACTTTAAACCTCAAGGAACAATATACAGTACAAATAAGCAAAAAGTTATCAGTAGGAAGAAAATAATAAAAATTAGAGGTAAAATAAAGCAAACAGAGAACAGAAAAAAATAAAAGAAACGAATAGTTATGTAGTTTTTAAAAAAAATAAAATAAATAAGCCCTTATCTAAACTAAGAAAAAAAGAGAACACTCAAGTAAACAAAATTAAAAATGAAAAAGGAGACATTACAGTGAACATCTCAGAAATAAAAAAGGATCATTAGGGACTTTAATAACTAATTACATGCCAACAAATTGGATGGTTGGGAAAAATGGATATCCACCTGCAAAAAAAAAAAAAAAAGAAAGAAAAAAGAAAAAATAATTGGACTCCCATAGAATACACAAAAATCAACTCAAAATACATTAAAGACTAAAATATAAGCCATGAAACTATAAAACTAGTAGAAGCAAAAATAAACAAATGAGACTATATTAAACTAAAATGCTAATGCAATACAAAAGAAACAGTCAACAAAATAAAAAGGCCACAAAAAATTTGGGATACAATATTTGAAAATTATATATTTTATAAGAGGCTAATATCTAAAATATGTGGGGAACTTCTACAACAACTTAAAAGCAAAAACACCACAAATAACCTGAATATAAAATGGGCAAATGACCTGAATAGACATTTTTCCAAAGAAAACCTACAAATTCCCAGCAGATATAAATGAACAAATGTTATAGATATAGATATACACATATAATGGGATATGATTCATCCTTAAAGAGAAAGGAAATCTTTCCATTTATGACAACATGGATGAACCTAGAGGATAATATGCTAAATAAAATAAGTCAGACACAGGAAGATGAATACTCTATGGTCTTGCTTATATGTGCCATCTAAAAAACTCAAATTAATTGAAACAGGTAATAAAATGATGGTTACCGGCGCAAGGAAAAGGAGAGGTGTTGGTTAAAGGTGCAAAGTTTCAATTATGTAGAAAGAATAAGTTATAGCGATCTAATATATAGCATGGTGATTATAGTTAACAATACTGTATTGTACACCTGAAATTTGCTAATAGCGTACATTTTTAGTGTTCTCACCACGTATATAAAAAAGATAAAAATGTGAGGTCATGAATATGCTAATTAGCTTGATTTGGGTAACCTTTTCACAATGTCTGTGTGTATATACATGTTATGTGTCTTAAATATATACAATTTTTATTTAAAAAAAATAAAAAAAAATAGAGCTTTGAAGATAGACTTGAAATATAAAATATGCAACAAGCTTCTTTTTTTTTTTTTTTTTTCTGAGATGCTTTTAGCATACCTCAGCCACTTGGAAAGAACAACATAGTCCATAAGATTAACTCTGTGAGCTTTAATTCAAGAAGGTAAATGAGAATCAACCAGAATCATGAAGGACATCTCAAATCTCAGGAAGAACACAGGCAAATAGCTCCCCTGACAGCATCCAGCTGATAATAGTGAGTGAACCCTGAATATGTGAGAGTGGCAGATCTTCCTTCTGTGACTCATCTTTCCCCTGGGGATCCAGGCAACAAGTCCAAGGGAGGGCACTTTGTTTCTCCCAAGCCCTGGAGCTAACTTAGGGAGAGGTTTGAGATACTGTGAGGAAAAGACATCAGGAAAATCTGCAGGCATTTTCCCAGAAGTGGAACACCATTTTTAATCCGAGCACATACAAAGTTTACCATTCTTTGGCAACCCAAATGTGTGCCCATGCAGGCATTTCAGTCTTGGGCCAGAGAATGGTGCGCTTGCTCTAAAGTTGGGTAGGGGCCTCCACAGCCAGAACTATGGAAAGCGCTTCAGCAGTAGGCACTGGAATTGTACTCTTCCCCATTGCAGGCCTGGGGCAGGAGGAGAGCTGCTACAGCTGCAGTTTATCCTGGACAATGAGACTTACAGCCAGGGCCTGCTTGGAAACATGCAGTCAGTCTACATGTATCATTCCTGGGTGCCCCAGACTTCTCCCTGAGACTGTGGTGCAGCGGGGCCCTCTTTGCTCCATCCAGACATTTGGAACACCCACTTGCCTGAACCAACAGCCTGAGCCATCACACATTCATGAATATAGATCATTTTGCAATGTCTCTCTACTCCACACCCAGGCAAATGTCTAGGTATTCAGAACACCCCCTCAACTAGATCAGCAACCTGAATTGCATCACTCTTTCTGTGCAGAGATTCAGTGCCACAAAGACCTCTCAACTCCATGCTCAGGCAGATCTCTAGGTATTCAAAACACCTGCTTGCCTGGATTGGCAGGCTTGAGTTGCCCCACTCTTTCTGTACAAAGATCCATGTGCAAGGGCCCCTCCCCATTTCACATTCAGGCAGATCTGCAGGCATTCAGAGGACCTGTCTGTATGGTCCAGCAGCCTGAGTCTTTCATCATTCCTGTGCAGTGGTTCTGATGTAGGGAACCCTCCTCACTTCACGCCCAGGCAAATCTTCAGGCATCTGGAGCACCTGCTCTTCTGGGTTAGGAATTTAGGCCACCTGCCACCCCCACTATCCCCATGCACAGAACTTGGGGCTGAGAAGGATTCCCAGTTCCATGCCTAGGCACATCTCTGTGCACTTGGTGGCAACTCAGTGGGTTCTCCATTGGCATTGATGTCTGTGCCTGCCATCATGGGACCTGTAGGTGAGTCTTCCTGGTCTGGCCCTACCCACGTTGCCCCCTCACCATCCTGGGGCTGAGAAAGGAGTTCAGACAACTGTGTATTCCATGCATCAACCCATTGGCAGAAGCAACAAAGAGTTTTTTTTTCCCACTAAATAGGTATCAAGCATTTACTCAGCTGTGTTGGCCATAGCTGGCTCTTACATATAAGTGCCATCTACTGGCTTATAGGTCAAACTGAATAGTTTATTATAAAACTAGCCTCAGCAGTGCGTAGGGCTATAAAAGCAAAGCCAAAAGACCCTATCTATAATTTTTTGCAGACACAGTCTCTAGAGAGGGTGAAAAAAAAGAAAGGGAAATGAGAAGAAAATCCAATAATATTATACAGAAAGAAAGTAAAAGAAAAAATTCTACCTGGATAAAGATACTTACAATGATTAGAAGCACCAGTATCTCCAGATAAGAAAGAATAAGTGCAAGAGTTCTGGCATTATGAAAAATCTGAATTTAATGACACCACCAAAGGAGAACACCAGCTCTCCAGCAATAGTCCCTAACCAAAATAGACACTCAGAAATGACAGAAAAGGAATTTAAAGCATGGAGTCATGGAAGCTCAGTGAGATGCCTGCAAGGTTAAAAATCAACACAAAGAAACTTCTAAGGCAATCCAGGAAAGAAGAAAGAGATAAACATTTAAAAAAAAAATCATTAGAGCTAAAGGAATTGAAGAACTCCGTTAAGAATTTGAAAGCCCAATTAAAAACTTTATCAATAGATTGGCCGAATCAGAAAAAAAAGAATTTTAGATCCTGAAGAACAGTATCTCAAATTAACCAAGTATGACAAAAATAAAGAAAAAATAATTGTAAAAAATGAACATTTTTCAAGAACTGTAGGATTATATAAAGAGACCAAATCTACAAAATGTTGGCATTTCTAAGAGAGACAAAAAATGTAAACAACCTGGAAAACATACTTGAGGAAATAATTCAAGAAAATTTTCCTAATCTTGATAAAGAGGTAGACACCCAGATGGAAGAAACACAGAGAACACCTGTAAGATACTACATAAAATGAACATCACAACAGCATACAGTCACCAGACTTCCCAAGGTCAATGCTAAAGAAAAAATCTTAAATGCAGCTAGAAAAAAAGATCAGATTACGTACAGAATGAACCCCATCAGACTAACAGATTTCTCAGCAGAATGCTTATAAGACAAGAGATATTAGTGGCCTATTCTCAGCATTCTTAAAGAAAATAATTTCCAGCCAGGAATTTTATATCCTGTCAAGATGAACTACATAAGCAAAGGAGAAATAAAAGTTTTTCAGGCAAGCAAGTGCTAAGAGAAATTTTTACCACTAGACCAACTTTACAAGAGACACTTAAGAGATTTCTAAACATGGAAATGAAAGACCAATACCTGCTGCAACAGAAACACACTTAAAATCATGGATCACAGGCCCTACAAAGTAACCACTAAATATAAACTATAAAACAATCAGCTGACAACTTCATGATAAGATCAAAACCTCACATATCAATATTAACCTTGAATGTAAATAGTCTAAACACCCATTTAAAAGTCACAGAGTGGCAACTTGGATTAAAAAAAAAAAACAAGGCCCACCTGTCTGCCTTCTTCAAGAGACCCATCTTACATGTAATGAAACCCAAAGGCTCAAAATAAAGGGTTGGAGACAAATCTACCATGCAAATGGAAAATGAAGAAGAGCATGAGTTATTATTCTAACATCAGATGAAACAGACTTTGAGCCAACAGCAGTTAAAAGGACAAAGGAGGGTATAGCATAATGATAGAGGGTTCAGTTTAACAAGACTTAACTATCCTAGATATATATGCACGTAACATTGGAGCACTCCAGTTCATAAAACAAATACTTCTAAATCTGTAAAAAGACACAGGCAGTCACACAATAACAGTGGGGGAACTTCAACACTCCACTGATAGTGTTAGACAGATTGCCTAGGTAGAAAATTAAGAAGGAAATTTTTGACTTAAATTTGGCACTTGACCAATTGGACCTGATAGACATCTACAGAATATTATACCCATTTACCACAGAATATACATTCTTCTCATCTGCACATGAAACATACTTCAAGATTGACCATATGCTTGGCCATACAAGTCTCAATAAATTTTAAAAAATCAAAATCATACCAGTTATCTCTTGTACCAAATTAGAATAAAAATAGAAATTTCTACAAAGAAGATCTCTCAAAACTATAAAAATACAAGGAAATTAAACAACTTGCTCCTGGATGACTTTAGGGCTAATAATGAAATTAAGCCAAAAATCAAAACAATACTTGAAATAAATGAAAATGGAGACACAACATACCAAAATCTCTGGGATGCAGGAAAAGCAGTGTTAAGAGGAAAGTTTATACCCCTAAATGCCTACTTCAAAAAGTTGGAATGATCTCAATTTCAGGACCTAACATTACATCTACAGGAGCTAGAAAAAACAAGAACATACTAACCCCAAAGTTGGCAGAAAAAAAAAGAAATAACTAAACCAAAGCAGAACTGAATGAAACTGAGACCCCCAAATCCATACAAAGGATCAACAAAACCAAAATTTGTTATTTGAATAAATAGGATAGACCACTAGATAGACTAACAAAGAAAAAAGAGAGAAGGTTGAAAGAAGCATAATCAGAAATGGCAAAGGTAGCATTATAACTGATCCCACAGATACAAAAAAAAAGATACTTATGGATCATTATAAACAACTCTATGCACAAAAAATAGAAAATGTAGAGGAAATGCTGGGATTCCTGGTAACATAATGTCCCAAAATTGAGTAATGAAGAAATTTAAACCTTGAACAGACCAATATCAAGTTCTGAAATTGAATCAGAAATTTAAAAAAAAATCTATCAACCAAAAAATAAGCCCTGGACCAAATGAATTCACATCCAAATTTTCACAGATGTACCAAGAAAAGCTGGTACTGATTCTAATTAAACTATTCCAAAAAATTGAGGAGGAGAGAATACTCCCTAACTCACTCTACAAATCCCATATCACTGTGATACCCAAACCTGGCAAAAACACACCACCACCACCAACAAAGAAAATTTCAAGCCAATATTTCTGATAAACATAGATGTAAAAATCCTCAACAAAATGCTAGCAAACTGAATCTAGCAGCACCTCAAAAAGTTAATTCATCATGATCAACTAGACTTCGTTCCTGGGATGCAAGGTTTGTTCAACATATGCAAATCAATAACTGTGATTTACTACATGAATATAATTAGAAACAAAAACCATATGATCATCCCAATAGATGCAGAAAAAGCTTTGGATAAAAAATCCAACATTCATACATGGTAAAGGAAAACTTTCAAGCATTCTCCTTGAGAACTGAAATAAGAGAAGGATGGCTACTTTCACTACTACTATGCAACACAGTAATGGAAGTTCTTGCCAGTGTAATCAGGCAAGACAAAGAAATAAAAGACATACAAATAGGAAAAAAAAGTCGAACTCTTTCTCTTTTTTTGACAATATGATTCTGTACCTGGAAAACTCAAGACTCCACCAAAAGGCTCCTGGAACTGATTAACAATGGTAGTAAGATTTTAGGGTAGAAAATCAATGTACAAAAATCAGTAGCATTTCTATTCATCAATAATATTCAAGCTGGAAGCCAAATAAAAAATGCAATACTATTTACAATAGCCAGACCAAAATAAAATACCTAAGAAAACATATAACCAAGGAGTTGAAAATCTCTACAAGAAGAACTATAAAACACTGCTGAAAGAAATCACAGATGACACAAATAAATGGGAAGATATTTCATGTTTATGGATTAAAATAATCAATATTACTAAAATGGCCATACTGCCCAAAGCAATCTATGGATTCAATGCTATTCCTAGCAAGCTACCCATATCATTTTCCACATAACTGGAAAAAACTATTCTGAAATTTATATGGAACTAAAAAAGAGCTCAAATAGCCAAAGCAATTCTAAGCAGAAGGAACAAAACCATCACATTACCTAACTGAAAATTATACTATCAGGCTGTAGTAACCAAAACAGCATGGTACTGGAACAAAAACAGACAAATAGACCATTGGAGCAAAATAGAAAACCTAAAAATAAAGCCACACATCTACAGCCATCTGATCTTAAACAAAGTTCACAAAAATAAGCAATGGAGAAAGGACTCTCTATTCAATAAGTGGTTCTGGGATAGCTGGCTAGCTATATGCAGAAGAATGAAACTGGACCTCTCCCTTTCACCATATACAAAAATTAACTCAAGATGGATTAAAGACTTAAATGTAAAACCTGAAAATACAAGAATAATAGAAGAAAAGCTAGGAAACACCATTCTGGACATCAGCCTTGGAAAGGAATTTCTGACTAAAGTCCTCAAAAGCAAGAGAAACAAAAATAATAACTGACACATAAGACATAATTAAACTAAAGAGCTACTGTATGACAAAGGAAACTATAAACAGAGCAAAGAAAAAACTTACAGAGTGAGAGAAAATATTCATAAACTATGCATCTGACAAAGGTCTAATATCCAGAATGTATAAGGACCTTAAACAATTGAACAAGAAAAAAATAACCCCATTAAAAATGGGCAAAAGAGATGAAAAAACATTTCTCAAAAGAAGGCATACAAGCGTTCAACAAATATATGAAAAAATGCTTGTCATCACTAATCATCAGAGAAATGCAAATCGAAACCACAATGAGATAACATCTCACAACAGTAGGAATAGCTATTAGTAAAATGTCTAAAAACAACAGATACTGGCGAGGCCGTAGAGAAAAGGGAACACTTATGCACTCTTGGTGGGAATTTAAATTAGTTCAGCCACTGTGGAAAGCAATCTGGAGATTTCTCAAAGAGCTTAAAACAGAAATAACATTTGACCCAGCGATCCCATTACTGAACATATATTCAAAAATATAAATTATTCTACCCAAAAGACACATGCACTCATATGTTCATCACAGCACTATCCACAAAAACAAATGGAACCATAAAAAAGAATGAGATCGTGTTCTTTGCAGAAACATAGATGTATCTGGGGGTCATTATCTGAAGTGAACAAATGCAGGAACAGAAAACCAAATACCACAAGTTCTCGCTTATAAGTGGGAGCTAACCATTGGGTACATGTGGAAATAAAGAGGGGAAAAAAAGCCACTGGGGACTACTATAAGGGAGTTAAAAGAAGAAAGGCTTGGAAAACAAACTATTGGATACTATGCTCAGTACTTGAGTGATGAGATCAATTATACCCCAAACCTAAGCATAATGCAAGATACTCATCTAACAAAAGTGCACCTGTACCCCCTCAATCTAACATAAACGTTGAAATTATTCAAATAAATAAAAGAAGAACCAAAACACAAAAAAATAGATTCCTGTCCCTCAGAAAAGACCTAATAAATCAGAAACTCCGAGGAGAAGGCCTAAGAATCTATATTTTGGCAAGGTCCTTCAAGTAATTTTTAGATACTCTAATATTTGACTTATAAATATACATCAATATGGTAAGTGTAATTTGCTTTGTGACCATGATCGTTGCCTTCTTAATACTTATTTTTCATGTATGTAAAATAAATATGTCAAAGTCATTTCTAAAACTAAGCAAACAAATCAATCAATAAATAAATGAATAAGCAAGGAAATTGTGCATGCATGCATGTGTGTGTGTGTGTGTGTGTGTGTGTGTGTGTGTGTGTGTGTACATATCCAGTCACTAACATCTCCTCCTAAAAATAACTACTATCTCTATAAAATAGTTTTGGCTGTTTCAGTTAATGAACATATCATATAGCATAAAGTATTTGTGTCTCATTTCTTTCATAGTAATGTGCTTGTAATATTTGCAATGTATTATTTCTTTAACAAAGTGGTGTTACATGAGCATGATTAATTCCGGATATTTTCCAAATTGTACAATTAAGATTATAAATTTTTTAAATTTAGAAAAGACTTCCACAATATGTTTCTGTAAAACAATAACAAATTGTTGGTAACACAGAGTAAACATGGAAGACTGAAAATAAATCTAGAATCATACAGTATATTCATATTATTGGATGCCTAAATGTCAAAGCAAGGAGGGTTTGCTTAGGCAGTCAAAAGGCACTAATGACATTTGATAAAAAAGTAGTCAACAAAGATCACCACATGAATTATAAATATCATGCGTAAGTTTGAGCAACTTATATGAATAGTAAATGTTTACAGAATGAATGAATGACAATATGAAAATAAATAAATAATAGTGCAATGTTATAGAAATCCTAAATTAAGGAAAAAAAGTTTTCAGAAAAAAATAGTGCAAAACCTTAACAGCATATATCAGACATGAGGTAGATAAATATAATTTTTTTACAAAAGTGAGACTGATTTCTATTGCATTTGTGCATGTGACAAACATCATTTTGTAAAAGGGATGTAGTACTCCGTTATCATACTGCTATGAGGAAATGCTCAAGACTGAGTAATTTATAAAGGGAAAGAGGTTTAATGGACTCATAGCTCCAAATGACTGGGGAGACCGCACAATCATGGCAGAAAACAAAAGAGGAGCAGAGGCATGTCTTAGATAATGGCAGGCACGAGTGCATGTCCAGGGCACTGCCTTTTTAAAACCATCAGATCTTATGAGACTTATTCTCTGTCAGGAGAACAGCACAGGAAAAACCTGCTCCCATGATTCAATTACCTCCCACTGGGTCCCTCCCATGGAGGATGAGATGAGATTTGGGTGGGGACACAGCCAAACCATATCAAGGGGAGACAGCTTTCATTGCAAGTGGAAAATTTTAGTTTTTATTGCTTGAATCTATGATCCATTTGGAATGAAGAGCCTGGAGACATCCATAGAAAAAAGGACCATAATTGAAAATTTCCTTTTTTTAAAAAAGCACCACAAAATTAAGTAAATTTCCTTCTGATGAACATTATAGAAAGCAGAATGGCATGACCATTTTTGCTTCTCTATTAATTCTTATAATTTATTGATTTATGCAATAGAAATTAGGACCCAACTTTCAAGAGTAATAATAAAAGTAAAAACATTATGGAATTCTATATTAAAAGTTTAAAATATAGGCATTTCTCACTAGGAAGATTTCTCAGTGAGTAGTGATTGGGAGCTGTGATAGAGTGCAAAAATAAAACACAATTGCTTCCAATATCATCCATCATCATGTGAAATTGTTTTAACTCCTTGAACAACATGTACACTTGATAAAACCAAACTGCCAATGTAAAAACAAAATCGTATTTTACTCACTTATTTTTAAGCGACAAGTCGTCTATTACATATTTTTACTGAGTAATATGACCTAAAAGCAAAGCTCTCAATGATACAGAAGAAAAAGTAATGCTTGTATTGATTTTATTGGTCTGGTAGCATAATGAAATATTGACTCTAAATCAGATTTCAACTGATTCTCTTTGCATTTCTGTATTAGTTTGTTTTCATGCTGCTTATAAAGAGATACCCAAGACTGGGCAATTTAAGTCCATTAAACCTCTTTAAAGAGGCTCCACATAGCTGGGGAGGCCTCAAAATTATGGGGGAAGGCAAGGAGGAGCAAGTCACAACTTATGTGTATGACGGAAAGCAAAGAGAAAGATCTTATGCAAGGAAACTCCTTTTAATAAAACTATCAGATCTCATGAGATTTATCCCCTATCACAAGAACAGCAAGATTCAATTCAATTACCCCACACTGGGTCCCTTCCATGACATGTGGGAATTGTGGGAGTTACAATTCAAGATGAGATCTTGGTGGGGACACAGCCAAACCACATCATTCCATCCCTGGCCCATCCCAAATCTCGTGTCCTCACATTTCAAAACTAATCATGCCTTCCCAACAGTCCCCCAAAGTCTTAACTCATTTCAGTATTAACTCAAAAGTCCACTGTCCAAAGTCTTATCTGAGACAAGGCAAGTCCCTTCCACCTATAAGCCTGTAAAATCATAAGCAAGCTAGTTACTTCCTAGATACAATGAGGGTACAAGTATTGGGTAAATACATCCATTCCAAATGGGAGAGATTGGCCAAAACAAAGAGGTTACAGGGCCCATGCAAGTCCAAAATCCAGTGTGGCAGTCAAATCTTAAAACCCAAAAATGATCTCCTTTGACTCCATGTTTCACATCCAGGTCACATTAATGTAAAAGATGGGTTCCCATCGTCTTGGGCAGCTCCACCCCTGTGGCTTTGCAGGGTATAGCCTCCCTCCAAGCTTCTTTCATGGGCTGATGTTGAGTGTTCTCAGCTTTTCCAGGTGCATGGTGCAAGCTGCCCATAAATCTACCATTCTGGGGTCTGGATGACAGCAGTCCTCTTCTCACAGCTCCACTAGGCGGTGCCCCTGTAGGGACTCTGTGTGGGGGCTCCGACCCCACATTTCCATTTTACACTGCCCTAGCAGAGGTTCTCCATGAGGGCCTCACCCCTGCAGCAAACATCTGCCTGGGCATCCAGGCATTTCCATACATCCTTTGAAATCTAGGAGGAAGTTTCCAAACCCAAACACATGACTGCTGTGCACTTGCAGGCTCAACACCACATGGAAGCTGCCAAGGCTTGGGGCTTGCACCCTCTGAAGCCATGAACTGAGCCACAGCTGGAAAGGATGGGATGCAGGGCACAAAGTCACTAGGGTGCACACAGCTGGGGGGACTGGACCAGGCCCATGAAATCATCTTTTCCTCCTAGACCTCCTGGCGGATAATGAGAGGGGCTGCTGGGAAGACCTCTGACATGGCCTGGAGATATTTTCCCCATGCCTTTGGGGATTAACATTAGGCTCCTTGCTACTTATGCAAATTTCTGCAGCTGGGTTGAATTTCTCCTCAGAAAATGGGATTTTTTTTTTCTATTGTACTGTCAAGCTGCAAATTTTTCACTTTTATGTTCTGCATCCCTTACACAACTGAATGCCATTAGCAGCACCTGAGTCACATCTTGAATGTTTTGCTCCTTAGGATTTTCTTCTGCCAGATACCCTAAATAATCTCTCTCAAGTTTGAAGTTCCACAAATCTCTAGGGCAGGGCCAAAATGCCTCTAGTCTCTTTGCTAAAACATCACAAAAGTCACCTTTGCTCCAACAAGTTCCTCATTTCCACCACAGACCACCTCAGCCTGGACTTTATTGTCCATGTCCCTATAAGCATTTTGTGCAAAGCCATTCAACAAGTCTCTAAGAAGTTCCAAAATTTCCACATCTTTGTATCTTCTTCTGAGCCCTCCAAACTGTTCCAATCTCTGCCTGTTACCCAGTTCCAAAGTCACTTCCACATTTTCAGGTATCTTTTCAGCAACGCCCCACTCTACTGGTATGAATATACTGTATTAGTCCCTTTTCACATTGCTGATAAAGACACGCCCAAGACTGGGCAATTTACAAGAGAAAGAGGTTTAATGGACTTACACTTCCCCATGGCTGGAGAGGCCTCACAATCATGGCAGAAAGCAAGGAAGAGCAAGTCACATCTTACGTGGATGATGGCAGGCAAAGAGAGACAGCTTGTGCAAGGAAACTCCTGTTTTTAAAACCATCAGATCTCGTAAGACTTATGCACTGTCATGAGAACAGCATGAGAAAGATCTGCACTCATGATTTAATTACCTCCTACTAGGTCCCTCCCACAACACCTGGGAATTGTGGGAGTTATAATTCAAGATGAGATTTGGGTGCAGACACAGCCAAACCGTATCAATCTCCATTTCTCAAAAGTCTTACTATGTATGTTGAGTGTAAACTTTTTTTTTGTTTCCATGTCAAGCTTAAAATAGTTATAGTGAACTAGAATGAATGGTTAGCTTAACTTTATCTCAACATTAAGCTTTTGCGAATGGCTAAATTCCTGTTTGGAATGCACTTCTCTTGCATCTGTTTGGATCTTACAAGAAGCAGAAACCAAGACAGAACAAGATGCCAAAACAGGACATGATTTGGGGAAGGTAGGGTGGAAGTGACTGTAAATAATAAAAAGGAAAAAAAAAAACAAACAAACAACAAAAAAACAGGAGTAGTCAAGTACACCTTTCAGTCTGTGAAAGGAGATAAAGAAATAACTCAGATTGGAAGCACCTCAGGAAAAAAGTATAGATCAAAGTTTTTTCCAGAGAGATGGGGAATCCTCATGCAAAATTTTCACATGGGGATCTGTTTTAGCAAGGAACAGGCTGGCCTAGGTAATCTACCAAGTTCAATCGTTGATAGGGAGCAATTCAGGGAAACATTTCCTTGGCTAGAAATTGGTAGTAGAACCAAAAGGGAATTAGCGGGGGCTATTATTCATTTCTACTCCCCATAGAAAGAACTCTTGATGAGATCTGAGTATCTACAATACTGCCAAAGTCCACTGTTTACCCCACACAAATCCACTTCTTTATGCAGGCTCTTTATGCAGATTCAGGGAGCAGCTACTCCATGGTTCCTGTGGGACTCACTTGTTATGGGAAAAAGTAGAAGTGAGAGGTTAGTGGAAAAAAGTACACCCCCACATTGCTACAGGTGGACTTCAGTCCTGAGTATACTCAATGGTCGGTATCATTTTTGAGTGTGAGTATCCAATTGATACTCTTCTTCTCTCTTTCACTATCCTTTTAAAATAGCCCTCACCCTTTGCTATCACCTCAGCACCTAGTGATGTGATGCCAATCTTCATTTCTGAGGCAACTGAGCTCTTTTCAGCCTGGGGTTGCAGTACATATATTTCACAGTTACAGTTAATCAAGGGATTACACCAAAAGGCACCCACATAGATTACCTGGGTTTTATACACATTTCTGCATGCCTTTCTGCTGTTCACACTTAATTTCTCTTGCAAAGATGGTAATTCTCCTTTTAGTCCGTTGGTCCCTGGGCACAAGGAGGTCAAACTGCCTTGGCAGCAGCCATAGTTTTAGTTTCATGTCAGGCTGTATGTTTTGACAATAATGTGCCTCTTATGAGGGGCAGTAGTTGTGGGGACAGGTAGCAAAATTTCCTCCAATAGACCATTGAAAGTGACAGTAATTGCGGTAATATTTGATTTTAATGGTTGGTTTTTGGACCTATGCTTTTTTCTCATTAGGAAGACATGTTTGATTAAATGTATACACCATATCCAAAAAAAGTCAGCTCACTCATTCACAGTATTTGCTCTAAAGTGATGCTTCAGCTTTTCTTTCCATAGGCTTTTCCAGTGACCTATGATGTAGGATGCTTCTGAATAGTGCAGTGTGTGATATAATGAAGGGATTTTATGGATGTGGGTCTCATACCCATAACTTCTTTGCTACCAGGCAGGCCCTCTGGCCAGATGCTATGCTGTGCAGTATCACATGGCTGTGAATCAGATATGCCATAAGTCCCTAGATAACAGTGTTGGCTGAAGCTCTGCAGGAAGAAAATGTAAACCCATACCCAGAATAAGCATATGTCTCAGTGAAGATAAACCACTATTTTAGGATTAAAGAAGCTCAATTAGTCAACTTGCTAACAAGCGGTATTTGTCCTCAAGGGATAGTGTCATATGAATGTTTCAAGATTGATCTCTATTAATGGCAGGTTGGACATACAGAGGTTAAGAAAAAGATAGAACTACTTTGATAAGTAGAAGTCAAAGCTGATGGACCCACGCATAACAACTGCGCCCAAATGCAGCCTACTCCATTCATGTGCCACCATCAAATGCACAAGTAATTTTGTTTACTCCTGTTTTTCTGTGCCACTTCTGCAGTTGAATCTTTCTAGTTGGTGTTAACGTGATATGCCTAGCTTTTCAACAGTACCTCAGATATCCTTGTCCTCAGGCTTCAAATTTCCCACTTCAGGATTCTAACTAAAAACCCATTTTTAACTGCTCATGAATGTAAATATTCTAACCTAAAATCACATTTCCTTCCACATGAAGTAAGTGATCAGCTCCACCCACTGGGAAGATTTTCTCTTCTTATGTGCTTTTCCTGTTAACCCTAGATGTGTGTGTAATACAATCACTATCAAGTTTAAGGATTGCACTTGTATATTGAGCTGACCCATCCCCAAATCAAGTTCTTTCATTTTCCTCCTTCTGATCACATGGGACTCCTGTAGGTTCAGAGGTGGATCTGGAACAGAGATGTTGACATAGACCTTAGTAAGTGATACAGAGTTCTGGGCCACCTGCTCATGTAGCTTATTCATGCCCTCTGGTCCTCTTGGACCAAATTCTAAATCTACCATTTTCATCTGATCGTGGAGTACTGCTGGGTCCATCTGACTTTATGATTTGGAAGTTCCCAAGAAGCCATGCTCCTAATGAACAGTTCTACCATGCTATGGTTTGGATATGGTTTGTTGGTCCCCATCAAAACTTATGTTGAAACTTTATCCTCAATAACATGACTTTGGGAGGTGGGGACTAGTGGGAGGTGTTTGGGTCATGGAGGTAGATCCCTCATGAATGGCTGGGTAGTAAGGGAGTTGTCACTCTCACAGATTAGATTAGTTCTCTGAGAATAGACTAGTTCCCAAGAGAGCAGGTTGTTATAAGTCAAGTTTCCTCCTCATATTTGGCCCCCATTTGCATGTGTCTGCTTCCACTTTGACCTTCTCCACAATGTCAAGACACACTACTAAAGCCTTCACCAGAAGCCAGGGCTATGCTCTTCAATGTCTCAGCCTGCAAAAGAGTGAGCTAAATAAACCTTTTTCTTTATAAAAATGACACGGTTTCAGGTATTATTTTACAGCAATACAAAACAGACTAAGACACACAGTTATGGTTGCTTAGTGCCTAGTGGTCAAACATTTCATTTCAGTGTCACATTAGGACCTGCTTCTCAAAAAGTATAGAATTCTCCACCACACACGGTGTGGCCACGTTTTAAAATTACAAGGGCTTTTATTCTGATTCTCAAACGATGGCTTGCCATAAACTCCACACTGCATCCTTTCCAGCCCTTACACCTCCAATACAACAGAATCAGTCAGATTATGTGGTTCAGGTGGCAGAACTGCTTTCACAACAGCCTGAACCTGCTGCAAAACACTTTCGTGCTCTAGACCCCAGTCAAAACAAGCAGCTTTTTGTTTCCCCAGTATATGGGGCAAATCGGTATATTCATAGGTGGGAAACATGTTGGTAATATAACCACAAAAATCATACTAGCATAGGGAATAACATTTGTCTTTCTTTGATACAAATATCCTACCATACCCTCACCATAGAAACCCTAAAATAAACTTCAATTATGGGAAATGTTTCCGAATCTTCATGGGGTATCTTGCACCCCCTGAATTGTACTTGTTTACCAAGTCTCCAGTGTCCTAGCGCCTTCTTACTGCCATTATGTTCTGTCTGATCAGCATGATACCACTGATTTGATGGGCCAACATGATGTTCTGTGGTATGTCTAGGCAATGCACATACCGTTGGACTATATTACACAGGAGTATAGGAAATTAGCTCTGAGGTCAAGCTGTAAATTAAAATTGTTGTCTATTCTACATGAATGCAAACTCCTTATCCTCTCTTCTAATCAAAATAGAAAATAAATCACTTTCCATATCAATGACTCAATAACATGCACATAATCCCTTATTAATCCGTTCTTGTAATGATTCTATGAATACTACAGCATCTGCAGTTTGGGATATTTGCTTCAGCTTAATAAAACTGCTCAGCTGCAAACTTTTCATGAAAAAGGAAGGATCACTCAGAGAGAAGAGTCAAGATCCCAGAGGGGAACCACTGCTATGAAAATAAATGAAATATTTTTGGTCAAAGTTTCCAGACCAAGGTAATAAAGAAAACCTATAGCTGTAACTACTTAAAATTGCTTAACTATATATTAATAGATTGAGAGAGGAAATAGAGGGATGGAGGAGGGTGATAGAGAGATTGTATGCATGTATCCATATATAATTTTCAAGAAAAATAATTGTCAAAGATCAATCAAAGAGGGACCAGAAAAGAAGATGGTAAAAACATGAACTTAATGGCTGCCCTGTGGGCTATTATCAGGATCTCTATCCTACAGACTTTTGTTACATGTTGTTTGCTAATACTCAGTACCTTCTCACTCATTTGAAGTACTTTTTAACAGCATAAAGGATCAAAAAACCTGAAAACTACATTTCTCATACTTCCTCTCCAGTAGGGTTCTGGACAGTGTCATATAATTAAAAGAAGTGTCTTTGGACATGAAGATATGAAAGTGAAGTTTTTCTAAACCTTCTGGGTACCCTCCTATGAATCAGCATTTTAGATTGGTAGGAACAGATTCTAGCCCTTCCAATATGTATGAAAAACCTCATTTACTGTACTCAATATCCTTGTATTTAAAACATTTACACCAGTTTTTGTTTTCTTAAATAATTGATAACTGATACAATATTTGGTTAAGAAATGTGACTCTTGATAGAAATCTATGATTATTTATTTAATTTGGTTAAAATTAAAAACATAAAAAAGCTGCCAAAAGACAATGACATGCTGGTAATTCATGACAGATAGCTTCAGTTATAAAACCAATTATTTGACTCATCATCTTTCCGAGAAACATTTTTAGAGACAAACTGGTTTTTGTATTAGAGTATTATGAAGAAAATAATGATTATAAATACAGTTGGGTTAGCCCAGTCTTACTGCACTAGGGAGCTTATGAAAAGAAAATGACAGACTCAAGATGTGAAATTCATAAGTCAGAGATTAGACAATTTCTTTACTGCCTAGGTAAGATTTCTTATCTATTGCAAGCACAGGATCAGTGATCAGAAAACTAGACCTAAGTTTGATCTTAGAGTTTGCAGAATTATAGCCCATGAATTCAAAGCATCCCCAGGTTTCTTACTGAAAATTAGAATCTCTTATTTTCCAAGAAAGTGGGAGCCTTAAAATTGGATTGAATGTAGTTGGGAAGATTCTAATAATTATTTAACACTTAAACTCTTAACAAAGGTAATCTTTCCTCCTCTGTTTGTGGTGGTTTGCCTCTCTGCTCTTGAATACCCTGAAAATACTTGACTTGTGAAGGTTACATTGGAGCAGGGTGATAAATCCTGGGGATTATGTATGAGAATGGATTCTAAAAGTGTTAGAACAGGGAGGAAATTGCACAACACTTGATCAGGCTGAATTTATAATGATGGCTTAAATTAAATGAAGATACAAGGCCAAAATATAAAAGAATTTATTGAATCTTAGGTGGGTAGGAATCTGAGCATTTGCCACATGTGACAGGCTCAACTGTAGCCCAACAATGTAAATTTGATGACTTGTAAGATAGCCTTATCAAGCATATATATATTTCTATATATAAATATATAGAAATAAAGAGAGCTCCAGCATTTGTAGAAAATACAAAAAACTGCTATATTATGAAAGGCAAACATTTTGGTGGAGATGTCAGCATTGAAGTGAATTTTCTGGGCTTTAGGGTTTGAGGGTGATGAGATCCTGGAATCATAGAGTACAAGTGACAGCACCCTATAAAATAATAGGGAACAGGGCAAATTATGGTATTCAATGATATGTTCTATTGACAGTATTATCAGTGGACTATCTAGTAAAATATTGCTCAATCTGTATACTAAAAAAAAAAAAAAATCTAGATCTGGTGGAAGAGTTTTAACATAAGTCATCGTAATAGAGAATCAATGTCCCACATTGAATTTCCAGACTTGAGCTTGCTCATACATGTGGAGTCTCTTGAATGATATAAAAGCTGAATCACTTTTAGGAAGGATCTTGATGCACTGAAACAAGTATGTACTTAATTTCTCCTCAACTTTCCTAAAGTATTCTGTAGCATTTAAGGTGACAACTGTGCTGGGAAAAAATCCCAGACAAAACAGGATTCCTGGTCACAGCTAAAAATTTACAATAATCCCTGGATACCTCAACTGCCATTTTGATCTACAGTCACAGAGGAAATGTATGAGGGCCAAGTGATTGATAAAGTCATGGGATGAATCTATTTTATAATGGATATGGATGATTTACAAATATACCCTTTGATTTTCTCCCAGTTCCTGAATACAAAGTTGAAAGTAGCCTTACTCAGCAACTGGTTAAATGGATAACTGGTCCTGAGACATACAAAATAAGGGCTATGTGGTAGGATGATCTAAGTAGAAACCACTGGATCTGCCACTGCAGAGCAAAATAGTAAACTAAAAGCGAATATTGCATTCCTGGGGTAATTGTTGAGAATACTACAATCATGGTGGAATTACAAAATGCCAATCATAAAATCAAATTTTTAAAACAGTGCAAGAAAAAAATCCGATTAAGTACAAAGCAATGACAATTAGATCTATATAGACTTCTCATTAGCAATATGCCAAAGACTATCTAATAATACCTTTAAAATGCTTAATTGAAATAAATGTTAATCTAGAATGGCGTATGTGGCTAAACATTCATGAATGGAAATGAAATACAGATGTTTTAAGCAAAAAAAGTAAGTAAATGAGTTTATTACCTAAATGCCTTAACAAATAATACTTCTAAAGAACGGCATTTGGGCAGAAAGAAAACATAATAAAAGAAAGGTTTAGAAACAGAAGGGAATGTTGAACGGATTATTTTGTGGAGGGCAATTTTATGTGATCTCCTAAAGCTGAGAACTGAGACTATTTTTCCTATAATGCTAAAAGCTCTTCTCTTCTAATGTGAGCAACTGATGTGAAATGAGCACATAAATGTAAAAAGGAGACAGTCTCTCTTATCCAATGGAATATCAAAAATACAGAAATCTGTTTTGCCATTTAATTTCACACAGTTTAATTTTCTATACTTTTCTTCACTTACCATGGAACCCCGTGGTTTTCATTTCTATGTGCTACCGTAAATGACAGATTACTTCTTAGCATTGTCACCTCATCTTAAGTTTTATAAATCTGTATGTGGCACTTTGCTTCACAGTGGTGCTAGTTGTAATACTTCCTTTGGCAGGTGTTTGAGCTAGAATCACTTTAGCGGAATCACTTAGTTTTCACTGTGTATATCTCTAAACCACAATAACACAAGAAAGCCAGCATGCAAATAGCCAATGTTTTCCCCCAAATTTTGTCTTTTCATAGGTTTTGGCTTATTCATGTTCATATTAAATTTTTTGCCTCAAATGACTATGCAAACTTCATTTTTGACAGTTCTTTCCTAGATGATCATGGTCTAATTTTTGTTCCCTTTCTTTTGATTATTTCAGGTATAAATGGCACTTGATAATTTTATTTTTACTACTTATTTGTTATGTATAATAACTTTCACCTAAGTATAGAAAAATGGAACTTACAACAGGTGAATATAAGGGAAACAGTTATATCATGTTGCATTATAAGCTAATAATTTGTTTTTTTAAATTCTTCAAACAAAAGGAAATATACAGTCCTGTAAAATACTTCACACATTTAGCCACATATTTTACAACATGCATTTCAAGTTGACCGTAATTCTGTTCTCCCAAGTCTAACTCTATTTGCAAACGATTCATTTCTTATCACCTTTTCAAGTTTGTTTACCATAATCCTTATTTTAATTAAATAAAAATCACAACCCAGTATTACTTTGGCCAGAACTGGTATTCAGATGAAAACAAAATATGCACATTTTTGTCCCAGGGCAGTGTGAAATATATCATTGTTTGACAGAATACCTGCTAATTGTTAGGATAGCTTGGGTTACGGATAATGGCAAAGTGAATATTTTTAAAAAAGGCTATCTGACCTGGGACTTATTATCTTCGAGAAAATGTTCAGCTCTGTCATTCCAAAGATTACAACTAAGCAGTGCAAATTGGTCAGTATCTCAAGGGGGGAAATATGTATGTTTTACTGTTAGAAGGTCAATGTTATCGTCTTTTTAGCAGAAGGATAGCAAAATTATAAAATGAAGGAGGCCTTATTACATAAAGTTTTGGTTGGTTTCACAAACTGTAAGTTTTCAGTAATTTGATGGTATAGTTGCATAATTATAATAGTGTCTTAAGTTGATTGCTTTGGAAGATGGATTATGATGTATCTGAGTTGAATCCTTTAGATAAATTCCATTAATTTGACTTGCTGAACACCAAAGGCCATGTAACTTGAGATTAAGAAGGCATTATGATACCAGTTATTATAGTTTCTTCCAAGATATATACCACTTCATTTACTGGAAAGTCAAATACTAACCAGGAAAAAGGTCAAGATGTAACAGAAGTAATTATTTTCACTTGCACAAGCACTAATGAAAGGATGAACGTAAATACCATATCTCATTCTCTAGCCACACTGTGTTGCAGGGCCATAGTCATATATCTGAAATGACACATTTCCAGATATTTCACACAATAAGGTCCTGCACTATCAGCTAAGTTATTAAGTCACCTCATAAACTTCTTACATGAAAGATATATTGAGCAGTCCATCTTTGATACAGAGTATTTGGGATTGAAATATCAGCATGCATCCTGATCCCTGATCTTTGGACTGGCTATTAATTATATTATACAGATAACATTTTTTCCCACATGCTCACAGTGCAAGTGTGTTTTTTTAAAAAATCAGAGATGTATTATTGAATGACAGTATTTGAATAGCATCTAAAATTATAGAACTCTTTGTATAATCGCACCCTAGAAAGGGCAGCTCTTTTTTTAATGCCAGTTTCATACAGACATGAGAACAGATTTAATCTTCAAAGTTTTAATCAAACCTGTGGGATGTCCTTTAACTAGCTTTCCTTACTTGTCAAATTATAGTTCTCCTTTATTATCCTTGGAGAGTAAGATACTTGATTCCTGTGGTTCTTAATTGTCTCTTTCCAAACTACTAAGGAAAATTAAAGACTTTTCATATCACTAGAAAAATATGATGTAGGCTAGCTTGACTAATACATATGAACACAGTTTAAAAAGAAAGCAGAGCAACAAGAGTAAAACATCCATTTAGAATGTGCACAATTTAAATGCTACGTTTAATATGTGTGCTTTAATAGATTGCAAAAAGCCATATCATCTGTATAATATATTATCTTAATTTAAGAATTATAGGCATTTTTACAAATGTCCTAACATATTATTATGTATTAGGGCATGGCTTTCCTAACTATTGTATTAGAATAATTTATACAAATTTATATTCCAAATGTGTGTCACTCTGAATATTATAAATCCCAATATTCTCTATGGTCAATGAGAATTATTAATAAAATGATAAAAGGGTACTATGATGATTATATATTAGCTACTAAGAGTTTGATCCAGATTACTTCCAATATTTTAATATAAAATCACTTTTGCTCTTTTAGTCAGAACAAATGGTATATGGTTTTGCCAAATTAGATATCTCTTCTTTTATGCATCTTTATTGTTTTATATTTATATATGTAAATTTATTCATTCATACAATGTTTATTTCATAAGCAATAAAACAGATACTGTTCCTTATTTATAGAGCCTATATTTGGGTGAAAATAAACAAATAATAAGTAAATAAACAAGATATATGAAATGACCAATCGTGAGAGATTGATTTAAAATAAGTGAAATAAGGAGGGCAGATGGAGAAATCCAAGGATACAAACCCCTGATAAATTGATATTTGTACAGAAATTTTTAAAAGGAAGTGAGTGGATCACACTACACTTTAGGCAGAGGAATTGACAATTAAATGCTGCAAACTGGAAATATACACAGGGTGATCAACGAAGAGCAAAAAAGCAACATGGATGGAAAGTGAGTGAAGGAAGAAGAAAATGAAATTAGTTGTGGGAGTAACAAAAGGCCCAGACTTTCTAGAATGCAGCTGGGCATGTTAAGGAATTTGAATGTGATTCTAAATGAGAAAAGAAGTTACTGGAAGTTTCCAAGCAAAGAAATGACATTAGCTGACAAATATTCTAAGGCATATTTGCTGCTCAAGGTAGGGGTGGAGGTCAAGGGAAGTGTCTGAAGGCCTTTGACAAAACCTAAACCAAAATGTATGGTGGTTTAGAACATGGAAATAGTGATGGAAACAATGGGCATGGTTGGATTAAGAATACATTTTGAGTTAATAATAGTGAGGTTTGTTGATGTATTTAATTGAGGATATGGATGTGGGATGAGAAAACAGAGGCATAGCATAGAAAAAGACCTTTCAAATTTACGAATCCAGTTAAATGCATAGTCAACTTGGAACACAGGTAGCCTGGCTTTGGGCCAGCTAACCAAATCATGCTAATAGAGACAGGACATCATCACGAAGAGGGCAGCTGAAGATAATGAGCATACATATCTATCAGAGTTAATGCATACAAAAAATTCTTTCAGTTATTTTAATTTAAATGAAAAGTATCATTTAAGTCTAAACATATCCAATGTCTACCAATATATGTCTGAGTAGTGTGTAATTTTGTTTTCTCCATGCATTCAGTTATTAAACATTTATCACATGCAAGAAACTCTATTGAAACTTTAATAGATTTTTTTAAACCCAAAGAAGGAAAATCTTACTAAAAGAGACAAAATACATCCTTGATTGATTATTGACATTAAATTGAATGTTTAATATGAGAAATCATAGAATATACCAGGTTATTTGAGTAACTCAATCTTGATAGATAACTCCATGACCGAAGAGGGGCTAAAATTCTTTTGTATACTTCTGGAAAGCTAAGGATTTGTAGCAGACAGACTGCTAAAATTGTCATGAATGATCTTTACGTCCTGGTATTCTTTCCCTTGTGTAATTCCATACCCTTGAGTGTGGGCTGGAACTAGTAGTTTGGTTCTAATGACTAGAACACAGTAAAGGTGATGGGATGACACTACTGATATTAGGTTACAGGTGACTAAGACTTGCATATATTTGGAACCATCTTTCTTGAACTCTTTCTTGCCCACTCACTTGCTGCTCCAATGAAGCCAATGTGAGCTGCCTGATTTGGAAGATGTCCATTTGGTGAAAAATCGAGGAAAACATTGTGCCACAAGTTCAGGAGGAACGGAGACCCTCAGTTCAGCAATCAGCAAGTAACTATTTCTGGTGAACAACATGTTAAGGAAATTTAAAATTTATCTACCACTAGTCAAGTAGTCAAGTCTTAAACTGATTTCAGCCCCAGCCAACACCTAGACTGTAACCTTCAGAAGACCCAGTCCTGGGACCCATGGAAGCCTCATCTGGACTCCTAATCCATAGACACCATGAGACAATACTGTTTTTTTTAAGTTGCTAAGTTGAGGGGTAATATGTTATGCAGCAATAGATTACTAATTTAGGCTTTGTGTATTTCCTCAGCAACTTCTGCAGAAAAAAATAAAAGAAGCATTTTTAGTTACTCACCGCTGAAACTTTCCCTAAAACCTAATGACTGAAAACAACAATCATTTTATTATAGCTCATAATTTTGCAGGCCAAGCATTCTGGAAATTCTCACTGGAATGATTTTTCTGCTTCAAGTAGCATTGACCAGTGTCACTTGGTGACATTCAATGCGTGGTGTGGTCTGGAGAGTCTAATATGACTTCTCTCACATACCTAGCTGTCTGCTGATGATGATAGAAAAGCTGGACTTACCTGGGGGCTGTCTTCCTTTCTGTGTGCTCCCCAAGATTCATGATATCTCTGCAGGAAGGTAGTTGGGCTACTCACAGGGAGACACAGGGCTCCAAGTAACAGGAAGAGAGAGCTTCTGGTCCAAGGCAGAAACTAAGAGCATTATTTCTGCTGTATGCCATTCCATCCCATTGTTCAAAGAAGATACAGGGAATACCTCAGCATCACGCTGTCAATGGAAATATATTAAAGAATTACTAGACAACTTCAATTACCCACAAATATTTAGGAATACTAAATTTCTCCAGAAACAATGCGGACTACTATTTTTTTTCTGTCTCAAAAAAAAGTTATTTTGTTTTGTGGAGTCCATATAGGTCTGGAGACTACAAAAATGGAAGAACTATAATAATTTAAAAACCTTTCATCACTTCTGTGACTAAAATTTAACACCCACTTTGGAATCTTTTTCAAAATTTCTTTATAGTTTGACTCCATATCCCTTTTGGAGGGTTATTTCTACGTAAAGAGATATTTGTAAATTAGATAGAACACGCAAAGTTTACATACATGTGATCTTGCCAAATACAGAACATAAACATTCAAATTATCAATATTAGTCTGAAAACCTACTTTAAAGTACCATTTGATCCAGCCATCTATCAGTGATCAATAGAAATATTAATAGCCTAAGTAATTATTTATTGCCTGTGGCCAATTCTAGGTGCAAAGCGACAGTTATGGTCTATGGTATTGATGTACAAAACTCCCTATATAACTTCATACTTTATCAAAAGTATTATGTAACAGGTAAAGTCAGCCCCACTTATGCAAAATAATCC
Source organism: Homo sapiens (assembly GCF_000001405.40). Lineage (NCBI taxonomy): Eukaryota > Metazoa > Chordata > Mammalia > Primates > Hominidae > Homo > Homo sapiens. The sequence goes on from NC_000012.12 coordinate 87,043,778, forward strand.
ATCAGTTGTCCTTGGTTGGAGGTAGCTTTCCTAATTTCTCTGATTGATTTTTACAAAACTTAGAATATCATGTAAATATTTCTATTTTCACCATAAATTGTGGGACTTTATCTAAAACTATTTAGGCAGAGGACTCCAAATATCATTCCTATGCTGAACATAGACCCCAAAATAAGGAAAGACAGTTCTAAACTTGTTATAAATAGAGATCATGCATGCTACAACATCATTTTTACAGATTAGTAACAGAGCAACTTTAATTTCTTGTTTCTTGACCCTTGCTAACATGGTTTTGAAATCATTCAGAAAACCCTCCTAGTAAGGAACTTGGGAAGCTATACTGCAGCTGTCAGATGACCAATTGCATGGAAAATTGAAATAGATGGGGAAAAGTATTTCCACTGAATGATTTTCACCAGAGTGTGGTAATCACCTTGGTAATGTTTGGCTAATGCCCTTCTTTTCTCCATTACCTTCCATCAACTTCCATCATGCTTCACTTCCTTTCCAAGGCTCAGGGTGTCTCTCACTCCTCCCTATACCAATTTCATTTGGTACCAGTCTATTTCACATAATTCCAACACTTTGTGCTCATCAACTTAGGCTATATTTCCAAATATCTTACATTATAAGAAAGCTAGAGCACTATTTCATTTCCTCATTCAGGCTTTGAATACATCCTCAAAATTAATGAACAAGGGAAGAGCATATAATAAGAAAAAAAATACCTAAAACCAAATACAAAAATTAGAAATGCTCATTAAAATAATAGCTCAAATAAAACATACAAAGCAAAGAAAAAATTCACCAATTCTAGTTAACTGAACACATCAGAGCAAGGTTATATGAGAGAGTAGATGGCAACCTGTTGATCATTTAGACTTGATTTCAAACTGCCCATTTTATCTTGTAAAGTCCATAGGAGATCTTAGGGAGTATTAAAATCCTTGGTCCAAATACTGTAATATAAAAAATCTCTTCAACCCTAAAAGAGTTGTTTGAAGATTGTGTTAAATTTAAATTACCAATAGAGAAGTCTTATTCACTACAAAATTGACTCATTGATCAAACATCTAATAAGTACATAAATAAAGGTGCCAGAGAAATATGTTTGGTTTGAGAATACAAAAATGAACAAAACGTAATCATTATACCCTTAAATCTTACAGTCTACTGTGAGATTTAAATTATATTAGAAATATGCTACATCTGCATTTGCTGATGTTTTATAATTATTAAATGTAATTATTTCTTGTTTTCTAAATCAGATTTTAAACCTCAAGAGTAATTATTTTAAACTGTACGCATATTGTATATCATGACACTCGTCTACTTCTTCAAACTATCAGGATACATTATCTATTACAGTACAGAAGAGAGTGAGAATCTGCAATTCCCTTAACCTCCCTTCCAATATGTATCTGAATTGGAGTTTTCCAAGAAGAGGAAATCTCTAGAGATTTGAAAGATTAAGAAAAAAGGATCCATATTTTCCCCCAGTGGCAGTAGCAAGCTTACTTTTGGGCAGGATTAAGATTCACAAGAGCTTTCTTGCTAGGACTTAAGAAACATCTACTCTGCTGCTGCCCTTTGTGAGAGTTAACAATGAGCATTTTGGAGATTCTTCAGACTTTCAGATGCATTTTATGAGATATAGTAAAACACTAAGTTTAGTGCTACAAGCTGATTTGAGTGGCTGATTGCTTCCTCTGTCCTTCCAAGGACCAAGAAAACAGAAGCTTTCTTACATTAAAATATGTAGTACCTAGAATACATAGAGTGAATTTTGTTTTCCTGAAGGAACACTGATTTTTACACTTCCCCAACCTAGTGTAATTCAATAACTATAATAATTAGAACATGCCAAGTGATAATTAGAATAACCTTAAAAACAAAAGCAGGAATGGTCAGACCTGCTAAAGACTCAACTCTATATTGTCTACAAGAAACCACTTTAAATAACAATATATAATATATATTATAGAATATATACTTTAAATATTATGTGTTATTTATATATAATAATAGTATATATTTTATATAAGTAATTATATTCATATAACCTACTCAGATAGGTAAAATGTAAAAGGATGAAAAAACTACACTATACTAACAGTAATTAATCAAAAGAAAGCTAGAAACTGGGCCTGATGGCCTGTGCCTATAGTTCGAGTAACTCAGGAGGCTGAGGCAGCAGGATTTCTTGAGCTCAGGAGTTCAAGGCTTTATACAACACAGCCAAGTGAGATTTATCCAAGTATGCAAGATTTGTTCAAAATTCCACATTTAATTAATAAAATTCACAATATCAACAGGCTATAAAGAAAGAAAAAATCATATAATCGTGTCAATTTAATCAGAAAAGGCATCTGCCAAAACCCAACACCAATTATGACAAAAACTCTCAGAAACTAGAAATAGAAGAGGAACTTACTAGAAATAAAGAACTCCTACAGAAACGGTGGAAAACTGAACCCTCACCCCTAAAGATCTAAAACAGGTCAGGGAAGCCCTCTCTTTCCGTTGTTCTGGGCATCTTAGCTGCTGCAATCAGAAGACGGAAGTCAATAAAAAGTACACAAATTGGGAAGGAAGAAACAAAACAGTCAAGTTTTATCGCATGATATCTAGGTAGATCATTTCAAGGAATATACTGAAAACAGAAACAAAAACAAAACTTCTGGACCTGAAAGCATGTAAAGTTTTTAAACAAAATTCAATTGCTTTCTATATACCAGTCATAAATAATTATAATTTGAAACTTTAAGAAAATTAATACCATTTATAATAGTACCAAAATTTGAAATACTTAGGTATAAATCTAAAACAAGAACGTTGTCTGTATATGAAAAACTATAAAACTCTTATGAAATAAATTTTTAAAGCTCTAAATAAATGGAAAGATACTCCATGAATGAAGTTTGGAAGAATCAATATTTTTAGGATGTCAGTTCTTTCCAATTTTATTGACATGTTCAATGAAATTCCAATCAAAATTCTAGCAAGTTATTATGAAGGTATCAAGAAACTGACTCTTAAGTTTATCTGGAATTATAACAACTAAACTAGCCATCACAATACTGAGAACAGAGTTGGGAGTTCTCATACAATCTGGTTTCAAAACTTACTACACAGCTACACTAATCAAGATAGAGTGGCATTGGCAAAAGAATACACAATGAAGCAGAATAAAGACCTACACAAATAGAGTCAACTCATTGTTGACAGAAAAACAGAGGTAATTCAATACAGAAAGAATAGTCTCTTCAACAAATGATGTTGGAATCTTATTATGTATACATAGAAAAAAATCCTATATAACTTTATACCTTCCACAAAATTAATAGATATTGATCATAGGCCTACAGGTTAAAAAAAAAACTGTAAAAGTTTTAAACTAAGCATAGGGGAAAAATGAGGTAGTCTTCTGTTTAGTGATGAGTTTTAGATATAATACCAAAAGCACAATTTATGAAAGAAAAAAATGATAGGCTGGATCTTATTAAAATTAAAATGTATTATCTGTGACATACACTGGCAAGCAAATAAAAAATCAAGCCATAGACTGAGAGAAAATATTTGCAAAACACATATATGATAAAGGACTTGCACATAAAGATGGGAATAATAGACACTGAGACTCCAAAAGGAGGGAAGGAGAGGGAAAATAAGTGTTGAAAAACTATCTATTGGGTACCATATTCACCATCTGGGTGATGGGTTTCATTGGAGCCCAAACCTCAGCATCTCACAATATATCCATGTAACAAACCTGCACATATACCCCCTGAATCTAAATTTTTTTAAAAAAAAGCAAAAGAGCATTTAACAAACTATACAAAAAAACTTTTAAAACTCACCAATAAGAAAAGCAACAACTCAGTTGTTTTTAAATGGGCAAATATATGAACAAACATTTAATCAAAGAAGATATACAGATGGCACATAGACATTTAAAATTGTTCAACATCATTATCATTTAGAAATTGTACATCACAACAACAATGACATACTACTACACAACTATTAGAATAGCTAAAATCCAAAAATGAAGAACAGAAAATGTATTGCCAGCTGGGATGCAAAATGGTGCAATCACATTGAGAGACAGTTTGGCAGTTTATTATCGAGTTAAACATAGTCTTACCACACAACCAGAAATAGAACGCGTACATATTTATCCCACTGATTTGAAATGTATGTCTACATTAAACTGCACATGAATGCTCCTAGCAGCTTTGTGATGGCCAAAAACTGGAAGCAGGAAAGATGTTTGTCAATAGGTGGATAGATAAACAAACTGTACTACATTCAAACAATGGATTACAATTCAGAGTTAAAAAAATGACCTATCAAGATCATGCAAAAAGGCATGGAAAAATCTTAAATGCATATTGCTAAGTGAAATAAGTAAGTCTGGAAAGGCTACTACCATGTGATTGCAACTATATGACACTGGAAAAAGTGTATATAGTGTATATAGATGGTACAAAGACGGTAGTTGGCAGGAGTTTATGGTAAAGAAGAAAGATTTGAATAGGTGAAGTGCAAAAGGCTTTTTTAGGGTGGTGAAACTATTCCATATGATATTATACTGGTGGTTATGTGACAGTATGTATTTTCTTATAGTCATAGAACTTTAGAGCATAAAGAATGAACATTAATGAACACAAATTTTAAAAAATCCCTTTGGAGACTGGAGGATTCCAACATGGAATGAAGAATGTAACATGTCAATCTGACTTATATGTGAATGAAATAACTTTTCTGAAGTGGTTAGGGGAAATAAGTACTAGCCTGAGTTTCTTTAGAAGTGTGTAGAATTTGTAAGTATAAAAGCAAAACAAACAAAAAAGCCACAAAGGCTGTACATAATCACTATAAGAGTTTTTCCCATGGTGTATGGGGTTAACAATCCTGATACTAATATGCATCTATACTAAACAATTAAGTAAATGGATGATGGATGGTGGGAATTTATATAAAAGGAAGGGCAGGAGGCTAGAATGTTCCATGTGGTAATGGATTCGAGTGGAAGATATTGTATTAAATCATGCTTAGTTAATATAGATACAGATGATTACATATAGAAATATTTAAGAATATGTGTAGATACATTCATTAGTATACACATATATTTCCTTGCTCTGTCAGCTAAAAGGGCCTCAAAGCAAAGAGGCCGCAGTGGCAATAAGCATACCTAGCACTCTGATCTCGCTTTCTAGATTTATTCTAAAATAAAAGGAACAAGAATCCTTGGAGAAATGGCCGATTCTAACCTGGAGGAAGAGGAAGAAAATCCACAATGATGTAGGATAGTCAAAGAGACATAGGAGTCAACAGAAAGATCTCAGAATGGCCAACAGTTTGAGAAACAAATGAATAACATAATATTGATTATAACTGAAAATGTTAAATAATTATTAGTTTGTATTGATATTAATTAATTAAAATAAGTAGAGGTGAAGAGATAAATCTCCCATGCAGAAGAATTCCAAATAATTTATGCAGCTATTCTGCCCTCAAGGGAGAAGAGCATAATTTCCCAATCATTAAGTATGAGCTGTGCAATGGTGACCTCCACTCAAATATTATAGTAGAAAATGGGTTTAAGAAGAGTAACTTTATAATAGAGAAATCTAGCAAGCACTACCTCAGCCAAATCATCAAGGTCAACATCAACATTGATAGGTCATTTTGATAGTATGTACCCTTAATACATGAGATGATGAAAATGGTACTTTAATCCCACTCTCATCATGAGAAAAATATAAAATACCTGACCAGTATTCCTCAAAACTCTCAAGGTCATAAAAAAAAACATAAGAAATTTCAGAAATTGTCACAGACAAGTGATGTCTAAAGAGACATGACAAACAAATGGGATGTGATATCCTGGATGAAATCCTGAAAGAAATAAAGAACAATAGCTAAAAGCTAAGAATATCTGAGTGAAGAATGGACTTAAATTAGTCATAATGTATTAATATTGGTTCCATAATTGTAACAAAAGTAGCATATACATGTCAAATATTAATAATAGGGGGAAACTGAGTGTGGAGTATGTGATAATTCTCTGTATTATCTTCGTAATTTTTATGGAAGTCTAACATTATTCTAAGATAAAAAGATTTATTTCCAAAACACAAATATTAAATTTAGTCAATGTATAATATAGAAAAATAACTAATTGAACCATAGCCCCTTTTCATAAACATATTTGCTCTCAGAATAGCATGCAACTAACCTTACACATATTCAACAATCCATATAGCCTATTTCAGGATACACAAAAGTTTATAAAGTAACTTAAGGATGGGAAATTCACGACATTTTTATAAAACCAAACTCTCTCTCTCTCTCTCTCTATATATATATATGTGTGTGTGTGTGTGTGTATATATACACATATATTCATATATATGTGTGTGTATATATACACATATATTCATATATGTGTCTGTATATATGTGTGTATATATGTGTATATATATGTATATATACACATATATACGTGTGTGTGTATATATATGTGTGTGCGTATATATGTATATGTGTGTGTGTGTGTATGTGTATGTGTGTGTGTGTGTGTGTGTGTATATATATATATATATATATATATATCTCCAGTGGAGAATAACACAAAGCAGATTAGATTATAATACAAAAAATCAGGTTTAAAATCCTTGACATCATGGATAACAATGCAATTTAGCATAAAATTACTTATTATTTAGAATAACTGTCATAAACAGCACATGATTTTTCAAAGGTGTTCCAAAAAAATCCAAATCCCATGTAATGTCACATGATTAAATAATTTGTGGAAATTAAATTGCTACATCCTATATTCTATTTTTGAAGTTTCACTATATATTAACTACCTGATAAAGATTTAAATCGCTTAATAAAGATTTTTATCAATGTGCCAATAAAGAACTGCATTGTTCAACTATGCCTGGATTTTATCCAGGCACTCCCTAGAAATATTTGATTATGCAAATCTGTTTTTTTTTTGCATATACCCTAGATATTTCTTTAAAAAGTAATATATCCACAGATACATTTAGCAAAATATAAACAAACAAAAATTCCTGCAATTATGTGCATGAAAAAAAGGACATGATTACATAAAATGAAAATTCAGATACAAAATATCTTGGCATATCATATTATTACATGTATTTTCAAGTTATAAAAGGAAGAGTTTTTAAAAATGAAGATGTGTAATGAATATTGACTAACATTTTTAAACCATTATGTAGTCCCATATTGAACAAAGACAACATGTTATTTATAAAACTGTTAAATTAATTTTATAGTTTGTTTCCACTTTAATGTTCTATGAAATTATTTTATTGTACTTTTGAAACATGTCTGTGATTTCTGAAATAAATGATACATGAACAAGACTTCATGTTCTATAATTATTCTTATTATAACAGACCCTTAGTATTAAGAAAATCAAGTATTCTCAATTCATAGTAAGTTAGCCTAGGGCTATGAGAAAAAAAATTAAACTGGGCAGCAAATTAATGTGCTTTTTATAAGACAATACATTTCACAATGTCTCTAAGGAACTATTTATCCATTACTGAAAAGCAGAGAGAATAAACCCCCTTAAACTCTCATACCAATATGCAAATGCAGATTTGTGTGGAACAAAAATAAAATTTTCTTCAGGCTAGACCTAACATTTCTGTGATTAAAAAAATATTTAAAATAAAAAGCAGGTATATGTGTCTTTCATAATATCTAGTCTCCATTATTGTTTTTTCCTGTAAGATTGTTTGAAATGTTTAGTGAGTGTATATACTTTCATGTTTTACTGAAACATTTTGAAAGCATTTTTTTAATTTTATATTATGTAAGACAAAATAAATTCCTACTTAACAAGTGACTTCCTGTGATTGGCCATTACTGAATATTTATTGAGTAGCTCTACTATTTAAACAAAACAGCCCTGCAAGCCAAAGACTCCTTTTGGTGAGTCAAACAGTGAAAACAAGTTCTTAGTGAGAAATTTAAATCATTTGGGAATGCTTCAAAGGTCAAGGGAAGGATTACATTGTAAAGTGCCAAAGAAGCTTCACATTAGCCATATGTGAGATCAGATTTTTCTGCAACAAACTAATTTTATGTTCTTGGACAAGTTATTAAAATATTGCGATCAATCTGGCCCCTCATTATTGCTCTTGGACAAACAAAGTGCTGGGAAATCTAGTAAAGATAGCAATTAATATGATTTATAAAATTTTAGTGAAATAATTCATTCCATGCTGCCCACTGGACTCGTTTAATAAACAATGTGAAATATCAAACTGGGCTCAAGGGAGAAAATTTTGATATACATTTTAATATAAAAACATTAAAGTTACCATGTGTGAGACCAGTCCTATATATGAATCCTTGATATAATTCTTATTGAAGGACATAATCCTTAATGAAAAGAGAATGATAGGAAATCATTGAGTTTAAAAATATTTTAGTTAGTGTGGATATTGTAAACAAAGGCCATAGTAAACAAGCACTTTAAACACATTATTGAATAATTTTTAACGGCAAAATTATAAATTTGAACCACGCTAGATGTTAGTGAGCCTGTGTTTAAAGTCCTCTGTTATATATTACAGGTTACATGTCTATGAATTAAAATATCCTCTTTAGGAAACAATTTGGAATTATCCTGCAAAACTACTCACATAGCGCCTACACCAACAATTCTATTCTTAAGTATGTAACAGGAGAAATTCCTACATATCTGCAAATGAGGTAGACATAAATTGGTTCATAATAGCACTGTTTATAATAGTTAAATAAAAAGAAAAGAATCCAAAGGCCATTGGCATAACAATATTTTGAATTAAATAAGCAAATCTAAAAAGATTGCATAAAACATTCCTTTTAATAAAGATCAAAAACAATAGGTAAACAATATAATATTTAAGCAAACCATATCTGTGGTCACACTATTTTTAAAGTCCACTATTTAAAAAATATATTAAAAGTATACTATTGAATATCCAGGACATAAGAATGAGAGTGAAGTAGGACAGCCTAGAGAAAGATCAAATAGGTAAAAGTAAGATATTGTCAACATTCCAGTACACAAGCATACCACAGACAGTGAACAAGTAAACAGAAAAATAAAAAATAGGTCATCCACTGTATTATACAAACTATAGGACATTCTGGAAAAGCAAAACTATGGAAACAATTAAAAGATCAGTGGTTGCCAAGGTGGGAAAAGAGAGGAAGGGACTAATAGGCAGAACACAGAGATCTTTTAGGGCAATGAAACTATTCTGGATGTTGCTATTAAAGATGCATACCTGTCATAATACATTTATCAAAACCCATAGAATGTATAACATCAAGAATAAACCCTAATACAAACTATGGACTATGAGTGATAATGTGTCAATGTAAATTAATCACTTAAAACAGATGTAGCTCTCTGATGGGGAATGTTGAAAGTGAAGGGTGCATATGGGCAATGGGGTGGTAGGAAGTATATGGGGATTCTTTGTGCTTTCTTCAGTTTGCTTTGAAACTACAATTGATCTAAAAGACAAAGTCCATTAGAAAAAATATACAATATGTCATCCTATGTCAATGATGACAGCACATCTTGAACAACAAATTCACTTCTGAAGAACTAATTTCTACTTTAAAACTCACCAGACTAATTTATGAAATTATAAAGTAAAAAAGAAAATCAAATGATTATCTTGAAAATGCAGAAAATTAATAAAAAAATAAATTATCATTTATTATTTAAAAATCAGAAGAAACCAGGAACAGATGGGAACATTCTTTATATTACATTTGATATGATAACATACATATATTATAATTCACACTTAATTTTGAAATACTTATAACACTCTCCTTAAACTCAAAAGGCAACATTATTTTTTACTCTTACTATGCATATTCAACATTATATGGTCAAGCCAGTAATTTCACAGAAACAAAATAACTCAAATATATAAGAATAGGAAAAAATTAAAGAAGCCAATTATAATTTTCTTCATATAAAATATTAATTTGTCTCAAAATTACTAATAGTGATAGCAAACTCTATTGGGTCAGAAGCTGAATCAAACAACGTGCATACAATGTATGAATAAAACTATATTTACAAAGAAATAAAAAATAAATATCTGCTCCATGGACCTGGATCAATTCTAGTTAGATTTGATTACCTAAATTTGAAAAGCAAACTTTTAAAATTTTGGAAGAAAGTATATCAGTAAAGACCTCAGGAGGTGTCTTAAAGAGGGTGAAAACAGGACAAGTGAAAAAAAGAAAAAATAATAATAAATATAATTATATCATAACTTTTTGCATAAAATATTGTCTATATAGAAGCTAAAGACTATCAAAGATATTTTGAAATGAGTACAAACAACAGAAAACTGGTATCCAAAACAGATAATCACTAGGATTAATAAAAGGTAAAATGGTCCCCCAAAAAAGACAGCAAAGAATATGAAAAAGTAATTTATGAAATTTAAGAAAGGATCATAAAGATAGTAACCAAGGAAATGCAAATGTAACCACAGTTAGACACTATCTCAAATCTAGCAAACTGACTAAAATATTAAGAGCTGACAATTTCTGCCACTGCCAAGAATGTTGAGTAATTGGAACTGTTTTCCATGGATTTAAAGAATACACCAGTCTGGAGAACAATTTGGCAAGATCCAGTAAATTTTAACAATGTGATAAAGAAATTCTTGGAAGATGACAATGTGACATAGTTTTTAAAATCTCATCCAATCCCTTTTAAAAGAACAGACAGAGCAAAAGGAAAATATAACCAAAAAATCTATGCATAACTTAACAAACAAAGCCAACTGCAATTGTACCCACATGAACTCCAAAATACAATAGGTAGAGAAAAATTACCTACAGCTTGAGGGAATACATTATATGAGCAGGGAAAGAAGAAAGATGCTGCCAGAGCTGAGAACAAAACAATATGAAAAACAGTTAGACACTCAACTAGAGAGTGCAAAAGGGCAGTTATTGAATAATAGCTGAAACTGCACGGGTGTTTGCACATCCACAGGTAATTGACAAGGTTCCAAAGCAAGTTCTGAAGAAGCTTGTATTTGTTTTCTACTGCTGTATAACAAATTACTAGAAACTTAGTGACTTAAAATGACACATATGTATTATCTCACATTTTCTGTATGTCAGGATTCTGGATATGGCTTACTGAAGTCCTCTACTTAAAGCCTCAGAAGACAGCTATCAAGATGTCAACCAATCTGCATTCTCATCTGGAGGCTCTACTGGGGAAGAATTGTTTCTCTGCTTACTCTGGTTGTTGCAGAACCCATTTCTTTGCAAGTGTATAACTGCATACCCTAACTTTTTGCTGGTGGTCTCATGGAGGTCACTCCAAGTTCCTTGTCATGTGGGCCCCTAATGATGGCCTCTCATTTTATACCAGGTAGGGCAGAAAGTCTCTAGAGCAAGCCTGTTACCAGGAAGGAGTTCTGAACAATGTAACAATCATAGGGATGACATCACACTATTTTTTTTGGTCATAGTTTATTGGTTAAAAACAAGCCAATGTTAACGTCCACACTTAACGAGAGAGGATTTCCCAAAGTATGTATGATCACCCTGTGCTAGGGGTTATGACAGGCCTCATGCCCTCTTCGTCCATGATGGGCTGAAACAAAATTTAAAAGCTGAAGCTGTCGTCCAGAACAAAGCCATATACTGAGAAAAACTAAGAGATACTGATTTTAAATTTCAGATAAATAAAATAGAAATGGAAGAGAGAGAAAATAGTTAGAGGTAGGGGTGGGAAAAAGAGGTCATCTCAGAGAATAGATAGCCATATCTTTCAACTTTAATGAAGACTAAATACTATTCTGACCTGCTTCTTTCTCCTAATAATTCAGACAAATTAATTTCATATAGAATGAGCAGGGAAGGAATCACTGCCAAGTTTCCTCCAAAGTATTTATAAGCCAAAAGACCATAAGAAGCTGAATAATATCCTTTAAAAATATTTTAAAATTCCTGAAAAACCTACCCACAAGCAGATCAAAACTATAAATTAACATTTCAAAGTAATACAAATTTAATTAGGAAATAATAAAATATATGAAAGAAAAACATTGAATTCTAATTAGAGAAAGTAGCAAAAACAATATAGAACTGAGGAAAAAAGAAGATGTAAAATGGTAAAAAGATAATTTAGAGTAGAGACAAAACTAGAAATTAAAATTAATAAACAAAATAGATGCCTCTTTGAAAAAGAAAATGTGAAAAGGAGTACTTTCTGAAAGAAACACAACTGAAGGTAGTAAAGTACTTTAAGAAAGATGAGTACAGAAACAGTATATATCTTAATAAAAAGGAAAACATTCAGAAGAAAGGCATTATAAGTCTAAATATGTATATACCCAATAACATTATTTCAAAGTATAAAAAGCAATAATTGACAAAATTAAAGAGAGAAATCTAAACATCCATAATAATAAGATCTTAATATACCTATCATAATAGCATGTACAGTAATAAGACAAAACATAATTAGAATATAGATTTATAATGAACAATGGCAATAATGAATATATATTTTAATTAGCAACTCAATTTATATAACTGAATAACGTAAAACAATGTGTATTTTGAAGACATAATTGATATTATTTTAATCATGTATTGACTATTTACCAAAATATACTATACCATAAACAATTATTAATAAAAAGTCCTCAATAATTTTAAATTATATTAATTATTCACAGTGTTTCATAGCACAATTGAATTCAGCATATTCACATTTATTTTGAAATTAAAGAATTTCTAAATAATTTATAAATGAGAAAAAATAAGACCCAAATTAGAAACTTTTAAGTGAATAAAAATAAAAATCAACATTCTAAAACTTGTGAGATGCAGAGATAGATATGTTTAGAGAAAAATTTATAGCCTTAGTTTCATGTTTAAAAAAATAAGGAAGACTAAATGTTATTCATGTGAAGCTTCATTCTGGGAACAGAATTTTAAACCTAATAAGTGTAGACAGATAAAATGAATAATAAAAGAGTAAAAATAAATAAAATAAGAGAAAGGGTCATAATTTTAAAAAAATAGAAAAAAAATCAAATACTCCAGCAAGATTTATCAAAATAAAATAAGAAAATATACAAATTGTCAATAACAGTAATAAAAAAAGATCTCACTATAGACTCTACAGACATCAAAAATATAATAAGAGGATATTAATAAATAACTTTATACCAATACATTTGACAATTAGGATGACTTGGACAAATTCCCCCAAAAATGCAAGAGAAATAGTATTAGAATTATTAGAATTCTTACTAGTTGTACATGTATTAAAGAAATTGAAGGCTGGGCACTGTGGCTCACGCCTGTAATCCCAGCACTTTGGGAGGCCAAGGCGGGAGGATCACCTGAGGTAGGGAGTTGGACACCAGCCTGACCAACATGGAGAAACCCTGTCTCTACTAAAAATACAAAATTAGTCGTGTGTAGTGGCGCATGCCCGTAATCCCAGCTACTCGGGAGGCTAAGGCTGGAGAATCGCTTGAACCCGGGAAGCGGAGATTGCAGTGAGCTGAGATCTCGCCATTGCAATCCAGCCTGGGGAACAAGAGCAAAACTCTGTCTCAAAAATAAAATAAAATAAAATAAATTGAAATGGTTATTCAAATTCTTCCCACAGAGAAATTTCCAGACTCAGTTTCACCAGAGAATGTCTCCAAATATCTACGGGAGAAATAACATCAATCTTACACAAACCCTTACAGTGCACAGAAATAAAAGAAAGATGTTCTCATTTTATGAGGAAAGCATAAACTTGATTTCAAAACCAGCAAATGATCTTACAAGGAAATTAAACTAGAAACACTATCTCTCACAGACATAGATGCAAAGATCTTTTAAAAAGTTAATAAATTAAATCCAATAATACATAGTATATATAAATAAAATATATTACATCAGTATGAAAGTGCTTACTATCTATAATACATAAATAAGTTCCTTTTAAAAACAAATGATAGAAGAAAAGTTAGTAGAAATACAGGCAAAAGACTAAAACAAAATATTCCAGAAAAGGGGACATCTGATAGGTCAATGAAAATATGAATATATGTGGACACCAAATCCAATGATTAAAATGGAAAAAAAAATGCTGAGTGTTGGTGCAGATGAAGAACAGCTGGAACTCGTATAAGTTGGGAGTGCAATATTGGCAAAACCATTTAGAAAACTGTAACATTATTGACTATAGCTGAATATAAATACATCCTGTCACCTAGCAATTACCATTTTCAATGTATATATAACAGAAACGCATACATGTGTTCACCCAGAGATATGAATTTTCAAAAAAGTGCTATTTATAATTGGCACCAAATGCAAACTATCTAAATAGTAAATGCCTACTCACCATCGAATGGATAAATTACTTAAAGCATGTTCACACAACAGAATACCATAACACAGAAAAGAACAATCTACAATTTAGCACACAACAATGTGGCTAAATGTAAAAAAATGTAATATTTAAGGTAGGAAGACAGGTAGAAAATAATTCATGCTATATGAATCCATTTATGTATCAGTAATCCAGGCTATTACAAATCAGGATAGTGGTTATATTTGGAGCGGTTGTGACTGGAAAGGGAACATGAGAGGGACTTCTGTGTTTCTTGTATTGTTCTGTTTCTTGATTTAGAATGTTAATTTTGTAAATATACAGTGCATTATATACCTATACTAGCTTCTCTTTTCCATATTACACTTGGAAAAAAAAGCTGAAGCAATGACCTACATTTGCAAAATGGATTTAGTTTTCTGGTCACCTGGCATGGGCAAACAAAGAACAAAAGTACCGTCATGCACTTCATAATGACATTTCAGGAAGTCAGCAATAAAAAACAAACCACACATAAGATGGTGGTCCCATAAGATTACAATACTGTATGTATAATGCACCTTTTCTATGTTTAGATAGGTTTAGATGCACAATTACTTACCTTTGTGTTACAATTGCCTACAGTATTCAGCATAACATGCTGTGCAGGTTTGTAGCCTAGGAACAATAGGCTATTTTATATAGCCTAGATATGTATTAGGCTCTACCATCTAGGTTTGTGTAAGTACATTCTATGATGTTTACACAATGACAAAAAGCATTTCTCAGAATGTGAATCTATTGTAAAGTGATGCATAATTTAAATATCTGCTGATTTTTAAATATCTGCTGAATTCAGAATTCTCTCAATTAACTGAGTTCACATTACAAGTTACCCCAATTCTGATTTAATATCCTTTATAGACTCCAATATAAAACTCACTTTTCTCATTATTAAAATTATATAATAATTGTTGTAATGAGTACATGAGAAAACATATACATCCCTTAATTCAGTGCCTGGAACACATAAAATATAGTCTCAGATCCATATAATTTATTTTATTTTCTTGACAACTTAAAGAAGCTTGCAATCATTTTGGTAACCTGAAAATACAGGATAATAGACAATTTTGACATACATGCAATTAATTGAACATCCATGGAAAACATCACAGAGCTTTGATGTCAGCTTTTTGGATACTTCCCAAATACTCCAGCTTGCTTGATTCATTTTGCCCTTTAAGATTTAATGAGATTTGGCTTGAATTCTCATCTTATATATAGCCAGCATTTGTGAATTCCCATATTTACTGAGTTTTCCATGCCCACTCAGAACGTATTTTAATTTTCCTGTATATTGTAACATACTAAATACTGCACTGTTTTCTTTCTTCCAGCATACCACTGACTCAAATATGTCAGTATAGTGGACTTTCTTGAAGGTAGGGAAGAAATAACTAAGAGTTAATTTTCAAAATAACATGGTTACAACTTAAAACGTGATATTAAACCTTTCTATTTTTTAAAGGTTTTCATCCAATTACAACATTAAAGAATTTCTATTTGGTTTGTCTTTTACTTCATCTTCCCATCAGGTAACTATTACTCTAGAATTTTTATCCTTTGAAATGCTTTCCTCTATTCCTAAATTGCTATTATTAATCATATAATTTATGGTGCATATATATATTAATATATTATATATAATATATATAATATATATAGGTTTTTTATACAAAGCAATTAATTTTTTAATGGTATATATATGTTTATTGTATAATTCATGGTATATACATTTATATATATAAATAGGAACAAATACATATAACATACATAAATATATATATATATATATATATTTGTTCCTTTTTTATACAAAGCAATGGATTTTTTCTTAGTCTCAATTCTAGCCCCTTATAGGGACTCTCATTCTATAACCAAAATGCAATCTCAGCAATGTGCTAAAATTTTGGAGACTTTCATATACCATTTTAAGTGAGAACACAGTAAGTCTTATAATAAAGC
The DNA here is from genome assembly GCF_000001405.40 of Homo sapiens. Taxonomy (NCBI): domain Eukaryota; kingdom Metazoa; phylum Chordata; class Mammalia; order Primates; family Hominidae; genus Homo; species Homo sapiens. The sequence goes on from NC_000012.12 coordinate 87,060,225, forward strand.
CAAAGCAGCATGCATGGATTTTTATTAAATTTATCATAATTTTTAAATAATACTAGGAATTCAGTTTATGTTTCTCATGTTTTTAAATTAGCCATATAAAACTAGTTGCATTTAAATAAATATTTTAGACCCAAAAATATAGGGAAAAGGCAGAAAAATAGGGCAAAACATCAAAATTAAGTATGTGCCACTACATAATTTGAGTGAAACATAAAAAAGAAATCCTAAAATGGCACATAAGGTATAACAAAACCACCAAGTATAGAATACCTAATTTGTAAATGGTGGCATAAATATGACAACACAATATAATAAAGATATTTCAAACAGAATTGATTCACTAGGTGCTGAACAATCAATGAATTATTAAAAACGTTATTATACTTAGGTATAAGCAATTTAAAATGTAGCATCTACTATAAACTAGTACTGCAGTTTAAACAGTTTTAAGAGATAGCAAGGTCCTGATTTGAGTTGAAAAGGACAGAGTACTGACAAGTAGCCACATCAACTTCCTATTAAATGACCAGAAATGCTGATTTATTAAAAAGTCCTGCATAGGAGCAACAAAATATATGAAGCTTTGGGTTAGTTAAACTTTACTTAAGATTAAGGAAGATATAAACAGTAAAAACAGATAAGGATAAATCTTTCAGGCAGTGAAATTGTACATAGATTCTGACCTCAAAAATACTGTAAAAAGAAACTTGTTTTTAGGATGCTGAGTTTCTCCATGTCCAGACCATTTCCCCTTGGTGACACCATTTTGTCAGTGCCATCTTTGCTGTCTGCCAGTCTAATATTTTAAATATTCTCAAACTCTTAACATCATTAATACAAGATTTTAATTCCCACTGAGATAAATTTTAGAGCATTATTTTCTTCCCAAGATCATTTGCATTTTATAATGTATTAATTTTAAAATAAAAATATCCACCACAGTCGATGATAGAAGCAAGCTTTCACACCTGAAAAAGTTGACACGTTTACCTGTGTAACAAACCTGCACGTGTACCCTTGAACTTAAAAGTTAAGAAAAAAAACCTCATTTCTATCTACACACAAAAAAAGGGCAATTCTATCTACACACAAAAAACTTTGTTTTGTGATGCGATCACAGAATACCACAGACTTGGTAATTTATAATGAACAGATATGTATTGGCTCACAGTTCTGGAGACTGTTAAGTCCAATATCAAAGTGCTGGCTTCTGGTAAGGGTCTCCTTACTGTGTTACATTATATGGAGGAAGGAAGGCAAGAGGGCAAGAGAGCAAGAGGTGTCTGAACTTGCTCTTTTATAATGGCATTAATCCCATCTTTGATGGTAGAACTATAATGGCCTAATCACCTCTTACTATTTAATAATTACAATTACGATTAAATTTCAACATGAATTTTGAAAGAGACAAACACTCAAATCATAGCAATAAATTGATTACCTATTCTGAATCCAAAGATTAGACTGGCCCTCATTGGAAAATTTGTATCAGAACTTATGTATTAGAAATTAGTTATAAAATGTTAATAAATGAAGCAAAGTAGTATTTGTTACAAGTTGAATTGCATCCCCCAAAACTCGTATGTTGAAGTCCTAATTTCCAAAATCTCAGAATGTGACCTTATTTGGAAACAGGGTAATTGCAGATGTAATTAATTATGTTATGATAAAGTTAATAGGGTGAGTCCTAACCTAATATGACTGATGTCCTTATAGAAAGGAGAAATTTGAGACAGAGATGGACATACACTCAGGAAGAACACTGTGAAAATTAGAATTATGCTACCAGAAGCCAAGGAATAGATCTTTCCCTAGCACCTTCAGAGGGAGCATGGACCTGCTGACACCTTTGTTGTGGACTTCTAGCCTCCAGAAGTATGACAATAAATTTCTGTTGTTTAAGCGATTCAGTTTGTGGTACTTAGCTATAGCTGTCTTAGCAAACTAATACAGTATTCTGTTTTAAAATTAACTTTCATATAAATTGTAACATTCAAAGGGCAGAGGTTGGAGAAGATGTTTGTAGGGTTAAGAGGTTATCCTCATGTATAATGGATGTTATAAGAGAACAGATCCTCTCTTAAGAAAGAATTAATTGTGATATTGTCATTTCTCACCTTTTGATGTAGTCTAACATATGGATCCCACAAAATTGAAAACAATCAAGGGCTAATGCATCTCTTATGCAAACAAATAGTAAATATGAGTAATTAAATTTAAAAAGGATTACATATTATCTAATAAGCCGACAAAGGCTATCACATCAAAAGACTGGTAATTCCTACAGCAGATGGAAACTTTAGTTGTGAAAAAAAATCTAGATAGAGACCATTGACACAGATAGATCTATACCTAACAAAAAACTCATCAGATTACATAATATGATTATTAATAATAGCAATACTTATCATGACTATCTGTCATGTATATACACAGAATGTGTGGGTACATATTGAAGATAATACAATGCCATTAAGTGATTTGACAAGTACAGTAGCAAATTTTTACTTTCAGATTACTATTAAGTAAATATTTTTTGATTTATTTAAATCCTTCTCTAAATTTTCTAATTTCACCAAATTCCATGCTACTATTACTTATGTGACATGATTCTAGAAATGGGCAGAAGCCAGTTACACACCATAGATATTCTTAGAGGATTTTATTGGGAAGTGTAATGTTTCTAAAGGAGAAAAAAAATAAAAGACAAAAAAAATAAAAGTAGCTGCAAGGTTATATTGAGATTATTACCTTAACTAAAATAAGATTCTAAATTGAGTGACACATTGTGATATTTAGGATTTAGCACACTCATATTAGGGTATATTTATTATTACGTCCATACACAGCTGAGTTAATCAACTACTATAATGTTAAATATAGATCACAGAGGAATACAACATGACTCAAAGAATCATACCAAGAAATCACAAATGGAAAGGTTTCTTATATATTCAGTTCACATAAGATGTGATTTATAAAGATAAGATAAAAACTTTTTTGTCAGAGGGAAATATGGATAAATGGATTTTTGCTAGCTTCACATGCCATGCTAACAAATTATATATTTTTACACATAGATAAGAGGTTGAGTTCTTTTTCAGCATTCTTTTTCTCACAATTACTAGGGAATGGGAAAACAGGGTGTAAGATACTAAGATGAGAAGATACTATGAAAGTAGAAATGTTGAACAATTTGAGTATGAAATTTTTATTCTTTTAATTTCTGAGTCTTTTTTTTTAACCTTTATTTTAGCCTCAGGGGTACATTTGCAGGTATGTTACATAGATAAATTGTGTCACCAGGATTTTGTATAGAGATTATTTCACTACCCAGGTAATATGGATGGCACCTAATAGGTACTTTTTGTCCTCACTCTCCTCCCACCCTCCATCTTCAAGTAGTCCCCATTGTCTGTTATTCCCTTCTTTGCATTCATATGTATTCAATATTTATTTTGCAATTATATGTGAGAACATGCAATATTTGGTTTTCTATTTCTGTGTTAGTTCACTTAGGATAATGGCACCCAGCTCTATCCATGTTGCTGCAAAAGACAATGATCTCAATCTTTTTTATAGCTGTGTAGTATTCCATGGTATATGAGAACCATATTTTCTTTATCCAATCTACCACTGATGGACATTTAGGTTTACTCCATGTGTTTGCTATTGTGAATAGTGCCATGATGAGCAAACACTTGCATGTGTCTTTATGGTAGAACCATTTACATTCTTTGGGGTATATAATCAATAATGGGATTACTGGGTGGAATGGCAATTCTGCTTTTAGCTCTTTGAGAAATTGACAAACTGTTGTTTTTTGACTTTCTGATAACAACCTTTCTGATTGGTGTGAGATGGTATCCCATAATGGTTTTGATTTGCATTCCTCTAATAATTAAAGATGTTGAGAATTTTTCCATATACTTGTGGGCTGCATGTATGTCTTCTTTTGAAAAGTGTCCGTTCACGTCCTTTGCCCACTTTTTAATGGAGTTGTTTGTTTTTTTGCTCATTAATCCATTTAAGTTCCTTATAGATTCTGGGTATTAGACCTTTGTTTGATGCATAGTTTGCGAATATTTTCTCCCATTCTGTAGGTTCTTTGTTTACTCTGTTGATAGTTTTACTTTTTCCTGTGCAGGATCTCTCTAATTTAATTAGATCTTATTTGCCAATTTTTATTTTTATTGCAATAGCTTTTGGCATCTGCATCATGAAATCTTTGACAGGCCCTATGCCCAAAATGCTATTTCCTAGGAGGTTATCTTCCAGTATTTGTATAGTTTTAGGTTTTGCATTTAAGTCTTTAATCCATCCTAACTTGATTTTTGTATATTGTATAAGGAAGGGATTCAGTTTCAACCTTCTGCATATGACTAGTCAGTTATCCCAGCACCATTTATTGAATAGGGACCACTTTCCTTATTGTTTGTTTTTGTAGACTTTGTCCCAGATCAGATGATTCTAGGTGTGTCACATTATTTCTGGGCTCTCTATTTTGTCCCATTGGTCTATGTGTCTACATGTCAGTTTTTGTACCAGTACCATGCTGTTTTGGTTACTGTAGGCTTACAGTAGAGTTTGAAGTTTGATAACATGATGCCTTCAGCTTTCTTCTTTTTGCTTAGGATTGTGTTGGCTATTCATGCTCTTTCCACTTGATTTTTAAAATAATTTTTTTTCTAATTCTGTGAAAAACGTCATTGGTAGTTTGATAGAAATAGTATTAAATCTGTAAATTGCTTTGGGCAGTATGGCCATTTTAACATGCTCTTGGATTCCTATCCAAGAGCATGGAATATTTCCAGTATCATTCTGATACCAAAACCTGACAGAGACATAACAAAAAAAGAAAACTTCAAGCAAATATCCATAATGAATATAGATGCAAAAATCCTCAACAAAATACTAGTAAATCAAATCCAGCAGCAGATCAAAAACCTAATCCACCACAATTAAGTAAACTTTATCCCTGCGATGCAAGGTTGTCTTAACATATGCAAATCAATAAATGTGATTAATAACATAAAACTAAAAACAAAAACAAGATGATTATCTCAATAAATGCATAAAAGGCTTTTGATAAAATTTAACATCTCCATGTTTTTTAAAAAAACTCTTAATAAACTAGGGATTTAAGAAACATACTTCACAATAATGAATGTCATCTATGACAAACCCACAGCCAATGTCATACTGAATGAGTAAAAGCTGGAAGCCCTCCCCTTGAAAACTGGAAAAAGACAAGGCAAAAACCACTTTTGGAAACTCTGCACAAGAAATTGCAGAATATAACCAATTTGCACATCCTATCCTGTCTAATAAAAGCAAATGCCAGTCCAGCTTGTTTCAATCACTATATATTGGATAATCTTTTTCATAGCATATTGGTCTGTACCCTAAATCTTACAATATGACTTGTAAATTGGTTAAAAACAAAGTGAAAAATAATATTTCATTTTAGGAAAACAGGGCTAATTATACAAACCAAACATGCACATGACATTAAGTCAGGCTGTATTATTTAGGCAATAACCTTACCTGTTTTATTTGTCTCTGTTAAAGTCTGATAAAATATAAAGTGTGAGACATTAGTATTGATAATCTACTAGAGAAGAAATAAAACCTCCAATGTGCTGAGCCTGAAAATAAAAAACAGTAATGTGTCAGTAAATATCTTAAATGTTTTAATATCCTATGCACCTTTCAAAACTGGTCCTTAGGTCCGTATTTGAATGTGTTAATATCATTATTGAACCTAAAAGTTGCTACCAAGTGCCTCTTTTGTCTTCCTAGTTTTCAGTATATAGCTGATTAAGCTGTGTGCAGATTTTCTAGTTTATGCCAGATAACCAAAGAAAATATTTTAAATATATTTGACAATTGTAATCTGTAACTTCTTTAGTAATTCTGCTAGTACACATATGGTGTCTCTCACTTATGTCTAGAAGTAGCTGTATTACATTAAGTATGCTTCATTAATGATTCACTCAACATTAAGCATTGATTAAGCACCTAATAAATTCATATTAATAGATAAAAATTTGTTGTGATAATGATGACAAGCTCCTCTCCAAGTACTCCAAGCTTCATCTCCAATATTTTCTTATGTGTCAAATATAAAATTTATAACCATTCCAGAAATAGAACTCTGAGTCTTGTTGATCTCCTTGTTTACATGCTATCATCGTATCTGAAAATACATCAAAACATAGATTGCTTTTTCTGCACAGAAAGACTAAGTGCAGATGAATTATTGCCCATTTCAAATGTTATGTTCCCCCCTCCCAATTTGCCCATTTACTCTAAGCTGAGTTCCTACAGATGCCTTTGCCTAGATGACATTATTTCAGATGATGTATTTATATGATTCTCTCTCTACTGTTGCCACATTCAAATGCATTTGTGGAATCCAGCCATGCACAATAAACAATAATTTTTTAAATCCTTTATTCCAGGGCAAGCCATTTCTTCTAGCTATTCCACAGCACGAAGTGCAACTAAAGTGTTAGTATAATCATTTCATTAAATGATAGCCAAAGCAAAGAAGAAAATTGTTGTCCACTGACAATAAGACACAAACACAAAAACAAACATAAATAAAGGGAACAGCTGCAGAATATGTGTAAATACATTTATTTTTTAAGACTAAAATTGAAAGTCATACATAGAGAATCTAAATTTTGAAATAGTTGCTTACTCCTTCATGAAATACTTTAATTATCCTGGCTAGAAGGACAGCAAATTCTCCCCATTTTCCCTCTTTTTCATTGCTATTCCCTCTTCTTCTCCATTCCTGCCTTATTTTCCTCTTTCTATCTTCCAAATGTTGGCATGTCCCAGGACTAATTTATCAGATCTTTTCTCTTTTCGCTTGCTCCCTAAGTGAGTGGTGGCTTAAAATGTCATCTGTACACTAATGTCTTTTAAATTAACATCTCTATCAATGATTTCTCCCTTAAGGATAGAATCTAATACTCAACTACCTAGCTGATATGGGGGTTAGTTGATTGATTAGTAAATGGTTCAAATTTAACATGTTCTGAACTAAATTAGTGATTTTTGTCATTGCCTTTCACCTGTTCTTTTCCTATGTTTTCTAAGTCAGTAAATGGTAATTCTATTAGCCAATTTGCTCAAGCCTAAAGCTTAAGTCATTGTTTTCTTCATTTATTCTTCCATTACCATATTCAGTAAGCAAGATCTATGAGTGCTGTCTTAAAAAGACTTACCAAATACAGCTACTCATCACTGCCTTTCCTGTTAACACCTTCAGTTCAGTTATTCTATGCCTAATAAATACAGTAATTTCCAAATCATTTTCTCTGCTTCTAACTCTACAGTTATAAGTCTAAAAGATAACCAGTGTGATATCTTCCAAATGAAAATCAGACCTATCACTATCCTGCTAAGCAATTTGTTTCTACTTCAGAATAAAACTCAAATATTTACTTTAAAGATAAAATCCAAATGGAATACAGGGCTTTACATGATGTGGAAACAGCCTACTTCCGCTAACTTTTTCTCCAGCCACTCTCCAGTTTGCATTTCTTTCTGTGCCTTAATATTTTAGAATATTAAGGCTCCTTTCTGTTTCATGCCCTTACTACTTAGTATTCCTGTTCCTGAAATGCTCTTTCCTCATGATCTTGGCCTGGCAATTCCCTGACTTGATGAAAGTCTCTCCTTAAATTTCATTTCCTAAGAACATGACCAATTTACAAAAGTCTATCTAACATGACTCTCCACACCAAGTATATCGTACTTGCTTATACATTCAACTTTACTTACTAGTCCTCAATATGTATCATATATATATAAATCAAAATCAATGTAAATATCTATATATCATATGTTATCTATGTATGTATATCTATATATGATATCAATAACATGCTGATAAACATAGATAAATATATATACCATGTATGATATATATTACATATATGCTTATTGAATTATTTATCTGTCTCTTTCCCAGTAAAATTTAAATTCCATAAAGACAGAAACATTTGTAAATCCACTACTCTATTCCCAAAGCCTAAATCATATAGGATAATGACCATAAAATATCTCTACAAAAATAAATATAATTGTTGTCATTTTAAGGATTATTTTTTACAACTTTGAATACACAAAATAAGCTTATTTGCAAATCTTCTTTTAAAGCACAGTTTCATCAATGATTAATAATTGCATTTTCTTATTTTTAATATTGTATTAGGAAAGTAAAAACTCATCAGATGCCAACATAAAAACCAAAAATTTGACAATAACATCTATTTGTACAGTGTTCCTCATTTAATTACCCATTTTCCTTTACCTGAGGTAACTATCTATTTTGAGTATTTCTGTGTTATGGTTAATTTTCTTAAATTTAGAATATCCTATTTAGAGTCAGTACCATTTTATAACTGTGGTAAAATTCTCAATATACACCAAAACTCCTCATAAAAACAGACAGACTGTAAGTAGCCAAAGAAAAAATCACAAAGAACATCTTCAACAAAACTAGGTGGCAAGTTATCCTGAGAGTGTTAGATTAAGAGTGCTTGAGGCAAAACACATTAAAAATCAGGATCCATACAAGATTAATAGGTGTACAAAGGTGGTGGAGGGAAAATAAAGAAATGTTTGGATGATCCTAAAAGCACAGGGTGAGAGAAATCAACCACCAATACTCACACCAAGAGAATCTCCGGTAAGCTGTACAGAGTTTAACAATGAAATTGGAGAGGGAGAAGAGGGAGAAAGAGAAGGAGAGGGAGATGGGAAGAAGGAGATGGGAGAAATAAAATGAGGGACCCACTAAGGGTTCAATAGGACAGAGACACTTTAAAGAAAAATGTGACATATAAACAAATTCAATAGGGTAGATTCGGTGCAGGTAAAATTTCAATTATTTGTCAGCAAGGATTCCAGAGAAGGCAGATTACAAAACTATGAAGGCTGCTATTTCAGATTAACCATATTTTAAACTTTTGAGGTAACAACATAAGAGAAAGCCTTCTAGTAATATACCCACAACCCCTATACAGAATCTTCTTCCTAAAAGTATGGGAACACCCATCCAATGTCTTTATCTACTTCTCTCTCTCTATCTCTAGTGTCTAACAGCTCTCTATCATCCATGTTAAATATCTTGAGTTCATGCAGATATCAATATAATAATTTGGGGTATATTCTACTCTAACTTCTTTCTGTGTTTATAACGCCTCTCTCAAAAAATTATAAACCTAGGTGTCACTATCAGACCTAGAATACTGAGAAAGTATTCTTAGAATTTCCAACCTATATTAGAGGTTTAAAAATTGTAACTAGTTGGAATTTAAAAGTTGTTTATCTTCTTTGTTTAGGTAAAAATAACATAAAGAAAAGGTACAATTCTTAAATAAACACTCTGCTGATATTTGAAAAATACATACATGCATGTAGCCCACAGTCTTATTGAGATAAAGAGTATTCATAGCACTCAGAAAGTGTCCTGGTGCTGCTAATCAGTAAAACCTCCCCAAAGATAACCACTATATTTTTTATTTGTTTCTTACCACAAATTATTTTTGTCTGTGCCAGAACTTCACATACATAAACACGGCTACACTCTTTTACGTTTGCTTTTCTTCACTCAGGATAGTATCTATGAGGTACATTCATGATGTAAGTATATCAGTAGCTAGTTCCATTGTATTGCTGAGTAATAATCCACTGAATGAATATAACGTGCAATTGTGTACAGTTTATTCCATTGACAGTCTTTAGGATTGTTTCCAGCTATTTAGTATTAAAAGTAAAGTTGATACAATTATTTTTGCATAAAGTCATTTAGTGGAGGAATGTTTCATTGCAGTTATAAAAATACAAGTAGACCTGCTTATTAGCAGTATATACAATTTTTTTTTTTTTTTTTTTGAGACGGAGTCTCGCTCTGTCGCCCAGGCTGGATTACAGTGTCCTAATCTCCGCTCACTGAAAGCTCCGCCTCCCGGGTTCACGACATTCTCCTGCCTCAGCCTCCCGAGTAGCTGGGACTACAGGCGTCTGCCACCACTCCCAGCTAATTTTTTGTACTTTTAGTAGAGACGGGGTTTCACCGTGTTAGCCAGGATGATCTCGATCTCCTGACCTCGTGATCCATCCGCCTCTGCTTCCCAAAGTGCTGGGATTACAGGCGTGAGCCACCGCGCCCAGCCCACAGTATATACAGTTTTATAAGAAATTGATAACCTTTTCCTAAAGTGATAATATCATTCAATGTTGTCGCTTTTCCATTAACCGTTCTAGTGGATGTCTAGTGGCCTCTCATCATGTGTGTTTATATTGAAATTATCCTTGATTATTCTAATGAAGTTGAACATTTTTTCAAGTGTATGTTGGTGATTTGTCTCCCTTGTGAAAGATCATTTCAGGTCTGTGGCCCATATTTATTGCGTTTTTTAAAAAATTGTTGAATTCCACAAGTTTTTAGGTTCCTAGATAAATATAAACCTAAAAATGTGTTCAATGAAACAGTTTAGGTTCCAAGATAAAAGTCCACTGTGTGTGAATATATATTTTAGAATATTAAGCTCCTTTCTGTTTCATGCCCTTGGTACTTAGTATTCCTGTTCCTGAAATGCTCTTTCCTCATGATCTTGGCATGGCAATTCCCTGACTTGATAAAAGTCTCTCCTTAAATTTCATTTCCTAAGAACATGACCAATTTAGGAAAGTCTATCTAACAAGACTCTCCAACCACCAAATAGATAGTATTTGCTTATGCATTCAACTTTACTTACTAGTCCTCAATATGTATCATATATATAAAAATCAATATCAATGTAAATATCTATAGATCATATGTGGTATCTGTCTATATATATCTATAATTATATATATTATATATATGCACATACAGTGTATATATATATATATATAAATACACACACACACATATATGTATGTATTCCAGGTACCAGATCTAAACATATATATAAAAGCATACGTATATATGTGTGTATATATACACATATGTATATAAAAAATATATGTATTTGTATGTATATACATGTGTATATATATATACACACACACACACACAGAGTGGACTTTTATCTTGGAACATGGAACACCATATATTTTAGGAATGCATATATATATATATATATATATATATATATATATATATATATATTTCCATTCATATATGTGTGTGTGTACCAGGTACCAGATCAAAATATATATATATAAAAGTATGTGTGTATATATGTGTGATATATATATACACATGTATATATTTATGCATATGTGTATATATATATATACACACGTATATATTTATGCATATGTGTGTATATATATATATATACACACACACACAGTGGACTTTTATCTTGGAACCTGGAACACACACACACACACACACACACACACATATATATATATATATATTTATATGTATTTATTTATTTAGATCTGGAACCTGGAATACATATACATATATGTTTGTGTTTGTGTGTGTGGTGTTTTTGTATGTGTTTTTTGTTTTTTTCATTTCTTGTGGTTTTGTGGTAGGTGGTTAACATGTTTAGCTTTTACTTTCATGGCTAGGATTTATCTCAATTTTTTTGTTTCACAGTGTGAGGAGTCAATTCATTTTTTCCCCAAATGGATATCCAGTTGTTTGAGCACCATTTATTTGTTAGAAAGATGTTCATTTCCTCTATTGAATTTCTTTGTTAACTTTGTCAAAAATTAAATAATCATGTGTCAATGTATTAGTAAATAAACTCTGTCCAGCAGAATTTTCTCTGAGAGTGGACTTCATCTGTATCTTTGCTGTCTAGTAATGTAGCTACTAGCCACATGTGGCAATTGAGTACTTGAAATATGGCCAGTGCAAATAAGAAAATGAATTTTTAATTGAATTTAATGATGGTAAATTTGAATATAAACTTAAATAACCACAAGTGGCTGATGCGTACTATGGCTGATGCGTACTACATTGGAAAGCAAAATTCTAGACTCTAGTATACTTTATTAAGCTGTATTTCTAATTTACAACAATGCTAAAAATTTTTCATTACCATGTTTTTATAGTACTTTTCTACTATAGTAGTATAAGTAAATCATCCAACTTTAAACTTTTTTATCTCAATTACCCTGGCCATTCAAAGCCTTTGCCTTTTCATATAAAATTCCATTTAATAGCCATTTCATTCCAGTTTAAAGTAAAAAAACTTTTAAGAAATGTAACCAGTACTGGATTGAATCTGCAGAACAATCCATCTCAAAGAAAAAGACACTATTTTTATAGTGCCTTTCAATACAGTATATTATTTATTTATGTATTATTTAAATTATTCAAGAAACATTTTGTAGTTTTCAATTCCTAGCATGCTGTAGGAAAATTATAATTTGACAAAACATGTTTTTCTTTTTACATATAATTGGATTCAATATATAATATTGAAAATGCTTTATTAAAGATCTTTTACATCTGTGCTTGTGAGGGATACTACTTTGTAGTAGACTTTTTTTTCTTGAAATACCTTTCTCTGGATTTGGTATAACGCAGGTTTGGTTTCACAAGCTGGCAGCTCTTTTAGTATGGCTTTAGGTGCATCCCACAAATTTCATTCACTAAATATTAATTTTCATTTAGTTCAAAATGTTTTAGTTTCCTTGACTATTTCCTCTTTGATTTATATACTGTTTAATGTCAAAATATTTGGGGATGTATTATATATCTTTCTGTTATTAATTGCTAGTTTAATTCTATTAACTTCTGACAACATACTTTATGTGATTTCTATTATTTTAATTTTTTAAGGTTACTTTTATGGCTCAGAATATGATATATCTTGGTGATTATCCCATGTGCCCTTGAGTGCTGTATCAGTCATATATTGCTGCATATAAATTACCATGAAACTTCAAACAATACATATTTATTTTCTTATTGCTTCTGTGGGTTTGGTACCTAGGAAAAGCTTAGCAGAATCCTCTGATTCAGAGTCTCTCATAGACTGCAATCAAGATGTCATTTGGCTGAGGATATCCAAAGTCTCAACTGTAGAAAAATTCATGTCCAAGCTCATGTAGTTGTTGGCAGGATTCACTTCCTCTCAGGCTATTGAACTGAGAGTCTCAGTTTTTGCTGGTTGTTGCCAGAGGGCTGCTGCCATCACATCCTTGGCCTATGGGTCTTTCCAACATGGCAGATTGTTTCATCAAAATGTGCAAGTCAAGAGGGCTACAGAGAAAGTCAGCTAGCTGGGTCAAGCCATTCTTTTTACCCTGATCACAAAAGCAACATTATCACATTTGCTGCTTTCAATAAGATCAATTAAAGAGGTCCAGCTATTTCAATAAGATCAATTAAAGACGAGAGACTTAAAAGAGGGCAAACCACAAGGTGGAATCTCCACCCCCTTGCTTCTCACTCTCTGTCCTATTGTGTGACAGTTTCACTAGGAAGAAAGAATGATTGAGAGGCTATGTTGGGCTCACCTTGTGTATTTCCCTTCTTTCAAGGTGAAAGTCCTCTGATATTTGCAGTTTGATGCTTGAAAATTACTACCTCGTATATTTTGTCCAGTGTTATAATTGTTTTCAACAGTAGGCAAGTTGGGTGCCAGTTACTTCGTCATTACCAGGAGAGTCATTTGCAGGTATTTTGATTATGATTGTGCTGAACCTGTAGTTCTGGTTGAAAATAATTGATGTCTTAATAGTACTGAAACATCTGATTCATAAACATGGTACTTCTCTCCATTTCTTTAGATATATTTTAATTTCTCAGCAGTGTTTTGTAGTTGTCAGCTTAAATTATTTTAAATTAATTTTTTCCAATTATTTATTTCTAACAGACACACATTATTTTCTCATTCCGTAGCTTGCTAAATTTACTTAGTAGTTCTCTAATAATCCTTTGTAGGCTTATTTAAATTTTCAAAGTCTAGGATTTCCCCCAGTTTACTACATATAAATATAGTGTTTTACTACTTCTTATCAAAGCTTTATTATTTCTTTCTTTTTAAAAATTTATTGTTTATTGTACAGGCTAAGTTCTTCAGAATTATATTAAATAAAAGTAGAGTAAAAATTATTTTGTTGTTCATGTTTATACACCCTACATTTGTTCTGATGTTGCAGTAGATTTCTCGTAGATACCTTATCGCTTTGATAAATTTTCTTCTGTCATTTGCTTACAGTTTTTATTATGAAGTTTTGTTGAGTTATCTTGCATAAGTTGTTCTGCCTCTACTGAAATGATCTTATACTTTTTTCCTTCTGTTACACCTATACTTTTGCATAAAAACAAAGGAGGTTTTTCTAGATTGAAGGTCTGTTAAATAACATTACAACCAAATATAATCTGCAGAATTTGGATGCTGACTGGAAAAAATAAAAGTATAAAATACATTTTCAGACAAGTATAAAAATTTAAAAATATATTAAATGTTAATTTATACCAAAGCATTATTATTAGCTTTGTAAATAATTATAAGGCATTGTGATTATATAAGACTGTGTGAAATGGACTATAAAAAGGTGAAATAACATGATAACTGGAATTTTCTCTAAGTTACTTCTAAAAAAATCTAATATACAAAAAGAGAAAAAAAACTGGGAGAAATTCTTAAGAGTTGTTATCTTGGGAAATAGATATATGTGAAGCTGTTGGAGGCCAAAAGATTGAGGGTCGTGATCAACTCAGCATACCACTGGAGGCTATATGAATAAGCAGCAAACTGTTTCTTATAAATGCAGAATGTTGGCAGACTGACAAACTGCATCTGCCACCCAGAAGGAATGCTGAGGGCAGTCACACCCCACCCCAAGTGCAATGTTTCTTGTGATTAGGTGCATCTGAAGCCTGTTGGTAATAATATGAACCTGTGATCAATTAACCAGCTGACCAATCATTACCTCCTCCTCCCTGCTCTTGTTACCCAATAAATACCGAGGCTTGTGGAAGCTCGGCAGCTGCCTTCGCTCACTAGAAGTAGGGAGCTCTCTTCTTCCCCTTCCCCCCTTCCTTTAAAACAGTTTCTTTTGTCTTAAGTTTTCATTTCTACGTTCATCTGTTTGTTCAGTCTTGTAATGATGGTCTCAAGCAGTAATAGTAGTAACTGCTATAATGACAGTCTCAAGCAATAACAGTAGTAACTGCTGTAATGACGGTCTCAAGTAGTAACCATGGCAGTCTGTCACAAGTGGCACCCAAACAGGGACAATCAGGGAGAAACACAGACCTGAAGAGACCTGAATGGACCTGAAGAGGCCTGCAGGGACAAATAGAGATAAGTATGGATAAATATAAATAAATAAACAGAGACAAATAGAGATAGGTAGAGAAAGACAGGGACTTGCAGGAACTTGCAGGAACTAACAGGGACCATAGGGACAGACAGGGAAAGGTAGGGACAGATAGGGTCCTATAGGAATTTGAACGATGAAGCTCTGCTGGAACAGAAAAAACTAAAGCCCAGAAAAAACTGAAACCAACAAGACGAACAAGAAACCCCATTACAAGTCAACATAGACTAGCAAAGACTAGCAGAAACTTGCAGAGAAGACAGACAAGAAAAGATAGGGACAGATAGAGTCCTATAGGAACTTGAACGAGGCAGGTCTGCTGGAGCAGAAAAAACTAAAACCGACCAGACAAACGAGAAACCCTGTTACAAGTCTGCCAACATTATACATTTATGAGAAACAGCTTGTTGCTTACTTATATAACCTCCAGTGGTATACTCAGTTCATCATGACCCTTAATCTTTTGGCCTCCAACATGAAGCCATTAATTTTCTTTAGAATACATGAAATTTCTTTGAGATAGACTTAAAAGAATTAGAACGAATAACAAGGGTGTCAGTTTCTAGTAGCTGTATTTTTATGGTTTGGAATACAAGTTCTACTTCCTCCAGTTAGGTCTGGATCATTTTTCAGGATACAGTAAACAGACACTATGTCTTCATATCAATTAATAAAAATAAAAAACAAAGTATTAAAAAGAACAAAAGGTAGTGTTTCCAATTCTGTGAAGAAAGTCATTGGTAGCTTGATGGGGATGGCATTGAATCTATAAATTACCTTGGGCAGTATGGCCATTTTCACGATATTGATTCTTCCTACCCATGAGCATGGAATGTTCTTCCATTTGTTTGTATCCTCTTTTATTTCATTGAGCAGTGGCTTGTAGTTCTCCTTGAAGAGGTCCTTCACGTCCCTTGTAAGTTGGATTTCTAAGTATTTTATTCTCTTTGAAGCAATTGTGAATGGCAGTTCACTCATGATTTGGCTCTCTGTCTGTTATTGGTGTATAAAATGCTTGTGATTTTTGTACAATGATTTTGTATCCTGAGACGTTGCTGAAGTTGCTTATCAGCTTAAGGAGATTTTGGGCTGAGACAATGGGGTTTTCTAGATATACAATCATATCGTCTGCAAACAGGGACAACTTGACTTCCTCTTTTCCTAATTGAATACCCTTTATTTCCTTCTCCTCCCTGATTGCCCTGGCCAGAATTTACAACACTATGTTGAATAGGAGTGGTGAGAGAGGGCATCCCTGTCTTGTGCCAGTTTTCAAAGGGAATGCTTCCAGTTTTTGCCCATTCAGTATGATATTGGCTGTGAGTTTGTCATAGATAGCTCTTATTATTTTGAGATACGACCCATCAATACCTAATTTATTGAGAGTTTTTAGCATGAAGGGTTGTTGAATTTTGTCAAAGGCCTTTTCTGCATCTATTGAGATAATCATGCGGTTTTTGTCTTTGGTTCTGTTTATATGCTGGATTACATTTACTGATTTGCATATATTGAACCAGCCTTGCATCCCAGGGATGAAGCCGACTTGATCATGGTGGATAAGCTTTTTGATGTGCTGCTGGATTGGAAAAAACTACTTTAAAGTTCATATGGAACCAAAAAAGAGCCCACATCGCCAAGTCAATCCTAAGCCAAAAGAACAAAGCTGGAGGCATCATGCTACCTGACTTCAAACTATACTACAAGGCTACAGTAACCAAAACAGCATGGTACTGGTACCAAAACAGAGATATAGATCAGTGGAACAGAACAGAGCCCTCAGAAATAACGCCGCATATCTACAACTCTCTGATTTTTGAAAAACCTGAGAAAAACAAGCAATGGGGAAAGGATTCCCTATTTAATAAATGGTGCTGGGAAAACTGGCTAGCCATATGTAGAAAGCTGAAACTGGATCTCTTCCTTACACCTTATACAAAAATTAATTCAAGATGGATTAAAGACTTAAACGTTAGACCTAAAACCATAAAAACCCTAGAAGAAAACCTAGGCATTACCATTCAGGACATAGGCATGGGCAAGGACTTCATGTCTAAAACACCAAAAGCAATGGCAACAAAAGCCAAAATTGACAAATGGGATCTAATTAAACTAAAGAGCTTCTGCACAGCAAAAGAAACTACCTTCAGAGTGAACAGGCAACCTACAAAATGGGAGAAAATTTTTGCAACCTACTCATCTGACAAAGGGCTAATATCCAGAATCTACAATGAACTCAAACAAATTTACAAGAAAAAAACAAACAACCCCATCAAAAAGTGGGCAAAGGATATGAACAGACACTTCTCAAAAGAAGACATTTATGCAGCCAAAAGACACATGAAAAAATGCTCATCATCACTGGCCATCAGAGAAATGCAAATCAAAACCACAATGAGACACCATCTCACACCAGTTAGAATGGCAATCATTAAAAAGTCAGGAAACAACAGGTGCTGGAGAGGATATGGAGAAATAGGAACACTTTTACACTGTTGGTGGGACTGTAAACTAGTTCAACCATTGTGGAAGTCAGTGTGGCGATTCCTCAGGGATCTAGAACTAGAAATACCATTTGACCCAGCCATCCCATTACTGGGTATATACCCAAAGGACTATAAATCATGCTGCTATAAAGACACATGCACATGTATGTTTATTGCAGCATTATTCACAATAGCAAAGACTTGGAACCAACCCAAATGTCCAACAATGATAGACTGGATTAAGAAAATGTGGCACATATACACTATGGAATACTATGCAGCCATAAAAAATGATGAGTTCATGCCCCTTGTAGGGACACGGATGAAATTGGAAATCATCATTCTCAGTAAACTATCACAAGGACCAAAAAACCAAACACCGCATGTTCTCACTCATAGATGGGAATTGAACAATGAGAACACATAGACACAGGAAGGGGAACACCACACTCTGGGGACTGCTGTGGGGTGGGGGGAGGGGGGAGAGATAACATTAGGAGATATACCTAATGCTAAATGACGAGTTAATGGGTGCAGCACAGCAGCATGGCACATGTATACATAAGTAACTAACCTGCACATTGTGCACATGTACCCTAAAACTTAAAGTATAATAATAATAAAAATAAATAAATTTAAAAATAAATAAATAAATACAATAAAATGCACAAAAGGAGTGTTATATTTGCTGAAGGAGTATTTATTTGCTAAAAATTTCATATATTTTAATTCATTTTGAATGATGTATTATTTAATTATGTGAATGCACGCCTTTAAAAATTATTTTAAATCATTATCTTGTTTTTGAATGCTTGATTTTTTTCCCAGAATTTGCTTTTAAGAATACTGAGCTATGAATATCATGCACATATCTCATGGAACACATGTAAATCATATCCTTTGAGTATATACCTAGAAGTTAAATTGCTAAAAAGTTGGACATGTATAAGTTCATAATTATGATTATGCTAAACTGTACTACGAAAATTTTTCAAATTGAATATGTAATTTTCACTCTCACAAAGAATGAATCCAGGTAGACTGGCATCTTCCCAAACATTTCTTATTGTCAGATTTGTTATTCGTGATACATTTTTTGTTCATTAAAATGGGTATACAATATTATTCCATTGTGGCTACAATTTTATTTCTTTGAACACTAATAAGGACAAACATTTCTTCATATATTCTTGCCTATACCATTACCTCCTTTTTTAGATACCTATTTATGCCATTTTTCTTGAGCTATTTAAACTTTTCTTATTGATTTAAATAATTTCTTAATATATTCTAAATACTAATCTATTTTGACCATGTATATTTCAAATTTTTCTTCCAGGATCATACTCAGTATGTGTTTAATTAATTAATGAGTAATGAATGAAGTCATTTGTTCAATACAAGATTTTGCATTCAGCCAACGTATAGCTTTGACAAAGCCATTAAATTCCTTTGAATTTTAATCTTCTCTGTTTAATACTTACAATACATACTTCATCAATTTTGACTTTAGTTTAATGAGAAATCGAGATAGTGCAGAAATTGAAAAGCATTCTATACAAGTCTATTTATTGTTATTTCTCTTTTGAATGTTAAATATACAAAGATTGATGCATGCATACATACATACATACATAGATGATTAAATAATAGAGACAGATGATAGATTAGATTGGTACATAATAAATAGACACAGTTATATTTTATGAGTATAAGAAATACTATACTATAGTGTTTCTACCATTGCATCAACAAACCATAGCACATATAATTTTTTCTGACATTGTAACCAAATAATATATCTTTGAAAATTCTTTTTTTAATTTTAATCATAAGTTCTGTTTAATTTTACTTTACATTTTTCTTGTAGTCAAACTTTAAGAACCAACACAATATTCCAGATTCATCATACTTTAAATAAGGGTAAGAATTGACTTTCTCTGTTGTTTGCAGTATGATCCTGTTCAAGTTTTGCTGGATTATTCCTCCAAAGAAATGTACCTATGTCCAGATATTGAGGTACAGTATATCTGAAGTTGCTTCACCAAGTTTCAGTTAGTAATGCATAACTGACCAAAGGAAAATTAACTCTGGAGGAAACTGTATAAAATTATATTTCCATAAATCATCTAACTTGAGCTCTCCATTCAATTTGGCCAATTATTCAAAGCATAAAAAAGTTGATATTTTATCATTTAAAAGGTAGTGTTAATAAAATCTACAAATATATCTTAGAGATTTACATAAATAAGTTTTAATATAACCATGGAAGTACCCATAAAATAAAATGTCCTATTTAGCATATAAGTTGGAGCTCAATTTGAACAGCTTACTGTTTAATAAAAGTGACATTTATATTGCTGACTGAATTATGTTATATTAATTTCGGGTTTTAGTTTGCAATTTTTTTAAACCATATAGTTGGACTATATACTAAGGTAGGAAAAAGAAAATTGATAAATTCCAATCTGACCTAATCCAGAAAAAAATGCATATCAAAACAAATGCATTATCTCATGAGATACATGCTATTATTTTAGTTATGTTAATGTTTTCTATAACAGCTGGATAAACTTTCCTCATGCTCAGGTTCAAATGATTTAAACAAAAGTATTTTATATATTAGTGCTACTGTTAAACACATTCTAATAAATTTGAAAATTTCTACTAGTTTGTAAAAAACATAAATGAAGAATTTAAACATACATGTTTGATACTTCTCCATACAATATTCATAAAAAGGAGAAAGCAGATGTTCAGATGTAAGATAAATAAATATTGCCACATGTAAATATGAACTTCAGCTGAAGAATCTTTAGTAGTAAGGTCTCTTACCTCAGTGATTCATAAGAGATGGTTAAACTGGAGTGAAAAATTTGGTATTATTTTGCCACACATACAGGACTTCTTGCAATACTACCAATCAATCTCTAAAGAGCACCAACTCAGTTACTAGGGCTGTATAATAAAGCCAATAACTTAGTGACTTCAAACAACATTTATTTTGCATGTAGTCGTTCATCTCTGCTGTACTCAGAATCACCTAAGGTGGCTGGGAGAATAGGGCTGGAATACTCTGAAGACATGCTGAGACTATGTGAGAACACCTGGAGGATAGAACACCTGAATTTCCTCAGCCAGCTCTCTCTATATCTGCTTGCCTCTTTCTGTGGTCTCTCCAGCATGGTGGTTTCAGTAGAGCCCGATTTCCTACATGCCAATTCAGGACTCCACAAACACTTGTCCAAGAAAGAGGCAGATAGAAGCCTCAGAAATCACATACCATCACTTTCACCACAATATATTGGTCAAGGTAGTTACAAAGTCTACTCATTGTAAGAACTAAAAATAGTGCCTTTCACCTCTCAACAGAAGAGGGTCAACATGAAATTTCATGAAAAGAAGGGTTATATATACAGAAGTTCCTCGATTTATGATAGAGTTATCATCTCGATAAACCCATCCTAAATTGAAAATATTGTACCTGGATTACTTACAATAGGACAGCTTTATTTCAACATAAGCCCACTGTACTGAATGAATATCACTTTGTCACCATTGTAAGGTCAAAAAATTACTAAGTTGAACTACTGTAAGTCAGGAACTGTCTGTGTGTATGTGTGTGTGCACACATATATGTACATATATGTACATACGTGTATTATATTTGGAAAATATCTCCCTCAAGCTCTGATGTGGAAAGACAGATCCTGCTAGAAAAAATAATGTAAATGCAACCTAGCCTAAATGAGAAAAACAGAACATCAGTATCAGTAATAGGTAACTGAAGAAAGCCACCGACTGAAAGTATGATGAATCTCGTAAGATTTTGATAGTGCCACTATTGTGAAAAAAATCACCCCGAATCAGCTGAAAACCCCAGCGTCAAATGCTGCTTCTGCTTCTACTACAACGTAAGTGCCTAAAGGAGGAGTTGGCAAAAAAGAACATGGAATCACAACTTACGGTTAAAGAAATCTTCCTATCAGAAAAGTATTTTATCCTCTTTTTACTGCTAAATATTGTCTTTTGTAGGAGGGAATCAATGTGAAGGAACAGTAGTTACTTCATCTAAAACTCTAAACAGAACAATTAATGTCTACCTTGGACATCTTTGGGTGGGAGACACTATTTAATGCCTAAGACTTACACTTAGAGGGTGCTTTAGAGTGTGCTGGCTGACTCTTTTAGTACATTAAGCATTCTCTCTCTATTCATGGACTTTTAAAAGTCTTCTCTTTTTCAGGCTCTCCTACTTATTGAAACCTGTATGTTTCACCTTGCCTGCCCTTTGCAGACCCATCTTTTGTAATCATGTCCTTTTTCTCCACCTGCCTGTCCTGTATATGTGGCTTCAGCTTATCCTGACATCTGATTGGACTTTTTGTCCTAAGGCTAACCATAAGGTAGGCCCACTCACTCTCATATCCAGCCCTAGGTTCCAGAATCTCCTTGCAGAAACTGAAGTCTGGTCTCTCACTTTGTGGGTGAATGAGTATGAATTTCTAAAACAACTTGTTTAAATTATTCCATTAAATTTTTTCAATCCTATGATTTAGGCTCAACATGCTTGCGTTTGTTTTAGAGTAAAGAAGAGATATGATTTATTAAAATCATATAACATATAAATAATAGGGTTATTAGAATTTAGGTATTCTGACTCTAATCTAGATCTTTCTATATATCACAAGAATCATTCAAGTATTTTGGTATCAGTCAAGCCTTTAGTATTTCTGAAGGTAAACTTTAATGCCTTTATTTCTCAAGCATATCTGTATTTCAAACATCTTTCTTATCAAAATTAAGATTTAGCTAGTACATACATATTCTTTGATATGCACTGAGTATTTTTGTAAGCACATGTAATGCATTATTTATTTATGACAGCAATACTATGAGGAAGTTAAATATAGACATAGCAGAGAGTTGAGTAAGTTTGGAGCTGGGGTTTAATACTAGACAGTGTGCCTCCAGATTTAATGTTTTTGCCCATGATGCAATGCTGCTCCTATCAAACCGATGGTCTCCTTACAAGTTTAGCAAAGAGCTTTGTACAAGTTAATGCGAAAGGAGAATCAAACAAGAAGTGTTTAAAAAACAATTTGTAAAAAATTAAATTTAGAAATTCTTAACTTGATTGTTGATGTATTTCTTGCAAGACTATTCATTATAAAATCATTTCTTACTATTTGAAACCATTAATCAAGTATATACTTAAAACACATTTAATAACATTCAAATGAGCACATTGATATTTTTTGACACTAGAAAAAGGGCACTTCCAGTAGCTCTTAAAGAAAATGCCTAAAGCAGTAATTCATTAATGTCAAACATAGCCAGATAAATATATCTTAAAAATTGTTTTTCTAGATTAAACGGGTTTCTATTAACTTTAAAATAATAAAAATGTTATTGCTCTATGAATTTCATAGAAGACATTAAATCAATATAATAATATGAATCAATCAATATTCACACCATTATAATTTCTAAAACTATATAATTTAAGACAAGTTAATTTCATCTATTACTGATTAAATATGTGGTGCTCATTCTAGTAACTATTTCAGTTTAATTCAGCGTGGCCTGGATGTGAGACACGGAATCAAAGGAGATCATATTGGAGCTTTAAGATTTGATTTTGGACTTGCATGGGACCTGTAGCCCCTTTGTTTTCGCCAATTTCTCCCATTTGGAATGGCTGTATTTACCTAATGCCTGTAGCCCCATTGTATCAAAAAAGTAACTACCTTGCTTTTAATTTTACAGGCTCATAGGCAGAAGGGACTTGCCCTGACTTGGATTAGACTTTAGACTGTGGACTGTGGAATTAATGCTGAAATAAAGTAAGACTTTGGGAGACCATTGGGAAGGCATGATTGATTTTGAAATGTGAAAGGAACATGAGATTTGGAAGGGACTGGGGCGGAATGATATGCTTTGGCTTTGTCCCCTTTCAAATCTCATCTTGAATTCCCATGTGTTGTGGGAGGTACCTGGTGGGAGGTAATTGAATCATGGGGCAAGTCTTTCTCATGCTGTTCTCGTAATAGTGAATAAGTCTCATAAGATCTGATGGCTTTAAAAAGAGGTGTTATCCTGCACAAACTCTCTCTCTCTCTCTCATTTTTTGCCTGCCGCCATCCACAAGACGTGACTTGCTCCTCCTTGCCTTCCACCATGATTGTGAGGCTTCCCCAGCCATGTGGAACTATAAGTCCAATTAAACCTCCTTCTTTTGTAAATTGCTCAGTCTCAGGTATGTCTTTATCAGTAGCATGAAAACAGAATAATACAGGGTCCCATCCATTCTCCATTAATGCCATAAATTTCATATAAGATACTGGATGAGATTGCAAATTTGACTAATATTGTAACTTGTAATCTTACAGAATCAAACTTTGTTTTTGTTTTGACTATGGTGGTTCTCTGGCTTTGTTTAAAAGAGAATATCTATTATAATAAGAAAAAGTATACGCCATGGAATGAACATTTGAAATTAGAAACTTACAAGTTTTCATTCTTTCTTTCAGATTGTACAGTGCAGTTACCAGTAACCACCCCACCACACAGATGCTGAGTTATTCATATGTTCATTTTGTTCTGTGGCCCAGCCACAAGTTTTTGCTAAGATTTGTCTTGGGTGGTCATTTCATTTTAGGTCACAATAAGTCATAATTTAACCAATTATAATTTTGAAAGCCCTGAGATTCCAGAGACAAATTTCTGTTGGTTAGAGTTTTACCACCCTTGTTTTTAGCTAACCAATGTAATATTTTCAAGGAAAATTATAATGTGAGATTTGGAAAGTAGATGGAAACTAGCAAAGATGTGCCATACAACCAGTCTGATCAACATATTGATGCTTACATCACTTAACAATGCATAGCTCAGATTATACTGCTGACTGTGACAGCCCTGGTCTCTGCAAGCAACTGTTGTACTTCAATAACTTGGGTACCTGGAAACTCAGTGTTCTACCTGTGGCCTTTGCTGCCATTCTCAGCCAGAATGGATTCTGTTTGAACCCTAAGTCTTTAGCTTTCAAATTTTATATTCAATTTCATTTACAGATATACCTAACGTAAAATACTAGTGTTTTAGCTGCAAAAGAACATGAAAGTGAGGAAAGTGAGGGTCTCATTTTGCTACAGTAGGCCATGAATCTCCCAGTGCTCTCATAAATCAGAGGACAATCCAAGCAGGCACATCTTAAAGCAAGGGCAACAAAAATAAATGGCATTTATCTGTTTTATATACTTGTGACTACCCATACATAGAAAGGTTGTTTGAAGTAGATACTAAGAATATTAATAATGCAGGTTCTGATAGCTAGGATAAGAACTTTATTTTACAGATTAAACAAAATTATGGCTTGTTTTTAAAGATAAAAGTTCATTGGAACAGAACTATACCTGTCATTACCTATTATCTCTGAATGTTTTTGCTCTACTGCAGCAGAATTGAGTAGTTGAGACAGACCATATGGCACAAAAAGTCTAAAATATTTATTATCTGACCTGTACAGTAAGAGTTTGCCAACCTCTTCTGTAGATTATTAATATTCTCTGAAATTATGGTGACAAAGCACTAACTATTGTGGTAGTCTTGCAGATAATTCTAATTTTCATTATAATTTGAATTTTTAAAAAACTGTGCAATAAAAAATTGACTTACATTTCTCTTGGAGAAAACTGACATTGCAAAATTGAGTAAAATAAAAAAGGAAAAATGTTTTTGAGGAAAAGTACACATGACATTGCTAATGAAATTTCTATTAAAAATGTTAGAATAAACATGTATCACACAGGTCAAGTGAACATTAAAATGTGTACTCAGAAATGAGTTCCTTATAAAATTGAGTTTGTTTTTAAAATACATTGATGGCTTTCACTATCAATAACCTGAGGAAACAGACATCTAGATGAAGAGGTTCTGGAGGCAGTTTATAAACTAAAGTACTTTACAGACAAAAATACATTGTTTTGTCTTTAAATAGACATCTTATGTTGTAAAGATTTACCTATTTACAAACCCATTATTTTTCCCACACTATTTTTTCTTTACACATTGATGTTGTATATTTTCCCCATGTTTTTAAAGTTACCAGTTTGAGACAAACATAATTTATATTTTCTAAAATGCTAATTCTGCTTCACAAAAGGAAATGCAACCCAAAAGCAACTCTCTGTCATTAAGCAATAGTGTTTTCTCTTGAGCTGTGAACTGCAAAATGATATAGAAACAGCAGAAGCAATAAATTTAGAGCATCTGCAATTTTCAAGCAGTTTCCATAATAACTAGCCAGAATGTTTGCTTTGTTTTCTGGCTAACCACCAGCTTTCATATAAAGATTATATCTCTTTATTGATCTGTGTGCTGAAATGAATCATAAAAGTTTTTTCTTTTTTTTTCCTCTCTCTCAAGAATGGTTTTCAATACTATGGTTTGGCGGGAACTAACTAGCAAATTATATATTAATCCAAATTTTCTTTTGTGGGGAACGTGCCTAATAGAAACTTATAAATGTTTATTTTTAACTAATTAATCAATCATTTAGAGACAGGCTCTCACTCTGTCACCCAGACTGGAGTGCAGTGGCACAATCGTAGCTAACAGGCTCACTGTAGCCTCAAACTTCTGTACTGAAGCAATCCTCCCACACTGGCCTCCCAAAGTGCTAGGAGTACAGTGGGTGAGTCACCTTGCCCAGTCATTTGTTTTGATTAAGCATGTATGGACCCACAGCTCTACATAACCCAACCTCTAAAGTGTCATTTTTCTATGGCTCTGGTAAAACTGAACTGTAATAAAAATTCCCTGATGCTTCATTTTAAGAAGAAACAGGAAGGCACAAGTAACATAACTTCTTATTTGAGTTAAAATAAAATCCTAACAGGTTATATGTTTGGAAAATCTTTAAAGTCATTTGTTATTAATATTGCAGGAAAATAATTTTTGTTGTCAATCTTCTTTTCTCTAGTATATCAAGTTAAGCTTATTAATGCTAATATAAACATTCATTTAAATGTATTATTTGAAAAAGAAGAGGAAAAATCAAATCTGTTATTTGGACAGAGAAGCAAATTGTATTTAAATTGCTCATAAAGCTAGCATAGACCTTGGAATATCTAAAATGAAGAGGCCTGTAAAACTTGTTGTTATACAAATTAAGTCTGATTATAGATATAAATTATACGGAATGGAACAGTTGGTTATGTGACTTAATCACAATAAATAATATTTAATTAGTTTTCTCTGGGAACTATGCTAAACACTTTATAGGCACTTACATAAGTCTCTTAAAAGCATTAAGTAGTCTGTCCCCATTTTACAGATTAATAATATATTTTATATAGAGAAAATAATTTACCAATGGTAACATATTATGTATCAGAACAAAAATTTTAACATGAGGGCATTTCTAAAAGTTGAAATCATCACAAAGTCAACTGCCTTTTTGACTCTGCTTTTAACAATATAAAGAGCAAACTAAGCTAATAGACTCATAAAAGGGAACCCCAAACCCATATTCTGATAATAACCCAGAATCTGCTTATCCCATTAGGAAGCCCCAAACGTACACTATTTGCTTTGATTTATGTAGTATCTATAAATGGACTCATGTAGATTAAAGCATCAGGTTGTTTCTTTTGTTTCCAAATCTCCTTTACTCTTTATTCTTCCCTGTCTTCTCCCTTTGCTCTCCATTTATAAAACAGGTGGACTTTATTTTACAATGTTCTTATTTCTGGAACTCCATCTATGAGAATCCATATTGTGGGGAAATATTATGGTACCTAGTACAAAATTCTTGTACATTTCAATACCTTCCAATATGGTAAGAATAAAAAATTTACATAATTTCAACAACGATAAAACAATGAATAAAATATTTATAATGCTGTATTAAGAAATTAACATTGTTCACAAGGCATCCCTCATCTTTTAGTAACCTACTAAAAATAATACTTAGATATTTAAATGAAATCTTCCTCACTGACAGAGAAACTAGATTTATAGCCAGTTAACCTGTGACATTTCAACTCAAAATTTTTCTAAGTGTGCCTTTTATGTTTTTATTCTGTTCCTTCATTTCCTTCCCTAGGAAGCCCCCAGTCTTCTGTCTAAAGCAAAGGAGATCTGATAATTATTTAGATATGACATTAGTACCAGTTACAAATGCATGTTTAAAAAGATGACCACCATAGTAACCTCAAAGTCATTTGTATGGCACACATCGGGAAAATAGTAAGTTCTCAATGAGCATTAATTCTCTTAATTTCTAGAAAGTAAGACAAACCATGCAATTCTGGACTGAAGTTGTGTGTCATACTGATAATCTGGTCTTCAACATATTCTCAAGTTGTATCTAATATTTTCCTCTCTAATCCACATTGATATTAAAAAAACACTGCAAAAAAGATATTTTCCCCTTTTTGGAGAGAAATTTCTTTTTATAGCATGTTTAATTATTTTAAGAATTCTCCTTATTGTACTAACTTGGCTATTTAACTGTTTCACTCATTTTTTTTTTTTACTTTCTCTAATAACAGATGGGTCTTCCTGATATGGGTTTTCTAAATGCATTTCCACTCCAAACTTCATTGTTAAATGAAGTATAGATCATGTTATTAGCATTTGTATCTAAAATCCCACTCAATCATTCCCATTACAGGTAGTTGTTCCAGTTTGTCCAAATTGAGCTTAATAAAAAATATCAATTCTTTTCAAGAATTTTTAGGTGAATTTTGATTTAGTAGAAAAAACAAATGAAGTCTAATTACAGACAGGAAACCATTATTATTGAAGTGTCCAAAACTTGTTTCATTTAATTGACTTTAAAGTATTTCTGTTACTCTATTACTATTGAGATTTATGCTACTAATTCTAAAGTAAAAAGTAATTAAAACTGTTATCTAGCATCAATACATTATCATCTGTGATAAAGAATGTCAAATATATTAGGTAAAATTTCAAGCTAGGAAAAATTAAGAGTTAGATATATATTTATAATACAATATTCTCCCATAAAGTTATATAATATAAATATATACTATATTAATATCTTAATAATATTGTAATACATTTAGTATAGAATTATATATACATATTTAGAAAATATATATACACACACACGTGCTCACACACACACACACACACACACATACCTTGACAGTCATAGTAGGTTAAAAACAAACGTGCCATTAGAATCCCCTGTGAATTAATTTTGACTTCATAATCTTGTAGTTTCAAAATTAGATAGTGTTTTAGTCCATTCAAGCTGCTACAACAACTTAGACTGGTAACTTATAAAACATAGAAATGTATTTTTCACAGTTCTGGAGACTGGGAAATCCAAAATCAAAACATCAGTGATAACTAGTCAGGGCAGGGCCCACTTCTTCATAGATGTTACCTTCTAGCTGTATCTTCACATGGTGGAAGGATGAATAAGATCCCTCAGGACTCTTATAAGGCATTAATCCCATTCATGAAGACTCTACCCTTATGACCTAACCACTTTTCAAAGGCCCCAAACTCGTAATACCATCACCTTGGGTATTCCACATATGAATTTCAGAAGGACACAAACATTCAGACCATAGCACATAAGTATGGAATATTACATATACAAATATATAGTTTTTATTTTTAAAAATATCTTTTTGAGTTATTGTCTTGCCCTATGTCCAAATAGCTACTCTTCCTATGGCAAGAAAATGCCCTTTCTTTTTAAACCATTGCCAACTCCATTGTTAACCCTACTTTCTATTGCATTTGGCTATACTGGAGAAATATAAGGTGGTCCACAGTCAATAGCTAATAAATATTAGTTATTTATCAACATTTGAATGCAAAGGCAGATATAATGACTGACAAATATCCAAGGAATTGCTTAAACTTTTTAAGAAGACTAACCATTAAGTATATATATGTACACATCACATATACACACACACATATATAAACATATATATACACTTTATATATATATACTATATAATATATACACTTTATAGTGCATATTATATATATTTTTACAGGATATATATTTTTTATTACAAGATATATATGCATATAAATTACAAGGTATATATGTATGCATGCACTGTACACATATACATATATACCTTGTAATTAAAATAGAATCAACATTAATCTAGACAATGCAATAATTTAGTTTTAATGACTCTTGACAGGGAAGACTAAGATCATTCTATGAAGTCTGATTCTCAAGCCCTCAGGTCTCTTTAAAACCTTTCAACAAGATTTGTTTCTCATAAGGAATCTAATTTAGTGCCTTAAGGTTACCAAAGATGAGGAGAATAAATTGTTTTAGTGCCTAGACATTTTTTCTTTAACATACATTGTTAATATCCTGGTCAGAAACCAAGCCTAATTATGTGTTCTCTATGGCACTTAGGCCTTAATAAATGTTAACTGACAATAGCAACAAGAAGCATTCCTGATTCCTAGTCTTCCTGTTGACAGTTCCAATACTTTCTTACTAGATATTGTGAATACGCCAATACTTTTCCCCTCAATCAAAAGGGAAATAATAAAAAAAAAAATACAGCTGTCTTTGATTTGAGGTGTCCATTTGCTATAAATATAGCAGGTATTTCTTGAATGATTATTTTTCTTCAAAATTCAGGATTAGAATCTTATTTGTATTTGATATTTAATCTCTCATGAACAGCTCACTGCAGCTCTAACTAGAAACCATTAGAAAGTAAGTTATCTAATTATCTTTGAACTTGTCATTATTGCAGTGGCAGAAATTCTAAGCTCTGCAGTTTTTGTATTACACATTATAATTATGTTAAAGATAAAATTTATTGTCTAATTTTACCTTGTACTTAACACAAAAAAGTATGCAACTCCTCATAAAATTTGGAATTATGTGAAAATGTCATATTTGCTTTCTTTTTAAAAGCCAGTGATCAATGAGACTTCATTATAAACATACACCTTTATATAAATGCACATATGAGGAAAAATGGTTAAAAATGAGTTTTCTCCACATGCACTTACATGAATCTATGAATCTATAAAATACTATTTAAACCACCACCATAGGTCTCATGAATATGTCAGAATTCTTAATGATTTGTAGTAAAATACAGTCAAACTCTAAGAGCAATAAAATAGAATAAAGAGAGAGTAATTTTCAGTGAAATAGGCATGTAAAAGCCTGAGAAGTTGTAAGTTAAATGGCTGAAAAATTGTAACTCACTGTACAAGTAAGTTTGAACCCTGAAAGATTATGTCAGTGTAATTATGCCTCTGAAGAATAGCATACTTTTAATAATTAATGGGGACAATTGGAGATTTGCAAACTATAATAATTGGTCTTCATTTTATCTATGAAGATAAATTAATGGGTTAAATAAGAAACACTTGTAAAATGCAATATATAGGTAAATCAGTTTAAAATTCCATTTTCTTAAAACATGATCTTACCTGAATGGTATTATGCAGAATTTCATTTATGTTTGAATATCTGGGTCACTGTAAATTTACACAATTTCCCTAGCACCCTTGAAAAAAAGATAATTATTTCTAGAGGAAGTTAAATCATGCATTATTGATCCATCCGTTCTTTTATCAACAGAAATTTGAGTTATACTCCATGCAAAATATTTTTCAAGGTGGTAGGGATAAAACAAAATGGATAATTCCTGCCTTAATGGAGCATATTATTGCTTATGTTTTTTTTCCTCTGGAACTTAAATGCTTCAGATGTTTATTCATGTATCTTCAAAGTAACTGAAAAAGTATTTGGAGAAAAAGCTATTGAATTACAAATGGAAATATTGAGACTAAGAAACTTTACTAACAGGCAACTCCTAACATAGGATTCCTGATTTCCAGGAAAGTACTTTATTTGCTCAAACATACAGGTTTTCTTCACAACATATAAATTTCCAATTATTCTAGAAATGGTTTTGTTGGCATATGTACTTAATTTCATATTTAATTGATGTGGTACTCATCAAAGTGGAATTCTCATGGAAATATATCTTAATCGGAAATTTACTCTAAGATTTACTAAAGAAACCTATATTTATTTTCTTATTTCTTTTTGACAGTAGGTGAGATACCAAACAAAAGTTACAGAAATGATAGTAAATGCTGGCATTTTTCCTCTTATTATATATATAGTCAGATTTGTGCCTATATAAGAGGACTCACTTTAATATAAAACCCACATTAACAAGATTTCAAAACATAAAATAAAGAAGTTAAAGCTTCCCATCAGTTTCATATAATCATGATACATCCTAGTCTGTTCTTCTCAAGTATAACAAAGTAAGCCAAGGCACCCTAACCTAGTATGATGATATTTACTCTGCTAATACATATGCCAATTTCCTCAGCCTTCCTCTGAGGAAGCTTTAAACTTTGTCAATGTTCATCATTGGTACTTTTTTTCTGTAAATGACGCATTTGCAAATTGCTGAAAACACAAGGCTGAAAGGATGAACTACCAACATAATCCCATCACAGAGAAGTGTTGAAAATATACAATGTGAATTCCCCTCCTTTACCCCAGTCCCAGCCATTTCCTGCTGATCCTCACCAAACAGAATGCACTGTTTGTACAGAAGTTCCTGTCCTTCTCATCCTGGCATTCTTGGTCTCATATACACATAATACTATGTGTTGGCTTCCTAGGGCTGCTGTAACAAAGTGCAATTAATTAGGGGCTTAAAGCAACAGACATTTGTACTGTCATGTTTCTGGAGGCTGGAAGTTTGAAATCTAGATGTGTGCAGAGTCATGCTTCCTCAGAGGGCTCTCGGAAGGCATCTTTTCCTTTCCCCTCTTAGCTCCTGGTGTTTGCTCTTGGGTACCTCCTTGACTTGTAGATACATCACTTCAATTTCTGCTATTATAACCACATATCATGCTTCCTTGTATGTCTGTGTCTCCTCTTCTTATAAAGACATCATCATTTTGGATCTAAGGCCCACCCTGATTGACTATGACTTCATCTCAATTTAATACATCTGCAAAGACGCTATTTCCAATTAAAGTCATATTTTGGGGTTCTAGATAGGCATGGCTTTGGGGGACAGGGCACTATTCAATCCACTACATACTGTATATCTGTGTACATGCCCATATTTACTGTTGTTGCATAATTTAGTTTAATTATATCTCCTTTTAAAGAAATTGAAAGAAATTGGTCCTTCAATATTATTTAAGTCTTTATGGGACTCCTCAATGAAGAAAATCACATGTTAGGCAAAACAGTGCAAAAAAAGCCATTAAACATGCAAATTAGATGATTATGGGAAAGTTAGTCATTAGTTCTATTGACAAAGATTCTCTCCTTGACCAAGCTCTAGTCAGGGTCCTCTGGGTCCTTCTTTTTGACAAGGCCTCAACATTGGCCTCTAAAGACTTGAATAAAACACTAGCATAGTCTCTAACAGCTCAAGCCCACATCCTTAGGGTGACCCTATCCTCCCTGAAAATATGCCTCCCAAAGGGAACTCAGGGCTGCCAAAATAATTTGCCACTTGTTCCAGTCAACATTTGAAGAGAGTCTCTGTCTTCCAGCCTCTGTGAGAGAGGAGATGCCTAATTTCAATAAGGGACAGTTAGCAAACAGGTGGATTTCACTTTTCTGACTACTGAGCCCTCACTCACCCAGCCTCCCTATTACCCCAATTTTCCTTTAACATTCTCCATTACCTCTGTACAAGGTTCAGTTCATACTGGGCTTTTCCCAATTACAAAGGTATTACTGATTAAAATCTGTCCTTACCACTAAAACTGTGGGGTTTGGCTTTATCTTTTTTGTTTATTATTATGGTTATATAATAGTTATACTCTGTGCCTACACAGCACACAGTATCGTTATAGTGATTTTCACACTGTGTTGAAATTATATGCATGACTATATCTACAGCTGGATTATGAGCTACTTATGGAAAGTAGCTACATCACATATTTCTGAACTGTCAGGGTTTGATACAGTGGCCAAGATATAGTAGGCTTTTAGTGAAAGTCACAGGTTGAGCCCAAACTGGAATTCAAACATGTCTGGTACACTGATGAGGTAATCTCAGGTTTACCTGCATCATCAAATATCTCGTTTACTGGCAAGATCAAAGGTTTCTTTCTTAAGGAAATCGGAAATCAATGAGACAAACTACCCAGAAAAAGAATTCACCAGAGTGACAACGGTTTCTGAACATAAGACTAGATCTTTTACTCAGGCATGTTTTGTATGCTAGCCCGTTTTTGACAAATAATTTCTACAGAATGTAGAAAAATGGTGAGTTTGATTTAAAAGAGCTATTTCACTAAAAACTGTAAGTTGTGGGAACATAAACAACACAACTTGGCTAATATTTGACACAACATGCCAAAAAGAAAGGATGCATCTTCTCCTTACTTGATGTGCCTGTGTCTCCAGATTTCTGCCACATTGAGAAATACCTATACTCAATAGTGATTAACTTATTGACGACATGAGTGAGATGCCCACAGCTAAGTTCCAGACATACTTTGAAGGCCATTTAAATGATACACAAAATTCCAGTTGACACTGACTTTCTATAAGCCCATTAGTATTGATGGGTGAGTAAGAGTTAGAGAAATGTGGGTTACTCAGACTAAAATGGAATGTGTTACACTACAAACTACTGATTTAAAAGAGAATGAATGGAGAAATTATTTAAAATGGATCGCATTATAAATTTTAGATCGAGTTCTAAGGTTTAAAACAGTAGCCAAGTAACCTTACGAGGACTTTTCAAACTTGTATTTTTATTTGAAAAGAGTTACTGTAAACACATACAAGTTCATAAAGAGCTTGGAAAGTGTCATAATTTCAAACCTGTTAATGCAAAGCAAATCTCTGGTGACTGATATACATAGAAATAGATAATTTTTTTTAAATGAAAAGCCTTTATTGATACAAATTATTCCTAATGTTCTCCCAAATGACAAGTCTAAATTCATGAGCATTATTTAACAACAACAAAATAAATGCGCTTTGTTAGATTTATTGGGTCTAATTATAAACCTGCACTATCTTTAGACTGCATGAAACTAACATTTAGGAGCAAATGTAAATAGCTACAGAAACTCATAAAATTTATTGAAATTATATTCTTAACTTACCAGATTCAAAAATTTAATGCAAAAACCAGTTAAGAAAGTTCTAAAGAATTTTTTTCTGAAGATTTAGTTAATTATAATCTCCCATCAGAGAAAATTGCCTTCATTTATTCCTTACAAAGGTTTGACTCTTTTTGTGTGTTGTTCTATATTCCTGCATGGTTAAGAGTTTAGCAGCACAATGTGAAGCTAAATCTTCTGAGGAAAGCATTTCGAAGTTTAATATTATTACCTGCAGATTTAAATTACAATCATTTCCTAAGAGTTTCACATTTATTTCCATATTCTTTAGGCAAATTACCTATCCCAATGTTTGAATGAGGGAAAACAAGATATGAAAAAGACAAGGAAGGACAAACTTAGCAAAGATCTTCCTCATACAGAAGAAAAATCTCCCTTTTTCCATGGATGGCCATCCCCGAAATGGTGTTTCTCCAAGGAAGTAGTAAAATAGAGTTACCAAAATGTAGGCATATGTGTCCTGCCGTTTAGTTAACTGCTATTTTTCTTCAACTCAGCTGTTACTTTCTTAGGAAATACTTTCCTATTCTCTGTGACTATATTATGTTCTTGAATATTGTTCTCTTATAACACCATGTTATCTTTAGAATCACTGATCACAGTGATAAAAACAAAGTAAAGCTGAACTTCAGGAAGACAGATGTGGGTATATGCTTGCTTACACTGTAGTTGCACCTCTTAGTTGAATAAACAAAAGAATAAATGCTTCAGTACTTGTCAAATTTTGTATCCAGTACACACATTCATAAAGCTACCCAAATTACTCACTCAGTATAGACAAAATAGATGTCAGGCCATACATAATTAGTAGATTAAAATAGTTCACACACACACACACACACACACACACACACACACACACACACGGTCCCCACATTTATCAGTTCACCTATAGAGACAGCCTGACCATGCTTACAATGTATGCATATCAATATGTCAGTACTTAGCCAAAAATACTGGCTTGGCACATGTCTCCTTTGCAATTATAAGGAAAGATACAGAAGGCTTATGCTTATGGAAAATAGTCTGCACATAGCACTTAATCATGAGCCTGATCAATATCTTCACTTTTGCAGAGGGAGGAAAAGAGCAGCACATTTTTGCTTTTAACACCATGCCTTTGGTGCACAGTTAATTGAAACCCCATTAGAGTGACGTGTCTTTAGAATAAATTAGAGGACAGCTCAAGCTCTATCCTTGAAATAATTAAACCACAAGCTTCCTGATCCCATTTTCTTGCGGACATGCCAGCTGCATTTGCACACATGCTGTTTGGGTAAACTACCCATCTGAGCATTCGTGGAAGTGAACCATCCACCCCTAAAACACTGTAAATTTGAGTGTGACTTTATTGTTACACTGCAGTACCAGACAGAACCTCGTCTCAGGTGGAGAACAAAATGAGATGAGTTTAAATGGCACCTTTGCGAACTTTTTGAATTGCTCAAAGCATAATAAAGTACAGTTATTGACTCCAGTTTCAGAGAAAAAAATTTTTAGCTCAATGTATAAGTAATTTTTAAAGTATTTTAAAGTATAGGTTGATTTTTAAAAACATTTATGAAGATGTATTCTAAAACTCTTATGAATTTCATTGATGTGAATAAGAATATTTTAATACAGAAAGTAAGCAACCGCCCCCCCCCCCACCCCATCCATCTCAATAGGTACCTTTGAAGTCTACAGCCATGTAGTACGGTTTCCAAAATTCACTAATTTTGCAATTTTGAGTGAGAAATACAGGGATTGCCCTACATATGGGTTTGGTCGTTTGCCTGTGAATTTGTAGTGCTACTTGATACCCAGAGATAAAGCAGAATGGTTATAGAGTGAGGCCAATAAAATTCAGCTTGCTTTAGTTAAAAAAAGAAAAGAAAAGAAAATTTGAACAATTTTTTTTTCTGTAGTAACTTCGCATTCCATTGTAATCAGAGTGTGAAGAATTTGATATCAATGAACAATTACAATAGGATTCGTTTTGTGCATGTTTACTACATGCCAAGACTTTTTGTACAATAACCGTATTTCTCAATATAATACACTCTAATGTTGAAAAGGTTTAAATTTACAGACATACATTTATCTGCACAGTATCACGTGGCCAATTGATCTTTCATTTAAATGCAGATTGGGCTTATTCAAAGACTCTGCTTTTTCCTTTTTCTTCATTATCTATCAAATATCCAGATAACTAATGCTACCTTCCAACTGTCAAAATTATTGCCAAAGTCTGGATTTTTAAATATTGAAATCTATCTAAAATATGTTAAGTAATTCCTTTTATTCTTGAACAGTTGCTATGAAAATAAATTCTACCTTTATGGCTTAATGGTCCACATTAGGAATAAAATGGTCCTCACTAGGGAAAAAACGTTCTATGTTGCATGTTACAACACAGTGATGCATTGATGGGGTATTTGTGACAGTGGAAATGCTTGCTTATACGTTAAAGAGTCTATGGCTACACAATTTTTGAATTATCTTTTCTGATTTGCTAAATTGTTTTTCTTTTTTCTTCCTTCTTATCAGGCTGCTGGTTGTAAATTTTGGTTCTTATCTATTTCTCTAACTCTAGGCCAGATGGCATTTTCTAAATACATGTCCCTAGAGATCTTCTAATTTATAAAAGTAATTAAGCTCTTAGTGGAGTACTACTGCACTCCGCCTTCTAAAAAGAAGGTGGGTGTTCTAACACAGATTTTATGGTGTGTGTGTGTGTGTATTTATGTGTGCATTTGGATGTGTGTTTGATGAGCCTTTGCTAAGTAGACTCAGTTTCTCAGCTATGGTCTCAATAATTAAATTTTCCAGACCAGTGATCCACAGATAAAAGAGGTATTACTCTAGTTAAGTATAAAAATTATTTTAGAGTGAAATGTATATATCCAACACAAAGCTATTGTTTTAAAAATCATGAAACAGTCATATGCTGAAATACTATGTAGAAATTATAATAATTTTTAACAAGACTACTTACTAAAATGGGAAAAATTTCAAACATATTTTATACCACAAATTCAGTTCCACTATTTTATAAAACCAATTATGTAAATATAATATGAACATAAGACACAGTAGACTTATTTGTTATAAAAATGACACAGGTTATTATTGGTTATTAGGCTTAAGAATCAGAAGTCAATATTTATCCAGAATAAATAAACTAAAAAATACTTGTAGAACTATTATGGAAATACAAAGATAAATGCCATATAAAATAAAAATAAGCAAGGAGACAAGATGGCCGAATAGGAACCGCTCCGGTCTACAGCTCCCAGCGTGAGCAACACAGAAGACGGGTGATTTCTGCATTTCCATCTGAGGTACCGGGTTCGTCTCACTAGGGAGTGCCAGACAGTGGGTGCAGGTCAGTGGGTGCGTGCACCATGCGCGAGCCGAAGCAGGGCAAGGCATTGCCTCACTCAGGAAGCGCAAGGGGTCAGGGAGTTCCCTTTCCTAGTCAAAGAAAGTGGTGACAGACGGCACCTGGAAAATTGGGTCACTCCCACCCGAATACTGCGCTTTTCCGATGGGCTTAAAAAAGGGCGCACCAGGAGATTATATCCCGCACCTGGTACGGACGGTCCTACGCCCACGGAGTCTGGCTGATTGCTAGCACAGCAGTCTGAGATCAAACTGCAAGGTGGCAACAAGGCTAGGGGAGGGGCGCCGGCCATTGCCCAGGCTTGCTTAGGTAAACAAAGCAGCCAGGAAGCTCGAACTGGGTGGAGCCCACCACAGCTCAAGGAGGCCTGCCTGCCTCTGTGGGCTCCACCTCTGGGGGCAGGGCAGAGACAAACAAAAAGACAGCAGTAACCTCTGCAGACTTAAATGTCCCTGTCTGACAGCTTTGAAGAGAGCAGTGGTTCTCCCAGCACGCAGCTGGAGATCTGAGAACGGGCAGACTGCCTCCTCAAGTGGGTCCCTGACCCCTGACCCCAGAGCAGCCCAACTGGGAGGCACCCCCCAGCAGGGGCAGACTGACACCTCACACGGCAGGGTACTCCAACAGACTTGAAGCTGAGGGTCCTGTCTGTTAGAAGGAAAACTAACAAACAGAAAGGACATCCACACCAAAAACCCATCTGTACATCACCATCATCAAAGACCAAAAGTAGATAAAACCGCAAAGATGGGGAAAAAACAGAGCAGAAAAACGGGAAACTCTAAAAAGCAGAGCACCTCTCCTCCTCCAAAGGAACGCAGTTCCTCACCAGCAACAGAACAAAGCTGGATGGAGAATGTCTTTGACGAGCTGAGAGAAGAAGGCTTCAGACGATCAAATTACTCCGAGCTACGGGAGGACATTCAAACCAAAGGCAAAGAAGTTGAAAACTTTGAAAAAAATTTAGAAGAATGTATAACTAGAATAACCAATACAGGGAAGTGCTTAAAGGAGCTGATGGAGCTGAAAACCAAGGCTCAAGAACTACGTGAAGAATGCAGAAGCCTCAGGAGCCGATGCAATCAACTGGAAGAAAGGGTATCAGTGATGGAAGATGAAATGAATGAAATGAAGCAAGAAGGGAAGTTTAGAGAAAAAAGAATAAAAAGAAACGAGCAAAGCCTCCAAGAAATATGGGAATATGTGAAAAGACCAAATCTACGTCTGATTGGTGTACCTGAAAGTGACAGGGAGAATGGAACCAAGTTGGAAAACATTCTGCAGGATATTATCCAGGAGAACTTCCCCAATCTAGCAAGGCAGGCCAACATTCAGATTCAGGAAATACAGAGAACGCCACAAAGATACTCCTCGAGAAGAGCAACACCAAGACACGTAATTGTCAGATTCACCAAAGTTGAAATGAAGGAAAAAATGTTAAGGGCAGCCAGAGAGAAAGGTCCGGTTACCCTCAAAAGGAAGCCCATCAGACTAACAGGAGATCTCTCAGCAGAAACTCTACAAGCCAGAAGAAAGTGGGGGCCAATATTCAACATTCTTAAAGAAAAGAATTTTCAAACCAGAATTTCATATCCAGCCAAACTAAGCTTCATAAGTGAAGGAGAAATAAAATACTTTACAGACAAGCAAATGCTGAGAGATTTTGTCACCACCAGGCCTGCCCTAAAAGAGCTCCTGAAGGAAGCGCTAAACATAGAAAGGAACAACCAGTACCAGCCGCTGCAAAATCATGATAAAATGTAAAGACCATCGAGACTAGGAAGAAACTGCATCAACTAACGAGCAAAATAACCAGCTAACATCACAATGACAGGATCAAATTCACACATAACAATATTAACTTTAAGTGTAAATGCACTAAATGCTCCAATTAAAAGACACAGACTGGCAAATTGGATAAAGAGTCAAGACCCATCAGTGTGCTGTATTCAGGAAACCATCTCACGGGCAGAGACACACATAGGCTCAAAA
Source organism: Homo sapiens (assembly GCF_000001405.40). Classification (NCBI taxonomy): domain Eukaryota; kingdom Metazoa; phylum Chordata; class Mammalia; order Primates; family Hominidae; genus Homo; species Homo sapiens. The sequence goes on from NC_000012.12 coordinate 87,100,554, forward strand.
TAAAAGGATGGAGGAAGATCTACCAAGCAAATGGAAAACAAAAAAAGGCAGGGGTTGCAATCCTAGTCTCTGATAAAACAGACTTTAAACCAACAAACATCAAAAGAGACAAAGAAGGCCGTTACATAATGGTAAAGGCATCAATTCAACAAGAAGAGCTAACTATCCTAAATATATATGCACCCAACACAGGAGCATCCAGATTCATAAAGCAAGTCCTGAGTGACCCACAAAGAGACTTAGACTCCCCCACATTAATAATGGGATACTTTAACGCCCCACTGTCCACATTAGACAGATCAACAAGACAGAAAGTCAACAAGGATACCCAGGAATTGAACTCAGCTCTGCACCAAGCGGACCTAATAGACATCTACAGAACTCTCCACCCCAAATCAACAGAATATACATTTTTTTCAGCACCACACCACACCTATTCCAAAATTGACCACATACTTGGAAGTAAAGCTCTCCTCAGCAAATGTAAAAGAACAGAAATTATAACAAACTATCTCTCAGACCACAGTGCAATCAAATTAGAACTCAGGATTAAGAATTTCACTCAAAACTGCTCAACTACATGGAAACTGAACAACCTGCTCCTGAATGACTACTGGATACATAACGAAACGAAGGCAGAAATAAAGATGTTGTTTGAAACTAACGAGAACAAAGACACAACATACCAGAATCTCTGGGATGCATTCAAAGCAGTGTGTAGAGGGAAATTTATAGCACTAAATGCCCACAAGAGAAAGCAGGAAAGATCCAAAATTGACACCCTAACATCACAATTAAAAGAACTAGAAAAGCAAGAGCAAATGCAATCAAAAGCTAGCAGAAGGCAAGAAATAAATAAAATCAGAGCAGAACTGAAGGAAATAGAGACACAAAAAACCCTTCAAAAAATTAACGAATCCAGGAGCTGGGTTTTTGAAAGGATCAAAAAAATTGATAGACCGCTAGCAAGACTAATAAAGAAAAAAAGAGAGAAGAATCAAATAGACGCAATAAAAAATGAGAAAGGGAATATCACCACTGATCCCACAGAAATACAAACTACCATCAGAGAATACTACAAACACCTCTACGCAAATAAACTAGAAAATCTAGAAGAAATGGATAAATTCCTTGACACATACACTCTCCCAAGACTAAACCAGGAAGAAGTTGAATCGCTGAATAGACCAATAACAGGAGCTGAAATTGTGGCAATGATCAATAGCTTACCAAAGAAAAAGAGTCCAGAACCAGATGGATTCACAGCTGAATTCTACCAGAGGTACAAGGAGGAACTGGTACCATTCCTTCTGAAACTATTCCAATCAATAGAAAAAGAGGGAATCCTCTCTAACTCATTTTATGAGGCCAGCATCATCCTGATACCAAAGCCGGGCAGGGACACAACCAAAAAAGAGAATTTTAGACCAATATCCTTGATGAACATTGATGCAAAAATCCTCAATAAAATACTGGCAAACTGAATCCAGCAGCACATCAAAAAGCTTATCCACCATGATCAAGTGGGCTTCATCCCTGGGATGCAAGGCTGGTTCAATATACGCAAATCAATAAATGTAATCCAGCATATAAACAGAACCAAAGACAAAAACCACATGATTATCTCAATAGATGCAGAAAAGGCCTTTGACAAAATTCAACAACCTTTCATGCTAAAAACTCTCAATAAATTAGGTATTGATGGGACGTATCTCAAAATAATAAGAGCTATCTATGACAAACCCACAGCCAATATCATACTGAATGGGCAAAAACTGGAAGCATTCCCTTTGAAAACTGGCACAAGACAGGGATGCCCTCTCTCACCACTCCTATTCAACATAGTGTTGGAAGTTCTGGCCAGGGCAATTAGGCAGGAGAAGGAAATAAAGGGTATTCAATTAGGAAAAGAGGAAGTCAAATTGTCCCTGTTTGCAGATGACATGATTGTATATCTAGAAAACCCCATATCTCAGCCCAAAATCTCCTTAAGCTGATAAGCAACTTCAGCAATGTCTCAGGATACAAAATCAATGTACAAAAATCACAAGCATTCTTATACACCAACAACAGACAAACAGAGAGCCAAATCATGAGTGAACTCCCATTCACAATTGCTTCAAAGAGAATAAAATACCTAGGAATCCAACTTACAAGGGATGTGAAGGACCTCTTCAAGGAGAACTACAAACCACTGCTCAAGGAAATAAAAGAGGATACAAGCAAATGGAAGAACATTCCATGCTCATGGATAGGAAGAATCAATATCGTGAAAATGGCCATACTGCCCAAGGTAATTTACAGATTCAATGCCATCCCCATCAAGCTACCAATGACTTTCTTCACAGAATTGGAGAAAACTACTTTAAAGTTCATATGGAACCAAAAACGAGCCCGCATCGCCAAGGCAATCCTGAGCCAAAAGAACAACGCTGGAGGCATCACACTACCTAACTTCAAACTATACTACAAGGCTACAGTAACCAAAACAGCATGGTACTGGTACCAAAACAGAGATATAGATCAATGGAACAGAACAGAGCCCTCAGAAATAACACCACACATCTACAACCATCTGATCTTTGACAAACCTGACAAAAACAAGCAATGGAGAAAGGATTCCCTATTTAATAAATGGTGCTGGGAAAACTGGCTGAAACTGATGAAAGTGTAGAAAGCTGAAACTGGATGCCTTCCTTACACTTTATACAAAAATCAATTCAAGATGGATTAAAGACTTAAATGTTAGACCTAAAACCATAAAAACCCTAGAAGAAAACCTAGGCATTACCATTCAGGACACAGGCATGGGCAAGGACTTCATGTCTAAAACACCAAAAGCAATGGCAACAAAAGCCAAAATTGACAAATGAGATCTAATTAAACTAAAGAGCTTCTGCACAGCAAAAGAAACTACCATCAGAGTGAACAGGCAACCTACAAAATGGGAGAAAATTTTTGCAACCTACTCATCTGACAAAGGGCTAATATCGAGAATCTACAATGAACTCAAACAAATTTACAAGAAAAAAACAAACAACCCCATCAAAAAGTGGGCAAAGGACATGAACAGACACTTCTCAAAAGAAGACATTTATGCAGTCAAAAAACACATGAAAAAATGCTCACCATCACTGGCCATCAGAGAAATGCAAATCAAAACCCCAATGAGATACCATCTCACACCAGTTAGAATGGCAATTATTAAAAAGTCAGGAAACAACAGGTGCTGGAGAGGATGTGGAGAAATAGGAACACTTTTACACTGTTGGTGGGACTGTAAACTAGTTCAACCATTGTGGAAGTCAGTGTGGTGATTCCTCAGGGATCTAGGACTAGAAATACCATTTGACCCAGCCATCCCATTACTGGGTATATACCCAAAGGACTATAAATCATGCTGCTATAAAGACACATGCACACGTATGTTTACTGCGGCATTATTCACAATAGCAAAGACTTGGAACCAACCCAAATGTCCAACAATGATAGACTGGATTAAGAAAATGTGGCACATATACACCATGGAATACTATGCAGCCATAAAAAATGATGAGTTCATGTCCTTTGTACGGACATGGATGAAACTGGAAATCATCATTCTCAGTAAACTATCACAAGAACAAAAAACCAAACACCGCATATTCTCACTCATAGGTGGGAACTGAACAATGAGAACTCATGGACACAGGAAGGGGAACATCACACTCTGGGGACTGTTGTGGGGTGGGGTGAGGGGGGAGGGATAGCATTGGGAGATATACCTAATGCTAGATGACGTGTTAGTGGGTGCAGCGCACCAGCATGGCACATGTATACCTATGTAACTAACCTGCACATTGTGCACATGTACCCTAAAACTTAAAGTATAATAATAATAAATAAATAAAAATAAAATAAAATAAAATAAAAATAAGCACTAAAAATGATTGTCTCTTGGAATAAAACTGGGGCATAGAGAAGGGCGTTTTCCTCTATTTTATTGCCATTGTCTTATCACCTTGACTTTAAAACAATGTGAATATTTAGTATGACATTGATGAAACTAAACTAAATAGACTAGAATAAAATAAAATATCTGAAGAGATAGCCTTACACTGCAATTTTTTCAAAGGGCATCAATCACTAACACAATGATCCTTGCTTAGAATTTCTCAGAAGGGAATGATTCTACTGCAAAACATTGGCATCAAAATGAAAATTCATAAAGCTGGAAGAACAAATGCATCTTTGGGCTTTGTTACAAAACCTCATACAAATTACACATTTAACTAAATAGCACACTTTTTCATCCTAATATCAATGGCTCAATACTTTTTAATAATATCAAATGATATATAGAAACAGCTTTCTTTTCAAAAGGGATGTGAAAACTACACTGATATTTGTGAAATATTTCTTCTGTCAACATCTTTCAATGATTTTAATTAAGGTGGTGTTTCTATTTCAATGGATCATCATTTTCAAACAGGTTTTCCATTAAGGCAGATGTTCTAGAGTTCAGATACATTCCAACTCCATTTTATTACTGATTTTCTGTGCTGATGTTTTATGAGACCAAAGAAATGAAAACCCATATTCCTATAATTGAATGACATAAATAGCTTAGGATATGGTGAATAAAGGAAAATGTGCTTAAATGTTTAACTTATTATGAACAATATTATTCTACTGTCTTAGTCAGTTTGGGTTGTTACAACAAGTACCATAGACCAAATGGCTTATAAACAACACATTTATTTCTCATAGCTCTGAAGGCTGAAGCTGGAGATCAGGGTACCAATATGTTTGGGTTCTGGTGAGGGGACTCTTCTAGGTTGTAGCCTGCCATCTTCTCCTTGTATCCTCACATGGCAGAAAAAGGGCTAGAGAGCTCTTTGGGGTCTCTTTTACAAGGTCACTAATTGTATTCATGAGGGCTTCATCTTCAGGATCTAAATTATCTCACCAAACCTCCACCTTCTGATACCATCACAATGGAGATTATGATTTCAACATTTGAATTTTGAGGGGCCATAAGCATTCAGTTTATACATCTACAGATGACAGCATCTCTCTTATGCCTTTATATTGTCACAAGTAACACAAGCAGCTTCATATATGCAGACTGGTCATTTCTTTTCTCCTTTTATTCTGATGTAAAATTTGTCTTCAAGACAGAGAAGGAATGAACATGAAGAAGTATGTTCAGACCGCTGTCAAGACATAAAATGGTTCTTCCTTTTAGATTTTGGGACATATTTATATTTATCCAAAGAAAACATTTCTGATATTTTATTATACTATAATAACGGTAGCCTAATAGTTTGGCCTAGGCAGCTTAAAAGGAAATTTTTAAATTATTTCTATTTATAGCAAAACCAAAATCTCTCTCTCTCTCTTTTCTTTGTTTCATTTTAACTTTTCTGTCTTTAGGAAAATCAACATTTTTCCATGAATACAATTATGACTCTTATAATGGCCATGCTCCCTTTTTCCTTGTGAAAAGAGGAGTTTTCATATAAGAAGATATGAATGGACATTTACATGTCAACTATAATAAGTTGGCATAGCCTTCTATATTTCAAGTGGCTTCAAATCAATAGATAATTTTAAAATTTGATTTGTTGTCTGCTTGACACAAAAGACTTTCTATTTCACTCTCAGGAATAAATAGGAAGATTTTTATCTCAATTTAATTGATGTGCAATTCATCTCATTGAATAATTTGTAAAATTAAGATATTTAAATTTTTAAATTTAATATCTTGGTGAGAAAAAATATTTCTTATATACAGGACAGTGATAAATATTAAATATTAATTTGTGATCATTAGCGATAGGGATAATGAATTTAACTATTTTAAGCATTGAAGATGCATTGAAAACTAATAGAAGGTTATATAGTTTCTTAAATAATTAGAGGGCAGACAGTAAAAATGGCAAAAGTTTTTTTTCTTCCTAACACATTGCTCTTTGCAATCATAAAAATAATTTAAAATTACTGCTGATGTTAATTACATGAAATTTAGAGAAATATTTAGAAAATATGAGGAGCAAAATCCAGAATTAACAGAAATTCCACTATTCAATGTTAACTATAAAATTTTTGTATATTTTCAGGCCTTTATATTTTATTTATAGATTTTCAGATTGCTATATAAAGTTTATTTTTGATTAATTTTTGTTATACCCTAGTATATGAATATATGATTTTAAGTAAGGCTATACTATGTATAAAGTTTTTCCTTTTTTTTTCAGTTAAACTTTTGTTTTAGCAATTTTGTATAATTTCATCAAACATTTTTATACTGGTCTCATGTCACCACACTCATAGATGATTTAATTTTACAAATTCCCAAACATTAAATATTTAAGTTTTTTGAATTATTGCAAAAGCAAAACAGCTATTTTTTATTTTTAGGAAAACTTTGCTCCATCTCAAGGTGTTTTCTTAGAATAAATTTTTAAAACAAGATGTGAAGCTGAATTAATACATATGATACCTATCAAGATTCTTGATTCATATTACTAAACTGCAGTCCTGAAAATATGAAATAATTCATAATCACACCAATAATATATGTATGAGAATATAAATTTTTTATGACATAAGATACAGCAATTGGTGTAACATTTTAAAATATTAAATAATTAGAGAAGAAATTTCACTTATAAATAAGGTATGTATTAAGATTCTCCAGAGAAACTGAACCAATAGGATATATACAGATATATATAAGAGGAGATTTATTGTAGGAGTTGGCTTATGTAAATTATGGAGGCCAGGAATTTCCACGATATGCTGCCTGCAAGCTGGAAAACCAGGAAAGCTAGTGCTATAATTAATTCAGTCTAGTCTCATTCTCATTCCATTCCTGAGAATGAGACTGGGTGTCCCTGGTGCAAGTCCTTGAGTCTGAAGACGTGAACGAAAGCTCTGATGTCCAAGGGCAGGAGAATCTTCACTTTTTGTTCTATTCAAGCCCTCAATAGATTGAAAGATGCCTATCCACAATGGTGAAGGCAGCAGTCTACAGATTCAAATGGTAATTTCTTCAAATGAATTCAAATGCTAATTCAAATTTTATCTTTGATTGGCTCTCATTGTTATTCTTTTTTTAACTTTTAAGTTCAAGGGTACATGTGCAGTTTTGTTATTCTTATAAAGCTCTACAATACTCTGAAATCAGTTACACATTCATGTTGGAAAGCCTTATAGTATATGTTAGAAAACAATTGGAATGTCTATAAAATAACTTCTTTCAGTTTACAGGTTTATACGCAGAAAGGAATTATGCTTCAAATTGCTACATTTAGTGCATTATATCCAAAAGATTCATCCACACCTTATTTAGGTGATGAAATTTTGAACTTGGAGGTTTTGAGTTTATGAGATTTAGATTTCGAAGGAAAAACTTTGGACTTTCAACTGATGTTATAATGGGATGAGACCCTTAGAAACCTCGAAAAAGGGAGAATGTATTTTGCATTTGTAAAGGATATGAGTAGTTAAGAGCCAGAGAGTGGACTATGGTAGGCAGAATTCTGAATCTCCAGGATTTCTACTGTCTGTATACTTGCCCTGCATAATATCCTCCTCTTTCATGTAAACAAGACTTATAAAAATAATAATGATAAATCTTGTGATTATGTTATATTATAAGGTGAAGGAATTTTGCAGATCTAATTGAGATCCCTAGTTAGTTGACTTTAATTATAAGAAAAATTATCACCTAGCCAGGTGAATTTTTAAGAGACAAAAAGCAACAGATTTTCCTACTGAACTTAAAGTTGGACTTAATTCAAATTAAAACCTGTTCTGCAAAAGACATTTTTAGGAGTCTTAAAGACAGCCTCAGACTAAGAGAAAATATTTCCAAAAGGCATATCAACTATAAGACTTTTATTTTTAATGTACAAAGAACTCCTAAAAGTGAACAAAGTGAAAAAAATTCAAAAAGTTAAGAAATGGGCAAAAGTTTTGAAAAGACACTATAACAAAGAAGATTTATAGATATCAAATAAGCATATTAAACCAAAAATGAGATAGATATACACCTATTTGATACCTAACAAAGAAAAAAAGTGATAATGCCATTGTTTTCAGAACAATGGTGACTCTTACTCATTGTCGACAGGAATGCAAAATTTTACATCCATTTTGGAAGACAATTTGTCAGTGTCCTACAAAGCTAAGCATATGCTTACAGTACAGTTTAGAATTCACAGTCAGAGGTATTTCCTAATCATTTGAAAATTCATTTCCATATGAAAAACTGCACCCAGATGTTTATGGCAGTGTTATTCATAACCAATACAACCAATATAAGCAAACAAGATGTCTTTAGTAGGTGAGTGGACCAATAAACCATGGTATATTCATACAATGGGATGCTAATGAATGACATAAAATTATGAGCTATTAAACTATACACTGACATGAATGAATTGTAAATGTATATTGTTAAGTAAAAGATAACAATCTGAAAAAACTAAATACTATGAGATTTTAACTACATGACTTTCTGGAAAAGGCAATAATAGTATGAACACAGTAAAAAAAATCAGTGCTTCTTATGATATCAGGGGAGGAAGGAAGGAGTCAATAGTTGGAGCATCACAGGTATATGTTACTATAATGGAAGATACATGCAATTATCCATTTATCACAGAACTATATAAATGAACCGGAATATAGACTATGGTCTCTAGCTAATAAATAATGTATTAATATTGGTTCATTGATTGTAAGAAATATACCACACCAATGCATCAATGCAAGATGATAAAAACAGGCAAAATTATATGACAGGGAGGTTTTTCAGGGGAGAGTAAGTATATGGCAATTTCTTGTACTTTTTACTTAATATGTCTGTAAACCTAAAACTGTTCTTAGAAAAAAAGATCAAAAAATATATTTATTTTTTGTTTCACATACACACCAAGTAGCTAAGAACAAGAGTCACATTTTTGCACTTTTTTGTATTTGGATAGGAATTACACAAACATGGACTCTAAAAACAAATGAAAATACGATACTGATTAAAGAAGGAAAAAATGGTCTTACTATTAAAATATAGAAAATATGTGTTTGGGGCCGGGTGCAGTGGCTCATGCCTGTAATCCCAGGACTTTGGGAGGCCAAGGTGGGAGGATCATCTAAGGTCGGGAGTTCAAGACCAGCCTGACCAACATGGAGAAACGCCATCTCTACTAAAAATACAAAATTAGCCAGGCATGGTGGTGCATGCCTGTAGTCCCAGCTACTCAGGAGGCTGAGGCAGGAGAATCGCTTGAACCCAGGGGGCGGAGGTTGCAGTGAGCCAAGATTGTGCCATTGCACTCCAGCCTGGGTGACAGGAGCGAGACTCTTATCTCAAAAAAAAAAAAAAGATTAAAAAGAAAACATGTGTTTGGAGGAACTTCATTGGCCAGCAGTTCTTGAGTAAGAAAACACTATTATCCACTCATCAGTTGTGAAATAGAGGTAGAAATTATAACCAGTGCCTAAAGATTGCGTATAATTTGAAAGCCACCTTTAAATCATCCACTTCTCTGTAATGAAAATATGTATTACATGAATAAGTTCGTCCCTGAGGAGAGAAAAGGGAGTATTGAAAACAATTTGAGCAGAAGTGAAAAATTGCAGATGATTATTTTGTAAAATTAAAGCATAATAATTTTTTTATTAGATAAATTTACTTCTGGGTGGGAAGTTTTAGGAACAAACATCAAAATGTCTTCTAAGAAATATAAAATACAAACATAGTGGCAGCCTAGATATCTTGGCTAAAAGGACTCTGTCTCCTCAAATGACACTAAGACCTTATTTCATCTGATTCTTTTATTCCCTCATGCTCCTTGGAAGTGGTACTATGAGTTGGACATTTGTCCCCAAACATGTACAGCTTTCTGTCTTTTGGGTATATGGCAGAACTTCTTTTTTTATTTATATCCTTTAAAGCTGACAATGGCAAAAATTCTTCCTTTGGCCAATAGAATGTGATTGGAAACAATACATATTCTTTCCCAGAAGAGACTCTAAAAGCAGATATGTGATTTGTTCATTTTCTGCCTCTTGCTTCAGCAATTATGGAGGCATTGAGACAGAGCTTCCCTCAGTTTGCATCCTTGAGTCAGGATAAGGTAGAGCAGCGGTCACAGCTGACCAGCAATGGATGCACAGACTAAGCCATGAATCAATCTATATTATTACTATTGCTATGAACAATAAAACCTAGAGAATTTTTATTTACATAGCATGAGCTACCTATTCTGACTTAAACCGTACTATTTATAGGACTTTAGCATTATTTAGACTGTTTTGACTCTGTCTCTATACTAACCCACTTGAAGAAAAACCCAATTTCTCTTTTTGTTTTATCTGATATAAAATTTGGAAACATCTATATAAAATTCTAATAAAAAATGAAAATATTCCATTTCATTTTCCCCAAATTATTTGGTTAATTTGACCTTTGATTATGCCACATTATTCTACTCAGCTTAAAATGGGAATGCTTTATTAAATCCTTCTTTTCCAATATAGAAAAATTTGACCTCCAATTAATTACTATTTTGGGCTCCCTTCTGAAGGAAAAAGTTAGAAGAGGTTAGTTAACAGAAAAGCTCTGGTCTATTGACCAATTAACCACCCACGCTGTAAATTCTGTTAATTGACAATTTATAAGCAGTTGGAGAGCGAAACTAGGATGCTTATATATATACAAATGAGTATTTCCAAAATTTCTAGGGATGCAAGTACTCTCCTAATTGTGACTATTAACACGTTGGAATCTGTATTTAGGGCTGGGTGTGGTGGCTAATACCTGTAATCCCAACATTTTAGGAGGCCGAGGGGGGCAGATCACTTGAGATCAGGAGTTCGAGACCAGACTGGCCAACATGGCAAAACCCCATCTTTCCTAAAAATACAAAAATTAGCCGGTGTGGTGATGCACACCTGTAATCCCAGCTACTCAGCTGGCTGAGACAGGAGAATTACTTGCACTCGGGAAGTGGAGGTTGCAGTGAGCTAAAATCATGCCACTGCACTACAGCCTGAGAGACAGAGTGAGACTCCATCTCGAAAAAAAAAAAAAAAAAAAAAATCTGTATCTAGACCACCTCTTTTTCTAATCGTAATATCATCACATATTGTATGCATTACTTAAGTCCTCTGGCCCTCCGTTTCTTTATCTGTAATTATCTCATCAAGGCATCTTGTCCAGAAATATTCTTAATATGTTTAAATCATTCATCATGGAAATTTGTATATAAGTAATCAACACATAATTGTTTGGTTTGCTTGCTCAATACATAATTATTATTATTTATACTGCTTCTTGTTTTTAACTTTTTGGAAATCATGGTATCATTTCCTCAAAGGTGTTTTTCAATCAGTATTCAGCATTAGATGTAAAACCACTTATTAAAAATTTGCTTTTTAAAACAGTGGGGGAAAAAATAGACCTCAGAATTAATGGAATGCACAACTCTCATATCAATGGGCTGATATTTGGCACTTGATAAATGTCTCCTGAATGAATGGATGAATGGTGAATTAATTAGTTCAAGTCAGAAAATCTTTATTGAGCATCAACGCTTTGCTCATGCCAGAAATAGAAGTCGAGGTCATGAACTGGAACAGAACAGGCAAAGCTAGCCAGGGCCGGCCTGGAGAACCCTGGCTTGAGATTGCTGACAAAAACATACAGTGACTTGAAGCTTATTAGCAAACCTAATCTTTTTGCTGAATGTAAGTAACCTAAGAGGGTTTACTGTGTAAACTTTTAATTTGTGAATCCATAGATATTTTTGTCCTACATATCTGACATATAGAATAAATTTAGGTGCAGAGAAGTTTAGTGACTGACCTGGAGCTATGAGATGATTCGATAACTCATCTAGAAATGTAAAACCCTAGGCTTTCCAAATCCAAGTAACTGTGAAGATGTTCTTGACTAAATTCAGTGCTAACCAGATAAAATGAAGCCTTCAAGGAAAAAATATTTAAGACCCATATATACTGCATAAAGAAATTAGATTGTCACAATACAGTGAGCACCTTGGTAGGTACATCAGATCACAAGAACAGTTATAATATTAACTTAGTAAATGAGCTCCCAGAGACCTACAGGAGTTAAAACACCTTAAAGAAAGACATACAAACACTCACAAAATAACTTATGCATTTGACAGACTTCTCTGGTAAGTTTATACCAATGAGTCTCACACAGATGGCTATGTGCTATGTAAGTTACAGTTTTAACTGCAGTTTTATTTTGAGTTTTAAATCTGCGATCTTAGAACCATAAAATGCATGAACCTGTATATTGAATTCTCTTCATTAACTTGGAGAAAGTGTCAAGCCTGATATTTTAAAGTACTTGTTGGGCAGTAAAGGACTGTGATGCATATAAGAAAGCCAGATCAACGAGTACCAACTATTTGCAGTCCAGGTCAATTGGCTCACATAGACAACATCCACAAATAGACAGGTAAGAGCCACTATCCAGCAACAGAATCTGGTGTGGCTTGTCAGTAACCACTTTAACAACCTTTCTAGGTCACAGCATGATTATTCATTCTGACCTCAGATCTGGGATTGAATGACTTTCTTGACTGTGTATTCACTCATTCAGCAAATATGTATTCGGTAACTGTGGTGTATCAGGTTATATGATTTGTGCTAGGGATACCAAATATGTCAGCATTAGACCTGCTCTCAATAAATAGAAAGTCTCATGGAGAGACAAATACCTGAGGAAATAATTATAATACCTTCTGAAATGTGTTATAATAGAGGTTAAGTACAAGGTCTTATAGAAGCAGAGTAACAGGGCAATTAATTCCAGAGAAGAAAATCACAGAAAGACTAATATAAATGCTGGTAGTTGAGGGGGCCTCGAGGATAAGATTACCTGAGAGAGAACACTGGCTAAAAAAGATAATAAATGGTCACCAAGGCAGAAAAGTGTGTGGCATATCCGAGGAACCAAGCAGTTTATTGCATTATCTCCCTATTACTGATATGAGATATGAATATCATCATTTGTCGAATGTGGGTTTAATGTTAATATTTGACTTAATTAATTTTGAAATACCTTTGAGATTTAAAAGGGTGGAACCTGAATCTAAAGTAGTCTTTTCTTTCTCATTCATATATTTAGAAGATTCCAGAAAGACTAGCAGTCTGGTTTTCATTTTCTGATTCAGGCTTTAAACAGCACATTTAAATTTGGAAAGTAAATTAGAAAGATGTGTGCCATACCAAAATAAACACAAATATTCTTAGCATTGTTTAAAAGTTATCACATTAATATAACAATTATCAGTCAAACATCTTATTCCATCAGAAGTAATTGCTTCAAGGAATGCCACTATTTTGAACTATTCATACCAGAATATAATTTTAACTTTGAGACATTGTATAGTTTTAATTAAATTTCATCAAGCCACCATATAAATTTAACTTCAAAACTCCTCCCAAATCTATCTCCCTGGCTATTAGTGTATTAAAGCTAATAAGAAAAAGATAGATAATACTAATTTACTCAGTAATAAATGATAAAAATTGGTCAATAGAAACCACATTAACACGGAAAACATGAAGCAACCATAGACACCTTTTTGGTGTCTCACACTGCTATAAAGAACTGCCCAAGACTGAGTAATTTAGAAAGGAAAGTGGTTTAATTGATTCACAGTTCTGCGTGGCTGGGGAGGTCTCAGGAAACTTACAATTATGGCAGAAAGCAAAGGGGAAGGAAGCAAGGCACCTTTTTCACAAGGCGGCAGAAGGGAGCATGAACTCAGGAAGAACTACCAAACACTTATAAAACCATCAGATCTCGTGAGATCTCACTCACTGTCACGAGAACAGCATGGGGAAAACTGCCCCCTTGATTCAATTACCACCACCTGGTCTCTACTTAACATGTAGGGATTATGGGGATAACAATTCAAAATGAGATTTTGGGTAGGGTCACAGCCACACCATAGCAGTGTTCTTATTAAAAAAAATAAACAATATGCTAATTTATAAAACAGAATTAAATTGAATACCTTCTATTTGGAGGAAGAAATGATAGACTATTCTATATTTGAAATTATTCGTATTAGAGTTCACAGCCTGCATGAAAACAGGCTGATTAGTGGTATTTCTTTGTTCTTTACTTAATTTAGATTAAATTAAGCAATTATTTAAATTATTAAAATATTTTGTCTGTTATTTTAATACTGAAATGTATATCATTATGATAATGTGGAAAAAATAGATCCAAGCCCACAAACAGAACTTTTCCAAATTAATAAGAAAAAACATCTTTAGCTAAAGATGTGTGGAACAGATAAAGAAAAACATATATATATGTACATAGATATGTATATATCTTTCTATTTAAATCGCAGTAAATTTTAAAAGTAAAGCACTGCACTTAATAAAACAAAAGCAACAACAATATGTAGCTCAGAACTGTGTTAAATTATCAAATTTCTTGATATAAGGTATGCCTTTTATTTAGAGTATATCTTCCAGTTAACAGGACCTGTTTCATCACTTAAATAGTTCTCATCACCGTTAAGAGTGATTAATTTGAACATTAAGGATGCATCTTTAAACATCAACATTATTACCTTCATAACTATTATTAGTCAACATTTGTGGAGTACCTATTATGTATTAAGTATATAGATGTATTTATTCAGCCATTTATACGTACATAACCAGTTTACGTTTAACCATGTCCTTTTGGGTTTTTTCATCATTTTTATTTTTTATTGGACTTTTGACCTTATTTTATAAAATATCTGCGGCAATACCATATTAAAATAGTAACTTATTGAAATTTTCATGCTGAAAATAATATGTAAAGGAAAATGAAGAGTAAAATGTAGCACTTATTTCAAAAATTATACATAATGTCAATCAAGACTAATTATTATGGTAAAAAACTTAGATGGTAAATTTCTTCATTTAAACATATAGTTAAGTTCTTCTATGTGCCATCATTACTATGAAAATGTACAGCTTATGAGAAAAAATATTAAATTCTAGAGACAATTTATCTGCCATTACTCCATTTAGAAATGATGATATGTTATGCCTATATACAAAAAATAAATTCAGTATGCAAGAAGCATGCCTTTTCTGGGGAATCCTTATCAACTTTCAGTTTCAAATATTGTATATTGCCTCTCATAAGATGCATCATAATATAAGATTAAACTTAAACTGGAAAAAAATTCATATTTTTAAAATAAATATCACTGTGCACATTTGAGATTTACAACATAATGTTATGGGATATATATATAGAGAGAAATAGTAAAATGGTTACTATAGTGAAGCAAATTAACATATCTATTATCTCATATAGTTACTCTGTTTTGACCAGAGTAGCTAAGAATCTACTTAATTAACAAAAATCTCTAATCCAATACAATTTTATCAAATACATTCTTCATATTGTACATTAAATCTCTAAACTTGTTGATTTTACATGTCTGCAACCTCTTTTAAATAAAATTATTTTCCCATGCCTTTGGAAAACTTTATAAAACAACAGATTTTGCTATTTTCTATTGCATTTTGAAAAAAATGCAAAAAATGAACACAAGATATTTAAAGGTAGAGAAATAAAATAGGTAAATATTTTTTAAAATGAGAAAAGCCTGTGGGTTTAAAAAGAACAGAGGCACTCATTTGATTTTAATTGGATAGAAAATAAAAAGGAAGGATTTTTTAAAAAGGAACAGAAAACAACTGCTATCCAAATGTCGCAGTCACTTTGCAGGGAGAAAAGCAGACTGCCCTGTCACTCTTGAGCCCCAGCTCTCCCATCTTTTGTCTGTTCACCAAATATCTTTCTGACTAGCTTTTCTGTATTTTCTGTAGGCAAAATAATGTTAGAAGAGTAGTCGTTGGCTTACCTTTATTTAGGATACTCAAACAGAAAATCCCTAGACATTTTTTATTTCCTCTTCTATTCTACAACCCTTCTCCCTTATTCTGTATTTCTTCAGGCCCTGTTTTGTCAATTTAATGAGATTCCCACTTTCCTGGAAAGAATAATGCTTATGTTTTATACTACCATAACCCTAAAATGCTACTGTCTATCTTATTAACTAGAATATTCTATTCCCAAATACCCTTTATAACCCATTATAAAATAACAACATGTAAATAACAAAATAACAACATGTATTGTATGTCTATAAAAATGTTTGTAATATGATACATATATTAAAAAGCAATATCCACAAATCCTATGAAGCAATATTCACTAATGTTTATATCATCTGTCTCTTGTCTGTCTTCCATATTAGGTACTCATTTGTTTTTCTTTTTTTGTAAGAGGATAAAACTAATTCAGGGCACAGCAGTCTTCCAACATTCACGGAACACCCACCAGGCATCATGACTTCCTGCTGAGAGAGTTATAAATGGCAATAGGGTGTCTGTTTGGTGTTGGCAGGCTACTGCAGAAACGTGGTGACTAAAGATTTTTGCTATGATCCTTGGCTGTAACCCTTTCTCCTGCTCACTTTGGTTGACGTCTTTGTCTCTTCGGTAGCTCTCTTCGTCTTACAACTAGTGTAGAAAAATATTTTGTCCTATGTCCTTACTAGATATCGAACTTCTATAATTTAAATGATTGTGTGATCATTCAGTCATTAAGTTTCATGAACCTTAAAAGACATGCAAACCAATAGCAATCATGGAGAGGCTGGACAAGAATAAAGAGATTTTAAAAGCATCGTTTCTGAATGTTCAAACTACCTAAAATGTTGCTTGTACAATCACTTACGAGATTGTACATAGATATATCTGTATAAGGACTGATTAAATGTGGAATGAATATTTACTTACACCATATTAAGTTATTTTAATTCTTAATCTTACATTATATTCATTGAAAGGGATTTGGACAGTTTAAATGAATAATTTCAGAAGTTCTAATCTGAAAATTTACAGTTTTTATAGTTGAATCAATTTAATTAGTAACAGTTAACACAGAGTAAAATCAAATAGAGATACAAAATTGGAAGTTTCCTTCATTGTGAAGTATTATGTGGAAATTTCCATAAAAGACTGTCTCTAGGACTCTAGCTACTGACAAGCAGAAATAGTAGATAGCCATCATCTACTCAGCTTGCTTACTGTTACCAGGATACAACAGGAGCGTGAAGGGAGATAAGATCTTGGAGGGAAAAATTTTTTTTGGTTGTTTATTTTAAACTGAGGTTTTGTTTGTTTATTTTGTTTTCACCAAGTCAGAGAGTAGGTCACTATCCCAAGCTAAAGAAGATCAGAGGTTTTTAAGTGAAGTCCATAGAGCTATCTGAAGTCAAAAGGGATTTTGACACTAAAATAGTAATCAGTTCAAATAAATTACAGTTTTTTTCTTTTGTCTATGAAGGAATAAGAAGTACATCAAATGAGAGTGAATATTATTGTAGAAAAATGAGCCCCTTATGATTGCATTTCTTTACATCTTACTGTAATATTATGTATCAACTTTAAATATGTCAATTAAATTTTTCAATAGACATATTTTTAATTTACATAGAGTAACAACATAGAAATACTAGAATCATAATGTGCTTATGATATAAATTAAGTATAAATCAAATACCCAGAAGAAAATACGCAGCCTTAGGAACAGTATCCTTTCAAATACAAAACTGTAAAAGCAAGTTATGAACAGAATACATGCTAGGTTTTATTGTCTTTGTGTGGGGGTATAGTGTGTGTGTGTGTGTGTGTCTGTGTGTGTGTGTGTGTGTCTGTGTGTGTGTGAACTTACTAGTGCTTGAGGTTTTTTGAAGCTAAAGACACTGTTCCTGAATGAAGAATAATTAGGGAGTTTATGTTCCCAAGAGCTTTTAACCATTTATCCTTGAGTAAATTTCCTAATATAAAATGTATTCTTTTACTAATTACATATCTTATATAAAAGAAACTTTGAGTAGCACTATGTCATACATACTTTTATAATAAAATTTACAAACAGGTTTTTTTTGTTTTTGTTTGTGTTTTTGTTTTGTTCTGTTTTGTTTTGAGATAGTGTCTCACTCTGTCATCCAGGCTGGAGTGCAGTGGCGTGATCTCGGCTCATTGCAATCTCCGCCTCCCAGGTTCAAGCAATTCTCCTGTCTCAGCCTCCCAAGTAGCTGGGACTACAGATGCCTGCCACCATGTCCGGTTAATTTTTGTAGTTTTACTAGAGACAGGGTTTCAACTTGTTGGTCAGGCTGGTCTCAAACTCCTGACCTCAGGTGATCCACTTGCCTCATTCTGAATGTAAGTATTTTCATGATGTATTCACTTCTAATCAATATCTCTCCCTATAGTAGCTTTAACCAGAAATGTCTGCAAATTAATTTCATATTTCCATGAATAGCTGTAATACTCATCATTCTGTTTGAGACATTCAGACAGTAATACTGACATACATCCCAAAATTAATATTAATTCATGGAGTGGTGAGATATTAATTTAACTAAAATAAAATAATAAAGACAAATGTGACAATTTTTTTTTTCTTCCTTGAGATGGAGTCTCACTTTGTCACCAAGGCTGGAGTGCAATGGAGTAATCTCGGCTCACTGAAACCTCTGCCCCCAGGTTCAAGTGATTCTCCCACCTCAGCCTACCAGGTAGCTGGGATTACAGGCACCTGCCATCATGCTGAGCTACTTTTTGTATTTTTAGTTGAGATAGGATTTTACCATGTTGGCCCAGCTGATCTCCAACTCCTGACCTCAGGTGATCCATCTGCCCTGGCCTCTCAAAGTGCTGGGATTACAGGCGTGAGCCACCGCTCCTGGCCTTAAATCTGACAATTTTCTAGATAAGTTATTAAAATATTTAGAAAATTGAGAAAACATTGCCTTGATTTGCTGAAAGAATTTGTGTAATTAATTTCTAATTCCATTTGAGCTTACCATTTCCTATGTGGCTTGAGTGAATAGTACAGATACAGTTGAATATAGTATAAATACCTTTGTATTCACTAATTTAGTATCATTCATTCAAAAATATTTAGTGACTTTCCCAATAAAAAAATAAATTCATTAGAATATAACCTAAATTTTATTAATTTTACATTTGTTTTCTGAAGAGTAAAATACTCTAAAAATATTCTGATGTCAGACAGTATTTTCTTTTCTATGAGGATAAGGCAGTGTATGAAAAAAAATCAATTGCTACCATAAAAAACAAGTTTTCTGCACTGCCTGTTTAGATCTATCACAAACTTTAATGGGTAAGTAACTGTCTCTATGAACTACATTTCTGGCCAGCTCCATCTGCTTTCATTTTCCAAGCAGCCTGGTGAAGCAAACAGAGATAAGGAGGTAATAAAATATTTGACTGAATCACTACCTCTAGGGTACCACCAAAATGAAAGGCATGATGTTGATATTTAACACCAGAGATTAAAATCTAGAATTATTTGCAGGAGTTGAAGTTTTCAGCATTCTCTACCAAAATGAGAGCATTAACTAATGTACCTCAGTAAAAGATGTGCTTCTGACATTATAATGTAAGTAATAAAATTGAAGTCATAAGAATCTTTAGCTGAAATTACATATTGAAAGACACAGTACAGGTCCAGATGGTTCTGATGAGTCAAGTTACAGTCTGAAGCACATATGATTTAAACAATATATAATAACCTACAGGTATTGGCAAAAATTCTTATTCATGAAATTCAAACAATCATATAAACTAAAATAATGGCAGCTACTTAAGCAGGAAATGTTCCTGGCCTCATATTTACTTACTTGCCATAGATACAGGGGATTTCTAACAATGAACCATTTCCGAGAGATTATTTTGCTTAATATATGGAATGCATAGTATGGAAAATTGCTTGCAAAAATGGATGCCATTTTTCCCTTCTCCATATCCATGCTTCTTTGCATTGTGACTCTGCGACTCTGTATCTTATCAGATCTCTCTCTCTTTAAGTCTGGGATAGCCTTATGACGTCCTTTGACCAATAGAAAGTGGCCTTGAGAAGACTTGTTTGCTTATACTCTCTTTCCTGGAATATTGCCAAGCCTCCACATGGATATTTCCAGTCTAGCCTGTTGGATGATGAAGGATACTTGGCCCAGTTATTCATGTTGCCTGAGCCAACAGCCAAGCATCAAGTATGTGAGTGAAGTAGATTAGACAGTCAGCTCAGTCAATTGGACAACCCACCTCAGGCAGGTTAGAGAACCTAACTGAGCTCAAACAAGCCAGACCTAGATCAGCAAAGCCGTACACCTGATCCAGAGACTCATGAATTATGTTAATGACTTTTGCTTTAAGCCCTGCAAAATTAGGGCCCATAAGTTGTCTCCTTGTTTGTGTAAATAAAGTTTTATTAGAACACAGCATCATCCACTGGAATATGTATATGTAGTCTGTGGTTGCTTTCATGCTACAACAGTGGAGTCAACTAGTTGCAATAGAAATCTTATGATGTGCAAAGACTAAAATAATTACCATATAGATATTTACAGAAAAATTTATTGACTCCTATTTTAAACCACTACATTTTGAGGTAGATTGTAACTCTGTAATGGGAAAACATGTACATCTAGCAAAATATTTCCAGTAATGTTTGTTTTCATTAAATATAGTATCACTCTATGTTGTTATTTGTAATTTATAATTTTTAGACCTTTAATTTTTACACAAATGTTTTATTACTTAGTATCTAATATAAGACATCATTGCACTAAAAGTACAATATAAAAGTGCACAATCAGATAAAAATCCCTCCATTCATACAGTCTCCCTCCCAGAATGTAGTGGAACACTGAATAGACACACATGCATTACATACACACACACACACACACACACACACACATATATATACATACACACATATATATAAAACACCTGCAAACATATAATTTAAACCATATAAAATCACTGTTTTGCAGAAATAATGATTAAATGTTAATAATTTTATATGGTTGAAAGTAATTTTACTCCAGATGGTGATAGGTGCAAATGAAGTGATACAAGGAAAAATAGGAAGGTAACAGAATTGCTGTTATTTGAGCAAATATGGGAAAAAATATAGGGAAGTTTTAAGTATCTAGGTGAAGACAATCCCAGGAAGAAGAATGACAAGTACAGTGGTCTTGAAGTGGGAAAAGGTCCGATCTGTTTAAACAGGAAAAGGCAAACAAGGTCAAAGTGAGTAAGGAGATTTGTAGTAGATGCTGAGATTAGAGAGGTAATAAGTGGGTGACAGACTCAATATATTTGTGATGTTCAGTACATTAGCTACTACTGAGAATCTGAAATGCAGCTAGCTCAATATGAGATATTACATACATGTAAAATACACACCAAATTTTGAAGGTGTGAAAAAAAGCGTTACATATTTAAATAATTTTTGTGCTGATTACATGTAGAAATGATAATATTTTGCATTGAGTGGGTTAAAGTGTATTACAATTAATTTCATCATTTTCTGTTTACTTTTTAAAAAATATGGCTATTAACATGACTCATATGTTTCCATCATATTGCTCTGGTATAGAGTTTAATAGTCCAATGTCAGAACTGAGGTTATTACGCTGAGTGAGATAACTCACCATTGAGAAAAGTTTGTAATGAGGTAGTTGCTGAAGCAGGAAGGCCAGTTTGGGGAAGGTTTCATTAATTCGTGAGCAGCAAAGGGGGATGGGGACACAGAACAGAATAAAGGTAACAAATAGAAGTGAAGACAAGTTTTCAGGTTTTGGGTACATTTTGAAGACAGAGCCAATATTTGCTGATATACTTAATGTGGATTGTGAATTAACAAAAAGAAGCTAAGAATACTTTTGTAGTTTGGGTCCAGAGAACTAAAGAATATGAGTTAAAAATTGAGAGGAAGAGGACATGAAGTGGAACATGTTTGGAGTAAGAAAGATTCATTTGGGGATATGGTAAGAATGAAAATGTTGAGTAAAAATTTGGATAAATAAATCTGTACGTTCGAAGTGAGATCCAGGCTGGGGATTTTCCTTTGTGATTCATCAGCTTATAGGTACAATGTTAAGCTCCTGGAGTGAATGATTGAATATGGAGATAAGTAAAGAGATCTATAGTCAGGCCTACAGGACACTCTTAATATTTAGAGTTCAAACAAATGAGGACACACCAGCGAAAGTTACTGAAAGAAACAGCCTATTGAGGAAGGAGAAAAAGTATAAATTAGTGGAAGGCAACTAAGGAAAGTGTTTCAAGGAATTCAGAGTGATGGTCTGTCTCAAACACTGCAGATAAGAACTACAAATTCATTAATGAATTTTGCAATGTGTACATCATATGCAATTATTTGGGTAAGAACATCTTTGGTTGAGTGTGAGGAATGAAATAGGTTAAAGAGAGAAAAAGAGGAAGCATGGAGATAGTGAATATTGATAACTCTCTCCAAGGGCTTTATTATTAAGATAAACAGGGGCTTTCAGGGATACATGAAGCAAGATATGGAGAGTCAAAAGAGACTTTGTAAAATTTTCAATTCACTAAATTTATTCCCAAATTTTAAAATAAACTTCTAAGTTTTTCCTGTATTTTTAAATTAGAGACTTTATTTCTAAATAAGTTTTATGTTTACAGAGAAATTGAGCAGAAAGTATGGAGTTTCCACATACCCTCCCATTTCTCACTCCCCCACCACGGTTTCCCATACTGTCTTTCCATTACTATCTGTCTTTGCATGTGGATATCTACTTGTTCTAGCACAATTTGTTTAAAAGATTATCCTTTTCCCATTGGATTCTATTTACTCATTTGTCAGAGATAATTGACTATGTTTGTATCCCTCCCTTTTTGTGGCTCTTTATTCTGATTCATTGCAATTTTTGTCTTTTCTTTTGCCAATACAAATCCAATACATTAGCATAGATGAGCCAGTATTTATTTATTATTACATAGAGTCTACAGTTCACATTAGGGTTCGCGCTTTATGTTGTACATTCTGTGGGTTTTGATAAATGTGTAATGAAATGTATACAACATGAGCATAACATGCAGAATAGTTTCATTGCCCAAAAATCTTCTGTGCTCCAGCTATTCATCCCTCTATTTATTCTGCTAATGTCGTAGAAACCACTGATCTTTTTACTGTTTTCACAATTTTGGCTTTTTCAGAGTGCCATATAGTTGAAACCATATGTATGTAGCCTCAGATTGGCTTCTTTCACTTAGCATCAAAAGTTCCTCCATGTCTTTTTGTGGCTTGATAGATCAATTCCTCTTTCCACTGAATAATAGTCCATTGTATGGATGTACCTCAGTTTACCTTTGCATTCACACATTGAAGATCTGGGTTGCTTCCAACTTTCGGCATTTGTAAATAAAGATATTATAAACATTTGTGTACAGGTTTTTGTGTGAACATGTTTTCAATTCATTTAGGTAAACACCAGTGGGCTCAATTGCTGGATCATATGACAGAATACAGTTAGTTTTGTACTAAACTGCCAAACTGTCTTTCAATATGGCTGTACCATTTGGCATTTCAATGAGCAATAAATGAGTTTCTGTTGCTACATATCATCACCAACATTTGCTGCTGTCAATATTTTAGATTTTAGCCATTCTAATCAGTGTGTAGTCATATCTCATTGATGTTTTAATTTGCAATTTTCTGATAAGTATGATGTTGAGCATATTTTCATATGTATATTAGCCATCTGTATATGATAGTAACAGGAGACAGACAAATTCCTAGGCAGACAGGGATGGGTCCCTGGTGAAACTTGACCTTCAAGCCAAGGACAGTTTAAAGCCTGAAAACTAAGCTGCCAGTTCTGGATTGTGTCCACGATGGAATGAGAACTTCCATCCCCATCTTACATACTCTCTCTTGATTGGTTCCTTCTGAATGACGCCTTTGAAGCAATTGAATTGTTCCTTTTCCACGCCCACTCATGGACCAGTAAGCCCTCATTTCCCCATTTTAAGCCCATAAAAACCCCAGACTCAGCCTCGCAGATGACTACCTGCTTTTGGGTCCCCTCTCATTGCTGTGAGCTTGCTTTCTGTCGTTCAATAAAATTTTACTCTGCCTTACTCACTCTCTGGTGTCTGCATGCCTTATTTTTCTTGGTAGTGGGACAAGAACCTGGAACTCCAAATTATGGGAGCATAAGAGCTATAGTGTTCCTGCTCAGTGAGCTGTGGGTGGTGAGAGTAAAAGAGCTGTAGCACTCCCTCCCGCTCACCAAAAAATGGGAGAGAAGCTGCTGGGCATCACTCCCTTCCACTCACCAAACTACAGGAGTGCAAAAGCCATAACATGTATATGTAGATTATTTACCCATTTTACTATTTGGTTGTGTGTATTGTTATTGTTAAGCTTTAAGAGTTCTTTGTTTATTTTGAATTATATTACTTTATCAGATACAAATTTTGCAATTATTTTCTCACAGCCTGTGGCTTGTGTTCTCATTCTCTTTTTGACATATTTTTCATTTAAAGATCAATTTTTTTCCTCATAGATTATGACTTTGCTGTTGTATCTAAACAGTCATTGCCAAACCAAAGGTCAGCTAGATTTTCTCCCAGGTTATCTCCCAGGAGTTTTATTTGGTTTTTGATCCATTTTAAGATCTTCATGAACGGTCCAAGACCTATGTCTAGATTCACGTCTTTGCATTTGGATATCTACTTGTTCTAGCACCATTTGTTTAAGAGTTTATCCTTTTCCCATTGGATTCTGTTTACTGATTTGTCAGAGATAATTGACTATGTTTGTATCTCTCCCTTTCATGGCTCTTTATTCTGATACATTGCTCTTTTTGTCTTTTCTTTTGCCAGTACAAATCTGTCTTGATTACTGTAGCTTTATAGTTAGTCTTGTGGTTTTGTAGCATCAGTCTTCTGACTTAGTTCTTCAATATTGGGTTCGCTACTGTGAGATTTTTGATTTCCATATAAATTTTAGAATCAGTTGATCACTATTCACAAAATAACTTGTTGGAAGTTTCTCATAATTATTTATTTTGGTTAAAATAATTTATCTTTTCCCCTTTGGTTTTATGAAAATGAAAACTTTAAAACTGAATTTATAACATGTTTATTTTTATAAGTAATTTTGAAAATATACTCCTTTAAACTTACTCTGTTTAGTATATACTGTAAAACAAAACAATATATGCAATGCTCAGATAAAAAACATTTTATCCATTATATAGATAATTGATAAAATTATTTACCTTACAGTTCTATAAAAATAGTATAAATTTTAAAAAGTTAAAAGGGATCAATATGTTTGACAAAATTAGCTTCTGTTTAAGAAGATTTTATATTTTGTGCCAAGGAAAGCTTGCTGCATAAATTTATTTAAAATACTATTAAATTATTAACGATAAGGAAAAATCAAACTTCAAGTTTCAAAATATATTGAATAGATCAGGTATTATCAAGTTTTCACATAATTTCTATAGCCAATGGAAAACATTTAACCTCAGCATTTAAGCAGACTAAATTTTCTGCGGCAAACTGGCCAATGTAAGTTTTTATCAATTTCATTTTGAAAAAAATCATCATTAAAACAACTTGCACTGAAAGCTCATTGGTTAAGAGAAAAATATTACAAATCATTATAATAATCTACCTGCAGGAAAATTAGTGGAATCTCTTCTGTTTAATAAAAAGTAGTCAAATCTGGGGCTATATACATAAAAATGAAAGAAGCATATTATCTTAGTCATTCAATCAACTGTAGAATTTTCAAACTCAAAATTAGACATTTCATTTTATTCTTTCACTCTCTAAAACACATAACCTATTAGCTAATCTTGCTGATATTTAGCTGCCACTTTACTCATTTAGGCAGATCTGTAGGGAAGGGACATAGTATTCGGACTTGGAGGAACAGTATTATAGCCTTACTTTATTATTCACAGGCTACATGGCCTTGGTTACTTTGTCCATCTTCTCAGAAAACAGTTTTCACAAATGAAAACTGCAAAATAAGATGCCTATCTCAGGAGAGTTGCTGTGAAAATCAAATTAGATGAATATAGGAAAGTGCTTAGTAAATGGTAAACAGAAGTATGATGTTTTACTCTTTTATTTTCAACTCTGGTTGGAACCATCATTGTGTTATACATACATTGCTATGTTTTTACAACCAATTTTATCTCATCTTTCAATATATCTCACAAATAAAAATAGTTTTTTCTAAATAAATAGCATACAAAGTATGCCATAAATATTGAGACACAGGCATAGAAAAAATAAACTATTGCAGTAAGTTAACAATCATCTCTGTGTGAGAGAAATATATTTGATTTGCATTTTCTTCTTTGTTCTTTTGATATTTTCTAAAAGTGTCTGAAATGCATGTACATCATCTTATAAACAGAAAAATTCTCTACTTCTACTCTACTTGTATTTTATTTTAAAGGAATATTTACCCTTTTGAAATGACTGCAGTTTTCCTAAAACAATATCCATGGTGAATCAAAATGCATGACTATTAAATAATCAATAGTCAACTATTGATTTATTCTTATATATACTTTCTTAACTTTTTTGAGGTTACAATGAAATATAACAGAACTTTTGCCTTCAAAAATGTACAAAAAATGTGTAATAGCTTTAAATTAGTTAATAGAAGTTAATATATTGCTACTCCACATGGTTAACCTGTATCATATGCAGCCTCTCACTCTGTAGATACCTGCAGAAACCATTCTGCTCATTAAGCCATTTAGAATAAAATGTGTGTTTTGTATATGGCCTCTGTTGCAGGTGTTATTCTACATGTTCAAAGGACTCCTTTGTTAAATAACATAGACTTAGAAACATGGAGATATAAAGCAGATTGTTGAACACTCTAATTGTGCCAGTCTATCTTGGCTATGATGGTTCTAATAGTGTCATCTGTCAGCAGCTCTTCCCTTTTCCTCTGCCTCTGAGTAAGCAGCACACAGAGTCAAGCCAAAAACTGAGATGCAATATTAGATACCATCTGTGTTGCTCATTTGATTTCAATCCAAATTGTTCTCAAGCCAATCATGGAACCAAGTGAAAAATTTGATTGTGATTAGGGTAAGATATGAAAAAGACTTGAAGTAAAAGACCAGCATCAAGTTTCCAGGTACAAAGGGGTGCTTTGCCCATTTTACAAATTCCCATGTGGAGAAAGAGACTTTAGGCCTAGAAAATTATAACATGCACAGAAGTGAAAAAAAAAAAAACCACAAGTAAATGCACAAGCATGTGTATGTGTAGATAAAACATACACTCTGTAGAAGTGATTTTGCTTTTAGAATTTTAAAATTACAAAGAGTTTGTTATAATGTACTTAGCAAACTCCCAATTTTGAAATGCAGATAATGAAAATTGAGTGTATATGTATGTGTATGTGAAAACTTAATTATAAAATACTTATTTGTCTAAATAGTTGCAAAAAGCATGCAAACAATAATCAGTGTGTATATATGTATCCCAGTGATAGATGTCTGCTTTGTAAGTGAGCCACTATTAATTCATCTATAAATCA
This sequence comes from Homo sapiens, assembly GCF_000001405.40. Taxonomy (NCBI): domain Eukaryota; kingdom Metazoa; phylum Chordata; class Mammalia; order Primates; family Hominidae; genus Homo; species Homo sapiens. The sequence goes on from NC_000012.12 coordinate 87,128,059, forward strand.
CTGAAACTAAGCAGTAGTTTAAGATAGGTTCTAAAGAAGACTAATTTAATCATCCTAATTTATTTTGGTCATTGCTATTTTGAGTTTTTTTCTTTTTTTTGCGGGGGTGGGGGTGTTGTTGTTTTAGCTGATCATTCTCATTTCTTATCTTTGTGTTTTTCTTCCTCTTTTTTTTCTTTCCAACATATTTTGACCAATACTCTTGATTAATGTTAAATGGTTAAATGATTGGAGGCAACATCATGGTGCACAGTGAGAGAAAATTTATCAATTACAAATATTACTGCATTTAAGTGTTTATAAAGGAAATACTAAAAGACCAAGAAACACTCACTTTTGAATAGCAAAGAACCATGTAAGTTTAGCATTTAGAAAATTATTTCCATAGGCATATATTACCCTATGAAGTACACTGAACACTTCATACTATTATACCAAATGTTGGCATCATGTACATATGTTCCATAATGCATTTAAACATTAATGCATAAAGAAGGCAGGTGTAGAAACATTTCTATTAGTTCACTTCCCCCATGACTGCCAACTTCCATGGATATAGCTATTTTATCAACAAAATACATCTGATTTGAGTTAAATATACACTTTTTAAACTGACAGTGAATTTAAATATCATTTTTATTAAAATTATCTTAATGTCTTACCAAAGTATATGTTATTTATAAAACACCATTTAACAATGTGAAACAATGTATTCAAAAGGAATTTAAAAGCAACATTCTAGAAAATCTTTGTTGTTGTTTACTTGATTCCATTTTTTCCATAGTGCTATTTTTCAGTTACTCACATAGTAGTTTACAGAAAAGTGTATTATGTTTGTGGTAAAAGATTGATTCTATTTATCTTCTAAGCAACATATTTGTCTTGCTAGGAAAATGTTTTTCAATAAGAAAATGGCACGGTAAATGAATTACCATGAGCTAAATATCAAGATTTTCATGCTGAACAAACCTTTAATTTATTTAAAACAAGCCTAATACTTTCAGAAAAACAATGTGCAATTCTTTCTATAATAGGGTTCCTCCTTTATTCTTGAATATAAAATTATGATGTTTATATTGCAATAATTCAAAAATGTGTTAACATTAAGTTCTTAAACTGTAACCTCAGATATGTACACTTCCAGATTGCTTTTGTTTAATCTACTAATACAAAACTTTAGAGAAAGCACTTACCACAGTCCTGGCTCAAAATATTACTCACTAAATAGTAATTGCTGTCATTATTTTTCAATGAATATATATTGTATCCAAATTCCTTTTTCTGGGGTTTTACACATATAGTTTCATTCTTCAGTGTATAGATACACACACACTGAAGAATGAATTAAAAGTGTATTCAGGAATGTGTATGAATTTCTTAGCATGAATTCCAAATTCCCACTGATTTTTCTCATTTTCTCAAAACAAACAAAAAATCCTTTTTTCCCAATAATGTGTTTTTACCACACGTATGAGAACCTCAAAACCTTCTGTCAATGTCTAAAGTCTAAATAAGGCCCTAATGTACATATTGTATTTTTACTCAATACAAACTGTCACAAAATGCCAAAGTGCAATTCAGGAAAAGCAATTTCATGGAACACCAAAATAATGTTTTTCCTAAATTTTTATCATAATCATAATCTTAAAAATCATCTATGTTCTATGTTCTCCGGATTAAGATAAATGTACATTACAGAAAGAAAAAATACATTTTACATCATATCATAAGACCCTATTGTAAAATAGTTTTCTTTATTGTGGTATTGAGCCTTTAATTTTATAGCAATAAAGGTACATTTAGATGATTAAGAAGAAGAGAGGAGGAATAAGAGCCATTTTATTTCTTATTGGAAACACAAGCCCTGGCCTGCTTGTGTTAAAAATAAAATATCTTGTATTTTAAAATGCTGGTATTTAAAATAAAATACTTTGGCTACTTCTCCAAGAAAAATAAAACACACTAAAGGAAACAAGAAAAAAGTTTGACGAAATAAAGTTCAGGAAAATGTGAACTTAATTATAATCTTCTAAAAAAAACCATAAAATAGTTCTCCTGTATTTTTTCCAATAATGAACATCCCTTTTATGTTTCTAGTACATATAATTGTCTTATTTTAATGATGTACAATTTTTAATAGCCAATAATTACTCCCCCACCACACACACACACACACACACACACACACACACACACACACGTTTATAAAATGCTTAGGTGGGCATCAGGTAAAGATATCTAAATAAAATAGTTTTTAAAATGAGTGTACCCACCTACACACATAATAAAAAGTAGTAACATATGTTTATTATTATTAACCAATAGTAAGTACTAGAGCTGATTAATGTGCACCCTAATACAAATGTCCATGGCAAAAGCCCTGATATAAGTTTCCCAGTTGGGGAAAAAAAAAAAGAAAAGAAAAAGAAAAAATGAAAGAAAATCTTTGAGTACCGAATAAAGAAAAGAAGCTAGAAAATTCATCTTTGTTTTATTCTGGAAACAATACAAGAGACATATTATTTTTTAAAATGTAAAATAACCTTTATTGCTATAAAATGAAAGGCCCAATACTGCAAATTAGTGTGATTGCCACCATAGGATCCATTTGTAATCCTTAAATTGATTGGTTTCACTCTCTAGAACTTTTCTTCAAATGCCTGCTATACAGTCTGAGCATTGCATGCTGTGATAATGCTGAAATGATCACATGATCATAATACACTATCTGGCCTCAGAGGACCTGCCAAAAGAAAAGGGGGGTTATCTTAACAATATGACAAATATTATGTTTGCAATATGATTGTAGTATGAATGAAGTGTTGGAAGAGTGCAGAAAAAAGCTGCTTAGTTCAGCCTGTGAGAATGTGAAAAGAACCAATAACAAAGTGACACATGTTGGGGCTTGAAATTTGAAAAGGAATTTTTTACAGTGAAATGAAAAGGAAATACATTTAGGCTTTATTCATTTTGTAGATAAAGAAAAGAAGAATAAATATTAGAGAGAGTAAAAGGTAAATTGCAAAGAAATAGGGACAACCATAAAGACCCAATAAGGAATAGACAGTAGGTAACACTGGCTACCTCAGTGTACATCAATAAAAAGTTGAGTATGTAGAGAACTTAAAAAACAAGTAATTGCTGAAATCACTGCTACATAATTGCTGCAGTTACCGTTGAGTTTCACAATATATGTAACTTTCAAATTAGTAGTATATTAATTACTTATACTTTAATAAACTCTGTATTCTACCTGGAAGAATACACACACTCATTCAAGATTAAATTCACAACAGTTCAGAATCATTCAGGCTTGCTTCAGGCACAGTTTGTGTCTCCAGCTCCTGTGGTATTTCATATTCTTGTGTTTAAATAATAGATTAGACATCACACGGGGATTGTAAAGACAAGAAACAAAACTTGTGTTACTTTACTCTTATTTTTATGACCACTTGGAGTTTTTACTTGTATTTAAAATTTAAAGCAGCAAGTGAAAACTATGGGTGTAATATTTTTGCTTTGCTAAAAATATTTTAACAATATCTTTTAAATTAAAATTTATTCTTTAAAATAATATTTAATTGTGTTTGTTACAACCAGGAAAGAAAACTGTATCAGTGGTAAAATTTGCTATTTGTCTAAAATATATCTTTCACAAACATTCCATGTTTATTAAAATTCCCTTTGAGTTACTGTAAAATTATGGTTGACTTTGATGAACTGTTGTAGGTAAATATTTTCTCATGTAAAAATAAATCGAATTTAAAAGAATTAAGGGGGTACTTTTTTCTTTTTTGGTACTACAATATATTATTCCATTATTTACTTTTTTTACTAAATTATTTTTCTACTGGTACAAATATAAAAATAAACAACAGAAAATTTTCCCATGCTGCATATCTTTTCAAGTCATTATTTTCAATTCATTTTACAGTTATTGTTGAATATTAATTTGCCATAGTAGGAAAATACAGAAATTGATCTACTCCATTTGACCTATATACTAGGTATACTCCACAGGAATTGGCAAACTTTCTGTATAAAGGGCCAAATAGTAAATATGTTAGGGATTATAGGCCACACTGTTTCTGTGACAACAACTCAATTCCACAGTTGTAGTATGAAACCAGCCATGAATAATATGTAATCAAATGGTGGTTACTGCTTTCCAATAAAGCTTTATTTACAAAAATAGAGAGCAAGCTGTATTGGGGTATTTGGTCATTGTTATTATATCTTGCTCTGGAATACAAGTGAGAGACATGCACTAATAAGAAGACACTTTGTAGGTCATTTTCTTAACGTAGTTTATCAAAGGAGGAAAGATAACCAAATATGTCAGTGCTTATTCAAAAAGTAATTAGATTTCTTTTTCTCAGAATGAGGAAAGTAGGCTGATCAGATTCTCTTACAAATATATTTCTTGATTTGACTTTTAATCCTAATAATATAAAATATATATTAGGGAATTAACTTATACCTTATACGTGATGATATAAAAATGAATGTATATATAATCTAATCTCTTAAATAAAATATTTGACTCATCAAAATCAAGTCACTGCAGTATAAGAGCTAAATTTATCCATCTAAATGTATCTATTTAAAGTGTACTCTATATTTGCACATACAAAAGAATAAAAAGACTAAAACTGACATAAAATTATTTCACAATTATCATTAGTTTTGAAACAACTTCTCTATTGTGGCTACAAAAATCACTAGATTATATTTTGGAAAGGCAAACGGAAGATGGGCAAGACACCTAAAATTCGGCAATAGCATTTCATTAGGTTTTCTTCCTATTTTTGTTTTGCTTAAGGAAAGATCATATTTACATGAAATTTGCCTTCATTTAGAGGGCTACTGGATTTCAAATCCAAACATGTTGTTTTCCTCATTATCAGTTTTACTTCTTAGCAATGTAAGTTTGATATCACCTTTGCTTACTCTCTGTATTACTCTCTGGATGATCAAAGTTAAATCACCATTTTTTGAGTCTTAGCAGCACAAGTACTAAAATTTAAAGAGTAAAATATCATTCAGAGTGCTGTTTAAATGCAGTTCTGGACTCTACATCCATAGAGTCTACTATGATATGTTTGAGCCAAGGATCAGAAATACATATTTTTTAGTAAGTACAGTGGTTCCTGAATCAAATCTGGGAAATATTTAAGTGTGAAAGAGATGGTAAAAGGTATAATAAGTAAGGCACATTAATACTACAAAATTACTTTAGTTCAGTGAATGAGTAATTTTCAATTGTGAATAGTACATTTTTGTTTGCTTAGAGAAAATTGGAAAACAGTTGTGTAAAAAATAAGTTGCTTTTGCTTCTCTGTTTGTTATTTTTTTTAAATTCTAGTTAATCCTGAAACATGGAAGAAATATCATCCTCGTTTTTTATGTATTATGGATCTATAGGCTAATTAATGTGGGTATAAAATACCTGAATTTTCTATGTTGACATTCAAAAATAACTGTTTTAAAACCTAGACTTCAGTAAGTAACATATGCTAATATGTCTCAGTGTTTCCTTTACCTTATGCTTTAAAAACTACATCTGTAGGAAGATAAAGATTGACTTTACCATGGCATCTCAGAAGTGAATACCTAAAAAGGGGCAGGTTGTCCTTGCCCAGGGAGTTTTCTCTTTAATAATTTATCACTGAAATCTAAAGATTAGGAAAACATCTAATACCTTTGTACTATTTACTTCACTTACAAATGTCATAGAGGAAGAATAAAACCTTATTAATAAATAGAAAGCATATTCAGTCATTTCTAATCTCACACCAAATAAAGTTTATTACTCTGATTCACACTGCAGACTTATTGAATTGTATCATCTCAATGGTCTTCTTGATTGAGAATAAATGCTTCATTAAATTTAAATATAGCAACATAATAACAATAGCAAAACCAGAGAGAATAATGACTGATGTTAAAGGATCACACATATCACTCTTTGGAAGACATTCAACTTCTAGACAAAATGAAAAGTTTGATATTCACAATTACATAATAAATACAAAAGATTATGGCATGACATGAGGATATAAATGAATCAAAATTAATTTGAGAGTATGTAAAATGAGCTTGTAGATTGTTTTTGAAATAGTAATACAGAAGAAAGAAAAAATAATGATGATCCGTAGGTTAATGACTATGGCAACCAGGGGGATAGTAATAAATTTCATTGAGATGAACAATAAAGGAGGAGGAACAGGTATGTTTTTTGAGGGTGATGCAGAGTTTGGCTTTTATACGTATGATGTCTGAGGTGCCTTGGAGGCCTACAAGTAGAGATGCTGAGTAGGAAGTTAGCTGTGTGGGTCTGGAGCTCAAAATAGTCAGTGCTGGAGATAACCCTCAAAACTATTTCCCAGGCCTCAGACACAAATAGCCAATGCCTATTGGTTAACTCTTCTTTGATGTCACAAAATTATTAATAATATAATGAGTTCTGAAAGATCCCCTTACCTAACTCAAAATATGCCCTTACCTAAGTCTAATTGTCATTCATTATCCCTTAGTTCATTATGAAGTAGCGTTTCCAAACATCCAATTCTACAAGCCAGAAATTTAAGTAACACTTTTCTCCAAGCCATCTCTGACATTAAGGACTTTCGAGAAACCCAAGGGCCATCCTGAAGAAGCTGTCTTCCTCCTGCTGCCATGAGTGACAAATCTGTCCATTTTGCTTTCTCAATTTTTCTAAAATCCATCTGCTTTCTCTATTTCAACTTTCACTTTCCTAGTGCAATTGCTTCCTAAATGGTCCCATATATATGCTTTCTGCTTGTATTGTGTTTTCCTAACTAAATCCAGAGCTGTGTTTTAGAAATATAAATGTGATCATATAACTCTTCTCTTTGAACATTTTGTAATAATGTCTCCCCTGTGATTTTAGGATGGAGGCCTAACCCTTAAACTAGATTAAAAATTGATAGATATCTCTTCCTAGGCCCTAATCTTTTTTTTTTTTTTTTTTTTTTTTTTTTTTTTTTTTTTTGAGGTGGAGTCTCGCTCTGTCGCCCAGGCTGGAGTGCAGTGGTGCGATCTCGGCTCACTGCAAGCTCTGCCTCCTGGGTTCACGCCGATCTCCCGCCTCAGCCTCCGGAGTAGCTGGGACTACAGGCGGCCGCCACCACGCCCGGCTAATTTTTGGTATTTTTTAGTAGGGCCGCAACCACGCCCGGCTAATTTTTGGTATTTTTCAGTAGAGACGGAGTTTCACCATGTTAGCCAGGATGATCTCAATCTCCTGACCTCGTGATTCGCCCGCCTCAGCCTCCCAAAGTGCTGGGATTACAGGCGTGAGCCACTGCGCCCGGCCCATTTTATCTTGTTTTATTCCTCCTTTCTTTCCTTTCTTCCATAATAACCAATTTTTCATTCAAAAACCCCATGCTAATATGCAAGATTCCCAGTCATAGGAATAAATGAAAAATTGAATGAAAACTTTGAATGAAAAGTTGGTCAGTGGAGATGAAAGAAAAGAAGGGAGGAATAAAACAAGATTAAATTAGGTCATAGAAAGAGATATCTATCAATTTTCAATCTGGTGAGGAATTGAAACTGAATTGGGCTAACTTTAGCAGAGAGGAAAATTATAAGGAATTATATGAGAATGTCCACATAACTAACAATAAGGCTAGATAAACAGGCACAGAAAAAAAAAGATTTATCTGGGATCCAGAGAGCAGGATTAAACAGTTTGATATCAGTAGCCACACAGCAATGAATGAATTCCAATTTCATTTCCAATTCTTTTATTCTGTTAAAAAAATTACATTTCAGTAAGAAAATATGTGACTGACTTAATTTAGATTACACACACATTCCTTGGCAAGGGAAAAGCAGAGAATCTTGATTAACTACACACCTACCACATTCCAGTGGAAGGAAGGTAATCCGGCAAAAGTAAACTGAGGTACTAGTACAAAAGAATTTGCAATTTATGATAGTAAAATTATTAAAGTCTTGTATAAGGCCCCAGAATCTTTATTTTGCTGCTGCCACAACCTGTGGTACTTTTAACAGCTTAATAAGTTAACTGAATTTCTACTTCTATAACTTAGCTAAAATACAATGCCTTCAGGAAAACCCTTCCCATATCAGTTCCAATTTTTGTATGTTCACTGAGTATAGCATATTTTTTACTAGATAATCATGTTAATCTCTTGTAGTTAGCAATTTACTTGTGTGATTATTTGATTAAAGGTTAAAATGCATATCACTTTTGCTCAAATATTATCTCCAGTATTAAGCACAGTGCCACTCATAAAGTGAGTGTGCCACATGCAATAACTGAATAAATGAATAAGCATAGGAATGCTATTTGATATGAGAATGTATGAGTTTATTAAATAACTTTAATAGAATAAGCCTAGTACAGGAACACTTCAGGGCTGAACAGGGGAACAGGAACCCAAAGGAATGCTCAGTTCAGTAGTTTAAAAAAAAAAAAAAAGATTTTGCTGAGTCACAGAAACTACGAGGAGAGTGTTTAAAGGAAGAAGCAGTCAAGCCACAGATCTTAGTATGTTTAATGTTGCTATTGCAGAATATCTGAGGGTGGGCAATTTACAAAGAAAAAATACTGAGTTGGCTTACAATTCTGGTGGCTGGAGGGTTTCAGATGGGCAGTTGGATCTGGTACAGACCTCATGCTCCTTCCACTCCTGAAGGAAAGTGGAAGGGGAACTGGTGTGTGCAGGGAGAACACATGGTGAGAGAGGAAAGAAAAACTTGCTCACCGAAACTCACCCATTCCTGACAGAATTCACTCATTCCTGAGGGAGAGCATTAACCTATTCATGAGGGATCTGCTCCTATAACCCAAACAACTGCCACTGGGCTCTGCCTCCCAACACTGCCACATTGGAAATCAAATTTCAGCATGATCTTAGGAGTAAGTTTCAGAAGATATATCGAGGAGGTGAGAACTCAGAAACATAAATTGTTCATCACCTTTGAGATGCTTAGTTTGGAAACTCCATCGCAGGAAGGGCAGTAGCTGGGTAAGAATGGGAATTCCAAGGACTTTTTGTTTATCTATTGAGATTGCGTCCAGCTTCTGTAGTATTTGAGAAGAGACAAATGTAAATAAGCCTATATATTTACATTAATAAATTAAAACTGAAGAAAATTTTGAACATGTAGATGAGAAAAGAGTGAGTTGACTGAGGGAAAAAAGGAAGTTGAAAAATCCAGGTTATTACCTTTAGAAAAAGAAAGGGGCATCTCCAATTTTAAGGAAGCAGAATAGGAAATCATTTTAACAACAAACAAGACTATAGACATGGAACTAGATATTTGAGGGAGATGTTGCCTATTTGACATAGGAAGGCAAGATCATTTCACAATCAAAGTAATACAGATGAAAAGATAAGAAACTGGAATGGTTCCACCAGCACTAGAGAGAAATAAAAAGGTAGGAGAAAGAGTTTGAAAATTAAAATGCCAGGCAGCATTGGATATCAATCAGCTTCATGGACCCTGAAGTTTAATCATACCTCTTTTAAAGAAAAGAACAGAAAATCATAAACATAAAAATTAGCATGAAGCCTTGGGAGGGGTCTGTGCAGGTGTGGGACACTGACACTTAAACATTTTAGCTTCATGGTAAGTTTGCCTCTCATCATAATGTGCTGATGAATTTTGTGTGAAGGGCAAAAAGTATTGCTCTAGCTGTGCCATGGAGAATGGATATTAGGCATGGAAGTCAGGAGGTAAACAAAGTAAAAGATGGCAATAAACATGAGATGAAAACAGTTTAAAGACAATATCTATTGTTAATTATTATTAAGGCTTTGTTTTCTTAGAGCAATATTAAGTTCACAGAAAAATTGGAGGAAGGTACAGAGATTTCTCATATCCCCTTTTCTCAAACATGCATAGCCTCCATTACTATCAAAATCCCCCTTGGTACAATTGATGAGCCTCACTGTCGCATAATAATCACCCAAAGACCATATTTTACCTTAGGGTTTATGCCTGATGTTGTACAGCCTATGGGTTTGGACAAATGTCTAATGACAAGTATCTATTATTATAGTATGATGCAGAGCATTTTTCACTGCCTTAAAAATCCTGTGCTCTACCTCTTCCCTTTTCATCCCTCCAAGTACCCCAACCCCTGGCAAATAATGACCTTTTACTGTCTCCCTAGTTTTGCCTTTTCCAGAGTGTCATCTGGTTGGAATTATACAGTTATAATACTTTTAGATTGGCTTTTCTCACTTAGTAATAAGCATTTAAAATTTTTCCTTACTGTTTTATAGCTTGATAGCTCTTTTTGTTGTTATTGTTTCTTGTTTGCACTAAATGACATTCCATTGTTTGGATATACTGCTGTTTATTTATTCATTTACCTACTGAAGAACATCTTGGTTGCATAGAGTTTTGGGCAATTGTAAGTAAAGGTTCTATAAGCATTTATGTGCACATTTTGGTGGTCATAAGGTTTCAGCCTTTGGATGAATAACAAGGTGCCATGATGCTGGATCATACGGTAAGAATACGTTTAGTTTTATAAGAAATAACCAAACTGTCTTCCAAAGTGGCAGTACCATTTTGCATTCACACTAATAACAAATAAGAGTTCCTGTTGCTCCATGTCCTCATCAGCATTTGGCAGTGTCAGTGTTCCAGATTTTATCCATTCTAATGTGTACATAGTGATATCTCATTGTTGTTTTGCTTATTTCCCTAATGATATGTGTTGTGAAACATCTTTTCATATGCTTATTTGCCATCTGTATGTCTTCTTGGGTGAGGTGACTGTTAAGGTCTTTGACCCATTTTTAATCAGGTTGTTGATTTTCTTATTGTTCAGTTTTTTATTATTAAGATTTCTCCCTACAAAAACTAACCCAATTAACCACATAATGAGTTCCTTACTGGTAAAGGCAAATGAACATTTTTGGTCTTTTTCAGAATGTAATAAATAACAGTCATCCTTCATTTTAAATAATCAAATATTAAATATAATTATTTTTTGATATTCCTTTGCCTAAAGTCTCACTACAAACAAGTTTAACAAAATTCCTTGAGATAAACTTCAAAATAATGCAGAATGAATATGCATGTTATATTTTTTCTTAATTAATGTAAGAGGGATAAGATTGTTTAAAAGCTACACGAAGATTTTTTCTTTCATTGAAATTGTTATTGGGATAATTAGATTCACATACAGTTATAAGAAATAATATAGAGATATACCTTGCATAATTTACTATTTCCCCCACTGGTAATATTTTGCAATAGTGTAGTATAATATCTCTACTAAGATATTGACATTCATACAGTATTCTTATCTCATTCAGATTTAGTCAGCTTTCAGTGTACTTATTTGTGTGTGTATCTTTGTGTGCATTTATTAGGTTCTATATAATTTTGTCACTTGTGTATTCATCATCACAGTCCAGATACTTAATAATTTCAACACCATATATCTGAGTATTTTCAAAGTTAAATATACAAAATATTTTATTTCTCTACCTAATAAAATACATGGATAAAAATTGGTGAATTGAAGTTTTTAGAACTCAAAAATTAAGAACATTTGAAGAAACATCACACCTGACACCTTCATTTTACTGGATGCAATGAAATGTAACCATCACTTAGTTGCATATAAATCAGAAGTGAGAAGGCCAGTTTCTAAGATATTCCAAGTCAGATATTAAAATGAGGTTAAGAGGTTGAGATGATTATCACAATAGACATTGTACATGAACTGATTTCTGATTATAATTATTTCCATAGTGCTCTTTCTGTGCCTTAAAAATGAACAAAACAAAAACTCAGGTATAATTTTATGTACTTCTTTTAATGTAATTCATTAAATTCACAGGAAAGATATATTTGCCAGTGGAAAACATTTATGTAAAGTACATGCTTAAAGTATAATTATTCAAGTTACATGGTGTTTAAAATATATCCTGTATAAACGTGAATAGTTGCATCATGTTTAAGTAGAAAAAGATGCATTTTACTCTTGAAGAATATACTTATAAAATATATGTTTAAAGTATAATTGTTTATGTAACTATGTGCTGTATAAATATGTAATTATATTTTACATGTGAATTTTTAACAAAATTTCTTTAAAGGAGAATTACAGCTTTCAATGGCAGTATTTTTTGGCTTTATTATGACAAATTTCTGAAAAAGAAAGAGAGAGCATTTACCATAATCTCTTCCTCCAGAAACTTTTTCCCATGACAGAACTTGGACTTGCATTGAAATTATCTTTTTTACTTCCCTTTTCTAGACTCAGTGCATAGATAGGCTTTTGCACAGTTCAACTTCATGGGCATTGCTATGGGAAGTTATTTTCTTCCTGAGGCTAACTAGCTCCATGGAGACAGAAGCCTCATTTCTTGCTAGATGATGACTGGCTCCATTTCACAATCTTGGATGTAGACTCAAAGCCTCTGCTTGACAGGGTAGATTTTTCTGTGGAATGTATTAGGTGTGGCTATGTTTTCACTTAGAGCCAGGAATCACTAGAAATTAGCTAAAGGATTGTACATGAAAATTCAAATTTTTGAAACCGATAGATAAGTGAGTTAAACATGGTGAAAAACAGAGCTTATCCTGAGTATAACAGTGGAGTGGCTAAAGAGTAAATTGGAGACATAGAAACAAATCAGGGCTTTCGATAATTGTACACTAGTTTTGTAGGATACAGTCTTAGTTTTAAGGGAATGCACACAGAAGTATTCAGGGCTAAAGGGACACCATGTCTACAACTTACTCTCAAAGAGTTCAGAAAGAAAAGATATATATATATATATATGCACACATATGTATGTGTGTGTGCATTTGTGTGTTTATGTGTGTATATGTGTGAAAAGGTTAATGTAAATGTGATAAAATAGAAGTATTTGGGAAACTGATTTCTTTGTATTATTATTGCAACTTTAATATGTCTGGAATTGTCAAAATTAAAAGATAAGAATAAAATACAAAACTAAACAGTTAGAAATTAGCCAATGTATTTTTCCTTCATGTCTAGAAGTTACTGTTTGATGATATAGGGGGAGAACAAAAGGGAAGAAACAAAAACAGGTTAACTGAAAACAAATGAGACCAATTAAAATTTGTCTAAAATGAACCTTAATATAATCTTTCTTTTTCCATCACACTGCCACTACAATACTCTGAGTCCTGCTATCTTATCTGGACTGGTGCAGCAGTCTCCTAATTGGTATTCCTGCTGCCAATTTCACTACACTCTCCATTAATTTTCCTAAGTCATTGCATTACAGGAATATTTCAATGTTTCCTATCACTTGCACAAGATTTAGGTGCCTAAAAGTTAGGAATTGAGTCTTACTAACTGCCATATGCATCAAAACTTAGGCCCTAACTGATAGGTAGTGTTCAAAAGATGGTGATTTAACCAGAAGCCAAACAAAGCAAGCAGTCATTGCTTTACAGACATTTTATATATTCTTATTGTAAATATAAGAACAAAGCAACAGAGAAACTATATGTTCATATTCAGCTAAGGTAATATAAAAATCAAAGTTAAAGAGCTTTGGAAATTAACTTCCTGGAAAAATGACATACTTTTCGGTTGGTTGCTTCTTAGTGTTATTGCCAAACTCAGAATCCTAGACTGGATAAAACATCATTAAGAGCTTATTTTATAATTTTTCTCTTTTTATTAGAGAAACAAACTAGTAAATTTCTTATAAATTTTGTTTTGGCTGAAATTTCCAAATAGCTGAAAAATATCAAGAAAAGTGGATAGGGCATAGAGAGTAATCACTAATGTTATATACAAAAAGGAGATGAACACTTTTCTTACGCTCTAAAGTATAACAATAATAACATATAAGAATAGTATGACAAGTCAGTGCCATCTAAGAGGCCTTGCAGTACAATTCCTCAGAAGCACATCCGCATCCACGTACACACACACACACACACACACACACACACACACACACAGAGGCAACAATATGCAATGGAAAGTACATTACAGTGGAATTAAAACTATCTGGAATTAAACTAGTTTAATTTTAATTAAAATTAAAATTATAACTATGGCTCTGCCCCTAATTCACTGTGGTTTCTTATATGGTCATTTAGCTCTTCTGAACTTTAATTATCTTAAAAGTGAGGATAATATGTACTTATGAGAGAAATCAAATCTGTAAAATGGGACTAGTATTTCTCAAATGAATCACATCTTGGAACAGAGATAATAATTTTTTGTAAAATGAAATAACATAAAATTTTACTTAAAATCATGTATTTCTGTGTTTACATAAACTAATTGTAAAAAGAAACACATTGATACATTTGTAAATAAAAGGTGTGACAGTTGAAGCAAATCTTGTAGACTATCAGCTATTGCAAGTGAGAGAATGTTGCAATCTAGCTTCCCTGTCTTGTTTATCTTGGCACTAAATAGGGGGTTTCAGCTTCCCCAAAATACTGACAAAAGTCTTTTCAACTTTGTTTCTCTTCCATAACCTCAATGCAGAATATCACAGTAGGAAGGAATGAGAGAGGAAAACAAAGCCATTGAAAGACTATCTGCAGACAAAGGACTGGTGCCAATGCACACATGAGTTTCCAATTTTCTGACTTTAATAATTTTTTTTCAAAACCATAAAAATGTATTTTTGACTCATTCAATTCCATAGGCTTGGACATTGGTGGATATTGTTCAAACTATGTTTTATAGGTAGGGAGGCTTATAAATCTTAGAAGAAGCAGCATCTTCACATAGATGAGAGTTATGAATTAAAACACATTCTTACCATTGAAATATTCTTTATATTGGAAATGCAGCTCAATATGTCCAATGAAACTCTACTGCAAAATGGCCTGTTTTTATAATAGACTTGGAGCAGAAAAATATGGTTACTAACCCAAATATGGTTGATGTATGTTTAATTTATCCAATTCTTTTGAATTCTTATTGAATAGTATTTACAAATTTGAAATTATGTCAGTTATAGGCATAATTATTATAAAATTCCTAGAAACATTTTTCCTAATCTGTATTTAGTATTAATCTATATTTAGTATTATTTTTACACATCATCTTATGTCTCTCAAATCCTGACAAAGGCAATGATGACAATAATGATATCTAGCATCATTTGCAAAGTATTTATCATGTTCTAGACTGTGCGCTAAATATTTAATGTGAATTCTCTTAGTTTTCACAGAAGCCCTATTAGGTACCTTGAGGAAACTGAATTTAAAGAGGATTTAGAAACTTGCCCAATTTCACAAGGATAATAAATGGTAGGAACACGATTTGGACAAGGGAGTTCTACTACAGGACATTTGCTTTTAACTATTTCACTATGCTCTTGCTCCTGGACAGATAACTAAATTTTATGGCAGACTTGAGATTATTTTATACTAACTAATTGCTGGTGGCAGAGGGAGACATTCTGGCTGCAGTTTATCTTTTTTTTTTTTTAAATGTACAAAGAACTTTAATAGACATTTTTCCAAAGATGATATACCAATGGCCAATAAGCACATGAAAAGAGGCCCAACATCACCAGTCATCAGGGAAATTCAAACCAAAACCACAGTGAGACACTATCTCACACCACTATAAAAAATCAGAAATAACGAGTGTTGGCAAGGATGTGGAGAAATTAGAATGCTTGTGCACTGTTTGTGGGACTGCAAAATGATGCACCCACTATGGCACCCACTATGGAACAAAGTATGGAAGTTCTTCAAAAAGTTAAAAATAGAACTACTACATGATCCAGCCACTCCACCTCTGCGTATATACCTAAAATAATTAAAATAAGAGTCTCAAAGAAATATTTGTACTTCCATGTTCAAAGCAGCATTATTCACAATAATCAAAAGAAGGAAGCAATCCAAGTTTGCATTGATGGGTGAATGGATTAACAAAACATGGTATCTAACATGCAATGAAATACTACCCAGCCCCCAAAAGCAAGGACATTATGACACATGCTACAACATGGATGCACTTCAGACATTATACTTAGTGAAATAAGCCAGACACAAAAAGAGAAATACTATATGTTTCCATTTTTATGAGGTACCTGGAATAGCTAAATTTACAGAGACAGGAAGTAGAATGGTGATTGCCAGGGGACATGAGGAAAGGGGAATGGGGATTTGTTGTTTAATGGACATAGACTTTTAGTTTTGTGAGACTGGAGGAGTTCTGGAGATTGGCTGCACAACGTAAATGTACTTAACACTATTGAACTGTACACTTGAAACTATTAAAACACTTGAAATATCCATATTGTTGCTTCTTAAAACTTGTTTCAACATGGGCTGTTGGCATAGTACTGAATCTCAATCTAGTAACTTAAATTCTGGGGTCAGTAGAAAATGAGAAGAGAAAGAAAACTTATGCCACAGTGCTGTCGCTATACAGAGATTCAGTGAAATCTTAGTGGTTTTATCTTATTTGGTCACTGATTTGCTATAAAAGATTGATCATTAGAATTAAAAGCTAAAAGAAAGTGTAATTGTCCTCTGCTTATTGAAAGAATTAAAAAGTTCATGTAGTCTGTTGAAATATCTTCCATAGATGATCAAGATAGAAAAGCGGAATAACCAAATTAAATTTACATTGGAGAAAAAGAACTACTTTATAAAGTATTACAGCATAAAATTAGAAATAAAGGCATTGGTTTTTGAAATAAGAAAACTACAGTAGATTATTGTCAAATAAAGCATATAGCTCTGCCAAAATACTACAAAGTATGTTTTTACAAAAGCAAGAAAGTAAAACCTAACTTCAGGGAAATAACAAGAAATCATTCTCAAATATTACTTGAGATCTCAGCATGTATGTGGCACAGGAGAAGAAAATTAGTTTTAGAGAAGTCAAACAGAAAAAAACTCACATGTTATCTGTCATGTTTTGCCCCCCAAGTTACAATTAATTATGCAACTAATTAAATGTGAAAAATAATAAATTACAGAATTATCTCAAGTAAACAATGAACACGTTTCTTGATATGACCAATAATTTATGAAATAATTACTTAAATAAATTTGCTATATTTTCACAACACTGAAAAACATATAGTCAGAAAGAAATGTTATATTGTCTGTCTTCTTTATAGAGCTAGTAATAAAAACACATTAAAAATGATCAGTATCTACATTTAAATATATGAAACTTTAAAATTTGAGTATGAGATTACCTTATTTAGAAAGACAGAATTTATAATACATTAGGAGATTCAAAAAATACATTTAATGGATCATCTATATCAAAAAATAAGAACCTTTAAAAGGAGGTCTCCTAGGGCTTCAAGACTTCCATGTTCTTCATCCAAATGAGTATTATCAGTTAACGTGCATCAAATAACCATCACAATAAAGTATGATTACTGGATCTACAGAAGCATGCAGTGAAATGTCTTCTTGAGTAATGGAGAACATATTTGCTACATTTCTTTGACTTTTTTACTCAATTAACTATTCTTTATCCACTGCAGAATTCTCCATAATTAGAAGTAATACCATTACCATTCACCTTAAAATTTTTAATTTTTATTTTTCTATAAGTTATTGGGGTACAGGTGGTATTTGGTTACATGAATAAGTTCCTTAGTGGTGATTTGTGAGATTTTGGTGCACCCATCACCCGAGCAGTATATACTGCCCCATGTTTGTAGTATTTTATCCCTTGCTCAACCCCCACTCTTGCCCCCAGGTCCCTAAACTCCATCGTATCATTCTTATGTCTTTGTGTCCTCATAGCTTTAGCTTCCACATGTCAGTGAGAACATATGATGCTTGGTTTTCCATTCCTGAGTTACTGCACTTAGAATAATAGTCTCCAATCTCATCCAGGTCACTGCAAATGCTGTTAATTCATTCCTTTTTATGGCCGAGCAGTATTCCATCACGTATATATACCAAAGTTCCTTTATCCACTTGTTGACTGATGGGCATTTGGGTTGGTTCTGTGATTTTGCAATTGTGAGTTGTGCTGCTATAAGCATGCGTGTGCAAATATCTTTTTCAAATAATGACTTCATTGCCTCTGGGTGGATACCCAGCAGGAGGATCACTGGATGAAACGGCAGTTCTACTTTTAGTTCTCTAAGGAATCTCCACACTGTTTTCCACAGTGACTGTACTAGTCTACACTCACAACAGCAGTGTAGAAGTGTTCCCTGATCACTGCATCCATGCCAACATCTACTGTTTTTGATTTTTTGATTATGGCCATTCTTGCAGGAGTAAGGTGCTATCACATTGCGGTTTTGATTTGCATTTCCCCAACCATTAGAGATGCTGAGCCTCCTTTCATATGTTTGTTGGCCATTTGTGTATCTTCCTTTGAGAATTGTCCATTCATGCCCTTAGCCCACTTTTTGATGGGATTGTTTGTTTTTTTTCTTACTGATTTGTTTGTGTTTGTTGCAGATTCTGGATATTAGTCATTTGTCAGATGTGTAGATTGTGAAGATTTTCTCCCACTCTGTGAGTTGTCTGTTTACTCTGCTGACTGTTCCTTTTGCCTTGCAAAAGCTCTTTAGTTTAATTAGGTCCCAGCTATTTATCTTTGTTTTTATTGCATTTGCTTTTGGGTTCTTGGTCATGAAATCCTTGCCTAAGCCAATGTCTATAAGGGTTTTCCCAAAGTTATCTTTTAGAATTTTTATACTTTCAGGCCTTAGGTTTAAGACTTTAATCCATCTTGAGTTGATTTTTGTGCAAGGTGAGAGGTGAGGATCCAGTTTCATTCTTCTACATTTCTCCTACATGTGGCTAGCCAATTATCCCAGCACCATTTGTTGACAAGGGTGTCCTTTCCTCACTTTATGTTTTTGTTTCCTTTGTCAAAGATCACTTGGCTGTTAAGTATTTGGGTTTCTTTCTGGGTTCTCTATACTGTTCCATTGGTCTATGTGCCTATTCTTATACCAGTACCACGCTGTTTTGGTGACTATGGCCTTAGAGCATAGTTTGAAATCAGGTAATGTGATGCCTCCAGATTTGTTCTTTTTGCTTAGTCTTGCTTTGGCTGTCTGGGCTCTTTTAAGGTTCCATATAAATTTTGGATTGTTATTTCTAATTCTGTGAACGATGATGGTGATATTTTGATGGAAATTGCATATGTTGTATGTTGCTTTTGGCAGTATGGTCATTTTTGCAATATTGATTCTACCCATCCATAAGCATGGGATGTGTTTCCATTTGTGTCATCTATGCTTTCTTTCAGCGGGGTTTTTAGTTTTCCTTGTAAGGGTCTTTTGACTCCTTTGTTAGGTATATTCCTAAATTATTATTATTATTATTATTATTATTATTATTATTATTATTATTATTGCAGCTATTGGAAAAGGGGTTGAGTTCTTGATTTAATTCTCTGCTTGGTCGCTGCTGGTGTTTAGAAGAGCTACTGATTTGTGTATGTTAATCTTGTATCTGAAAACTTTGCTGAATTATTTTATCAGTTCTAGGAGCTTTCTGGAGGAGTGCTTAGGGTTTTCAAGGTAAAGGATCCTATCATCAGCAAACAGGGACAGTTTAACTTCCTCTTCACCGATTTGGATGCCCTTTATTTCTCTCTCTTATCTGATTGCTCTGGCTAGGACTTCCAGTACTATGTTGAAGAGGAGCAGTGAGAGTGGGCATCCTTGTCTTGTTCCTGTTCTCAGAGGGAATGCTTTCAACTTTTCCCCATTCAGTATTATGTTGGCCATGGGTTTGTCATAGATGGCTTTTATTACATTAAGGTATTTCCTTTGTATGCCAATTTTGCTGAGGGTTTTAATCATAAAGTGATGCTGGATTTTGTCAAATGCTTTTCCTGCATCTATTGAGATGATCATGTGATTTTTGTTTTTAATTCTGTTTACGTGGTGTATCACATTATTGACTTGTGTATGTTAAACCATCCCTGCATCTCTGGTATAAAATCCACTTGATCATAATGGATTATCTTTTTAATATGCTGTTGGATTCAGTTAGCTAGTATTTTGTTAAGGATTTTAGCATCTATGTTCATCAAGGATATCAGTCTGCAGTTTTTTTTTTAGGTTGTGTCCTTTCCTGGTTTTGGTGATGCTGGCTTCATGAAATGAATTAGGGAGGGTTCCTTCTTTTTATATCTGTGGAATAGTGTCAAAAGGATTGGTACCAATTCTTTGAACATCTGGTAGAATTCTGCTGTGAATCCATCTGGTCTTGGACTTTTTTAATTGGTAATTTTTTAATTACTGTGTCAATCTTGGTGCTTGTTATTGATCTGCTCAGGGTATCTAATTATTCTTGATTTAAGCTAGGAGGGTTGTATTTTTTCCAGGAATTTATCTGTCTCTTCCAGGTTTTCTAGTTTGTGTGCATAAAGATGTTCATAGTAGCCTTGAATGATCTTTTGTATTTGAGTGGTGTCAGTTGTAGTATCTCCTGTTTTATTTCTTAGTGAGGTTATTTGGATATTCTCTCTTCTTTTCTTGGTTAATCTTGCTAAGGGTCTATCAATTTTATTTTTCTTTTCAAAGAACCAATTTTTTGTTTCATTTATCTTTTGTATCTTTTTTTTGTTTGTTTGTTTAAATTTCATTTAGTTCTGCTCTGATCTTTGTTATGTCCTTTCTTCTGCTGGGTTTGGGTTTGTTTTGTTCTTATTTCTTATTTCTCTAGTTCCTTGAAGTGTGACCTTAGATTGCCTGTTTGTGCTCTTTCAGACTTTTTGATATAGGTCTTTAGGGCTACGAAATTTCCCCGTAGTATCGCGTTAGCTGTATCCCAGAGGTTTTGATAGGTTGTGTCATTATTGTCATTCAGTTCGAAGACTGTTTTAATTTCCATTTGGATTTTGTTTTTGACCCAATACTCATTCAGGAGCAGTTTATTAATTTCCATATATTTGAGTGGTTTTGAAGGTTCCTTTTTGAGTTGATTTCCAGTTTTATTCCACTGTAGTCTGAGAGAGTGCTGGATATTATTTCAATTTTCTTAAATTAATTGAGGCTTGTTTTATGGCCTATCATATGGTCTATCTTGGAGAAAGTTTCATGCACCATTGAATAGAATGTGTATTCTGTGGGTGTTGGATGAAATGTTCTGTACATATCTGTTAAGTCCACTTGTTCCAAGGTATAGTTTAAATCCATTGTTTCTTTGTTGACTTTCCGTCTTGATGACCTGTCTAGTACTCACTGGAGTATTGAAGTCTCCCACTATTATTATGTTGCTGTCTATCTCATTTCTTAGGTTTATTAGTAATTGTTTTATAAATTTGTGATCTCCAATGTTAGGTGCATATATGTTTAGGATTGTGATATATTCCTGTTGGACAAGGCTTTTTACCATTATATAATGTCCCTCTTTGGGTCTTTTAGCTGCTGTTGTTTTCCAATTTGTTTCATACGATATAAGAATAGCTGCCCCTGCTCACTTTTGGTGTCCATTTCCATGAAATGCCTATTTCCACCTCATTACTTTAAGTTTATGTGAGTCCTTATGTGTTAGGCGAGTCTCCTGAAGGCAGCAGATAGTTGGTTGGTGAGTTCTTATCCATTCTGCAGTGCTGTATCTTTTAAGTGGAGCATTTAGTCCATTTACATTCAATATTAGTATTGAAATGTGAGGTACCATTACATTCATTATGCTCTTTGTTGCCTCAGTACTTTGGTTTGTTTTTTGTTTTTTGTTTTTGCTTTTTAACTTGTATTTTTGTTTTATGGGGCCTTTGTGATTTATGCTTTAAAAAGGTTCTGATTTGATGTGTTTCCAGGATTTGTTTCATGATTTAGAGCTCCTTTTAACAGTTTTCATAGTGATGGCTTTGTAATGGTGAATTCTCTTAGCATTTGTTTGTCTGAAAACGACTGTATCTTTCCTTCAAATATGATGCTTAGTTTCACTGAATACACAGTTCTTGGCTGATACTGGTTTTGTTTGAGGAAGCTGAAGACAGGGCCTCAATCCTTTTTAGCTTGTAGGGATTCTGCTGAGAAATCTGCTGTTAATCTGATAGGTTTTCTTTTATAGGTTACCTGGTGCTTCTATCTCATAGCTCTTAAGATTCTTTCCTTTGTCTTAACTTTGGATAACCTGATGACACTGTGCCTAGATGAAGATCTTTTTGTGATGAATTGCCCAGGTGTTCTTTGTGCTTCTTGTATTTGCATGTCTAGATCTCTAGCAAGGCCAGGGAAGTTTTCCTAGATTATTCTCCCCAATATGTTTTCCAAGCTTTTAGAATTCTCTTCTTCCTGTCAGGAACATCGATTATTCTTAGGTTTGATCGTGTAACATAATCCCAGACTTCTGGGAGGCTTTGTTCATATTTTCTTCTTCTTTTTACTTTGTCTTTGTTGGATTGAGTTAATTCGAAGACCTTGTCTTCAAGCTCCGAATTTCTTTCTTCTACTTGTTCAATTCTTTTGCCGAGACTTTCCAGAGCATTTCACATTTCTAAAAGTGTGTCCAAAGTCTCCTGAATTTTTTATTGTTTTTTCTTTAAGCTATCTATTTCCTTGAATATTTCTCCCTTCCCTTCTTGTATCATTTTTTGGATTTCCTTGCATTGGGCTTCGTCTTTCTCTGGTCCCTTCCTGATTAGCTTAATAACTACTCTCCTTAATTCTTTTTCAGGTAAATCAGAGATTTCTTCTTGGTTTGCATCCATTGCTGGTGAACTAGTGTGATTTTTGGCAGGTGTTGATGAGCTTTGTTTTGTCATATTACTAGGATTGTTTTCTGGTTCCTTCTCATTTGGGTAGGCTCTGACAGAGGGAATGTCTAGGGCTGAAGGCTGTTGTTCAGATTTTTTTGTCCCATGGGGTGTTCCCTTGATGTAGTACTTTCCACCTTTTCCTGTGGATGTGGCTTCCTGTGAGCCAAACTGCCATGATTGTTTTCTCTCTTCTGGGTCTAGGCACCCAGCGAGTCTACCCAGCTCCAGGCTGGTACTGGGGGTTCTCAGCACAGAGTCCTGTGATGTGAACCATCTATGGGTCTCTCAGCTGTGGATATCAGTGCCTGTTCTGATGGAGGTGGCAGAGTGCAATGGACTCTGTGAGGGCCCTTAGCTTTGGTGCTTTAATGCTCTATTTTGTGTTGGTTAGCTGCCTGCCAGAAGGTGGCACTTTCCAGAAAGCATCAGCTGTAGTAGTGTGGAGAGGGACTGGCCGGGGGCAGGGCCCTAGAATTCCCAAGATTATATGGCCTCTGTCTTCCACTACCAAGGTGGAAAGGGAAGGACCATCAGGTGGGGGCAGTGCTAGGTGTGTCTGAGCTCAGACTCTCCTTGGGCAGGTCTTACTGTGGCTACTGTGGGGGATGGGGGTGAGAGTCCCAGGTCACTGAAACTGTGTACCTAGGAGGATTATGGCTGCCTCTGCTGAGTCATGCAAGTTGTCAGGGAAGTGGGGGAAAACCAGCAGTCACAGGCCTCACCCAACTCTCATGCAAATTGAAGGGCCAGTCTCACACCCACCATGCTCCCACAAAGGTCCCTAGTCTGTTTCCAGGCAGAGGGTAAGACAGGCTTGAAAACTTGCCTGAGGCTTTCTGCCTTCCAGCCGTGAAAGAAAGGGGCTTTAATTCTTCCCCCTCCTGTGAAGTCTGAAAGCCAGATTCACACCCTCCCCAGAGTTCTGGCCAGGAGGCTTCTCACCCTGTTCAAATTGTTACAAAGTTCAGCTAGAGATTTCCTTCACTCTGTGGAGTTTTACTCCCTGCTCCTCTGGCCACCCTCCTGATGGGTCCCTGTGGTGTCAGGCAGGAATGGGCTGCCTGGGGACCCAGTGATCTCCCAGGGCCTTTCTGCTGCTTCTTCTACCCCTGTATTTCGCTCAGCTTGGCTCTCTAACTTGATTCATCTCCAAGTAAAGTCGGAAACTTCTTCTGCAAACAGACCTTCAACTTCTCCAGTGGGGGTGTGTGTTCAAGAGAGGAGGGTCTCCCTTTCTCACCTCCACAGTTGGGGCGCTCACAGTATTTGGGGTGTCTCCCAGGTCCTGAAGGAGCAGTCTGCTTCCTTCAGAGGGTTTGTTTGTCCTCTCAGGATTGCTGGTTTGTTTTTGCAGTTGATCTGGAGCTAAAATTCATAGTGCAAGCCTCTGCATGTTGCTCTGTCCAGAGCTGCAATCTAGTCCTGCCTCTCGTCTGCCATGATCCCAAAATCCTCCTGCAGTTTATCTTAACACTTAAAATAGAAACTGGTTTGGCTGATTGTAGAAAGGAAGGTCCTTTAAATTTTTACAGCATCTTTCTGAGAGCACAGAGTACTTGACTACGCTTCCTCACCCAGCCATGGCCTGTGAACTCTCTCTCAGAGCATAGCTGCCTTCCTCTGTTTTAACTTTGTGCCTCTCAGTTATCCATAGGGAGTCCATTTTGCTATTAGCCAGAGGCATATTTTAACAGTATCATTTCTAATTCTTGCAATAGTTTAAAAATATGTGTAGTGCAGTTGGATAAAAATGTTCCTTTGTATAGAATATCACTATCTGTTCATGAATCTAAACATAGTTCTTTCCTAGCATACCTTCCAAAGATAATGTGCATTTACTTTCCTCCAACTTTCACTGTTTTATTCAAGGTGACCAAGTTAGACTCAATTTTCCCATCTGTTAACTCCACCCATGGAGAATTTGTTTACTTCCATAGAAGTTCCCTTTGTATTACAGTACTATAGTGAATTCAATGAATCACGTAAAAATACTACCAGTTTTCATTTGTTGTGTGCCCACTAATTCTTGAGTTCAGTTAAAACTTGAAATTATTCTTCTAAAATGCCACAGTGCATTTAATTACTGACTTGCTGCTGTAGAGTTTTTTATTATACTAGAGTTAATCATAGTTTTATTGTTTATAAAAAGTTCATTACTAAAAGGTGTTTAATGGTTATCTGCTAGCATTTTAAAATGGCATAGTAGTAATCAGCCCTCAAAGGACTGTGTCTACCTAAGGTTAGCTGAAAAACACAGCAGCCTAATTACCATCCCAAATCACCACCCTGCCATCTGTTATCTCTAGGAGAAGCAGAAGAAAATGTAAATCTCTGGGAAATAAGGGCTTTGTGTGAGAAGTCCAGATTTTTTTTTTTTTCATTTTCCCCACAGTATTTGTGGTGGTACTAACAGTGCCATAATGAAAGGACTTTTTCTTTCCTGTTATCCTTTTATTCTTGAAGAGAAGTGTCAGAGATACCAAAACCATGGAATTATAACATGCATATATCACTTCAGTCTGCTTTTGAAGACCAAAATAAAATGCAAACTAGGTGGACAAACAGAACTTCACACCGTAGAGCTACTCACCTAACACCCTGTACTGAGATAAACTCATTACAGAGAAGACACATTTTTGACATAGGTAACATATTTTTCAACCAGATTTGAAAATTGCACAGCTCTAATCTTACTGCTAGCCACTATATTTATTTTTCACATACAACTCAGTTTCCATAAAAATAATCTATGTTATGATACAAAACAGATGAATGGTGTTGTAATGTTCTGGCCTTTAAAAGAAATTAGTTGCATTTAAAAACAAAAAAAACACGATATTACTCTTTGTTCTGTAGGAATTCTCTTATATCAAAAAGAAAGTTAAACTTTATTACATTTATACTAATGAGGCAATGGGAATATAAATAAGGGAGCTGGCCAGGTACAGTGGCTCATGCCTGTAATCCCAATACTTTGGGAAGCTAAGGTAGGAGTATCACTTGAGACCCAGAGTTTAAGGTCAGCCTAGGGAACATAGTAAGACTCCATCTCTACAAAAAATGTAAAAAAAAAAAAAACACTTCAGCTGGGTGTCATAGCATACACCATAGTCCCAACTACTCAGGAGGCTGAGGAGAGAGGATCGCTTCAGCCCAGGAGTTTAAGGCTGCAGTAAGCCACTATCATGTTACTGTACTCCAGCCTGGGCAACAGCATAAGACCCTCACTCAAAATTTTTTTAAAAAAAAGAGACACAAAAACTGGTTTGTAATGAAAATAATACAATGAAACTTAAACCTTTCTCATAATTTATATTTTTTCATCCCACCGAGGCAGCCACTTTGAAGACCAAAATCATTTCTGAACTTTCTGTGATTCATGTCAAGAAAGTACTCTGAGTCCATATAAAAAGATAGTAATTTCAATTCCAATTACTTTTGGTACACTATATATACAAACTGATCAATCAGTTAATAAAGTATTTCAATAAAAATTATTTTGTCTAAGAAATTATAGTCACATATCCTGGAAATCATGCAATCATGATTTTTAACTTAAAAGGGATCTTGTTTATTTTGACTGTATAAAATAATATATGATAACAGAATAAGATGATGAAAATAAAATCGCAAAACTGTTGTTGAAATTTTAATAGTGAACTGATAAAATATTTCATATTTTATACTATTGCTTACTTTCATTTCTTTATTCTTGGATATAATTCTGTACCAGAGAGAGCATAATAATAAACTTCTAAATATACTTTCTTTCTGGTTTATTCATTTAAGAAAATATTATTGAATACTACTGTATGTTAAGCAACATCTTATAGACTGGGAGTAGATTAAGCGTAAATATCCACTGTTCCATTCCCATAGCGTACTACCTACTGTGTGAAAAATATATCACACAATGGCACAATGTAAGGAAAAGCATAACACACACAAAAAAATCTGTGTAGACAGACAATGAAATCTGATCTAGACTGGGGGGTAGGGGTTCAAATGAGAAACCTAAGGAAGCAACCCTTAACTTAAAGTCTCAAAGATGAAGAGGAGTTAACTGAGCAAAGAGGTCAGAGCATGTGAGCCACACATATAAATACTCTGTATTATGAGAAAGTGTGGCATGTTTTAGAAAAAAAACATGAAAAAAGAAGTGAGTTATAAGACAAGAAGCCAAAAGGTAAACAAAGGACAATCCATACAGGGCATTGTTCTCAATCCTAAAATATTGGTAAGCCACTAAATGATTTATGCCACGAAGTTATATAGTCATATATGAATTTGAAAAGAGTACTGTGACTGTGGAGGAGATACTGTGCTGTTAATCTAGTTTTGAGGCTGCTGGACTACCCTATAAAGAGATTATATTTATTTAGAGTTAAGAGCAGCAGATAATGAGCCAAGTGGATGAAGATGAGAAGTTACATGATAGTACTTTATAAATTGTTACCTATTTTGTAAACTTTTTGTTTACATAAGCTTGAATAGAATTTTTTTCCATATGTAATATTATGTATATTAATTATTCATGTAACTTTGATAGATTGATAGATTGATTTGTGAAATATGATAGATGAGCATATGAGTTTATCTCCTCTCTCTCCCAAACCCATTGTGTTAGTCAGTCATACCTTTCTCCAATGTTTCTACTGCTCCACCTTCCAGGCATACAGAACATATGCCCTTCCCCATCCAACTGAAATTGGGCAGCTGAGTGTGGTTGCTCACGCCTGTAATCCCAGCATTTTGGGAGGCCAAGGTGGGTGGATCATGAGGTCAGGAGATCAAGACCATCCTGGCCAACATGGCGAAACACTGTCTCTACTAAAAATACAAAAATTAGCTGGGCTTGATGGTGCGTGCCTGTAATCCTAGCTACTCAGGAGGCTGAGGGAGGAGAATCGCTTGAACCAGGGAGTCAGAGGTTGCAGTGAGCCAACATTGTGCCACTGCACTCCAGCCTGATGACAAAGCAAAACTCCATCTCAAAAAAAAAAAAAAAAAGGAAAGAAAAGAAATTAGGCATGGACATATGACTCACATGGACTACTGACAAGACTAGAGAAAGGGGTCAATGAAATCTTTGAATATGTGGCAATTAAGGTGGATTTTGCAATATTACCATAAACTACCTAGAGAATGTTGGAAAAAGAACCTGATAAAAATGTTAAACATTTCCAAAATTATGAAAAAAATCTCGCCACAGAATTTACAAATGGGTTACAAAATATGTATTTAAAACATTTGTGAGAAATAGTTAAAGTTACTTTAAGCTAACATAACTGCAACAGCATAATAATTTTGTAGTAATAAAAACAAATTATTAGAAGAAATTAATATCTCAGAGACACATCCAAAGATGAAGTTTTGGATTGTTATAGAACTCATTAGAACTGAATAAGGAAAGGCTGAACTAAGTTAATGACATTGGAACACTTGGTTTTCCACCAAAAGTCAAGTATATTTAGATGTCCTACTTATACCATTCATATGCCATGTAATATGAAATAAAGACCTAAACTATAATAATCTTAGATATTAAAACCAAACTATAAAAACAATACGAAATAATTTAACAGATTATGTTTCTGTTCTTAGACAGGCAATATCTTCTTAAATAAGATTTTAAAAGCAAAAGACAAAAATAATTCATGTTAGATATTTGATAGTACAAATTATACAGGCAGACACACACACACACACACACACACACACAGGACAAAAAACTCCATAGAAAAGGATCAAATCAAGAGACATACTGGGGGGAAATACATATAACACAGGAGAAAAACAGAATATTAGAATATATTTTTAAATTTATGAACTAGTAACACAGATAAATGATATAAACAAAATTGGTCCAAGAAACATACAAACACACACAGATACACAATCAATAGAAAATTTTGTTTCTATTGGCAAATTTTAATGAAAACAGTGAGATTCCATTCTATCCTCACTTCAGAAATCAAGTTTCAGAATAATTAAAAGAGATTATATTAATAATTATTTTAAAAATCTCTATTTTTACTACCACATACATGTGTTTATAAACATGTAGAAAAATGCCTGGAAGGATCTACAATTAACTATTTTCCTTCTGGCTTTGAAAAGAAGAAAGCTGTAATGAAGCAGTAGTCAAGTAAGATATTAACCTATTTATAATACTCAATATATTAATAAGATTGTTTTCACATATTTGTGTAAGTATACATTAATTTTAGAAATACAGAGATCTATATGGTTTAAGAGACAAATGTTTTGTAAGTATTAAGCCACAATTTATTTTTTCTGGACAAAATTTTTAACATTTCTGAATTTAAACATCTTTTTTTTAACAACAGGAAAGTAAAAGGTACATTTGTTTCATTGAGTCAGACAATGGAGGTGAAGCTGTTAAGAAAAAATAAACTCCATACAAGGTAAGTTATAATACTTCTATATTTTTGCTTGAACTTTGAGGAAAAAGTGAGACTAAATTATGTATATATTTACTATAATTATGTTATTTAGATAAGTATAAATGTCATCAATGCTTTCTCTTTAGAATATCTATTAACAAATAAATACTTTATTGCTTCAAATATATTTTTAATTCTTTTTTTGACTGCCATCTCATTACTATTAAATTTTAATACATGAGAACTTTGTAAAGGAGTTTGTGTCATCATTTCTTTTAGTTAATTCTATCATTGGAAATAGATTAAATAAAATTTGTCAACTAGAAATTATGAATATCACAAAATTGAATATTTTTGGAATAACTATTAAAATTATAAAGTTATTAGGAAATGTAAAATAGGGTTATATTTTTAATTCTAAAAGGAATTAAAATATTAATTTAAAATTAATGCAACTACTTATACATGTAATTAAGAAATACTGTAGTTATATTAAAGAACCATAGTATTTCTAATATTTTGAAAGGCATAACAGAAGTAAAGAAAAGAATTCATAATCCTTAATAGACCTCTGAAATTCTTTTTTCATTAATTACACTGTACCACAGCTATAATCTCAACTATCTTCAAGAACAGAAAAAGTTAAGTAAAAGAGCAAAGCATGCTGATGTAAAAGCAAATAACTATGCAAGCCTGCTGATGAACTAACTTGTAAAACTCCTCCTAATGTCAAGGAGAAAAGGGAGGAAGAAATAGCCTGACGCTGGTGAGCTGGAGGGCTCTCTTGGGCCAGTTGGATAGCATAGGCATTAGTCAGCTCCTAGTAATGGTTTTGCAAGTATGTTGACCATATTCCCAAACCTTCAGATAATTTACAAGAATACAGGCATCTGGGCCGGGCTCGGTGGCTCACGGCTGTAATCCCAGTACTTTGGGAGGCCGAGGTAGGCAGATCACCTGAGGTCAGGAGTTCAAGACCAGCCTGACCAACACGGAGAAACCCTATCTCTGCTAAAAATACAAAATTAGCTGGGCATGATGGTGCACGCCTGTAATCCCAGCTACTCAGGAGACTGAGGTAGGAGAATTGGTTGAAACTGGGAGGCAGAGGTTGCAATGATGAGCTGAGATCGCGCCATTGCACTCCAGCCCGGGCAGCAAGAGCGAAACTCTATCTCAGGAAAAAAAAAAAAAAAGAATACAGACATCTGTTTTTGTTTTGTTTTTAATTATTCACAAATTATCGTCAGTTAATGTTGTCTTAGTATTTCTAATGTAATGTGGGTCAAAATAGCACCTCCTCACCCCATATATTTGCTTTTATTTATATGATTATGATTTTCTTTGGATCTTGTGGTCAGTGGGTATGCTGATACACCCATTGCAGAGTTAATTTGGCACTGCTGGCACATAATATATAATTTAATGCATCCATGTATTTACTTACATTTTACTTTTACCCTGGAATTACCAGCTTCCTTGTGCCCAGTAAAGTCTCTAACAACAGTTACAGAAAGGCTTATTTTCCAGTTTCCCAGAGAAATGTCAATTTCTCCATGTTTTTTATTATCTTATAAACCCATTCTCTTCCTCTACATGTATCTAGGTTTCTATACTAAAAGCACCAAACATTCACCTTCATATTTTTAATAATTATATATCTGTTTTATCCACTAAATTGTGAGTTTCCTAAAAGTAGGTACATAAATTTTTCATTTTTGACCTTAGCCTAGGGTCTAAGGGTCTTGTATGAACAGACATTCAAAATTACTTATTGAATTGCATTGGTTTGAATTACAATACATATTAAAATTGATTTAATTTATATTTATGTATTTATCATATCCATAAACTTGCCCTGAACCTATCTACATGTGAAGCTATGTTATTGGTGCAGATGATACAAAAATATAACAAGTTCTCTGACATCCAAGGAGATTAACACTTAAGGAGATAGACATTGAGAAACATCAACAATGCATGTTTTAAATATACCAAAATGTAGAAATTGCAATAAATTATGTGCAGCTTTCTGTGGGAACATTTTAAACAAATGCTTAACATTTGTCAAGCACTTATTCTGACCTATGCACTGTCCTAGATTTATACTTATGCAAATAATCCTTGTAGCAACCCTATAAGGAAGATACTCTTAGGATATATTCCTGGTGAAACACTTAGGAAACTGAGGCACAGAGATGTTAAGCAATTATCCCAAGGGTCATATAGATCTCATGTGACAAAGCCAGAGTCTATGTTTTAATTACTGTACAGTTTCACTTTATTACTTGGAGATAGGGATTAAGGATTAGGGAAGCCTCAAGAAACACAGAAGGTGGTAGTGAGTCTTGAGTTGATTTTAGAAGTATGAGATGGCACTTACATGATGAAATAAGCAACACCAATGGCTCCTGGGTGAGTGTTTGGCAATTTCCAGGTGGGAGAAACTGTAAATTAAAAACTGTGTCTCCAATATTGGGTATGAGGAGTATAAAAGTGAGAATGAGCTTGAAAATATAAAAAGGATACACATCATAAGCTGAGAAATGAGGAGTCACTGAAATGCTGGATTTGGAACTAAGGCTCTCAAACTTGTTATATAAGCAAACATTTTTGGCTATAAAAGTAAAAACAACAACAAAAAAACTGGAAGAAAACTGAATACTGAGTTAAAACAATGAAAGGAATCAAAAAGAAGGAAGAAAAACATTGATGCTTCTAGGCAACAAAGCAAACTGTAAGATTATTTTTTGTAAAAAACATCTATATTCCCGATGAAGAAAATGATTTTGCCACAAGCAAAATAAAAAGAATATGAAAGAGGGAGAAAAAAATTAAACCTTGAGAAAGCTATGGACACAATTTAACTTTGCTCAGGCTGATGGAGTAAGAAGAAAAGATGGAAAGCATCATCAAGAGACCAAGAAAAAGCTGTGGGAAATTACAAAGAGCAGAAAAAGCCTAGATCAATTTCCATCTAAAAGTCTGTTTTCAAAAGACACTTGGTTTAGCAAAAATTCTTTTTATAACCATAGTACTAAACTTTTCTTTGGCCTTCACCATTTTGTGACTTGGAAAACATTTAAAATGCATTAATGGGGTTTGCTAGTGGTTTATGGGAGCCCAATAAATAACATGCTTTTTTTCTGGACTAAGTTCTGAACAAACTTAAAAATATAAGAACGAATAAAAGTAGCAGAAAGATTAAAATGTTACCAGGTTAATTTTTTTAAAAAGTTCTCACAGGTTAAAAAAAAAAAAAAAAAAGACTGTTCTGTAGCCATGCTAACAAACAGCCATCAGAACAGTTTCATCAAAAGTTTTACACCATTTTGATATTTCAGTGAATATTCATATTAATGAACTAGGTTTTGCAACCAACCAGTCAGTATTAGACACTCCCTTCCGAAAGTCAGCCAGTCAGGAAAGCACCCTCTACAAATATACATCTGTGAGTGTCAACCTATCCACAACAGTCTCACCTGAGTAACCCCTCCTAAAAATGGCATCAAACCTATAAGCTTTTCAAAATCCACTAATCCTAGTGGATTAGAACTTCATGCCACCCCAAACACTTGTAACATCAGTACTCTGCTCTGCCGTGGAGCTGTGCCTGGCTAATATATCTTTTCTTACTATACCAAGCAATATATTTAAATTTTCTTTTTTAAATTTCAGATATTGAATAGCAGTTTAATCACCTGTGACAGGTCTTTATTATTGAAATAGACTATGTTGGAGGCTCTAAGACAATGTTAGATTCAATGTCCTGCTAACTGAACCCTATAAACAGGCAGCTATCCCAGCTTCAGCATACTAGATTGGGGCAAGTCCCACCACTCTGTAGGGCACAGGAACCTGTCCAGATCTGACTGACAGCAAAGTGGAGTAAAGAGCAAGTACTCTTACAAGCAGTTTGTTCCCAAATAGAAAAAGGTAGAAGCTGAATTGAGCATGCCCAGTTTATTTTTCCTAAATTTACAAGTCAGAAAAATTACTGTACTTTGCCTGAGGCAGAATGATTAAAGAGGCAGAAAAATACCAAGAATGAGTAATGAAAGCAGCAGAACAAACACTTAGAGGGCATAGGTAAAGCATTTGTCCTATAATAGGTTCTAGCAATTACTTATCCAATATAAAATACAAATAAAACTGCAATAAAAATATGTTAGGCTACAGATGACTATATATTAAGTGGTATCCTATTCAGGCTGCCATAACAAAATACCATAAACAGGCTAATGTAAACAATAAAAGTTTATTTTGTCACAGTTTGTGGAGGCCGGAAGTCCAAGATCAAGGTACCAGTGAGATAGGTTTCAGTCTGAGGCCTGTCCTCTTGGCTTGAAGGCAGCTACTATTTCACAGTATGCTCACATAACCTTTTCTTTCTGAAACCTCTCTCTCTCTCCTTCTCCCTTTTCACATGAAGTGACCAATCCTCCGTGATTAGAGACCCAGCTTCATGATCTCACTTAACCTTAATGACTTCATAAGGACCCTATCTCAAATATAGTCACGTTGAGGATTAAGGCTTTAATATGTGAATTTTGGAGGGACACAATTCTGTCACTGCCTCCACCAAAAAATTCATGCTCTTTTAAAATGCAAGATACATCCCAAAAGTCTCAAAAGTTTTAACCCAACCTGGCATCAACTCTTAAGTCCAAAGTCTTATGTAAATATTCTTATTTTTTATTTATTTTTATTTCACTAGTTTTAGGGGTACAGGTGGTTTTTGGTTTCACGGATAAGTTCTTTAGTGGTAATTTCCAAGATTTTGGTGCACCCGTCACCTGGGCAGTATACAATCCACCCAATATGTAATCTTTTGTCCCTCACTCCCCTCCCAAACTTCCCCCATGTTCCTAAAGTTCATTACATCATTCTTATGCCTTTGCATCCTCATAGCTTAGCTCCCAGTTATAAGTGAGAACATACAATATTTAATTTTCATTCCTGAATTACTTCACTTAGAATAATGGCCTCCAGCTCCATCCAAGTTGCTTCAAAAGACATTATTTTATTCCTTTTTATAGCAGAGTGGTTACTCCAAGGTGTATATATGCCACATTTTCTTTATACATTCATTGGTTGATGGACACTAGGTTGGTTCCATATCTTCGCAATTGCAAATTGTGCTGCTATAAACATGCGTGTGCATGTGCCTTTTTCATATAATGACTTATTTTCCTTTGGGTAGATACTCAGTAGTGGGATTGCTGAATCCAATGAAATATAGTTCTACTTTTAGTTCTTTAAGGAATCTACATACATTTTCCATAGTGGTTATAATAGTTTACATTCCCACCAGCAGTGTAAAAGTGTTCCCTTTTCACCACATCCATGCCAACGCCTATTATTTTTTACTTTTTAATTACGGCCATTTTTACAGGAGTACAGAGATATCTGATTGTAGTTTTAATTTCCATTTCCATGATAATCAATGATGTTTAAGATTTTCTTCATATATTTGTTGGTTGTTTGTATATCTTCTTTTGTTAAAGTCTCATATAAATATTTTAATCAAACAATGGGTGAGACTCAAGGCATAATTCATCCTGTGGCAAAAATTATCCAGCTGTGAACCTGTAAAATCAGATAAGTTATATGCTTCAAAAATACAATGGTGAGTTGGGCATAGAATAAACATTCCCATTCCAAAAGGGAGAAATTGAGAGGAAGATAGGGGTGATATGTCCCAAGCAAGTCCAAACCCTAGCAAGGCAAATGGCATTAATCTTAAAGGCAAATAATAAACTTCTTTGGTTTGATGATTTGCCCTTCAGCCCCATTGGGTTGGCAACATCAACCCATCAACAGCTCTTCAAGAAGGCCCTATCCCTTTGGCTTGGTGGGGCTACCCTGCCCCCACAGCTGTCTGCCTAGCTTTAACTGAGAGGGGGATCCCATCCTATGAAACTGGTGATGAAGCAGCCTTGTCTTCTGAGCCTTTGATGAGAGTGGCAGTTCTGCTGATCTCTGAATTGACTTGTGGGCTATTCTCTCCCTTTCTTGAAGTATCCCTCAAGCACGTTCACAGGCAAATAGCTCTATTGTTCCATTGTATAGAATCTCAGAAGTCTAACAGCCTTTATTCCATCCTGCTTTCTCTGTACTATCTAGTTCAAACTAGCAGTGTATTCACTGGTATAATCCCTGACTTCTGCTGAGGTGACTGATCACATCTGTGAGTCATATCTATTATATTTTATCAAATGGTTATCCAGCCACATGCTTAGTGTTCTCTTCAGAACACACTCCATATTTTATAAGATGGATAGACTGAAAATTTTCTATATGTATGAGTTCTGGTTCATTTTTGCTTAGCAATTCTTTCTATTTATTTCTCTCCTCTCACATTTCGCTATAAGCTGTAAAAAGAAACCAAGTTACTCCTTCAACACTCTGCTTAGAAATATCCTCAGCTAAATATAAAATTTCATTCCTCACAAATTCAACCTTCCAAAAAAACCTAAAACACAATTCAGCCTCTTTTTTTTTCACCAGTTTATAGCAAAGATATCCTTTCCTCAATTTCTCAATAATCAATTAGCCAGGCTTAGTGGCATGCTCCTGTAGTCCTAGCTACTTCCTAGGAGACTGACAGGAAGGTTTCTTGAGCCCAGGAGATGGAGGCTGCAATGAACCATGATCACATCACTGCACTCCAACCTGTGTGACAGAGCAAAACCTTATCTCAAAAAAGAAAAATTTTCCAATAATCTATTCCCCGTTTTCCATGTGAGACTTCACCTAAGATTTCTGGCATTTCTATCAATATTCTGTTCATGATAATATATGTATTCTTTAAGACAATAGAGGCTTTTTCTATAGTTTTCTTCTTTTCTTCATGAGCCCTCTCCAGAACTGGCTTTAACATCCATATTTCTACCAATAGTCCCTATGTGGGAATGTAGGCCTTTTCTAGCATGCACCTCAAAACACTTTGAGCCTCTACTCTTTACCAAGTTTAAAATCACTTCCACAATTTCAGGTAATTGTTACAGCAGCACCCCACTTTACAATTCCTAAATTTATTAGTCAGTTTGTACTGCCAAAACAAAATATAGACTAGGTGGCTTAAAAAACATAAATTTATTTTCTTATGATTCTGGAGAAAAGAAGATTCTGGTCAGTTTGGTTTCTAGGGATAACTCTCCTCCTGGCTTGTAGACAGTTGCTTTCTTGTTGTGCCCTTCCTTGATCTCTTTTTGGAATGCAGAAAGAGAGAGAAGAGAAAAAAAAAGAAGCTCTTCGGTGTTTCTTATGAGATCAGGGTTTTACCCTTATTATTTCATTTAATTTTAATTACTCCCTTAAAGGTTTCATTTCTAAGTATAGCTACACTGGGGATTAGGCATTCAACATATGAAATTTGAAGAGATCCAGACATTCGATCCATAATATTTGGATATCTTCTGCCTTTTGGCTGTTGTGAATACTGCTACTGTGAGCATCGGTGTACAAATATCTATCTATTTTTGTCCCTATTTCATTTCTTTCATTTCTTTTAAATAGCCAAAAGATGAATTGCTTGATAATATCATAGCATTTATTCATTTTTTCCAACAATTAACTACCTACTATGCAACAGGCATTATTCTGTGTCTTGAGAACAAGCAACAAACACAATCATGCCTTGGATTCTTTCTTTCTCGCCACAATTTTCAACCTTAAATCTGTCTAATTCATCACTACTCATCTTTTCAAAATACATCTTAAATAACTGCCTGTATTAGTTTGTTTTCATACTGCTATAAAGAACTACCTGAAACTGAGTTATTTATTTTAAAAAGAGATTAAATTGACTCACAGGTCAACATTGCTGAGGAGGCCTCAGGAAACTTACAATCGTGGTGGAAGGTGAAGGGGTAGCAAGGCATTTTCTTCATAAGGTGGCAGGAAGGAGAAGTGGTGAGCAAAGGAGGAAGAGCCCTTTATAAAATCATCAGATCTGGTGAGAAATCACTCACTATCAATCACAAGAACAGCATGGGGAAACTGCCCCCATTATTTAGTTGCCTCCACCTGGTCTCTCCCTTGATACATGAGGATTATGGGGATTATGGGATTACAATTCAAGATGAAATTTGAGTGGGGATACAAAGCCTAACCATATTATTCCACCCTTGGTCCCTCCCAAATCTCATGTTCCTTTCATATTTCAAAACCAATCATCATATCAAACCTTCCCAACAATCCCCTAAAGACTTAATTCATTCCAGCATTAACCCCAAAGTCCAAGTCCCAACTCATCTGAGACAAGGCAAGTCCCTTCTACCTATGATCCTGTAAAATTAAAAGCAAGTTAGTTGCTTCCTAGATACAATGGGGGAATAGGCATTTAGTAAATACGCCTGTGCTAAATGGGGGAAATTGGCCAAAACAAAGGGGCTAGAGCCCCCAAGCAAGTCTGAAATCAAGTAGGACAATCAAATCTTAAAGCTCCAAAATAATTTTCTTTGTCTCCATGTCACACATGCAGGTCACGCTGATGCCAGAGGTGGCGTCCCATGGCCTTAGGCATCTCCATTCCTGTGGCTTTGCAGGGTACAGCCCACCTCCCAGCTGCTTTCATGGGCTGCCGTTGCAGCTTTTCCAGATTAACAGTGCAAGCTGTCAATGGATCTACCATTCTGGGATCTGGAGGATGGTGGCCTGGCCCTCTTCCCACTGTTCCACTAGGCAGTACCACAGCTGGGACTCTGTATGGGAAATCAGATCCCACATTTCCCTTCCGCATTACCCTAGCAGAAGTTCTTCATGAGGGCTCCATTCCTGCATCAAACTTCTGCCTGGACATCTAGGCATTTCCGGACATCTAGGCATTTCCATACATCCTCTGAAATCTAGGTGGAGGTTGTCCAACCTCAATTCTTGACTTCTCTGCACCTGCAGGTACAACACCAAGTGGAAGCCATCAAGGCTTGGGGCTTGCACTCTCTGAAGCAAGGGCCTAGGCTGCACATTGGCCCCTTTTAGCCATGACTGGGACATAATGCAGTCCTGAGACTTCACAATGCAGCAAGTCTCTGAGCCCAGCTCATGAAACCATTTTTTCCTCCTAGGCCTCCAGACCCATGATGGAAGGGGATGCTGTGAAGACCTCCAACATTCCCTGAAGACACTTTCCCTATTGTCTTGGCAATTAACATTTGGCTCCTCATTACTTATGCAAATTTCTTCAGTCAGCTTGAATTTCTCCTCAGAAAATTTGTTTTTCTTTTCTATTGTATAGTCAGGCTGCAAATTTTCTGAACTTTTAAGCTCTGCTTCCCTTTTAAACATAAGTTCTGATTCCAAACCATATCTTTGTGAATGCATAAAACTGAATTCTTTTAAGAGTACCCAAGTCACTTCTTGAACACTTTGCTGCTTAGAAATTTCTTCCACCAGATACCCTAAATAACCTCTCTCAACTTCAATGTTCCACAGATCTCTAGGGCAGGGGAAAAATGCTACCAATGTCTTTGTTAAAGCATAGCAAGAGTCACCTTTATTCCAGTTCCCAGGAAGTTCCTCATTTTCATCTGAGACCACTTCAGCCTTGACTTTATTGTCCACATAACATCAGCATTTTGGTCAAAGCCATTCAACAAGTCTCTAGGAAGCTCCAAACTTTCCCACAATTTCCTGTCTTCTGAGCCCTCCAACTGTTCCAACTTCTGCCTGTTACCCAGTTCCAAAGTTGCTTCCACATTTTTGGGTATCTTCATAGCAATTTACTGTATTAGTCTGTTTTCATACAGCTATAAAGAA
Source organism: Homo sapiens (assembly GCF_000001405.40). NCBI lineage: Eukaryota > Metazoa > Chordata > Mammalia > Primates > Hominidae > Homo > Homo sapiens. The sequence continues at coordinate 87,166,924 of NC_000012.12, forward strand.
CTGTCCAAGACTGGGTAGTTTATTTAAAAAAAAAAGTGGGGGGTTAGTTGACACAATTCAGCATGACTCAGGAGGCATCAGGAAACTTACAAATATGGTGGAAGTCAAAAGGGAAGCAAGGCAACTTCTTCACGTGGCAGCAGGGAGAAAAAGTGCCAAGCAAAGAGGGAAACCACCCCCATAATTCAACTACCTCCATTTTGTCTCTCCCTTGACATGTGAGAATCATGAGGGTTACGGGGATTACAATTCAAGATGAGATTTGGGTGGAACACAAAGCCTAAACATATCACTGCCTTTTAAATTCATCTCTGAGTCCTCTCGACTTGCAAAGTCAAGGTCATCCCCTAAAGCAAGAGTGACCAAATATTTCCATTTCCCCAGTAGAACTACTGAGGTTTAAAATTTCAAAATTTGTAACATTTTTCACTCTCAAAATCATCCCTCTTTGGAAGATAGATTTCACAGTCATATTACCCACAGCCAATTCCTAAAGTGAGACCCTTAAAAAATGTAATACTGTATACTTCTACATGACTATTTTTATTTGCTTAAAAATTTCATGGAATTTTTTTCTCTTAATTAAATGTCATTATTGTTAAAATGTAAAATATAAATAAACAGTAAGTTAGAATCTAAAAATCTATGGAAACGTTCACAGAATGTCATATGCAAGAAAAGGAACAATAACTTTCATATGATTAAGGAAACCAGTTATATCATTTCTCCTTATGTGTCACTTCCTCTGTCTTTTACCTTACTATGATAAGACTTAAGGAGAACGGGTCAGTAAACTGATTTTGGAAGTATCACCTCATTGTTTCATACTATCAGTTATGAAAACAAATGAGAACTTTAGTCCAGTCCAGCAACAAAATAAATTCCAAATGGACTGAGGAATTTAAATAATATATAAAAAATAAAGGAAATACCATTAATGTTATAATTTTGGTGAAAAATATCTCTGTAAACTTAGAATTAATTAAAAAATACTAAAGAATGGATATATATGGTAACATAAAATTAGATAAGAAGGAACAAAATGATGTTTATTTATGATAACAGCAGTTATTGGAGGCTGTTCTGTGCCAAGACATTTTCTCTAAGATACTAGTGAAAATAAGATACCTGGGCTCGTAACATAAATGGGTAACAGACATGGAAATAGTCATATCCTATATCATGGGATGAGAAACAAAGATCTACATGCTTGTGTCTATGTCTACATTTCAGAAATGCTTCCTACTGTTTGTAGCTGCAAAGCACTAAATTGTTAAAAGTCATATTTATCATACAAATTTTATAGCTTACACTCAAACTGCTACTTTTCAAGAAGAAAGAACGTTTCAATTATTTAAAATAAATTAATTCCTCTACCCACCATTTATAAATTAGATTCATGGTTCATACATACTCATCTCTCTACACATAAAGCATCAGGTTTCTACTGATAAAGATTTCCTTATTATAAGTTTCCTCTTACTACTTCAGTAATTTAATAAAATTTTATCCTTGTTTTCACTATTCAATCTGATCTACTATATTTAAGCCATCTTAATATTTTATTTGTCTTATGTGTTTTTTTTCTTCTAATAAGTATTCTTAAATATTCTATAGAAGTAAGAAAGGGCTCATTCACGTAAGGTAAACCTCAGGTAAGGTACAATTTAGATTCTATTTATTACTGAAATAAATTCTTAATTATATGTAATGTACCAATAAATGGTGATCATATGATTTCCTTATTATTAATTATCTTTTTGTTTCCATTGTGCCTTTATCATTTGGAGGCATTGGCTATATTGTCATTGGGGGTAATATAGTTAAGAGAACTTCCTCAGTACATCAAGGCCACATTTGAGCTTTTACTTTATGACTCAGTTTCCCTACTTATTAATGATATTCATCACTTTTTTATAATAAAGACAAGACAATATAGATGACTATGTTGTTATATAGTCATCTCAGATGAATGATGCCATATAAATTCAAATAAGTAACATTCTCATTACTATTTACATTTATTTGCCCATTTCATAAAAGTGACCCATAGCTTTGCACTACATGATATGATTTCTCTTGCTATTCCTCCAACTAATGGATGTAGTTGGTACAATATTATAATGTGTTTGTATATAAAAGATCCTCTTACATATCATCCTTGAGGGAAATGTTTTGGCATTACTGTTTTCCAAACAATTCCCTCTCATGTAATCTGTTTCACATTATAATGCCCTAGATATATTAAATTGTATTTGTACAAGTTAATCTAATTTTCTTCAGTCTGCCCATATTTTCAGATTCCCAGATTCCTTAGCAACAACTCCCAAATGAGATAGCATTGGCAGCATTTTTAAACAATTAATACAAAATTCAAAAACTAAGTAGCATCAAACTAAAAGAATTAACCTAGAATACTTCCAAATGTAATACAGATACATTTATAAATTCATTTAGCTTACTTCCTTTGATATTTATATTCCAATATAACTTTATATATTCAAAGCAATATTGAATATTTATGAATATTAAGTTATCCTCTTTGCACTAGCGAGTGAATCTATTTTATCTTGAAAACTTCTTCATATAAAGACTTAAATAGAAATTTTATATAAAGATTTTCTAATTGCTTTTTGTTTCTTGTAGGTCTTTATTTTAAAGCAACACAAATCCACTTCGATAAAACTTTCAGAAAAAAATAAATTTTATTGAAAGATATTAAAGAGAGTGGGAAAAAAATTCAAGAAAAATATAAACAGACTTCAAAAATGAAGTAAGCCACCATTACATTAGCAATAGGTTATTGTAATCCTTAAATCTGAAGTTTTATTATTAATGTATCTCAGGTTCTAACATCACATTTCTGTCTCTCACTGCAAACTCTCAAAAGAAATAAACTGTTTAGCCCAGCCTGATTACATACCTTTGTCTAATCAAGCATGACCAAGTTGAAAGTGTCATTTGAAAGACAAATATGTGGCCAACAGTTCTCCTATTTGTGTTTTAGTTTTCTAGTGAAAAAGACATGTATATTTAGAATTAGCCAGCTGTATTTGATATAAATGATTCCAATTGTTTTGGCAGTATCCAAAACATTACAATCAAGAGCCAGTCAAACATATGCCTCCTTCTGTCCATTAGGCCCGAACAGGGTGTTGACCTTGGCCACATCAGTGTCATAGAGCTTCTTCACAGCCTCTTTAATCTGTTGCTTTTTGGCCTTAACATCCAAAAGCGTGTTATATTTTATTTTCTTTATGGCTGATTCAGTGGTCAGCAACAACTTGATAATGACATAGTGGTCAAGTTTCTTTCTCTTGGGGGTAATCTTCCAAGGATATTTGAGCTGCCTCTGGAGCTGCAGTATCTTGGGCCACTGGAAGGTGGGTGATGTGCAGATCCTCTTTATTTTTTTGTGGCTGTGGACTCTTTTCAGCACTGCCTTCTTGAGCTTCAAAGCCTTTGCTTTCACTTTGGCTTTAGGAGGCTTCTGGAGCTTCTTTCTTCATCATCTTGTGAAAAGGCTCTATTTTTTTGAATAAGTGTGTGAGACTATCAGTGAAGAGATGATGGCAGCACCACACTACCAGACACCTAAAGCTCTCTTATCCCATCCCAAATGTAAATATGGCAAGCTTGTTATCCCATCACAAGCATACATAAGGTAGGCTTGGATAATGTCATGTAAATATTTTTTTTCAGCAAACATGAGTTGAACATTTTCTCTGTGCCCACAGCTGAACAAACAGCAATGAGTAAGTGCCGATTACCTTTAAATTCTACTGAGATTAACAGAGCATAAATGAGTGCCCTTATCATTAAACAAGATGATTATTGATTACAAGAAGTGCTGTGAAAGATAGAAAATGGAGAGAAACCTGGATTAGAGCCTTAAATTCCCTTTAATGTTGGTAAAAGAGACCTCAGAGGAATCAACATCTATTCTGAAATGTGAATGATGAGATTAAACTAGTTATAGGAAGGAAGAGCCTTTTGGGAAAAAGTTGGAAGGAGAAAGAACACATTGCGTTTGCACACAGAAAAGAGGCACAGCAAGAGCTACAGACCAGCCTGCCAAACATAGTGAGACCCTGTTTCTACAAAAAAAATTTAAGAATTAATTGGGTACAGTGGCACACCTGTAGTTCCAGCTACTTGAAAGGCTGAGGCAGGAGGATTACTTGAGCCCAGGAAGTTAAGGCTGCAGTGAGCCATGATTGCACCATGGCTGCACTCAGCCTGGATGACAGAGACCCTGTTCCAAAAAACGAACAAAACAGAGAGAGATAAAAAAGGAAGGGAAGGGGAGGAAGGAGAGAGAAGGAGGAGAGGGGAGGAGGGGAGGAAAGAAGGAAGGGAAGAAGGAAGGCAGGCAGGCGCTGGCTACAGCAAAATGAAAGACAAAACAGCAGTAGAGTTTGGGAAGGTGAGTAGAAGAAATATGGCCTAAGACTTCTGAGCTTATTAAAAAATAGTTGGGAATCGTTCCAAGACGGCCAAACAGGAAGAGCTCCGGTCTGCAGCCCCCAGTGTGACTGACGCAGAAGATGGGTGATTTCTGTATTTCCAACTGAGGTACCTGGTTCGTCTCACTGGGGCTTGTCGGACAGTGGGTGCAGCCAACCGAGCGTGAGCCGAAGCAGGGCGAGGCATCGCCTCACCCAGGAAGCACAGGGGGCCAGGGCAATTCCGTTTCCTAGCCAAGGGAAGCCGTGACAGATGGTACCTGGGAAATCGGACACTCTGAATTTATTAATTATTTATTAATATTGCACTTTTCCAAAGATCGTAGCAAAAGGCATACCAGGAGATTGTATCCTGCACCTGGCTCGGCAGGTGCCACGCCCATGGAGCCTTGCTCACTGCTAGCACAGCAGTCTGAGATCCAACTGTGAGGTGGCAGCCTGGCTAGGTGAGGGGTATCTGCCATTGCTGAGGCTTGAGTAGGTAAACAAAGCGGCCAGGAAGCTTGAACTGGGTGGAGCCCACTGCAGCTCAATGAGGCCTGCCTGCCTTTGTAGACTCTACCTCTGGGGGCAGGGCACAGCTGAACCAAAGGCAGCAGAAACTTCTGTAGACTTAAACATCCCTGTCTGACAGCTCTGAAGAGAGCAGTGGTTCTCCCAGCACAGAGCTTGAGCTCTGAGAACAGACAGACTGCCTCCTCAAGTGGGTCCCTGATACCTGTGTAGCCTAACTAGGAGACACCTCTCAGTAGGGACCAACTGACACCTCATACAGCCAGGTGCCCCTCTGAGACAAACCATCCAGAGGAAGGATCAGGCAGCAATATTTGCTGTTGTGCAATATTTGCCATTCTGTAACCTCTGCTGGTGATACCTAGGCAAACAGGGTCTGGAGTGGACCTCCAGCAAACTCCAACAGACCTGCAGCTGAGGGTCCTGACTGTTAGAAGGAAAACTAACAAACAGAAAAGAATAGCATCAACATAAACGAAAAGGACATGCACACAAAAACCCCATCTGTAGGTCATCATCATCACAGACCAAAGGTAGATAAAACCACAAAGATAGGAAGAAACCAGAGCAGAAAAGCTGAAAATTCTAAAAACAAGAGCACCTCTTCTCCTCCAAAGGATCGCAGCTCCTAGCCAGCAACAGAACAAAGCTGGATAGAGAATGAATTTGACGAGTTGACAGAAGTAGGCTTCAGAAGGTCAGTAAAAACAATCTTCTCTGAGCTAAAGGAGGATGTTTGAACCCATTGCAAGGAAGCTAAAAACCTTGAAAAAAGATTAGATGAATGGCTAACTAGAATAAACAGCGTAGAGAAGACCTTAAATGACCTGATGGAGCTGAAAACTATGGCATGAGAACTGCATGAAGGATGCACAAGCTTCAGTAGCCAATTCGATCAAGTGGAAGAAAGGATATCAGTGATTGTAGGTAAAGTGAATAAAATGAAGCGAAAAGAGAAGTTTAGAGAAAAATGAGTAAAAAGAAACGAACAAACCATCCAAGAAATATGGGACTATGTGAAAAGACCAAATCTACTTTTGACTGGTGTACCTGAAAGTGACAGGGAGGATGGAACCAAGTTGAAAAACACTCTTCAGGATATTATCCAAGGGAACTTCCCCAACCTAGCAAGGCAGGCCAACATCCAAATTCAGAAAATACAGAGAACACCACAAAGACACTTCTTGAGAAGAGCAACCCCAAGACACATATTGTCAGATTAACCAAGGTTGAAATGAAGGAAAAAAATGTTAAAGGCAGCCAGAGAGAAAGGTCTGGTTACCCACAAAGGATAGCCCATCAGACTAACAGCTGATCTCTTGGAAGAAACTCTACAAGCCAAAAGAGAGTGGGGACCAATATTCAACGTTCTTAAAGAAAAGAATCTTCAACTCAGAATTTCATATCCAGCCAAACTAAGCTTCATAACTGAAGGAGAAATAAAATCCTTTAAAGACAAGAAAATGCTGAGAGATTGTGTCCCCACCAAGCCTGTCTTACAAGAGCTCCTGAAGGAAGCACTAAACATGGAAAGGAATAACCGGTACCAGCCACTGCAAAAACATGCCAAATTGTAAAGACCATCAAGGCTAGGAAGAAACTGCATCAACTAATGGGCAAAATATTGGCTGACATCATAATGATGGATCAAATTCACACATAACAATATTAACCTTAAATGTAAATGGGCTAAATGCCCCAATTAAAAGACACAGACTGGCAAATTGGATAAAGAGTCAAAACCCATCAGTGTGCTGTATTCAGGAGACCCATCTCACGTGCAGAGACACACATAGGCTCAAAATAAAGGGAGGGAGGAAGATCTACCAAGCAAATGGAAAACAAAAAAAGGCAGTGGTTGCAATCCTAGTCTCTGATAAAATAGACTTTAAACCAACAAACATCAAAAGAGACAAAGAAGGCCATTACATAATGGCAAAGGGATCAATTCAACAATAAGAGCTAACTATCCTAAATATATATGCACCCAATACAGGAGCACCCAGATTCATAAAGCAAGTCCTTAGCAACCTTCAGAGACTTAGACTCCCACACAGTCATAATGGGAGACTTTAACACCTCACTGTCAGTATTACACAAATCAACCAGACAGAAGGTTAACCAGGATATCCAGGACTTGAACTCAGCTCTGCACCAAGCAGACCTAATAGACATCTACAGAAATCTCCACCCCAAATCAACAGAATATAATACTTCTCAGCACCACACTGCACCTATTCCAAAACTGACCACATAGTTGGAAGCAAATGTAAAAGAACAGAACTCCTCAGCAAATGTAAAAGAACAGAAATTATAACAAACTGTCTCTAAGAACACAGTGCAATCAAATTAGAACCCAGGATTAAGAAATTCACTCAAAAGTGCACGACTACATGGAAACTGAAAAATCTGCTCCTGAATGCCTACTGGGTAAATATTGAAATGAAGGCTGAAATAAAGATGTTCTTTGAAACCAATGAGAACAAAGACACAACATACCAGAATCTCTGGGACACATTCAAAGCAGTGTGTAGAGGAAAATTTGTAGCACTAAATGCCCACAAGAGAAAGCAGGAAAGATCTAAAATCGACACCCTAACAATTGAAAGAACCAGATAAGCAAGAGTAAACACATTAAAAAGCTAGCAGAAGGTAAGAAATAACTAAGATCAGAGCAGAACTGGAGGAGATAGAGACAAAAAAAAAACCTTTCAAAAAATCAATGAATCCAGGAGTTGGTTTTTCGAAAAGATCAACAAAAAAGATAGACTGTTAGCAAGACTAATAAAGAAGAAAAGAGAGAAGAATCAAATAGATGCAATAAAAAATGATAAAGGGGCTATCTCCGCCGATCCCACAGATACACAAACTACTGTCAGAGAATACTATAAACACCTCTATGCAAATAAGCTAAAAAAATCTAGAAGAAATGGATAAATTCCTGGACACATACACCCTCCCAAGACTAAACCAGTAAGAAGTTGAATCCCTGAATACACTAATAACAGGCTATGAAATTGAGGCAATAATTAATAGCCTGCCAACAAAAAAACCTCCAGGACCAGACGGATTCACAGTTGAATTCTACCAGAGGTACAAAGAGGAGCTGGTACCATTCCTTCTGAAACTATTCCAATCAATAGAAAAAGAAGGAATCCTCCCTAATTCATTTTATGAGGCCAGCATCATCCTGATACCAAAGCCTGGCAGAGACACAACAACAAAAGAGAATTTTAGACCAATATCCCCGATGAACATCTATGCAAAAATCCTCAATAAAATACTGGCAAACCGAATCCAGCAGCACATCAAAAAGCTTATCCCCCATGATCAAGTTGGTTTCATCCCTGGGATGGAAGGCTGGTTCAACATACGAAAATCAATAAAGGTAATCCATCACATAAACAGATCCAAAGACGAAACCCATATGATTATCTCAATAGATGCAGAAAAGGCCTTCAACAAAATTCAACAGCACTTCATGCTAAAAACTCTCAATAAACTAGGTATTTGATGGGACATATGTCAAAATAATAGCTATTTATGACAAACCCACAGCCAATATCATACTGAGTGGGCAAAACTTGGAAGCATACCCTTTGAAAACTGGCATAAGACAGGGATGCCCTCTTTCACCACTCCTGTTCAACATAGTGTTGCAAGTTCTGGTCAGGGCAATCAGGCAAAAGAAAGAAAGGGTATTCAATTAGGAAAAGAGGAAATCAAATTGTCCCTGTTTGCAGATGACAGGATTGTATATTTTCAAAACCCCATCATCTCAACCCCAAATCTTAAGCTGATAAGCATCTTCAACAAAGTCTCAGGATACAAAATCAATGTGCAAAAATCACAAGTATTCCTATACACCAATAATGGACAGAGAGCCAAATCATGAGTGAACTCCCATTCACAATTGCTTCAAAGAGAATAAAACACCTATGAATGTAACTTACAAGGGATGTGAAGGACCTCTTCAAGAAGTACAAACCACTTCTCAACGAAATAAAAGAGGACACAAACAAATAGAAGAACATTCCATGCTCACGGATAGGAAGAATCAATACCATGAAAATGACCATACTGCCCAAAGTAATTTATAGATTCAATGCCATCCCCATCAAGCTACCAATGAGTTTCTTCATAGAATTGGAAAAAACTACTGTAAAATTCATATAGAACCATAAAAGAGCCTGCACTGCCAAGACAATCCTAAGCAAAAAGCTGGCAGCATCATGCTACCTGACTTCAAGCTATACTACAAGACTACAGTATCCAAAACAGCACGGTGCTGGTACCAAAACAGAGATATAGACCAATGGAACAGAACAGAGGACCAGAAATACCACCACACATCTACAACCATCTGATCTTTGACAAACCTGACAAAAACAAGAAATGAGGAAAGGATTCCCTATTTAATAAATGGTTCTGGGAAAACTGGCTAGTCATATGTAGAAAGCTGAAACTGGATCCCTTCCTTACACCTTATACAAAAATTAATTCAAGATGGATTAAAGACTTAAATGTCAGACCTAAAACCATAAAAACCCTAGAAGAAAACCTAGGCAATACCAGTCAGGACATAGGCAAGGGCAAGTACTTCATGACTAAAACACCAAAAGCAATAGCAACAGAAGCCAAAATAGACAAATGGGATCTAATTAAACTAAAGAGCTTCTGCACAGCAAAAGAAGCTATCATCAGAGTGAACAGGCAACCTACAGAATGGGAGAAAATTTCTGCAATCTACCCGCCTGACAAAGGGCTAATATCCAGAATCTACAAAGAACTCAAACAAATTTACAAGAAAAAAATCAAACAACCCCATCAACAAGTGGGTGAAGGATGTGAACAGACACTTCTCAAAAGAAGACATTTATGCAGCCAACAGACACATGAAAAAATGCTCATCATCACTGGTCATCAAAGAAATGCAAATCAAACCACAATGAGATACCATCTCACACCAGTTTGAATAGCAATCATTAAAATGTCAGGAAACAACAGGTGCTGGAGAGGATGTGGAGAAATACGAACACTTTTACACTGTTGGTGGGAGTGTAAACTAGTTCAACCATTGTGGAAGACAGTGTGGTGACTCCTCAAGGATTTGGAACTAGAAATACCATTTGACCCAGTGATCCCATTACTGGGTATATATCCAAATGATTATAAATCATGCTACTATAAAGACACATGCACATGTATATTTATTGCAGCACTATTCACAATAGCAAAGACTTGAAACCAACCCAAATGTCCATCAATGGTAGATTGGATAAAGAAAATGTGGCACATATACACCATGGAATACTATGCAGCCATAAAAAAGGATGAGTTCATGTCCTTTGTAGGGATGTGGATGAAGCTGGAAATCATCATTCTGAGCAAACTATTGCAAGGACAGAAAACCAAACACCACATGTTCTCACTCATAGGTAGGAATTGAACAATGAGGACACTTGGACAGAGGGTGGCGAACATCACCCACCGGGGCCTGTGGTGGGGTGGGGGAGGGGGGAGGAATAGCATTAGGAGAAATACCTAATGTAAATGACGAGTTAATGGGTACAGCACACCAACATGGCACATGTATACATATGTAACAAACCTGCACGTTGTGCACATCACATGTACCCTAGAACTTAAAGTATAATAAATAAATAAAAAAGAAAGGCAGAAATAGAGGACTCTCCCTAGAAAGGCAGAGAGGACTCTCATTTTTCTCACGAAGTTCTGCAGAAATATTTACTCTTTCAATTATGTGCAATTGTAACTTTGAATACAATTTAAAAAAAGCTTCAGTGAACATGCAAAAAAAATAGTCATAAATTTAATGAAGTAGGTATCCAGGCAAGAGCTTGAAGCATGTTTGGTTGAGAATGGGAGGATAGATTTTAACAGCACATACATCAGTGTAGAGAATGGATTGTTGGCACAAAAGAATTGGAATAAAGCATATGCTTCTATTGCCATTATCTGGATGGATGAGACATAATAATGGTTTTATCTGGGGAAGTGACCATGAAGATCAAGAAAAACAAAAAAAAATGCAAAATGTATTTATCTATATTGGAATCTATATTGGATTATAACTGAAAAATGGTGAAAAGAGAAAAAAATCAAGATTGACTCCCAGATTTTTGGTGAATTGTACCCTTTGCTGAGATGAGGAAGATTTCCAATTCAAACGATCATGTCCAAAGGGTATATTTTTTCTTCAGAAAGGTCTCTACCCACTGTTTAAAGGAGGAGACCACTGATTTAAAGGAGAGTTCCCTGTTTTCAAGTATTGGCTCAACTTCCTCATTGCTGATTATGTTCTCAGAAAAGTTAACCTTTGTGTTCCAAAGATAAAAACTGCAGTTCATAAAAGCTGCAGTTCATGAAAATGTATTGCCCTTTCAATCTGAGTAAGAAAAGTGACAAATGTCATTTTCCAAATAGATTATCCAAGTTCTGGAATTAAATTGTTAGTCCCTTTTTTTCTGGTTTATCAGTATTTGGGAGTGTGTTCATTTCTGACCAATTACTATAGCTAGAAAGATTATCTACAGTGAACGGCTTTAGCTTTTGTCGGGTCTAAAGCAATGAATTCAGTCAGCAAATATTACCAAATGCCTGCTATATGATAATAGAAATACATCAATGAGAAAACAAAAAGGACTACATTCTATTAAATTATCTGACTGTAAAACTTTGAAATTTGGGATGCTACGTAAAAAAGAGAAAAGAGAATGGATGTTAAAGACATTCCGCAAATGTTTTCTACACTCTCTTCTAATGACTCTATATATTTTATACTGTAATAAACCATCATAAAGAAAAAAAAATCTACCTGTATTATCCAACACATTTTAAAGAAATTTCTCCATGAGAAGAAAAAGTAGAATAAAGTCTATGTCTTTTGAGGAGGGCATTTCCTCCAGAATTTTATACATATTTTAATGCTCTAATTCTATCTGAAATATTAATCAGCAGTGTTTAATTCAGCAAACTTTAATATTTACATGTATTAGTTTTAGTATATGGGTTTTCTGATTTATAATCATTTTTGACTATCCATTTCTACAAATTGATTTGCATGTCTACTTTTTACTCTGTACGTCATTTAGTATTTTATTTGTTTCTCAATAATCCTTTTTTGTGGTTAGCCCTTTTCTAATAATTATTTTTCTTTTCTTAACAAGCAATTATTAAGCATACCACCAGAAGCACCCTCCAAAAAACATAAGTAAGCAAAAAGGAAAATCAAGAGATTTTTTCCTTTTTCATATAATTTGTTGTCTTTTCCACTTATCAGCAACCCTTCTCACAAGAGCCAAAAAAATTTCATGTATTTATTTTTATTTTTGTTTTTTATACATTGTGGAATATATCAAGTGAGTTACCATTTGCCACTTCACATGCTTGTCATTTTTTGTTTGAGGAGAACATTTACTATCTACTGTTAAAAATCTTCAAGTCTACACAATACATTAACTGTATTTACTATGCTGAACAATATATTTTCTGAGTTATTCTCTCTGTCTAACTGAAATAGACTTTTTTAAAAACATATGGTTTTGTGAAGTTGTGGAGCAACGCCTTCATATATTTCTTGTGTGGTGATGATGGTAGTGGTGGTGTATGAGGGTGTGAGTAAAATAAAAACATTTCAGACGATATTTTAGAATAAAGTTAACCACATGCTTACACCATTCTACTCCTAGGAATATACTGTGGAGAAAATCTTGCACATAACATGTCTCATGTCAAACAATGAAGAAAATAATTTTCTTAGAAATAACTTAGAATTGTAAGGAATACAAGTGTTCTTCAAGCTTAGAACGGGTAAATAAATGGTGTTGTATTAATGCAGCAGAATAGCATAAAGTGAAGGACTAAATAAACTACATTTGCATGTAATGTAATTGAACCTCGAAACGTAACATTAAGGGAAAGGAGCAAACCACATAAAAATTTACACAGTATTATACCATTAAGTGGCATTCATAGCGATGAAAAAACATTACATTTAGAATATATGCATTGAAAATATAATAAAGGTGAAGTTTTTTTTGTTTGTTTGTTTGTTTGTTTTCATAAAAGGTTGCATACTTCCTGCTCATCTACTCTTTCCAGACTTCCTTCCATGGAGCTCCTCTTTTGCCTCCTAGCAGCGGGACTGACAGCCGGTGTAAGTAATAAATCTTTCTTTGACTATTTCAAAGGATAACCATCCTGAATTTTGACATTCAAACTTAACTTTTGAAGAAACATTTTCCACACCATAGTGGTGTTGTTATAATTATATATATACATACATTTATACCCTTCTCTATAATTAAATAAGCTTCAAAATAGTTCATGAAAGAAAAGAAGTAATCAGTAAATTATTACAAAATGCTTAGAAGTGAAACATATGTTCGCCATTTATTTTATTTCAAATGTAAAATGTGGCTAAAGAGAATGTAGAGGTGAATAAATAACTTTTATTAAGGTTAATTTTTAATGATATTCAGCTTATAGAGTCATTATTTGCTGTAACAATTTCTGTCAAAAGTTTGCTCTTAATAACTTTCTTATAATATAAGACCAGGACCAGTTTTTGGTGCCACAAGTGATACTGTGTATACAAATTTCCCAAGTTGGGAACATTAAGATCCAAAAGTTATACTCTTCCATTACTCTTGATTATTCTTTTCTGCCTTCACACAGTAGAATAAATGAATAGTTCATCCTTCTCCATTTAATGTGTTTAACCTTCTGTATTTTATATGGGAACAAAAAATAAAGGCAAAAAGATGAAATTGTAATGATTACTAGACACTGGGTGACCTCCAGTGAATATGTAAATTGGAGTCAGTACTCCTGATGGTATTACTGATGCTGCTTCACTGTCATTTCTTGTGCTATACTTTGACTGGCATATAGTAATGCCAAAGTCATGATAGCTGTGTGGAGCAAAAGATGTTAATATTTCTTTTTGCTGGATGGGTGTTTATCCCATTTTAATATGCATTTGTAAATTTTCATTTTATTTTTATTACCTCTGAGTAATTAAAGCTCGAAGAAATTAAGCCTAAGGTTATCTAAAGACAAGTGCTAAATCCAACATCCTTACCATAAAATCAATGTGCATTTCACTGCAACATACTTATCTTCTTTATAAAACCCCACAGCAGCAATAGAAAAAAATATTCCCAAAAAGGCAAAACTATTCTACCTTACTTAGGTGATTTGACTTTAATACTTTCAGTACTTTATAGAACAAATCAAATGTTGATATTAATATCTTCACATAATACAGAAATAAGCTTGACAGTGCGTGTAAATAAGTTCTTGCTCTAAGAGATTTAAGAAACCTAAAAGTCGATCATTTTCAAATGTCCAAATTCTTTGAAAGATATTTAGAATACCTCAACAGTTATAAAGTTGGAAACAATTATAGTTTTATAAATAAAATCTCTCCTCATGCTTCAGTTAGTTTTAGTAACTATAATTCATAATAAATGCAATACAGCGTGGTATTCTAATAATGTAGATTCATGCTCTCTTGCCTAAGAACATTAAAAGGCCATGAGGCAGTCAGAGGGGCATTTATTAAAACTGACCATAAGATTAGAAATGTATATATGTTTTTATATATATATACATTTATATGCATTACAATACTGCAGTTAGAAGATATAGCTACCCAAAATGTTTTCTCTATAACTATGAAAGAAAAGTGTAATACAGTTGACCCTTGAACAAGTGTTTGAAATGTGGGGTCCACTTATATGTAGAATTTTGTAGTAAAAGTTACACTGAGTGTGTCTGCTTCTCCTGCCTCCCCTTATGTCATCTTTACCCCTGCCACCAATGAACAGCAAGACCAATCCCTTCTTTTTCTCCTCCTCCTCAGCTTACAAAATGTGAGCACCACAAGGATAAAGACATTTATAATGCTCCACTTCTATTTAATGAATAGTAAATATATTTTCTCCTCCTTATCATTTGCTTAATAACTCTTTTCTCTAGCTTACTTTATTGTAAGAATATAGTATATAATACACAGATATGGTTTGGCTGTGCACCTGCCCAAAGCTCAACTTGAATTGTATCTCCCAGAATTCCCATGTGTTGTGAGAGGGACCCACTGGGAGGTAACTGAATCATGGGGACCAGTCTTTCCCGTGCTATTCTCGTGATAGTGAATAAGTCTCACAAGATCTGATGGGTTTATCAGGGATTTCCGGTTTTGCTTCCTTCTCATTCTCCCTTGCCATCACCATGTAAGAAGTGCTTTCACCCTCTACCATGATTGTGAGACCTTCCTCAGCCACATGGAACTGTAAGTCCAATTAAACCTCTTTTGTAAATTGCCCAGTCTTGGGTATGTCTTTATCAGCAGCATGAAAACAGATTAACACAGTAAATTGGTACCAGTAGAGTTCGCATTGCTGAAAAGATACCTGAAAATGTGGAAGTGACCTTGGAACTGGGTACCAGGCAGAGGCTGGAACAGTTTGGAGGGTTTAGAAGAAGACAGAAAAATGTGGAAAGTTTAGAACTTCCTAGAGACTTGTTGAATGGTTTTGCCCAAAATGCTGATAGCAATATGGACAATAAAGTCCAGTCTGAGGCAGTCTCAGATGGAAATGAGGAACTTGTTGGTAACTGGAGCAAAGGTGAATCTTGTTATGTTTTAGCAAAGAGACTGTCAGCATCTTGCCCCTGCCCTTGAATTTTCTGGAACTTTGAACTTGAGAGAGATGATTTCAGGTATCTTGTGGAAGAAATTTCTAAGCAGCAAAGCAATCAAGAGTTGACTTGGGTGTTGTTAAAGGCATTCAATTTTATAAGGGAAGCAGAGAATAACAGTTTGGAAAATTTGCAGCCTGACAATGCAATAGAAAAGAAAATCCCATTTTCTGAGGAGAAATTTAAGCTGGCTGCAGAAATTTTCATAAGAAAGAGGAGCTGTATGTTAATCCCCAAGACAATGGGGAAAACGTCTCCAGGGCATGTCAAAGGTCTTCAAGGCAGCCCTACTCATCACAGGCCTGGAGATGTAGGAGGGAAAAAATGGTTTTGTGGGCCAGGCCCAGGATCCTGTGCTGTGTGCAGCCTAGGGACTCAGTAGCCTGCATCCCAGCTGCTCCAGCCGTGACTACAAGGGGCCAAGGTACAGCTCAGGCCATGGCTTGAGAGGGTGCAAGTCCCAAGCTTTGGCAGCTCCCACATGGTATTGATCACACGGGTACACAGAAGTCAAGAATTGAGGTTTGGCAACCTCCGCCTAGATTTCAGAAGATATATGGAAACACCGGGATGACCAGGCAAAAGTTTGCTGCAGGGGCAGGGCCCTTATGGAGAACCTCTACTAGAGCAGTGCCAAAGGGAAATGTAGGGTCAGAGACCCCACACACAGTTCCTACTGGAGTACTGCCTAGTGGAGCTGTGAGAAGAGGGCCATCGTCCTCCAGACTCCGGAATGGTAGATCCACAGACAGCTTGCCCTGTGTGCCTGAAAAAGGTGCAGACACTCAACACCAGCCCAGGACAACAGCCAGGAGGGAGGCTGTACCCTGCAAAGCCATAAACGTGGAGCTGCCCAAGACCATGGGAACCCACCTTTTGCATCAGCATGACCTGGATGTGAGACATGGAGTCAAAGGAGATCATTCCGGAGCTTTAAGATTTGACTGCCCCACTGAATTTTGGACTTGCATGGGGCCCTGGCCCATTTGTTTTGGCTAATTTCTCCCATTTAGAACAGCTGTATTTATCCAACGCCTCTACTCCCATTGTATCTAGGAAGTAAATACCTTGCTTTTCATTTTACAGTCTCATAGGCAGAAGGGACTTTGGACTGCGGACTTTTGAGTTAATGCTAAAGTAAGTTAAAACTTTGGAAGACAGTTGGGAAGGCATGATTGGTTTTGAAATGTGATGACATGAGATTTGGGAGGGGCCAGGGATGAAATTATATGGTTTGGCTGTGCCCCCACCCAAATCTCAAAATGAATTGTACTTCCCAGAATTCCCAATTGCTGTGGGAGGGACCCTATGGGTTAGAATTAAATCATGGAGGCTGGTCTTTCCCGTGCTATTCTCTTGATAGTGAATAAGCCTCATGAGATATGATGAGTTTATCAGGGGTTTCTGCTTTTGCTTCCTCCTCATTCTCTCTTGCTGCTGCCATGTAAGAAGTGCCTTTTGCCCTATGCCATGATTGTGAGACCTTCCCTAGCCACGTGGAAGAGTAAGTCCAATTAAACCTCTTTCTTTTGTAAATTGCCCAGTCTCAGGTATGTCTTTATCAGCAGTGTGAAAACGGACTAATACATGCATACATACAACATACAAAATACTGTATTAATTATGTTATCAGTAACGTTTCCAGTCAACAGTAGACTTTTAGTAATTATATTTTGGGGGAGTCAAAATTATACTTAGATTTTCAACTCTTCCAGGGTTGGTTCTCCTAACTCCCTCCTTGTACAAGGGCCAATTCTACTTGAGCCACATTGTTAATACATGAAATAAAGAATGATCCCAGTTAAAAGTAATAATAATAACTGAGTTCAAGTCTTAGTTGACTCAGATGTATACTACTTCCTTTATCTTTCTGAATCCCAGGTTCCTTAATAATAAATTAATTTTACCTGCCTTACCTATTGCATAATGCTCCAATAAAAATCAAATAGACTGTATGCCCTTATGATTTGTTAGGTAAAAACACCATATACATATGTTATAACTATGATCTACTGTGTTCTCTAAAATAATACCTTCGAACTTGTAATAGATGTAAAAGTGATCAATATTTGAAATCAACAAATATACACTTCAAAATAGTTCACTGAAGAAAACAAGAAATAATCAGAGAAATTATGACATGCTTTGAACTGAAAGATATGGAAGTAATTTACTTCAATCTTGTGAAATATAGCTAAGCAGTATTTAGAGGCAAATACACAGCTTGTAAAAAGAAGTTTCAGTACTAGAAAAACTGAAAATTACTAAGACACAATTCAAATCAACAAAATAAAAAAAATGAAATAATAAAGTAATCAAATAATGAATTGTAAAACAAAGGAAAAATCAAGTAGGACAATATGGAAAATTACATTCACAGAGTAATACTTTATTACACAGACAATTATAAATTTGAGAAGGAAAGATTTCTTTTGCAAGCATGGTTTAAAGGAAGTAATCATGGAAGAAACTATGATAGGCCAGAAACAAAAAGAAAGCATAATTCCTGTATTCAAATAACAAGCATTTATTGGACACCTAATATGTGCCAGGCAATATTCTAGGCACTTATTTAAAATAGTTTAAAAAAAGATAAATGTCTTAGAGATTTTATTCTATCAGGGAAGGTTGTGAAACAAAATTTTAAAGTAAATAAGTAGTATATTAAAATGTGATGAGTTTTATAAGAAGAAAGTTAGATAGTAAAGGGCAATAAAATTTGCTGGGGAACTGAGAGTGTAATTTTCAACATGACAGTGAGGAAAGTCTCATCTTTCTGAAATAAATCTTACTCTGAAAAACACAGAAACACTTATTTCTCTATCAAAATTCAGACTTATATATCTAATTGCCTATTCGACATTTCCACTTGGGATTTTAGTTTATTTTCCAAGTTTAAAATGTACAAATCTACTCTGAATTGATGACGTCAAGACCTACACCACCTTTCTGCCAAAACTGGTTCATGTGCAGTCTTCGTCATCATTCAGGGCAATTCCTCATCACTCACGCCAATGCAGACTTTCAGTTACTTGCAATGAGAAATAATGAATAAATACATAAGGAAATAAATAAAATCCTGCAGAAATTCTTGTTTTCATCTTTTTCTAACAAAGGACACCCGATTTGTCAAAAATAATTCTGTCAGAAACAAAGTCAGAGATATCAAAACACATGTATGAACGTTTAAAGGATCAACAGATGTATATGAGAATATGTATATTCACATGAACAAATATATGGAAATACATAAATATAATTATTTAATGATTTAAAAGACATATGTCTATATGTATATATCATATACATAATTATCTCTGAATACACACACTACACATATGCTATGTATATTTGTGTATTTTTGATGTAAGTGAAAATAGAGATTTGAACTGTTTAAATAACAAGCTTTTGTAAACTTGTGTGAACAGATATCTATAGGATGCTGCAACCAGCTCTGAAAATTCATTCTTTTTTAGCATATATACAGTGCTTGTAAAAATCACAATGAAGCACATCTCAATATCTTCCAAATAACAAACAAGAAAAACAACATAAAATGACATGTATTTAAATTTTTTAAACTATTATTTTAAGTTCAGGGAACCAAGTGCAGGTTTGTTATGTAGGTAAACTTGTGTCATGGACGTTTGCTGTACAGTTTATTTTATCAGCCAAGTATTAAGCCTACTACCCATTAGTTGTTCTCCTGATTCTCTCACTCCTCCCACCCTCCACCCTTTAAAAGGACCCATTGTGTGCTGTTCCCCTCTATGTGTCCATGTGTTCTTATTATTTAGCCCCCACTTATAAGTGAGAACATGTGATGTTTGGTTTTCTGTTCCTGTGTTAGTTTGCTAAAGATAATGGCCTCCAACTCCAAAAATTTAAATCAAATATTTAAATAGTGTTAAGTTGAAAAAACATGATGTCAATAGAATAGACAGCTGAATGATAGTTACTGTACTACAAGTCACTTATGCAATGCAACTGCAATACAGGAAATGTATGATTTTAAATGCTTATATTTTTAAAAAGAAACTCTAAGTCTTAAATTAGATATACCCCCAAATCTTAAGGAGTTAGCAGAAAAATAGAATAAATTCACAGATACTACAAAGAATTTAAGTAAAAAACAAAAGTTCATTAACCATAACATACACATTTGACAGAAAAGAATTAAATTTGATTCTTTAAAAAATTGCTAAAAATGACAAATCTTGAACCTGACCATAATGATACTAAACAGGCAAATTTCACACTCACAAATGTAAATGTCAATATCCTAAGCAAAACACCAGCAAAATATACTCAGAAATAATTAAGTAAATAATTCCTTATTGAAAATTATTTTAGGTATAAATATTTACTTTAGGGTTAGAGATGTTTATTGTTCAAAATTAGAAAACAAATGTTGTTCAGCTTACTACCAGATTAAAAAACAAAATCATAGTTGTCAAACACCCTGATATGATAAAATTTAAATCACTAATTATAAAAGCTTTCAACCAGCTATAATAAAAGTTTCCATTCTAATTTCATAAATGGCATCTGCTATAAGTCTCCAGCAAACATTTTCTGCTTCTAACATTAAACATCTTGTTTTAGGATGGAAAACTTGACAAGGGTACACCAAATAACAGGTTCTCTTTAAAATTAAAGTGAAGCTTCTACCCAGCCCAAGAAAGCAAGAAGTAGAAATATACTACTTTAAAGATTGAAATAGAACATCGACTTCAGGCCATGATGGAATAACAAAAAACAAACTTACCTTTCCACTCTAGAAATGAGAAGCCAGACCAAATACATGAAACAGTGTTTTCCAAACATTGGACAAAACAGTGTGAGAAAGTGATTCCTGAAAGAAAGAAAATAGGTACAGTGAGCCCTAGGGGAGTTCTTGCTTACTGTCTGAAAAGAATTTCCAGCACTAGCATGGAGAAAGGGAATCCAAGAGAAAATCAGGTGTTTCTATAAAAATTATAGAAAGGAAGATGTCCATCCCCACAAGTGCTATTCTATATTTAAATATAGGCCTTAGCAAATAGAATTTATAAAAATGAAAGATTTGGAAAAAAGAAACAAAACAATTAATAATAATAATAATAAATTTAAAAATATAAATTATAATAAAATAGAGAAAAACACAACAAAACATTATTCCTTCAAGCTAGCTGTGACCCATGGGAAATAATGATTTTAAATCAAACTGTCCCATTCATCATAAGTAGCTAGCAGTAACTCTAAGACAATATATGCAAGGCTTTAAAATAAAATTTAAACTTTATTGAAGGATGTTAAAGAAAAACCCAAATAAATGCAAATTAATGAATATAAAGACTAAATATTACGAGTCAATTGATTCTTAATGAATACTCAACCAATCAGTTCCAATAAGAATATCAAGATAATACTTAGAATTAAAAAGAGGAACATTTATAAGAAGGAAAATATTCATGGAAAGTAAAAATAATTTTTTAGTTAAAAAGAGATAATTGAAAATAATATTTAAAATCCATAATAACTAAAGTAGTATGGTATTTGCAGTGGAATTCAAAAATAAATGTAGATGGAAGGGACAATATTAGGGTTTTTCAAACCAGACTTATGCACATATGGGATTTGATACATAATATAATGAGCATTTCAAATGAGAAGAATAACATGTAAATTAATTTTATAACTATTCTTGGACAATTTAGTTGGAAAAAAATCAGAACAAAATAGATAATTCCTTCTCACTGTACACAACACCCACACATATTCACATACCTGATACACAAATTATTCAGGTTAGATTAATAATTATATGTAAAAAAAACCGTCAAAAATTTAGAAGAAAATATTTTCATGACATTATGAGAGAAAAATATTTTAAAATCACAGAAATTCAGAAACCTTTAAAAATGGATTGATACATATGACAGACATTTAAAATATCTCAACTTTGATATGGCTAAGAAAACTATAACCGAAGTGTAAAAATAGTTATTTTTATTTTATGAATGACTATATATATGTACATATGTCACAATGGATTAACATTTGAGTTGTAGCTGAAAACAAAAAGAAAAAATAAGTTGTTCAAAACATATGCACAGATAATTCACGGAAAAGAAAATCTGATTGGCAACAAACATAAGAACGTTTGCTCAACCACATTACCAAAGAGCAAAATGCAAGTTAAAACAATGCCATTTTATTTCAAACCTATCTGATTGGCATCATTAAAAGTTGAGGGAAGAATCAAAAGTATGGGCAATGCTGAATGAACTCTCAAACTGAAATACGGTTTCACAATATCTGAAATAGCTCATGATGCGTTTCACGTGATATAGCCATGCCACTTCTAAATATGCATTTTAGGAAAAAAAGCTTAAATATGGGCTGGGCGCGGTGGCTCATGCCTGTAATCCCAGTACTTCGGGAGGCTGAGGAGGGTGGATCACCTGAGGTCGTGAGTTCAAGACCAGCCTGGCCAACATGGAGAAACCCTGTCTCTACTAAAAAATACAAAATTAACCAGGTGTGGTGGTGCATGCCTGTAATCCCAGTTACTCGGGAGGCTGAGGCAGGAGAATCACTTGAACCTGGGAGGTGTAGGTTGCAGTGAGCCGAGATCGCACCACTGTGCTCCAGCCTGGGCAAAAGGAGCGAAACTACGTCTCAAAAAAAAAAAAAAAAAAAAAAAAAAAGCTTAAATATGTGCATAATGACACATGCAAAATGATGTTCATTTGATCATTATTTTCAGTAATACGGATGGGGTATTTTAAGTCTTAATTATTAGACATGAAGATTAAAAAATAGGGTATACATCATATTTTGATTCAGCAATTTAATGAACATAGTCTACATGTATTAACATGTAAATATATTGATGTGTGTGTGTATATATATAGTGTGTATATATATACATATATATATATAAAATGTTAAATGAAAAGCAACTTGCAGGAAATGTGAATTATGAGAGCACTGATTAATATTTCAAAATATATTGTATATGTGTATACACATATGTACACACACAGCTAAAATATTAAAATCTGTTGGGAAATATTGCCCACAACCCTGGGAGAGTAGGTACCTGTATGGAGAAAGTGGGGGGAATAGAATCAAGAAGACCACTAAGGGGGCTGAAAGCTCTGTTGTTAAATAATTTTCCTTTAAAACGAAGGATTTGAGCTGGGTGTGGTGGCTCAGGCCGGTTATCCCAGGACTTTGGAAAGCCAAAGTGGGCAGATAACTTGAGTTCCGGAGTTCGAGACGAGCCTGGCCAAGATGGTGAAACCCCATCTCTATTAAAAATACAAAAATTAGCTGAGCGTAGTGGCATGTGGTTGTAGTCACAGTTATTCCGTATGCTGAGGCAGAAGGAATACCTTCAGCCCAGGAGGCATAGGTTGTAGTGAGCAGAGAGCGCGCCACTGCACTCCAGCCTGGGAGATGGGAGCAAAACCTTGTCTCAAAATAAAGTAAATACAATAAAAATAAAAACAAAGGATCTGAGTTAATCCTATCAAGTTTGCTAAGTCTGAATGCATTTTTCATACATATATAAAATATGTCAAGATTTAAGAAATTAAGCAGATAAATATCTGCAAAGCCTTCTCCAAAATGTGCAGGCAGTTATGCTTTAACCTCTGTAAAAACATTACACTATAATGTCCTTGTTTGTTGTTATAAAAACAGGTTAAGGTCTTAGAAGACCCAGCCTAGTTCTTATTCATCTTTGTACCATATCTAACTTAATTCTGGCACTAATCTGATGGTCAATGTAATTTGGATGATTGAATGATTAAATAAACAAATTTGAATACTTTACTAATGATAAAGTATCTTAACATTCAAGTGAATTAGAATTGTGATATATTGTCAATAATGTACCAATGTCTGACATACACATGCCAAGCCCTATCTGTGTGTGTATGCGGGTAATGTACATTATGTGTTATGTATAATATATGTTATAGTACATATGTATTATATACATCACATGTACAAATACATAGACATACACATATACATGCAAGGATTTATGATTAAATGTCTAAATAATCCAAAGAAGGAAGAAAAGTCTTATTTCTACTTGGAGGAACCATATTGAACAAGAAAGAACAACATTAATAAAAATAATTTTCTTATTTTCTATGTTTTGTAAGTTGAAGAAAATTATTATATGTCATTGTTCCCAGTCTTCTGATTGTTAAGGAGCTAGTACAAATTTTGACTGTATCATATGCCATATGTATCTGTATTAATTCCATCTGGCTCAATATTGTCTTTGGCTGTGGACAAATATTGTATTTTTCTGATTATTTTTCTTCCCAGAAATAAGAAAATTTTGGGAAAAAAAGACAAAGTATTATGAAACTCAGCAATACCCATTCTTGTTTCTTTAAAAGGGTTGAGATCACTTAATAATAATTTCTTAGCATCTCCTAAGGAAAAGATTTCCAATCTTGTTAAAAAAATCAATTAAAGAAGTTTAACGTTAATACAAATATGCAGAGGACAAATACCACTGATGGGAACAATAATCATTTGTGTATTAAAGTCATAAGCATTTCTACTGAGAACTCTTAAACAAACTTCATTTTTAATTGATATTGTAAACTGATGGATCAGTTTACTACTTAATTAATTAAATGGTGGCTTGAGATACCATTGACCATTAATTGCCCTACTTGTGTATTCCACAATTCCTTTGTTTAGCTTTATATGTTTCATGCTACATTATTGAACCCAGTTAGGCTATTAGCTCCTTGAGGGCAATATCTTACCTTTGGGAATGCCCAGCACAGTGCCTGGTATGCGTGAATATTTTATAAAAGTGTTGTTACATGAATGTGCCACTGTATAACAAATTGACTGTGTAGCAGTGTAGTTTAATACAAACTGCTTACAAAAATTAATGGAAATCCATATTTTTTTTCAATATTATAAAATTTGGCTTTGCATTTAATAAGGTAAAATTAATATCGTTAAATTACTCCAAAATAAGCCTTTAATATTAATTTTGAATATAAGATTATAAAGAATAAATTAAGAAATACCGTAATAAATTATACAAAAATGAAAGTGTTTTTATTCAATTTATTGATAAAGTTTCTTTTATGTTTTCTATAATATTAAAAAGTTATATACCATCAATAGAAAAAGAGGGAATCCTCCCTAACTCATTTTATGAGGCCAGCATCATTCTGATACCAAAGCCGGGCAGAGACACAACCAAAAAAGAGAATTTTAGACCAATATCCTTGATGAACATTGATGCAAAAATCCTCAATAAAATACTGGCAAACCGAATCCAGCAGCACATCAAAAAGCTTATCCACCATGATCAAGTGGGCTTCATCCCTGGGATGCAAGGCTGGTTCAATATATGCAAATCAATAAATGTAATCCAGCATATAAACAGAGCCAAAGACAAAAACCACATGATTATCTCAATAGATGCAGAAAAAGCCTTTGACAAAATTCAACAACCCTTCATGCTAAAAACTCTCAATCAATTAGGTATTGATGGGACGTATTTCAAAATAATAAGAGCTATCTATGACAAACCCACAGCCAATATCATACTGAATGGGCAAAAACTGGAAGCATTCCCTTTGAAAACTGGCACAAGACAGGGATGCCCTCTCTCACCACTCCTATTCAACATAGTGTTGGAAGTTCTGGCCAGGGCAATCAGGCAGGAGAAGGAAATAAAGGGAATTCAATTAGGAAAAGAGGAAGTCAAATTGTCCCTGTTTGCAGACGACATGATTGTTTATCTAGAAAACCCCATTGTCTCAGCCCAAAATCTCCTTAAGCTGATAAGCAACTTCAGCAAAGTCTCAGGATACAAAATCAATGTACAAAAATCACAAGCATTCTTATACACCAATAACAGACAAACAGAGAGCCAAATCATGAGTGAACTCCCATTCACAATTGCTTCAAAGAGAATAAAATACCTAGGAACCCAACTTACAAGGGATGTGAAGGACCTCTTCAAGGAGAACTACAAACCACTGCTCAAGGAAATAAAAGAGGACACAAACAAATAGAAGAACATTCCATGCTCATGGGTAGGAAGAATCAATATCGTGAAAATGGCCATACTGCCCAAGGTAATTTATAGATTCAATGCCATCCCCATCAAGCTACCAATGACTTTCTTCACAGAATTGGAAAAAACTACTTTAAAGTTCATATGGAACCAAAAAAGAGCCCGCATCGCCAAGTCAATCCTAAGCCAAAAGAACAAAGCTGGAGGCATCACACTACCTGACTTCAAACTATACTACAAGGCTACAGTAACCAAAACAGCATGGTACTGGTACCAAAACAGAGATATAGATCAATGGAACAGAACAGAGCCCTCAGAAATAACGCCGCATATCTACAACTATCTGATCTTTGACAAACCTGAGAAAAACAAGCAATGGGGAAAGGATTCCCTATTTAATAAATGGTGCTGGGAAAACTGGCTAGCCATATGTAGAAAGCTGAAACTGGATCCCTTCCTTACACCTTATACAAAAATCAATTCAAGATGGATTAAAGATTTAAACGTTAGACCTAAAACCATAAAAACCCTAGAAGAAAACCTAGGCATTACCATTCAGGACATAGGCGTGGGCAAGGACTTCATGTCCAAAAGACCAAAAGCAATGGCAACAAAAGCCAAAATTGACAAATGGGATCTAATTAAACTAAAGAGCTTCTGCACAGCAAAAGAAACTACCATCAGAGTGAACAGGCAACCTACAACATGGGAGAAAATTTTCGCAACCTACTCATCTGACAAAGGGCTAACATCCAGAATCTACAATGAACTCAAACAAATTTACAAGAAAAAAACAAACAACCCCATCAAAAAGTGGGCGAAGGACATGAACAGACACTTCTCAAAAGAAGACATTCATGCAGCCAAAAAACACATGAAAAAATGCTCATCATCACTGGCCATCAGAGAAATGCAAATCAAAACCACTATGAGATATCATCTCACACCAGTTAGAATGGCAATCATTAAAAAGTCAGGAAACAACAGGTGCTGGAGAGGATGTGGAGAAATAGGAACACTTTTACACTGTTGGTGGGACTGTAAACTAGTTCAACCATTGTGGAAGTCAGTGTGGCGATTCCTCAGGGATCTAGAACTAGAAATACCATTTGACCCAGCCATCCCATTACTGGGTATATACCCAAATGACTATAAATCATGCTGCTATAAAGACACATGCACACGTATGTTTATTGCGGCATTATTCACAATAGCAAAGACTTGGAACCAACCCAAATGTCCAATAATGATAGACTGGATTAAGAAAATGTGGCACATATACACCATGGAATACTATGCAGCCATAAAAAATGATGAGTTCATGTCCTTTGTAGGGACATGGATGAAATTGGAAACCATCATTCTCAGTAAACTATCGCAAGAACAAAAAACCAAACACCGCATATTCTCACTCATAGGTGGGAATTGAACAATGAGATCACATGGACACAGGAAGGGGAATATCACACTCTGGGGACTGTGGTGGGGTCGGGGGAGGGGGGAGGGATAGCATTGGGAGATATACCTAATGCTAGATGACACGTTAGTGGGTGCAGTGCACCAGCATGGCACATGTATACATATGTAACTAACCTGCACAATGTGCACATGTACCCTAAAACTTAAAGTACAATTAAAAAAAAAAAAAAAACATTAAAAAAAAAAAAAAGTTTATTTCTTACACACATTGCAACTCAATGTGGGTCTGTTGGGGAGAGAGGTTTCTGTATGCCATCACTCAGGGACCTAGGCTTCTGTGTTTAGTGGCTCCACCATTTCCTCCCTGTATCTGATAGATCCATGAGGGAAGAGAGTGAGAACAGAGGATTGCAAGGGAAGTTTCATGAGCCAGATTGAGAGGTCTGGAGGCAACATTACTTCTACCCACATTCTAGGAGTCAGAACCCAGTCACATGGCCACATCTAACTACAAGGGAGGCTGGGAAATGTAGTCTTGCTATAAGCCCAGGGTGGAAGGGGAATTGTTTGGTGAACACATAGCAGTGATTGCCACACTGTCAACAAGTTACACATGTTGACTATGCTGACACATGAGCACTTAAATATTAAATCATATTAAATAGACAGAGCAAAACACAGAAACACTAATTAGGATTGATTACTAATAACTATATACTTACAATTATGTATATTGACCAACTCAGAAGTGATTTTAAAGTATTGTGGGCTTTGTACTTGTATGTTTTGTCCTTACTGTAAAATGAAAAATTCACAGGGCAGAAAAAACTGTGGTTATGGATTTATGTGACCAGATGTGGAGTTCCATTATGATGTTTACCTTTTTGAAACTTTTTCATTGAAAACAGAGAAACTTGTTTGCAGCAACATGGATGAACCCGGAGGTCACTGTGCTAAGTGAAATAAGCCAGATATGGAAGGAAAAATACTGTATGATCTCATGCATTTGTGGAACCTAAAAAAGTTGAACTCATTGAGGCAGAGAGTAGAATAGCAGTTGCCAGGGGGTTGGGGCTGGAGAAAACAGGGAGACAGGGTCAAAGGGTTCAACCTTAGTTATAAGATGACCAAGTGCTGAAAATCTAATGGACAGCATGGATGGTAATTGATGTATTAATTAATTCAATTGTGGTTATCATTATACAATGTCTACGTATATCAAATCATCACATTGTACACCTTGAATATATTCAATCTTTGTTAAATATTTTAAAATAAAAAATTTAACAACATAAAAAAAAATAAAAAAAAAATAAAAAGTTATATACCATAGTTTCTTTTCTGTATATAGTCAGACATATGCAAATGTTTTGAAGCCATATTTGAAGCTATCCCTAGATATGGGTCATTTGTTAACTGGCTAAAAATTATTAAATTCAGTAGTTAATGGGAAATCCCTAACCCTAAGTTTTCTGTTTCTTTAGATGAAACTACCTGGATAAATTATTATTGTCCTGTTTACACAGCAGCACTCAATTTCAATATTGGATTATTGGTCCAATTTGGAAAATTATTTTAAATTTATATACTTTGCATTGATGGGTCTAGTTTCCATGAGGTGAACCCTCATTATATAATCATTGTTTACCGCATTTGGTGATTTAAGCTTATGTTACTATGTTTCATCTTAAATTAAGTGATTCTTATGCAGTTTATCTATTTCAGAATCCCATGAATCAAAATTCTGGCTTATTTCACATAATATAGATAAAATTTACCAAACATAATCAACTTAAAATACAAGCTGTCTGGTGAAATATTACATTTCCAGTTTTATTCTAGAAAATATTTGGAATTTTTACCTAAACCAATGTTTCTTTTAAAGAAAGAGAAAATAACATTTGTGTAAACATCATCACTCTTACCAATTTTTTTTTAAAAACTTCAGTAATTTTTGAGACATCTCCTCAGATACAAAAATTGGATTTAATTAATGAACTTATGATAATAAAAGTAGCATATATAAATAACTCTTGACTAGCCTTTTATTAATATATCTTTCAAAGTAATTGTATTTAACTAATTTAATCCCCAAAATAATGTATGGGGAGAGATGAGTAGAAAATTATGAAAAGAAAAAAGAAAAAAGAAAAGCACAGATTCTGAACGGCCCTAGAAGTGGCTTCTTCAGAAGTTGGAGCTAATGTTAAGTAAGGGCATTGGCGGGCTCCCGGCATTACAAATGGCCTTCTAGAGACCATGAAGGATTTGTAATGGAGATAGCTGAAGTGTTGCTATTACTCTCCAGGATTCCATTCCTAACTGTGATGATTGTTGAATAATTTTTGCTTCTCACTGGGCCCACAGCAGTATGTGTTGGTCCATATCCAAATCCTTAGGCTTAGGATACTAGAGACAGGCATGAATTTATTCATACTTGGCATTTCACCATCTGTTCTCATGCTTCTTGGCTCTGTCTGTTCATAATGACAAACTTCTCAGTAAGGAATTATAGCATTTGCCAGTGATTTCCTTGATGGGCTTCTTAATCTTGGAATAATTTATAAGGACTAGATCCTGAACATAGTTCATGCTATTTCTACTGCAAATGAGCATTACTGTTTTCATTTCCCCATTGCCTATAATATTCTTACTAAATATTTGTTCAATGAATTTTTTAAATAGTTATATAAAGAACAACAGTTTTGTAGCAATCATTCTGAAGTTTACATATTGAAAAGGATCCAGATGAAACCTGAATATCAATCTGTTACCCAAATATTTTCAAAATTGTGTGACTCTGCATCCAGAAGATATAACTAAATCAAAATTTTAAACACTCGTTGATTTACCCTTTCGAATGCATTTATTCATTTATTCCACAAATATGTGTTGAGTGTCTCTGTATACTAAGCTTGTTCTAGGACTAAAAGAAAAATCATTCTACATCAACATATTTCTAAATACAATTTACTATAATTGTACTATAAATATAAGCAAAACTCAGAAAGTTTGCAATGGCTATTCAAGAATACAGTGCTTGCCACTATCATAAACTTTCTGACAGCTCCAAAATTCCTTGACTTTTTCAAATAACAGAGATTAAATGAACAGTCCTTGATGGATTTTTTAAAAAGAATTTTTCCCTTTATGTAAAACAACATCTTGTAGCTTGGCCGCAGAAATCTTTCACTGTTTGTTCACATTAGCATGTGCAAACAAGATCTCACCTTTAATTAAAGTTGCATTGATGTGCTTTTGTTCTAAATAAATTTAATCTTAGAACCTCCCACTCTTTTTGTTGACATTAAGTGATAAACAAAAATGGGTTTGGAAAATATCAGGTGAAAAGATTACATAAAACTGAATCCATTTTAGAAGTGGAATTTATTATTGATAGCATCTAATTCAAACTTCCTACCTGCTTTTCTTTTCCTTCTTTTCAAGTATTAGAAAACTGAGATTTAGAAAATGAAATAATATTCCAATCAGTGGTAGAATGCAGTGTAGGACTCAAGCATCCTAAAATTAAATACAGTGTTTAATTAGACTAACTTGCCTTCTATGTCTTATATCTGTCATATTTTTGACTGGCTAAAACCCATCCCCTTCCCCTACTCCCAACTTCTCAGTTCCCAGATCTTTATTTTATTTTATTATTATTTTTTGAGATGGAGTCTTGCCTTGTTGCCCAGGCTGGAGTGCAGTGGCACGATCTGGGCCCAATGCAAGCTCTGCCTCCTGGGTTCACGCCATTCTCCTGCCTCAGCCTCCCAAGTAGCTGGGACTACAGGCACCCACCACCATGCCCAGCTAATTTCTTGTATTTTTTAGTAGAGACGGGGTTTCACTGTATTAGCCAGGATGGTCTCGATCTCCTGACCTCGTGATCTTCCCGCCTCGGCCTCCCAAAGTGTTGGGATTACAGGCGTGAGCCACCACGCCCAGCCCCCAGATCTTTATTTATGGATGATTCTTCTTTGTGTGATCTCAGTAGAATAATTCCAGCCACCCATTTTTCATTGCTTTCCATAATGAAAGCTTGAAAACTTGGGAGATCCTAGCGTACTTTTAACTACCCATGGATACTTTCAGAGAATAGGAGTATGATCAACTTTGTAAATCATATGTCCACTACAAGTGTTTGTAGTTTGAGTTACTGACACACAAAATAGAGGCAACTATGGGTTGTCAGATAAATGCAACATACTCAATTGAGATTCTGCACAGCACCAACAGCCAGCATTGAGCCAGATGGTTCCTCTGAAAGGACCCATGCATGTGAAAAATTAAAAGTCTGTAATTCATAATGCCAAACACTAGAACCTCTCTTGGTTTCTGTTCATATTGCAAGCATAGACAACCAGCCTCCTGTAGAATCTCTACACCCTCCCCCTGATTTCCTTCTATCCCTCTTTCTCTTTGACAGCGCCTGAGTAAAAAATGTGTTTTAAAATATGTCTTTCATTAATGGTAAAATAAACACAAGCAAATAAGAAAATAAGAGTTTGTGCTTAGCCAGAATCCCCTCAGCAGGAAGTCTCTGCACATTAGAAGAACAGGAATACTATTGACTGCAAGTAATATAACTAAATCCTTGCACTGAAATAATACATTCTTGTTCTGATTTTATTGAACCCAATGCATTATAAAAATAATCAGGCATCATAAACATTATATTATAAAAAAGACACAATTCTTCCATTATTTATGTTCAGTGTTTTTTAAATTTGTTCACAATATCATCAGTGAACATTTGCTGAGTTCCGAGTGCATGTTGACATTGTTCTAGATCTGCAGAAGTAAGTGAACTCAGAAATTTCTAATGCAATTCCAAGTTCACTTTCTTCCAATAGTAAGTATAAAAATGACCTTGATGCCTAAGAAGGATATTGTAATAAGATCCAATGTGACCCTTCTCAAGAAGAAAGATGTTCTGCAATGCCTAGAAACATATTAAATACAACTTTGAATTACTAGAATTTCAGCCTATCGTCAAACCAAAACCTAAACCAAACCAAACCAAAAAACAAATAAACAAAAAAAAATGCATTATTAAAGGTAGATCAATTGAATTGTATGGTATACATAGTGGATAAAACTCACTCTGTGAGGCCCCTGTCAATATATACAATTTAATTTTAAAAAATATTTCAAAGTTCATGGGGCTACATGCAGTAATTTATCAATGAGAATTTAGAATGATGGAAAAATAATTGGTAGGAAAGAGATAACTGCCCGTTTGCTTTTTTGCCTTATTACACATGAAGGTCCTTTATGCTGTCTGGGCCCCATCTCTTCACCTTAATACCTAGGAACAACCATCTCTTTACCTACTTTACTGACAAGTGCATCATTTCTGTCTAATTTCGTGTCTTTATTATAAGAAAAAGGTAATAATGATGCTATTGTCCACAATGATGTGACTCTTTGGAATCTGTTTATATTGAAATAATATACATTTCTATATGTCAGTATTTCCCTAATATGATTTATTTAGTATCATTTCTTATGACTGCTTCATTTATTATGCTGCCAGTAATAATGGATTTCAATGACTCTCCAAAGTGGTAACTGTCCATTGACAGACAGCTGATGATAACAAAAAAATGCAAGTCTTACCCAGATTTTGCAGAAAAAAATGTAAATTGTAATTCATTTTATTATTATGTTAAATTTGTTATTGGGAATTCTGTAGTGTAAACATAGTATAACACATCCTCCAACTATATCTTATTCTCTTGAACATTTTAGACTGCAATCACTTCACCCTGGAACATAATCTCCAGTGGTAACTCCACCTTTTTACCACCACTAGCAGAGAGAATAAGAAAGAGGCCCATAAGTTGAATCAAAAGAACAGCCCAATTTGCCAAAAGAATGTTTCTCACCCAAGAGAGCACGATGTTACCACATAGCAGAGAAGCAAGAGATAAAATGTATGGGAAGAGTCCATTGGCATCGTGAAGTGAATATCTTATAAACCATAGAAAGAGTAACAGCCACTCCAGAAGAGTGCCTGACACATGGTGTGGATCCTGTAAAGGAGATGGGAAGAAAATCCTGGTGTCAGTGTCTGGAGACACACGGTAAAAAATTTCCACCTATTGGTGCTGTAGACCTAAGGTAACTTCAGAGGCACTGAGAGGCAAAAGACCAATTATTGTTGGTTATTGGTGGCAAAATATGGAAAGTAAGACTCATCTTTACTCATTGTGAGTCCAGTGAGAATGAGAGACCCTAAATCAAGTGATTGACACCATTCTGAGAGTGAAAAAAAAAAGGCTCCCTCTAGCAGGCATGATCCTCCCTAGGCTTGCTCCTGGAAAAGGGCTCAGCTTCAGGGCCTGTGACATCTTTATGAGCACTAGACCTGGAACTCCTCAGTGTATCAGGTCAACAGCAGGCATGTGCAGGCTGGTTAGGAAAGAATGTAGAGAGTCACAGAGTGCCCTGAAAGGGAGAAATAGGTTCACACAGAACTCAATGCAGTTTAAAGCATTCTACCCAGATGTCACAGATGAACCAGAGTTCCCAGAAGTTAGTTGGGAAGTTAAATAATTTCTAGGTTGGCATTTTCATCAACCAGTAAGAATCCAGCACCCAGTAACAATCAGGTTTGACCTTTGGGCACTCTTTTTAAGTGGTACTTGGGACCTGATAGCCGGGATGAAAAATTTTAAGAAGACACTCTGAATGAGGGAGAGGGCACAACCTTGCCTGGGCCCAAGATTAGTGCTGCTCTGTTAAATGTATTACAGATTTCCATTTTAGTATTTCAGAATACACATTTACACATTTTTGTTTATTTTTTACTATCCTTTTTTCTCTTTTTGTTTCCCTTCCTTATTTATTGTTTCTTTATTTTCTTATTTTTTATGTATATAGGACCTAAGATTCAACTAATCTAACTCCTATCAATATATAGATTAGGAGAATGAAAGATAGTGCCCACCTAAGCAAAACTCTACGCAAATAGTTAGCCTAAGAGTTCTGAGAAAACAGATGCTATAGAAAATCTTAAATTCCGTCTACAACACCAAAATGAACAGGCAAAGCAAAAGACCAAGAAGCACTGACCCAGACAGGATAGAAGGAGGTAGATGCTAATTCATACCTAAAATAAGTAATTTGGCTCTGTAAGGATGCAGGAAAATGAACTATTTCACAGAGTTTTCATGTGAAATATGTCACAGATGATTCCATGCTTCATTTAAAATTATCACAAAAGAAGAAGAATGAATTGACAACCCAAAGGGGAGAGAAGAGCAGAAAGACAAAATAAGGCTGCCATTCAGAAATCAAAGTTGAACTAAATTACCTACCGTTTGAAATTGATTATAGGTTTCTGGTTGTTTTAACAATTAAATGTGTTTTCTTTTTTCAGAGAAATATATGAAAATGATTAGATGACAGTCGGTGACACTGTGAAACTAAATAAGGAAGTATTTTTCAGTGTCTATCTTCCAGGAAGAATAAATTTAAGATTACATGTATAAGGATATATATAGCTTCAAAAAAAGGTGGGAACTAATTATTTTACCATGGAAATTCTACCCTCCAATTTCTGTAAAAGGAAAATAAAACCAAATTTTATTAATGCTTTTTTCATTTCCTCATATATGGGGAGGTTTCCACAAGCAGATAAGTGGGCTTTCAGCCAATGTTGTTCCAAGTAACTCTCAGTAATCAGCACTCAGAAAGAGAACACTCCCTGCTTGATACCACTGTAAGTGGGCTTTAATCTGCAAGCATTTAAATTTCATACCATCTCAAAATATTCAGGCCTGAACATAGAAATAATTATGAAAACATTAAATTCCTTAGTGTGTACATGTGTATTGGAGCATTTTCTAAAGAATAAAGAAGGTCATAACTAAAATTTTCTAAAGAACTTGAAAAACAATTTTATGTCAGTGTCATTAGATATTTAAATAGAAAAGCAAGAGGGCAGTGGGGCAATATGGCTGAAGAAAACAAACCAGCAATTGTGCCCTTCATAGTAACACCAAATCGAGCAACTATCCACACAAAAAGTGCCTTTATAAGAAGAATAAGTCAGGTGAGTGATCGCAGTGCCTGGTTTTAATATCATATTTAGAAAAGAGACACTGAAGTGGGTAGGAAAAACAGTTTTGAATCACCTAAACCACCTCTCTCCCCTTCCCCCCCATACCCAACAGCAGCCGTGTGGTGTGGAGAGATAATCTGTATGCTTGGAGGTGAGATAATACAGTGATTGTGGGAATTCGCATACAAACTCAGTGCTGCCCTGTCACAGTAGAAAGGAATGTGGTGGCAGAACTCAGTCTATGCCCATGGAGGCTACATTTAGACCAGCCCTAGCCAGAGGCAAATTGTTTGTTCCAGGGTTCAGAACCCAAATTCTGGCAAGCTCCACCACCATAAGCTAAAGGGCTCTTGGGTCCTAAATAAACTTTAAGGCAGGCCACAGGGACTGCAATTCCTGAGCAAATCCTCATGTTGTGCTGGACTTAGAGCCACTGGACTTAGGATGCATATGATCTAGTAACACACCATCCTCAGCGGCTGAGGGAGTGCTTGTGTCACACCTCATCCAACAATGGACAGTGCAGCAACTTGGATACCAGCTCAGTCCCAGTAGAATAGGGCACCAGGCACAGTTCAGAGGCCCCCATTCCAGGTCCTAGCTCCCAGATGACATTTCTAGACACATCCTGGGTCAGAAGGGAACCCCTACCTTGAAGAGAAGGACCCAGTCCTGGCAGGATTTGTTGCCTCCTTACTTACTAAAGAGCTCTTGAGCCCTGAATAATGAACAGTCTTAGGCAGTACTCACTATGGGCCCTTACTGAGACTCAGAGTCTTGCTGGCTTCTGGTGTGACCCAGCATCCTCCCAGCTGTGGTAGCCAGAGAGAGAGACTCCTGCTTGAGGAAAGAAGAGGGAAGAAAAAAGGGGTATTTCTCTTACAGTTTAGGTACCAGCTCAGCCACAGTGGGGTAGTGCACCAAGCAAGCTCCTGGGGTCCCTGATTCCAAGAATTGGACCCTGAGCCACAAGGAAGCCCACTGCCTTGAAGGGAGAGACCCAGGCCTGGCAGCATTCATCAAAAGCTGACTGAAGAGCCTTTGGCCCTAGCGTCAATATTGGTGGTTGCCAGGCAGTAGTTCTCATGGGCCTGGGCCAGTATAACTACAGGGAGAGACACCCCTCCTTCAGTAAAAGAGAGGGAAGAGTGGCAAGGACTTTTTTCTGTGGCTTGGGTGCCAGCTCAGCCACAGTAGAATAGAGCACCAGGTAGATTCCTAGGGTTCTCAACTCCAGATCATGGCTACTGGATAGCATCTCTAGACCAGCTGAGAGCTGGGGGCAATGTGCTGCCCTGTAGGGAAGGACATTCGCCTGGTTGGATTTTTCATCTGCTAATTATAGAGCCCTTGAGCTTTAAGTGAACATAGGCAGTAGCCAAACAGTGGTCACAGTAGACCTTCAATGAGACCCAGTGCTGTGCTGGCTTTTGGTCTGACCCACAGTCTCAGAGGTGATGGCCACAAAGGTGCTTATGTCAAGTCTTCCTCAGTTCCATGCAGCTCAGCACAGAGGGAGAGAATCCATTTATTTGAGGTATAATAAGAGAAGAGAACAAGCATCTCTGCCTGGTCATCCAAGGAAGTTTTCTGGATCTTACCCAAGACTACCAAGGTGGTAACTCTACAAGTCTGGAAAAGTCACAGCATTAATGAATTTGGGGTTCTCCCTAATGCAGATATGGCTGCAGTGACCAACAACTTAGATAACAACACTTAAGTCCCTTTGAATACTGGAAAGCCTTCCTGAGAAGAACAGGCGCAAACAAGCCCAGACTGCAAAGATTGCAATAAATAACTAACTATTCAATTCCCAGACATCAATGAACAACAAGCAAGAAGACCATCTAGGAACGTGTCCTCACCAAATTATTTAGTTTGCTTTTTTTTTTAACTTATTTAAGGCACCAGTTGCCAAGCCTCCAAAAAAACAGATGTATGTAAACTTTCAGGGAGATAATTCACAATCTCTGTCTTGAGGAAACTCATTAAAATTCGAGATAACACAGAGTAGGAATTCAGAATTCTATCAGATAAATTTAACTAAGAACTTAAAATGCTTAAAAAGAATCAAACAGATATCCTGGAGCTGAAAATGCAATTGACATACTGAAGAATTCATCAGAGACTTTGTAGGTGAAGTGTGTTTCTTGTAGGAAAAAGATCAGCAGAATTGATCAAGCAGAAGAAAAAATAATGAGCTTGAAGATAGGCTATTTGAAAATACACAGTCAGAGGAAACAAAAGAAAAAAGAATGAAGAACACATACGGGATCTAGAAAGTATCCTCAAAAGGGCAAATCTAAGAGTTATTGGCCTTTATTAAAGAGGAGGTAGAGAGATATTGGGGCATAAAGCTTATTCAATGGGATAATAACAGTAAATATCTCAAACCTAGAGTAAGATATCAATATTCAAGTACAAGAATGTTATAGAGCACCAAACAGATTTAACCCAGATAAGACTACCTCAAGGTATATAATAATCAAATTCCTAACCATCAAAGATAACAAAACGATCTTAAAAGCAACAATAGAAAATAAACAAATTATATACAAAACAGCTCCAATGTGTCTGACAGCAGACTTCACAGTAGAAAATTTATAGGCTAGGAGAGAATCGCATGATATATTTAAAGTGCTGAAGAAAAAAAAATCCTTTAATCCTAGAATAGAATATCTAGTGAAAATATCCTTCAGACATGAATGAGAAATAGAGACTTTTCCATACAAACAAATGTTAAGGATTTAATCAACACCATGCCTGTCCTATGAGAAATGCTAAAGGGAGTTCTTCATTCTGAAAGAAAGTGATGTTAATAGGCAATAAGAAATAATCTGAAGGTAGAAAACTCATTGGTAATAGTACACAGAAAAACACAAAATATTAAATTACTGTGGTTATGGTATGTAAACTACTCATCTATAGTAGAAGGAATATATAATTACCTATCAAAATAACAGCTACAACAACTTTTTAAGACATAGTTCAATAAAATATAAATGGAAACAACAAAAAGTTAAAAATTGGGGAGATGAAGTTAAAATGTAGAGTTTTTATTACTTTGTTGCTTCTTTGTTAGTTTGTTTATAAGTTTATGCAATCAGCGTTGTCATCTGTTTTAAGTAATGTATTACAAGATATTATTTGCAAGACCCATGGTAACCTCAAATAAAAAAACTACAACAGACACACAAAAACCAAAAAGGCATAAATTAAAACATGCCACTAGAAAAGTCAGTTTCACTAAAAGAGGGACAGGAAGTAAGCAAACACAGAAGAAATAACCAGAAAACAAATAACAAAATGGCAGGAGTGAGTCCTTACTTTTCAATAATAGCATTGAATGTAAATGGACTAAACTCTCC
Organism: Homo sapiens; assembly: GCF_000001405.40. Classification (NCBI taxonomy): domain Eukaryota; kingdom Metazoa; phylum Chordata; class Mammalia; order Primates; family Hominidae; genus Homo; species Homo sapiens. The sequence continues at coordinate 87,205,546 of NC_000012.12, forward strand.
AATCAAAAGCTGAATGGAAAAACAAATCAGACCCAATGATCTTTTTCCTACAAGAAACACACTTCACCTACAAAGACAAATAGATTGAAAATAAAGGGATGGAAAAAGATATGCAATGCAAATAGAAATAAAAGAAAGAAGAGGTAGCTATACTTTTTTCAGACACAATAGATTTCAAAACAAAAACTATAAAAAGAGACAAAGAAGGTCATCATATAATGATAAAGGTGTCAATTTAGCAAGAAGATGTAACAATTATAAATATATATGCACCCAATGTTGGACCACTCAGATATACAAAGCAAATATTATTAGAGCTAAAGAGAGATACAGACAACAATACAATTATATATCAAGACTTTCAACCTCCTACCTTCAACATTGGACAGATCATTAGACAGAAAATCAACAAGGGAACATTGGACTTAATCTGCATTGTAGAACAGATGTACCTAATAGATATTTTAAAGAACATTTCATCCAATGTCTGTGGCATACGCATTCTTCTCAGCACATGGATGCTTTTCCAGGATAGGCCATATGTTAGGTCACAAAATACATCTTAAAACATTTAAAAACCATTTAAATTATATGAAGTATCTTCTCTGACTACAATGGAATGAAACTAGAAATCAATAATGAGAAGAAATCTAAAAACTATGTAAACCTATGGAAATTGAACAATATCCTTCTGAATAACCAGCAGGTTAATGAAGCAATTAAAAATGAAATTTTAAAATCTCTTAAATAAAAGTGGAAACACAACATGCATAAACCTATAGGATACAACAGTAGCAATACTAAGAGGAAAGTTATACCAGTATGCACCTACATCAAAAAGGTAATGAAACTTCAAATAAACAAGCTAAAATGTGTCTTAAAAACTACAAAAGCAAGAGCAAACTAAACCCATAATTAGTAGAAGAAAAGAAATAATGAAGATAGGAGAAGAAATAAATAAAATTGAAATGAAAAGAATACTAAAGATCAATGAAATAAAAAGGTGGATTTTTGAAAAGATAAACAAAATTGTCAAGCCTTTAGCCAGACTAACTCTGAAAGAAAGAGAGAAGACAAAAATAAACAAAATCAGAGATTAAAAAATTAGACATTATAACTAATATCAAAGAAATGTAAAAGATCATTAGAGTCTACTATGAACAACTATATGCCAATAAAGTGGAAAACCTAAAAGAAATGTACAAATCCCTCTAAACATGCAACCTACCCAGATTGAACCATGAAGTAATTCAATACATTAACAGATCAATAACAAGTAGTGAGTTTGAAGCTGTAATGAACAAAAAACCTCCCAGAAAAGTCCACAACCTAATTTTTTTCACTGCTGAATTTTAGCAAATATTAAAAGAAGAATTAATAGCAACCTACTCAAACTATTTCAATAAATAGAGGATTAGGGAATACTTCTAAACTCATTCTATGCAGCCAGTATTACCCTGATACCAAAACAAAACAAAGACACATCAAAAAAGAAAAATGAATGAACAAACAAACAAACAAACAAAAAATAAAACTGCAAGCCAATGTCCCTGGTGAACACTGATGCAAAAACCCTCAAGAAAATACTAGCAAACCCAATTCAGCAACACACAGAAAAACATTATTCATCACGACCAAGTGAGATTTATCCCAGGAATGCAAGGATAGTTTAGCATACACAAATCAATCAATGTAATACATCATATCAGAATGAAAGCCAAAACCCTGTGATCATTTCCATTGATGCTAAAAAGGCAGTTGATAAAATTCATCATTTCATTATGATTAAAAACCCAGAAAAACTGGATATAGAAGGAACATACTTCAACACAATAAAAGCCATATACAACAGACTCACAGCTAATATATTGAACAGGAAAAAATAAATGAAAGCCTTTCCTCTAAGATCTGGAACAAGACAAAGATCCCCACTTCCACTACTCTTATTCAACATAGTACTGGAAGTCCTAGCTAGAACAGTGAGACAAGAGAATGAAATAAATGGCACCCAAATTGGAAAGGAAGAAGTCAAATTATCCTTGTTTGCAGATGATATGATTCTTATATTTGGAAAAACCTGAAGACTTGACCAAAAATCTATTAGAACTGATAAACATATTCAGTAGATTTGCATGATACAAAATCAACATACAAACATTAGTAGCATTTTTGTATGCCAACAATGAACAATCTGGAAAAGAAATTAACAAAGTAATCCCAATTACAATAGCTAAAACTACAATAAAATCCCAGAAATAAAGTTAAAGAAGTGAAAGACCTTTATAATGAAAAGTATAAAATGTTGATAAAATAAATTGAAGAGGACAGCAAAAAAGAAAATATATTTCATGTTCATGGATTGGAATAATCAATATTGTTCAAATGTCTCTACTACCCAAAGCAATCTACAAATTCAATGCAATCCTCATGAAAATACTAATGATGTTATTTACATAAATGGAAAAAAAATCCTAAAATTTATAAAGAACCACAAAATACCCAGAATGGCCATAGCTATCCTGAGCAAAAAGAATACAACTGGAGGAATCACGTTACCAGACTTCAGATTATGCTACAAAGCTACAGTAAGCCAAACGGCATAGTGCTTGTATAAAAATAGATATTTAGACCAATGGAATAGAATAGAGACCCTAGAAATAAATCCATATGTCTACAGTGAACTCATTTTTGGCAGTGGCGCCAAGAACATACATTGAAGAAAAGACAGTCTCTCCATTAAATGGTGCTGGGAAAACTAAATATCCATATTCAGAAGAATAAAACTAGATCCCTATCTCTTGTCATATACAAAAATCAAATAAAAAATGAATTAAAGACTTAAATCCAAGACCTCAAATTATGAAATTACTACAAGAAAATATTAGGAAAACTCTCCAGGTCATTACGTTGGGCAAAGATTTCTTGAGTAATATCCCATATGTACAGGCAACCAAAGTAAACATGGACATATGGGATCACATCAAGTTGAAATGCTTCTGCATAGCAAAGGATAAAATCAACAAAGTGAAGAGACAACTCACAGAATGGGAGAAAATATTTGAAAACTATCCATCCAAAGGATTAATAATTGGAATACATAAGGAACTCAACCAACTCTATAGGAAAAAAATAGAATAATTTGATTGAAAAATGGACAAAACATCTGAATAGCTGTTTCCTCAAAGAAGATGTACAACTCACAAAAAGGTGTATGAAAATGTTCTCAACATCAATGACCATCAGAGAAATGCAAATCAAAACTATAAAGAGATATCATCTCACTCCAGTTAAAATGGCTTTTATCCAAAAGACCAGCAATAACGAATGTTGGCAAAGATGTGGAGAGGAGGGAACCCTCTTGCATTGTTGGTGAGCATGTAAATTAGTACAGCCACTATGGAGAACAGTTTGGAGGTTCCTAAAAAACTAAAAATAGAACTATTATATGATACAGCAATCCCACTGAAATCCCAATGAAAGCAAACAAGTATATCGAAGAGATATCTGCACTCTCATGTTTATTGCAGCACTATTCACAATAGCCAAGATTTGGAAGCAACCTAAGTGTCCATCAACAGATGAACAGGTAAAGAAAATGTAGTATATATACGATGGAGTACTATTTAGCCATAAAAATAAAATCCTGTCATTTGCAACAGAATGATGTAACTGGAGAACATTATGCCAAGTGAAATAAGCTAGGCAAAGAAAGACAAACTTCACATGTTCTCACTTATTTGCAGGAATTAAAAATTAAAACAATTGAACTCATAGAGCTAGAGAGTAGAATGACAGTTGTCAGAGACTGGGAAAGGTAGTGAGGATGCAGAAGTGAGCGAGGGAGGCCGGGCGCGGTGGCTCACGCCTGTAATCCCAGCACTTTGGGAGGCCGAGGCGGGCGGATCACGAGGTCAGGAGATCGAGACCATCCCGGCTAAAACGGTGAAACCCCGTCTCTACTAAAAATACAAAAAATTAGCCGGGCGTAGTGGCGGGCGCCTGTAGTCCCAGCTACTTGGGAGGCTGAGGCAGGAGAATGGCGTGAACCCGGGAGGCGGAGCTTGCAGTGAGCCGAGATCCCGCCACTGCACTCCAGCCTGGGCGACAGAGCGAGACTCCGTCTCAAAAAAAAAAAAAAAAAAAAGAAGTGAGCGAGGGAAAGTGGGGATGGTTAATGGGTATAAAAATATAGTTAGAATGAATAAGATCTAGCATTTTAAAGCACAACAAGGTGACTACAGTCAACAATAACTTAGTATATATTTTAAAATAATCAAAAGTGTATAATAGGATTGTTGTAACACAAAGAAAGGATACATGCTTGAGGTGATGGATACCCCATTTACCCAGATATGATTATTGTGCATTATATGGCTGTATCAAAATATCTCATGTACTCCATAAATATATACATATACTATGTATCCACAAAATTAAAAGTAAGATAAAAAAGAAAATCAGTGAAGTTAATTTGATAAAGATTTTATTTTTCTCATCCAATTTATAGAAACAAATAATGCTTTTCAAAGTTCAATATTTCAAAGGTAAAATTTCTGACATTAGGTCAATGTTCCAAATCCAATTGTACTGAAGATAGATTTATGCATTATTAACACATATTTTGGTGGAGCTTATTTTCATATAACTTTTTTTAACTAATTTAGATGAAAGTCGTTAAGAAATGTAGTTGGAATTGGCCATGGGGTATATATAATATATGACTGCAACAATCTAACTTGGAATAGCCTACCAATCTAAATAGAAGCTGAATTTTTGAAAATTTATGTTTTTTTGTACATTTGAATTTTTTTCTTTTTTTTTTTTATTTCTGTAAATGTAAAGGCACAAGGGAAGTTTTGTTACATGCATATGTTGCATAGTTGTGAAGCCTGGACTTTTTAAAAGTATAATTACAGAGTAATTAAACTGGAAAATTAAGTGTGAAAAACCTAATATTAAATTTTAACAAAGAATGACATGACAAGTGCTTTCTTTATTTGCTGCTTATCACTGAGGGGTTTTAGAAATGTTTCAAGTCTTTGAAGCACTACTTTCTAAATCAGCAGTTCCATAACAATGGTACTAAATATTTAAGAGTTCACTAGGGTTGATTACCTCTTATTTATAATCAGTTGGAAATGCTTAATCAAAGTAATCAACGAAAAGAGGCCCCAAAACTTCAGATTTTGAATCTTTTACTAAATTGTAATTATTTAAAACAAAGTCTTCCTAGAAGTTATAGAAATTTATTCTTTTAAAGCAAGGATGAAACTGAAAGAATTAATAATGAGAATGTATACAATGTACATGATTTCAATTGAAACTCTGTAATTAAGTTTTAATATTTCTTTTCTTTTTCTTTTTTTTTTTTTTTGAGATGGAGTCTCGCTCTGTCGCCCAGGCTGGAGTGCAGTGGCACGATCGATCTCGGCTCACTGCAAGCTCCGCCTCCCGGGTTCACGCCATTCTCCTGCCTCAGCCTCGTGAGTAACCGCGATTGCAGGCGCCCGCCACCACGTCCCCCTAATTTTTTGTATTTTTAGTAGAGATGGGGTTTCATCGTGTTAGCCAGGATGGTCTCGATCTCCTGACCTCATGATCCACCCGCCTCGGCCTCCCAAAGTGCTGGGATTACAGGCGTGAACCACCACGCCTGTCGCTAGTTTTAATATTTCAACCTACAGTAACAAGGAACTGCTGTTTTTTATTGGATAAATTTGTAACTGTATCACGATAGAAAACAATGGAAAAAAAAACTAATTTTATAGCATCTATATATTTTGTAGCATTTAAAAGTCCTACTAATAGAGACAGTATATTTAAACCATTTTATTTGTAATAGATATTTTTAAACATAATTGTGCTGAAATATTGATAAAATTTAGTAATACATGTAGGATTAAAATATTTCCCATTTAGCTGAATTTCTTCAGCAATGAGAGAAAATGTTATCTCAAAATATTACAGTCTTTCAAGAAAGATCAGTTGAAGGTGTTAGAAATTTCAAATTTTAAATCTATTAATCATAGAATACAATTTTGAAAAGTTGCAGAAATTTTTATCTGAAACAAAAATAATGTGTCCATATTTTTTAAAAATACATTTTTTCAGAAAAATACCAGTGGCATGGTGCTAGAGACAGATGTGACTAAGAAACTTATTAAGACTCGAATATGTCCCAGATATAATTATTCTGCCTATGTTCAGAAAAACAATATAAAAATTTATTTTTTATTTTGCCTTAATGTATACAGATATGGGTTATTTTTATTTCTTTAGAAATAACTTAGTTTTTCAAAGTGTTTTGAATACTTTAAAAATTAATGAGTACTTCAAATCTATAATTAATAACACTGTACTGTACACTTAAAAATGTGTTGAGAGTAGATATCAATGAGTTTAGCGTTCTTACTACAATTTAAAATATCAGTATAATGAAAGCAATATGCCAGTCTCTCACTCTCACTCTTTCCCTCTTATACATCTAGCATTTCAGTTTTTCTAACAAATCAAATTCATATTCTAAACGAAATGCTTCACTCGAGTTACAAATAACTTTTCAGAGACTGAATATTTTCACTCCCAATCTTTAGTTTAAACCACTATTAAAAAACAAACTGTAAGATTTCATGCCCAACAACAGGAACACACACTTTAAGATCACGACATGGATCACTGGCCTGAGTACTCTACAACTTGGTAAGATGTATTGAGTCACAGAGAAGCTAAGTAAATTGATCCAAGATCATCACACAGCCAGTAAGCAGATAAGCCAGAAGGTGAACCAAGGCAGTGAGCCTCCCTACTCCATCTGTATCCAGCTAACTACAGGATATTATCCTTCACATGAACTAGAGTCTTAAGAGTTCTTCTCCTAATTGTTTTATAATTACTTCAAACTTTTATCTCAATTAACTTGATTTTAAGCTTCATAAATATATAAATCAGGCTTTGCAACTTTGATCATTTTCCATTTCCCACTCATTATGCAGTACCTGGTTATGTTTGTTTCCAATTATACTCTGGCAAAGCTCAAGTAAGCAGATAGTGAATATTTGTAGAATGATTGATTGACTTTCAAAACAAATATAAGTAGACTCATAAAAGTTACAATAGGAAGGTTTTTAGATGTTCAATTATTTTAAATTATCTTTTCTGGTCTTCTTTCAAAGATCCAGTAGGAAATGGGAAGAAATAATTTTTTAAAAATCTTTCAGCAATTCACAATGTTTATGGTAATTATTTCAACTAACTAAGCTGTTGAAATAATCATAAATACTAGCTTTAGTTGAAACATTAGAGGTCATTGATCCTAATCTCATGAATGCAAGATTACTTATAAACTGGCTTTATTCATGTGCATCTTTATTCATGGTATAATTTTTTAATGTTTTAAATTTACAGAAGTACAAATTCTTCCTTTTTCATTAGTCTAATAACATTTCTTTAAAAAATGTTCTTCAGTGTCATATTGTTTTTTAAGGACTCTAAAGAAATCTTATTATATAATTGTATTTTTTTATCAGTCTTGCAGCATCAAAATTTATCCTTCTGTGTTTTTACAAAATTATTTTCCAGTTTCAGAATAGTAAGCTTAATAAAGCATGGTCAAGCCTCAACTTCCTAATTTGTACACAAATTTTTATTACCTTTCAAAATATAAAGTGATTCTGGAATACTTCTAAGGTTGAGTGATTCTATGTTAATGCAAGGTAAGTTATTTGTAATATTATTTTTTAATACAGCTTTGGAATTAAGGCTGATTGTATCTGTTTTTTAAGTGCCTGAAACATCCTGTGAGTACATCTGCTAAGTGAATAAGGGACAGTCTCAAATGCTGTTTCTGCATTAACTAATAATGTATTGGTTGTAAACAAGAGACATCACACAATAAGAGGCATTAGAGTGAGATTGGGCTATGTCCAACTTATATTTGTTTCATCTATTAGAGAAAATAACCTGGCAATTTGAAATACAGGTGTTGACTCCACACTGTCATTAAAACAATTGATTAGAGGTCATTTTACTGCCATTCAGGTAGATGTTTGCTGTGAGAAATGTATTCAGAGTTTGGGGATTGTAGAGCAGAAAGCTTATTCATTAAATTACTGACAACATTAATTTGGATGAGATTGTTGGCACCTTAGAGAATAGGATAAAATTTTAATAACCTAACAAGTTAAAGTGTAGGAGGATGTCAACAAGATAAGTTTTAGTATTGAGGTCAAAGGAAACTAATTTACCTGAGAGGAAAAACAAACTGCATAAATACCTAAGTAAAAGACAATATTTGCAGAGATGTGGCAAAAATATATATACATATACAAATATTATATAACGTTAATTAAAATGTTTTTACAAGTAAATAGAAACCTTTTTATAATTATTTTAAAATCAGTTGTGGTTGATTTATTTCTATTTAACTTTAAGCCTAAATGGCTGAATCATCCATCCTTTTATTCATCCATTCACATTTTCATGCTTATATGCCTTCATTAGCCAGAAAATATTTAATGAACCCTATTATTCTTCTTTTTGCAAGAGGCCTGCAGTAAAGGAAAAGGTAAACTCTAAACCACTCACTTTTCTAGCAGATATCCTATGTGACTTGGATTGTAAGAACAGATCAAACTAAAAATTCAGGATTCCTTTATTCATGTAGTGTCATTGAGTAAAACATCCCTTTGGTTATGGACTAAATGTTTCTCACAAATTCATACGTTGAAGACCTACCCCCCCCTCCCCAGTGTGATGGTATTTGGAGGTGAGATCTTTGGGAGATCATTAGGTTTAAATGTGGTCATGAGGGTAAGACCTCCATGATGAGATTCACAACTGTGTAAGAGAAGGAGAGACCAGAGCTCTATTTTTCTCTCCCTCCACCATGTTGAGGATATAGTGAGAAGCCAGCTACCTCTGTGGTAGGAAGAAAGCTCTCACCAGAAGTCAGATTCACAGGTGCTTTGATCTTGGATTTCACATCCTCCAGAACTGTAAGACATAAATATCTATTGCTTAAGCCACCTAGTCTATGGTATTTTGTTATAGTAGCCCAAGCAAAGACATCTTTTACCAGTCTTTGTTTAAATGAATTAAAATTATCTATTATTTAGAACTAAATACCTTAATGCCTCAAAATATGACAGGAGTTGAATTTTCTACTTTTAAGAATAATGAAAGTCAGAAAGCTGACACTGAATTAAAGTAATATTATATAATAAACCATATCTTTATGATTTTACTTTCTTTTTAGCATGGGTGAAATCTATCAGAAATATTTGTCTTTAAGAAACAAAAGTGCTATTTTAGAATTTTTATATATGAATGAAATGATATTTATTGGTGATATACTAACATAGCAAATAGTATGTTATTTAAAATAAGATGCATGCTTTTATAATACCATATCACATTAAACAATTATCAGATCTTGAATTTATTAAGTGTTTTTTCCTTAATAACATGAAATTTTACATGTGAGACCTTAGCCTCATCATTAAAATAATATATGTAAATAAAATAAGAGACTGAAGAGATAGTAATAGATCCACTGGAATGGGCACATAAATTTTTGAGTGCAGTGGTTGAAAACAGCTTTTGAAAGTGTTCATAAGAGGATTAATATTCTTAAACACATTCAAGTTTACAGACCATCAGCAAGAGACCACACAACAGACATAACAACAGGACAGTAATAAGTTAAATAAGGTCTTTCAAAATCTTCCACTCTGATTTCTTCCAGACATTCCTAGGTCTCATCTCTAACTCCCTCCCACCCTCACTTAACTCAGTTTTGTCAGACACCAATTTTGCAACCTGGAAAAAAATGACTAGAAAAAAAATAGATGATGAAAAATAGAAGCCCATCATACCCAGCTTCTACCTAAGGGAAAACTAAGCTTAAGGGGAGGGATTTCAAAGTGAAACCAAGACCTACCTCAAGACTACTAAGTGAACTGGATATTTAATAGTGCCTGGAGAAATGCTACCATTGACCATACAGTAATAGCATTTGCCTAAATCTCAAGCAAAGTAAGGTGAAGAACTAGTGTCAGAGAACAAACATCAGGGTGTAAAGGGAAGACAATTAAAGTCCTTTTATGAGAACAGAGCAATAACAGTGCTTGTTTAAGTAAGAATTAGAAGAACTCCCTTGTATCAGGTATCACCCAAATATTTTTATATATCATTTGAGTCTGTGTGTGTGTGTATTTGCATGTTTACATGCACTTATCCTCATAACTTTTGTCATTTGATATTGATTGGCACTTTATTATAGATAACATAAATCAGACTTAGAGATATTATGTAACCTGCCTAGCAAGTTAAATATTTTATTTGCCTAGCAAATAAAAATATAAGATGCCTAGCTAAATTTGAATTTCAGATATGAAATGAATTTTTTTTTTTTTTGAGACGGAGTCTCACTCTGTCGCCCAGGCTGGAGTGCAGTGGCCTGATCTCGGCTCACTGCAAGCTCCGCCTCCCGGGTTCACACCATTCTCCTGCCTCAGCTTCCCGCGTAGCTGGGACTACAGGCGCCCGCCACCACGCCCGGCTAATTTTTAAAATATTTTTAGTACAGACGTGGTTTCACCATGTTAGCCAGGAGATACCAATCGATCTCCTGACCTCGTGATCCGCCCTCCTCGGCCTCCCAAAGTGCTGAGATTACAGGCGTGAGCCACTGCCCCCGGCTGATTTTTTTAAATATAAAATTATTTGGGATATTCTTATATTAAATAATCTTCCATTTGTTACTGGAAATTCAAACTGAACCTACGCTTTACCTACCACCCCTATTTATATCACACAGCTACTAAATGGTTGTTCCAGAATTTGAAATCAGTTCTGCAGGATCTGTATACACTTTTGTCCCTATAGCTCTATGGTCTGTTTCAGAGGAGAAAAACTGGCAGCTTGGTTGTTTCTTCATACTGTTAAATCTCAGGATCTTCCTCTACAGCTTTTGGCCTGATGCATTTCCAGTATCACGTGCTGAAATCCACTGTTGCATCTCTCTACATGGTTCTTACGGACCCAGTGGAATAACTCATCTCAAAGATGGGAAGAATGTAGTCATCTCGGTTTCTGTGGTTGTGTTTATTATTTCCCTGATGGTAAGAGCCTCCAAATAATTTTGACATTTCTCCTAAATCAACACTGTGCTTCCTAGTGCTTACCCAATTTGCGTTGTACAAGCCTCTTAGCTTCTACTACAAATCAGATATTCTGGGCCAGTGGTTTTTCAAGCTGCTTTTGCAGACCAGAGCTTTTCTTGAAAGAGAAAATATTTTATTTGTAAAAATATAAAAATCTAGTTTGGATAAAACTGCACAAAATATATTTGATGCATTCTATTTAATCATATGCTTTAGAATAAAAAAAGATTTTTTTATTCTATTTAAACACTGTTTTTTAAACACTGTTTAGTTGTTCCATTGGTATTAATCTTGTCTTTTGTGAGGTGTTGTTTTCTTATTGTTTATTATCAAGGTAAAATACACAATAAACTGGTAGGAAAACAGTAAATTCAGAATTTCAAGAAGCTAAAATAAGAAAATCAGATATTTTCTTTGGAAATTTTATTAATTTTCCTAGGGACTTAAATAAATGTTATAACAGAGAATTAAAAAAAGTCTAGTAGGCTTATGAACAGGAAGTAGATTTATGAACAGCATACGTTATTCAGCTTGATAAAGAAAATGAAAAAAAAATACACTTAGAGAAAGTCAGACAATTACTTAGAATCCTCTGGTGTACACAACATTAGACTATTTTCTTGGAAATGTTTTAGCTGAGAAACACTTGCCTCTAGGAGTTTTAATCAAACGAGGAACACAAAACAGATTAAAATAATACATATACAAGTATAAAAGTATAAGCATATATCATAAAAGCATGTAACATACTTTCTATACATATGTGCCCCAAACAAAATTCTATTTTTATTACACATTAATATAACATGTGAAAAAGCTTTGAAAATAAACTAGTTGCACTGAGATACAAAAGTGCTATGTATTTTAAAAGAATTTTTAAAAAGGAGGAATGGAATTCCTGAAGTGACTTGGTAAGTACAACAAACATAGCTATTTGGAACAATTTCAGGAAAACAGTAAGCCTATAAATGAACTCTGGAAGTAGAGAAAGCAGTGGATTAGAAAGGAATAACAGCAACTTGATATATCAGGAGAAAAAGCAAAGTGAAAATGGCACATATGTTTACTTTGACTAGTGCAAAGGTATATGAGAGACAATGTGTTATGTGAATTATGGAGAGAAACATTAAATATTTGGTAAAGAGAAAGTGCTGCAGATTACTAGAGTAGTGAGAAAAATATTATTTTGCTCCTGAGAAATCAGTAAGGAGAATAAATTAATTTAAATGTAAACAGAAAAAAACAGTTTGATTAGATAGTAGGAAGCAGTGATGTGCTGAGCTAGCTTTTCAGTACAAAAAAGCTAATCATTTAAATGTTAGTATTTTTAACTTTACATGATGGAAATTAGCCAATGCCACAAGTCAAGGTTTTGTTTGCTTTTGTAGGGAGTGAGTTTACCAGCATGCAATACAAATGATTGTTATAACTTGAAATCAGTTTCCAAATAACCTAATGGAAAATATGTTTGGGAATGTTTTGAGAAAAAAATGCTGTAACTATCTCCTTCTTAAATTATTTATTATATTATTTAGTAGGTCAAAAGTCAGAACATAGTTTCCTCGTAAAAATTATTTACCTCTGCACTAGTCAAAGTAAAAATTATACATGTCTTAATTATTTCCGGAAGAAAATTTTTCTAATTTTTCTGGATTGACTTGTGACATATTCATAATGATATATCTTCTATTGCTAGTTTATAATTTGTTAGTCTAAATGTTGTAGTCATAACTAGAAAACATTGAGTTTTCTTGCAAGTTTTGATATGATTGTTGTACATCATTATGAATATGAATATATTAATCTATATGATAGGTCTTTTTAAGATAACACTAAACACTAAAAGACTCTTCAATGTTTCTTAAAGAATGAGAAATAAAGCTAATTTGTATTTCATAAAGAGAAAGCTTCATTAGATGAATAAAATAAAATGAATAAAATGTATAAATGAATATATATATAAGAGTGAGATAGAAGGAACAAACCTGTGTCAAAAAGATAACTTCTAATTTTTAAAAAATGTATTATTTTCCTTTTGTTACATGTTTACATGTCAGTTTATGAAAAACTTAGAGGCTCAAAATTTATGTTTGTTTGTCTTGGTGCTTTGAATGTTAATTATATAATGATGTTTTATTAGATTATGAAGAATTGGGCCACAAATAGTGCCAGGACTTTCAACTGTATTTGAAATTGTATCCCTCAAGGTTAGCGATTAATAAAAATATAGGGCATAAAACGGCTTGTCACAGATAAAGCATTTACACACTGCTGCTTCCTCAGGATTCACTTGCTTGAATAAATATCCCAAATAAATATACCATATAAAGCAAAATATTGCATTTGCTAAAATAAATACCCATTCAAATGTGCACAGCTACAGATGGCTACAGCTCTTAGAGAAATAAATAGGGCTCAGTCTAGAATGAATGTAAGACATTGAAAGAGACATAAAACAGTTTTTCAGAACATGATAAAATGAATAGTGCATGATTTAAAACTGATTGACAGGTAATGAACTATAAAATCTGTATTGAAATGAAAATGACATAGAGAAAGAATAACACATGGCCTTATTCCTACAGTCTTAGAGTTGAAAAATGGGAAATTTTCTAAACCACCAGCTCACAGAAATTAACCAAATTAAAAACTGATGACAAATCTATGTGCTGTGATTGAATTAGCCTAGTTCCTGAGAAAAAGAAGTGCAATGCAATTTAACTACGAGGTATTAGAATTATATTCCTACTCATATCAGATTGAATTGGTAGTTGAAAATAAAATGTTTCCTGAATATGCATGTGTTTATGTATGCATACTTATGTTTCTAAATAATTCTTCATTTACTAGAGGATTTAAACATATGTTAGAGATCTACAATTTGCATCTTAGCCTATCAGCATACCCATGCAGATCTTCTATTGCTAGTTTATAATTTGTCAGTCTAAATGTTGTAGCCAAAACTAGAAAACATTGAGTTTTCTTGCAAGTTTTGATATGATTGTTCTACATTAAATTTTACCTGTGGTACTCACAAGAAGAATGCCTTTATATCTACCTTTATTTCTTTTTTCCTTGCTTAAAGGATCTGACAGGAAAAAAAATACAGGGTTCTCATGGGTAGCAGAATGGAAGTCTGCACTAAAGTTTGCACTGAAGACTACCATTAAAAAATGAAACTAAAACTTATTTTATAAATGAAAAACGGTATGAAGTTACAATTATGTAAATGTATTACAAGCCCATTTCAAGATAAAAAAACACACATGACTTAGCTATCATTTATTGATAACTTATTTGCCTACATCATGGACTGAATATTTGTGTCACCCCCAAATTTATGTTGAAATGCCACCTCCAGTGTGATAGTGTTAGGAGGTGGTGCCTTGGGAAATTATAGATTATAAGGGTGCATCCCTTATTAATGGGATTAGTACCCTTATAATGGGCTACTAATGACAACCCTAGAGGTGTCAAGCAAATTTTCTAAATGTGCACAGGTAATAACTGGACACAGCCAAGATTCAAACCTGGTAGCCTTACTCGCAAACATGGGTTTTTGTAACCATAACAGAATTAAATATTTTTTGGAACACTATATATGCTAATTGTATATCTAAATACCTTAGAAGGAAGTTTATTACTTGAGTTCTACTAAATATCCATCTTTGGCCCAGGGCCTAGATCAATAGATACATAATTAACACTGGATGCTAATTCTTTAATATAAAGAAGGAATTAGTGCTAGGAGCATTACTAAAAGGCATACTTCAAATAAACTTGTAAATAAGAGAATGTAATCTATAATGATTACACAGATTGGAGAACAGTCTAATGTATCTTAATAAAGCTGAATTGATTTTTATCTTATTACCACTTTACTTACAATAACTCATCAATTTCTTTATTTATGTTCATTAAAGTGTAAATTTCCTTCTGTTACCTATAGTCACTGGAAATGTTGAGGCCCACTTATAGTGTAAAGAAGAGACTCTAAGGTTTCTAAACACTTACCTTTAAATATACTGGTTTCAAGGGGGTCTATAAATCCTCTGAAAAATCTGCACATATATATGTGTATATGGGTTGTCTACAGAGAAAACCTGTGGCTTTTCTTTAGAACACTGAGCCAATTTTTTGGAGTATATAACTCAATTTTTCTTCAAATTCTTACAATTCTATTCTAAGAATAGAATTTTCCACATCTGTTGAAAAGAAGATGACAGATGTAGAAAAAGAGAAAAAGAGAGAGGTTGCCAACCAAGAGCATGTAATGGTTAAAAGAAGATGTTTGAGAGAGAGAGGCTACAGTTTTGAATCTTGACCACGGCCACTAACTACCTGTGTGAGCTTGGACAATTATGTTAACTTCTCTGTTTCCTAGGTTTGTCATCAGAGAACTGGGGAAAAATAGCAGCATATTGGGGTGCTATATGAAATTAAACAATTTTGCTATACATAAATCTTGAAGAGTTTAAAACCTCAGTTTGAGTCCTGTGTCTTTACTTAGTTACTGTGTGACCTTAGAAAACTCAATTAATTTATGTTTCTAAAATTCAGGTCACTGGAGTTTAAATTGGTAAAAATAATGACTCTTCTAAATATCTATGGCAATATAACAAACCACCTCAAACTTAGTAGCTTGAAACAATAAATATTAATTTTGCTATTTAGGCAGGGTTCAAGGGAAACAGCTCTTCTCTTTCACAGAGCATGAACTGCTGGTTGTGACTCAATGGCTTGGGCTGAAAGCATGTGCAGGCTCCCTGCCTCTTGTATCTGGTAGTTGATGTTGACTGTCGCATGGAATCTTAATTGGACTCTCAATAGAAATATCTACATGTAGCCTCTCCATGTGACTTCTTGACTGCCTCATAGCATGGTGGTTGGGACCCAAGAATGAGAATCCAAAAAAAACTAGGCAGACACTATATTGCTTTTATGCCTAATCTCAGAAATCACATGATATCATATCTGCCATAATCATAAGCACATTCAAATTCAAGAGGAGGGAACATGGATCCCATTACATGAGAAAAATGTCAAAGTCACAGAGTAAGAAGAACATGTTGGGCGTACAATCAACCATAGCTATCTAGCACGTTGGGCTGTTGCCAGAATAAAATAAAACAATATATCTGAAAATGTGTTGTAATACTTTAAGTTCAGTAATCAACTTGTCATAATTATATATGACTTATGTTATAATATAAATAATTATAAATATATATAATATATTATATATAATTATATACAATATATTATATATAATATATTTTTATAATATACATATTATATTATATATAATACAATATATATACATAATACAATATATATAATACTATATATAATATATATATAATACATATAATATATATGTTATAATATAAATATAATGCAAATAAAATGCATTATAACTATATGTTATTATTATCCAGAGTAAGGACAAAAAATAATATTTCAGCAATGTTGATTAGTTTGAATACTTTGCTATAACTTTGAATTTCACTATAGCTTAGATGGAAAACACAGCAAAATTGTAAAATGAGGCACAAGTTTGATGGATTTTAGAATATTAAAAACATTGCTGAGAATACTTAATTTATATATCCCCATATATATATCTGAGAATTAGGCTATTTTTAAAATTAGGTATTGTACCCACTCTAGCTTGGTACTTTCCATATTTTAAAGGTTAGAAACTCTTTAAGAATCATAGAAAAATAGCACTGATAGAAGAATTTTCGACAATTTATGGAAGCCCAGATGCAGAAGGAAAAATATTTCCTCATGAGGAGTGAAAATATCTTTATAATATATCAGCAAAATTTTCCCTTAAGAATAAAGACAAAAAAAGGGCTAACAAAATTTGAGTCTCACCAAAAGGAATTTTTAAATGTATTAGATTGTGTATATTTGAGATTTACAGCATAATATTATGGGATCCATATCAATCTTCTCAGTTACTTTTTGCAACAAAAGCAGCTAAAATCGAAAATCCACTTATCTATCAAAAATTTCTAACATAATAAAATTTCATTAACTATAGTTTGTCTTTTGTACATTAGATCTCTACACCTGTTCATATCTGCAAACGCCTTTAAAGGAAATTCTTATATCTGATACTTTGACTCTTTAATATTTTTCTCTCTATGTCTGGCTTATTTTTACTTACTGTAATGCCCTCCAGGCCTATCTACATTGTAGCAAATGACAAATCTCCTTTTTTAAGGTTGAATATTATTCCATTCTAAATGTATAACACATTTACTTTATCCATTCTTTCAGCAAAAGACACTTATTTTATGTCTATATCTTGGATATTATGAATAATGCTGCAATAAACATGGGAATGCAGGTATCTTTGTGAGGTGGTGTTTTGTTTCCTTTGTGTATATACCCAGAAGAGGCATGACTGGGTCACGTGGTAGTTCTATTTTTAATTTCTTTAGTAACCTCCATACTGATTTCCATAATGGCCATACCAATCTATATTTTCACCAGGGGGTTCATGAACCAAAACAATTAATATCGTTAAAATGTCTATACTACCCAAAGCAAAGTACATATTTAACACAATCCTTATCAAAATTGCAATACTATTCATCATAGAAATACAACAAACAATAATAAAATTTGCATAGAACCACAAATAAAAAAACAAAATAGGCTAGATGGGGTGGCTTATGCCCATAATCCTGGCATTTGGGATGCCGAAACAGGAGGGTTGCTTTAGGCCAGGAGTTTGAGACTAGCCTGGCCAACATAGTGAGACTCCCATCTCTACTGAAAATAGAAAAACTTAGCTGGGTGTAGTGGTGTACAGTGGTAGTCCTAGCTACATGGGAGACTAAGGTGGGAGGAGTACTAGGGTTATCAGGAGTTCAAGGCTACAGTGAGCCATAATTGTGCCACAGTACTCCAGCCTGGGCCACAGAGTTCTTACTCTGTTGAGACTTAGTCTCTTCTTAATCTGTTGAGATGCAAAAGAAAAAACAAGCAAACAAAACAAAACACCAAAAACCAAAAAAACAAACAGCCAAAGCATACTGAGAAAGTAAAACAAATTGGAGGCATCATACTTCCTGATTTAAAATTCTGTTACAAAGTTATAGTAATCAAAACAATATGATAATATGACACTGGCATAAAAACAAAAAATAGATCATTGGAATACAATGAAGAGCCCAGAAATAAATCCAAACATATACAGTTAACTTATTTTCCTAAAGGGCACTGAGAACACACAATGGGGAATCTTCAATAAAAGGTATTGAGAAAACTGGATTTCCACATTCAAAAGAATAAAACTAGACCCTTATCTTACACCATCCACAAAAATAACTCAAAATAAAGAAAAGACCTAAATGTAAGACCTGAAATCACAAAATTCTTAAAAGATAACATGTAAAAAGGTTTATTGACAATGATTTTTTTGGATATCACACCAAAAGCTTAGGCTACAAAAACAAAAATAAATAAATGAGACTAATCAAACTAAAAAGCTTCTGCACAGCAAAGGAAAGAAGCAACGAAATGAAAGGGCAACCTATGGACTGAGAAAAAAAGATTTCCAAACCATCTATCTGATAAGGGGTTAATATCCAAAATGTATAAACAACTCTTACAACCCAATATCAGAAAAACAAACAATCTGATTTTTAAAAGGAGCAAAGAATCTGAACAAACATTTCTCTAAAAAAGACATACAAATAGCTAACAGGTATATGAGAAGATGCTCATCATGAATCACTGGGGATATAGAAATTAAAACCACTGTAAGATATCACCTCACACCCCTTAGGAATGTTAGGATGGCTACTATCAACAAAACAATAGATTAAAAATGTTAGACAAAAGGGACTTTCTAAAAGTTATACTTCAGGCAGAATGAAAAGTAGCTAGAATGGAAGGCCTGAGGCTTTAGAAGGAATGATAGCAAAGACAACAGAAAGCATGAAGGTATGCATAAAATTTTAAAAGCATAAACCAATAATACAACCATACATATTCTGTGGGTTAAAAACAAATACAGAATTAAAATATTTGGATATAATAATAAAAAAGTCCTAAACTGGAAAGGATAAGAAATTTTTATGTACTTTGAACAGGTATCAGCAATTTTTTTCCTTAAAGGCTTTGTAGTCTAAGAGGCAAAAGAAAGTATAGGTACCTATAAAAAAAAAGAAAGAATACACTTCTTTAATTGTTTTAATTGATGTAGTTCAAAATGTAATAATGATTGAAGACGACTTTTTCTGTAATATAGATCTACTAATGAGAAGAATGAACATTTGGGGATGAGGATGACAATTTAATTACAGTTCATAATTAGTATTATCTGTCATCAAAATTGATTGCAAATATGCTTCTGTTAATGCTGATTTATAATGAGATTTTGCATATTTTATGTTTGAAAAATTTCACACAAATACGTGGTGCCAAATAATGATATCAACAAGTGAGCCACTTGGAAACTTACTTTGGTTGCAGCCTCATTTTTTTATTCTGCCGTGATAAGACATTCTGTTTTAAATTTTTGGATATTTATGATTGTTGCTTTCTTGGGGTTGACGATATTTTAATGAGTGCCTAGTGTTATAATGTTGATGTATATTTTATTGGTTGAGCACAGCTATAATGTCATTGAATAATAAACACAATACGTTGACTTCTGATATGATAAAAAATAATTCACTCTCTATTGTGTCTAAATGTTAAGGCATTTGAAGTTGACTTTTCCTGTTTAGACATGACAGGCACGTACTAGTATTAAAAAATAAAAGTAAAATATCCCAGTACAGAACTACATATGGCACTCAAAAAGCTTTGGACTTATGACTTCATCAATAAAGTTTGAATTTTGTATTAGTTTCTCATGTCATGAACTTTATTTTACTTTGACTTTTTCTATTTATTTAAAAATGTAAAACTCATTCTTAGGTAACAGTTTGTACATAAAAGATATGGCCAAAAAAGCAGAATAAAAAGGACAAAATCAGTTAGTAGAGATAAATAAAACTATCTTGATAATCAAAATTAATTAAAACCAACTAACCCTCTAGTTAAAAAGCAAAGATATTTAGGTTGTATTTTAAAATATCCAATAAAATTTTATTTTTAGGAAAACTCCTAAAAATAATTAAAATCTTTTGCAAACTATTTCAGAATGGAAAAGAGGGAACACTGTCCAAAATGTTTTGTGAAGTCTGTATAACGTTTACTCCAAAACCCCATAAGGACTATACAATGAATATCTCAAAAATCCAAATGCAAATTAAAATAAAAATAAGATACCACTACAGACTTATTAGAGTGCCTAACATCTAAAACACAGATAATAGCAAATGCTGGCAAAGATATGTAGCTACAGGAATTCTCTCATTCACTGATGGTAGAAATGAAAAATGGTATAGCCACTTTGGAAGGTAGTTTGGCAACTTCTTGCAGAACTAAACATACTCATACCAAGCTATCCAGCAACCACGCTTCTTTGTATTTACCCACATGAGCTGAAAACTATGTCCATAAAACAAATCCTATACATGAATGTTTATAGCAACAGTATTAATAGTTGCCAAAACTTGGAAGCAACCAAGATGCCCTACAACAGATAGATAAACTGTTATTATATATACCCTAAAATATTATTCAGCACTAAAATTGAAAAATATTTACACTCAAATATTATTTAGCCCTATGAAAAAGAGCTATCAACTCATAAAAAGGCATGGAGGAACCTCAAAAGCAAATTACAAAATGAAAAATGTCAAGCTGAAAAGCCTACGTAATATGCGATTTCAACTACCTGACATTCTCGAAATGGCAAAAATATGGAAACAATAAAATGATAAGTGGTTACCAGAGGATTCAGAGGAGGGAGGAATGTCTAGGTAGAGCACAGGAGATTTTTAGAGCAGTGAAACTATCCTATATGATGCTATAAATGTGAATACATGTCACTTTACATTTTTCAAAACTCCTAAAAGTACAAAACCAAGAATGAACCCTAATGTAAACTAAAAACTAGGGACTTCGGGTTCATCAGTTGTAACACATGTAGTACTCTGACGTGGGATGTTGATGTTAGGCGAGCTATCTATTTGTGTAGGGAAGAAACATGTGAGAACTCTGTAATTTTGGCTCAAATTTTCTATGAACCTAAAACTGCTTTAAAAAATAAAATCTATAATTTTAAAAAACAAAAATAAAGCTCAGTAGTAATTGTGAGCACAATGAAACATTTCTAAGCAAAACATAGTTACATTACATCAAGAAACAATAATAATAAAGAAAAAGTATTCTGATAAATAAAAATTTATCCCAGAAATATGACTGGTTTAACATTAGAAAATAAACAAATGTAATTTGTAATGGTAAATAGATTAACTGGATTTTCCTCTTTTAATGAAAATCAATTAATTACCTAATAAATTCAGAGAATGGATGCTTGTAGAATTCAACATTTAATTATAATAAAGGGGTGGATGGGCTAGGGGGTTGAAGATATGTTGGTTGAAGGATACAAAATTTCAGTTAGATACAGGAATAAGTTTAAGAGATCTACTGTACAACATGATGACTATGGTTAATAATATTCTTGAGAAATGTTGGGAGAGCGGATATAAAGTATTCTCACCACAAAAATGATGACTATGTAAAGTGAGTCTTACGTTGATTGCCAAGATTTGGTCACTTTCCAATAGTATATGTGCTTCAAAACATCATGTCGTATATGGTAAAAGCATACAATTTTGTCTGTCAACTAAAATAAACAAGTGAAAATAAAAATAAAAACTATTACAATAATGATTACTATAAATAAAAGTGGAATAGATTATTTGAAGCAAAACTGCAATTAAGAATTTCTTTACCTCTTCCAAATAAGGAACAGTTTGTAAAATTTCCTACTATTACTTGTTGGCTGAGTGACAAACAATAGGACATTTTATAAACTCTTAGTAGGATAATATATTGGTTTATCACTCTTTTTTTCCTTCAAATTGAAGGCATTCATATTTCTTATCTACGATATCCAGTCCTAGACTCT
Organism: Homo sapiens; assembly: GCF_000001405.40. Classification (NCBI taxonomy): domain Eukaryota; kingdom Metazoa; phylum Chordata; class Mammalia; order Primates; family Hominidae; genus Homo; species Homo sapiens. Next base: position 87,227,758 of record NC_000012.12, read on the forward strand.
TAGACATATATCTTGGAGGCATATAGACCAGGAGAAATAGACAATAAAATCATACAATATCTACTCTTTTTTTCCTGCCTTTCTTTAATACTTACCTTGATATTCTTTTATATTGTTGAATATACCAGTAGTTTGTTCTTTGTAATTGCCAAATAGTATGTCATTTTATTATTATACCATGATTTATTAAAAAAATTCTTTTAGGTGGCTTTTTCTTTTTGGCTATTATGAATTAAGCTGCTGCAAATATTTTAGAAGTGATGTTATGGACATATGCTCTTATTTCTCTTAGGCATGTACTTAGGAGTGGAATTGCTGGGTTATAAGATGAGAATATGTTAAACTTTATAGACATTGGCAAACAGTTTATCAAATTAATATATTATTTTAAATTGCCAGCAACAATATACGATGATTATATTTAGTTATGTTTAATATCTTCATATGTGTCCCCTTCACTGGAACAAGTATCCTTCTTCAGAAGTGGCCGAGGATGTTGTCAGGTCAGGCTCTTCCAGAGAACAAAACAACAAACTGTTTAGAATAATGGAATGGGGAGCTATTCCAGAAAACTGGCTTAATTAGTCAACTCTCCTTCTCTCATGGTAGGTTGTAACATTTGCCCAGAGGAATTCCAGAATTTCTATGAACCAGTGATTTATGGATCTGATATTGACAAGAGGCTTGCCCAAGGTTTTCTTTGGCTAATGGGAACTCTCTGCGCTTTTGCGTCATGTCACACCATTAGCAGATTCTTGTTGAATGTTGTTGTGCAGTTTGGATTGTCTTTTACACTCCGGTAATCCTCAAGAGAAGAACATAACCCAGATAGCCACCTCTCTTTCAACCTTAATCTTAAAATAATACCATATATAAAAGAACTAAATCCAAAACACAGCCTGTAGACTGGAGCACCAAATTAGTGCCTGGATTTACACTACCCAGCTAAGACTATGATAAATAAACTAAAACACAACCAACCTACAACCCTGGGCAGGAGAATGAATGTTACTGAATTCTCCTGAGTTTGAGGATAGATTTTTTGTTTTGTTTTGTTTTTCTTTAATGGAGTCTCGCTCTGTAGACAGGCTGGAGTGCAATGGCATGATACCGGCTCACTGCAACATCCACTTCCTGGGTTAAAGCAATTCTTCTGCCTCAGCCTCCCAAGTAGCTGGGACTATAGGCGAGCACCACCACACTCAGCTAATTTTTATATTTTTAGTAGAGACGGGGTTTCACCATGTTGGCCAGGATGGTCTTGATCTCTTGACCTCGTGATCTGCCCACCTCAGCCTCCCAAAGTGCTGGGATTACAGGCATGAGCCACCACACCCAACCGGGGGATAGTTTTTTTATAGTTTTACTGTGATAATAGCTAACCTTAAAGATCTGACAGTTAGATGAAGGGGGGACAAGAGTTAATGATATCAACAGCCCATCCATTCTATAATGGCAATATGTATGGAGTACTGCAGGAATACAAAGAAGGAGAATTAAACAAAAATGCCACAAAGTAGGTATAAGAGCCAGAAAATGTGTTCTACAGGAGGTTAAGTCTTTATATCAGGTAGGAGATGTATCTAGTCTAATGTGCAGGAGTTGTTTTTGTTTGTTTATTTGATTCTGCCAGAACAAGGGAACAGATCAAGTAAGTCATGAAGTAATAAAGGATATGCCACATTTGATGAGCTCCAGGCAGTTCAGTTCTGCAGGAATAAAAGGGTGTCTAAGGGAGAATGAGTGGAAATAAGATTAGATAGTAAAACAGTAAACACATTATGAAGGGCCTTACATGACATGAATAGATTTCAACCTAAATCCATTTTAACAGCATTGTTCTCCCTTTTGTGAGTTATGCATGAGAGGGCTAACTCTAGAACTAAAAATCTAATAGATCAGGTATGACACTGACAGATGAGTCACTCTTGATAAATAAGTGACTGGTATTTCAATAGCATCCTTGATAGAGTCAATGATATATATGTTTTCAGATACAGATGATTCCTCAAGTTTTTCATCACTCTGCGAAGACCACAACCTTTTTTCCTCTTTAAAATGTAGCTTGCTTGGTTCTGGAGTAATAAATGTTGCTTTAGAAAGTTGCTTTTGGAAAGCAAGGACTTTAACTTTTCCATAATTGAACTATTATAATTTCAATTAGAATTGTTGCTTAATATGTGTTCACTGACCTATTTAAAGTAATTTTCTAACTGGACAGCACTTCAGATAAATGTGAGTTCAAATTCTGGCTTTTCCCCCTAAGTTTACCTCTGCAAGTAATTTCCCTTTTGCCTTGGTTTCTTTACCTTTAAGAAAGAAGTATTATAATTCCTATTTTTAGGGGTGGTGAAAACCTTTCATGAAATGATGCTATAAAATGCCTAGTACAGTACCTGGCATCTAGGGGGCATTTAATTAATGGTTGCCATTATTATCATTGCTGTACAAATTCTCCACTCCATTACTCTTGCTGATGCCCAAACTTGTGGAAGTTGAAGTCTATACAACCATAAATGGAGGCTATACAACCATAAATGGAGGCACATTTGTCACATCTTGTCAGGAAAGATTTAATAACATTCTAGCCAGAGATATAAGATTAGTTTGCTTCTGAAGATTTTTAATATGGTTCAGCTGTGCCACCTCTAAGGTGCTCATTAGCAATACTGTCTCATCAGTTGCTATAGGCATCACATTAAGAGACATTATTTTTCATTCCTGCCTTTACTTCATCCTTCCTTTTGCTCTTTCATGCCCTGCATAAAAGAGAGAATTTGCTTTACTCTTAAACAATTTGATGAGAGTCCTCTCCCTCTTTGTTCTCACAGGGAAGTGAATTGGCCTTATCATATAGCAAGATAGTGCTACATTCCAAATGCTTAAGCTTAATTCACTCATTAGCGAGAAATGTTATACCTGGAAAAAGATAATGGAAACCTAATGCATATGCTACGAAGTTTCCCAGTAGAGCATTCCTTTTAAAAAGAAATAATTAGATGAATAAATTAGATTTTAAGCACTGATCTACCTATATACTCCAAAGAATATGTAATTAGAAATGTAAGGAGTGGGACAGATATCATTGTCAGTGGAGACATTTCTATTAGAAGCCAATAAGTTTTGGCAAAATGTTAATCATCTAAAACTATTTTAAAATCTATAATTGTTACAAAGTATACATAAAGTTGATTGAGCAAGTCAATTTAGATAAATGCATCAGATAAATAATGCTATACTTATGGACAATATATGACATACTCCAGTTTTTAAGTTAACTTGCTATTTTAAAACCATGGCAAAAGGATGGTGAAAATAATATGGCAACGAGTCATTTACATTCAAGAGTATATTCTTCTTTTAAATATTAATAGGTAATGACCTAATCATCATCATATGACTACTAATAGGTAATCATCTCATCATTAGGTGATTAACTCTTAGTATTTAAAAGAAGAATATACTCTTGATAACATGATATTTCAATGTTGTCCTAGGTGATATAGGGAAATAGGCTATATCCTTTGTCTAGGACATAATTGAAAACAGAGAATAGTAGGTGCTTGCCATGGTGTATTAGTCTGTCCAGGCTCCCATAACAGAATACCACAGACTTGGGTGCCTTAAACAACAAAAAGCTACTTTTCACATTTTTGAATGCTAGAAGCTCAAGATCACATGCCAGTAGGGTTGGTTTCTGGTGAGGACTCTTCTCCTCGCTTGCGGACAGATTCCTCCTCACTGTGTCCTCACATGATCTTTTCTCTGTGTGTGCATACTCCTGGAACCTCTTTCTTTCCTTATAAAGACACTAGTCCTATTGAATTAAGACCCTACTCTGATGACCACATTTAATGGTAATTACTCCCTATCTCCAAATACAGTCACATTGGGAGTTAGGGCTTCAACATATAAATTGGGGGGTGGGTACAATTTAGTCCATCAGACATGAATATTCAAAATAACCAAATAAATAAAAATAGCTTTACTTTTATTGTCTCAAGAAATTGACATAAAAGAAAAGCTGACTGGAGAAGCATGAATGTGAATAAGATCTAAATACATACAAAAACAAAAATTAGCCACATTTGGAACAAGACATTTTACTTACAGATGACTAAGATTTGCTGGCAAGCTGTTTATTTCACTTTTGCTTATAAAAATGATATATATTTTTAGTCGTAATAGAGTAATAAATCCTAGATTAATTCTTAGCTGTGTGAACCTCTGGGATGTCAACCTGTCCAGACATGTTCACAGATTGGTGGGATGAGTCCACAGGAATCCTATTTACATAAGGCTCTAAGGATTCTCTTGGGAGAAAACACATTCTAAGAGAAGAAGAAGTCATGGACCATAAGCTTAATCAGTGGAAAGAAAAACATCTTATCTTTTTAGAGGAAGCATATTTCAATCAGAATTATCTATCCAACTAGCCATTTATGAACATATGTTTGCAGTATATGGCATCTTTCACAAAAAAACCTACAGGTACTGAAACAGAAGCAGCACTTATTTACTCTATCCAAGTGTTACAAATAATTGGAAAATAAGCACTTTCTTCCCATTTCTTAACACTCGACTATATAGCTTTAGCGTCAACAGGACTCCAGAATATCTGTCATGGGATGGTAATGTCCAGCATATAGTAGGAATCAGTGGTCATCCGGAGACAATAGAGAAAACCATGATAACTTTGGAAAAGGTGAGTACCTGGTATAATTCCTAATAATATCCAGTGGCAATGGAAATTGTTCTCAGCACAAGGGCCAGCATATCTTAGCAAATTCTGATATCAGCAGTTGTGATCTCAGAGGAGGAGAAATAAAATCACAGTTGTCAATGGTAAATAATTTCAGACACCTGTAGTTGGCATAACCAAATGTCACAGTTTGTCAGAGACAGTTCTCATTATACCTAATTGACAGGGTACTTATTAATATACACCATTGCAGTTTTCAGTCTCTCCTATTCTACTTAAAATTATTTTTAACTAATCCTATGAATAGAAAAATTTGGAATCTGGAGCAGTGCCTTGAAAGGTAAGAATAGAGTGAGTTAAATTAAATTGTACTTTATTAAATTACTGCATCAAATATTGTATTTTACTGTAGTTTACGTACTAAAAAATGTAAGGCACTCTCAGCCACGTAACTGGATGATTAGTAACTTCTGCTAAAAATGACAATGGTAAAACAGAAATTTCTATAGTTGCATGATTACTTTATGTACCTATCTGAGCTAACATGCTTTCCTACAGAAACTTCAGTTCTAGTGTATTTCTGTATTTGGATCTGTTAAGGAAGGCATTATCCATATTTATCTGGAGGAGGGGGAGTGTAACAATAATTGGAGTCAGCACTGTTCACTGGACAAAAGTCAGTGCTGTTTACTGCTCATTTCCATGGGTTAGCTCTGGGAACATCAGTTAGAAACTTGACTCCAGAAAAAAGATGGAGAGGACATCAGACACTCCAGATAAAATGAGAATTAAAAGATTCCTTTATTACTTTAGATTCATGGCAGGAATGTAGGGTCCAGATTGATTTTATTTCTGAGAATAACTTCTTAGTAGACTAGCTTAAAAAATTAAAGGTACAAGTTATATCGTATCTGGGAAATCTGATTGCAAATGAAGTTTCACTAGAATCACATTTATACCTGGCACCTACCACTATTACCTGGCACTAGACTTTTTCTGTAAATATCAAATAAATTGAGTGTTTATGCAGTATTAAGCCTTAGATTAGTCTTTTAACCTCAGCAATACTGACATTTAGAACTGATCATTCTTTTTGTAAGGAGCTATCCTATACATTTCAGGATTTTTAGCAGCATCCTCAACCTGTATGCACGATACAATAGTACAACCTTCTACCCCCACAATATTTCTGGATAGTGTCACATCTACCTAAGGCAGGGAGGATGGAAAGGAGAAATTTGCCCCATGTTGAGAAACACTGACTTAGAATAACATCATGAATTTCTTGAAATGGGACTCCATGTACATGTTATCATGGAAGCAAAATTTAGAAGTCACATTTAACCTCACTTGTATAGACACAGCCTCACTGTCTGGGCTTAAAGCCAGAATTAGAATTGAGTATCTCCCAATTCCCTAAGACAATCAGGAAACACATTTTTCTACCTCCCTTCTCTCTAGCCTGACACCATTTCTTTTGGACAATTAAACTACAGTACTTTAGGCTCCTTAGAGGAAAGCTGCTGCGTAAATGCAAAGTAATAATGGATAGTGGCTGGCCAACTAAATGAAAGAAACTATACTAAAAAGCTAACTATCTAAATTAAGAAGTCCATGCTCACGAATGAATATTCATGGACATATTTTCATACTAAGATACTGAAGTAATATCAGACTCCTGCTAGCAGATTAATTTGAAACTGAGAAAGACATCTATTTTTGAAACTAGAAACATTGATCTTGTGATGATGATCTATAACAATAACTGCATTTCTCCCACAGAAGGTGAATGATATAATAATTTTAAAATGATGAATGCTGATCATGTGGAGATATGCTTATTAATTTGACTTGTTTTAATGGAATTTTTCCCCAAGGGTTCCGGCAGTAGGCAACAAACTTATCATATATAAGAAATGGTTGTTCTTACTATTACTTTTATCACAGAAAATGCAATCACTGACTATACTTCAGCACCATCATAAATATTCAAATAGTAGTATCTTGCTGCCCAGTGGGAATTTGAGAGGTTGGTGATGAAATACACATTGTTGAATGGAAAGTTTCATTAATTCCAAGGAGAAAGAATAATTGTTATGTCTCCCCTGAAAAGAACCCTATTTAATTAATTGTTGAATTGTAGGCTTGCTTTCACTATGAAAGGTAAATGGGATAAGTAGTTAATTATAGTATAAATTTATCTAGTTAATTTATTTGATAATCTACCTGAGTTGAATACCTGACTTAAGGCTAATATCTTAATTCTGATGAAATCTAATAATAAATAACATTAATTTGGAAAAAAGGGCTAAGTGAGCTCTTAAGTATTTCTCCTATGTCTACCAGTCCTCTAGCTCCCCATCACTCATATGTTCTTTTTTCCAATCATTGAGCCTGTCTGACTTGATCACATACCAGACTCTTCACCTTACTTATTCATTTACTTGTACTAATCATTTAGCTTGGAAGACCACAAACCATTTTTAATAATCTTTTATTCATCCTTTAAAATTCAGTGCCCTAGATTTTATTTCCTCTCTGAAATCTTACCTCTACTCTCTTAAGTAAATTGAGTCTCTCCTCCAGTGGCTTGCTCCTACCTTTGTTCTCTCAGCCACCTCATCGTAAAGCAGTTTATCAGGTCATAACTTGCCCCTCTGAGAATTTGAGCTCTTTAAGGGAAGGACACCATCTTTTGCTGACATTTGCTTACTTAATACAGTAAATTCATAGAGCAGATGCCACACAGATATTTGTTGAATAAATGATTGAATTAATTTAAAATACTATATAGTTTAAATTTACTTTTGCAGAATATATTTGAAATTAACATATATATTTATTTACTTGTTTCTTATTTGTATTCTTTGTCCTCTAGCTGCAACACTATCCTCTCTGTGTTTCTGGAGGGGCAAAAACCTTGTCTTTCTTTTACTTTATCGATATTTTCATTCTCACACCAAGCAGTTGCACAATACATATTTATTAGAGGCGACAATCACATAGTATGATCTTGATAATACTGTGCAATGGGTAGCTCATTTACAAATAAACTAAGCCTTTCCTCACAGAGGACACTTTGGTAATACTTTCAATGCCTGTTACTATACTGGGACTCTGCAAACGTTTTGTAAATAAACTAACAGAGTGATTTGGACTGAAGTCTACTCATGGATTTTTTTGATGTAATTATTACAAAAATGCCCTGTAGCAAAATGCATGTTATTATTTGAAGGCATGAGACAATGTGGGGCAAAAGAATATGTATAGGCTGAAGAAAAACAATTATTTGGTCCAAGTGCAACCAGAGGTATTTAGGAGAAGAAAGTACTGATAGACAAGAAGGGTTGAAGTTAAGAGTGAAGGAGAAGATGATAGATGATAAGCTGTTGGATGGAAGGGGAAGGAATTAGGACAAAAACACAGGTGAAGTTTTGAATCTGAAAAAGAAGAGAGTGAAGCCATCTAAAACAATGTATACCCTCTTCCTGGGTATTCTATTTGTCTTATGTTAAAGGTCAGTCTTTAAACAAACCCTGCAGGGCCCTCCATTATGTAGCTCCAGCCTGGCTATATGCTTCAGTCTATCATGTCCTGAACTTCATCTACGTGACCCTTCTTGAGTTCTTAAATGTCCTCAGGGTCTTCACTCATGCTGTTCTCTTTGCTGGTAACCATCATCCTCATCTTCCTTTACTCTTCTATCCAGTTCTAGCCTTAGATGACACATCAAGAAAAATTTTTCTAACTTTTTACACCAGGTTAGAAATTAGCAAATTACAGATACCTTAAAAGTTATTATATATTAATATCTGCCTTTCCCGCTGGACTATAATTCCATGCTTTCAGACACAGAATCTGTATTTTTTGCCATTATATCTCCAACTCCCAGCACGGTATTGGATGTAAATTTTTTGTTGAATTGATGTATAAACATTGTGGTTGGATGAGAAAGAATGAAACATAAAGTAATCTAGAGATATTTATTGGGAGAAAAAAAAGCAGGCCGGGGGCGGTGGCTCACGCCTGTAATCCCAGCACTTTGGGTGGCCGAGGCGGGCGGATCACGAGGTCAGGAGATAGAGACCATCCTGGCTAACACGGTAAACCCCGTCTCTACTAAAAATACAAAAAATTAGCCAGGCTTGTTGGTGGGCGCCTGTAGTCCCAGCTACTCCGGAGGCTGAGGCAGGAGAATGGCGTGAACCCGGGAGGCAGAGCTTGCAGTGAGCTGAGATGGCGCCACTGCACTCCAGCCTGGGCGACAGTGCAAGACTACATCTCAAAAAAAAAAAAAAAAAGAAAAGAAAAGAAAAGAAAAGAAAAATGCATTACATCTTAGATATGTTCTTTTTCTTCATGGTGAAATACCAGGGCAGAGTTAAAATTTTCAGGAAAATAAAATGATTTCAAAACAGGCAAGGGAGCATATTCAATATGCTCAATTTAGGTTTTTTCTTTCAAGGTGGCTGACTAGGACACTGCATGCCAGTTCCCCTGAGAAAAACGATCAAGGTTACTGGTTAATAGTCATCTGAATGGCTAACTGAGGGAGGAGACCCAGGACCTGTTGGAGTGCCCACAGGAAGAAGCTAGAGCCAGAAAAGGGAAGCAGTCGGTCTGGCAGAGATGGAACCGCAAGGAACTTGGAGCCTTGCAGAAAGGGTAGGTGGGAGTGCTTCCCTGCTCCCCCTATTGCCATGACAATCTGTTGACTGCCAAACTGTTGAGTCCCTCTGCTCTCCTGATCAGGACAAGGATGTTGGTAGAGATTTGGGAACGTCCTGGGGACAGAGAACTAGGTAGCCAGCTCATGTAGGTGAGCCCACACTCCCCTCAGGCCTGAACTGAGACAGCAGGTGCCATATTGGTCATGCACTTATGGTGGGCCACTGTCCTGCCTGGGGAACCTCAGTCCTTGAGTCACTGTGCCACCGATTCCCCCCGCCCCCCTACAAACGTACACTACAAACCATTCTGACTTTGGCAAGCACAGGGGACTGGCAGGTCCCTGGGGAGCTGCAAGAGCCCTGTATATATAACCCTTGGTGTGGGCTGTCCCTAATGGGGGGTGCAGCATAACTCAACAGAGTCCCCTTAAGAGAAAGGAAATGTGGGTGCAGTAGATTGAAATTATATCCAGCTTCATGTCAGATCTCAGGGGAATAAAATTAGAAATCAAGACCAAGAGGAACAAACACAAAGCTTGCCGAAGAAAAGAAATACCAAAGATCAAAGCAGAACTAAATGAGATTGAGACCAAAAACATTGTAGAAAGGACCAAAGGAATGAAAAGCTGGTTATTTGAGAGTGTTAACAAAACTGATAGACTGCTTGTTAGATTAACCATGAAAAAAGAGGTAAGACTCAAGAACAGTCAGAAATGACAAAGATGACATAACAATTGATACCACAGAAATACAAAATATCCAGAGATATTTTGACTATGAACATCTATATACATACAAACTAGAACCTCTATAACAGTCATATTCATGACTATGAATATCTATATATGTACAAACTAAAGAAATTGATATGTTCCTGAAAACACACAAAATCCCAAGATTGAATGAAAAAGAAATTGAAATCCTAAACCGCTCAATACCGAGTTATGAAATTCAATCAGTAATATAAAACCTACCAATCAAAAAAAGCCCTAGATGAGACAGATTCCCAGCTGTATTATACCAGATGTATGAAGAACAGCTGGTTCCAACCTTACTGAAACTATTTCAAAAAATCAAGGAGGCAAGACTACTCCCTAACTCATTTTACAAAACCAGTCCTGATACCAAAATTTGGCAAGGAAACAGCAAAATAAGAAAACTCTAGGCCAATACTCCCAATGGTGGAAATAAAAATCTTAAAAAAAAAAAAGATTAGCAAAGATTAGCAAACCAAATCAAGCAGAACATCAAATAGATAATTTATCACAATCAAGTGGGTTTTATTCTTGGGATGCAATGATGGTTCAACATATGCAAATCAATAAATGTGATTCACCACATAAAGAAAATAAAAACAAAAACTTTATGATCATTTTCACAGATGCACAAAAAGCATTTGATAAAATCCCAAATCTTTCATAATAAAAACCCTTAACACACAACTCATTAAAGGAGCTGATATGGTTTGGCTCTATCTCCCCACCCAATTCTCACCTCAAATTGTAATCATCATGTGTCAGGAGAGGAGCCTGGTGGGAGGTTACTGGAGCATAGGGGCTGATTTCCCCCTTGCTGTTCTCTTGATAGTGAGTGAATTCTCATGAGATCTGATTGTTTAAAAGTGTGTGACACCTCCCCTTTCTCTCTCTCTCTCTCCTGATCTGTAGTAAGACATAATTGCTTCGCCTTCATTTTCTGCCATGATTGTAGGTTTCCTGAGGCCTCCCAGTCATACTTTCTGTTAAGCCTGCAGAACTGTGAGTCAATTAAATCCCTTTCCTTTATAAATTACCCAGTCTTGGGCAGTTCTTTATAGCAATGTGAGAATGGACTAATACAAATCCCTAAGAAAAACAATATGGAGATTTTTCAAGAACTAAATATAGAACTACCATTCAACCCAGCAATCTCACTACTGGGTATATACCCAAAAGTAAAAGCCATCACTATATAAAAGAGACACTTGCCCTTGTATCTTTATATCAGCACTATTTGCAGTATTCAAGTCATGGAATCAACCTAGGTCTCCATCAAGGTGGACTTAAGAAAACGCATTATATATGTACCAGGGAACACTCACTGCAACGAAAAAGAATGAAATAACGTCCTTCGTAGCAACATGGATGCAGCTAGAGGCCATTGATCTTAGCTAATTAACACATAAACAGAAAACCAAATACAGCATGTTCTCACTTATAAGTGGGAGTTAATCAATGGGTACATGATAAACATAGAAATAATAGACATTGGGGACTGCTAGAGTTGGGAGGGAGAGTGGGGGTGGGGGGCTGAGGATTAAAAAACTACTTGTTGGGTACTGTATGAGTTCACTAGAAGCCCAAATCATAACATTACACAATATATCCATGTAACAACCCTGCATATGTACCCCATGAATCTTTAAGAAAAAAAAATGTATGGTAAAAAACAACTCAATTAAAACTCATGGATTAGCAAACAAAACATTAAGAAATCTGACAATGCCAGTGAAGCTCTTCAAGTTCTTCCTTGCCACATTAGGACACACTCTGGTCTAACTTTTACAGATGAACTCTCTAAGCAATATAAAGAGAAAATGAAACACTTCCACAGTAGTGATTATTATATTCTTATAATTAAAAAGCTGATGCTACATTTTTCAGTGGATCATGTGCCACTTAAAGTTCTAATTTGTTAACTATCAGCAGTCTTGACTGAAAATATGTATTCTACTAAAAGTATTCCATAGATCAGTACTCCCCATTATCTTTCTGTTGGTCAATTCTATATAATAGTTTAAATGGCCTGTTAATAATGAGGTTGATCCTTTTCCAACTATCTCTTACTTCTTTAATTAATTCTCTGGTGGCCCCTGGTTAGGAAGGATGGATCACAAAACAACTGCTGATTTTTTTTTATTACTCAACCCAAGATTTTTTAAATCAATTGACAGATAATCATGAGAAATCATGCACACTTTAATGTGGTAAAATGCTAACATCCAATTTATAAAGACATCTGACACAAAACAGTGTATCTACATTTACACTACCTAACCTTTTAGGACCTGAAATAAATCAAGTTTTAACTAAACCTAAATTGTAGGAGGTAGAAAATACATATAAATAAGATATTCACATCCTCTTATAATCTTTCAATGTGTTTGCTTTATGTCCAGCTGATAAGAAATAATTAAAATGTAAAGTTGTATGGTTTACTCGTATTAGGTGATTAGTATATTTCTATTTAATTGCATATAACATGTACAGAACTTCTAGAAATTACCATGAGTATAATTTTATCCAAATATTATAATTCCAGTTGTTGCTAAATTTCTAGTTGTTGCTAATTTAAGACTGTATTAATTAAAGCTGATAAAATAATAAAAACTTTTTTCACTTACTTCACTGGTGGCATATTGATTTTTCTAATAGACTCTAAAGATGCCAGCAGTGACTTCTGGGATACATTTTTGCAACTTCATATTTCACCCTGATTTTGAGACAGAATTATGATGCAGGCAGGCCAGAGCCTTAAGTGCTAATTTTTTATAAAATAGGGTCATATAAATAGACAACAGTTTTGTGCCTTGCTAATCAATAGGAATATTTTATTACTAACATATATTTTCTTTCATAAGTACACATTTGTAAATGTTCAAAGTATTATCTGAACAGAATCACCTGCATAGCCCCCATATCCCATACCCCCATAGCCATTAGTATCTTTTTCACTTTTGTCTTCCTTCCTTTTTTTCTCTCTCTCAAGTCCTGTTGTCCTACTATAGTCTTCAAAAAACAAAGTTTCAGTTTCTTACGCATATACTTTTTGGAAACACATAAGAGCAAGCAGACTATACCCTTGTGGCAGAAGAGAAAGCCAACTCCAACACGTATCTACATGTCTTTAAAAGAAGACCAAATTAATTTTAACTAAGACTTTCTTCCTATCAGAGTATTACTCAAAACATGCCCCACAGACCACATGGAGAATCAGAATCACATGGAGTAATTCCTAAAATTGTTATTTTTTGGTCTCACTCAGAATTAGAATCACTTGGAAGACAAGCATTTGAATCTGATATTCCAGGTGAATTTTTGGCAACTAAGTTGGAAAAATCACCAAAGATACGTTTTTTAATAAAAGCATTTCTTTCTAAATACAAATGTGTTCCTGAGATGTAAAATATAAGTCCAAGGGCATATTTTTAAAATATTCTTTTTCTAAAGTAGTGTATCTTTTTGCATTACAGATAGTAGATCTGTGACAGTACAAAGAAAATCAAAAAGCACTGCTACTTTAGGGTAATAAAGGGGATCACACTATGCCGCTACAAAACATGTTACTTTGGCATAAGCATCGTTTTGAACTGAAGGCCATTGAGAAACATCAGATACAGCAAAAGCTCTCTACCTGCCCCTATACTACCTAAAAGCACGGTATTACTTTCCCTTTGTGAAGATTTCCACCCCAATCCACCTTCGCCCAGATCAGGAAGATAATAACAACTATTCATCATTGAAGATCCTCTTATCATCCTGGAGACTACATGAGACTGAGTCTGCATAACAAACTTTACTAAAATAACTTATTTTTCATTTGTTTCCCCCATATATTTACCTTCCCATAATTTATCATCCCCAGAAGACCAGCCCCCTTTGTCTTGTGACTGCTCCACAATTTATTGCTCTTTGCCAAATGATAATTAAGTCCCAAGGTCTAACTTATTTTTTGGATGTTCACTTCTTTTTTTATGAAGGCTTCCATACAGATAGATAATAAACCTTTTCTCCAGTTCATCAGTTTAATATGCAGCATTCTTTTTATATAATTTAAGAGCATAAATGAAATTTTTGTTTTCCTTTCTACAGTGGAATGTCAGAATTGGGAAAACATTGGCAGAGTTACATGTGACTTCCTATCAACAACTGTAGCAATTTTGTAGCTTGTTAAAGTTTTTACAAGTGCACACATTTTGATGTCTTTTTAAATAGACAAATAAGATTGTATATATTTATGGTGTACGACTTGGTGTTTTAATATATGTATATACTGTTGAATGACTAAATCAAGCTATTCATTCATTTTTATTAACTATAGTCACCACAATATGTTTTTATTTCTTGATTCAAAAAATTCAAAAACAACTTTAGGAGCTAGGCAATGTAAACATGTTTATCACTACTTTACAGATAAGCCAATGATAATTTTTAAAGTTTAATTATATCCCAATCCCTCATCCTATATCCCCATACATCATACACACTCCATTTTATAATCATTATTGTTTGCTCCTTCAAGCTTCTGTGACATTTAGGTAGACAGCTGGATAAGAAACTTTTTTTTTCCTACAAAATGTGGGTACTTTCTTCTATGCCCCAATGAGACTTCCACTTCCACAAAACAATCACACGACTACGATCGAGAAATGACAATAAACATTTCTGTATTTAAAGATCTTTAGAATTGTAAGGTGGGAAGATAAAAGACAAGGAATTAAAACCTAAAAGAAATTAGAAATCTTTTTCTTAAATTATGGACAAAATTTAGGAAAAAAGTTTCTCTGTTCCTAAAACTACAATTCCTTTCACAGCTGCATTTAATTTTAAACTTACCTTTGTCATTTTAAACATAGAAACCCATTCAACTATGGAAAGAACTCATGATTTTTATGTTTGGTTTGGTTTACATTTTTTTTCTTGTGGCCCTTAAAATTTTTTTCTAGCATGTCACCAGCACAGCTATATATTCAAAATTACGTCTGTTGCATTTTATTCAAATATTTTAGGTGGTTTATAGTAACAAAGGTTAATTAAAATATACAGGAAAGTAATTTGTAAAAGATAGGTGATATAATAGTTTCTTCATTTATATAATTAAGAATATATAATAAATTGGTTGCTTCAAAACATTTTACATTAATATATTAATGTCATTTTATCCTAATCTGATCATTACTCATGGTCCATTCTTGAGAAGATTGGTGTAGAAGCAGAGTAGTCAGTCATTCCAGAATCCCAGAAACTGAAAGGCTTTCCATTCAGTAACTGCCTCAGAGGTCCACCTGAAATTGTATGGTAGGCTTCATCTAGCAGGGGAGGCTAATATTTAGCTCCAGTGTCAGTGAATATTGGCTATCTTATGGCAGAAGGAAGTCACTCCTTGCTTATTTCTTAGGGGCTAGGTGCTGATGATTATCCTGGACTCTATCTTTTAGGGGATGTGAGCAGTGAAGAAACTGCTTGTACTTCTGGTAGCCATATAAAGAAATATCACCCTCAGGTACTGAGGGATACTTGTGCAATGGACGGGTTGTTTGAATAAAGAGGAAAAGTAAGGAAGACAATGGGAAGTGTTCAGTAAACATTTATTAACCTCTGCTACGTACTGAACAAGCAAGGGGCTAACTTTATATAAATAGCAGATAAACACAGAGAGGTAAATTGGTGTCAAACTAATGGCATATAAGCCTCACAGTATCTCATTTTCTGTAAAATCCTTTTGGGAAAGGATCCATTAATATTTAATATGATTATATGTTGTTGTGAAATTTGCAAAAGTATTTTGTTCTCTTCTTTTGTAATGATATCTCCTTCCCCCATAGTGTATAGACTTTAGTCATTCTCAAATTGTATCTTCCTGTGGACACACCCTATAAAATTGTTAGTTAAGGCAGCTACTTTTAATTGTTCCAGAAGAAGGTATATGAACTTCATATCATTATAAGATTTGAGCTCTTATCTTTTTGGAGCTTTTACAGGGCTTCCTTTGCAACTGTGGACTTTTTGGCAATGTAAAAATAACTAAAAGAAGTAGGTGTTCTACTTATCATCAGTGTGTACCTTGGACATAAAGTGTCAAAAGCTTTTGCCATTTGTCCTTCACTGTCTGGTAGGGTTCATTCTGTAAGAAGGAATCACGTTAATAACATCTGCAGAACAGCTCAAACATATTTTGTTACAAAAGTGATGGTGGGTAAACATAATTTTCAGCCAGTACAAACTCATGGCTGTCTTTTCTAAGTTATGCCAGTGAAGGTAGTTTTATTTATACAAATCTGCTACAGACTTCTACATGACAATAATAATTAAGGGGACTAAATATATAGATCCAGATTCATGCTGTGAGGGATTAGACAAGAGAAACTGAATCAGAACACTGAATAAGTCAATGACCACATGGACACCAATGACTTTTTTGTCCCCTCTGTGGTCTCTTTGGCTTACAGCGTTGAGTAGAGTCATAATTATGCTTTCAAATTTATGTTTTTACACCTATACACAGATTCACTGTTTTGTGATGGTGTTTTGTATCTTACTGCCAGATTAGCTATTATGACCACAAACATATACAAAGCCAATAACAAAAAGAATAATAGAAAAAGACTATCTAGGTTCCTGGCCACTCCCCAGAGATTAGAAGCCAAAATGTAATTAATTAGAGAAGGTGAGATGGACAGTCATTCTAAAGTTAGTTTTGCAAAACCTGAGCCTAGAAGCTATTTGATCACTATCACTAAGTCTTTGAATAGATACCTAACATGGCATAATGAGACACCAAAGATGCCCATATTCAAATCCCCAGAACCTGTGAATATTACCTTACATGGTAAAAAGGGCTTTGTATGTGTGTTTTAGTTAAGGGTATTGAGATGAAAAGATTTTACTGGATTATCCAGGTGGACCCAGTGTAATCACAAGGGTTCTTATAAGAAGGCAAGAGGGTCAGAGTAAGAGAAAGAGATGTGACCATAGAAGCAGAGACTGGAATCAAGCAATTCTGGAACGGGGCCAAGGGCCAAGGAAGGCAGGTAATCTCTAAAAACTGGAAAAGTTAAAAAACTGATTTCCCTTTGGAGTCTTCAGAAGAAATAAGCTGCCAATATCTTGATATTAGACTAATATGACTCATTCAGGAATTCTGAACTCCAGAGCTTTAAGACAAATTAGTGTTGTTTTAAGCTGCTAAATGTGTAGTAATTTGTTAGAGCAACAATTCAACACTAATGCAATGGCCACACAATCTTCAATTACTACTGGCTTAAGTATTAAATGTTCAATCTCATATTTAACAGGTGTTCTCATTCATTTAAATATTTTATTCATCTGAAATTTTTGTATTATCATGAAGAAACAACATTTTTTTTTTTACCCATTTAACAGGCTCTTTTTAAAGACCTACAGTTTGCCAATCTTTGTGTTGGTGCTAAAAAAAAAAGAGCAGTGAAGAAACTTACCTAGATTCTGTTTTTCTTCATAAAGCTTAAGGTTAAATGTACTATACAAAATTGCAGTATTCACTAAGCTTTCTATGTAGATTTGTTGTTTTCCACACATGGCAAACTTTTTGGTAAAGAATATCTCCAAAATACCTACATTTATTTTCAAACTCATTTTTAATTGTAGTTATTAAGGCTGGAATAATTGGAGGAAATTTTAAAACTGACTTAATAGGCTATAGAAAATATCAAGTTTCTTGCTTATAAAAATGTACTAAAAACAGTGCTTGGGATCAGAAGCTTATTCTTTCCAATTTGCTGACATATACCCCTGAATGTGAGAGGAACTCTGGAATACTCATTTGCTACATCTTTTTCATTTTATTTATAGAACAAAGTTCTTCACATCCCTCCACTGGGAGCATGGTCAAGTCCTGAAGTTAAATCATCTGTGTATTGTTTCTTCTAGGCTAACATAACAATTACATAAAACTAGAGAACAACACATCGCCATGTCTTTCTCCAATTGAATTTCTTCAATCCATAATTTTCTCTTATCAAATTAGCATGAATTAATAAATTATCTAATACTTTAAAATAAATTAATAAAGTGAAATAAGAAGGAATATAATTAATCACCATGAGAATATGTAGAGACTAGGAAAATTATTATAAATGTGTTCATGATTACATTTTAATAATTACAAGTAATAGTTGAAAGTGATTGAATATAATTAATAAGAAACAAAATCAAGTGACTAATGGCAATCTAGTATGCTTTAACACTGCAAGAATTCTTTTTTTCTATTTTAAAGGTTTACAATAAAATTGAACTTATGTAATTTACCTAGTGTGAAATTTAATATTAAATAAAACAGAACAGTATGATCCCACAATATATTAACTTTTACATTAAAATAGAGAATGCTATATAATTATAAAATTGAACCATTGTTCTGCTTAATAAAAATGATTTAATTTTAAAAGTAAAAATGGAAGACTAAGTTAAATAAAAAAGATTCTTCAGCAGGAATGCTTTTAAATATCAGAGCCATTTTTACACACACACAAACACACACACACACACTCACATGTGTATGTATATTTAGATCTAATACAGTAACCAAAGGGAAAAAAGCAGTAATAAAACTACAGAAATCTCTCGACTTGGGAAAATTCCTATTTCTATTAAAACAATAGTGTATTACAGTGGAATTTAAATGTAAGTTATCAATTTGTTGCACTTTAATTCCTATAACCTTTAGAAAGTTAAGGGGAAAGAAATGTATGTTTGGGAGTGTCAGGGGAAAAAGGGTTGTTTTCAGATTAAAAACATGAGTGAAATAGTTTACATTGACTTATTGTGGGCACAAAGAAATGATAGTTTTCTGAAGAAGTAGTAACATCAGTGAGCATAGTAAAACTTGCAGAATAGAGAACAGAAGTGATTCAAAGAGTCTCTTCTCAAAAAGCCTTCACAGATGTGCTGTTTAAAATGGTGCACATTTTTATAGGCAGCCTGTTTTAAAGTCAGGCATGATGTAAGAATTAACTGCCTTAATCTGACATGAGTTTTAGTCAATTTAGAACACCAGCTTAATTAGTCCCTTCTTTACTGACATCTCTAAGATTTACTGCCTCTTCTAGAGCCTCAAATATTCAGACTAAATTTTGCTAATCTTACTCATTGACATCTTGTAACTATTTCCTCCTTGGAAAAATTATTTTTTCTTCTATCAATTCAAACTATTGGGCCAAAAATCATTAACTTTGTTGGGCGTTTCTATTATCTAAACTGTTAACTAAATTTCAGCCTTGCTCATAACACTCAATGATTCATGGTAGTCTTTCCCTGCTTAGTATGAGTTTCAAGATGCCCTGGATAGCCCATCTATAATAACAGAATTTTTAAAAACTTTTAATCTCAATTAGGCCAGGTATGGTGGCTCATGCCTGTAACCCCAGCACTTCGGGAGACCAAGGTTGGCAGATCACTTGAGGTCAGTTTGAGACCAACCTGGCAAAGGTGGGGAACCCCATCTCTACCAAAAATACAAAAATTAGCCATGCATGGTGGTGCAGGCCTGTAATCCCAGCAATTTGGGAGACTGACACATGAGAATCACTTGAGGCAGAGGTTGCAGTCAGTTGGATTGCAGCCTCTGCACTCAAGCATGGGTGACAAAGCAAGACTCTGTCTCAAATAAATAAACAATGAAAAAAATCCAGAATTGACTGCCCACTACATTAGCTCTAATTAGGCACATTCTCTTGCAGTACAATTTGTTTTATATTTCTTGAAATTATGAGAAATCATTGGAAAATCCTCAATATGTAATGTGATAATTCTGATCATTACACGTAATAAATTTTCCTCTCACGGGCAACAGATGGGATGAATTGACTGTGACGATAACGCATTGTTCTCAAGTGAAGTATGCCAAAATATCTGCCAGTTCTTCAATCTGTCATACATCTATAAATACTGTGTAATACCATTCAGGAACAAACATTAAGTATGACAGTGAAGTAATAAGAATCTAAAGCACTACAAATTCCTTCCTTAAATCCTTTTGCCAAAAAATCCTACTGTCTTTTTGTTTCTATTTTATTATTATTTATAGGAAATGACTTATTCATTAACATAACAAGGGTAATAGACGCTCACTACTGGGCCACTATATCTAGCATGAGAAAAGTTACAAAAAGAGTCTGAACAGCACTTCTTTACTCCCACCCAGCCACCACCCTCCACACACACACACACACACACACACACACACACACACTCACACATACTTTCAGGAAGATTTCATCATGTCTGCAGATGTTCTGTGAGAAAGAACATCTATTTTATGTTTATCTTAGTATTTCTCAGATTGCATATTACAGGAATTTGCACATACTTGGTACTCAATAAATACTGTGTAATACCATTCAGGAACAAACATTAAGTATGACAATGAAGCAATAAGAATGATTTTTAGATTTTAAGTTTGCATTTGAATTACAGAAATAACTCATGCCTGTTATCAACAAAAACATAAAAAGCATAAAATACAATAAAAATAACTCCTTTTTAAGGTAACAAAATACTTTACAAGACAATTTCCAAGTCAGAAAATCCTTCAAAAGATTTTTCAAAATCATCATGGCAAAATTTAAATAGTATAAATCATGCGTAATATGACAATTAAATTTAATCAGCATCGGCCAGGTGCAGTGGCTCACACCTGTAATCCCAGCACTTAGGGAGGCCAAGGTGTGAGGATCATGAGGTCAGGAGTTGAGACCAGCCTAGCCAACATGGTGAAACCCCACGTTTACTAAAAAAACAAAAACAAAAACAATACGAAAATTAGCTGGGCATGGTGGTGCACACCTGTAATCCCAGCTACTCTGGAGTCTGAGGCAGGAGAATCGCTTAAACCTGGAAAGTGATGGTTGCAGTGAGCCAAGATCGCACGACTACACTCCAGCCTGAGTGGCAGAGCAAGACTCCTTCTCAGGGGGAAAAAAAAAAAAATTAACCAGCATCAGCAAAGTTTAATGTAATGACTACTATGCAACAGGCACTCTTCTTTTTAATAGGGATACAAAGAAGATTATGTTTGAAAATGTGAATCTCACAAGGTGATGAGAGAGTCAGACTCCATGATAAATGGTGTTATAGGCAGATACACAAACTGCTATGATAAGCTAAGTAAACCAATAAACACAGCTGTTTCACTGTTGTGTTTAGAATGACTTTTTTTTATCATTAGTGGTTCTTTTTCAGAAATATTCCCATATTCTACTTTGTGTTTCTCTAAATATTTATCTAAAATTGAAACTATAGCTCAAGGATAACAACCTTCTAATCTATACTGCTTCATGGTCCAGCCTTTGTCCTCAACCAGGACTTGTGAAAAAATAAATACTCCAACATGAAACACAATCGTTTTGCTAAGAACTTAATGGATCCACAAGAAAAATATGAAGACCGGGCTGTCAGAAGGACATCTTAACATGGCAATACCACTGTCTTAGTAACAGATTCAGTAACATAAGGGATTTATGAGATACCTAGCACAGAAGGGAATAAATTGTGCTAAAGCAGAGTAAAAATATGCAAAAATAACAAAAATAATTAACAAGTAGAGAAATTACTACAGATTACAAATATAAAGGAATATGTCACACAATAGCAATATTGCCCCTTCAGGTTATTAGGTACCATTTAGTAAGAACTAATTATATATACTCATTGGTAACGTATTAAAGTAACAGAATATCCTCGAAGTTTATCTTGTTTTGATGGATGCCATTTCTATTACCCAGAGTTGACCAAATTGTAAAAGCTAATCAAAATGACTAAGAAAGTAATGACTACTTATTGATAATTAAACTTGGTTCAGTTATTCATTTGATGAATAGTCACTGAAAACCAACTGTGTGCCAGGCACCATTAGCTAGGTGATTCTTGTGAAATGAACAAAATTAAGTACCTGCCATCACGGAGCACACATCCTAGTGGCAAGAAGATAATAGACAATACGTTACAGAGAAAAAATAAAGCAGAAAAAGGGATGGAAAGTAGCTGGCAAGGATGTGAAATAGGGTCATCATCTTGGAAGGAAATGATAGTTTAGACCATTGGGGAGCAGTGGAGATAAGGAAAAGTGATATAAATCTGCAACAATATTTAAGGTAGATCTAATAGGATGCTATAGCTGTATAATAAACACAGAGAGAAAAGCCAAAGATGATGCCCACGTACTACATCAAGCTATTAAAATAGTGGAACTGCCCTTTACAAGGAAAATAAAGACTAGGAAGAGGATGAACGAGGTCAGAAGTTTGGGATTAGTCTTATTTTAGTTTTGAGATGCCTAGCAGACATTCAATTAGAAAATTTATTTCACATGTGGATATATGAGCTTAACATTGAGAGTGGATATAAATGTTAGGAGTTCTCAGCATATAGCTGTGAGATTGCATGAAATCACCTAGAAAGTACTTATGAACTGAGTCCTGAGCCATAGTGATACTTTGAGATCTGGGAGATGAAAGGAACCGGAAAAAGAGACTAGTGAATTGCATTCTAAAATAGGTTTTAGAAAACATTGTAGCATATATACAGGTTTTAGAAAGCCAGCTACATTATTCTTAACCACTCAACAAAGTCAAGATTCTTAAAGAGCAAAGAGTTGACTCAGAGGAGGATCAGGGGGCCAAATCTATCACTCTCTTCAATCCTAAGGACAATGTTTAATAAGATCCTTGGAGAGTTTATGTGTGTCCTCTGGACTGACATAAAAAACTGATGTTTTACTTCCATATTGTAGGAGTAGTTAATAAAAAGCAGCTGGACTAGCTGTTCTTACCACAGATCAAAAGAACAGTAGCTCTTTTGGGGGCCCTCAACTTGAAAATATTTTGTGCAACAAGGGCTTATGAATGTTTCCCATGGACTTGAAGTGACCATTCATATTAGAGAAAAGTTGTGTTTCTCAAGCCTGTCAAAGGAGATTTTATGGGGAGGCATAAGACTTGATAGAAAGAAGCAGAGTTATCACCAAAATACTAGGACAATAGAGGCAGTAACAAATAAAATAGAAACTCAACCCTTATTTAGTGAATAGTGGATGAGAGATCCTTCTTGATTGGGTAGTTGGGGGGGAGTCCTTCAAAACTCTCTATAAGAAAAATAATTCTTGGGATAATGAATTAATGTCAAACTCCTGCCAAGACAATGCTGGATCACTCTGTACTTGTCAAGTGTTTGTCTTCTTTATTCTCTCCTTCCTCTCTTTCCTTCCCAAGTTTCCAGACATGAAGGGGTCACAAACAGAAGTTAGGAAGGTTGAGGAGTGAGAGTGCAGGAGGACCTTAAATGACGGAAAAAAATAGAAGGTGATCAGCTCTCGGCATTGAACTGCTGCTTCTTACCTATAGCAGGGTGAACCCATGGGTTGCAAAAGACTCAGCTTTAAGTCAATTTTAGAATTTTGATTATGACCTAAGATTGAACATTTCAGTTAATAAGGTGAGATTAATGTTGTGGCTTGAAAGAATTATAGACTTGTTTTCTAAGAGAGAGATAACAGAATTCATAGGACCGGCTTGAGGTGTCATCTGGACACAATGGAAGAACTAGCTCCACTGTATGAATTAAGGGCAGAGTGAAAGGCCATCACAAATTTCTTTTAAAAAAATCTTTATTCAATGAGAAAACTTTTGGCCTTTATTCAACAAGTAAATATTTGATTTTGGATTTTTTTACTTAGCATATCTATGATCTCTGTGTCAGTATTATAAAAATTTAATAAGCTTTTACTTAACATAGTCCTTAATAAACATTTTAAATAGGAAGAGACCAAAGATAAAACCTTGTAAGATGTCTGAATTGGCAATAAGTCATCAAGCTAACTACAAGCCCTTTAAATTTTACAACTTAACCTGTTTTTCTAAATCTTCTCAAATGGGCTGAGATGGACTAAGTGGCTTTAGGAAAATCTTTTATTAAAGAAAGACAAACTACTTATCCAAAATCCCCTTACCTGATTTAACAAAAACATCAAATAAACATTTATGTGTCTATTATGAAATAAAATTGTATGTATTTAATAATTATTATATATAATATAAACGTAAACACTTAATTATAATCAAGCTTAGTGTGAGGGTTCTCCAGAGAAACAGAAGCAATAGGATATATAAAAACATATAAAAAGAGATTTATTATGAGAGATTAGTTCATGCAGTTATTGAGGATGAAAAGTCCCATGATTTGCCATCTGCAAGCTGGAGGTATAGTTTCAGTGCAAACACGAAAATCTGAGAACAAGTAGATACAAATGGTCTAGTCCCAGTCAGAGTCCAAAGGTATGCAACCTGGAGCACTGATGTCCAAGGACAAGAAAAGATGGATGTCCCAGCTAAAGCAGAGAGCAACTTCATCCTTTCTCCTCCTCTTTGTTTTATTCAGGCTCTCAGTGGGTTGGATGATGCCCATTCACTTTGGTGAGGGCAACTTTCTTTCCTCAGCTTCCTGATGCAAATGCTAATCTCTTCTGGAAACACCTTCACAGACACACCCAGAAATTATGTCTTATCAGCTATCTGAGTATCTCTTAGCCCAGACGAGACAACATATGAAATTAACCGTCACAAGCTTGTTTTTAGTAAACTCACTATATCCTTTTCTAAAATTGTTCACTTATCAGTTACATTGCTTTTTCTGTTCAAAAATCTATAATATAAAGTCATTTGTACAGCAATGCCTCAAAGCCACTGATTATATATTAATCTCTGCACTTTCCAATATTATAAAGTTAACTGGGCTGGGCGTGGTGGCTCACGCCTGTAAACCCAGCACTCTGGGAGGCCAAGGTGGGCAGATCACGAGGTCAGGAGATCAAGACCATCCTGGCTAACGTGGTGAAACCCCGTCTCTACTAAAAAAAAAAAAAAAAAAATTAGCCAGGCGTGATGGCGGACGACTGTGGTCCCAGCTACTCAGGAGGCTGAGGCAGGATAATGGCATGAACCTGGAAGGCGGAGCTTGCAGTGAGCCAAGATTGCGCCACTGCACTCCAACCTGGGTGACAGAGCAAGACTCCATCTCAAAAAAAAAAAAAAAAAAAAAAAAGTTAACTGGTCTGAAGCAGGCTCATTGTCTGAAATGTTACCCAGAGTTATTTGTCTCATGACCAAGAAAATGAAGAAGTGTAGACACCAAGGGTAATGTTGGACTATAAACTCAATAAGCAAAAGAGGGAACTCTCAACACTTGAGAGGGGGCCTGAAAGAAGGCTTCCAGCTATGAGGCTGAGTCCAGGGTTTTTATAGACTGGAAGGGGAAGAATGTGCTGACTGGTCTGTAGACCATTTTGGAGAAAGCACCAGTAAGATAAAGGTATGATAGTGTAAGGAAACAATTGTTGGTAGAGGTGAAGTTGGTCTGGGACCTTGGCCTGGGGCCAATCAAGAGCTAAACTGAAAGCTTGGCCAGGGACCTTGGCCTGGGACCAATCAAGAACTGAAATGATGACTCACCCTATGTAAATGAAAACTTAGCCCGGGGCCAATTACAGAAAGGTAGGCTTATGTAAAATAAGTGAAAAGTGAGAAACCAATAGGTGAAACCTAAGAGACTAAGGTGTGCCAAGGAGAGAGAAATGTGTCCAAAAAGGGATGGAATTTGCTCATCTGGGTACACAGGTAGCATTTCCATTCCACAACACGGGCTCTTTCTTATCTGCGGTCTGCGGTTTGATTTTCAGGCTGTTCTTTGTTTGAAGGAGTTTTACTGAGGACCTACAATAACTGCCTACCTGACTGGTTTCTTCCTTTCTCCTCTCTCAGTTCAAATACTTTTATTTAGAACTTCCTTAGACAAATATTCCGTGTCTCAATTTTCTGAGGCTATTGCTCTCAAAACCAACTCCATATTAAAATCATCTAAAGAGTTATAAAAATACCTACTGCAGACAACTGAATTCATATATTTCAGGTCGGGGTGTATCAGCGTTGTAGTTTGTCTAACAAACCATTTTAAAACTTGGGGGCTTAAAAATACAACAATTTATTTGCTAATTATCCTTTAATTTTGCCTGAATTCAGCTCAGTAGATATTCTGCTGAAAAGTTCGGTATTATTAAGCCATAGCATTGCTGAAAAATACATTATTTCAATAAGAGCCAAAACCAGATGGAGAATCTAAGACTAGGAGAATTATAGGAACGTGTGAACCAGGGGCTGGAACAGAGAAGACTCAAGGTATTCAGAATAGCTGCCAAATTAGCAACTGGAATTTAAATTTAGGGTGTAACAGATAATTTAAATTCTGTATAGAACCATAAAGAAATATAAAAACTTAGATTCTAATAATCTCAAATTGTCTAAGAGTTCATTTCTAATAGTTCATTTCCACACAACAGAAGAAATACACACAAAAATGAGTAAAATAAAAATTTAAAAAACATTTTAAACATCACCATGGTTGTCTTTCCCAAGACCATGGAGAATGACGAAAGTATTATAATTGTGAAATATTAATTCCAAAGTGTAGCAGCATGCTAGCCAGTCTAGAAAAGTTCATATAATTGCATGTATTTATAAACTATTGTATTTTGATTTTAGGTATTTTTCCATTTATATATCTACATATTTTTCTCAATTGAATGTCACAACCAAAGAGCTTGTTTCTGGAATCAATTACATCAACAAAATATTTTGCAGTTCAGTTAATTAGGTTTTCAAGAGACAAAAAGCAATTACGTAACTGGAATCTCAGTGTAGAATTTCAATAGTACTTAGTAGGTAATCTTTGCTCTGTGAGAGACAAATTGTACTTGTTATGAAATATGGTATCATATTTTTAGGAAATATCAAATTTCTTATATTAAAAATTTCATAATGCCACTTGATAATTATCTTCTATCAGATACATTTTTGTGATATAACTTGGATGACAAGAGCATTAGCAATGAGCCAGTAATTTTAACTCAGCTTTTTGTTTTTTGTAACAGATGGCTTCATTAGAGAAGAATTCACAGGTAGTGTAGGCATTCTCTTATGAGCATCTCTTAATAAAAACAAGTTCATGTTTATTCTGTCTATCCGTTAACTATACTTAAGGATCACTGATACATACAAAATGGCTGTTTATGTGGGGGTATGTGTATGTGTAAGTGTTTTATGAATTTTCAAAACTATAAAATGGCTTAGTGGATTATTTACTCGAAAACAACAAAATCTCTTGATAAAATTATTAATATTTAAAATTGAAGAGAATAATGATATACTGTCCTAATGTGACAGTGCCTGTTAGAGCTGGAAGGAAACAAAGGATAATGCATATATTTTTCTCTGTATTCGCTTTGGGAAAGTTACACAATTACATTTCATCAAGACAATTTTTTAAATGCCATGTTGGTGTATTCACAACTCTTTCTACATGGAGATTGCTGGTTCATGATGTTCCCTTGATCTCAAAATGCACTAAACAAGATTCTTCCATTGATCAAGGAGATAGTAACACTTCAGCTTCAATGGACAATTCGTGTGATTCTGTGCTCATTTCCAATTTTCTGAATAATAAAAAGGAATATTATTTTAGGATTCTCTGTCTATATACATAAGAGACTTTGTGTCTCTGAGGCTACACCAGCATCTATAAAATAAGAAACAAATGAGAAATCTATGTTTAAAGCAAAAAGATGCTTTTGGAAAAAAATAAGTAGAAGTTTTCTGAGAAAGTGATAATACAGCACTAGATTACATTATAAATAAATATTATACTGCACCATCTTATATAGTAGACAGTTTTAATACTGAACATATTTCAAGCTCCTTAAGTACTATTTTAATTTTCAAATGAGAGGTATGAAATTATGGAGAAAAATGATACTGAAGAACAGTGTTGTGAATACAGCTAAGTAGTGAAGAAAATACTGTTTCGATTATTAAAAGGATGCAAATCAATACATGACTCTCCTAAATATTCTTATTCTTTGCAATCAAGGGAATATGGTAGGTTTCAATGAAATGCTTATTGTGTTATAAAAATCATTTTAATTTTGAAATACAAATTATCTCTCTAGCAAGCTCTGTTAGATGAGTGTGTCTGATATGTTTGCAGCAGGCTTACCTATAAAGGAAGAAATAACACATTTTAAGGAGCAGCAGACAAAAATCTAAGTATAATTCTGTCTTTATCAAATGTAAACAAGTTTAAGGGAATTTGGAAGGTTTCATGAAAATATATCTTGGAAAAGAATGTAAAGGAAATGAATATTATAAAGGAAGTTTGTCACATGATTATTGTAAGTACTGTGTAGACACACCAGAGTATAAAACACATTTTAGGGCTGGGCACGGTGGCTACCTGTAATCCCAGCACTTTGGAAGGCCGAGGCAGGTGGATCACCTGAGGTCAGGAGTTCGAGACCAGCCTGGCCAACATGGTGAACCCTCGTCTCTACTAAAAATACAAAAATTAGCCCAGTGTGGTGGCAGGCATATGTAGTTGGCATATGTAGTTGACTAAATAAAAATGAGAGGGCTTAATTAAGTGGAAATATACTTTATATTTATATTGAGTCATTGGTTAATTGCATTGGTATAGCCAAATAATGTCTTTACCATATCTAATAGCCTTTACTCTCTAAGGCTCTCCCTTTCAGCCCTCTCCCTCATTGATTCTGGGCTGGCCTTATGGTTTGGTTTAGCCAACAGAATATGCTAGTGTGCCACTGTGAAAGTAACGTCATTCTACTTTTGAGTCTGCACCCTTCCATTTAGTTTTTTTTTTTTTTTTTTTTTTTTTTTTTTTAATGGAGCCTCGCTCTGTCACCCAGGCTGGAGTGCAGTGGCGCAATCTCAGCTCACTGCAAGCTCTGCCTCCCGGGTTCATGCCATTCTCCTGCCTCAGCCTCCCGAGTAGCTGGGACTACAGGCACCCACCAACATGCCCGGCTAATTTTTTGTATTTTAGTAGAGATGGGGTTACACCGTGTTAGCCAGGATGGTCTCGATCTCCTGACCTCGTGATGCGCCCGCCTCAGCCTCCCAAAGTGCTGGGATTAAGGCATGAGCCACCGCACCCAGCCCATTTAGTCTCTTAACACTCTGAATCTACTATGAGAACAAGCCCAGGTCTGGACTGCTGGAAGAAGAAAGACCAAGTGGAACAGAGACAAATCATCTCATCTGAAGATATTCTATTAGGCTGGTGCAAAAGTAATTGTAATTTCAGACCGTGAATATTAAATCATTATAAGTAGGTGCAAACAAACCTTTATTAATCAAAACAGGAGCCATTACAATTGAAACATTTTTGCCAGCAGGAAATAAGTTTGTTTGCTCCTGTAGCATAAAAATTAATGCTTCAGGGTTCTAGGAACACTTGGAAAGCATTTTCTGTATCCTGCTGATTGTGGAAGCGTTTTCCCTGCAAAAAGTTGTTGAGATGCTTGAAGAAGTGCTAGTCGGTTGGTGAGAGGTCAGGTGAATATGGAGGATGAGGCAAAACTTCATAGCCTAATTCATTCAACTTTGGAAGCATTGGTTGTGTGACATGTGGTCAGGCATTGTCTTAGAAAAGACTTGGGCCCTTTCTGATGACCAATGCCGGCAGCAGACATTGCAATTTTTGGTACATCTCATCAGTTTGCTGAACATACTTCTCAGATGTAATGGTTTTGCTGGGATTCAGAAAGCTACAGTGGATCAAACCTGCAGCAGACAACCCAACAGTGATCATGACCTTTTTTCCGGTGCATGTTTGGCTTTGGGAAGTACTTTGGAGCTTCTTTCAGTCTAACCACTGAGCTGAACGTCTCTGGTTGTCATATGAAATCCACTTTTCATCACACGTCACAATCGGATTGAGAAATGGTTCGTTGTTGTGTAGAATAAGAGAAAGCGGCACTTCAAAATTACAATTTTTAAATTTTTGCTCAGCTCATAAGGTACCCATTTATTGAGCCTTTTCACCTTTCCAATTTGCTTCAAATGACCAATGACCGTAGAATGGTCAACATTGAGTTCTTTGGCAACTTCTTGTGAAGGTGTAAGAGATCAGCTTCGATGATTGTTCTTAATTGGCTGTTATCAACTTCCAACAGCCAAACCCTATGCTCCTCATTCTCAAGGCTCTCATCTCCTTTGCAAAACTTGAAATACCACTGTACATATGTTCATTAGCAGTTACTGGGCCAGAAGCATTGTTGATGTTGAGTTTTCTCCACTGCTTTACGACCCATTTTGAACTCGAATAAGAAAATCACTCAAATTTCCTTTTTGTCTAACATCATTTCCATAGTCTAAAATAAACATAAAATAAATGGCAGGTAATAAGTCATTAGCAAAAAATAAGTGAAAAATGCCCATTAAAATGATGTATAACATAACCACATTTATTTAAGAAAGTATTCCAATAAATGGTAAATTCCAACAACGCAAAAACTGCAATTACTTTTGAACTCACCTAATAGATCAGCCAGCTACGGACAACCTGCTAGCTGAACACAGAAGCATAAACAAGTCTACCCAAGATCATCCAAACAGGTTCAATCAACAGATCAATTCAACTGATATCACATTCATGAAAGGTAATAAATTGTTATTATAAGTCATTATGTTTGGAGATAGTTTGTGGCATGACAATACCATGATAATACGTAACATACAGTGTAATTTATTATTTAAATAAAGGGTTTTGAGAATGAAATGCACCACTGTCAATAATTATGCTGGGAAAATAGTCATGAATTAGAATTGTCAAAGTAAACTCAGGCATATAGTCATCTTATCTAAAGTACTGTCTTTTTTATGAGATTTAGGTTTTCTTTAGGAGGGGTAAGGAATATGAATAATTTAGAAAAATTAAAGGCAAAAATATCACCACTTTTAATGATATGTGCATTCAACATTTACCTGCAACTAATAGAAACATACCTCAAAATGATTTACAAAGTAAAGATATTTACAATGTCACACAAATAAGATCAGTTTGTTTAGTGGATCAGCATAGCACCAAAAAAAAAAAAGCTGCATTCTAATCCAAGTTTATTCTTTGGATGCAGATTGAAGTTGTTCTTTTCCTTTTCCAATAAGATGCAAAATGTTTTATCATGAAAATGCATGAAATTATTACAAGTATAATTGAGAAGTTATAATCACTATTAGAACAGAGTTCTGTAATATTTCTGTGCTAAAATGGAAACATAGATGTATGCTTTCTCAAAGAAAGAAATGGATATTATTTCAGTGAGCCAAATTTAGAATTCAAATATAAAACTAGAAAAATAAATTTTCTTTCATCTTTAAATTTCATCTAATTTCTCATTCTTTGTGAGGCAGTTCTATGTAAATATTGTCTTGTATCTAACCCATTTCTGAAGAAGCAAGGCCAACACAAAGACTCTTTCTGTATTGTGTGGGGACTCAGGAACACATAAGACTAATATCTTCTTAATTCTCACTGCTTTAAAATGTGATTTCAAGACCTTCTAGATTTGTAGGTGGGACATATTTCAAGGTTTTTAACTTGAATGCATTATGATTATTTTTATTTCCTTAATAAAATTTCAAGGATATTCTGCTTCTTAAAAAAACACTGCTATAGAACTGGAGTAGATTGGCTCCAAGTTTAAATACAGTTTAGCTTTCCCTGTGGGAGGTGCATAATAATTGTTTTGTTTCCAGAGCATCACAGAGTAATATGAAATTTGCAGAAAATATTAAATAGAACCTAGGCTTAGCTCCTGCCTCTGAATCATCATCCAGAGGAAATGAGCACTGGATGTCATAAAAAGCAAATGTAACATTAACTCTCTGCAGTTGAAATGAAAGTAATTCACCTACTAGCATATTTCAAAATGATCTTCCAAAGAGATGTCTTGCATTAGTTTATGATACTTTATTCACTATGAATTACAGAAATTGTTCTTTATTGACAGGATTTTTTGGTTTGTATTTTCTCTAAGGTTCAATCTTTGGCTAAAAGAGCATGTTTGAATTTATAACTTACTGAGTTTCTATTGAAGCTTAAGTGGTTCATAGAATCTTAAAAATATATCTTATTGCTGACAGAGAAGTGTTTCAAAATTCCCACTTTGTGATATGAATATGTGTAATTGGTAAATTGCTGAATATATTTCATGTTTAGGGTTGCATTTCTGTTCAGAGTTCTGGCTCTGAAATACTTAGGTTTGATGTTGGGTTCAAGCTTTTATTCTTTCTGTGATCTTGTAAAATTACTACCTATTGATAAGAGGATAACAATTGACCCTTTCTCTGTTGTGAAATTAAATTATATAGCCCAAGTAAAACTCCTGACATAGTGCCAAATACATAGTGAATCATTAATAAACAATAGATGTTATTATTAATGAAGTTTATAATATAGTGAAAACAAGCCTGGCCAAGAAATGCTGAGCTCTAGTAAAAATACTGTTACTTAATAGCTCTGTAACCTTGAGAAAAACACAAACTTCCATTGAATCCATTTTAATGTCCATAAAATGAAGGTTTTCATATATGCCCTATATATATATATATACACATAGTTATGACATACAGTCAGATAGTATTTTGTTTAAAGCTGTTTTTTTCCCTTTCTCCCTTCACACACAAATTTCCTGTAAGAATGTGAAATTAGATGATGTTTTCTACATAGGTCCATATTTAAAATAAATGGAAACTCAGATCAAATTGCTGGCAATTACATGTAGTATTTGCATGTATTTAAATATTTTCCATGATTTGGCTTTTCTAGATAATATGTGCTTTTCAATACTATATGCCTTCATTTCTAATAGCTAACTATCAGCCATTTATAATAGTTCAGTACTCAAACCACTTACTACCTAAGACATATTTCTTTTATCCCTTTGGAATACCATGATTATAAAATTTAGCCCTGAAAAAGAATGAAACTGGTTATATGTCTCAAGTAAGCTATTTTGGTCACCATTTCTCCCAGGAAAAACTTACTATAGATTTATAATCCATATTTAAAATTGATGAACCTTAAGGATGGAATGAAAATGAAATATTCAGGCACTCAACCTTCAACATGATTTAAATATTGAAGTAGAATTGAGGGGGTTAGCTTGGGGGAAATAAAGGAAAAAAGGTGAAGAAAGAAGAAGAAATAAAGAATTGTCTTTCTGTCTGATTCATATTGCTGCAAAGAAACTTAAACTTTTACATACAAGATTAAAATATATATTAATGGTATGAGTGTCTATTTCCACTCAGTATTGCAAGGCCATTCAGCTGAATCTTTTTGAATACTACCAAATGCTCCAAATTCTTTCACAGAGCCTACTGATTGTGTGTGTGTGTGTGTGTGTGTGTGTGTGTGTGTGTGAATTTAAAAGGCGATTGGCAGTTTAGCTATCTCCATGGAGATTAATGGTATGTGATTTGCACAATGCTTTTAAAGCAGGATAAGGTGCCAGATTCAATGACAATTATGAGCCAGTTTAGTTCTAAACCACAAATCTTTGGGAATGAGATCTAGAGAAAACAAAAATTGTATTCTAAGAACATACTGCAATGGACTAAATGTTTGTGTCCCCTCAAAATTCAGATGTTGAAATCCTAACCTCCATGTAATGATGTCAGGAGGTGGAATCCTTTTCTAAGGGCACTATCCCTTTTTGAGTGCTCCATCCTCATGACTGAATGTGAAGTCCTCATCAAGGGATAGTGCCCTTAGAAAAGGATTCCAGAGACCACTCTCACCCTCTTTCAAATATGTGAAGATACCACGAGAAGTTAGCAGTCTGTAACCCAGAAAAGGGCCTGCACAAGAACCCAACCATGCCAGTACCTTGGTCTCAGATTTCCAGGCTTCAGAAATGTGAGAAACAAACGTGAGAAAAGTTGTTTATAAGCCACTTCATCAATGGTACTTTGTTACAGCCGCCTGAATTAAAACACATACCTATACTTTAAATACAAAAAATATTCAAAATGGCATTCTGTTGAGTTTAGGAAATAGCTACTATTTTCCATGAGATCATTCTGTTGGGGGACAATCCTCTACGGTGACAGTTTTGTCCTGGACTATCTTTTAAAGGATGTTTGTATAGTAAGCAGCCTGGGACAATGAAGATAGTGTCTCCCTGTAAGTCAGTAGGCAGATTTCTTTCCTGACCAGGATTATATAGATAGTATCTTCCTGGGGCAAAAGCGGAGCAGGTTTGTTACAGCCTCCACAATAATATTGGAGAAAACCTCAACTCAGAATTGCACACCTGTGACTCAGACCACTACGTCTACCTTGGTCATTCCAGATGACCCCCATGAGTTTTGGGGAGCAAAAGCAATTGATGCAAACATGAAGCTCATGCCACCTTCTGTGTCATGAGCAGTAAGATCCTTTGTCTCTGTCTCAGAGGTCTTTGGCCTCCTGCTTGCATCTATGAAACTGTGGTAGGGTAACTTGCTAGCATAGAAGTAGGGTAAAGTCTTGGATGCAGGTCTCTGTGCCAAATGGTACATGGAAAGAAATACAAAGAGGTAATGTAAACCGTACCCTAAAGTTCTTGACAGAAGAACATATAGTCAATATTTTTAAATGCAAAATATTACTTTCCCATGTAAAAATCAAAACATGGTAATGAGTAAGCATAAAGATATGCTGATTATTCTGTATATTTGTATAAGCAAAATCTTTTTTTTCTAGAAACAACTTCTAACTATTTTTCTTAGGCAGTGGACTATGGAGATATAGAAAAGTATGGAAACAATCTGACATATTAGGAGAGAAAGTGCTAAGGAAAAGTATTCAGAAATTCTTGGATAGCATAGAATCCTGAAACACTTGGCTTTAGTGATCCTATAATGCTGAACTCAGTATTCTCAGAAATTGAGCATTTCCCTCAGCTTCTAGACCAGAAATTAATCATCCCTCATTTTATTATTTTGAGACTGAGTCTAAATTTGGAAATAAACAATCTCTATGTCATTGAATCTATCTTTCCACAATCCTATCTTTCCTCAATATTAGGCACTTGAACTAGTAGTAATTCAAGTGCCGAATTAAATGGAAAGCACATTTTGCATATAACTAGTAGTAAGTTTATTTTGCATACAACTAGTAGTAATTTGAATAAGAGTCCTGGAAATTACAATACTTGCACTTACTTAATAGTAAGAAAGACCCAGTGAAGGTAGTCTTACTAGTTAGCCTGATTCAGGATGGTCACCCAGTCTAGACCATTCCTGTTCAGAACCAAAGTTGTATAGGGCCATTTCACTGTCCTAAAGACAAGCCTTGGCTTAGCACTGAATTGTAAGGGAAATCTCCCAAAATGTAAAAAAGCATAAAAATGTCAAAAGCCTTCAGAAGTTGTTTTCTATTTCATAGTCTATTTTTAAATGATAGAGACTTCTTTTTGTGCCACAAAAAAATTGAGTGTGAAGACAGTATCACAAGTTTTACTTCATTTAATTCAGCGTTCCCTAAGCTGAAAATGGAGAAAGCATTAATAAATACTGAATTCCCTGTCTCAGACCTGCCTGGAAAAGATTTTAATAAATTACATTTTATGCTGCAATTCAAGCATTGAGCTGCCACAGTTATGATTAATAGAGCAGCATTCTTATATAGGAACAGCAGTTCTAAAATAAAAGAATTTTATCATACATTGATATCACATCAACATTGAAAAGAAGTGCAAATATTGTTGTAGAAAAATAACTGAATAGAAAATGAATAAATTTCCTTGAATTATGCTTTAACTCAATTCTATATCAGATTGTAAAGTATAACAGCAGTAATTGCCACAGTTTAAAAAATAATTTGTGAAAAATGGAGTTTAATCTTTTGATTTTGTATAAGACTTTGAGAGTTTATAAAATTTATTTGAACAACAGGGTTCTGGATTAAAATCATACCCTTTATTTGAAGTTCAAAACAAATGTACATGAAAAACCAGCAAAGATATCAACAATTTAAAAATTCTTAATGTTGTTGGCAACAGTTATGTACAAATTCAAAAATTTAAATTATTTTTAAAAATCCAGTTATTTTTGAAATTATTTTATAGTTTTAAATCTTTGCAAATCAAAATTGATTTCTCTGTGTAGTGGGTGTGACAACGTATTATCTTAATAGCTGATACCAGAATTTTTCATTCAGCAGAAACTGCATTTATTTAGAAAATTCTATTGAAGGGATGAAAGTTAGCTATTTAGTTTTTAGTTCATGGGACTGGATGAGTTAAGCAGCAGGAAAATTATTCTGCGTTACATTTGAACAGAAATTGGAAATAAGGAGAGCAAAGAGGTGAGGATAAAAAAAAAAAAAAAAGGTCCGGAGAAAAGAGTCAAGTAATGCGGTGACCCACCAATGCTTCAGTGGCAGGAATGGCTGAGGAACTATTAGTTAGATATCCAGTATTTATTTTGAAGTTGTTAAGTTACAAAGAGAAAATGTCTTCATCTTTAATTTTATGGAAAGCTTGGTATACTCCTCCTTCTTTAAAAACAAAGAAACAAACATGCAATTCTAGGAGTCAGTCATTCTGAATTATTTCCTAATGCCAACCTCATGGCTTGTCAACACTTTCTCTAAGCAATGGCTTTCCAATTTTATCATTCATCAGAATTCACTGGGGCACTTTTAAAAGCATGCTAGGATACATCCCCAGCATTTTTAAGACAATAATCTAGAGTATGACCCAAAGCTGCTGGTTTGGGGATCATGTTTTGAGAATGGCTTCCCTAAAGAATAATCTAAATTAGTGGGTCTCATTATTTTCCTTGCTACTACCCTAGCTCAGGCCACCATCTCTCACCTAGGCAATAGCCTTCTAACTGATCTCTCTACTATTCCTTTGCCCTACCCCCATATAATCCATTCTCTACTCAGCAGCCTGAATAATCTTTCAAGAAATATCAGTCAAGTTGTGTAAATATAATTTCCTTGAAAAGGCCTCCTTTGACAACTTTACATAAAGTAAAATGGACTCATTTTCCCCACACCTCATACCCCCTGATGCATACCTCTTTATTTTTAAGTCTATGTACCACTAGGCTATATTTTTTAAAAAGTCTATTGTTTGTGATACATTAGATTTATGACATAAGAGATCTTGTCTCTCTTGTTTGTATCCCTGCTCCAAGATATTACAGGGCCCATATTGTAGCTTTCACTAATATTTGTTGAAAGAATAAAGGAAATGAATGCCCTGTGTGTATTAGGCAGAGAAGTTGAATTATGTTCTGTAGAATTTAAACGGAAGAATTCTATACTTACCTGGTTGGCGGAAACTAAAACAATT
Source organism: Homo sapiens (assembly GCF_000001405.40). Lineage (NCBI taxonomy): Eukaryota > Metazoa > Chordata > Mammalia > Primates > Hominidae > Homo > Homo sapiens. The sequence continues at coordinate 87,265,117 of NC_000012.12, forward strand.
CCTGATATAATTTCTTGGAATACAAACTGAGACACAAAGGCTATATAAATGTTGTCTCTCATCCCTTACTCCTGGAATTTTTTTTTTTTAACTTTTAAGTTTAGGGGTACTAGTACAGGTTACATAGGTACACTTGTGTCATGGGAGTTTGTTGTACAGATTATTTCATCACCCAGGTACTAAGCCTATTACCCATTAGTTATTTCTCCTGATCCTTTCCTTTCTCCACCCTCTGAAAGTCACTCCCAATAATTTTAATACCTTTTGAGGACTGAACTTTCCATTGATGATATAATGAGTATTAAACCAATCTTCTCTAGAGCTAAAGGGAAAAGTCATTCCCAGCTTTGGAAACAGATCAGATATAAGCAAATCCATCTCTTCTTTGACATCATTGTTCAGATATAATGGTACTATTAAGTAATTAATGACCATAACCAGAGGTATGTTTGTACTGTACTATGTATTTTAGAATTTAATATGCTCAAATAATCCTTAACAATTTGATTTGTTTTTGAAATCTACAAAATGTCTGTCTGATTTCTATAATTTTTAAAAAGTATTTAAGTCTATTTCTAAACACACAGACATGTGCATACAGGTGCATACACATACACACATACACACACACACACACACACACACACCCCACACCAGGATTTGACTTAACTATATTGGATGTTTACAAACAAGTTGAGGCATCTGTACATGAGGCAAGACAAAGGGGATAATAATATAAGCTGAATTTTAATTTTCCAAATGTAGTGATTCATTTTGATTATGATTATATTGTAAGTGCTTTATATGTGATTCTGACCTTTAAGAATATTTTATTTAGCCAGGTGTGGTAGCTCATGCCTGTAATCCCAGCACTTTGGGAGGCGGAGGCGGGCTGATCTCTTGATGTCAGAAGTTCGAGACCAGCCTGGCCAACATGGTGAAAACCCATCTCTACCAAAAATGTAAAAAATTAGCCAGGTGTGGTGGTGCGCAACTGTGATCCCAGCTACTCAGGCGGCTAAGGCAGAAGAATCGCTTGAACCTGGAAGGTGGAGGTTTCAGTGAGCCGAGATTGTGCCACTGCACTCCAGTTTGTGCGACAGAGCGAGACTCCATTTCAAAAAAAAAAAAAAAATTATTTAAAGAATCTGTTTATTTTTTAACTTTCCACAGAAATTCACAAGGATTTACATTCTTACTATTACTTATAATTATTTAAAATTATTATTATCATTACTAATCAGGATACTTCCCTATTAGATTGTTTACCTCCAACCAGAAGCTATTCTTGGGAAAAAAGAATAGGCAGATGGAAAATAGACAAAAGTGAAGTCATAGCATGAATGATAGTGTCACAACACTGAAGTCTTCAGCCAGTAGGTGGAGTTTAACTGGCTGGAACATAAGCGTTACAAATATTGCCCAGCTGGCTCAGGTAGCAAGCGGTTTTGGGAAATGAAGTTATCTGGCATCAAATCCTTGATTGTGAAGCCTGGGAGATAGAATAAAACTACAAGTTATTCAGCACCTGTTACATGCCAGGTAATTTCATTTATGTTGCCTTATTTCAGGGTTGTCAGTATTTCTATTTTTACAGATTATAAAAGAAGAGAGACAGAAACAATAAGTAACTTACAAGATATCACACGATTTTAAGCCAAAGTCAGAATTCAATCCCAACTGTCTCTAAATCCAAAAAGCTAAAACCCTCTTCTCCCATATGCTTTCTTTATTGCAGCAATAAGTAATGAATTCTCAAGTCCCCGACATATAAATTAAATCTATCTGAATATGGAGACTGCCTTCATTTTATATCCAAACCAAAACTCTCCTCTTGGGAATGTAGCTTCCTAGAGGCAAGCATAACAAAATAGGAGGTAGGTGGCTAGGATCTTCAGGAGATAGAGTAAAGAAGGAAACACACCGGGTGCAAAGGAAAGCAATCCCATGATTTAAAAATCGATACTGAAGACCTGACATCATCCCTATAGAGAAATGGCTTTGGCCCCTCTCTAAACTAAATATCTTCATGCTTAGCTAAGCTTTGGAAGGAAAATTCATACTGCAACCCTGATCAACTAAACAGTAAAAAATGGGTCTGCCACAACCTAAAGTCACTTGAAGGGGCATCTATTCAGATCTACAATGTTTCTTAGAGATAATCTAGTCTATCTGGGGACATGTTGATTAAAATACACATTGCTGTTCAGCTCCTACCCCCAGAACCTCTCCTTCATTAAGTCTCATGTGATATCAGGGAATATGCATCTCTAACAAGTTCTGAGGTAATGCTAAGTAAGCTGATATAACATGCTTTGGGAATCACTACTGCAAGTCTAAACCACTCACATCATAAGGGAACAAACCAAGGCCTAGACAGGGGATTGTCCCAAGTTGAACAGCAAATGATATTGGAAGGGAAGACCATTGAAATTTGTTTGAAGAAATTATATAAAGTCAGTCTTGTTTTAATAGCATAGCTGTGGCCTACTTCAGTGTTAGAGCTACAATGGTATCCAGCCATTTTTGGACAAAGTAAAACATCAGAAAAAGAAATCAACATATCATATTTGATGCCTTTTTCTCATAATTCTTACTAACCTTTTACCTTATTACACAAAATACTAGTTCTTTTTAAAGTTGTAATGAAAATGGGTGAAACAAATTTTGTCTAGTTAGTCTTCAATCGCCGAAATGCGTTTCCAAAGTTGAGCTGTTTAAATCATGGAGTAAATGTTATTTTCTCAATGAAAAAATGATTCTATTTCTCAGGCCAAATCAGATAGATTGGGAATGGTTTCATAGAATGATGCTTTGAAAATTATTCTGATGCTAAACAGGGGTTTAGAGGAAAAGATAACTAATCTGCCAGCAGTAATAAAGGACACCAAGTATTATACATTGTCAAATTCTGGGTTGTTATTGACATCTGTGATGGTTTTTCACATCATCCACATGAAAAATGATTATGTGGCTCTAAATTGGCTGGAAGTTTGTGCTACTAATTATGACCATGAAAACATTCTTCATGACATATGGTTTAATTGAATATTGATTGATCCACTCCATAAATTTTTCCATTTATCTATGATAGTTGATAACCTGTTAATTCCAAAAGTCTACTATTCCACTTAATTTTCTATGTGGTTGTCTCTGTATCACAAACTTAAATTCAATGACTCTCATTTGACAAATAATTGATGCCACATTGTCATGTTGAGAGGTTGTAAGAATGGATGTGCACAATAATTCTAATCAACTGCATCAACAATGGTGGCATGATTTTGAATTATGTACTTGCAACAAATATCTAGAAAATCTGGGAAATGAAAAAGTGAAAGGAAATTGGCTTTAAAGGGCTATTTATTAACTTCTTATTAACAAATATATAACTGCCTAACAAATTACCACAAATTTAGCATCTTAAAATAAAACACATTTATTACCTCACAGTTTCTGTGGGCCAGGAGTCAGTACAATTTAGCTGGCTAAAATCCAAGCATCATCCAGTGCTGCAATCTCATCTGCAACTTGGTGACACTGGTTGTTAGTAGATTCTCGTTTCTTGCAGGTGTAGGACTAATGTCCTCATTTTCTCGTTCAGTGTGACAGATGTATCACTCTGCTCCTAAGGATGCCCTCAGGTTCTAGCCACATGGATCTCTTACATTATGGTCTCTTACTTGTTCAAACCAGCAGGAAAATCTCTCTCGTGCTTTGTGTCACTTCCTCCAGATAGGGTCCAATCCCTTTTAAGGGCTAATCTGACTTGCTCAGACTTAACCAGAATAATCACCTTTTTTTTTTTTTTGGAGACAGAATCTCACTCTCTCGCCCAGACTCGAGTGTAGTGATGCAATCTAGGCTCACTGCAACCTCTGCCTCCTGAGTTCAAACGATTCTCATGCCTCAGCTTCCCAAGTAGCTGGGACTACAGGCACTTGCCACCACGATCAGCTAATTTTTGTATTTTTAGTAGAGACAGGGTTTCACCATGTTGGCCAGGCTGGTCTCCAAATCCTGACGTCAAGTGATCCACCCACCTCAGCCTCCCGAAGTGCTGGGAGGCACAAGCCAACTCGCAGCCTCTCCCTTTTGATTAATTCAAAGTCAGCTAATTTGGGGTCTTAATTACTAATTCAAAATCCCTCAAATTTTTCATGTAACAGTCTAATCACGATAATAAAATCCATAATATTTACAGTCTTTCCTATACTCAAGGGGAAGTGATTATACAGGGTATATCTGCCAGGGACAGGGAATCTTGGAAGTCATATTAGAATCCTTCCTACTACAGGCTACTAGTTATACAATGTTTATTTTATGTTATTTTCAGATTATAGAAAAATTCCATATTGATTATGAAATTTAGGAAATACAGTGTATTAGTTCTCACACTGCTATAAAGATACTATCTGAGACTAGATAATTTATAAACAAAAGAGGTTAAATTGACTCACAGTTCCACACAAGTGGGGAGGCCTCAGGAAACTTACAATCGTGGTGGAAGAAGAATGGGGAAGTAAGGCACATCTTACCATGGCGAAGCAAGAGAGGGAGAGAGTGTGAGGAAGTGCCACACTTTAAAGCTATCAGCTCTCGCGAGAACCCCTCACTACCATGAGAATGGCATGGGGAAAATGGCCCCCATGATCCAATCACCTCCCACCAGGTTCTTTCCTCAACAAGTGGACATTACAATTCGAGATAAGATTTGGGTGAGGACACAGAGCCAAACCGTATCAACAGAAAAGAATAAAATAAACATTTTCTGTATTTCACCGTCTAAAGGGAAGCATGACTAACATTTTGGCAAGACTATTCTATAATTTTTATATTTTCTTATGTATATGTGTTTTAACTATTAAATCTTACTATATATACAATTTTATATCTCAATTTTTCACTTAGAATATTAGAAATATTTGCCTATACTTATATTGTTCTAAAACAATTTCCAATGACTGCATAATATTAATCAGATGGATTTATCATCATTTATTTAACCAATTTCTTGGGTTCGTTTCCATTATTTCCATATTTTAACAATACTTGCAATGGGTATCTTTATGTGTTATTCCTCACATATTTATTTTATTCAGATAAAGTTTCTAGTACAATGTGTTGATGGACATAATTTTTCATGCCTACCTATATCTATGGCCTTTGGTGTGTGTTCCTTTTCCATTGTTCCTGGGTCTGACTATATATCTTCTGTTGCCAATGGGACAGTAGCAAACCTGATTCAAGCAGACTACTAAACTAGCCTTCGCACAATCAAACTTTCTTCCTTGGACCTCTGCACTGCCATGAAAGTGTTCCCAGGTTAGCCTGTGAAGTAATATGAGTATCATATGAAGGAAAACTGATGTGCCAGGCTGCGGTCATTCAGGATAGATAGTCTGCAGCCTACCACCAACAGACTGCACACACAAATGAGCCCAGTTAAGGTAAGCTGAACCTGGTCCAGATAAGCAGAATCACCTAGCTACCCCATAGACTCATGAGAAATAATAATTGGCTGTTGCTTTAAACAACTAAATATTGGGGATGGTTTGTTAACCATAAAAACTAACTTATACAAAGTTCTAGAAATGAACTATAAAGGATGAATTTAGAAATATTAAAAAATTACTAGCCAAATAATTATTTTGCAAAAGTGTCATTTAAAGACCAGCTGGACAGAGTGAAATGAAATTTGCTTTCACAGAAAAAAACAAGGAGCAACCTCCTTTATAAAAACATGAAGAATATTGTTGAGAAAAAAGGCAATCCAAAACATTGGCTTGAGACATGCAAACAACACAATGATATGAAATCGTATATTCATTATGAGTTTTGGAATTTTTTTCTTGGACCTAACAAGACCCATGACTGCATTTCTTCAAGATACTAGTTGGGCAACATCCAACAAATATGACATCTTGTTTGAAACTTCTGAGGAATTAGATCTTTTGATGCTTGGTGGCATGAGTAACATCCCAGACAAATAAGCCTCACACTGACACAAACATTCGCCTCTCTTCATTCCATTTAACTCAGTGAAGCAAAAACTTGACTGCATTTTAATGGCAGTTAGCAGAGATCATTAACCACGAACACTCTTGTTTTCCTTTCTTTACATTCTTCAGAAACAAAGTCCTACAGAATCTCTGAGGGGAACAGACAATAGAATTAAAATGTGTACAAGTTAGGGGTCAAGTGATGGAATCTCATCCTTGGTAAAACTGTGTATTCCCTTCATGCTGCTGACCAGCCAATCAAACACACTTATTTCAGGGATAAGCTCTTATCCCTGCATATGGGATTGAACAGCCAGGTTCAGAAGGGAGACTCATTCCCTAAGGCAAACTATCAATATCTATTGGAATTTATATATTAAAACCTACTGAGATTTAAGACTGATGTAAAACATGGTAAACTAATCAAGTCCTCATATTACCCTAGGTTTTGGCATTAGTAATAGTTGACAGCAATGTAATTAAAAACAAACTAGGAAATTACATTTTTTAATCATTGTTAAGAGACTTCATTCAGTTAAAAGAATACCATATTTTTCCCTTGGAGAATAGCTAGCCTTTCTGGTTCATTCAAAAGAAAAAAAAATAATATTTTTGGAAGAAGAGGTAATATTAAGCTTGTAAAGGGGAAAAATAAAAACAGATTACTCACCATCTTTTCCATGTATTATTGTATATAAATACAAAATAAAGGCACTAAAGCATTTGACTTAGATATATTGGAACTGACAACAAACAGTGTTAGATTATAATGGGTTTTAATTAAAATAATACAAATGACTTCCTCACTGTTTTACCTAGAACATTAATCTTTGTATTTTCTACCTCATCCCCATACACTGATTTCTTTCTTCAGGAACAAATATTTAATATAAAACAATAATTCAAGATGCATTAAATTATCAAAAAGGTTGATGCATTTTGTGAACATAGTATTTCTGTCTAAAACATGCTTGTTAGAATAATATTTAAAAATAAGTAAAATGTGAAAGAAAAAATACTTTAATAAAGACAGCCACATACTATTTGCCCTTAATCCCATTAAAAAGCAATTGATATTTGTATTTTCATTGCTTGGATATAATTTTGGTTTAAGGCAATTGGTCCTTAGAACTTCAATTCATATTTTCAAATTATGGTTACAAATTATGGTTATTTGAAAATAATGATAACGGGGAAAATTAATGCACATGAAATTACAAAAATGGAGAGTCACTCAGGATTTGCTAGTTTATTCCTTCACATATCAGCAGAAGGCGAGGAGCAATGGAATCAGAGAAATTATTTTTCTAGGATAATCCAAAAACAAATATGGATTCTCAGAAGACTTTGTACATTTTTTCTTTCTTAAATCCTTCTGTATATTTAAAATGTTGTTTAATCTCCCATTTTGATGAATTACTCAAAGCTATATGTTTTAATATTCAGTCAACAGATATCATATTAATCATCTCAAATATTATAATTATTATTCAGTTTATTATTTTCCAGGATGATTTTCAGAAAATACCAATCCTTTAAGATATACACATATGCCAAAACAAAACAAAGGATTTTTATGTGGGGACAGATAAGTGTGAGAAAATCTTTAAAATACAATCTTCCTCTTGAGGTATAATGTATATTAACATAGTACAGAAGCCAAGAAATCCGTTAATAGATGAAAACAAACTTAGTTGATTATGAAACCTATTGTCACTTAACAGAACTAGTGATATGTGAGCATAGTAAAAGAAAGGGTACATGTAAACATAGCTTCAGAAACTACAAGTGAAATCAAAATGAAGAGAAAAACAATTAAAACTTTGAGGATTCAATAGGCCAAATACACATACACATACTTGGCTACTTCTAAAGCTTTCCATGTTTTCAAAATGTGGAAACAGAAATATGATATTCTCTTGATCCTGGCAAAAGTTTCTGCCAAAGGCTTTTGTAAAATTCCTTATGGCTTTAGAAGTCAGTTTAGGAACTGGGCGATTTAAACGCAAAGTGATATTTTACAATTTTACCACTTACATCTTTTTGTGTGAACTTGAACAAATTAATCTATCTGCCTCAGTTTTCTCCTCTGTAAAATAGTAACAGTGTCAAATGCACAGGACTGTAAGGATTAACTGAATTAATATATCTAATGGGCTTAGAATGGTGATTCAAAAATTAGTGAGCCCTTGGTACACTTGCTATTATTTTTATTATTTGCTATTTCTTTGGCAATTCATTGGCATTCTTTGGGAACTGGTTGACTTTGAAGTACCACTCCTGTACAAATGTCTTAAATGAGGGATATTTAAATTTGGATTGAAATAGCAGAAAGAAACAAGTGTTAAACTTCCACTTCTGTGCACAGATTAAGGGATTAAGGACCTCTTCAAATGCAGCAACAGTGTTTTGATTTTTGGAATAAATTCCTTTTTTTTTTTTTTTTTTTTTTGAGACAGAGTCTCACTCTGTCACCAAGCTGGAGTGCAGTGGCACAATCTTGGCTTACTGGAACCTCCACCTCCCGGGTTCAAGTTATTCTCCTGCCTCAGCCTCCCAAGTAGCTGGCACTACAGGCACCTGCCACCACACCTGGCTAATTTTGGTGTGTGTGTGTTTTAGTAGAGACAAGGTTTCACCATGTTGGCCATGATGGTCTCGATCTCTTGACCTCGTGATCCATACGCCTCAGCATCCCAAAGTGCTGGTATTACAGGCGTGAGCCACTGTGCCCGGCCGGAACAATTTCTTAATAATAAAAGAATGCATTTAAACTACTTACAATGATAAAATATATGCCAAGTCTTCAGTTTAACTGAGTTACATGTGGTTCTAAACTTCACCAGCCTCCAAATAGCTGCTCTCACTTGGAGTAAGAGGGAAGATTTCACATTAAATGAAACTAACCCAATTAAATGGAACATTTCACATTATTTCTTAAGATAGGCTACCTATGTGTCAAGATCTCACAAATTGACAATTTGACCTGAAACATTTACCACACATTTCCTAACATTTTCTGTTAAGATCTCAAGATTTTATACATATCCAAAAATACATAGATGAATTTACTTGAGAGGACAAATTAACCAACAACTAATCTATCAGCACTGTTGTCTATAAAGCTATCATCGTGGAAAGAAGAGAATGAAGTCAAGGAAACTACTAGGCCAGGTGAATGTTAGGAGTATATTGTGATGCCAAGTTTAAAAGAAGTGATCCATTTAGTCTTTTGTATAGGTGCACAATAAAAAATGGATATAAGGGAAAAGATAAGGGTGTCAAAAGTTAAATGTTATTTTCCTAATAGGATGGCTTTTACATTGTATGTGAATATCAGTGACTGTGTACATATGGAGGTATGCTTAACCAAAATTTTAATTTAAAGAAGGTACAGAGGAATAGTTTATCACATTGGAATTTATGGAGTAATGATGTATGATGTCAAATTCATGCCAAGTTGTGACTTTGCTGATCTTATACTCAATTATCTCGCATAAAGTTTTGTCAATTTATAGCTCATATCACTTCTACCATGAGATATAAGATAAAAAGCAGCTGATTTGCATGTAGACGAGGTAAGTTTTCTAGACTGAGTATTTTTGTTTGGTCTGGAGGGTAAGGGTATGGTAAGACCACTAGGGGGCCAGTTTGAAAATAGAAGTGATGGCAGCTGAAATACCTTCCTAGGGAGAGAGGATCCACTAAATGCTGAACTTTCAATGGGCGAAGTGGAAATAAAAACTAATGACCAAAAATGAAATCTCAGGAATAATAAGGGATCTGAGCAGCTGTGCAGGACAAAAGATATGACTTGGCAGCTGCCAAGAGAAGAAACTTTCCAAAAATAAAAAAACTGAATGTATTAAGGGAATTATTCCAGTTTGGCATGTAATATGTGATGCATCCTTTCCCCTGACTCACCTAGTAAAATCTTTAAACATTTATTCCTTATTAATGCTTGTATGAGTAGTTAATTTGAGGAAAGGTAAGTCCTATAATTCCATGGGAAGGAGCAATCTTTCAAGATGTTTTACTGTCATAATAAGTGGCATTTTAAAACATTTAACGCAACTACCTTAGAGGTGGATATACTGTCCTTGAGTCCTAAATTTATAGATAAGAAAAACAAGCCTCAGAAAAGTGAAATGACTTAATTGAATGATAAAGAGATTAAAAACTTGAATTCAATTCTTCTAATCCCATATTTAATATTCTTTTTTCCTGACCACCAAGCCATATGTTATGCATACATATAATATATATATGGCATCTTATTTTTGGACATATATTATGGAATGTCCTTTGTTGTTCTGAAAAGAAAACATAAATTTGAAACTTATCTAACATAAATGTTCTAGTGGGAGAGGAAAAAAAATAATTTCAAGAAGAAATCATTTTTAAAACTGGATACAGGGATATATCAGCTGAAAAGCACTGAATATTTTAGAAAATAATCAGGCTGGCTATTTGACATTTGAAGGAGACAAAAGGACTCAGCCAGAGATAATACCTGTATAGTGCATGACCTATATAAAATATCCATAGCACCAAGGGACAAGCTCAAAGAAACAACAAAAGAATGGAGAAGTCAGGGAAGCCAGACTAACAGTGGGAGTAAAAATAAATCTTTCTTTAAACCCAGTGAGAGAGAAGGATCTTAGTGGAAAAAAGCTATTGCTTATGAAATGAATGCGGCTGTAGTCACAGAACACTGAGAGAACAAAAATCACAGGTTAACAAGTAAGAGTCACACATTTCAAGATTTTAGACATTAACTCTGACTATAGGCATATTTCAATTACTGCAGAAAAGTATTACACCTCACAGAATTTTTTTATAAACAGACCCCAGGAAATATTTTGCAAAGGTAGTGTCAGGGTATTTATTGAAAGGTGGCTACAGCCTTGGTGTGATAAAAGGGTCACTCTGGCTTTTGTGTGAGTTTAAGACTTGGGGGCAAGGCAGGAAGGGGTCAGATTTAAGCATAGAAAAATTTCCAAATTGGGATCACAGTGACTGAAAGCCTGGGACATGCCTCGAGCAACAAAGAACTGTAAACTAGATTCAACAAAGAACTGTAAACTAGATTCACTGAGCCTCAGTAATTTCCCAGATGAAAATGGTGGGAGATGGGAGAGAGAAAAAGATTATCTCTTGGCTTGTGAAATGTAGTCAAAGACTCTAAGAAATTCAGCATAGAGTTGCCAAGACAACTGTACAGAAAAGGTCCGGTTGAGATTATGATAATGATATTGACTGAGCAAAATAAATAAGTGCATACATAGCAGTCAGGGAGATTTTCATTTAAGTTTTGGTGTGCCATATAGCATGCACTTTGTAAGCTGACTGACCTGTGCTATGCCTATACCTTCCAGTCATGGAAGAGAATGAAACTAATTGCTCCCCGCTGGTAGGACACTTGGAGCCAGTACAAACCTTTACTCTCCATGAAGCCTTTGTTTAATTTCCTAAATATCTCATCTCAATCTTCTTTTGAGGTTTATCATTGTAGGCTTTTTGGCACAGCATAAAAAGAGACAAGACACTTAAAGACTGATAGGATGCCACAATATATACCAGAGATCAGCAAACTGTGGCTTGTTGGTCATATCTGGCCGACTACCTTGCTTTTATTTTAGCCTGTGAGCTAAGAATGGTTTTTAATGTTTTTTAATGGTTGAGAAAAATATTTAAAAATCATATTTTGTGTCATGAATAACTATATAAAATTTGATTTCATATCCATGAACAAGGTTTTATTAGAACACATCCACATACATTTGCTTATGTATTGTCTGTAGATGCTTTCACGCTACGATAAGAATCATCGCAACAGAAACTCTGTGACTTGCAAAGCCTAAAATATTTTCTGACCCTTTACAGAAAAGTTTGTTGTGTGCACTAAACAAATGTGCATATTTTGAATGTCATTAATTTATTGGGCAGCATTCATTTCACAAGCAATGCCCCTTTTCTGTTGGATTCCTCTTTCTCTTTGTGATTTATGTTTTTCACTAAACTGCGAATTTACCAGAAAGAAAGTGTCTACCACAGTTATTTGCAGATGAGAATGTATTAATAAATCTTTATTAAATTAATAACTATTCCAAATAATTTGATGTGATTTTCAGTACATTACAATTATATGTCTAATTCTTGATAAAGTACAGTGTTGGACAGGGTGAATTGATATAAATGATGACATTGTCACTACCTTTGAATGATTCATAATTTAATTTAAAAAACAATACAAATTCAAGGGTATCATCCACATAATAATACAAGACAGTATGTTATTTAAGTATCAAAATACCTGTTAGTGACAAAGATTCCATTATAGCAATAGTAGACATTAATCACTATCATAATAACTATAATTCCTAAATGTTTATTACATGCCAGCCACTTGGATAAATCTGAGATATGAATTATTTAATCTTTACAATAAACCCTTGTGATAGATACTATTTCATTCTGATTTTTTAAATGGCAAAGCTACATTTTAAGTCACATGGACTGAGCTAGAAGTTGAACCCAAATAACACATTCTTATTTTTAAAATGTACTTGACAAATATTAGCTATTTGATAAATATTAGTCAATTTGGAACTTGCAAATGTGCTAAGGGCACTAAAAGCGGAGGTATTAAATAAATGTGGACTTCAGAAATCAAGAGGAGTTTCTTGATTAAGAATGGGAATAATTTGCATATGTGAAAAGAAGGAAGAAAGCCACTTAGGGATGGGGAGATAGGAGGGAGGTAGAGTTATACACCGCATGACGACATCACAGTCAATGACGAACCTCATCTATGACTTTGATCCCATAGATTATGGATTATAATATTGTATTTTTACTGTACCTTTTTCATATTTAGATATGTTTAGATAGACAAATACCACTGTGTTGCAATTGCCCACAATATTCAGAACAATAAAATGTTATACCACTTTGTAGCCTAGGAGCAATAGCATACACCATATAGCCTAGGTGTGGAGTAGATTACACCATCTAGGTTTGTGTAAGTACACTCTATTATTTTCACACAATGATGAAATCACCTAACAACACATTTCTAAGTTATCACCGTTGTTAAGTGATGCATAACTATAATTAAAAGAGCAAAAGAAGGCTTGTTATAAGGAGTGTGATTTGACTTTGTAATAATGACTCATATCATGGTAGGATTTTCCTTTAATTAACTGAGGAATTAAGGAATAAATTTGTACATATAATTTCCAAACTGAATATTGCCTTGAGTTAACAAAGTTTCATTTACCAAATTTCTGTTTCAAAGATTTTCTTTCAGAGGGGAGAGTATCCTACATATTTTTCTCCTCCAGAAATTATACCGACCATGGAAAGAAAAAGAAATTGCTTTTTCTTATACTCTACTGTATTTCAATTAAAGGATGTAAAAGTAGATAGTAAGTGGCATATTGACATCATTAAAATTAGCAGCAGGAGCTGCAAAATGAATTAGTGCAGTCGTGGGACTGCTCAAGTGTTACAGAACCAGAGCATCCTTGGGAAAAAAAAAAAAACCAGCCTCCACCCCTCAACTATAGATGAAGCCAGTGTGTTCAACTTACCTCAGTCTTCCTTCATATTAAACACAAAACCCACAGAGCTACTTTCTAGTTCAAGTCTTTATCTCATTAAGATTTACACTTCAAGGGACAAGGTGAAGAGAAAAGCAGTTATTATGATAATTACATCTTCTTACCCATGGTGTATTACTTTTTATTTCAGTGGGCCATCTAATTCCACAATCTAAAAAGAATTCATTTCTTACTTAGTGAGAGACAAGATAATATTCCTACATGTAAGGTGTTCACAACGGCGTGATGCAGAGTCTATTGACAACAGAAGCAATAAAAGTGACTACCTTGCTGGTATGATTTCAGATAATCAGAAACACTGAAACTATCACGTGCCAATAAGACAAGTATCCATAACTACATGAGAAATCAAGTCCACCCATTGCACACCATAGTAATGTACAATACCACTGCATTAATTCTGATTGCTCTACAGCTATTCTTATTTCTGTCTCACTAGCTTGATCGTGCCCACGTTGAGAGTAGAGAGTACAATATAAAGTGTTTTCCATAGGTTATTTCACTTAATACTCAAACAATTTAAGAGGTAAATATTAGACACCCAATTTTAAGTCATAAGACAACCAAGGCTCTGGGAGATTAAGGTATTTTCCATTATAAAACAGAAAATAAAAGGCTGAACTAGGACTGATACCCAGATCTCACTCCAAAGATCTCAAGTGCTTTATGTATTTGATGTTATAGATACACATCTCCCACACACATCCACTTAAACCTAGCATAATATTTTTGCACATTGTAAATGTTTTTTTATTAAGTAGTTGAAATAAACAATCCATCAGAAACTGATTTTCATCACTCAAACTTTAGGTGAATAAATATCCAAAACTCACTTCTACACGAACTAAGATCTTGAAAACACCAAAAAAGAAGAGAGGAGAGTAATTCTACAAGCTTCAGCTACTTTATAATATTTTACAAAGGCTACAGGAATATGGCAATATCTTGCAAATGTTAGGCTAATTGATGATATATTGTGTCCTCTTAAAATCTTACCTTCTATAAGATTTTAGAGGTTCTGAGGTAGTCCAAAATTAAGTATTCTTTAAACTTTTATTTTTAAGCAAAGTTATGTTCAGTTTAGCTCATGTAGCCATATTTGAGCGGCCATATATAAGGAAAAATATATGCAGATAGTTTCCTTGATAGCACAACAACCTTTTGCAGTATAATATTACAAATGTTGTTTTAATCTTGACCTCTGGCTGCCAATTTTTAATTAACTCATTAACCTTTTTTTGCTTATTAAAATAATAATTTATTTTTTTCCTACAGGGGAAACACACCAGAGAATATGTGTAAGCAATGGTGTTCTTTGTCATGATTTTATGCATCAGTAATATTTTTACCTAATAGCATGTGTAATGTATGATGCCCCCAGCTATGCAATTTACATTGCTTTTGCAATAAACTATGCCAGTTTGACCATTCCCAATTTCCCTGAACTTTTAGTAAAGATAGATGGTCTGCAACAATTAGAGGTAAAGGATTGCTATAGGTTACTCCCCAACTCCCACACTCATTACCAGGTGTTATGTTCTGACTGAAAGCCATTGCAGACCAAATTCCGCCATATCAAACATAAATTAGCAAACAGACACAAAAAATTCTCTTTTTTTTTTTTTGGTAAATCTTGAACTCTGTCCTTTTAGGCAGTCTGAAAAGTTTCATGTATCAAAAGTTTATTCTGAGACTGTTGAATACATCAAATATCCTTGTAAAAAAACTAATAAACAAAATGAAACTAATTAGCAACTAGTTAAGGAAGTGAAACCACCACCTTGCGAGTGTCTTAGAAGGAACTTAGAAGAAGGAAGTTGGAAGTAAGGGGCTTATAGGGGCTTGTGATCTGGTTTCAAGTTTTTTAGGGGCAGATCTCTCAAGATATGGAACTGATTGCAACTGGGCAAAGTCTGGTTTGTGACATAATAGTTGAGGACTGGTAGACACTGAGAAGTGAGGATCTTAGAGCTAAATTTGATAAGTAACGTGTTTGTTAAGTGATACTTTTGCCCAAATGAACAGACTATTGTCAGTAATAAATTGATTTGCAGGAACTTTCTGAAGCAACTATTAACGTTATTTATTGATTTATAGTCTTATGTTACCAGGGAAAGATTTCTGGCAAAAAAACGGCGGGAGGGGGGAGGGGTAAGCCATATTGCCATAGCTGCTGTCACAAATGTTGGCAAAGATCATCTTAATTCTCAAGAGAAGTTAACACTGGTCTCCTGGATAGATCAACTAGCCTTTTCATCATAGCAATCTATGCAAACCTCCCTTAAGTGAAATGACACATCACTGAATGGAGATGTAAATTCAAGGTACCTCACAGAAGGTTACAGACTGCTGGACTATTTAAATCCATTTTTTCTATTCATGGTTCAAACAGAAACAACATACTTAGTCCATATTTCTAGTCAACTACATAATTTGAATGCCACTCAATTCAAGAAATATTACTTCTGCTGTCTCGTAAGCTAGTTTCTATTTATCTGGTAATATGTTGAAAGACTTGCTGTAGCCACCTTGGGAATGCATATTCCTAAGAAATACTTAAGTTCTTTCAAAAGATGAGTGAATGACTAATGTCAATTACTCATTTGTACTATCACTTCTAGAATATAAAGTTCATTGATTCCCACATGTATTGATATCACTGAGGAGTTAAAATTACAGTAACTATAACATTTGCAGCTGCATACAAGTGGTGAAGCAAGGTGTATGACGTTAATAAAATTAGAACTGTATTAGTATTACTAATGAAATTAGTAATTAGTATTAGTATTAATAAAATTAATAAGTCCTGTAGATGGGTATTTTGCCGATGATGAGTAAATATTCCCTCAGCTATCTATGTTATTTCTGGAAGGATACTTGAGAAAATATATACCCTCAAACACAAAAATTTACACATGACAATCATGTAAGTTTTTATTTCTGACTTATGATTTTTAAAAATTGCCAACATTTTTATTACTAAAATTTTCAAATATACAAGCTAAAGGAATCTTATGCTCAAAACTTAGATTTAACAATTAACATTTTATCATATTTTCCACATCTATCTATTTTTCTATTGTCTAATGATTTGCTGAACACTTTCAGATTAAGTTTCAGAAATCATAACTCTTCATTCTTAAAATCTTAACTGTGTATCTGAAAAGAATTAGGACCCTCTCTAACTTAATCACAGTTATTATCCCATCTAGAAAAATTGCCAATTCAGTTGTATCTAATACCCAAGTCACTTTCGAATTTCAAATTAATTTTAATATTTTTTAGTAAATGAAATTCATAATTTAAGCATATTCAAACTTAGTTATTCTACAGCAACATCTCAAATGGATACATATGCATCTGAAATTGATGCCTGTGATAATGCAGGTTGAATATTTCTAATCCAAAAATAAAAAATCTGAAATACTCAAAAATCCAAAACTTTTTTATACTAACATGATGTCCAAAGAAAATGCTCATTGGAGCATTCTGAATTTGGGATTTTCAGATTTGGAATGTTCAACTGGTATGCAAATATTCTAAAATCTGAAGGAATTCAAAATCTAAAACACTTCTAGTCCCAAGCATTTCAGATAAGAGATACTTAGCCTATAGATGGTTCTGATAGGAGTTGTACAGAAAGAATTTTTGAAATATTAAACCTTTTAAGAAAATTTACTTCAAAAGTTAAATCAATGGAACACTTGCATGGTAATAAGTTATAATTTGTACTATAATTTGCATTATACTTCATGGATAATGGAATTCTGTGACATCTTAATGTGCACTCCATTAGAGTGTATTCTAGATTCTCATTTCAAAATATTTTGTATGCCTTCCCATATGCTAATCAATCAATATCATTTCTTTTTTATTTGAGTGAATTAAAAGGAAATATCTCATTTTAGTCTATGTAACTGGGTTAATTTAAATTCAAGCTAACAGTCAGATGTCTTAGGTGTCATATTCTTTAGTAATTGACTTTTAGTCTTCTTAACTCTATCTGAGAGGTTCATGAGGAGTAATTAAGTCTTTCAATTAATTTTTCAAGATTACCTTATGTAATGTCATAGCAAATCCATATGAACAGGATAGACTCCACCCAAAATTTGCTTCTATTGTTGAGACTGATGGCCCCCGCCCCACCATCACACATATACCGAGAGTATGAAAAGGTTTCTTACTCAAATAATGGGGCTTTTTGGAAAGTGCAGGGCAGGTTTCAAAGCTGGCCTGAATATGCATTGCCAGGAGATTGCCTGTCTTACTTCGGCTGTTATAGCAAAATACCATAGACTGATTGGTTATCAACAACAGAGATTTATTTCACACAGTTCTATAGGCTGGGAAGTACAAGATTAAGGGACCTGCAGATTTATTCACTGTCTGCTGAAGGTCTAATCTCTCTTACATGGAGCCTTCTGACTGTGTGCCATTTGGTGGAAGGAGCAAAGTAGTTTTCTAAGACCTCTTTTATCAGGGCACAGATTCCATTCATGAAGACTCTGTTCTCATGATCTAATTACCTCCCAAAGGTCTCAGTTCTTAACATCATTATCTTGGGGGTTAGGTTTCAGTGCATGCATTTTAAGTGGACAAAAACATTTAGACCACAGCACAGGTTAAGGTTTTTATGTTGTTTAGGAGATAGATCAGGACTGAGCATTTGCACACATGGGCAGGGCCTTGTATGGTTTGGACTGCCTGCCAGTGCCACTGGAGGGGCATCCAGGCCTTCTTATTAGAATACTCAGATGGGAGATAGAAGGGAAAGAGAAAGAAGAAAGCCTTAAAAGCTATCAGCAGTCAAACATCAAAAGATAGAGTCAGACACTTTATTGTACATAATAAGTGAATTACTTAAAGGAAGCTGATTTTTGTTATTTTCCTCTACTGTTTGCATTGTTACACAAGGTTTCACAGCTCCTAGGGAAAGGGAACACTACTAGCTTAACATTTCCTAACTGATTTTTTAAATTTCCATCTTATATTAAAGAAAAAAGGCAAGAGGTTATTTCAAGCATATGCATTCCTTATTTTCACAAGGGACATAGAGTAAAGAAATAAAAAAACTATCACTCTATTAGTATGTACTTGTTTGTTTTAAACTCTAGTAACTTTAACCTCAGTGATTTAAATAGTATATTTTAATTCATATGAACCCCCAAACTTGTAGAAAATGTATGTGTAAACCCAACCATTAATCTCAATTAGCCTCCTTGCTATTATCATAAATATATGATATTTTCAAAGAAAAAAATGTGTTAATCTGTGGTTTGACTTGTGTTTATATGTTTTATTAGGCAATATGTCAAGGAGACAATGTTAAATTAAAGGGAAAAAAAGATCACAGTCAATTAAGTTGATTGAGAAATAGTAGAATGTTATCCAGCTGAAATTGGCATTATCTAACCCTGTTTGTTCACATATAAGAGGCAATTCTAAGCAAATGCAATTCCTTTTGCAAAGTGCACTGACATTTTTCAGACTCTCAGGAAGAAGTCAAACACTTGCTACAGTAAGGGAGTGAGAGCACACCATACACATGTGAACCAAGATGCCATGGTCTTTGGAAGCTCATTGAAAAGTGAATACAACATCTGAAAATATCCATTAGGCAGAAGCCTGGCTTGGAAGAGCTGAGCTGAAAGAACAAGAGTAGTTTGGTTGACAGCTGTGGCAGAGGAGCCGATAGCCGAGTTCTTAGGCAAACAACTCTTTGACTTTCCAGATAATAACACAAAAATAATTTTTCATCAGGTATATGCTCCACTTCCTCTCCATTTCATACTCTTATCCTCAGCATTTTGTTGTAATATTTCATTGAAAACTGGTTTCCGGCTAAAGAAACTAGTATGGTTTTACATAGCTACCTCATACTTTTTCAAGTAGGTTTTGCAGGTACATGCACATGGAAATAACAGGAAACTGAGATTGCACCCAGAGTGCATTCTGGGTTATCCCTTTTTCGTTGTTGTGTGGAGACCAGCTGGGTCGGGGAGACCCTAACCCAGCGGCACTAGAGGAATTAAAGACCAGCCTGACTTGCTGATTTTTTCTACATTAAATATAGAGGTGCAAAGTGGGAAATCAGGGGTCTCACAGCCTTCAGAGCTGAGAGACCCAAACAGAGATTTACCCACATATTTATTAACAGCAAGCCAGTCATTAGCATTGTTTCTATAGATATTAAATTAACTAAAAGTACCCTTACGGGAAACAAAGGGATGGGCCGAATTAAAGGAATATGTTGGGCTAGTTAACTGCAGCAGGAGCATGTCCTTAAGGCACAGATCGCTCATGCTATTATTTGTGGCTTAAGAATGCCTTTAAGCGGTTTTCCACCCTGGGCGGGCCAGGTGTTCCTTGCCCTCATTCCGGTAAACCCACAACCTTCCAGCGTGGGCTTTATGGCCATCATGAACATGTCACAGTGCTGCAGAGATTTTGTTTATGGCCAGTTTTTGGCCAGATATTGGGGGGCTTTTTCCCAACACTGTTGTGCTTTTTAAAACTATTCTTTAAAGAACACACATGGCTTCTAGTTTTCCATATTTGGTGCCAACAGGAAATTATTCTGTTTTATTAGCTGTGATAGTTGCAAAATTAGATAAAGCAAAAATATATGCATTATTTTAAAATGCTATACTATAGAAGGAAATTATCTATGGTCTAGTGATTGGGAGCATAACAATAAAGTTAGAATACTTGCATTCAAATCAATATCTATCATATTACTGTATAACTTGAATAACAGTTTCTGTCTCAGTTTCTTTGACTAAACACTGAGTTCATTAGAAACTATCTCATGAATTATTGCAAGTGGGGAAAAAGCCATAATGGTATTAGAAAATGGCATGATGCCTGTCATTATTTTTATTATTCTTGTTATTAATTTAGCTTATTAGTGTAACAAGAAACACTGTTTGCAGTAACATTCCTATAAATTTTCAATAAACTTTACCTTTACCTTTATTGTCACCTATAATGCAGGACTCAAAGTTGTGCATAATTATGTGTTTTTTCAGGTTGTCATTACCTCCCAAGTGTCTGAATTTAGAACATTTTTGATTCCAGTAAAATGGTATTACCCTTTCTTTCAGAGCTGATCCTTTCTGATCATCAATTCTGCTTTCTCTCTTATTCTGCACCCATAGCTGGGCTACTCTTTTTCACATCCTCAGCAGGCAGGCATCACAATGTGGGTGACATAGCTTACGGGGCAGAAATAATGCACTCTACATTCAGACAAGACCCTTAAAGCCCTCCAACAGGTCGGTCTCTTGGCTTTTCCCACTCTGTTGGCTTCATGCAGAAGAGTAAGGCAACATTGGAATTCACATTTTCCATATGAAAAGAACACAAGATGGAAGTAGTTAGGGTCTTTAAATCACATCTTCAAAGAAGACTGCCCACCTATCAGAACCACTGTTTGGACTTAAACGATTGAAAAATGAACTTCACTTTTGTTTAGCCTCTGATATTTTGGAATGTAACCGTTATAGCAGCTGTTATTACCTGAACTAAAATATCTCTCAAGGTAGAACAATCTATCATATGTGTACAAAATTTTAAAGCCTGGACAAATACCCAAATTATCTATAAATTGACAAAGTTTATTTTAAAAAGCTCTTATGAACTGTTATCAGTAACATAATACAAATTGTTACCCCTTTTTCATGCATTAAAACTTTATTTTTATCTAGCTAGTGACTGGAATTTTTCCTCTATTACTTCTTAAGAGTTACCAGAAGCTGACATGTAAGTGACATCTAAAGTAGAAACCATATTCTGTGAAGCATGAGTCTTTCATTAAGTTTTATCTGTGTAGGCAAAATGGATATATGAAAATTATATGGGGCTTAGAATTAGCTAGATCTAGGTTTAAATCCTAGTGCTAATATTTTTTTCGATGCACTGTTGGGCAAGTTACCTACTGAAACTCAAGTGTATAGTTTATCTAATGGGAATAATAATAGTAACTATGCTAAAATAATAATCATAGAATTCAATACATGCTTATATAATATATTCTTCTATACTCATAAAATATAGTATAGAAAAAAAGGAATCAATATTCACTGAGTGTACATCTCCCAGCTCACCCTACTTTCTTTCTATGTTCTGACTGAGAAACGCAGAGTCACCTTGACTGCTCTGTGACCTGGCCAGCTGCCTTGTTTTCCCCAGCAGGCTTGAGCTCTAGTTGGGACCTTGGATATTCCCAGGCACTTATGAAGCTGCTTATGTTGCTTCTAGAAAACGCAGAGACTAACCCTGTTGCTAAACATGTGGAAACTAGCCCCAGCCCTGAGCCAAATTCCTTAACCCCCCATATAAACTGCATAACCCAACCCCTTTATTGAGGACCTACCTAGGCAGAACAACTCTTTCTTCCCCTATCTGTCATGAGAACTGCTACAGCATTCTGGATGTAAATTCCCCTTATAGATGCTTCGAAGTTCTTCTTTCTTTGGAATTCTGAGCATCTCCCTGTCTGGACATTTGAGGTTTACCTTTTTTGCAGGGACTCCCCTGCCCCCAATTTTAGGGGCAACGGATTTTATTAGTCAAAACACTGAGCCTGTCCTACATGTCAGGCACTCTGCTAAGTGTCTTTAGTATCCTTATCTCATATGGAATCTTTTGAGACAGTCTCTCTCTCTGTCACCCAGGCTAGAGTGCAGCAGTGCGATCTCGGCTCAATGCAACTTCCACCACCTGGGTTCAAGCAATTCCCCTGCCTTGGCCTCCCAAGTAGCTGGGACTACAGGTGCCCACCACCACGCATGGCTAATTTTTGTATTTTTTGTACAGACAGGGCTTTACCATGTTGGCCAGGCTGGTCTCAAACTCCTGACCTCAAGTGATCTGCCCACCTGAGCCTCCCAAAGTGCTGGGATTACAGGCATGAGCCACCATGCCCAGCCCTTGGCACTCCTTATAAACCCCTAGTAGTTGATTATTTTTGTTTTCTTTATGAAAGCAGATGTTTTCCATATATTACAGAAAAAGCAAGTTTAGTGTAATAGCTAAGACATAATGATTGTGGAAAAAGCTAAAGCTGAAGGGTAAACATCAGGATGGCTATGTCTAAAAAATAGGATGAACAATAACTAACCTCTTCAGCCTCCAGGGCTGGCACAGTTGGAAAATCCAAATCTCAGAAGTGGGACCACAAAGTGAAAGCTCAAGGAAAGATCTGAAAAGCTGTCATGGTTGTCCAACTCACCCCACTGAATAAAGCCACTCTGGCCTATATCTGCTTATCTCACATGAGTTTTCATTGGCAAACACTAACTCAGAAACATACAGCAAAGAGAATTCTAGAAAAGCAGTTCCAGCCAGTCAGCACTGGCCGCGCTGAGGCCGAACTGGCAGCAGACGATCCAGCATGCATAATTACCATTTTCTCCATAATACTGACAAAGAGGAGGAGGAGAAGCTACAGTAAAAACAACAAATGTGTGTCTGGCATTAACTATGTTCCAGGCACACTTGATAAAGTGGTTTACATTTACTATCTCAATTAATTTTCACAAGTTCTCTTTCTGTTTTACATTTGAGGATTTAAAAAAGGTGAATGCGTTAGAGCCACAAGTTATTACTAAATGGCAAGGCCAAGAGTCTAGTACCCTTCTTTCTGATTTCAGAGCTTGTGTTTCAAAAAGATGAAACCAGAAATAAAATTCTTTTGTGTGTGTGTGTGTGTGTCTGTGTGTGTGTGTCTGTGTGCGCGCGCACATGAGTCTTTTGTTTTATAATTTTTTAGACTCAAGTGGTACATATGCAGGTTTGTTATGTGGATATATTGCATAGTGATAAAGTGTAGGCTTCTAATGAACTAATCACCCAAATAGTAAACATTGTACCCAATAGGTAAATTTTCAATCCTACCCCTTCCCACCCTCCCTTGCTTTAGGAGGAACCAGTGTCTATTATATCCTTCTTTATGCTCACGTGTACCCATTGTTCAGCTCCTACTTGTAAGTGAGAATATGTGGTATTTGATTTTCTGTTTCTGAGTTACAGAAATAACATTATTATCTTTTTAATTGCAAAGTCCTGCATCACTTCTATGGTACAAAAGTTGGAGCTTTGTAAAAAAAAAATATATTTGCCAATATAAAGATAGGTGATACAGCAATACATATTGCTATAATAATGTAAAATTACTTTATATAAATAAGTTTAAAATATATAGTGTATGTGAGAGTTGGGAAAATAAGTTTTTAACAAATGCAACTAAGACATATAACTAGAACATAATAATAAAATTATTAAATACTGAATTGTCCTCCTCTTCTCACTTATATGTTGAATCCCTAACCCCTAATGTGACTGTATTTGGAGATAAGGCCTCAAGAAGGTAAATAAGGTTAAATGAGGTAATAAAGGCAGGGCTTTAATTCACTATTACTGATGTCTTTAAAAGGAAGAGACAGCAGAGATGTACACACATAGAGAGTCATGTGAAGACACAGTAAGAAGATGCTCACCTACAAGTGAAGGAGAGAGACTGTAGTAGAAACAGAGCAAGCCAACACTTTAATCTTGGACTTCCAGCATCCAGAACTGTGAGAAATAAGTTTCTGTTGTTTAAGTCACCCAGTCTGTGATGTTTTCTTACGGCAGCCCTAGCTGACTAATATGAAGACCTTTACCTAATGTAGTGGAAAAGAGGATGAATATGTATGTGCAGTGATGTGATGGGAAGCACTTTTGATGTCACATAAAAATGAACTTTTTTAAGATAATATCTGTATTAGTCAATATTCCACTGTAGTTATTAGAAATCACTTTATCTAATTTAAGCAGAAAATGATTTAACAGGGAAATCAGTTCCTTACAATATGCTATCAGAGGCAGGAGAAGAAGACTCAAGTCCAGGCATCAATAAATGATTTTTAAAAAATGCAAGTGAATTCTGTTTCAAATCTAGTTAGAGTAACAAGCACTAAATTTGTATTTCAGCCTGAAGCACTAATATGAACAACATTCTACAAAAGAATGACTTTCAAGATACTGGACAGAAGATGAAAGACAGTGATTCCTGAAAGATAAGAACAAACCAAATGAGCCCTATGACTGTCCCAACTTACTGCCTAGAGAGAGTTTTCAAGCCACTCTCTGGGGCAGGGAGAGATGAATCCCAGATTTGAAGAGACAGAGCTGAGCATGCAGGGAAATCAAGATAGCCATAGTTCATGAGAAAGAATAACACAGCAAAAATTGCTGCACAGAGAGAACACTGTATAGATCTGTGAAATGTCACCACAGGTATTTCTCATAGCACTCGTCAGCCCCTTCATGTGAGAAAACTACCCAAAGTTAAGATAGAAAAAAAAATATGAAAAGGTTAGAGAAAATGTTAACTCAAAATTAAGAATACTAACAGTTCCCATCACCCAGAGTGGAAAAACAATATAATATACTGGATACTGGGTAAAGCACTCAGAGGCTCTTACTGCAGTAGTGGGGAAAGATTGCACTAGGCCAAAAATGACTAATTCTAAATAACAAATACTAAAGGAATGATTCAAATGAAGAAAATATAAATACATACACAAATATCTAGCAACCAACAAGATAAATTTCACAATGTAAATGCATCTGAATCAAAATTACCAGTATGCAAAGAATCAGGAAAATATGGCCCATCATGAGGAGAAATATCAATCCATCAAAAACGACAATGGCACAGATGTTAGAATTATCAAGTAATTGCATTAAAAAATTGCTATAACTGTATTCCATGTGCTCTTACAGAAAGAAGACACATAGAATATACAGAAAGGAACCTAATAGAAATTTTACCAATGACAATTACACTGTGAGATAAAAATGGACTTGATTAACAGCTATGTAAACATAGCAGAAAAGAAGATTAATAAACTTGAAGATGTCACAGTGGAAATGAAGCAAAATGAGGTACACAGAGGAAACAAAGTTAAAAATTAACACATCACTGAGTTGCAGGACAACTTCAAGCAGTCTACTATAGGTGTAATAAGAATTTCTGAAAAGAGCTGGAGAGGGTCAGTAAAATTAGTAGAAGAAACAATGGCTAAAATTCTTGAAGTTTATGAAAACTGTAAATATAAAGATCCAAAAAGTTCAACAGACCTTAAGTGAATAAACATAAGGAAAATTATAGCAAGATATACCATACTGACTTATTAAAACAAAGGATAAAGGGAAAATCTTCAAAATTTGAAAAGAAAATCTCTGAAAAAAAGGCACAGTATATACAGAGAAACAATGCCAATGACAACAGATTTCTCATCGAAAACAATGTAAGTGAGAAAACAGTGAAGCAACATTATTTAAGTACTGAAAGAAAAAAATCAATTTAGAATGCTATACCTAGTGAAAGTATCTTTCAGAAAATAAGGGAATAAATGCTTTCTAAGATATACAGTAGTTGAAAGAATCTATCATCAGCAACTCCATACTATAAAAAATGTAAAAGAAAATTGCTTAGTCAAAAGAAAAATAGTATTAGATGGAAATACGAATGAACACAGAAAATTATAAGCACGAAAAATGGAAACTATGAAATTAAATATGGAAAATATTTTTTACTTAAATATTTTCAAAAGATAATTGAGTAAACAAAAATAATAAGCATGTATTGGAAGCTTTACTATAAATTTATAATTAAAGATAAAACAGCAAAAATGTTGTAGAAATAAATGGAAATACACTATTTTTAGGTTCTTAAATGATATGTATAATCATTTAATATCATATAACAGTATAATGTAACAAGACAAGGATATATACCATAAAGTTTAAAGCAACCACTAAAGTAACAAAAGTTATGTATAAGCCAAAAAATGAGACTAAATATAATCATAAGAAAATACTTAGCTAATCCAAAAGAAGTCAAAAATAGTGGAAAAAGAAACAAAAAAAAATAGTTGAGACAAATAGAAAAGAAATAGGGAGACAATAGGATTGAATCTAACCATATCAATATTTACACAAAATGTATATGGTCCAAGTACACCATGTAAGAGATAGAGATTGTCAGATTGAATAAAAAGTGAAACATATCTATATTCTGCCCACAAGAAATGCATTTGAAATGTAGAAACAAAAACTAGTTGTATGTAAAATGATACAAAAAATATAGCTTGTTAACAAATGTAATCAAAGGAAAGCTGGATTGGCTATATTCTTATCAGAGAAATCAGATATCAGAGTAATTGTACATAATATTACTAGGAATAAACAGGTGATTTTATAATCATAAAGAAGTCATTTCTAAAGAAAGGCTTAATAATCCTAAATATGTGTATACCTATTAATAGGGTTTCAAAACTTTTTTGTTAAATGACAAACTGATTCTTAAACTCATGTGGAAATATAAAGGAAGTAGAATAATCAAAGTAACAAAATCCTCATTTTATTTTTTGAGACAGGTTCTTGCTCTGTTGCCCAGGATGGAAGGCAGAAGCATAAATCAGGCTCAATGAAACCTTCACCTCCCATATTCAAGCGATTCTCCTGCCTCAGCTGCCCGAGTAGTTGAGACTAGAGATGCCCACCATCACACTCGACTAATTTTAGTATTTTTAATAGAGACAGGGTTTTGCCATGTTGGCCAGGCTGGTCTCAAACTCCTGAGCTCAAGCAATCCACATGCCTGAGCCTACCAAAGTGCTGGGATTACAGGCGTGAGCCACTGCACCCAGCCCCCAATCATTCTGGATAAGAACATTTAGAGATGTAGAAATGAAAGGTAATTCTCTTAACCTGATAAACAGTATCTGTGAAAACCCTACAGCTAATATCATATTTAATGGTGACAGATTGAATGTCGTTGATCTTGTTGTGAAGATCAGCAACAAGACAAAAAGATATCTGCTTTCATTATTTCTATTCAACATATTTCTGGATGCTATAATTAATGCAAACAGGCAAGAAAGAGAAATAAAAGCATTCAGATTAGACAGAAATAAGAGAAGGGCAAATTTTATTCGTCCTTACTCACAAATCAAATGATCTGCCTTGTAGATATCTCATGGAATCAACCAAAAACCTATAAAAATCATTAAGTGAGTTTAGTAGGTTTTTATTATACACAATCAATATACAAAGATTGATTTTATTTTGATATACTAGCAACAATTATTGCTAACAATTATGAAATTAACAAATAACGCAATTTATAGTAGCATCAAAATTATGAAATATTTAAGGATAAATCAGAGTGATGTGTAAGACTTGTACATAAAAACTACAAAATATGGCTAAGAGAAGTTTAAGAGATACTAAACAAATTGAGAGACACTTCATGAATATGGCGGAAGGACAACATTTTTAAATGTCAATTCTCCTGAAAGTGATCTATAGGGGAAACCCAATCTTTATCAAAACTTATTATAGCATGCTTTTTTATTTTTGGTAGAAAATGACAAACATATTCTTAAACTCATATGGATATGTAAAAGATATAGAATAGCCAAAATAATGTAGAAAAAGAAAAAAAATCAGAGGCACAAACTACTCAATTTCAAAACTTACTATAAAGCTATAATAATCAAAACAATGTGGCACAGCCAAAAGTTCTGAATCCTGGGTTGTACAAAGATTTCACAGATAAGACACCAAGTGCAAAATTAATTTTAAAAAAGTAATTGATAAATTTAACTTTATTAAACATTTCTACTTTTTGAACGTCTCTGTCAAAAAAGAATTAAATACAATCCACGAAGTACTGCCAAACATATCTAATAAAGTACATTATTCAGAATATGTAAGAACTCACAAAACTGAGTAAGAAAATAGTTTCTTAAATGAGCAAAAATTTGGCACAATACTCTTTCAAGTAAAACATGTGGATTGCATATAACTACCTAAAAAGATGTGCAACATCATCAGTCATTAGAGAAATTCAAACTGAAACTAAATTGAGATCCCACTACAACTACTAGAATGGTTAGACAGTAATAGCTTAGCCAATAAAATAATAAAATGGTGGTAAGGATATGGAGTAACTGGAAGTCTCACAAATTTTTGGTATGAATGTAAAATGGTACAATCACTTGGAAAACAGTTTAGAAGTTTCTTTAAACATTAAACATACAACTATCTTATGATTTAGCCACTCAATTCCCAAGTATTTACTCAAGACAAATGATAGCAAAATAGTTATGCAAAGACTGGCACATAAATGCACATAACAGCTTTACTTCCAATTGCTACAAGTTGAAAATGATGCAACTGTTCATCAACAAGTGATTGGATAAGCAACCCATGGTATATCTGCCCAATGGCATACAACTCAGTGATAAAAAGGGATGAACTAATATCATGCAGTAACATAAATGAATCTCAGAATAATTGTTTAAAAAGCCAGACAAAACACCACAAATTGTAAGTTTCCATTAGTATACTTTTTTTATTATTATTATTATACTTTTAAGTTTTAGGGTACATGTGCACAATGTGCAGGTTAGTTACATACGTATACATGTGCCATGCTGGTGTGCTGCACCCATTAACTCATCATTTAGCATTAGGTATATCTCCTAATGCTATCCCTCCCCCCTCCCCCCACCCCACAACAGTCCCCACAGTGTGATGTTCCCCCTCCTGTGTCCATGTGTTCTCATTGTTCAATTCCCATTTATGAGTGAGAACATGTGGTGTTTGGTTTTTTTCCTTGTGATAGTTTACTGAGAATGATGATTTCCAATTTCATCCATGTCCCTACAAAGGACATGAACTCATCATTTTTTATGGCTGCATAGTATTCCATGGTGTATATGTGCCACATTTTCTTAATCCAGTCTATCCTTGTTAGACATTTGGGTTGGTTATAAGTCTTTGCTATTGTAAATAGTGCCGCAATAAACATACGTGTGCATGTGTCTTTATAGCAGCATGATTTATAGTCCTTTGGGTATATACCCAGTAATGGGATAGCTGGGTCAAATGGTATTTCTAGTTCTAGATCCCTGAGGAATCGCCACACTGAATTCCACAATGGTTGAACTAGTTTACAGTCCCACCAACAGTGTAAAAGTGTTCCTATTTCTCTACACCCTCTCCAGCACCTGTTGTTTCCTGACTTTTTAATGATTGCCATTCTAACTGGTGTGAGATGGTATTTCATTGTGGTTTTGATTTGCATTTCTCTGATGGCCAGTGATGATGAGCATTTTTTCATGTGTCTTTTGGCTGCATAAATGTCTTCTTTTGAGAAGTGTCTGTTCATATCCTTTGCCCACTTTTTGATGGGGTTGTTTTTTTTTTTCTTGTAAATTTGTTTGAGTTCATTGTAGATTCTGGATATTAGCCCTTTGTCAGATGAGTAGGTTGCAAAAATTTTCTCCCATTTTGTAGGTTGCCTGTTCACTCTGCTGGTAGTTTCTTTTGCTGTGCAGAAGCTCTTTAGTTTAATTAGATCCCACTTGTCATGATTGTATATCTAGAAAACCCCATTGTCTCAGCCCAAAATCTCCTTAAGCTGATAAGCAACTTCAGCAAAGTCTCAGGATACAAAATCAATGTATGAAAATCACAAGCATTCTTATACACCAATAGCAGACCAACAGAGAGCCAAATCATGAGTGAACTCCCATTCACAATTGCTTCAAAGAGAATAAAATACTTAGGAATCCAACTTACAAGGGATGTGAAGGACCTCTTCAAGGAGAACTACAGACCACTGCTCAATGAAATAAAAGAGGATACAAACAAATGGAAGAACATTCCATGCTCATGGGTAGGAAGAATCAATGTCGTGAAAATGGCCATATTGCCCAAGGTAATTTATAGATTCAATGCCAGCCCCATCAAGCTACCAATGACTTTCTTCACAGAATTAGAAAAAACTACTTTAAAGTTCATATGGAACCAAAAAAGAGCCCGCGTCGCCAAGTCAATCCTAAGCCAAAAGAACAAAGCTGGAGACATCATGCTACCTGACTTCAAACTATACTACAAGGTTACAGTAACCAAAACAGCATGGTACTGGTACCGAAACAGAGATATAGACCAATGGAGCAGAACAGAGCCCTCAGAAATAATACCACACACCTACAACTATCTGATCTTTGACAAACCTGAGAAAAACAAGAAATGGGGAAAGGATTCCCTATTTAACAAATGGTGCTGGGAAAACTGGCTAGCCATATGTAGAAAGCTGAAACTGGATCCCTTCCTTACACCTTATACAAAAATTAATTCAAGATGGATTAAAGACTTAAACATTAGACCTAAAACCATAAAAACCCGAGAAGAAAACCTAGGCATTACCATTCAGGACATAGGCATGGGCAAGGACTTCATGTCTAAAACACCAAAAGCAATGGCAACAAAAGCCAAAATTGACAAATAGTATACATTTTAAGCTAATGAAAATTTTTCTATTGTGATGGAAAGCAGATAAATAGTGGCCTGGGGATGGGAGGTGGACAATAGTGGACAATAGCAGGAGGGAGGGATTACAAAGCAGCAATGATAAACTTTTTAGGGTTTATCATTAACGAGATAATGGATGTGCTCATTATCTTGGTTGTGATTATGGCTTCATGGATATATGCATATGGATACATATATACGTATCTCAAATTGTATACTTTATTGTATGTATGTCAATTACACTTTGGTAATTCTGTTAAATACAATAGAACCAATCCTGCCAAAGAAGCATTATATCTACAACTAGTAGTAAAACTAGTTATCAGAAAGCCACAGTCCATGTAACTGTTTCCAGAAATGCACTATTCTTAGTTCTAATGGCCTTGAACAAATTATCTAACCGGCAGAGGCTAATTCATATTTACAGTCGTAGCTGAAAACCACCATAAGGTATGTGATTTTTAACTTTCCACTTGCAGTATACAATAAAATACATACACAAGGGTTTGAAGTGCATATTGAAGAAGCCAATCTAATATGTGATATAGCATCCAGCAGGGTTATTTGAATATCTTTGTTTCTCTTTTTTTGGTCTCAGCCTTATAATAGGAAACTTTAAGTTGCCTTACAGATACTTCATTTTTCTTTTTTTTTTCCTGTTTTATTTTGGATAGATGGCATTTTTGTGTTTTCAGATTAGCTATTTTTTCTTCTGCAGTATCTAATCTACATTTAATCCCAACCCTCAGTATACTTTTTCTCACCTCAGACATGTACTGTTCATCTGTAGAAGTTTGATCTGGGTCTTTTATGAAATCTTTCATGTTCAATATGAAACATAGTTTTTTTTTTTAACATAAGGTATAAGATGAAAACTGCTTAAATGTCCTTGTCTACTAATCCTATCATCTATGACATTTGGGGCCTGTTTTAATTGATTAATTATTGCCATTATTATGAGACATATCTTCCTGTTTCTTTGTATACCTGGTGAATGCGTTAACTTGTGTGCTGAATATATTTTTATTTTTATACATAATTGTGCTTTATTCTATGATATGGTTTGGTCCTGTGTCCCCACCCAAATCTCATCTCAAATTGTAATCCCCACGTATCAAGGGAGGGACCTGGTGGGAGGTAATTGGATCATTAGGTGGCTTCCCCCATATTGTTCTCATGATAGTAAGGGAGATCTCATGAAATCTGATGGTTTTAAAAGTGGCAGTTTTCCCTGTGCGCTGTCTCTCCTGCCGCCTTGTGAAGAAGGTGTTTGCTTTTCCTATACCTCCCACCATAAATGTAAGTTTCCTGAGGCCTCCCCAGCCATGTGGAACTGTGAGTCAATTAAACCACTTTTATTTATAAATTACCTAGTCTCAGGTAGTATTTTTATAGCAGTGTGAAAACTGACTAATATAATACATTCTGGAAAGTTGTTTAATTAATTATGAACAATTTCATCCTTTTGGCCCCAAATATTAACCTTTCTTAAGTGGAACCAGGCAGAATTTAGTCTATGTTTAATTATTTCTTCATCACTCTCACTGCTACTGAAGCAAAATCTTTCTCAGAATTCTATCCAATACTCTACACAATATAAGGTCTTCCGTTCTGACTGGTGGTAAAATGAAATTTTTCTAGCACTGCATAAACTTTAGGGATTATTCATTCTGTCCTGTTGGTTCTTTCTCATCCTGTAGTAGCCTCTTCATATGCATGCACTGATCAATGTTTGGTTGGAGACTGGCGGAGATCCACTGAAGATCTTCAGTGTACCCTGTAAACTCTAATCACCTTGACCTGCCAGACTCCTTGTTCCATCTCCTTGATTCAGGATGATAGTTAAACTCTGCCTGGGTTTCCTGTCTTTGGGCAGAAGTATGGAAATTCTCTCAAGACAGTGAGCTGGGGAAATTGAAGCGCTCACATTATCTGTTTTCTATCTCTCAGGATTAACTACCCTCTGTAGCTTGATCTCTTAAAGATTGTTTTTATATATATTTGGTTCAGTTTTTAAGTTGTTTCAAGCAGGAACTTGGTCTAGTTATACTGTCTTGGCTAGAAGTAAAGATGTCAAAGGCATTTTTTCATCTTATATACAATTTAAATAATTTATTCAACAAGGTATGTATAGTCAAGAGGGACAGAGCAAGAGAAAATTAATCTGAACATATGGACTTACTCTACTGTTATCAATTAGAGGCTGTGGCCAAAGGCAAGTCATTTCACCTTTCTAAGCTTCAGCATTCTCCTCTGTGGAATTTAGGTGTTAATACCTGCCTTCTCTGCTTGTGTTGTTATTGTGAGGCTTTAGCATGGCTGAAATATTTCAAAGAACATATTGTAAATAGTTCTCCAATGAGAAGCATTTCTATAGCCAATCCAATAAATATTAAAATGCATATTGAAAAGGAAATGAGCTTTGGCTTCAGGGTTACAGGCTCAGAAACTCTTTCTGCTATTTATTAAGTATACGGTGAGTTGATGAAGCTCTCTGAATCTCAATTTACTCTTCTTTAAAATGAAAGTAACTGTACTTACATTGAAGGCTTGTTTTAGAAAATGCGAAAGAAAAATATATATAAGATGTCTAGGAAAGTAAACATAGTAGAATATCAATGTGTGTTAACTCTTAGATTACGTAATGAGAAATAAAAGACAAAGAAGCAGGCTGTGGAAAGACAGCTCTTCACACACCTGTTACATATTTGTATTGTCTGGACTGTTTTCAGAAAAGTGGGTATCAGAGCCACCACCAATCTACAAAGCAATTTTGTATGAGTTATAAACGGAAGCCTCCTGTATGTGAACAAATGAGAAAAAGATGCCCCTTGCTTCAGGTGATACAGCCTTGTAGTAGTGAACATGGATTAATGAGCAAAGAGTAAGCTGGATTTTAGCCTGCCACTCCCAGGGACAGGCTTCTCTTTACAGCGCACAAACTATGCAGCCTCATATGGAGGTGCTGGTAGCAACAGTACCCAGTGCATATTCTCAGTACACTCTCAGCTGCATGGCTTCTTGCTCAGAACCTGGGGAATCTGACAAAAAGGAATAATCTAAGAATAAGCTGGAGTTGATAACGTGGTCCTGAAATATTTAGAAATGTACTTGCTTTGAATCACAAGAAGTTACATTAGAGAGTGTAGTATTTGGGAGAAATTGGCAATAGAAAATATTACTATGTGATCTATCCTACTATGAGTCAAATAATGCAGGAATTCTTGTAAATACTGAGAATATAAAATAGGCATCTTGTTTTTCTAAAAATACATACAGAAATGTACCAAAATCTCTTTAGATTGCATTTTCCTTTTTACTCGAAGAGATTTTTTTAAGGATTGTGTGATTCATTTGAACTAAATTTTTTACTTTCAAGTTGTACCAAAATATAATGCTAAATATTGTATTTGGATTAAAAAGTGAAGTAATTAGAACTCATGCCATTGAAGCCTATCTGTGAAAGACCTGTTTATTTGAAAGTAATAAGTGAGAAGAAAGCAGTGGCATTCCACCAAGACAGGTTTCTGAAGGCTGCCAGTATTCCAATCAAGAAAAATATTATTTATGAAAAAGTAATAATAGCCACCAAACTCATAAATCTTTCAGTAAGGTAAGGCTGTAACACTATGAATGAATGTTTTATAACAACTTCAAAAAATATTCAGAAATATTTACATTATATTTGTACCTTCCTTTATTCATTTACTCATATATCTATACACTTACTGAAAATTAACCAAGCCATCCTTCAACTTTCTGAATCATTTCTTTACTCACCTTTATAGCAAAAATACTCAAAAGTGTTGTATATGTTGACAATAGGCAAAATAGGCAAATCCCCTTTTTGTTTTTCCTCAGCCCACATCATTTGATATTCTCAATCACTCATTGGAATGAGTTTTGCTAATTTTAAAGACAACCTAGATCCTTCTAGTTTCAATAGTTTCTTTTCCACATTTTATCCAAATTCTCAACAGCATTTAAAGCAGTTTACCACCTTGTTGAAAACTTAAGGAAAAGAAGCACTCTTCTAGGTTTATTGTTCATTATTTTGAAACAAGACTTTCCACTCTTCTGATTTCCTTTATTGGTTTCTTATGGCAAAGAACCCCCAGAATTTCCACTCTTCCTTTCAAAACATAGTTTTTGCTTATTAATTACTTGCCTGCCACTGGAGATGGAGACTACACTTCCTACTTCACCTCCAGGTACGGCTATGCCATTAGTTCTCACCCATGGAATGTGAGAGAAGCTGATTTGCCTTTCTTTCAGATAATACGTATGTATGCTATGATCCATGCTCTCCTTTTTATTCTGATGACACAACTCCAGGGAAGCTGAATCTATAAGCCAGAAGGAACCTTAGTCTTTGAATCATTAAATGAAGGAAAGCCTTTTATACATAAATATAAGTCTTTTATATATAATCAGGAACTCTGGTCTTAAACTATTATGTGAAAGACTTTTGAACTCTTATTATGTGGTTGTCTTATATATTTTGGCATCTATTTTTCTAACAGCTGTTACTACTCTAAGAAAAATAGTGCTATAATAATATAAGCTTATTTGAGATGCATAGCACAAATGGAAAGATTGGTCTTACACGGGACAAGGACACTTCTATTACACAGGACAAGGACACTTCTATTACACAAGAAGAAAGGATTATAATACATAAAAATGTGGAATAAGATTGTTGGCTTTGATTATCTGAGGTATAGATGAATCTCAGCTGACTGTCCATTTTTGCTAGGAACTACGAAGCAAAGCAACCAGAGAGTGGGAGGCCAGGAGAGTCAAGACATATTCATATAAGTAAACAATGTGACGCAGTCATCTCGGAGAATGAGAAAGCACGGGATATGTCTGGCAGTATTTAAACATAATTTGAAATTCATAGATTGTACTAAATTTCTTTAAAACTATTCAGTTATCCAGTTGGGTTTGTCCAGAGAAAGAGTTTAATCTGGTGAATCGGACTAAGGGACAGAGGAGCAAAGGACTATTGAAGATTATTTGCACAGAAAGAACTACAGCATCTAAACCAAGTTGTAAAGGTTGTGAGAGCATGAAAAGGGCTCTGAATAGCTACAGAGACATAGGGTCAGAGGAACCTGAGTGTTTTTTTTTTTTTTATGGGGGCCAAAAGAATGGTAGGATTAAAGTATTTAGATAAGTAGATGGAATGATAGAAGGTAGTGGTCAAAACCTGAGAGAAAAATGAATACTGTAATCTAGTAACATGTATTTAGAAATTTTAGTTGGAAATTTTTAGTGAAAGAAGAAAAATAATTTCTCAGCTATTATCAAGAAAGCATAACAATATTCTGTCCATTTATGACTCCCTTCGTCAGCTGGTCTTTGCCTTGCCTCCAAAGAGCCTTCTCCAAACAGCACAATAGACCTGCACAACACAGTATTGTGTAATTCTTCATAAAAAATTAGCATTAAAGTTTGGAATCTTTACTTGGTTTTCTCACTTTCTAGTTGAGTGAACATTGCTGAAATTTTCCAGGTTACAATTTCCTCAGCTTTACTGTTGAAATAATGGCAAATATTTCAAAGGAATAAGTATACAGATGAAGATATGTTTTAAGAGTACTCAGAAGTGGCTAAAATATATGATCTCAAAAATAAAGTGTTAGAGAATGTGTCATAAAATTATCTATTATTATTTTATTAATTATTATACCATGGTTTCAAGAAACAGAATTAAAGAGCAAGGATTAAAGGTTACAAGAAGGTAAATATCAATTCAGTCTATGGAAGTATTCTTAAACAACTGGAACTATCCTCACTGAAAAATTAGACCAATGTTACCTTTCTCCAGGCTATGGACTCATCAGGAAAGAAAAAGAAAAGAAGTGGAATTTTATCTTACCTTCTCAAGGGGACAACAAGAACTCAGTTTCCTAGATAACTCAGTTTCCTTTTTCTCAAGCTATTGTTTTTTTCCTTTTAATTCTGAAATTGATGAGAAGTTAAGGTGCTAAATTTTATCTTTGAGGTGGTAAATTTCTGATGGAGGTGGCCATGTGAATGCCAGACGATTAAATAATTAGACGTGCCATAGCCGCCTAAATTTAGCCCAGGAGTTGATCTTAAAAGCGGCATGTGGGGATTCAGACTATGAGCATTTTGGTGATAAAAAAATGTACTATCAAGGATTACTCCTTGAGTTTCTTAGACTGTGTTAGCCATAGCATTCTTGTGTCATGTCAAGAGAAGAAAAAAAAATACTGAAATTGGATGTCTCAATAGCTATGATATGTAGGAGATAGGCTACATTAAACATTCATTATAACATTAATAATATATTATCTGATTCATGATATAAAACAATGAATATTCTTTCAAGCTAATTAAGTTTTCATCACTGAGAGTGGAATACTATCTTGTTTTCTAGAGGCTTGGCAGCATTTGTCTGGCATGCCAAAGAGAGAGGGAGGAGATATCTGTCTTGTAATCACGCATAGGGTAAAAATTCTCCAAATTCCTTTCTAAAATGAAGCTTCTTAAACATAGATTCTAAGATCATAAACCTTTCTACATTATGAACTCATCTTTAAAATATCAGATTCACAGTAGTACAAAACAGACCAAGAATTAAATACAGCCCAACTACTAGGATGGGAATGCCGTATTACTACGTTTGCCATTACAGTCTATGAGACCAAAAATAATTTTGGTAACCAAAAGGAGAATTATTTATATGTATCCAGGCAGGATAATCTATCAGTTTTCTGAGAGAGTTTATCAATAATAGGTAGAGTTTAAGTGTCCATGCTATCTCATTAATAAAGAAAATAATGCCCCTTAATCAGAATTACAGAGCATGAGATAAATAACCACTTCATCCTCCAACCACCAAGAACCAGAAGCAATACTAACGTTAGGATTCCCGAGCATAAACTTCATCCACAGAGGTGAATTATTGTTTAGTTTTAATTTAAATACAGTGTCTCCGTGTGTTGCTTCTAGATGGTGATAAGCTAGACAATTAATTCTATGTGTGCCATATCTACACAAGAGGTCTTTGTGTATGTACCAACATCTTTGTGTATTACCAACACTGTAGAGGGGAGAGAAAATATTGAAACACATTTATTAAGTACCTGTAGTTTACTAGGTACCATATTAAGTTCTGAGAATATAGTTAATAATTATGTTAACTATAATTATTCAGGAATTCCACAAGCCAACAGGGATATGAATAAAATTTATCATTGAAATCTTACATCACAATAATGACTGCAGGCCTTTGTGTTTCTAAAATAGGGAGAATTAAATATCATACAATAGAGCAGATAAGTGAGTTGGGTAAGCACTCATAGCAAAAGGTAGTACTTGACATGAATCTTTAAATAAGGCACAGCAGGTAGAGACACAAATGTAGAAAGGACATTCTAGAGAGGGAAAACCATGAGCAAAGGCATGACCATGAGACTTGGCAGTGAAATGATACTAAGAAATTATTTCCTCTTTTGTTCTAACAGCTGTATATAAAGGAGATGATCGTATATGTAGCCTCATCTGCCTAACTAGAATCTGGCCCAGTGACTAGATTAAAATTATGCTGTTACAATATGACAGATTGATCATTACCTACACTACTAGGAGGTATTCCTTGCTAGGGAACTATTCCTAATAACTCAGCAGGATACACTTCTCATGCCTGAATGGTATACCTGTCTGAAAAACCATCTTTATGTAACCTGACAAAACATTTCCCTCATGTGAGTGTATTCTGGATTGAAAATGACAGCTTGCTTTCTACAATCCCCTCTTTGCCATGTTTCCACAATTCACAGAAGATTCATTTATTCATTATTTCATTTTGTTTTATATGCTATTGTTTTTCATACCTACATTCATTGGCTTTTATTCTAGTTCTATTCCACATCAACTCCTTCTGGGACATCAAGTGATAAAATGTTGATGCTAATGGATTTGGGAGGAAAAAAATCCTTCAGTTTGTATTTGTAGTACTGAAGAAGATGGACTCACTTTTATTCTCCTTATTACTTTCCAGAAGATGACAAAGACATGCATATCAGCTGAGTCTTCCCAATTGTAAATCAATTCTCCAAAGAATGAACATTTTTGTTAAACCACCTAGATGCCTTCCTAGATTTGAAACAACCAGCTTGGTGGAATATGTTGGTTGTAATAATAAAAACAGAAAGGTCAAATAAAAAAGAAACACATATTCGAGTATGTTCTCAGCAAAATTAAGTACAAATTTCTATGTGTTTCATAGCTTCTATTTCATGACCACACCTTCTATGCATTCCTCTATTTCCTCTTTCACTACAGCAAGTTTTTCCTCTTTTCAATGCATCCTGTAATTCCCTACAGATCGATCTTTCTAAAACATTGTTACTTGCAGAAGCAAAAACAAGACACTTGACTCACCTGCTTACAAGATAAACTCCAAGCTCCTTAAGCTGCCCAGTCTAACTAGCCCCACCCTTCCAGAGCTAAGCCTCTTCTGCTACATCAAATCCCTACTCAAGTCCGGTAGATCTCTTCCTTGTTTCACTTTGCCACATGTATGTCTTTGCTAAAGAGTTG
The DNA here is from genome assembly GCF_000001405.40 of Homo sapiens. Taxonomy (NCBI): domain Eukaryota; kingdom Metazoa; phylum Chordata; class Mammalia; order Primates; family Hominidae; genus Homo; species Homo sapiens. The sequence goes on from NC_000012.12 coordinate 87,304,697, forward strand.
TTCTCCCTGCTGTCTGCCTGCCTATCCTATTTCCCATCAAGACCATGTCAAATCTCATTCCAGCCCCTTTCCTAAATTGCAGTTATCTTACTGGCATAAACCTCTATGACAATCATAAATGATTCCAAGTTATAAGATAGCATGAGAAGCATAACAGTAACCTATCTTCTTAAGAGGCCTAAATATCATAAGTGAAAGGCAAGTTTATTTGCTTTTTACATACTTCTCTTTCTATTCAGGAAAGACACTTTATCAAAGGTTTATTACATTTTTTGTTTGTTGATTGGTTTTGTCCCACATGGAAAGTTAAGACCAACAGTTCCATGAGGATACAGAATGTACATTTTACATTTTTTCATGTACTCTAGTAGAGTACCTGGCACATAGTACACATCAAATGTGCATCTGCTGAATCAATAAATGTTCACTTCCATAGAATTTTATAGGGATCATTGCATAAGGATCACACTTATTTACAAACTTCCTTTGAAAGCTAGTTGTTAGTGTATGATCTTAGAAAAATAAAGTTATGTTTTGTCAGACATACAACATAAAATATGCTATGAATTCCTACCAAAAAAAATTAAGAAAAATACAAGAGACAGAAACTCTCCTGATGGCCTAAGTATAGGCATTTGATGAGGTTTGATAGATTTGAATAAATAAATAGTGTTACCTCCCTATTTTACATTCAACCAACATTTATTGATTCTTGTCACTGTGTTGGATTTAGGAAATATGAAGACTTAAAAAATTCCATTTCACCAAAAGCTCTAAATAGAAGACAATGACCAATCAATGCACAATTATTTACAATGTGATCTGAATTATGATGCAGATTTTATGTACACATGCTGTGAGAGTGTATCTCACACTGGATTACACAGAAAGTTTCTCAGAGGCAGTCATGTAGAAATTGGGTTTTAAAAGACTCATAAATACTAACCTTATTTAAATGAAACAAATGAACAGCAGCTGTGTTAGTGAGAAGTTGAAACAAGGAAGTGTGTGCCAGAGAAAACATCCCCTGTAAAAGCATGGCAGCAGAAACATGCTCAAGTAATTACAAATATCTTAGTATGACCAGATGTGCCTATATTGGGTTATGGAGTGAGAGTAGGAGGGTGGGTAGAAGACAGGTCATCTACACCTTTTTAGATTTTATCCTGTAATCAAGGGAGATGTCATTCAGTGTTTCTAGGCACCAAAGTGAAATAATCCAATTTATGCCTAAGACCAGTACCAACAAAGTTTTGAACAGATTGCAGAAAACAAGACGAGGAAAGCAGGAGAAAATGTTTTGAGATTTTGGCAGTAATCTTGGTGAGAAATCAAATAAACCTGAACTAAGGTAATGACAGTAAGGATTTTTTTCAAAAAAAAAAAAGTTATATATTTAGTGATAGACATAGCATTGGGCTAAGAGATAGAAAGGAATTAAAGATGATGTTTAACTTTCTGGCTTGGCAGACCTTCTGAGTTGTTGAAATATCCATTTATAAAGAAATGCAGAGAGGCAGATCTGAGGGATTATAAATTCCTGTATTTTGAATAAACATAATTTTGTTACAGCAATCATAAAAAATAGAAAGTGCACTTTTCCATTTGATAATTCTTATAATAGTGTATAATCCCCTGGAAGGATAGGCATTAATTAGTATTGTTTAACATCATTTAAGGCTGCATACAAACTAATATTTTACAGAATTTTAAAATATAAAACAAAATCTGTACTTAATTGCACCAAACCTCAACAGTTATCTTTCTCTTTTCTCTTTGTTGTTTCATTGATAGAAACCTTTATTACCACTGTTTTTTTTTTCAATAACTCAGAGAAGTCTTCTTTCAGGGGATTACTATTTATTAATTCAATACCTGCCTATTCAAGTAGGGAGATGGCAGGAGGGAGGGGAAGGAATTTAAAGGAAAAGGGATCCCTTCCTTTAGCCTATTTTATTTATTTATTCACATTATTGCTCTTCTTTATAGATTGTCTTATACTGACTTAAATATCTGCAGCTCCATTGCCTTTGAAGATCTTCCTTTCTTCCTATCTAGCTTAAGGTCACCTGGAGAGAAAATGGCAATGTATACCTTGTGTATATAACTTTGCCAGTGACCATTTTTTGTGCCATGTGTGAAATACAGCATTACTATCAGTTCACCCCTCTACTTCACATTAAGTTTCTGCTTCAAATTTATTTTTAAAATTGCATTAACTTATATGAACAGTATAGTAGCTTCCTTGTAACTATTATAGAATTTTGACTTTTAAAAATTAATTTTTAGTTGGCTAGTAAAAGTTATATATTTATGGTGTAAGGTATGATGTTTTGATATATGTATACATTATGGAATGGCCAAGTCAAGTTATTGAATATATGCATTAACTCACATACTTGTAATTTTTTTTATGGTGAGAACACTTATTTACTCTTTCAGTAATTTTCAAGTATGGAATATATTGTTATTAACTGTAGTTAACATGATATAACATAGATCTCTTGACTTGACTTCTCCTAAATGAAATTTTGTGCCCTCGGACAAGAATGAACTTTTATACAAAGTGTTTTAAAACAGAAAAATTACTTTATGTGCCATTATAAAAATTATATATGCTTACTTTAACTCTAGCAATAAAAAATAAAGAAATTAAAAACAATATAAAATCCTTTCTCTCTTAGATAATCCACATTAATATTTGTTGAATGACCTTCCAGAATTTTATGTATATGGGAGGGAGAAATACTGATATATAATGTTATATTCATGAAGTTAGAATGTACTTCAAATTGCATAATGATTTTTTATTAAACCAAGCATTTTATCTATTTTCCATGGGTATAAAATACCTTCTTGTTTGAATATTCCATAACTTTATTTTACCACTACCTGTTAGTAAATTTGAAGAAACTTCCTTTTTATGTGAATATAAAAAGTGCTTCAGTATGAATCTTTGTTACTTCTTTATCTGCTTAATGAGAAAATAAATTTTATACATATAGACCAAAATGCAAAGCAGAAAAACATTAATCTACACTTTCACTGTCAATACATTGAACTATATTGAACTCTTTCCCTATATCCTTATGCTAATGTCTCTTTTTCTTATCTTTGCCAATCTTTTAGACAACACTCATTAGTTTGCATAAATGTTAATTGGGAGAACAAATTCTTTGGTTACCCTCTATCAAATAACAACCCCACTCTGCAGTCATACTCTGCCTCCCTTATACTTGTTTCATATCATTGAAACAATGTTAGCATACCTAACATGCTATATATTTATTTGTTATTTATTGTCTCTCTTTCCCTACCAGAATTTAAGCTCTACAAGAGTTTGGATATTGTTTCTTTTATTTTTCTATCTCTAGCAAATCGAGCAGGTTTTGGCATGTAGTAGATATTTAAGAAATAAAATGTGAAATAAATATAGAGTGAATCAAAATTTTTTTCTTCCTTTAAGAAAACTTATGTGTGATTCCCCTTTTCCAAATTTTACTACATACTAAATTTTATATTCGTTTATATTTATTCATTGATTCTTTACTGTGGTCCATAAGTTAATGTGCCTTTTTTTAAGTTTATTTATTTATTTAATATGTGTGTGTGTGTGTGTGTGTGTGTGTGTGTGTGTGTGTGTGTGTGTGTGTATGTAAGTATTTGAGATAAAGACTCACTCTGTCACCCAGGCTGGAGTGTAGTGGCATGATCATGGCTCACTGCAGCCTCAAACTTCTATGCTGAAGACATGCTTGCACCTCACAGCGTCCTGAGTAGCTGGGGACTACAGGCTTGTGTCACCATGCATGGCTAATTTTTTTTTTTTTTTTTTTTTTTTTTTTTTTGTAGAGATGGGGTCTTACTTTGTTGCCCACGCTGGTCTTAAATTCCTGGGCTCAAGAAATCCAGCAGCTTCAGTCTCCCAAAGTGCTGCAATTATGAGCCTGAGCCACCATACACAGCCTAATGTGCCCATTTTTTAAATCAGTATTATACACCTATTTTTTACTATAGTTTCTGAATATATTTGAAATTCTGAAAGAACATGCTCCAGCCCAACTTTCTTAAGATGTTGCTTACAACCTCTTGATTATATATTCTTTGATTATACATTCTGATTTTTTGAACCACTTAATCAAGTTTCAAATAATCCTATTAGAGTTGTATTTGGAATTGCATTGTTGCATTGGGTGTAGAGAAATATTGAGAGAAATTTGGCATATTATTGTGTCTTCCTAAGACATATGTCTATATTTTCAAAACTTGTGTGTTATAGAGAAAGTTATCGTTTTCTTTACATATGGCTTGAATATTTCCTGTATGTCTATATCTAGATATAATATGCTTTTGTTGCCATTGTGAATGGGCTATTTTTCCATTATATGTCTAGCTGGTTTTTGGATTGCCTTTTGAAAGACTGCTTTACCAGTTCTCAAAAACACTTCATTATAATGCCATAAAGCACAGTGAGAATAAACTAAAGCTCTAGTTATAAAATAGTTTTGATAAAATGTGGATTAATAGCCTAAGAAATAGCGAAGTCAACTTGCATTTACCTTGAGGCTAAAAATTGATCTCATTTTTCTTAAAAAATATACATACTCATAATTTTAGAGATGAATTCCATAGACCTTTGCATTTAAGAAATATTTTACAAGTGTAATTAAGTCATCTTTTCAAGTTTTTAAATAGTGATTCTTCCTATGTAAAATAAATGTTCTATTTTCTCCACATGTTTAAATAATTTTGAACTAAAATCCCAGGAGTAGGTGACAAATGCACATGGTAAATCAACACATTTACTTTCTAAAATGCAACTGAAAATCAGATATGTCTGGATGAAAGGAAAATTAAATACACTCATAGAGGGATCTGCAAGGTTTGTTTGTTTTTTGTTTGTTCATTTTACATAAATATGATGCTAGGCTTTATATAGTCATTCAAAGTTGCATAGCTTAGCCATTATGGGAAAATGAGAAAACTGAAAATGAGTCAAATTTCCCAAAGGTGTTTCTAAGCCAAACTATTGTTGCTGGGATAATATGATTACTAATAAATGTGTTCAAAGCCAGTTGAGGGAACAGCATGAGTAAGAAGAAATCTAAATTGTAGCCTTCTGAGTATTTCTAAAATGACCATAGGTTTAATATGTTATAGGACTTCTGGGTACTGATTGTTGAATTGATTACAGTTTTTTTGATAGGCCAATTTTTTATGCCCTATCTCAGCTCACAAATATAAGTCATAATTCCTATACCGTTACGTTGTCATAATCTGAATGAATCGTCCTATGTAATTTCTACTAATCATTTTTATGCCCCCATCTGTGCAAAAAAGCTCCTTGATATTACCAACTAACCATCTGCACAATTATGGAAAGGCTGCACAGTGACTGCATATGTGAAGCCAGCCATATCCCTTCCCATCACATGTGGAGTTCACCAAAAGAGTATATAAATATTTTTAAATGTTCCTTTTTATATTAAATAAAGATACATGAGTTGACTAATGTAACATAATCAAGCTGTATAATATAAGTATCAGCCACAATATTTCAAAGTGGCAGTTTTATTCTTTGCGGGTGAAAAAAAGTTTTAAAAATTAATGCACAAAATAAGGAAGTGGTTTTAAAGCAAAGCTGTGCTAAATTGACAGTTTTGCCTCACAACATTTTCTTGGAAGATAAAAAGGCAATTTCTGCCAATTTTACAAAAATGCCTCTCTTTCTCTGCCTTAGTTGCAATCCCCTAGGCTCTTTATATCTTCTCCAGTAGATGAAGATGCCATTTCTCCAGGGAATGAAGAACTAATCTCACCATTTGATATTCACCATACCACATTCTGGTTTTCTGAAATTTTTGAAAGATCTGTGATATGAGGGACTAGATCTTTTGTTTCTGCTCCTGCCCTCCATGCTCATCTCACTAGAACCCACTTCCATAGATCTGTTGCAGGATTTTTCACCATCAGTTTGAATGTTTTGTCTTTTCTCAAAACAACTTCTTGTGTCTTTTGAAATATTTGAATATACTTGAAAACTGAAATAACATTTTACTAATTTTTAAGCATATTTTAGTCTCTGAAGTTCGCTTTAATGGGATTTACTCAACAGGCTGCATATTTTAACAATCAGCTGTGTGCTTCTTTGATTGTGCTGCATATTTGAATACTTAAGGTTTTATATATTTTTTGATTGAGGCTCATACTTTAATGAGCCCCACAAATTGCATGTGTGCAGAGAAAGTCTCAGAAACTTCGTATTGAAGTGTTTTGAGGACATTCTTTTTGTATTCTTGTGTATGTGCATTATGTATGTGTACGTGTGTTGCGAGAGGGTTTTTGCTGGTGTTTGGGTACTTGCAGTTAGGGATAAGCCTTAGGAGAATATGTTTGCTTTAAAAGAAAGATGAGGACCAATCTCTAATTCTAACTTGTGGTTTCCACTGAATAAAATTGTACTTTCATTTTTAAAATGCCTGAAATCCCATTTCTTTGAGATAACATTAATATTTTAGTGACCAATCTTTTATTCACCTCTGTGTGTAGGTATGTGAAGGGATGTATAAACTCCCAAACAGCCTGGTTTTATAACAATGTGCTAAACTCAATAGAGTAAAAATCAGGAAATAGTTTTATTTTCCACTCCTGAAGGAACTTTTAAAACACTCTGATGGTTCTCAGTTCTCTGCCTCTTAGCAACAATGTGGTCAGATCTCAGAGCTTAAGAGTCACTTTCAGGAAATGAAAATGTCTAGTCTAAGCTAAATAAAAATTTTAATCTTCCATTCAGTGTAAGAGTTCTCTTGTTTTCCTAGCCCAGGACACAGCAATAAAAAGAAATTAAGTGTGATTTTTTTTTCTTTCTTCTCTCTCACGACTGATTAGAATAAATGAATGTATAATAAATAAAGTCTCTCAATTAGCTGGTGCTATTTGTTAATCTTTATAGGCTGCCAATAACTTCTCCCAACTAAGTGTCTAAATGTTCAAACATGGTTTTTCTCTGCCACTCTTTTCTCTCTCATAAAAAGCCAGTCTACAGATTCTTCACCTGCATTTAATGCTCCACCGTAGCGTTTGGCTGGCATAGACAAGAGGCTTTGCTGACTTCTTACAATGGGCCCTCAGGCCTGCCCTCTGGCAATAAAACTCTTCATAGACTTTTTGAACTGAATTTTCTTTCCAACAAAGTCCTTTCAAAACCTGCCATGCAGGGAGGTCAGGTTGTTCCCACCATCAAGTAGAAGAGAAGTTTTGGCCCAAGAACTTTCCTCTTGCCACATCTGTTAGAGTAAGTTCCCACTTTCAGATTTCTTTGATAGTGAGATCCGAGTCACTGCACTCCAAACCCAGGGTCTTCTGTCATGTTCTACGAAGAAATCTCTCAAGCTCCTGCTCCACAAACAATCAGTCAGAGGACAACATTTCAGAACCTTCCATTTTTCTGAGGAGTATCCTTGGGGTCTGATTTTCTTAATTGTGGTCTGGAGAAGGAAAAGGATGTCCCTAGTGCTTTCTGTTCTTACAAATTTTCCCCTTAAACCCTCATTCCTAATAAATGGACTTTGGACTTCTCTTTTGTAGGATATTGGGTGACAATCACTGGGCCAGTTTAGACAAACTTAATCCTATGTAAGTGTGTGTAGATACTCTTTATAAGGAGTTTTTATAATCCATTATTTTTAGCTTTCAGGCAGAAGCCCAGAATCCTGAGACTACAGGGAAGACTCTAACCTTCATCCTATTATACATACTTAGAAATTTAAATAAATAATATTATTTAATACATGACATTTTTATCAGAGGCATTATCTCTATTATGACCCATGTTCCCCATTTCCCCACTCTTCACTCTTCCACACTCAATTATAGTAACCTGGTAGGTGTCTTTCAATATATTTTCCTGTAATTATATACATTATACATATCTATTATTTGTCATTGCTCATTAAAAATTATAAGGTCATATTATCTACACATACTTGCATCTTGGCTTCTTCGGTTGAGAATGCATTGTGGAATTCTCTTCCTACCAGCTGGTAGGGAATGAATTCTTTCTTTAGTGGCTACATGATACTATATTCAACCTGGTATCAGGTGAAGGACATAACCTTTTTTCTTTTACTAAATGCTTTAGCAAGCATTTACTGATGTGATATTTTTACGTGATTATCAAACGTGTCTACGTCAATTTTCAATTTATGTCTTCAACTTATGCATAAAAATACATGCAACCACATGAAATGTATGAAAATATTTTTTCAAGAGTCACTACCACTGGATATATTTAACCTTTTAAAAACATTTTTGTGCTATTCATCTTCATATTAATTTCCATTTTGGGGGCTACTTGTGATATTGACATTTATTGGTAATTTAGATGTGATATTACAAATTTTCTGTTTATATTCTTTGCCATTTCTACTTCAGATAGTTCCCTTGTCAATTTCTAAAAAAAAAATTCTCTTCTATTACAGATATGTATCCTTCTTGGACATTCTCTGTTGAATTGTTTTTATTTTTAATTTTTATTAAAATTTAAAAATATAAATTTAGAATAGTATAATGGATATCTATAGTTTTAAAAATTACCATTTACCTATATTTGTTTCAGATGGTAGACTGCATTATTTATTGCAATTATTTATCCCTTCCTATAGAAAAAGTCAGGTAACTTTAGAGTTTCTTCAACAAGACAAAATATACTTCTGTACTACCTAATTTGGCACAGAAGTGACTTTGCTAGCATGAGACAGAAAGAGATGGAGCATCAGTTCTGAGCCTCAACCTAAGTGGCACTGAACACACCAGCTAGCCTGCTGGTGTCAAGAGATGGATGAGGAGTATAAAGAGTGAAGCTGCCGCAACCAATCCACAAAAGTGCAGTGAGAAGCAGAGATTCTTCCCCATGACCAGGCATGCCTTGCTTTGATCAGCCAAACATTGCTGTTTCACAGATTCTTAGACTGTAATAAATGATTGCTGTTTTAAACTCCCCACTTTGGGGGACGTATTATTAAGTAATTGCCAAATGGCTCAATTGGTCTGTTATTTTTTAGGTATAACATGTAAGACATTTCACTACTTCAATCTTACTGCATAACTACGATTGATTCCACAATGTCATCTAAAAGAGATAAAAAACTGATTTTCTCAACAGAGAAAAAGCATTTGATAAAAGTCAACACAGGCATACCTTATTTTATTATACTATGCTTTATTGACTTTTGCCAATATTGAGTTTTATTACAAATTGAAGATTTGTGGCAATCCTAATTGAGCAAGCCTATCAGCACCATTTTTTCCAGTAGCATGTGCTCAGTATCTGTCTCTGTGTCACATTTTGGTAATTCTTGTGATATTTCAAATTTTATTATTATTATTATATTTATTATGGTGATCTGTGGATAGTGATCTTTGATGTCACTATTGCAATTGTTTTGGGGCACCACAAACTACATCCAGAGAAGATGGTGAACTTAATAATGTTGTGTGTGTTCTGACTGCCTTACCAACAGGTTGTTTCCCCATTTCCTGATTTCTCTATTTCCTAGTAGAGAACAATACTGAAATTAAGGCAAGCAATAACCCTACAATGACCTCTAAGTCTTCAAGTGAAAGGAAGAGTCACATATCTCTGTGAATCAAAAGCTAGAAATGATTAACTTTAGTGAAAAAGTTATGTCAAAAGCTGAGATAGGTCAAAAGCTAGGCCGCTTGGATCAAACAGCCAAGTTGTTAATGCAAAGGAAATGTTGTTGAAGAAATTTAAAAGTGCTACTCCAGTGAACACAAAAATGACAAGAAAACAAAACCATTTTATTGTTGACATGGAGAAGGTTGTAATGGTCTGGATAAAATATCAAACCAGCCACAACATTCCCTTAATCCAAAGCCTAATCCAGACCAACGCCCTAACTCTCTTCAATTCTATGAAGGCTGAGAGAGATGAGGAAGTTACAGAAGAAAAGTTTGAAGCTAGCAGAAGTTGGTTCTTAAGGTTTAAAGAAAAAAGCTATCTCTATAACACAAAAGTACAAAGTGAAGCAGCAAGTGCTAATATAGAAGCTGCAGCAAGTTATCCAGAAGATCTAGCCAAGATAACTGATGAAAGGAGCTACACTAAATAATAGATTTTCAGTGAAGATGAAGCAGTCTCATATAGGAAGAAGATACCCTCTAGGACTTTCATAGCTGAGAGGAGAAGTGAATGTTTGGCTTCAATGGTTTAAACAGGCTAATCTCTTGCTAGGTGATAATGCAGCTGGTGACTTTAAGTTGAAGCCAATGCTCATTTACCATTATGAAAATCCTAGGGCCCTTAAGAGTTATTCTAAATTTACTCTGACTGTGCTCTACAAATGGAACAACAAAGCCTGGATGACAGCCCATGTGACTGTAACATGATTTACGGAATATTTTAGCCTCATTGTTGAGCTCCACTGCTCAGGAAAAGAAAAAAAAAAGGATTCCTTTCAAAATCTTGCTGCTCATTGACAAGGCACCTGGTCACATAAGCGATCTGACGAAGATGCAGAAAGAGATTAATGTTTTCATGCCTGCTTATACAACATCCATTCTGTAGCCCATGGATCAAGGAGCAATTTTGACTTAAAATCTTATTGTTTAAGAAAGACATTTCATAAGGCTATGGCAGGAATAGATAGTGACTCCTCTAATAGAACTGAAGAAAGTAAATTGAAAACTTCTGGAAAGTATTCACCATTCTGAATGTCATTAGAAAAATTCACGATTCATTGGAGGATGTCAAAAAATATATTTTAACAGGAGACTGGAAGAAGTCTAACCCATATATATATTTATATATATATATTTATATATATATTTATATATATATTTATATATATATTTATATATATATTTATATATATATTTATATATATATTTATATATATATTTATATATATATTTATATATATATTTATATATATTTATATATATATTTATATATATATTTATATATATTTATATATATATGCTAACCCTTATATATATATAAGCTTATATATATATATATATAAGCTTATATATATATATATATATATATATATATATATATATGCTAACCCTTATAGATTACTTTGAGGAGCTTAAGACTTCAGTGGAGGAAGTAACTGCAGATGTGGTAAAAAAAAAAAAAAAAAAAAAAAAACAAAAAAACAAGAGAACTAGAATTAGAAGTGGATCCTGAAGATATGACTGAATGGCTGCAATCTCATAATAAAACTTGAATGAATGAGGATTTGCTTGTTATGAATGATCAAAGAAAGTGGTTTCTTGAGATGGAATCTGTTTCTGAAGAATATAATGTGAACATTGTTGAAATGTCAATGAAAAATTTAGCATCTTACAGAAACCTAGTTCATAAAGAAGCAGTAAGGTTTGAAAGGATTGACCCCAATTTTGAAAAAAGTTCTACTGGGTAAAATGCTAAATAGCATTGCATGTTACAGAGGAATATTTCGGGAAAGGAGTCAGTTGATGCAGAAAACTCCATTGTTGCCTTATTTTCAGAAATTTGCACAACTATAACCTTCAGCAACCATCACCCTGTTCAATTAGTAGCCATCAACATTACGGTAAGACCCCACTCAACCAAACACACACACACACACACACACACACACACACACACACACACACAAATTCACTGAAGGCTCAGATGATTGCTATCATATTTTAGCAATTAAGTGTTTTCTAGTCAAGGCTCATATGTTTGCTATCATGTTTTATCAATGAAGTATTTTTTAATTTTAGTTTTCAGAACTAAAACTTATCTTGTAAGAACTGTGAAAATATGTACATTGTTTTTTATACATAATACTATTGCACACTTAGCAGACTACAGTATAGTGCAACCATGACTTATATGCAGCAGAAAATCAAAAAGTTCATGTGACTTTTTTTATGGGGTTATTCCCTTTATTGCAATAGTCTGGAGCAGAACGCACAGTATCTCTGAGGCTTGCCTGTAGTTTTTTTATGACATAAACTCTCAGCAAACTGGAAATGGAAGGGAACTTCCTCAAACTCATTAAGGTCATCTATGATAAACCTACAGCTAACATCATAGCTAATGATAAAACATTGCCTTTTCTCTAAAGGTGGGTATAAAACAAGGATATCCACTGTCAGAACCTTTTCTCATCGTGACATGATGCACGGCAACAGCATATCATCTAAGTTATCATAATAAAAATGCTCTCTAAATCTCATAAATTATCTAGCAACACTGAAACAGATATTTAGGTGCAATCTTTGGTTATGTTGCTTAGAACCTCTTGGAAGGGAACCTAACTACAAATATTTATAATGATCTTTCTTAGCTCACTACAGAATGAGAAATAGAGTATTATTGTTTCTATTATAATATCCGTATATTCATATGAATATATTCATTCATTTATTAAGGGAAACATGTCTAATATCTTCTAAAGCCAGATGTGGCTTGATTTCAGAAATATAGTTTTGGAAACAAAAACATAATCCTTGGTATTAATAGATTGTTCTATTTGTAGTGGACAGTTTGTTTCTTGTTCCCCAGAATTCAGTCCCTTTCTGCTGCGTGTGGGTGTGTGCGTGTGTGTGTGTGTGTGTGTCTCTGTAGGCAGAGGGTGCGGGGTGAGGGGTAGTTAAAAAATGGGAATGGATGCGTGTTACATAGAAATGTATTTCAATAATTCAGATATGAGTTGATAAATACCTGTACTAGACCTCATGGGATGGACTCATGATATTTTACAGGCATAACAGACAGGACTGGTGAGTAATTGGATATGGGAGTTGGAGCAAAGTATAGAGTCAACAGAGATGATGTTTCAGATTGCAGTGTGAATATACGTGTGACTCACTCAATTAAAAACTTTCCCATCAACTTCTGGTAATTGCCAATAGAGTTCCTAATGATTCTTTAAGGAAATGCGAGTTTAAAACAAGAGCTAGATTCAATGCTAGATTCAGTCAGTGCACCAGTTTACATAAGACTAAGGCAGCTGCCTCCACAAGAAACAGAAGAAACTAGTATTTTGTCTTAAAAGGTATATACTTATTCCACGTATTTAGCTGGTTACACTTATTATTCTTCTAAAGACAGTGGTGTTTTTAAACCCTAAATATTAATAAAGAATCAAACTAAAGTCCACAGAAATTAAACTGAGGGAAAAAATTCCTTTAAGCAACAACTTTCAGTAAAAGATTAAGAACTCCTTGCTTTATAAAGCCTGAAATACTTCACAATAAAAATGTAGATGGCAATATATTTATCTATAACTAAATAATAAAATAATTCTTCTTTCAAAGGAAACCACAATGTTTCAGACCAATGAATCACACTGATAATTTAAACTTTATCCTCAACTGGTAATGTAAGTAATACAGAGAACCAGAGAAATTTTAGAAGGGTCAGGTTTTATGTGGATCTAAAATGGAAGAAGGTTTACAAGAGCAAAATAGAAAGGACTTTGAAAATAAGTTCTAAAGGCTAAAGTTATTTGATGTTAGATATTCAGCTACAGGTCCTGAGGAGTCAACAGAGTTGCATGTAAAGAAAGTCATTGTTCCTTCAGAGCTTCAGGAAAAGCTGAAGAATAAACACCAGACTCTCTTTATGGACAAAGGAAGTAATCATGTTTGGTCACTCGCTTAGTGTTTCAAAGATTTTGCCAGCTAAGCGAAAAGATGCATTCTGTGTGTTAGTGGGTGCTGAGCACTAGCTTATTGTTTTTTAACATTTCTTTGGCATGTCCTGTTTAGGTACTTCTATTTAGATGCTACAAGAAATAGGGTGTGAAAAAGAATAACATATTTTGTCTTCCTTTTGGTAGAAAAGCACTTTGCTGAAAACTCTGAAACATCTTTCTATAATTACTACCGAAACAGAGACCTGAATAGCTGGCTCAGAATGAGGGCATGAGTAAGGCCTGGAGTGAAGTGGAGAAGGGGGCACAGAACATGTGTACAAGGACAACCTTTGCATGTGGCAATCTTGAGCTTCAGTTCTCTGCTGCTTTTTGCAAACTGACTCTTTTAGTGTGCTGAAACAGAAAAGGACAGACAGTTCCATTTGTGTGTGTGTGTGTTTTGAGATGGAGTCTCACTCTGTCACCCAGGCTGAAGTGCAGTGGCACCATCTTGGCTCACTGCAACCTCTGCCTCCTGGGTTCAAGCAATTCTCCTGCCTCAGCCTCCCAAGTAGCTGGGATTACAGGCATGTGCCACCATGTTCAGCTAATTTTCGTATTTTTAGTAGAGATGGGGTTTCCCTATGTTGGCCAGGCTGGTCTTGGACTCCTGACCTCAGCTGATCCACCTGCTTTGGCCTCCCAAAGTGCTAGGATTATTATAACAAGCACAAGAAAGCCTAAGTGCTGCTGGCCATGGAGCATAAAAGCATCCATAAATGGCTGTCCTTCACTAAGCAGTATTTTCTGATATTTAAAGAGATGTTCCACCTCCCTTAGACTTAACTGAATTTAATCACAGATATAAATTATTAAAATCCATGATAATCTTGGGCCCTTAGAATGGACAAATAAGGGAAACAAAATTAAATGACTGAACACCAGAACTGTTCTCAGGAAAGGTAGCCATTTCGCTTCATTTTTAATTTTCAAAATAGTCATTTCAGTATAACATCAGGTTATCAGAACATGGCAACAAAGAATCTTGGCTAGCATAGGACAATAATTGTTTTGTCTATATTTATTGGGGATTGAAAAGGATGAAAGGAGGAAGTGCTGTGATTTATTTCAAGACTGAAAGATATGTGCTGAATAATGTCATTGTGAGTTTGTCTCTTCTTCTCTGTTATTGTCATTATTACTATTATTCCTATTTTCTGTGCTTTTCTTCTGTTGACTTTGTTTTCAAGCAAGAGCCCTAGTAGGTTTAGGCTTATGTTGTACCTTTAATTTATAATTTCAGAAGGGAAATAATATCCTAAGGTGTTTAAGAGAAAGCAACTTAAACCAGTATTGTTTACAACACTAGCCCTGCAACTTTCTAGTTATATAACATGGGCAAACAACTTGATACATTATGAACCTCAGTTTTTTATCTATAAAATGAAGATAATAAAAATATCAATGATTGTAAAATCATGAAAATTAAAGCATTTCTTTCACAGAAACCACTTAGAATAGGTTTTGGCATATAAAAAACATTCCATTAATGTTATATAAAATATTTTTATTAATTTGAGAGTAACCAGTTTCTCTCACAGTGCCAATATTATAAAGGCTCTGACCAGCTCTTTTTGAGTCATGTGCTCAGCTGTGAACCAGTCTCTGTTTGCAGAGTGGCCAATGCACAGGGTGGGAAATGCACGGCCTCATCTCTGACAAAGTCACTGGAATCACATGAAATGGGGAGGGAATAATGCCCAGGATCAGAAAGAGAGAGAAAAAAAAGTAGATGTACTCTAGCTGTTGATTGTTTTTATTAATACTGTCTCAGAAATGAAGGTGAATTTCAGTTTTCAAATTTAGGTAATCAGGCACTAACGAAGGCAAAAAGAAGGGAAACAAAATAGGAGTTTATATCTTTCCAGCCAGATCTTTCTATTCCCCTACTTCCAGTACTCCTCCGTTTTGCTCCACTGTATTTTTCTCCTAATAACCCTGTCTACTTGCCAGCATCCCAGGACCATGCTGTGGCTTTAATATATGGGTACTGACATGCATGTGTCCTTTAAAAATATGGCTGTGTGCTTTCACAACATGCAGTCATATTCTAAAAGTCATAACTTAGCAGAAATCATAATAAATTAACAGTATTAAAGCCACTGGCCATTTTGGCTGGATCATTTGTGAATTTAGTAAAAAGAAAATCATACCAGTTTTATATCTTTCATAAAAAACATTGAATAAATGAATGATTTAATTTTAAACTGGTATAGTCAAAACTGGACCACCACAGCTACAGAAAACAATATCCTTATATTTTTTATCTTTCATAGGAAGCAGGTTTATTCATTTCTGAGTAGTAAGTCAAAAAGTATGTCATTACTTTAGTCCAATTATTCTGTCCATTATGGCCTAACCATAAACTATTTAAGGATATATTGGCACATGAGATCATGGTACAGTAAAACCAGGAAATCTTCACTGTAAAATAAATGACATGCAAACCTAACTAAGCAGACCTAACAGTATTTCTGCCCTTTAGGGATGTGTTCAGCTCATCTTCCTTGTTTTTAATGCACTTAAAGGCTCAGCCTGATTCATGCTCAGAACAAATTGCATAACACTTCAGAACTGACACTTCCAAAGTTCATCCATTCTGTAGTTGCTTGACATTAGAAAAGGGCAGCTTTTGAAAAAGGAATAAAATAGATTTTCTCACTCTGTTGGTCATGTCTCAAAAACAGCTGGTTTTTTGAAACTTAACTTTTAAAATAATTCATCATTCAACATTCACAATTTTAACATTGACACTGTTAAGATTAACAAGCATCAAATTATTTTTTCTGAAAGATCTAAATATTTCAAGATTTTAAATAATATTAAAAATAAGTTATATGAGGATAATTTTATCTCTTTCATTCAAAAAACATATCATTCAAAACCCATATCTTTCACTTAATATTTTTGAATAAGTGATCAATTTAATGAATGAGTAAAAATAATTCTATTATATGTGAACATTCCATGCTAGTGAAATGCCTAGGCAGATAATCCTAAAATTATTAATTCATGACAAATCTTACTTCTGGCATTGAGTCAATTGTACTCAACTTATTAATGTATTACATCAACAATAGGCAAGAAACATTCAAGTGAATTTATAACACTCCATCTTCTTGCAGATATATCCCGTAGGTTTATCTCCGATGTGTTTGTCAGGACTACTTCAGTTTGAAGCATACACTAACCTACTTCAAACCAGCTTTGTGAGAGAGTAGGATTTATTTTAAAATGTAGATGTGACTTCTGGGAATCTAGATTGCTTCTAACACCAGAACGTCTGATGCAGGGGCTAAAATACTGTGTCAGGACTTTATTTCTCCCTTTATCTCTCATATCTCCTTTTGTCAGCTTTCTCTTTTTCTGCATGTATATTTTCAGCTTTTATTCTAAAAAGAAGACGTTTCTGAGATGTTTTTCTATGTATTAGTCTGTTTACACACTGCTATAAGGAACTGCCCGAGACCGGGTAATTTAGAAAGGAAAGAGGTTTAATTGACTCACAGTTCAGCATAGCTGGGGAGGCCTCAGGAAACTTACAATCACAGCAGAAGGCAAAGGGGAAGCAAGGGACATCCTTCACAAGGCAGCAGGAAAGAGAATGAACGAAGGAGGAACTACCAAACACTTATAAAAACCATCAGATCTCGTGAGAACTCACTCACTATCACGAGAACAGCATGGGGGAACCTGCCCCCATGATTCAATTACTTTTACCTGGTCTCTTCCTTGACACGTGTGGGCTATGGAGATTACAATTCAAGATGAGATTTAGGGTGCGGACACAGCCAAACCATATCAATCTACAAGTTAAATATCAGGGTATATTATGATTGTGTGGTTATATTCCCAGCCCTGATCAACCACTAAATCAAAGGTCTGGGATACAACTGGCCCACATCTTGAGTTACATGCTTACTCAGTAGGCAGTGGAATAATCACTGAAATTGACAGGAATACGGAGATGAGGGTAAGGTAGTCCCACATTGGAAAGGTTGGAACATTGGTAACACAAACAGTTTCAATTACTCCCCCCTATTTGCACACTGTTTGCAATGCAGTATGACTTCATAGCTGTTGCTATCAAGAGTGGAGACTCTTTTCCTAATCTTTGAATCTGGGGTAGCTTTGTGATTTGTTATGGCCAATGCTTCTGCTCTTCATTAAACCCTGAAACTACCATGGGAATAAGCACTAGCTAGGCTGCTGGAGGATGAGAGAGACCACATGTATTGACCTCACCTAGGCAAGGCCATCTTAGATCAGCCACAGCCCAGAAAACCCTCAAATTAATTGTAGATGCATGAATGAGCTCAGCTGAGATTAGTCAACCTAACCCATCCAGAGTAATCTAATCTACTCAAATCAGCACACCTGTGGACTTGTGCTCAATAATAAACAAGCAAAGGTTTAAGCCAAATCCTTAGTTTAAAGGGTTATTGGCTTAGTTTGGGGTTAGTTTATTTCCCTAAAACAAAATATAATAAAGCATTTTGGACAAATACATTGCACTTATCCCATAAGCGTGTTGCTGAGATCCAGTCTACATCATCTTTTTTATCTCATACTATGCACGTTTTCTTGACAGGGTCTGTAAGATCAATCAGGATAGACCTGGACCAAAAAATGGTAGAAAAGGAGGAAGTGAAAATAAGCTAAATGGACAGGTGAGAAGGGAAGGACTGAATAAATTAGTTAAGAAATATTTATTGGGTACTTGGTGCTGGGCACTGTTTTAACACTAGGGATATAACAGTGAAGACAATGAATCAAGTAGTTACTTTCTATGAAACATTAATTTTAATGTTGTGAGGCTTACAAGATATTAAACATAATAAGACATAAAAATATGATATGTTCATGCTGTGATTAAAAATAAAGCAGAAAACTGGTCTGGGAGTATTATATAGGGTATCCAAGAAAGGCCTCTCAATATTGCATTTGAGCAGAGACCCGACATACATGTGGAAATAAGCAAAGATGATAACTCTAAGAAGAATATTCCAGGCAGAGAGAACAGCAAATGAAAAACCCTAAGGTAATGGTATGCTTGAATCATCTGAGGAACACTAAAAAGTCAGTAAGACTAGAGCAGAGTTAGCAAATGGAATAAAGATAGGAAATGACTCAAAAGAAATGGCAAGGACTCAGAACACACAGGAACTTACAAGGTTACGATAAGAATTTTGGAAAGAAAAGTAGATATTGGCTCAAAAGAAATATTCAGTTACTATAAATAAATGGTTTTCCATTGTTGATTGAATGTATCCCTGCAAGAATTTTAAATATTTTCCTGCAATGATTAGATAAGTAGCAATATCCAGTGGAATACTTTCAAGCTCCCTGTAATGGATATTATGAAAAACAATATTCATTAAAAATGTATGTGCTATTATTTCTATTAAATAGAATAGTCTTATTATAATTATTAATAAAAGATCAAAAGATTCAGCATTATATGAGAAAAGAGCAGACCTTGTGACTAGGATAAAATGTTTATGTTTAATAATGTTAAAAATAGATATAAACAGTGCTACATGCTTTAAGATCGGCTGCCACTCAATCCAGTTTAGAATCTTTTTTGTTTTGTTTTATTTTTCTTTCTTTTTTTCTTGATTAAATGTTGTAGTTTTAATTTAAAAATGAGCATCAAGCCCCTTATTTTTAAAAAATTAAAAAGATGATTAGTATGAATGTTGTGGTAACTTACTGCTGAGTCTTACCATTTCTCCTCCTGAAAAAAATAAAACTGAAATAACATAAAATTATTTTTATATAAATTATGAAGTACAAAACTTAAAAATCACAGTTTTCTCTAAAGTGTTGTCCCCCTGCCCCACTCCCCCACCACACACACAAAAAAAAAACCAGACCAGTAGAGCCGTGTAGGAATTTCTGCAAGAAGTTGCACAGAAGCTAAGCTGCAGAACTGGAAGAACTAAGAACCCCAGCAATGGTGAATCTCACACAACTCCAGGTAAAAAGCACTCGCAAAAAGTGAGTGCCCCCCGTTAGTAAAAAAAAGCTGTGAACATACCAGATTTGTTTTATAGAAGCAGGAGTAAAGGGAGAGAGAAAAGTTTGAAAAAAATTTATAGAATAGAAAGCTCTGAAAGAAGCAGCAAAAATCATCTTCCAAAAGCAAGGGAATCTTAATGTCCGCTAGATGCATTCATGGTGCACCACAGCTGATGAGGGAATCTGGGAGAATAGGCCAGGAAAGAAAAAGGCTACCTCACTTACTTAATGTTAAAGAGGCAGCAAAGGCAGGACAGAAGCACCGCTTTTGAAGGAAACAGTAGTTATTTGTGTCAGATGAGGAACAAACCTTTAAATACAAAGGCAAGATATCTTTTCCATTACTCTTATTTGTGCCCCCATCCATCCCAGGCAGAAATCTCTTAAAAAATCTGGTCCATAAAATAACACTCACCCAAATATGGGTGACCAAAAAGGAAGAGGGAAAATATTCAAATAAGGATTAGAAAAATGGCAGAGAATGATAAAATTTTCCTACAAAAATATTCATTAAGTAGACATTACCATAGAACAGATAAACATTGCGAACAGTCTGCCATGAATTAAAACATTTATAATAATGGTGAACTCATCAGACAATGAAGGAAAATGTCAGGACAGAAATCCATTCATGAAAGACATGGTCAGACAATCTATAAAAGTGAAAAGAGAACTGAAAAAATCAGAAAATAAATAGAAATTAAAATATGAATCCTTTAGAGAAACAAGAAAAAATTAAAGGTGCAATAAGGTAGAACAGTCAGTCTTTAATTGCTCTAAAATGACTTATTAAATTCTCATAGGTATTTGAGTCTGTATATGGTCTTTCATTTTTGTTTCCTTTCTATTTTTTTTTTTTTTTGGTCAGTTTGTCTATTTATGAAACAGCAGCACGTGTTTTCATTACTGGCTTAATATATCAATAGTAAATCAGCTATTGTTCCCCAATCGAATCTCCTTTCAGAGTTTTCTGTATTTATTATTATTATTATATTTTATTATAATTGACATGCAGAAGATGTCTGTGTGTATATGTGTATGTGTGTTTCCGTTTGAAACACTTTTATCTATCCAGGTATACAAACAATCCATTTATGTTTTCTTCCAATATTTATGGCTTTCTGATTTTTTTGGCATTTGAGTAATTAATCCACTTGAAATTTACACTAGTATATGGTGTGTATTATGGGCCAATTTTATCATTTCCAGATGAATCCCCAGTTTGAGAATCACTAAGTAAAGCTCTATGAAAACAAGCAATATTATACACTGTTGGTGAGAGTACAAAATGATACAGCTCCTAAAGAGGAGTAATTGGCAATGTTTATCAAAAATTACAAAGACATTTTTCCTTTGATCCAGCAATGTTATTTCTGTAATTTGTCCTGAAGTTATTCATGCACAGGTGCAGAGTGACATATATACAATAAATCTTTGCATTGTTGTAGTAGCAAGAGATTAGAAACCAGTAATTTATTCAATGATAAAGACTTTTGTAATTGAAACTAAAGTAATTGAAACTAAAGTATATTAATTAAACTATGCAGATAAAAAAAGATGAAGAAGCTTTCTATAGACATGGGAGAAATGATTTAATATGTAAAAAGTAAGACTACAAGGAGAATTGTGAAATAGAATGCTATTTTTTGTTTAAGAAACTGGTAAAATAAGCTGGGCACAGTGACTCATGCCTGTAATCCCAGCACTTTGGGAGGCTGAGGCAGGTGGATCACCTGAGGTCAGGAGTTCAAGACCAGCCTGGCCAACATGATGAAACCCCATCTCTACTAAAAATACAAAAACTCGTTGGGCATGCTTTTGGGAGCCTGTAATCCCAACTACTTGGGAGGCTGAGGCAAGAGAATCGCTTGAACCTGAGAGGCAAAGGTTGCAGTGAGCTAAGATTGCGCCATTGCACTGCAGCCTGGGCAACAAGAGTGAAACTCCGTCTTGAAAAAAAGAAAGAAAGAAAGAAAGAAACTGGTAAAATAAGAATTTACTCACATTTGTTTATATCTAGATAAAGAAAACTAAAAGGTTAACTAAGAAACTGAAAATATGGTTGATGTTAGATAGCAGTGAATGGAAGGGAAAGGAACAGAGGTGGGTGGGGAGGTGACTTTATAATTGTGGTAATATTGGAATAGTTTATTACCTATTTCAGAAAGTTATCATGGTTTTTTTTTAGATAGGGTCTTGCTGTGCTGCCCAGGCTGGAGTGCAGTAGTGCAACCATGAGTCACCGCAGCCTCGACTTCCCAAGGTCAGGTAATCTTCCCACTAAGTCTCCCAAATAGCTGAGGCTACACACACAGGCCACCAGGCCTGGCTAATTTTTGTAATTTTTGTAGAGACAGGGTTTTGCTATGTTGTTCAGGCTGGTCTCAAACTCAGGGCTGAAGGAATCCACTGGCTTCAGACTCCCGAAGTGCTCAGATTTCAGGCATAAACCACTGGTCCTGGCCTCTATAATGCACTCTTTAAGGAAATGCTTTATTTTACATTCTACCTCCCTATGGAAATATTAAATATGAATGACATCAGATATTTTCATATATAATGGTTATAAAAGGGTATGTCAAAGAGGGAATTTACAATATTCTTTATTGACTTACATGTTTGTTTTAGAACACATTAGTACTATGTTGAACAATGTAGCCCTATAAAACTAGATAGTCCAGACCTAAATTATCTAGCTGAGATTGTTGTCCAAATAAATGATCTGTTCATCATTAAGCTACCACAAGTTGGGAGACACTTCTCTGGGGAAGTGGAACATTCCTGCACATCTGGCAAGCAGCAACACTGACAGCCCTCTGTTCTAGATTAATTTTTTGAAGATGTTTGTATAACCAACAGACTTGGAAGACAGAAATAATGGCTCACTCTGGAGCAAAGGGCAGTTTAGCTTACTGTCCAATAGAGTGTCTCCCTCCAAGGCAACAGGGGAGTTTGCCTGTAGACCACAAAAACAGGTGGGGGGGGTTCTGAGTTTGTGGTTCCTCCCGTGTTATGCAACCCACTGGAGTTGCAGGCATCACCTTGCCTTTGTTTCACCATCCTGTGCGAATTCGGGCTATGGGACCATCACAAGAAAATGATCATACATCAGGTACTACTACTGCAGTGAGTAATAAGCTATTCTTTTGCTGCGCATGTGAAATCTGATGTTTGCAGCAAAACTTTATAAAACTTCATCTGACTTTGTTTTTTAGCTTGCAAATAGCATAAAGTCTCAGGTTCATCATGGTTTTTGACAACATTTAGAAGTATATATCCAAATTTATGATAGATTCTTTAAGGCCATATAAAATAAGTTTATTTGCATTCTGAATAATTTATAATTATTTATTTAATCCTGTGATCAATAGATGTAGTTATGTACATTTGTTCATATGTGTATTTCATAGAAAAGGATGTAGAGAAATTGAGTATAGACTAGCCAAAAAATTTTTTATCACTTAGAAAATGTATTTATGAAGGTTACTGGATTCTAGACTACACTTGAAGTATTTTAGAGAGGCTTTTTTTAGACGTCTTTCTTGTGAATAGGAAATGATTCTTATTAAAATTATAGCAGAAAGGCTAAATAAAATAAATAGAAATAACCTG
This sequence comes from Homo sapiens, assembly GCF_000001405.40. Lineage (NCBI taxonomy): Eukaryota > Metazoa > Chordata > Mammalia > Primates > Hominidae > Homo > Homo sapiens. Next base: position 87,328,033 of record NC_000012.12, read on the forward strand.
GTTATCAGAAGGCTAATTATACTTAGTTGTATTGTAAGAAGCATCAATTAGCCTTTTGACCAAACTTCATATTAAATGATGGTATTTAACCAGTTAATTGTTCTCAAAATAACAGAATAAAGATGTGTTATAAAACGGAAAACAGAATGGTTCCATTTACATATGAGTATATGCATAAATCTGGAAGAATGAAATTTTAATAACATCCTCTGCCTGTTAATATATTATGTAATCTTAATTTGCTTCCTTATAACTTGTTATATTTTCTGATTTTAAAAAGAGAAGGTCGTTTTATTTTAAAAGGTTTTGAACTATTAAAAAATTATTTAATTCAAGTTTTTTTCTTTCTAAATTGTTTTGTGAATATATGCAAAATGCATATAAAGCAATAATGTCATATGTCTACATGGTTTTTTATAATGGATTCTTTATAAATGTAAACTAAAATACAGCACAAAAGTAATCTATATTCTCTCTATAACTTCCATAGTTGAAATATCAAAAATACAATTCATAAGCACTTTGATAAGAATAAGCTACTATAGTGACCTAATGATTAAGGTATGCCTTCCTTCTTAAAATACATGTTCTGACAATTATTTTGTAGTTGCTTCAAATGCACTCAATTTATTAAGATAGAGCATGCAATTTCTAAACATTATGATATTCAACAATTTTTAATAATTTCTTTTTTAAGTGTAGTTGAGTTTGCCTAAGTAGACTATCCTTCTTTCTTTCTTTAATGCTGCTATTTCATAATTATATAGCAGGTTTTGGTAATTAATAATAATGTAAATTTTTGAAGAGGAAAATGGCTTAATGTATTTTTTTCTGACAGAGGGTCAAGGAGCAAAGGCATGTTTTATGAGTTTGTTGAAGATACGTTTGTGAAATTCTTAATGAAAAATCCATCTGGGTTAGGAGAGTTAAAGAGAGGGATTCTTTTGTTCTATATTAAAATTTATCCACTAACCTACTGTCCTAATGATCATCACCACCTATATAGATTTATTTTATTGAAGTGTATAAGTGAGTAGCCAGTTCTTTTCATAGTAAAGAGAAAAAAGAAATCATGGAACCAAGAGCTCTTCATTTCTTTTTTAATATGAAGTGAAGTTTCTCAACCTTGGCACTATTAGCAATTTGGTCTACACAATTTTTTGCTGTTGGGATGGAGGGAGAGGGGATCTTGCATATTACAGGATGTTTAGCAGCATCCCTGGCCTCTATCCACTAGACGCCAACAGCCTTCCTTATTATGACAACCAAAAATATTTCCAGACATCACCAAAATTCCCCAGAAAGCAAACTCATCCCCTTTTGAATACCACTGACATAAAGAAATATAATCACAATGTGCCTGATATAGTAGTTATTCAAACTGGCAGAACTAGGAATGGGGTGTATTAGTTAACCAAGTGGTATGTTTTATTAAAGTGTTAGTCCTGTTCTCACTGTTTGATATTGATAATTTCATTTTGGTAACATCCGTTCCTCAACTGCTTTTTCTCTCCTAAGGAGATGGAAGCTTCTGGTAGCTGTGTGAGAAGAGATTGTTATGCAGTAAAAGTGTGCAGAAATGGTATTTGGCAGATAAATACATGTTCACATTCACAGAGAGTCAAAGATAAGAAGTTATTAGTTATGTCCTTTCTGAAAACTCCCTTAAAAAGCCTTCTCAACAAGCCAATCCTGGACATTCCAGAAAAATAAAGTAACCAAATGTCTCAGTTTGCTTGTGATACTGGCTTGTTTATGTCTATTACTCCTGTGTTAAGTATTAATAGCAATTCTTTTCACTCTCAAAAGGATCTTAGTTTGGATATCATCACTCTAAAAAACATAGTCCTGGCCGGGCACGGTGGCTCACGCTTGTAATCCCAGCACTCTGGGAGGCCAAGGCGGGCGGATCACGAGGTCAGGAGATCAAGACCATCCCGGCTAACATGGTGAAACCCTGTGTCTACTAAAAATACAAAAAATTTAGTCGGGCGTGGTGTTGAGAGGTGACAGCGTGCTGGCAGTCCTCAGAGCCCTCGCTTGCCCTCGGCACCTCTTCTGCCTGGGCTCCCACTTTGGCGGCACTTGAGGAGCCCTTCAGCCCACCACTGCACTGTGGGAGCCCCTTTCTGGGCTGGCCAAGGCTGGAGCCCACTCCTTCAGCTTGCAGGGAGGTGTGGAGGGAGAGGCGCGAGCGGGAACCGGGGCTGCGTGCGGCACTTGCGGGCCAGCTGGAGTTCGGGGTGGGCGTGGGCTTGGCGGGCCCAGCACTCGCAGCAGCCGGCCAGCCCTGCTGGCCCCGGGCAGTGAGGGACTTAGCACCCGGGCCAGCGGCTGCGGAGGATGTACTGGGTCCCCCAGCAGTGCCAGCCCACCGGCGCTGCGCTCGATTTCTCACCGAGCCTTAGCTGCCTTCCCGCGGGGCAGGGCTCGGGACCTGCAGCCCGCCATGCCTGAGCCTCCTACCCACTCCAAGGGCTCCTGTGCGGCCGGAGCCTCCCCGTACTAGCCCACCAGGAGGAACGAACAACTCCAGAGATGCTGCCTTAAGAGCTGTAACACTCACGGCAAAGTTCTGCAGCTTCACTCCTGAGCCAGCGAGACCACGAACCCACCAGAAGGAAGAAACTCCGAACACATCAGAATATCAGAAGGAACAAACTCCAGACGCGCCACCTTAAGAGCTGTAACACTCACCGCAAGGGTCCACGGCTTCATTCTTGAAGTCAGTGAGACCAAGAACCCACCAATTCCGGACACAGTGTCAGGCGCCTGTAGTCCCAGCTCCTCGGGAGGCTGAGGCAGGAGAATGGCGTCAACCTGGGAGGCGGAGCTTGCAGTGAGCCGAGATCACGCCACTGCACTCCAGCCTGGGCGACTGAGCAAGACTCCGTCTCAAAAGAACAGCAACAACAACAACAACAACAAACCATAGTCCTTTGTCAGTCTTTAGTCTACTACTTCTGACCTATTAACAGCTCCTGGCCTTCCATTTCTAGTTATCCCAGAAGGACATACTGGAACACCTTGCAGGTAACTACTGGGCAGGCAATTTCACCTGGTATTTAAAAACACGGATTCTCACTTGAACCTGGGAGGCGGAGGTTGCAGTGAGCTGAGATCGCGCCACGGCACTCCAGACTGGCTACAGAGCGAGACTCCATCTTAAATAAATAAATAAATAAATATGTAAATACCTGGATGCTGAGATCAGAAAACATAAGTTCAAATTCTAATTAACTCCATAAATTATTAGGTATGATATTTTGGGTGAGTTTTTTCATCTTTAAAATGGGGTTTTCAATAGCAATTGCTTACTCATAAGATAACATACATAAAATACTTACAGTATTCCTTGATACAATATAAATACCATTTCATTCCTGGTTGATTATCTTGGTCTTTCTCTTTCCATATTTTGCATATTGAAAAAGGGTAATGGAAACTATACATGTTTTTGTTTATAATCTGAAATTATAGCACCAACCTATTATACAGTTCTGATGTTTTCTATCTACTATTTCAATAAAATCTGAATCATATCGTACATGGTGATCATAAACTTTTTGCATTTTGTTTATTTATGTTTATATACTTTCAATACTACATTTAGATGATGATTGTGATAATTACATTATATGTATTATTTCTGGGTAATTATGTTTGTCATTTACATAGTCAGTACTTGAGAAACTGAGTGCAGATAGATGTCTAAGACAGCCCGCAATGATCCCACCTCCTAATAGTCACATCTATTTGTAATCCTTTCCTTCCCTTGAAAATGGGAAGTAACTTGCTTCTAATATGGCAAAGGTGATGGACTATTACTTCTGACATTAGATTACTAAAAATTGTGGCCTTCATGTTGTCAGTAGACTCTGTGTATTGCTTTTTCAGGTTACACACTTTGATGGCACTAACTGCATGTTAGAATTGTGTGGCAAAGAACTGAAGGCATCAGTCCAAAAGCCCAAAGAACTAAATACCGCCAACAACCCCATGAACTTGGAAGTGGGTCCTTTCCCAGTGAGCTCTGGAGATGACAAAAGACAGACAACACCTTGATTGTAGTCTGTGAGAAAACCTGAAGCAGAAGACCCAGCTAACTTGTGCTCAGATTCCTGACCAATACAAATTGTGAGACAAATGTGTAATTTTTTAAGCCAAGTTTTTGATAATGTAATATGAAGTGATAGATAACTAATACAAAATAGAGAACTGGATACATATGTTCACGAGCTATTCTGGCATAAAAATACATTCAATAAAAAACTTGTTGCTACTCTGTATTTCCCTCATCTCATTGACATCATCCTATCCTTTATCTTTCATATAAATATCTGTGTAAAATTTGTCAACAAATGGTGTGAAAATGAAGAGAAAGCAGAACAGTAGAAATAAAAGAGGACTTGTTTAGGTGTTTGCTTTGTTTGTTTTTGAAATAGGAGATTGTTATTGTCTGAATGTTTATGTTCCTCCAAAATTTATATGTAGAAATTCTAACACCCAAGGTGATGGTATTAAGAGGTGGGGATTTGTGGAAATGACTAGTTAATAAGGGTAAGATATTAATGTGATTAGTGCACTTATGGAAGAGGCCCTAGAGAGAACCCCTGTCCCTTCCACCATGTGAAGATGAAGCAATAAGCCACTGTCTATGAGCCAGAAAGCAGGCTCTGACCAGACTGAGCCTGCCTTGATCTCAAACTTCTCATCCTCCAGAACTGTAAATAATGATTGTTTTTTATAAGCTACCTACTTTGTGCTATTTTGTTGTAGCAGTCCAAATGGACTAAGACAGAGTTTCTATTAAACAGTATTAAGCTTAAGTGAAAATTCCAGGGAGAGGAAGAGGTAGATAACAATAAAGGTGGAAGAGATTACCTGCAGAGGACAAGTTCCTGAGAAAGTCAGCTGGGGTGGCATCCAAAGGATCACAGAGGAAGGGGTTCATCTTTGACAGGAGAAACATTTTATTCTTCACTTCTCAGAAGGCAGGAAATGGGGTAATTCAAGTATGCTAATATAATTGCTGGGGAATCAGAAAAGTGAATTCATGAATCAGAGTAGGTTATCTCTGCATTAGCAAGATGAAATCATCTAAGTGTAATAAAATGTAACTGATGAACTATATAGAACATAATTATACCCATTTCTAAGGAAATAGGAAATAGTCTCACTTCCTTTGTTTGCTTTGAGAGAACACAAATATACTACACATGGGTGCTATCTTCCATGCTCCACTTTGTAAGCGTTTTAACATTTGAGGAAATATGAGGAAATGGTGTTTTTATCTGCTATCAGAAATAAGTACTGAAACTGATTCAATGCTGAATCTGCTGCTAAAGAGAAAGATAAAATTGAACCGGTCGTTTGAAGAAATAGTCATGTCTTAACATAGCCTCAAACATAGCTATTTATTCATACTACTATAAATTTGTGTCACCCAGTTATAACGAATCAGCTTTATCCTCGCCTTTGATCCCTGAGGGCACTAAAAAATACCTTCTTGCATATGAACTCAAGAGGATTTTATCCTAGTCTAATTTTCTAATGCTCCTGGCTTCCTGCCCAGATACCCTGAAATGCAGGACAGCTGGGGAAATGACCATACTCTCATCTCCACAAGGAGCAAATGATGCCCTTTTGCAATGTATAGGCTCCTAGGGCACATTAAAATCTGTTCTAGGTATAAGGGGACAAATGGAAACAGAAAGGTTCATGGCAAAAGTGCATAGTATACATACAGAAAAGGTTCCCCAATGCCAGTGTATTTGCCATTGCCGTCTATGAAAGCATTGTTATCAGGGAGCAGTGAAATGAAAACATGAGAACAGCACACTGATTAGTTCATGTTTTTGTCAACCTAAATAATTGTCCTTTATTATGCTATGTATTGTAATTTCTATTTTTGTCCTAAAATATATTTTATTGCACACAGTTTAGGTAATAGTAACTTTGTTCCTACCATTTTTGACAAAATTAGAGTTGTCCACCCTATCATTAAATCCAAATATCTGGGTAATACTAATCTTGGCTAAACTAGATGGTCAGTTTTTATTTTATAACAGAGTTGTTAAGAAAGTGTGCTCTGAAATTAGATTGTTGGATTGATATTTTAGCCCTATGAATGGCTTTGTGATCTTAGGCAAATCACTAAACCAGTCTATTCCTTAATTTCTTCAACTGTAGATAAATTAAATAAATTTCTCATAGGTGCGCAATTATTCCATTCATACATGTATAGTGCCAGGCAAACAGTAAGCAGGCTCAGCCAGGAGTTGTTTATAATCATCTCAAAGCACTGAAACATCCCTAGTATAATGGAACATTTAATTATAATATTCAATGTTATACTAACAATACTAACAATACTAACAGCAATGAAGATCTGAAACATCGAATTGTTTATTAAACCAATATTCATTGTGCAACTATTATGTTCAGATACTGTGCTATAATTTTGAAGTACAAAAGTAAACAAGACCCTCAAAGAGTCTATAAACTAAGATTATTTTTAAATTTTCATCGAAGAGTTTCACTTCAGTTTAAGCCCCTCATCAGGTTAAACTGTAACTTGTGTTTGGAAGTAAGCAATGCTGTAAGATAGAAGTTGAAGAAGGTGAAAAGTTACAGACTGGAGGACACCTGGAGGATTGCTAATGACAAGACTGGCAAGAATTAATCACAGCAAAGCAGAAACAGAGACATAAGTTAAAAGTAACTGATAGATGAAGAGTTTGTTAATTTCCCCACTTGCAACCCTTCCGCATGGAAGTATATTATAGAAAAAGCAGTCTTTCTGCAATTGTTCTTCTAATAGAGTAAATGGTGTCATTCTCACTAGTATTCACATGATGTCTTGGCTTTAAAAAATGGGTAACTGGTAAGGTTCGTACATTCTTTGGTTAAGATTTGGTGCAAATACAATCATGCATTATGCACTCGATCTGCATAGCAGCAATCATCAAAGATTTTAGCCAGTTAATGCAAGCATTTTCTATTTATGAAAAGTGAAGTGAGTACTATAGTATGGTTCCATCATTACCTGAAATATCTCCATCATCCACTGCTCCACACCTAACAATCCATCTTCAGTCTCATTTGGTACTAAAGTTGCTGTACAAAGACACCCATCCACTTTACAAAGTACATAGCTCTTTCTATTGTGCCCAATCACTTTCTTGGGCTCGATTTGGTAAATTGGTACACTGATAAATTTAAAATAAATCTAATACAATTCCTAAAATTCAGGAAAAATGGAAGATTTACTTTTTCTCTCATTCCAATTCCTATAAAAACCACAGTGTTTAGTGCCCTCAGTATGCATTAAATAATTCTGGAAGAACAAATAATCCATGCTTTCTATGGCAAGGAATCTACCTGTGCCAAAGTTAGAGGGCCTTAATGCACTTCTGCCCTACCGTGAACACCTTGGCATTAAATGAGAGGTAATCATATTCAGTTGATCCTGCACTTATTGATTTATGAGTAAGTTTGATCACCTAATTGAGCATGAACTTATTTAATGCCTAATGAATGAAGACAGAACCTAAGGCCTAATTAACCATTTAAAGATATATCTGTGAAATCACATTAGGTAGACAGTAGGTACACATCTTAGGGGCTCATGAGCATGTTGAGAGAAAAATGGAATTAGTTGTAAAAAGTCAAACTTGAAGTTTAGATTGGATTTTTAACAGTAAAAATGATGAAGACAAATGCCTCGGTCAAACCAATTTACTAGAATATACTATTCCTGCCATGTGGGACGAAGACACAATTGAGGTTTGCACTATGCCAAAAGTCTTTATCAGGGAAGGATCCAAAAAGAAAAAGAAAGAATGGATACACTCCCAAAAAGTCCTAGTCTATGATTGAATTGATGCAGTTATTGGAACCTAGCTGATATTGAAGAATCTATCAAACAAAACATTCTCTCTCTGCTTCCTCGTGTCTGGATAAATTTCTTCGTCTATACTTCACTTAGGTCGTTCTGAAAGTATGTAAGTTTTTCCTATCAAAGTTTCTTCTTAAAGAAATTAATGATTAGAGAACTGTATTTAAAAATTCACGCTTGTTAATATTTTTTAAAGTATTTTTTCATATGCGTTACTTGTTTACATGGAATCATTTCTAGGGTTGGCTTTATTTCAACTTCATTATAATTTTAAGCAAAATGTAAACTCAAGGGGATTTTCGTTTCTGTTTTCTGGTATGCAGTATCAATCTAAAAATCACGCAATTTAAAAACAAATTAGTTTGTCCAGGGTGTTAAAGTTGGCAGACACTGGGGAAAAAGCTAACCAACGAATATTCTGAAATAACCCCACCCATTCTGCAAAAGGATTAAAGCAAAGGTCATCAATCTGTTTTTACACTCAATAAGAATGGGTGTCAATAAATACAACTTTAAATCACAACTATGAATTCTTTAATCTTTGGGATCAATTTATGCAAAGAGAATAAAAAGTTTTCAGAGACATAGTGGGATACTCCAGCCTGTAAGAAAGCATTACCTTTGGATAAAAACCAATTATTCATTAGCAGAAAACAGAATGCAGTCCCAGAGGTAGAGTATTATTTCAGATCCAATTTCTAGTTATCTAGATATCGGTGAATATCTTTACTGTCACTGAAAAATATGTTGGCAAATTCACAACATTGATCCAATGTTTGAGTACATTTTTCAGAATCTCTCTTAACAAAAAAGAGTATAAAAAAACTCTATGAAATGCCATAATACTATTCCCCAACTAATATATTTTTAGATGTTTGTAAACATTATTGCTCACAGACAGGTTTCAGTGTGATTTAATGCTACAATGCACAACTGGCTCCTTTTCATAAAAATATCTTTGAACTCTTCATATATAAAGTCTATCTTTTAAAATGCTTATAGTTAGAAAAAATGTTCTCAAACCCAAACTCTTCTCTTCTAAACTCCTATTTAGTCTTTCTGCCCCCCATTTCTCACTATCACCGTGCAAATTCACTATTACAAGCAAAAGAGCTCTTTTGTTTAAAAACAGATCTGTTTTTCATACACTACACAGGATGTGTTCAATCACCAAAGGTATTTATTGAATGCCAGCTATGAATCATGTACTGCGTAGGCTTGGGGACATTGGGGATAGATAAATATCAGTAAGGTTTAAAAGCCTAAATAGGCTTCATGGTTTTCTATTGACTACTCACTCTTTAGTTTGAAACACATAAATCCAATTCCTAACACAGACAACTTCTGCAACTTGATTTCTTTCTTGATTCTACTTCATGCCCTCAATTCTCCATTTACACTAAACTTCTACCATTCACTTGAATATTTCAAGCCCTTTTATTCCTCTGGGCTTTTGTCCACAATATATTCCTGTCTTCCAAAATAAATTATTTCCTTCTAAACCTGTCAGATACTCACGTACTGCAAGACCAAGACAAATTTATATTCTAGTCAATAAAATATTTCCTATATCTTCTAGTAAGAGCCATTCACTTCCTTCTCTGAACTCCTAAAGTGCTTCATTCTTTTCTCATTCAGATTATTATTAAAATTATACTGCAGTTATATTTTTACAGAAAATTAGGAATGAAAATAACTAACCTGCACATTGTGCACATGTACCTTAAAACTTAAAGTATAATAATAATAAAATTTAAAAAAAAGAATATTTAAAATCTTAATGTTATAAAAATAATGTAGAATAAATATATTGTTGTTCATTCAGCAAATATGTTAATAGAAAGAAATGTGGTTGTTTTGTCTTTTCACAACAAAGTAAACTAGAGGGGTAGGGGAAAGATAATGGTTTACCTTGTGATAATATTGAAAAACTCGTGCACCAAATGTAAAAGTAAGAAATAAAATAGCTTCGTACATTCAAATATATAAATATGCATTTTTTCAAACAGTTATTTTTACAGAACATTGAAATTCCTGATACCCAGAGAGGCTAATATTAGCATATCAAAGAGGTAGAGACTTGTTTTTTCAAATTATACTAGAGCATTCAGAAAGTGCTGTCACTCTTGTAGGCAAAAGTACTGGGGAAAAAAAGTCCATTAAAATAAGTAAAGAGAAAGTTTAAAAGCAGGTATTTTTAAGTACATACATGTTAAAATAAATATATAGAAAGAGTTAATGGAAATGGACCACTAATGTATTTGATTATATTAAAATCTCTGCCTGATGTGAGCAAAGAAAAATTAAAACTTAACAAAATTAAAGAATCATATATATTGAAGTATAAAAGGAGGTTTAATGTATCAGCTTGGCTATGCTGTAGCCCCCAGTTATTCAACCAAATACTAGTCGAGGTGTTAGTGTGAAGGCATTTTGTATATGAGATTCAAGTCTGCAAACAGTTGACCTTCAGTGGCTTATTTTAGTTAATCTGTGTGGGCCTGATTCAATCAGTTGAAAGACTTTAAGAGTAAAACTGAGGATTCCCTGAGGAGGAAGAAACTGCCTGTGAATAGCCCATGCCCCAGCATTCCCAGTTTTACCTTCTGCTCATGCCCCAGCATTCCAGTCTGCCCCTCCTAAAGGCAAGCTTAGGGGTTTCAAACTTGCATTGTCACCTCCCAAAATCATGTTAGCCAATTTCTTACAGTATGTATTTCCTACTGGTTCTGTTTTTCTGGTTGATCCCTGACTGATATATGGAGCATAGCGTCTTGATATGTCAGATTTATAATCTCTTTCAGTCAGTACATAGTTATCAAGCAGTTATTTCAGTGTTATTGGCAAGTAATTGAATTCAGCTAATCTCTTGTCAGTATTTGAGAAATCAATCTGTTCAGTTAAAATAGTTTTGTCTCCTGGATGAGTACTTTACCAAGGCCAAATTTCAACTCTCCATCTGGCCTCCTAACAACTTCCTCTTGTAGTATTTCTACTTTGAGCTGGCACATCTAGGTTCATCACAGAACCTGTGATCTCTAACGTATCTCTTCTTCTCATCTTCCACATTAAATTTATCACTGCTTATCAGTTTCAGAAGCCTATTTACAAAGGACTTAGGAAGCCCATATACAAAGGACTTAGAGGAGATTGTGGGCATAATTGTTGCGAGATGAGAAACTTGGTAGACAGTATGTTACATAGAAGTGAGAAAATAGCAGTGGTGTAATTCCAAAAACAGCACACTAGTTCACTTCTTCCTGTTTGCATTGCCATTTTCTTAGTCTATGTGCTCATGCTTTAAGTGATATCTTTGGTCTTACTTCCTCAGAGGAATCTTCACAGACTCTCCAATCCTCAGGTTCATTATAGTGTCTTTCTAATTCATTACAGTGGCTTAACCCTCTTTGAAAGACCTGCAATTATCCTTTAATCTGCTTGGCAAAACTCATATTAACACAGTTATGCTTGTGATTACTGTTTAATATCTCTCCTGTTAGTCAACTTTGATGAGTTCCATGTCAGAGCTGTTTGATTTGTCTTTTCTTTCTTTTTTTATTTTAAACTTTTAAAAATCGAAGGATAATGTTCAGAAAGAAAAGTAAATATACTATAAATGTGGGGCATGATGCATTCTCTCACATAGAACAGCTGTGTAAAGATCACCAATATTTTTATTTTGGTTTATTACTAGCACTGAGAAAGTTCCCTTTATTCTCCATTCCTGTTTAAGGCCTAACTACCATTCTGAGTTTAACTGCATAGGTTACTTTGGCCTCTTTTTGTGCTTTATATAAATAAAATGCTCTATATTAATTAGTCCATTTTCATGCTGCTGATAAAGACATACCCAAGACTGGGTAATTTATAAAGAAAAAGAAGTTTAATGGACCCACAGTTCCACGTGGCTGGGGAGGCCTCACCGATCATGGTGGAAGCCAAAAGGCGTATCTTACACGGTGGCAGGCAAGAGAGAATGAGAACCAAACAAAAGGGGAAACCTCTTAAAAAACCATCAGATCTCGTGAGATTTATTCACTACCATGAGAACAATGTGGGGGAAACTGGCCCCATGACTCAGTTATCTCTCACCAGGACCCTCCTACAACACGTGGGAATTATGGTAGTTACAATTCAAGATGAGATTTGGGTGGGGCCACAGCCAAACCATATCATGCTCTAAAGCTGTTTCACCTTTCAACACATATTTATAAGATTCATCCACACTACTGCATGCAATTATTAACTTGTTTATTTTCATTACAGAATAATATTCCACTGTATAAATAAAAAATAATTTATGTATCCATTCTACCAATGATAGACCTTTGGGTTATTTCCAGGGTTGGTTGTGATCAATAATATTGCTATAAACATTATTGCATGTCTATTCATGGGCATAGGTCTGGATTTATTTTGGAAATATACCTAAGATTGGAAATGCTAGTCCATAAAGTGCATATATTTAGTCATAGTCAATATTGTCCCAAACAAGTTTTAAAAGTGGTTGTACCAATTTGAACTCTCACTAAAGAGTTTCAGTTTCTCCAAACAAGATTTCTTTACAAACACTTGAGATTTTCAGTCTTTTTCACTGTAGCTATTCTGATATGTAGCTATTCTGATATGTAGTAGGATCTGATTATTGCTTTAATTTGAATTCTTTGATGATTAATATATTTAAACACCTTTTCACATGTTTATAGACATTTACATATTCTTTTTATCAAATATTTATTCACATTTTGCATTTTCAGTTGACTTGTGTATATATAGCTATATAAGAAGAGATTAATATCTTTAAGAAATCTTTGCTTACTCCAAGATTAAAAGATTATTCTATCTTTACTTCAAAAAGCTTTTTCCATTTGCTTTTACAATTAGACTTGAAATTCATCTGTAATTGACTTTGCTTATTTAAGATAGATGCTGTCTTTTTAATCACAGATGTATTTAAAGCACCCAGCAATAAATACTGAATTAATATATCTTAAATAACTGAATGAAGAGGTGAATGAAAACATAAGTTTGGGTTAGTTCCAAGAAAAAAAAAAAGGTATGTAGGATAATGTGTGTATAGTATACATTATAGATGGGATGTTCAAAATTCTCTTTCCAAACACATTATCCCTTCTCTAATACAAATATTAAATGTTTATATCCTAGCTTCCATTGCAGCCAGAGAGGGGCATGTGACACTTTTTAAGCCAGTGAAATGTAAGAAGTCGTCCACCGTTGGCATCCCTTTATTTTCCTCTTCCACTGGCCTGTAACAGGCACACGGATATGATGCCTGAGGGTACAGTAGCCATATTATTACCATGAGGTTACAAAAGTGAGGACAAAAATAACATCTAAGAAAAAAAATCTAAGCAAAAATATAACAAGAATCCTGGTCCCAATGATAACTGAACATCTATGCTAATCAATCCCTAAACTTTTTCTTATGTATTACAAATAAATCCCACTTGTGTCATTTGGTGATGCATGTGTGAGATTAATTTTCTTATTTGCAACCGAAGGCATTCCTAAATGGAGCAGACTAAGGAATCCGTATATATTTCTGGTTTGACAATGCCATAATGTTTTAAAGGTGCATTTCCTCATCCACCATGAATGAAGGATAGTGGAAGAAATGTCCTTTCTCTCAGCTTATGTTGTACTCTTGTGAGTCAGAAAATCCTGGCCTGAAACATGAATCCTGGATCTGCAGTCTACTAGCTGTCTCTCTTTTGAGAAATTTACTTAACATCCACTGGTTAATTTGCTTTCTGTAAAAGAATAAAACAATATAGAAAAAACATCTTCTTTGAGAGTGGTTTTGGAGAAAGGCTTATGATAATTTATGAAAGATACCTGACATAAGGCAAGTATTTGATATGTGTTAGGTATTTCCCCTCATTTTTAATTATAAGTACATTTACAGTATGTACTTGAGAAAAGCATCAAGTAAACAACAGGTGAAAACCAAGACTATTTTTGTCTTGGATAAGCTGTCATATTAATAAAGATATGCACTAGTAAAACATACTTTACCTTGTAGAAAAAAAAAGGGGCAGGAATGTTTTCTGCTATTTACGATGTTACATATTGTTATTGGTAACCACAAACTTGAGTTATTATTTTGTGGCAATAATTTTATAAATTATCATGGCCTAAGAAAGTTTATGATGCTTTCAAATATATACAAGTTATTTTCAGAGAGTTGCATGTCTGATATTACCAAGAAATGTTTTCGATATTAACAGGAAAGCAACTCTAATTGTTTGATGGGAAGATAAGTTATTTGCCCAAATATCTATAATCTTATGGGAAATGTTTTTTAAGAATACTTTAATATTGTTTCTGAAGAAGGTAACAAGCATAACTTTGAGATTTATAATCTCATATCTGTAATTTGTGTATGTGCCAATGCATTAATAAAAGCAAATTTATCTTTTTCAGGAAAAAAAATTGAGTCATAACTTAAATAGGTTTATACTAATAAGGTACTCCATTGATTCAAATATTTGATTTCTTTTTCAGGCAAGACAGACAAGTTAAGCAACAAAGAAAAATAGGAGTGATTTTCTAAAAAGACAAAAATGCACTTGAAATTGATAAAGCACCAATTTTAGATGGCATACAAAGCATTAAGAAGATTAAGGGAAAAGAGCAAAGAAATCAGTAAACCTTTACTCGACCTTTTAAAAATTTCATTAGGCTTAGAAATGTTCCCAAGGAAAGAAAAATAACAGATCCTTCTGCCTGTTGTTGTTGATGTTGTTTGAGAATAAATCAAGAAATTATATCCTAATCAGTTGAAGGTTTGCATTTCAGAAAATCAGTGGGCTCTAAGGGAGAAAATCCTGACAAAGCTTATTACTACACAGCCCAATGATTTCAATATTGAAATAAGAAAGTCATACCAAATTTTAGTAGTTTTTAGAGAATATTACAGCAATCATACGCAAGAGACTTCAGAAGCTGTTTAAAAAGTATTATTAGTTTCCTACAGAAAATTCTGTCAGAAACTTTGAAAACTGAAAGTAAAGCCAAAACTTTATAGTAGCCTATCAAGTGGTACAATAGATATATATAATTCCTTAAAGCAAGCTGAGGTACCTGTAGAAATAACAGGGAATAAAAATAATACTTCACTTGGCCGGGCGCAGTGGCTCACGCCTGTAATCCCAGCACTTTGGGAGGCCGAGGCAGGCAAATCACGAGGTCAGGAGATCGAGACCATCCTGGCTAACATAGTGAAACCCTGTCTCTACTAAAAATATGAAAAAATTAGCCGGGCGTGGTGGCGGGCGCCTGTAGTCCCAGCTCCTCGGGAGGCTGAGGCAGGAGAATGGCGTGAACCCAGGAGGCGGAGCTTGCAGTGAGCCCAGATAGCGCCACTGCACTCCAGCCTGGGCGACAGAGCGAGACTCCGTCTCAAAAAAAAAAAAAAAATTCACATTTAGTACTTGCTCCTGTTGAGGCACAGCTGGGTAATTACTTGGGTAAAACATGGAATAAAATGTCTTCTTTTCTTTATTTTTTTTCTTTTTTTGAGATGGAGTCTTGCTCTGTCGCCAGGTTGGAGTGCAGTGGCGCAATCTTAGCTCACTGAAACCTCTGCCTCCTCTGTGCAAGTGATTCTCCTGCCTCGGCCTCCCAAGTAGCTGGGACTACAGGTACGTGCCACCACAGCCAGCTAAATTTGTATTTTTAGTAGAGACGCGGTTTCACCATGTTGGCTGGCATGGTCTTGATCTCTTGACCTTGTGATCCACCCGCCTCGATACAATGCAATTTCTATAAAAATCTTAATATGAGGTCAGCTTATAGACAACAGACACACATCACACAAATGAACTGATAATGTCTTGGGACATGTAAAAACTTCCTGAAAATGTAAAAGGATGAGATCTAGCAATAAGCAGTTATTTTCAAGGAGAATCACAACACTAGGAGATGCACATGTAAAAACAATTACAGGTATAAATAAGAAGTACAAATAAGGTATGTAAAAAATAAGTATACTTTATTTGGTTATATAAATAATTTAAAATCCAAATTCTTCTATGTGTTCCATTATCCCAACGCTCTTCCCCAGCCTCCTTGGCTGATAATAAAAGAAACATCAGTTATTATAAGGCTTCCCTTTTCCTAGTGTTTCATGAATACAAATTCAAGAGACATCTGCGTGCCACTGCATCACATTTCTGTAAAAATCTTCTCAGCCAGTATGTCAACCTCATTACTTAGGAACCAGGACCATTAGATGTACCCATTGACCTCATGAGATGCTGCCAGGGATAGAAGCAAAATCTTTACAGGAAACTGAGTGCATTCATCCTAGATTCAGCCTGGACATGCACTAGTCTAGTTGCCTGCAGAAGCACTGGCTCCTTTACCTTTTCCTTCAAAAACAGCATTTAGATTGACCTGAGTGATGAAATAACCTGGACAACTAACTCCCATGACACAAGTTTACCTATATAACAAATCCTGCACTTGTACCCCTAAACTTAATACAAGAAGAATAATAAGAATAATAAAAATAATTTTTTAATTCAAAAAACCCACAAAAACAATGAGCAGAGGTTATAAGATGGTATAGCTTTTAAAAAAACTTGAGAGGAGAACAAAAGACTGCCTTCATTCTTTTTTTGATTTCGACTGTGAAAACTCTTTGACAAATAAAAACACAAACTCCCCAGTTTTACCTTTGGATTGGCAGAGGAAAAAAAATAAGAGAGAAAAACAAAAGTCCAAGAATTAAGCTTCTAGTATTTCCCTGGTAGCTTCTGACTAGCCCAGCTGACCTAAAGTTTATAGATTAATTGGTTCTATGCAAGATATAGACGATACCATCAAATAATAATTCAAGTGAAAGAGAACATTGGAGACCTCTGTTTAAATCAGGAGATCTAGAAGCCGTTTTTATCAGTGGGTAAATTAGAAAAATATAACTTCACCTGTAGAGGGAGATGTTGGAGATGTCTTGACCCTCATTTTGGCTCTGCACTGAGAGAAAATAAATCAGAAATAAAGAAAGAGATAAAAGAAATAGGAAAGAAAGACGGAAGGAAGTCTCTTCTAAGAATACCTAACCACAAGCTAGAGTTGCAGCATGTGACCGTAAATCCAAGCATGTAATTTACTTTTAAAAAGCTCCAGTGAGGTAGTGCATCACGAGGATTTAACAAAAATGAGAAATATTCTCTTCGAAAAAAGGATGTTAAACCCATCATCCAAATTATTCCTACATATAAAGTTCCAAGAAATATTAGCTTATAATGACAAATTTTCCAAAAAAAAATTAAGATGACAAATGATCCAGAATGATCTAAAATAGAAAACAGGTGTGGAATCAAACTCAAGGACATTAGAGATAGCAAAGCTATCAAATAAATAATGTAAAGGTAAGCATGCTAAAAATGTTTTAAATTATAAAAAGAGAATAGACTATAAGATTAATTGACAACATAATTGTCATAGTTGACAAGAAAGACTGAAAAAAAATAATTCTCATATAATTAAAAAATACATAGTAATTTTAATTAGAAACTCAATAGATGATTTAAATAGACAAAGATGAAGAGAGAACATTAGAAAATGGATATAGATCTGTTTGAAGAAATTACCCCTAATAAAGCACAGAAAAATAAAGACATGCAAAAATAAGAAGATTAAGACAAAGAACAAAAAGGTCTAACATATATCAAAATTGAGTTTAATATGAAATAATAGGAGAAAGTGGAGGGAAGGATTAGTAAAGAAGATGTTTGAGTCAGCATGTTCCAAAATTCAGGAAAGATAGCAATGTTTAAATAGAGAAGCTAAAGAGTTCTCAAGAAGGATAAGTTAAAAGAAGCTGAGATAAATGCATTGTAATGAATATACGTAATTCTAAAATCAAGAGAAGATGGTTAAAATAGTTAGAAAGAAAAGATAGCTTTTTCCAAAGGAAAAGCTATAAAACTGTGACTTTCCAACAGAACAAGAGAAGCTGGAAGACAATAGAATTATTTGTTTTCAAGGTGCCAGGAGGAAAAACTGTCATATTTGTATATACTCAAAGTAAGTATCTCAAGAATGAAGATACAATAAAGATATTAACTGACTTACATTGAAGAAATTCCTTAAAAACAAAATTCAGGATACAAAATATGAAAGATAATTGCTTAAAATGTATGAAAAATGTTAAGAAAATATTTGGGCAAATTAAAGCAAACACCAAGTTAATAAAATATAAACAATGTCTAATTTGTAGGGCTAAAGAAAAACAACAAATAAGAATGCTGTGTAACAATTAAGACACTGAAATTAAGATTCTAAGGTTCTTGGATTTTTCATGAGGTAGATAAAGATACATGATTAGGGCCGGCCGCGGTGACTCATGCCTGTAATCCCAGCACTTTGGGAGGCCAAGGCGAACGGATCACGAAGTCAGGAGATCGAGACCATCCTGGCTAACATGGTGAAACCCTGTCTCTACTAAAAATACAAAAAATTAGCCGAGCGTGGTGGTGGGCGCCTGTAGCGCCAGCTACTCGGGGGGCTGAGAAACGAGAATGGCGTGAACCCGGGAGGCGGAGCTTGCAGTGAGCCGAGATCTACGATTAACTTTAGTCTTTTGAAAGTTAGGCAAGCATATAACCACAAAACGAATGTAAATAGTTTCTATAACTTTCAATCTTCTTGGAGACAAAATAGAATGAGGTAATAAAACAAAGCAAACCACACAAAACTCAATTGAAATAAAGCAAGAAAATAAGAAAATGAAAGCATAGAAAAAGCTTAATAAATAGAGGCATTGAAATAAGGTGGCAGAAATAAAATCAAATATACCAACATATTCATATCAATATACTTATATACAATAAATATAAATACATTATTTAGTTAAAAGACCAAAATAATCTGGACTTGTTTATAGAAGACATGTATGAAGTATAAGATAACAAAATGGTTGAAAGCAAAAGGATTGAAAAGATGTGGCAGGAAAATGCTAACCAAAAATCTCATGTGACTATAACATAAGACAGAATATAAATTAAGGTTAAAGCATTATAGGACACAAACATACAACCATACATGCACAGTTTCTATATAATGTCTAGGAGCTAAATTCAACTGGATCATATAACAATTCTAAACTTATTTTTATCTAGCTTAAAGCTATGCAAAACAAAAAGTATGAGAAGAATCAAACAGACACATCTACTGTCGTAGCAGATAATTTGAACATGCTTTTTTAATTAATAAATGAACTAAACAGAAAAATCAGGAACTGTAATGAAGATCTGAGTAAAATAATTACATCAGATAAGGTAACAAGTCTCCAAATCTCACTGATTCCTAATTGGTGAACTACTCTTCTCCAAGCAGTGATTCCAGGGTGCAGCCTTCCTTCTTGTGGCTCCACCACTCTGTCGGTCAGTACTGCTCAACTGGGGGCAATTTTGACCCCTATGGGAAATTTGACAAGACCTGGAGAAAGTTCAGGTTGTCACACTTGGTCTCTATTGACATCTAATATATTGAAGACAGAGATGCTCAAAACATCCACAGAACACTGTTTCCTGTTGAGGCATAGGGCAGCTCCCACAATAAGAATTATCAGGCACCAAATGTCAGTGCTGAGGTTGGAAACCCTGGTCTATAACCTTGGAGTCCTCTATTGGATCTTCCGCATCTGGCCAGCAGATGGGGAAGAATAAGCAACCTCCATTGGGGAAGTTTTTGTGAATCAGATCTAGTGTCCAGAATTCCTTACAATAAATAAAAAAGGACACAAAAATAAAAAAAAAAAGGCATAAGGAATTAAAGTGTATCACTAAAAGTGGCCAGTATATATGAATATGTACCCAAATTCATTAGTAAACAGGAAACTGAAAATTTTAACTACAATGGGTTTTCACCTGACATTCACCAGGCTGACACTGATGACTGAGTATGCCAGTTATGGCAAGGATGTGGAGAAACAGGAATCTCATATATTTTAGTCCAATTGGAAATGTCTGCATCTGATATAGGTATCAATTTAATGTTACCTATTAATGTGAAAATGCACATTCTTTATTACCAAGATTCTCTATTCCTAGATATTGATTGTTTTGGGTAGTGCTTTTCAACATTGCCTGCAGATTAAAATTGCCTGGGAAATGTTTATTAGATGTCGGTGCATGAGTACCACTACCAAAGTTACTAATTCAACTGAGCCCAGAACAGGTCCTCAAGCAACAGATTGTTGAGTGTACAGTTGAAGTTAAAATACACTGCCTTGGGAATTCTCCTCTCCATGTACACAACAGCATCATTTATAATAGCAAATAAGCAAACAAAAACTCTTATATACACAAGCTAGTAACTCCTGTCTATAAAAATTGAAACAGGCAAACACTGTGGTTTAGTCATACAATAAAATATGAATCACAAAAATGAATCCACAGCTAAACCTGCCTCGAATTGAATTTTAAACCATAATGAGATCTTAAAAGACACAAAATTCAACAAAAAATTGTAAAACGCACTGTAAACACATACCATATAGTTCTCTTTTCTCTCTCTATATATGTATATCTGTTTGTTTACATATATATCATTATACACACATGTACAAACATATACACACACAACATAACCTGTAGTAAAAATTGTAATAAAAAGCAATGAAATAACTTCACAATTCAGGATATGGGAATCTTTGGAGGAAAGGAGGGTAAGAGTTTACAGAAAGGCACACTGGGAGCTACAATAGTTCTTTTCATGCATTTTATGTTCTCTTTTTAAGCTGTACTTTGGGCATACGGTGTCATTTTTACTATCGTCCTTTAAATCAAAGATATAACTTATATAAACCCTTATTTTTTATATATTTTGAAATAATTTTAAATAACAAAAAACATAATACCTCAAGAAAGCATTCTACCACATCCTTTTTCAAGTCCTTTTTTAGTCCACACAAGAAAAGAAACCAAACAAAGTGTTTTCAATCCTTTATTGCACCTACCTCTCCCAAGAAGTGGAACGCAGATTAACTTTTTTGTTCCATGGTGAGTTTCTCAGACATAAATTATTTCTCCCCTCAACATGCAAAGGAGAATCTATCTGTCTGTGAGGACTGTATTTACCTGTGATCTTGAAGAGCTAGGTATTTTACTTTGATTTACGGCAACTTTGTTCCTTTCAAAATAGCACCATCCAATCTAGAAGTCAGAATGGGAGGTTGGTAATTAGCCATATTTGGCGTGAAGGTACCTACATAATGATTGCATTTTAACAGGAAGTGTGGGCTGCTTCTCAACCTCGATCTTTCTCATCCATAAAATCACTAAGATCTTCCAGATTTCTAGTCTGTAGCAATGGAAATGTAGCCCCTCTACTCAGCACTCACTAGTTGACAGGGGAATATTGTAATATAAGCCACTCTCCTCACTGAGGCCTGGGATGTATCCTGGTTTTCAAGTAGCTTTATTTGTCCCTTCCTGACCCTGGCTGCCTGAGGAGACAAAGCTTTGGGTACAGACTGACCTTGACTCTTGGAGGACAAGTGAAGCTTGTCTTTTTGACCTCTTTCTGTCTTCCTGAGTGCAAGCAGGCCACATTTCCCATTACTAATTCTATGTTCTCCTCATGAGTAAAATATACAATAAGTCCATCTTTCCCCAAAGGACAAATAAAAAAACAAGGGCTTAAGGACTGCTTTAAAGTATTTGCAGCTATTTTGGAAATGTTCCTCCTCTGAGGCTGAGAAGAGTTCTCTTCAACTTTCAGGATGACTCCTAGATTCTGCATCAAGTCAGCAGTCAGTTACAAGTTTACTGGGTGTGCACACTTGGCAGTATATCTGCATCCCTGCACCTTTTTAGCCCTGTCTCAGGAAAGGCTGCTCAAACCTGACTTCCAAAAAGCCTCCAGAGTGGCAACTGCTATAAAAAGTTTCAAAATCCTCAAATTGGCAGGGTCTAGTCTGGTGACACAGAAATCACCATCTGTGCCTGGCTTTCCTCCTGCATGGAGAAAGGGACTCTCTTTCTCCTCCTCCTTTTTCTTTACCCTATCTTCTGAGCGACGTTAAGTTCTGACAGGGTGGGCTTGGTGACTAGCATGCTACTCACTTTTGTTCCTGCTCTCACGTGTTGAAAATGAACCTGAACCATGCCTCCTAAATCTAAAACCCCTGAGATGGGGGTTCTCTGGGCTGTGGGATCTAATTTAGTTTTAAATTGAGAACTTTTTCCCCAGCCTTCTGGCAGTGTTCTCTGGTTTTTACTACGCCTCAAACCCTAGACTCAGATAGCCAATCACAATTCCTGAAGTTGTTTGCTTGATAAACAATATGTCTTAGTCTTAGTCTGTCCCAGCTGCTATAACAAACTACCATAAACTGAATGGCTTATAAAAAAGGATATTTATTTCTCACAGTTCTGGAGGCTGGGAAGTCCAAGATCAAGGTTCTGGGGGATTCAGTGTCTGGGTAAGGGCCAGTCCCCTTGATCCCAGATGGCACCTTCTCATTACATTCTCACATGGCAAAAGTACAAAGGAGCTTTCTGGAGCATCTTTTATTAAGACACTAATTCCGCATGTCCTTTTATTAGGACAAAGCCCTCATGACCTAATCACCCCGCAAAGGCCCCACCTCCTAATACCATCATGTTGAGGGTTAGGATTTCAACATAAGAATTTGGCGAGAAAAGAAACACTCAGTCCATTGTACACAAATACTTTTTTTTTTTTTTTTGAGACAGAGTCTCACTCTGTCACCAAGGCTGGGGTACAGTGGTACAATCTCAGCTCACTGCAACATCTGCCTCCCAGGCTCAAGCAATTCTCCAGCCTCAGTCTCCCAAGCAGCTGGGATTACAGGCGTGTGCCACCACGCCCAGCTAATTTTTGTATTTTTAGTAGAGATGGGATTTTGCCATGTTGGCCAGGCTGATCTCAAACTCCTCACCTCAGTTAATCTGCCCGCCTCGAGCTCCCAAAGTGTTGGGATTACAAGCGTGAGCCACCATGCCCGGCCAACATTATATTAAAGACTGCCTCTTTAGCACTCATTTCCTAAGTGTTTGTCAATTTTTGGTTTCCAGTGTCTGTTATTGCTGTACCATATTAGTAGTGAATCCTGGCTAAGATTCCAATGCTTTTCTCCTGCTGTGGCATTTTCTTCTGACTTGAAACCATTCATTTCTAGCAAGACATGGCTTGTGCAGAGGTGAAACAGCCTATATAACTGCTTGACAGTACATCCAGGCTTGGGGCATGAGCATGATTATACCCCCAGAGTTTTGGCAATATTGTTCACTACATGTTTGTCCCTCTCCAGGACAGAGATCATTTTTTGAACATTCAAGGTTTCTATCTTTTTCTTTGGTTTTCCTCTCTGTGTTATGTTTGAGACTCACAGAGAAATTAATCTTCTCAGAAGCCTTTTTAAGTTTACATTATTTAGTTGCTTAATTTCCCTGACTCTTCTGTTGCCTATGCTTTACCCGCTCAGGTTTTTTTTTTTAAACTACCTAAACTATACCTTCGAAGTTAATCTCATCATAGTTCACTTTTATTTGCCAAATCAGTAGTAACTTTGGAAATTCCACATACAACCTGCGCACTAATTTTCCAAAAGGTTCACAGATGGCCTAAAATTGAGGTTAGCTTCAAATTCAAGGATTGTAATCAGCACATAGTGCACGTAGGTACGCTGCACAAGCATTCTTAGCAATTCTAGAAACGATACCACATTTAGTAGGTCTAAATCTTACTTCCTAGAAACCTGGTATAAAATAAATTTATTTTATAGAACGAGAAATTACCAGCACATCATGATCATTAGTCTACAGGCAAAGTCTTTATTCCTGTAATATTGTAGGAAACTGTTGACCATATTTTTAAGTGTGAAATCTGCCTCTGACTTCAATAAATTTAAGACACAGTTGATACTTCAAAACAAATAATTTCCTATTTCAAACTATTACCTGTTATATGAATTTGTGAAAGACTACAGACATTCTGCAGCATAGACTATTTTCTCTGGTTATATAAATAAAACAGAACTTGCATGACCTTATATACTTGCTTGACTTTTTTTGTGTTTAGTTACATATCTTTATCAATCCATTAATTTATACATTTAAAGGGTATGTGTGTGCATACCAGATAGAAATATACAGAGATAAACTGTCTGAATTTGTATAGTTGCCTTATAGCAATAGCAGAGGCATATAATACTTAAAAGTTTGGAAAAGTGATGACCACTAGCTAAAATCACATTTCAAACTATATTTAAGTTAACACTACTTAAATAGGTTTCCACAGTACTTTATCCACAGGGTGGGTGAAAATTTAATTTCAAATAATACGGAGGTCCCCTCTTTTTCTTTGGGTTAGGCGATTGGAGCAGCTTACCTGAGGCTCAGAGTAAAGGTGGAAGGGCTTTTAGTCTTTAACCCATGATGGTTGCACACTGTCCACATAGTTAAAACCCATATCCATCTTTCAGTAGTCAGTGGCTTTGTCTCTTCTGTGCAAGACTGGTGCAGGAGAATCTTTTCAAAGGCTGTAACTTTATTTTCTCGTGTGCATTCTCATTCGATGAACCATATCATGGAGCCCTTGATGCTCCTCTGAGTGCTGTGGGGGATAAGGGTGGTAGATGTTGGCACAAGTATCCAATATTCAACGTAACTTACCATTCCCATCCCTTTCTATTATAAGACAATTTCTCTTCAGTTTTGTTGCCCTAAAACAAAAACAAAACAGTACTCTTACACTATCTCTCCTCTGTAGACACTGAATAATCACAGAGTTGTCTCTTTACATGGGATTAGCCTTTTTAGGAAAGCACTTTTTAAAAATCTAGCACTTTCTTTTGTGTCTCTGTAAATGCATTAATTAATCCATTCAAAATGCATTAATTAATCCATTCCACAATAGCTATCAGATACTGTTCTAGGAACTGAAAACACTATAGTAATCAAAACAAAGTCTCTCATGGAATGCACATTTTATCAGAAAGAACTTAAGCATCAAGTAAATGAATATATAAACATATCATATGTCAGGTAATATAAGTGCTATGAAAACGAGTAAAGTGAGTTAGGGTGTTTTGTTGTTAGAGTGAGTAGTGGAAGCTCTTTCTTTTAGGTCAAGAGATCAGGGAAAGTGCTTGTGATAAGGTATTAATATTTGGTCAGAGAGCTGATGATGGGAAGAGTCAAGCCATATGACTATTTCTGGGAGGATATTTTAGCAAAGGGAAGAGTATTTGTAAAGACCCTGAGATAAGTGTGTGATTAATTGATTCCAGAAAGAGCCAGGGCCACTTTGTCTGGGATTTACTCGTAAATGAAGGGTGGGAAAAGCTCAAAGCAGGACATAATGATAAACCTGTGTCCTTATGCATTGGATTCTCTCCATAAAAGTGAGATTTAAGTTGGCTATAGGTGCTCATTGACAGGTCTGGCTTCGAGAGTTAGCTGGCTATCTCTTCAAGGGAAAGAAAGAAATGTAGCTGATAGTCTTCTCTCCACATCTTACAAATCAATTGCCAATGATTATGGGTTGTAATAGGAATTTTTTTACAAGAACAATACAATGGAAATACAAGATCTGCCATTTAATCAAATCCATTTTGTAATGCAACTTACTTTCTAGTTCTTGTTCAAGTGTTTATTAAAATTTAATACAACTTTCACTTAACATTATACAATATTTATTTTTTCTTTTTTTTTTCCTCCATGTTTCCCAGCTCCTCTCCAACCTGAATCTCAACATCAGGTAACCTATAGCTTAGTGTAAATCTTTACATATGTTTCTCCATGTTACACAAATACAAACATACATATAAAAAAGTATTAATTTTCTGTTTTAAGTCATTTATTTGTAGAAAGATAGCATTACAGGGCATCTAATATTTTGGTAAGAATTTTTCTTCATTGACATTGCACCGTGGAAATCTATCCAGGTCTTTTTAATAGCTGCATTATAGTTATGTCAGTTTCCATATTTGTGGTACTTTGAATGATGAAAAAAACATAATACGTATGTTCTTCTGTACTGGCACCTTCACTCCTTTTGTATATGTATTACAGTAATATAAAGGAAATGTTTAGTTTTTATCTTGGAAGATATTGTTAGCTTATCTTTCAAGTGGACCATGGTAATTTATGTCCTTGCCAGCACTGGATTTTTAACATGTGTTTGTCTGTGCCAACAAGACAGGTAAAAATTGATACATCATTGTTGCATTTTATTTTTACGTTTTTGTATGTTTGGTTATTTGAACTTTGCTCCTTTATATATTGCCTCTTTATCTCTTTTGAGCATTTTTGTGTTTGGGGTATTATTCCTTCTTATCAATTTGAAATAGGTTTTTGTATATTTTGGCCCATTAATTCTTAGGTGATTGCATTATATTGCAAATATTTTACTCTGTTTACCACTTGCTGATGATATCTTTTGCTATGAAAATATGTAAAATTTTGTTCATTTATATTTATATATTTTCTTTTATAGATTCTGATTTAAATTTTTTAAAATGTTACTGCGTTAGCTGTTACAAGAATAATTAAGTATTCATTGCAAAATACATGAAAGTATAGAAAAATATTATGAAGGAAATAATTACAAATCATGATACCAGCCCTCCAGAAAGTCAACATTTTAATGCATAATGTCCCAAAATATGTAAAGATAAATGTCTACATATAAGTATAAGCATTTTACATGTATATCTGTTTTTGAACAAAAATGAAATTAGACTTCATGTTTTGTAAGTGTGCATTTTATTCTTTTAATGTGTTATAATGACAATTCCTTATCCATGCCATTAAATATTTACCAGTGCAATCCGTCAACATGTTATTTAACCTTAGGAATAGTATATCATACACTAAAAAACACAAAATTCATGTGCATGAAGAAGGCTTCTGTTATTGCGGCATTTTTAAGATGTGCAACTATTATTCCTTTAGCAAAAAATGTTGTGCTTGCTCTTATTTATCTTCTTAGGATGAAACCCTAAAAAGATAATTATCATATTTAAGGTTAAGGGCAATTTTAATGATTTTGAAAGATTTTGATACCTAATGAAAAACTGACTTTCAGAAAGGCTATAGTGGTGTATACCAAAGTAGCAATAAATGGCATACGCTTAGATCCACATACTCATTAATACTGACTTAAAACAATGTTATTCTATTTATCTAGTGATGAACAAAATTCAGGTGAAACTTGCAGTGAAGCGTACAGAATTGTTCTTATTTTATTAAAAAGATTATGCTAACAAAATAAAAGAACACAAATAATATACTAACGATGTCATTGGTGCTGCTGTGGTTGATGTTGTTAATGTAGAGGCTAAGAAAGGATCAAGAAAAAAAATGAAACCTGTTAAATATCTCACCATCATACATTTTACTGTTGTTTTCCTTATCTGAATGAAGAAAGAGAATTCAAATACCTTTCAATTATTTAAAGAAAAATACAAGGAGGTTAAAAATAAAATACGTAAATTCCAACTTACTTGGGTAGAACATAATTTTTTAAATGTTGATAACTCCAGCAAAAGTCGTAAAAGAAAAAAAAAACAGGATTATGACTAGGAAGCAAATAAAAACTACAAATAAGAAAGGACAACATGAATTCAATAAGTATCAATGTGAAAATTTCCTCCTTTAAAAAATTCTCATTATGTGTAAAAAGTATCCAGCTATATTTCCTTTTCTTTCTGAAAAGTATACTGAGGCAATGTATTTCTTACTGTCTCTTGCTCTTGCTCTCTTTGGTTAATAGAACTTCCCTCAATGCCTGAGTTTCTACAGACCTTGGTAAATTATGTGCCATAGACCTGCGACTCTTTAACGCTCATTCTCACAGTTTTATCTTTCTTAGGAGGTGGGAAAAATATGAATACAACAAAGTGTAAGTGTTAGCTATTTTTCTCAAGAAAGCTTTGCCAAAATAAGTATATACTTTTCTCAGAAATATAAGTTTCATATAATTACAGTAAAATGGAGCACGCAGTGATTACAAAGTTCCAGTGAGAAAACTTGGTTCAAAAATTCGATCGGCTTGCTTTTATTGCTTATATTGAAAGACACGGAAGTACCTACTATGAAACCTGTTTTAATTAGGTAATAGAGTTATAATGAAATGCTTTTCGGGAGAGGTTTTAAAATATTTTGAACGTTGCTTCCCTTTGAGGAGGTGATATATTTGGTGGTAAAACCCTCTCTCTACTGCTCCGTAAAATGTGGAGGAACCAATTAGCAGAGTTTTGAAAGAGTCCCTTGCATAAGAAGATAACAGAAACCAAAATGATAATATATGAAAATTATGAAATCGTGTTTTAAGAAGAAAACAGTAATAGAAAAGTGTTTTATTTTATCTCTAGGTATATTTTATCTTAAAATTTCTGCCTCAGAAATTAGGCCCAACCTGAAGAAGAAATCTACTCTTGACTTGGCATACACATGAACTACTTGGTGAGAAGGATATGGCAAAGAAGTTCACACATTCAGGACCTCTTTATGAAACTGAGTTGTTCGGCTCATATTGCTAGGATTTGTTGGAGCTAAAGAGCAGTCCAAAATGAAGTGAAGAGAGAGAAAAATATTGTAGTGAAGAGAATCTAAGAATTTATCATTTCTTTTACCTGTCCATTCTCTGCTTGTCCTAGGAAACAAAGGGGTTGTCCCTCCTGACGGATAGCGGGAGCTGTAGAAAGGTTGTCATGAATGTCTAAGCAATAAAGGATCCTTGGCATTTTGTCATTTCCAATTCTTTTTGTCTCACATTTCCTGGGATGCGAGAGATATTGCAGAGTGGGGTAAGGGTGCGGATAACAGCTTGAAATTTTTTCCTTCCACCCTTGCTTCTGTTACAGAAAATTCTTGAAGTTGTTCAGCATTTAGGGATCATCTAGGTGGCATGCAGAAGCAAATCAAATAGACTGAGAGTAGGAGACAACTTTTCTACATTCGTGATAGAAAACAAAACCTGGCATGGGGAAGGTTATGAGCCATCTACAATGGAAGATTCTCAATTGACTTGGTAATCAAAAAGATAACTACCTAAAGTATCAATGAATAGAGAAAGCCCTCTACATTTCAACTTGGAAATGATAAAGAATTCTAATCCAGAAAGAGGATAAAAGTCGATATGTTAGATATGGGTTAGAAGTGGGAGAGTGAGAGAATAGAACCAAGACAAACAAACAAAAAATGCCCTGACTCCCTGAAATCTTCCTCTCTCTGTAGGGATAGCTAATAAAAAGAAGCCTACAGACAATAAAAGTTAAAATTCTATGCTTACACACATCTTGTTATCACTTTCAACCATGAGCAACTGTTTAATATGTGTGACTTAATCTTTCTGTTTTTACAGATAAGGACGTGTAATTTCTGAAATAGGGCAGGGAACTTGAAACTGTGAGTTGAACAAATGCATAAACTAATTAAGTTAAAATTAGTGCTGTGAGGCTCAGTCTCAAAAAATTATTGTCTATGTGTTAAAGTCACCTTCTAAATATATAATTAAAAATAATTAATTCGAACATGAAACTCTCATTGATAAAAGAGAAGGAAAAATCTTTGTGAAACTTTCTTTTCAAGGTTGCATTATGATTTTCCAGGAATAGTTACGTGTTTGTATAAAACCGTTTTCATATTCGTTTATTCCAAGATGATTTCCAACCTAATAAAACTAAAATGCAGTTAAACATTCGACTGGATATTAAAGCATGATTTGTTTTTCAAAAGAAACATGTACCTTTTGAGCTCCCAACCGAAAATTGTAGCATGCCAACAATTAGAAAAAAAATGTAATTTTTTTCTTTTTATTTGTTCTAAAATAAATAAATAAATAAGGATACATATGCAGAACGTGCAGGTTTGTTACAAAGGTATACATGTACCATGGTGGTTTGCTGCACCTATTGACCCATCCTCTAAGTTCCCTTCCCTCACCCCCAACCCAGCAACAGGCCCTGGTGTGTATTGTTCCCCTCTCTGTGTCCATGTGTTCTCAATGTTCATCGACAACTTATGAGTGAGAACATGTGGTGTTTGGTTTTCTGTTCCTGTGTTAGTTTGCTGAGGATGATGGCTTCAAGCTTCATCCATGTCCCTGCAAAGGACATAATCTCATTCCTTTTTATGGCTGCATAGTATTCCATGGTGTATGTAGAACACATTTTCTTTATCCGGTCTACCGTTAATGGGCATTTGGATTAGTTCCATGTTTTTGCTATTGTAAATAATGCTGGCAATCCTGTAAATAGGTTACATGTGCATGTGTCTTTATAGTAGAATGATTTATATACCCAGTAATGGGATTGCTGGGTCAAATGATATTTCTGTCTCTAGATCCTTGAGGAATCACCATACTGTCTTTCACACGGTTGAACTAATTTACATTCCCACCAACAGTTTAAAAGCATTCCTGTTTCTCCACAGCCTCACCAGCATCTATGGCTTCCTGACTTTTTAATGATAGCCATTCTGACTGGCTTGAGATGGTATCTCACTGTGGTTTTGATTTGCAGTTCTCTGATGATCAGTGATGTTGAGCTATTTTTTACATGTTTGTTGGTCACATAAATGTCTTCTTTTGAGAAGTGTCTGTTCATACACTTTGCCCAATTTTGATGGGGTTGCTTTTCTTTTTTTGTAAGTATCTTTAAGTTCCTGGTAAATTCTGGATTTTAGACCTTTGTCAGATGGGTAGATTGCAAAAAATTTTCCCAATCTGTAGGCTGTCTATTTACTCTGATGATAGTTTCTTTTCCTGTGCTGAAACTCTTTAGTTTAATTAAATACCATTGGCTTTAGTGGCAATTGCTTTTGGCATCTCTGCCATGATGTCTTTGCCAATACCTATGTCCTAAATGGTAATGCCTAGATTTTCTTCAAGGGTTTTTATGGTTTTGGGATTTACATTTAAGTCTTTAATCCATCTTGAGTTAATTTGTGTATAAGGTGTAAGGAAGGGGTCCAGTTTCAGTTTTCTCCATATGGCTAGCCAGTTTTCCCAGCACCATTTACTGAATAGGAGATCCTTTCCCCATTGCTTGTTTTTATCAGGTTTGTCAAAAATCAGATGGTTGTAGATGTGTTGTGCTATTTCTGAGGTCTCTGTTCTTCTCCATTGGTCTATATGTCTATTTTCATACCAGTACCATGCTGTTTTGGTTACTGTAGCCTTGCAGTATAGTTTGAAGTCAGGTAGCATGATGCCTGCAGCTTTGTTCTTTTTGCTTAGGATTATCTTGCGTATACAGGGTCTTCTTTGATTCCATATGAAATTTAAAATAGTTTTTTCTAATTCGGTGAAGAATGTCAATAGTAGTTTGATGGGAATAGCATTGAATCTATAAATTACTTTGGGTAGTATGGCCATTTTCATGATATTGATTCTTCCTATCCATGAGCATGGAATGTTTTTCTATTTGTTTGTGTCCTCTTTTATTTCCTTGAGCAGTGGTTTGTAGTTCTCCTTAAAGAGGTCCTTCACATCCCTTGTTAGATGTATTCCTATGTATTTTATTTTGTTTGTAGCAATTGTGAATGGGAGTTCATTCATGATTTGGCTCTCTACTTGCCTATTGTTGGCATAAAAGAATGGTTGTGCTTTTTGCACATTGATTTTGTATCCTGAGACTGCTGAAGTTGCTTATCAGTTCAAGAAATTTTTGGGCTGAGATGATAGGGTTTTCTAAATATAAAGTCATGTCATCTGCAAACAGAGACAACTTGACTTCCTCTCTTCCTATTTGAATACCTTTATTTATTTATTTTGCCTGATTGCCCTGGCCAGAACTTCCAATACTATGTTGAATAGGAGTGGTGAGAGAGGGCATACTTTTCTTGTACCAGTTTTCGAAGGGAATGCTTCTAGCTTTTGCCCATTCAATATTAATTGGCTGTGGATTTGTCATATATAGCTCTCATTATTTTGAGATATGTTCCATCAATATATAGTTTATTGAGAGTTTTTAACACTAAGGGATGTTGACTTTTATCAAAGGCTTTTCTTAATCTATTGAGATAATCATGTGGTTTTTGACTTTGGTTCTGTTTATGTGATGGATTATTTATTGATTTGTGTATGTTGAACCAGCCTTGCATCCTAGGGATGAAGTTGACTTGAATGCGGTGGATAAGCTTTTTGATGTGCTGCTGGATTCAGTTTGCCAGTATTTTATTGAAGATTTTTGCATTGATATTCATCAGGGGTATGGGTCTGAAGTTTTCTCTTTTTTGTTTTGTCTCTTCCTGGTTTTGGTATCAGAATGATGCTGGCTTCATAAAATGAATTAGGGAGGACTCCCTCCTTTTCAATTGTTTGGAATAGTTTCAGAAGGAATAGTACCAGCTCCTCTTTGTATTTCTGGTAGAATTCAGATGTGAGTCCATCTGATCCTGGGCTTTTTTTTGTTGGTAGGCTATTAATTATTGCCTCAATTTCAGAGCTTGTTATTGGTCTATTCAGGGATTCAACTTCTTCCTGGTTTAGTCTTCGTAGAGTGTAGGCATCCAGGAATTTATCCATTTTTTTCTAGATTTTCTAGTTTATTTGCATAGAGGTGTTTATGGTATTCTTGATGGTAGTTTGTATTTCTGTGTGGTCACTGGTGATATCCCCTTTAACATTTTTTATTATGTCTACTTGATTCTGCTCTCTCTCTCTCTTCTTATTAGTCGAGCTAGAAGTCTATCTATTTTGTTAATCTTTTCAAAAAACCAGCTTCTGGATTAATTGATTTTTAGGAGGGTTTTTCATGTCTCTATCATCTTCAATTCTTCTCTGATTTTAGTTATTTCTTGTCTTCTGCTAACTTTTGGATTCGTTTGCTCTTGCCTCTCTAGCTCTTTTAATTGTGATGTTATAGTGTCAATTTGAGATCTTTCCAGCTTTCTAATGTGGGCATTTAGTGCTATAAATTTCCCTCTTAACACTGCTTTAGCTGTGTCCCAGAGATTCTGGTATGTTGTCTCTTGTTATTCAATTTCCCTGTAATGGTGCGGTTTTGAGTGAGTTTCTTAATCCTGAGTACTAATTTGATTGCACTGTGGTCCAAGAGACTATTTATATGGTTTCAGTTCTTTTGCATTTGCTGAGGAGTCTTTTACTTCCAATTATGTGGTCGATTTTAGAATAAATGCCATGTGGCACTGAGAAGAATGTACTTTCTGTTGATTTGGGGTAGAGAGTTCTGTAGATGTCTACTAGGTCCACTTGATCCAGACCTGAGTTCAAGTCCTGAATATCCTTGTTAATTTTCTATCTCATTGATCTGTCCAAAACTGACAGTGGGGTGATAAAAGTCTCCCACTATTATTGTGTAGGAATCTAATTCTCTTTGTAGGTCTCTAAGAACTTATTTTATGAATCTGGGTGCTCCTGTATTGGGTGCACATATATTCAGAATAGTTAGCTCTTCTTGTTGAATTGTTACCTTTACCATTATGTAATTCTCTTCTTTGCCTTTTTTGATCTTTGTTGGTTTAAAGTCTGTTTTGTCAGAGAGTAGGATTGCAACCCCTGCTTTTTTTTTTTTCTGTTTTTGCTTTCCATTTGCTTGGTAAATTTTCCTGCATCCCTTTATTTTGAGCCTGTGTGTGTCTTTGCAAGTAAGATGGGTCTCCTGAATACAGCACACCAATGGGTCTTGACTCCTTTTCCAATTTTTCAGTCTGTGTCTTTTAATTGGGGCATTTAGTCCATTTGGCCCATGTGTGAATTTGATCCTGTCATCATGATGCTGTTTGGTTATTTTGCACACTAGTTGATGCAGTTTCTTCATAGTGTCATTGGTCTTTATATTTTAGTGTGTTTTTGCAGTGGCTGGTACTGGTTTTTCCTTTCCATATTTAGTGATTCTTTCAGGAGCGATTGCAGGGCTAATGAAATGGTGGTAACAAAATCCGTCAGCATTTGCTTGTCTGGAAAGGCTTTTATTTCTCCTTCACTTATGAAGCTTAGTTTGACTGGATATGAAATTCTGGATTGAAAATTCTTTTCTTTAATAATGTTGAATATGGCTCCTGATCTCTTCTGGCTTTAGAGATTCCATTGAGAGGTCTGCTGTTAGTCTAATGGGCTTCCCTTCATAGGCGACCTGGCCTTTCTCTCTGGCTGCCCTTAACAGTTTTTCCTGCATTTCGACCTTGGAGAATCTGATGATTATATGTCTTGGGGATGATCTTCTTGTGGAGTATCTTAATGGTGTTCTCTGTAGCTCCTGAATTTTCATGTTGGCCTGTTTTGTTCTCTGTATTTCCTGAATTTGCATGTTGGTCTGTTTTACTAGGTTGGGGAATTTCTAGATAATATCCTGAAATGTGTTTTCCAGCTTGTTCCCAGCTGGTACTCCAATCAATCATAGGTTTAGTCTTTTTATGAAGGCCCATATTTCTTGGAGGCTTTGTTCATTCCTTTTCATTCTTTTTTCTCTCTTCTTGTCTGCATATGTTATTTCATTAAGGTGGTCTCTAAACTCTGATATCCTTTCTTCTACTTGGTCAATTTGGCTGTTGGTACTTGTGTATGCTTCATGAAGTTCTTGTGCTGTGTTTTTCAGCTCCATCACATCATTTATATTCCTCTGTAAACTGGTTATTCTAGTTCGCAATTACTCTAACCTTTTATCAAAGTTCTTAACTTCTTTGCATTGGGTTAGAACATGCTCCTTTAGCTCATATAGTTTTTTATTACTCATCTTCTGAAGCCTACTTCTGTCAATTCATCCATCTGACGCTCCGTCCAGTTCTGCACCCTTAATGGAGAGATGTTGCGATCATTTGGAGGAGAAGAGGCACTCTGACTTTTTGGGTTTTCAGCATTTTTTCATTGATTATTTCTCACATTCGTGAGTTTGTCTAGTTTTGCTCTTTGAAGCTGCTGACCCTTGGATGGGGTTTTTGTGGGGGCCTTTTGTTGTTGTTGTTGATGATGATGATGTTGTTGTTGCTTTATGCTTGTTTGTTTTTCTCTCAATAGTGTCCCTCTTCTGTAGGTCTGCTGCAGTTTTCTGGGGTTTCGCTTCAGGCCTTGTTCATCTGATTTGCTCCCATGCCTGGAGATGTCATTCAAGGAGGCTGGAGAGCAGCAAAAATGGGCACCTGCTCCTTCTTCTGGGGACTTCTGACCTCTAGGGGCACCAGCCTGATACCAGTAGGATCGCTCCTGTATAGGGTGTCTGACAAGCCCTGTTGGGGGAGGTCTCACCCAGTTGGGTGGCATGGGGAGCAGGACCTGTTTAACTAAGTATTTTGTCCCTTGGTGGAGAGGGTGTGTTTCACTGGGGCAAAACCCACTTGTCTGGGCTGCCTGGATTCCTCAGAACTACCAGGAGGAGAGGCTAAGTCTGCTGGTCCACAGAGACTGCGGCCACACCTCCCCCTAGGAACTCAGGGCAAGGGAGATCCGAATCATGAACCTGAGCCTCTAGCCGAAGTTATTGGAGATCCTGCCAAGAAAGTCCCACCCACTGAGGAAGGATGGGTCAGGGTTAGACCTACAGAGGCACACTGGCTGCAGACTGCCACAGCCAGTGTTGGGCTGTGGGGACAAGTCTTGGGACCAAGCTGTCCAGCCTCCCTGGCTTCAGCAGGGGAAAAGCACAGACCAGAGCTATAGCAATGGGTGCCCTCCTTCCCCCACCCAGGGAGCTTAGCATGTTAGGCAGTTGCGAGTCCCAGTGCTGGCTGCTGCCCCTCGCCCAAGAAGCTCAAATGGTTTAGACAGCAGATAGGGGCAGCTGGTGCTGGTCACCCCTCCCCAGAGGAGTTCAGTAGGCTTAAGCAGATTCCACCTGAGAGGGGGTAAGGATCTGCGCATTCCGGGGTTGGGATGCTAGGCCCTGGTGGCAGCGTGGGTTCACGAATGGGATCTTCCAATCTGTGGCTTGCACAGTTCCATAGAAAAAGCACAGTTTGCCCCGCTGGGTGGCACTCTCACTCACTGCCTCCCTTGGATGGGGGAAGGGGTTTCCCCTTCCCCATGTGATTCTCATGTAGGTCACCACACCACACTGCTCTTCCTTCTCTCCGTGGGTCACATCAGCATTCTAGTCAATTTTGATGAGAGAACCTGGATACCTTGGGTGCTGGTGAAAGATTCACATACATATTATGGTTTTTTTCTATGGGAGCCTCCAAAAGACACTGTTTCTAGTCAGCCATCTTGGCTCCACCCCTCCAAAATTGTAATTTTTATCCCAAGCCCTCATGCTACAAATCAAAACAATATAACCTTACCAATTGAGAATGAACTTGTAAATTCAAATTTTTTCCCCAGATTTTCCTTTCATTCTCTAATTCCCAGGTCCCAGTTTTTAGAAGTCTTAAAGTTAAATGAGGATGGGAAATAAGACGAGATTGGATCTGGTCCTCTGTCTACACCAGTTACTCATCCTGCCATATGCTGTGGAACTCTCTGTATCCCTCATCTCCAGTCTTAGGTCCAAGCCTCGTCGTCTTATCTGCTCAGCCTTTTCAATCCCATAAGGCCCAAGCACTGCATCTGTAGCACCCCAGGTTATAACAATCCTTGTAGCTTTATTTACACACAAAAGATGTGTGGCCGGGTGTGGTGGCTCACGCCTGTAATCCTAGCACTTTGGGAGGTCAAAGTGGGCAGATCACCAGGGATCAGGAGTTCAAGACCAGCCTGGCCAACCTGGTGAAAAACCATCTCTACTGAAATACAAAAATTAGCTCAGCATGGTGACAGGCGCTTGTAATCACAGCTACTCGGGAGGCTGAGACGGGAGAATCGCTTGAACCCAGGTGGTTGCAGTGAGCCAAGATGGCACCACTGCACTCTGGCCTGGGCGGCTAGATATGCTAGCAGATTGAATTAGCAGAATTTCAAATGTTATGTATTTGAACCAAGAAAAGACTAAGATAAAAGAATTTCCAAATTCTCGGTAAAATAATTTCTAAACTTAAACTAATTGCAATAGTTTCTCCAGATAATTGTTTGCAATTTGTAAAAATTACTCTGAAATGTATTTGGATAACTAATAGGCTGCAATAAATATTTGAATTTTAAATTTGGAGCAATGAGGAGCTTAATGACTCCTTTAGATAATAATACAAATAAATTAGCCATGGCATAATCACTGAAGTTATTGATGAAAAAATTGAGATTGATGAGGAAATTGACAATCAAAAATAAAACACAGGTCTATTTAATAATCTAATCTTTGATAAAGTATCAAAGTTAGCGAGGAAAGAAGAAATGGTTTAATAATATGTTAGAATAGTTGATTGACAATTTGGAAAAAAAATCTCAAACCACATATCAGGCATAAAATGAATTAATTATTCAAACATAAAATGCCAAATAAAATATGAATTTAGCATTAAATGAGGATATTCCAATCCTAAAATACAACAACATTTCCCATAAAAATATTAATAGAAAATACATATGAGGTTAAGGAGAATATTAAATATCTTGGGGAGGGTGGAATGTGAGGATGAGACTGATGTGGGAGTGCAATGCCTTTCAAGTTAGTGGCAGATGTTAATGCAAGTGATTCACCAATTTGGCTCAAAAAGACAGAGATCATGGAAGAGTGACAATTTAGTGAGCTAACTTGTTTCCTTAATGAGCTTCCAAAAAGTCTGTTAGTTTGTAATTAATAAGGTCTAAGTCAGATTAGTCAGGAATCTATAGGCTTAACATGTATACAATTGCATGCCTCTTTCAAGAATAGGCAGGTGAAAGGTTAGAGAGCTTAACATGTGTACAGTTGCATGCCTCTTTCAAGAATAGGCAGGTGGAGGGTTAGAGAGCTTAAACCACTAACTATTCATATAGCTAGTCAAGCAGAACTATTATAGTTTTGAAATTAGGCGACTTTAAATTGACAACAGTTTTTTCTTTCTATGAGATGCTATATATTGTAAAACAATGGTGAAGACATTTTAGTACACCTAAAGACCTGGGAACAAATTAAAATATTTTTCCTAATGCCCATTTATTCTCTAAGCAATTTCACAACACATTCACATATTACCATGTTTTTTATTTGTATTTTTTGTTTTTGCTTTTGTTTTTTAAACCAATTGCTTTTAGTTTTTTTCTTGTGTGGGCTATCTGTCTGCTTTTTGGGAGAACCCTATGAAAAGTTTGATCTGCTAAATACCACTATAGTTTTGTAAATAAATACAAATAAAATATTTTGTTTGTAAATAAATACAAATAAAATATTTTGTCACATTTAGCCAGTGGTCTTGATGTTATGCTAACATCTTCAATGCTTTAAAGAGTGTGTTTGGTAATTATATTCAGACAAGACTTGAGATGTAGATTCTTAGGTCCATTGCATATTTAAGCTAGAGAAGATAATATCACTAAAGGAAAGGGCATGAGACAGAGCCTTAAAGAAAAAGATTTATGAAGTGTTTATCCAAATGTGATCCATGAATCATCCACATGAAAATTCTCTTGGTGCTTACAAAAATGTTACACCTGAAGTGGGGGGCAAACCTACTAAATCAGAATTTGTTAGTCAAGTCTAGGAGACTACATTTTAAAAAAAAACACGCTCTTATTATTTTATATATTGAAATATGGGAAACACTCAGTTATAGGGTTGCTAAAGGAAGAGGAGCCTGTGATGAGGAACTTAAAAGACGTCATCAGAGGAGTGGAAAAAGTATTTCAGAAGAGAATTCATTTCATGTGTTGAATCAAGTAATTAAAGATAGTAGAAGTGAAGGAAGAAATGGAATAATGAAATCATGCTGACATACTAACATTCATAAAAAAGTCAAGCACTGTTGGAATAGGAAATTGTGTTGAGAAAGTCAATATCAATTCAAAGATAGAGCAGTTTCTAACTTTCATTGAAGTCATGTTGTAATGTGGAAAACCATGCATACATATAGTGATAATGACAGGAAATAACCATTAAGAGCAATTCAGGGGTTACTTAATAACATGGCAATAATTATCATAGCATAATCTAATAGGTTATAAAGCAATTGACCAGAAAAAAGGAATAAATAGATTCAATGATGAACTGGACCCTTCTATGAACTCTCAAAGGCCAAATGTATATCTCTTAGGTTGAAATAATGCTGGGAAAAATATATACACCACAGAATCAGAAAAAAGGCTATACATCAAGCTCTTTCTAACACCACTATCCCTGAAATGGCAAAAATCTTTCCCTAAAGAGGAACTCTTAAGATGTCTGGACAAGCCAGAGTAATGTTCTTAGGAGGGAATATAAACTTAAAAGGATTGAGTATGTA
The DNA here is from genome assembly GCF_000001405.40 of Homo sapiens. Lineage (NCBI taxonomy): Eukaryota > Metazoa > Chordata > Mammalia > Primates > Hominidae > Homo > Homo sapiens. The sequence goes on from NC_000012.12 coordinate 87,367,189, forward strand.
AAGTTTAGCCAAGAAAAATTTAAGGGGGAAATGTAATAATTATCTGGAATATAATAATTATGCAGATAGATTAAATATCATTGAGAGAAATAATTATAGCACAGTTTCATGAATAAAACAATGACCAAAGTAAGCAGTGTTAGTATAATTCAGCAAAACATACTAAATGTGAAATATTTTAAAATGTATATTATTAAAAGCTTATTGTTGCAATGATATCTGAATATTAAAAATACTTTTACCTCACCACAGAAATTAGAAGAACAAAACACATAGAAAAACTTTTTTTCTTTTCTATTAGTATTCTGATTATCATTATTGTTACTAATTGACAAAATTTTAGGTATTTTTCTATACGAATAAAGATTTTATTAGTATAAATTTGATATAATAAATATGAAGCTGAAGGATGTAAATATTCTGTGTTCTGCTTAAGTGAAAAAATTTCAATTATTTCTAATGTATGATATTTTTCTTTTGAATAGTAAAATATTCAGAAATCAAAAAGAAAAGAAAAGAAAGCACATTTTCACAACTATAATTAGGAAGGAAAAACTAATTACTGGAATACCTTCACCATTAAGGTTCATGTTTCTAGTAAGCTTAAATTGAATTATCTCCAAATCTTCTCACTTCTTAGAAGGGACATATAATTTTAAAATACAGGAAAATCCCATTTCAGGTTTCATAAGGCCTATTTTGTATTCATTCTCATGCTTGAATTTCTATGACTATGTCAAAGGAATAGATATATTTAGGGCTGAATGAAATTTCTTTATAATGTTTTCCATGGACTGAGCTATTTTCAGAACAATTGGGAACCATTATGCAGCTATATACAGAGGTTTTATAGGCCTTTTGTTGAAACTTTAAAAATGTGATGTTACATATGGGAATATAATATGCCATTTTTGATATAAATTCTTTGCATTTTAATGTTGAGTAAGTATTATGCATAACTTGGCTAGTTCATGCTCAAGGCTGTCACCTCTAAATAACTCAGATTTTTTTAAAAGAAAACACAGTACCATGCATTTAGAAATTTATAATCAGTTCAGTCTGAAGAGTATATCTATTTTAGTACAAGTTCTAGTGTTATTACATTTCATAAGATAGCCTTTATTTAAGACTTTGTTGTTCCTCCATTCTTTTCAGTAATAACTGGTTTCAATGAAGAGTGTATTATGGTATATTATTAACCCATTTACTCTTGGACTTTCCTCCCACCTACCTTTCTTTCTGCCACTTTAAGCTGTCAGTCCATTGTATTCAATGGAGCATCAGAAAATACCAAGTTCTTTCAGCAGCACAGCAGGTGCACATTTATGAAGCGTATCTGATATATTCAGCAACAGTCAACAGATTAATGTCACTGCTCACAATCCTTGTTAAGAGAAAAGGGGAAACAGTGATATAAAAATGAAAGTGCTATTTCCTTCATATATTTAAAGACAATTTTAGAAAATGTGGTGAAATTGTCTCTCCAGATTCCTAAATGATAGCCTGTATCACTTTTTTTCCAACCTAATTCCTAGACCCATTTGACTTTAAATCTATTAATCATGTGTTCATTTATTTAAAGTAACCTGGACTATATAAGAGGCTAAAGATGAAGGGATATGAAATATGGATTTTAAAGATAACAATCATCGTCTCAGTCTATCTAAATGGGCTTCTATAATTCCCAAACTAATTATAATATTGAATACTTCTTTCCTTATTTCATTAATTACAATAACAATATATAATATTTAGAAACATATATATGGATATATATACACACACAGGAAATGTACGGAAGAGATTCTTAAATATCTTCTAATTTCTCTTCCTTTTTATTTTCCTAACATTCATAGTAATCGTGCGTGTGTATGTGGAGGGCGGGGGGTGTTAAGCTTGGCATTTCACTGCTCAGGACAGCTTATATTTCCTAAACTTTCTTTCAGCTTGATGTCACCTTGTGACTAATTTCTGGCCAATAAAATATAAGCAAAAAACTTGTGAGGCAGCTTCTGGACCTTTCTTAAAGAAAATTTCATGTGTTCTTTGACTATAATTCTACATTCCTATCTTCATTCTATTGCCTGTAACATTCAGATTGTTATCTTACACCACGAGGTCAAAAAGGCATGATATGTACAATAAGATAAAACAAGTAAATGGATAGATGAGGCTGACAGCGATTTTTTTACTGTCAGAGAGGTAAATTACACATAAGCAAGAAAGGAATGTTATAAAAATAATATGGTACTCAATTAGAGGCAGTGACATAAGAATGAATTTAAGTTTGGTTTAGGTGTGTGTGTGTGTTTGTGTGTATATATATACATGTATGCATATATATGTGTGTATGTCCACACAGAGAAGATACTTAGAATTATTATTCTAAGTATTTGTTATTATTACCTAGTTCTACTTGCTAAAAGAGCCTAGAATCAGTGACACCTCAGAAGCAACAAGCACACCTAATGCGCAAGTCTTGATTTCTAAGTATGTTTTTCATAAAAGGAACTAAAGCTTATTGGAGAAACGACTTATTCTAATTGGGACAAGAAAAATGTAATTCTGGAGCATCTTTGAATGTAAGGACTTTCTAAAAAATACAAAAGGATGGTAACATGTTAAGAGAAATTGAAGGCAATCTGAAGTAGCTCCCAATTGTCATAACTGGGAAATCTGAGCAACAAAATGAGGAATGTAATAATGAATTACAACTCAAAGTGTAAAATAAATACCAATGAGCCATAATGATAAAAATAAGTAATTAAATGATGAATAAAATTAGATAGAAGAGGTAAATATTCCTTACTTCCTTACAGACTTCCTCTTAACATATGTAATGTCTCCCCACTCCAAAAGGAGCTTAATCTCTTCCCCCTTAAGGATGTGCTAAACCTAGTGACATGCTTCCAAAAAATAGAATACAGTATATGAAAAAGGAAACAAAGTAATTTAAGAGTGAAGAAATCTAAAAAACACGGTACCATAACCAAGTGATGATTGATATCATCAATAATAATGTGTATCCACTCATGTGATGTGATGAGAAGGGCACTTCACCTCTGTAGTATTCTTGCCAAAAATCAATAACCCGAGTTTAATTATGAAAAAATATCAAGCAAACCCAGATTGGGAGGCAGTCTGCTGGCTATCTGACCAGTATACCTCAAGGTCATGGGAAAGATGTGAAGATTGAAACATTGTCACAGACCAGAGGAGACTTCATAGACATGACAAATAAGTGTTTATTGTACCCTTGATTGGATCTTGGAACAGAAAGAGACATTAATAGACAAGCTGGTAAAATGTAAACATAGTCTGAATTTTAGTTAATAGCAATGTACTGATATTGGTTTCTTACACGGTTAACCGTCAGGGAAACGTGGTGAGGGGTATACTTTAAATTTCCATATTATCTTTGTAACTTTTATTGAAATCTAAATGTACTCTGAAATTAAAATTTTATTAAGAAACAAACAAAAAGTTATGAGGTAATGGTGCAACAAAAAGAAAGAAGCCTAGATCCTGACCCCATGGAATGTCTTACAGCCCTGGCCTCTGACTCTGAATTCTAGATAACAGAAATAAACTTGTATGAATAATTGCTACTTTGGGTATTTAATTCCCAGCCAAACTGAAACTCACATTCGTCTAGTAAACAAGCATGAAAATGACAAAAAAATCACCAAAAAATTTCCAGAAATTACAATGCAAATGCAATGTGTTTTAGTTTTTTTTTAAACAAAGTAAATTATATTATGTATATTTAGGTATACAACATGATGTTATGGGATACATATAGATGGTAACAGGGTTACTATGGTGGGGAAAATCTATCATCTTATGAAATTACCCATTTTTCTTGTTTTTGTGGCAATAAAAGCTAAAATCTACTCATTGGGCATGAATTCCATATACTGTACAATTTTATTACCTTTAATCCTCATGTTGTACATTAGAATTCTATACTTGTTCATCCTACATATCTACTACTTTGTATCCTCTGGCCTACATATGCCTATTTCCTCCCCAGTCCCTGGTGCTCATAACCAGTTTGGTTCTCTATCTCTGTGTATTTGATTTTTTTTTTTGATTTCACGTATAAGTGAGATCATGCAGTAATTTTCTTTCTGTATCTGGCTTATTTCATATAGAATAATATCCTCCAGGTTTATTCATGTTGGGGCAAGTGGCAATAGCTTGTTCTTTGTCAGGACTGAATAGTATTCCATTATATGTTTGTAGAACAGTTTCTTTATCCATTTATCCATCCATCAATGGACGCTAGGATTGTTTCCACATTTTGGCTATTGGAAATAATGCTGCAATTTACATGAGAGTGCAGATATTTTACAAGGCATTAATTGAATTTCATTTGGATATAGTATATACACAGAACGGAAAATGCCATGTCATATGGTAGTTTTATTTGTAATTTTTTAGAAACCTCTATTTTCTTTTTCATAATGGTGGTACTAATCTACATTTCCACAAACGGTGTACAATAGTTCCTTTTTTCCCCACACTCTCACTAACATTTAAAATTTGGCTTTTGATAACAGCCATCCTAAAGGGTGTGTGGTGACATTTTATAGTGGTTTTGATTTGCAGTTCCCTGATGATTAATGATGTGGAGCACCTTTTCATATACCTGTTTAATATACCATTTTTATGTCTTCTTTGAAGAAATGTCTACTCAAGTCTTTTGTTCATTTTTTTAATTGGGTTTTCTTTTCATTGAGTTGCATGAGTTCCTTATAAAGTTTAGATATTAACCCCTTATCAAATATATGGTTTGCAATTTTTTTTTCCCAATCCATAGGCTGCTGTTTCATTTTGTTGATTCTTCCCTGTGCTGTGCAGAAAAATTTTAGTTCGATCTAGCCGTATTTATTTTTGTTTTTGTGGCCGATATTTTGTGGTATAATATCCAAAAAAATCATTATTAAGGACAATGTCCAGGAGCTTTGACCCTATGTTGTCATCTAGGATGTTTTGTGTATGGTGCAAGGTAAGGGTCCAATTTTATTCTTTTTTTGTTTTTTTTTTTTGTTGTTGTTTGTTTGTTTTGTTGTTTTAATAGAGAAAACATCTCATTATGTTGCCCAGGCTGGTCTCAAACTCCGGGGCTCAAGCAACCCTCCTGCCTCGGCCTCCCAAAATGCATGAATTACAGGCATGAACCACTGCACCCAGTCCAATTTCATGACTTTATTCATGCAGAAATCCAGTTTTCCCAGAACCATTTAGTAAAGAGAATATTTTTTTTCTCATTGTGTCTTCTTGGTGCTCTTGTTGCAAATTAGTTGCTCATATATGTTTGCATCTATTTCTGGGCTCTCTATTCTGTTCCACTAGTCTATGTGTCCATTGTTATGCTAGTATCATACTGTTTTAATTGACATAGACTTGTAATATAATTTTAAATCAGGAAGTGTGGTATCTCCAAATTTGTTTTCCTTTCAGAGAATTGTTTTAACTATTTGGGGTTTTTTATTATTCCAAATAAATTTTGGAATTTTTGTTTTCTATTTCTATGAAGAATGCCCTTGAGATTTTGCTATGGATTACACTGAACCAGTATGTTGCTTTGGGTAGTTTAGGCATTTTAACAATTTTAATTCTTCTATTCCATGAGCATAAGATATCTTTCCATTACTTGTGCCTTCTTCAGTTTTTGTCATCAATATTTTATAGTTTTCAGTGAGCAGATCTTTGAACTCTTTTGTTAAATTTATTCCTAATTATTTTATTTTTATGTTATAATAAATAGGATTATTTTATTGATTTCTTTTCCGTATGTTAACTTTTGCATGTTAATTTTTTATTCTGCAACTTTATTGAATTCATTTATTATTTCTAACGTTTTTCATGGAATCTTTGGAATATACATATAGAATAATATAATCTGAAAATATAAATAATTTTAGTTCTCCAATTCTGATTTGGATGCTTTATTTTTTCTAATCTGATTGCTTCTGTCAGTACTTCCATTACTATGATAAATAAAAGTGGCAAGAGTGGGCATCCTTACCTTGAACCCAATCTTACTGGAAATGCTTTTCATTTTTTCCTATTGATTATAATGTTAGTTGTGGGTGTTTCATAAATGACATTTATTAAGTCAAAAAACTTTTTTCTATACCAAAACAGTTGAGAATATATTTCAAGAAGAAATGTTGGACTTTGTTGAATGCTGTTTCCATATTAAATAAAATAATCTTGTGGCTTTTAACTTTTACTCTATTAATGTGATGTAGTACATTGGTTGATTTGCATTTGTTAAACCTGCTTCACATGACAGAATGAATCTCACTTGATTATAATGTATAATCTTTTTGATGTGCTATTGGAATTGTTTTACTAATATTTCATTGAGGATATTTGCATCAATATTCATCAGAGACCTTGATTTGTAGATAATTTTTGTCTTGTGATGTCTTTGGCTTAAGTATCAAAGTGATTTTGGCCTCATAAAATGTGTTTGTAAGTATTCCCTCTAGTTCTATTTTCCAGAAGAATTTAAGAAGTATAGGTATTAATTTTTTTGAATGTATGTTAGAATTCAGCTGTGAAGCCATCTGGTTGTGAAGATGTTTTGCAGGTAGGTTTTTTAGTACTTCTTCAATCTCTTCATCTGTTATTGGTCTGTTCAGTCTTTCTAATTCTCTTTGACTCAATCTTGGAAGGTGTGTATTTTCCTAGGAACTTATTTATTTACTCTAGGTTATCTAATTTGTTGTTATATAATTATTATTCAGAGTCTCTTACGATCATTTTTTTATTTCTGAGGCATCCATTGTAATTTATTCACTTCCATTTTTCATTATTTTTGCATTTTCTCTTTTTATATTAAACTTGCTAAGCATTTGTCAAATATTTATTTTTAAAACTCTTAGTTTTTTCTTTTTATGATTCTTCTGTTCTCAATTTATTTATATTCTGATTTTTATTATTTCCTTCCTTCTGCTAATTCTAAATTTAGTTTGTTCTACTTTTTCTGGCTTCTAAATGTGTAATGTTGGACTATGTGCTTTGAACATCTTTTTAATGAGGCATTTATTGATATAAATTTTCTTTTTGAACTGCTTTTTCTGCATCCCATAGGTTTTGGTATGTTGTATTTTCATTGTCATTTTTCTCAAGATATTTTTAAATTTCTCTTTTGATTTATTCTTTGACATTTTGATGGCTCAGGAGCATATTGTTTAATTTCAACATATTTGTGAACTTTGCAAGCTTCTTCCCATTATTGGTTTCCAGCTTCATAACCTTCTGGTCTGAAATGATACTAGATAATATTTAAATCTTCTTAAATTTGTTAAGACTTTTTTGTGGCCTAACTTATGGTCTGTCCTGGAGCATTTTCCATGTACATTGGAAGAAAATGTGTATTCTGCTACTGTTAGATGAAATAATCTGTATATATCTATTAAGTCTATTTGATAAATAATTGAATTCAAGTCCGGTATTTCCTTATTGACTTTCCGTTTGGTTTATCTATTTATTGTTCAAAGTGGAATACTGAAGTTCCCTATTATTAACATATTGCTATCTATTTCTCCCTTCACCCTCATTATAATTTGCTTTATGTACTTAGGTGCTCCAATGTTGGATACAGAAACATTTGCAGTGGTTACATCTTTTTTACAAACTTACCACTTTATTGTTAAATAATAACCTTCTTTGTCTCTTGTGACAGCTTTTGTTTTGAAGTCTATTTTATCAGATATAAGAATAGCCACCCCTGCTCTCTTTTGGTCACTATTTACATGGAATATCTATTGTCCTTTCATTTTCCACTATGTTATCCACAAAGCTTAAGTGGGTCATTTGTAGTCAGCATATAGTTGGATATTGTTTCCTTTTTTATTAATTCAGCTATTTTACGTCTTTTGAGAAATTAATCCATTTACATTTAGTGTTCTTATTGATAGCTAAGGACTTACACTACCATTTTGTTATTTTCTAGTTGGATTGTAGCAGATTTCTTCCTCTCTTGTTGTCTACCTTTGTGATATTATATTTTTCTATGGTGCTAAGCTTTGATTTCTTTTTCTTTATCATTTGTATATCTGCTGTAGCTTTTTGTTTTGTGGTTAATATCCAGCTTACATAAAACATTTTATAGTTATAATCTACTCATTTAAACTGATAACTTCTGTCACATAAAAAATGTTATACATTTACCATCCCCACAGTTGATGTTCAGATGTAATAATTTGCATCCTTTTATATTGCATATTCCTTAACAACTTATAATACCTTTAGTTATTTTTGACTATTGTGCCTTTAACTTTTATGCTGGAGATATGTATAATTTATAATTCATCTTTACAGTATTGGAATATTTTGGATTTCACTATGTACTTTTCTCTATCAGTGAGTTTTATATTTTCATATGTATTGATGATGGTAAGTATCATCCTTTTGGTTCTGCTTGAAGAACTTCCTTAAGCGTTTCCAGTGAAGCACGTCTGGCCATAATGAATTTCTTCAGCTTTCGCTTATCTGTGAAAGACTATTTCTCCTTCATTTCTGAAGAATTTTTTTGGCATAGTAGTAGTATTGGCAAGCATTTTTGTTTTGGTTTAGTTTAGCTTGGTTTTTGATATTTTCTTTCAGAACTTTGAATATATCATCCCATTTTCTCATGGTCTGCAAGACTTCTTCTGAGAAATCCACCGATAGTCTAATGAAGATTTCTTCATCTCTGACATGATGCTTTTCTCTTGCTTCTTTTAAGATTTATCTATTTGTCTTTGACTTTGACAGTTTGATTATCATGTGCGTTGAAAAGAAAAAACCTCTTTGGGTTGAATCTATTTGAGAACCTTTGAACTTCATGGATTCAGGTATCCCTATCTTTCCTAAGACATGGAAAGTTCTTTTTTTTTTTTTTTTTTTTTTTTTTGTGAGATGGAGTCTTACTCTGTCACCCAGACTGAAATGCAGTGGTGCAATCTTGGCTCACTGCAGCTTGCATCTCCCAGGTTCAAGTGATTCTCCTGCCTCAGCCTGCCAAGTAGCTTGGATTACAGGTGCCCACTACCATGCCCAGCTAATTTTTGTACTTTTAGTAGAGACAGGATTTCACCATGTTAGCCAGGCTGAACTCGAACTCCTGACCTCAAGTGATCTGCCCGTCTCAGCCTTCCGAAGTGCTGGGATTACAGGCTTTAGGTATTCTTTTTTTCTTGTCTTCCTCAATGTACTTTAGTTTTAAATCTTATTTTTAGCAACCCATAAAACCCTATCAGTTAAAAACATTTTATGCTTAACTTTGTTCATTTTAATTCACATGTCCTAATGAGCAATAAGCTAAGATTACATATCAAATGTCCCTCTATTAATAAAGGAAACATAGATGCTTCAAACATGAGAATTTGGAAAATTGAAGCTCTTCTGAGATTCTCACATTTTTAGAATAACATTTACAAAATTAAGCCTGAAATTATGTTAGATATTGTACTAGATTTATTTAATTTATGGTCCCAGCCAATAACTTTCCTGTCCTTATATCCTGTGGAATGTGAATTCTCAAGTTCCTTACTTCAAGAGGTAAAGTTTCTTTTTTCTTTTTTTCATCATCTCTTGAATATGAGCTGAGCATAGTATATACTTTGACTAATGAAATGCAGCAAAAGTGAGTTGTGTTATTTTAAGATCCAGGTCTCAGAAACCTTGTGTGCTACTGTTTCCATTGGATTTCTGCCTCAGGCCTGAGACCAAGTCTGGACTAGCCTGTAGGAGGATGAAAGAATATATGGAGGAAAGCTAAATCTCGAGCATACAAGCCCCAGTCAAGATCAGCAGAGCCTGTTCTACAGAAGGAAAACTGCCTAGTTAACCAATAGGCTGGTGATAAATAATAAATTGTTTTATTTCTAGAGTGATTCGTTATTCAATGACAACTTACCAATACAAAGCTCTATTCTTACATGTTGACTGCATATAAATCTCTCATTCAAATAGTCCACTCCCAGAGCAGTGTCTAGGTCAAAAGATCATATAGAAAAATAAAAAATAATGTAAAAATAGCTATAATAATGTGAATGGATCTATAAAGCAGTATTTTTTAATCTACATTTGTCACCCAGTCACCAAACTTAAATACCATGAGGCCCCACTCACTCCAAACTTCAATCCAATTCCAATTTACACACATTCTTCAATTTTTACTCCTATTAATTCTGCATTATACATTCTAAAACAACTCTACAAAAAATACAAAAATTAGCAGGGTGTGGTGGCCGCACGCCTGTAGTCCGAGCTACTGGGGAGAGTTAAGGTTGAAGGATCACTTGAGTGCAGGAGGTTGAGGCTGTGGTGTGCTGAGATCACACCATTGCATTCCAGCCTTGCACTCCAGCCTGGGTGACAGGGAAAGACCACGTCTCAAAACAATAAAAAATATAAAATAAACTAACTAATAAGTTCAGCAAGGTTGACAGATTCAAAATCAAAATACAAATATCAATTATATTTCTATACACACACTGAACAATCTGAAAATGAAATTAAGAAAGTAATTCAGTTTATACTAGTATGAAAATATAAAATAGAAATAATATAAAAAAAGAAGTGCAAAACTTACACTCTGAAATCTACAAAACATTGTTAAAACAAGTTAAACCTCTAAATAATTAGAGAAACATTCTGTATTTATGGAATCAAAACACTTAACATTGTTAAGACAGCAACACTCCCAAACTGTCTACTGCTCAACAGATTCAATGCAATCCCTATCAGTACCCCAAAAGATTCTTTGTCGAAATTGACATGCTGCATCTAAAATTCATATAAAATTGCAAGGGACCCAAAATAGTCAAAATAATTTTGAAAATGAATAACAGGGTAGAAAGCTTCACACTTTCATATTTCAAAATCTAAGACAAAGCAACAATAATCACCACAGTGCAGAATTGGCACAAGGATGTAAACAAATGGAATACAATTGAGAGTCCATAAGTAAAGCCACACATCTTTGGTCAATTGATTTTTAATCAGGGTGTCAAGATCATGCAATGAGAAAAAGAATGGTGTTTTCAACAAATGATGTTTCGTCAACTGTGTAGCTACATGCAAAGGAATGAAGTCAGACCCTTAACTAACACATACACAAAAATTTTCTCAAAATAGTCAAAGACCCAAATAGAAGAGCTAAAGCTATAAAACTATTACAAGAAGTCATGTGGTAAGCCTATATGATGTTGGGTTCAGCAATGGATTATTAGATATGACACAAAAGGCAGAAAAAAAAGATAAGTTGGACTTCATCCAAGTGAAAAAACCTTTTTGCTTCACAAGACACCATTAAGACAGTAAAAAATACAACCCATAGACTGGGAGAAATATTTGTAATTCATACATCCGATAAGGGACTTGTATCCAGAATATATAAATAACTCTGATAACTCAGTAACAAAAGGACAATCCAAATAAAAATGGGAAAAGTATTTAAATAGACATTTTTCCAAGTAAAGTATACAAATAACCAGTAAGCATGTGAAAACATGCTCTATTAGACATCAGGGAAATGTAAATCAACCCACAATGAAATACCACTTCACACCCGCTAGAATGGCTAGTATAAAAAAGTCATACAATAACAAGCATTGGCTAGTGGTAATGTAAAAAATGTTGCAGTCACCTTGGAAAACAGCCTGCACTTTCTTAAATTATTAAACAGAGAGTTACTATATGGTCTATCTATTCTAAGTTACATGACACTTAAAAATCATATCACTAGTTATATACCTCTATAATTCTTACATAACTAAGAATTATATACCTAAAAGTAATGAAAACATATATCCACATACAAATGTGAACACAAATGTATATAGCAGCTTTATTTATAATAGCCAAATTGTGGAAACAGCCCAAGTGTCTATCAGTTGATGAATGAATAAACAAATGGTTGTATATTCATATGATGAAGTGTAATTTGGGCATCAAAAAGGAATAAAGTAATCTTGGGTGCTGGGGCAGAATGCTATATATTTGAAATCAAAACTCATGTGTTGAAACCTAATCCCTAAGTTGATGGTATTAGAAGGTAGAGCCTTTCGGTGGTGATTAAGTCATGAGGCCTCAAACCTCATGAATGGGATCAGTGCCCTTATAAAAGAGACCTCAGAGAGCTAGCTAAATCTCTCTACCATGGTAGGACACAGCAAGAAGGCACACTCTGTAAGCCAGAAAGAAGAGCATCACCAGACACCAAATCTGCTGCTGCCTTGATCTTGGACTTCCCAACCTTCAGAACTGTGAGAAATAAATGTCTGTTGTTTACAAATAATCTAATTTACAGTACTTAGTTATAAAAGCCTGTATTGACCAAGAATATTGCCTATTATATAATTTTATTCAGATGAAATGCCCAGAAAAGGTAAATCTGTAGAAACAAAATCAGATTACAGTTTTCCTGAGACTGGGTAGAGGTTGATAGCTAAACGGTACAGGCTTTCTTTTCAAAGTGACAAAAATGTTACACAGTTGACAATGGTGATCACAGTTGCACACATCTGTGATTATGCTAAAATTCACTGTGCACTTGAATGGTCAAATCATATAGCATGTACTATATTTCAATAAAATTGTCAAAAAATAAATGATGACTTGGGTTTTTTTTAAATTGCATCATTTATTCTTGTGTGATTTTTCTTTGTAACTCCAAAGAGCAGAGTTTGAGAGTTTCTATTGATTCCACTTGGTATTTTGTGTTTTTCTTTTTAAATATTCCTAGTGACTGTGCAGTATTATTACATTGTGATTTAAACTTCCATTTTTCTGATGGCAAATAAAATAAGCATCTCTTATGTTTACTGTGTAATTTTGACACTCTCCTTTTGTGAAGTGCCTGTTTAAGGCCTTTATCCATTTTTCTGTTGTGTTTTTTGCCTTTCTCTTAAAGATTCATAGAAGTTCTTTATATATTCTGAAGGCAAGACCTTTGTTTGAAATACATACTGCAAATATCTGCTTCCATTTTCTTGCTTGCTTTTACACCCTTTAATAATGTCTTTTACTAAACAGAAATTATTATTTTAATATAGTCCACATCACAACTTTTTTTATAGTTAACGCTGTTGATAGCCTAAAGAAATTTTGCCTAGGCCAAGGTCATGAAGATACTCTCCCGTGTTTTCTCTTTGAAACATGAATGATTTTTTTTCATATTTTCATGCAAGTAAATATATAGCTTGAAATAGACATCAATATTTTGTTTCCTTTTTCCATATGGGTATCCAATTAGCCCAGAATTAATTGTGAAAAAAAGTATGTCTTTTCCTCATTAAATTGCTGTGATACCTTAATCATAAATTAAATAACAATATATCTTCAGGTCTATTTCCTGGCTTCTGTTATTTTTGACTTGTAAGAATTGTATATTTGGCAGTTGTTGGAAGCAGTAGTGTCAAACAAATATTGTTTTGGGCAATATAGTATTGATCAGGTTATTTATGTCTTTACAGATTTTTTAAACTATATGTTTTATTAATTGCTCAGAAAACAATGTTAAACTATCTGTGAAGATTAGAATTATTCTATTTTTCCATTTATTTTTTGAAAATTTCCACTTTGTGTATTTTGATGTTATTTATTTTTCAAGTGTAAAAAATAATAAGTAGATTATCTGGGATTTTCTTCACATGCAAGTATTAAATTTTAGATTTTATTTTTAAAAACCACTACAGGACTATTATTTTCTTTTTTTTTTTTCAATTTATTCTTGGGTGATTTTTTGTAACTTGTATACATAAGATAACTGTCCATTTTATCTAAGTTGTCAAATTAATTGAAATTATTTCTTTTTATTATTACATTATGATTTTATCATCTTTAAGTTGATAATTAAGTTGTTTATAAGTGTATTGCATAATTTTGCAAGTTTGGAGATTTTCTAGGTTATTTCAATGTGGTCAGAAACTATAATTTAAATTATATCAATTCATTGCAATTGTTAAGGCTTATTTTATAAAGCAGCATATTGTCAGTCTTGATGACTTTCTTATGTGCATTTAAATAAAATGTACTTTTTGTCATTGTTGGATGCAGTGTTCCATACATTCCAATTAGAACAAGTTTGATTTCAGTGCCCTTGTTTCACTTTTCCATTCTTATGGATGTTTGTTTCTTTTGTTCACTTTCATCTATCAGCTACTGAAGGAGATATGTTAAAGTGTCAAACTGTGAATGCGACTATCTACCCCATTTGCTTTTACAAAATGTTGCTTTACATATTTTGAAGCTCTGTTATGGGGTATATGCAGGTTTTGAATCAAAACATGTTCTTCATGGGTTGATATCTTCATCTTCCTGAAATGTTCCTTTTTAGGTCTAGTGATGCTTTTTGCATAAAAATTTGAGGCAACCAATAGCACTAATAAGTATATACAGTCAGGGAGAGAATTAATGAATTGGAAGTTAATATTGAGATATCATGCAGAGTGTTGCACAGAAGCACGATACTAAATATAAAAGGCAATTAAGGCATGTGGAGGTTGAGATAATATTTTCTAACATAATTACCTTTTATATGTTTTCCCCAATTCTCTATTTTTTTAATATATTTCTTTTCACTCATGGATTTACCAGCTGCCATATTTTCTATGTATGTAATAGCCATGCATAAAAAGTCATGTTTTTGTTTTTCTATAAGAGCCATATGTCACTCAAATTCATGTTATTTGTGTTGCAACATTTGTAGCCCCAATTGTTGAAACCTGGGCAAGGCCTATCTCATGCCTTTGACCTCACCATTTCAGACTTCCTCTTTTTACACTGTCAATTTCTCTTGATTCTTATGGTTTTAATATTTCTGAGTTCCTAGATTCCATCAACATGAAACTACAACAAAACCATTATTTTCTTGGCAAAACTGTGGACATTTCCAAATATATACCATGCCCCCTCCTCCACCGGGAATCTACTCTATAACCTCAGCAGCCTGATTTGTGTTAGATGATGACAAGTTTGGCAGCAAAAGCTATTTTAAAAGGAGTTAGTGAAGAACAGTTGGTTTAAGTTTTACCTTTACCTGATTATCAGAATCATACTTTGATTAGCTCATATGTAGTTACCTTTTTAAATGCAAGATGTACAACGCTTGTATTTTTTTCCTTATCTGTCATACTTTTTGAAACTATGTTTTTTTCTTATCCACATGAATAAAATCAAGTACAATAGTTGCCCTTTATCTATAAAGGCAGTTTATCTATAAAGTAAAAGAGTTTTACTTTCCATGTTTCAGTTGCTCACAGTTAACTGCAATTCGAAAATACCAAATGGAAAATTCCAGAAATAAACAATGTATAAGTTTTAAATTGAAAGCCTTTCTGAGAAACATAAGGAAATCTCATATCAGCCCACTCCACTTTGTCCCACCTGGAATGTAAGTCATCCCTTTGTTCAGCATATCCAGTTGTCACTTAGTAGTAGCCTCACTTATCAGATCAACTGTAATGGTGTCACAGCCCTTGTTTTCAAGTAACCCTTACTTTGCTTAATAATGGGCCCGAAGCACAGAATGAGTGATGTTGGCATAATGTTATAATTTTCCCATTTTATTACTATTGTTCCTAGTTTTGTACTATGCCTAATTTATAATTAAACTTTATTAAATGTATGTAAGTATAGGAAAAAATATAGTATATGTAAGATTAAGTACTTTCCGCGGTTTTAAGCATCTGTTAGGGTTCTTGGAATGTATTCTCCCGTGGATAAAGGGGGACTACCGTGTTTGTCTAGCTCTGCTTCTTCAAAGGTTTTAACAAGTACAGAACTGTGTTATACATTTCAAACTTAGTTTTTTAATCACCTAGTAGCATTATGGGTTTCAGTTTAAAGAAATATCACCAAGATAAGAGACTTAGTGAAATTTTACTACTTATTGAGAGTGAAGAAGGCAATTTCAGGCAAAGCCAGATATCTGATAGTAAATCTAATTAGCCCCGTATCAGCTCTTCTTTGAAAATACAAGCACCATGCTGTTAGCAATAAACTGAGATTCTAATGCCTTTCCAGGACTCCCAATTACAATGTTAAATCCAAGTGTAAATAATTAAATGTACATATATTTAACCTGAATTGCCCAATGGCCATGCTGTCATCACTTTCTGCCTCCCACTAAACTTTGTCAGTTGTTGGTAAAATAGCAACATGGTAATAAAGAAAAGGCGGAAGCAAAGGTAGTTAGAACATGATAGGCTCCACAGTGCTTAATCCATAAAGCAGGAAACACAAATTGGTGAACTGGAGTGATGACATGGTTACACTGAACTACAGAAAGAGGCCCCTTAGGGGACTAGCAGGAAGTAAATTGGGTTCTATTTTGAGATGATGGTTCATTTACATTGTTGTAATTATTTAAATAATTAATTTCATAATGAGAGAAGCTTATAAAAGCCAAAGACATGCTGAGCTGCAAATCTAAAATTCTCTGACGCTAAATCAGAGGCGTTTGTCTTCCATAATACGTACTTTATTATTTTAAAAATGGTATATAGTCTTTCAGTATTGCAGAGGCTGACTTGATAGGGTTTTCTTCTAACCCAGACCAAGCAGAAAGAAGTTTTTTCCTTGCCAAGAAAACATGAAATGTTCATTCACATCCAGCTTAGGCAGCCAAGAGCCCTATAAAAAATATAAGGAGGATATGCAAGGTCAGGACCAAGGAGTCTGAAGGAGCAGAAACTTGCCAGAATGCAGTGAATCTGGTCTGTAAGGCAACTGTCAGTCTATAATAAACAGGTCAGACTAGGTGTGAGTCAGAGCATATTAGATAAAGGCAGTGAGTTAAACACTGCAAGGTTAGGTGAGATGGATAACCCTAGAGTCTCAGGAGGTTTTGAAAAACAGAAGGTCAGCAAAGACTGAGAATGTAGGAGAGAAACACTACAAAATCAAACACATAGAAGGAAAATCAACTTGACTTTATGGCAGATTTATTTTTTTTCTTGCCCTGTCAGAAGAAAAAAAAAAAAAAAACGAGTGTAATTCTAGGCATGAGCACTTAAATGAGACATATAAGGGGAAAGTTTGAAAATTCAATAAATAAATAATTATTTTTCTAATCTCTTTTGTAGTCTCTCCTCATAGGGATATCTTTACCTCCAATTCTTCGGTGATGTTAACACTGATATACTCTCTCTCCAAGAAACTCAGCATTTGCCCTGCTCTCAATTCTGTGCATGTAACAATAATAGCTTCATTGTTCTAGTTTTGTCTCTATGCCGTTGACCTTCACTTTTATTGCACTTTAGCCATTTGCTTCCAATACTGCACCCTCAATTTTCTCATTTCCTGAACTGCTCTATCCCTGAAATCGTAAACACATGCTATTCCACTTTCAAGCAACAACTGCCTATCCTTCACCTAATTTCAAACCTCATCACTGTTCTTCAACCTCACCAAGATTTACAGATACTTTATTCCTGCTTTCTCTAAATCTTTGCAGTTTCTGTTCTTCCTTGCTTCCTTCTTTGGTTATTTCTGGGAAGCAGGATAACATAGTGGTTAACGGGATAACACAGTAATAAAGAATGCCTGAGTTTGAACTCCAGCTTCTTCGCTCTTTAGAGTCAATCTAAATAACAGAGAGAGGTTTTCTTAAACAATTATCTATTCGAAAATAAGACATTGCAATGAGAACATGCATACTATAGTAAAAGATGTGCATATTCATGGAAGTAAAAGAAGACAAAGGTTTTTAAAGGAAAAACATGAGTATTATATAATTATTTTGCGAGAATTATTCTTGGCTATAAGGATCAGTAACAAGGGTGGCTCCATTCTGGGGCTGGACAGGCAGTTGCTGGGAAAATGTCTTCCCAGAAGTGTTTTTTTTGTGTAAGGTTGTAAGGACGTTTGTGAGAAGTTGTGGTTTTTGCAAAGTATTTTCTGGTAGTTTTTGTTATCAAGCACTTGCGCTTGAGAACCCTCTCTTCATGGCCTTTCCTGGCTCTGTTTGTCAGGGTTTGTTTTATGTTTTTGTTGTTTAACATAAATAACTCCATTTTTATTCTCACAGCATTCACATTTCTCCCTTTTGACGAAGATCTTTCTCTAAAAGCCTCAATGATTAAGCATCCTGTAGTTAGGTTTGGATTGTTCATCAGCATCAGGGTGGACCTGTCCCAGGTTTCTGGTCTGGTCCCAAACTGGAAGAAGTAATTGGCAATGTCAAAACTCTTTTAGCAACTAGAGAGGTTTGAAGGGAGAGACTTTCAGGTTAAGTCCACCTGGAGTCCATTATGAAGTTCAATTTTGTCTGTTCCATGGTCTTTTGCTATCATCTCAAAGTGCTGGGTTAGCACTAGTCTGTTAGGAGTTGTACTTCTGCAAAAATTTACTAAGTAACAGATACAAAGCTTTAAAAGGGAAATACAAAGCAAAACTAATAAGTTACATGACAATCCCAGTTTGCCTAATGATTTTGAGCTGTGAATTTAGGCTTAAAGGCTAACAATTGAATAAATCAAATGATCATTATCCAGCCAAGTGAAAAGATAGGCATTAAGAGAGCTTGTCTCATTATGACATGGAGCCTTATTCTGATGTTTAGATAAAAGCTGTCTACAGTGTGAAAACATCAACTTCTCATTCTGGTTTGCAGTTTGAATGTTTCTGGCTAGGACATGGGGCAATTTGGTGAACTTTTGTGTGGCCCATACATTAAGCATGAAACTTGTGTTTTAAAATTATAAAATGATTCTCATCCACAAAATACTCATATATGACAGTTCAAAATTAATTGCTTCCTAGGTTTGCATGAGAAAATGTTACTAAAAGTTAAAATTCCAACTAATATAATGCAATTCTGTATATAAATTGTACCTAAAAAGTAAGATGTGTTTTAATGAGAAAAATCATATGAAAGGCATAAATATGTGCTCTTTATTGAGGAAAAATCTTAATTTTGGCTAATTTAGATATTCTTTAAAGTTTATTTCAAAAAGTAAATTTAGGAAGGAAATAGAAACAAGATGGAAAGGACCCAGTAGGTAGGAAAGAGAAATGTGAAGAAAGTTATGAATGTGAAAAAGCATTTTTGTTAAGAAAAGTCAAAAATAAAAATAATTTGTATAAAAAAGAAAATTTTGTGGTAAATTTTTGTCCTAAATTAAAATGACTGTTTATTTAAGAAAGAGGAATTATAGGACAAAGCAAAAGTCCACACATGTCATCAAAGGTTCATGCAGGTTGCCAAAGGTTTGTGAAGGATGCAAAAGAAATTTTGTGTATGCCCTAGTTGGCTATAATTTGAAGGGATGTATTTATAAGTCTTTGTAAAGATTGATGTTTGATATTAAAAATACACTGATGCAAAACTAATATTTAGTGTTTAACTTTTACGTTCAGGGGTACATGCACCGTATGTACAGGTTTGTTACGTAGGTAAACGTGTGTTACGGGGGTTTATTGTACAGGTTGTTTCATCACCCATAGTTATTTATTTAGAAACAAGACTTTTCTGAAATATTGATCTACTCTCAGAAAATCTGCAAAAGATTTTGATCTTGAATTTCTGTAGCTTTTTTCTGTTTTATGGACTTCATTTAATTTCCCTAGTTTCAGGTTTGTAATGCTTCTTTTTTATTTAGAATGACAATTTTATATCTGGAGATAGAATTTTCCTCTTGAAGCTTCTCAGATTCATATCTCAGAAGTTCATGTGATTTGCAGTTCATGCATCATTGCCTTCTGCTCTTCGTCTTTCTCCCCTTGAGAAGGTCTGAGACAATAACTTTCTTCAACTTTTTCATTAGCTCTTGTAACATTTTCCCCCAGTTCTAACTCTGCTCTTAGGGCCTGATGCTGAAATATTAATCTTAATACCTAAAAAAGCAATCTTTTCCTCTGGTAAAATTTGATTCTGTACTCTTAGCTTTTTTTGACATGTCTAAATTGTTTCATCTAACCGGGAAATTTTACATGCTTTTACTTTTTCTAAGATCTGTGTATTCCCCTGCTCGAGGTACTAATTTTGTCATTTACATTCCTCAATAATGTGGTACACACTCACAACCTTGGACACACATTCTTCTGGTTAAATTCAAATACCTTTTCATCAGGTTCAACTTCCAGGAGTCACTTATGGAAAAAAACAAAATGTACACAAACAACAAAATGTACACAAACAGCAAAAAGCAACAATAAAAAAAATTGACAAATAGAGCTAGGAAAGGTAATAAAGAGAAGATTCTCATGCATAAATGCCTCATAATAAAAAGCATCACAAAAGACCACAATCTTGCACAAGTGCCATCACAACCTTACACAAAAAAACAACTACTGGCCAGGCGCAGTGGCTCACGCCTGTAATCCCAGCACTTTGGGAGGCCGAGGCGGGTGGATCAGGAGGTCAAGAGATCGAGACCATCCTGGCTAACACGGTGAAACCCCGTCTCTACTAAAAATACAAAAAATTAGCCTGGTGCGGTGGTGGGCGCCTGTAGTCCCAGCTACTCGGGAGGCTGAGGCAGGAGAATGGCGTGAACCCGGGAGGCGGAGCTTGCAGTGAGCCGAGATGGCGCCAGTGCACTCTGGCCCGGGCCACGGAGCGAGACTCCGTCTCAAAAAAAAAAAAAAACAAACAAACAAAAAACTACTTCTGCAATGACATCTGCCTAGCAACTGCCTGTTCAACCCCAGAATAGAACCACACTTGTTCTTGTAGCCAAGGTAATAATTATCTCAAGGTAATTATGTAATCATCCTCACTTTTTTCTTAAATCTTTGTTTTCCTTTACCTCCCTGAATATGCACACATTTACTATGGTGTGCATATTTCCATTTCCAAATAAATATCATTTTATTTTAGAGAGCAACTCCCCCTTTGTTATTTAAGCTGATATAAATGGTGTCCAGAAGAAGACCTCAAGAAAGATCACTTCTGGTAGAAATTAGCCATTTCTAGAACTAGTGTGTAGTACCCATTTGAGCCCTTAGAGCACTCTGCTTCCATAGCTCACCTTTTCTTCCATGGTGAGTCTTCTTTCAGGTTGAGCCATCCTCTTTTTGCTTGAAGATTTTGACTTTATTCAGGATCTGATTTGGAGAAGGGAGTCTTACCAGACAACCTTCCATCCCGCCTGAGATGGTGAAAGACTGCCTTTTCTGGAAAGTTTGTATCTGGTATAAAGACAAATGTCTTTCTGGTGTGAGTGCTCTTATTTTTACAGAATTTATGTTCTGTCGGTAAAGCATGTATTCTTTGACAAATTTACTTTGGGTTTTTTCTGAGACCAAAAATAAACATTTTAAAAAGCCGGTACAGAATGGCTAGTTAAAAGCCACCAGGGCAGCAGCTATCACCATCTAAAACACTGGTCCAAACTCCTAATATCCCCTGATAGAATTTATGGGATTTCCTTTGCTCTCAAGTGATTAATATAAAATGGAAGGGGATTCATAAACATTAACACATGCCAGGTTTTCTGGGACTCCAGCTGGCTACATATTATGACGCATTCTCATGTACATTTTTATATTGAATTGATGGGAAAATTAAAGAAAATTCAGAGCTCAAATGATCATCATTAAAACTCTCTGTGAACATCTCCAACTACAGAATTAATATGTGGAGCCTGTTAAGTTCTCTTTCTACTTTTTTTTTTCTGCCTACTTTGAATCTGCTGACTCTTCTGCAGGTGTTGTGAGAAAACTCATTCTTACGGCATTTTAGCCAAGATAAAAAAGACTTTTTAAAGTTTTAAAAGGCATTCAAATTAATGGTTTTAAAAATTACAACAGTTCAATGGCAATCAACAACCTAGACACTTTTTGGAAATGTAAATTTAAGTTTGCCTGACTAACAATTGCTGAGAATGATAGAACAGTTAATGATAAATTGATGGTCTAAAAGAAAAGAAGTAGATAAATGTTTATAAAAGGATCTCAGACCATACAGTTTAAAATCTTAAGCTCAGTGAAAAAATATAAAGTATCTCTGTCAAGTATAAAAATTGCTTTGTCTACCAACTTTTGGCTAATAAATTTGACAATCTAATTGTCATTTGGATGAAACAGAAATAGTTCTAGAAAAATATGACTTATCAATACTGAACAGAAATAAAATAAATATTGTTTGCCATATTTCTGGGGAACGCATGGCTTTTTCTGCCGCTCAGGGACCAGAAAAAGTGCTAAAGGAAATAAAATAAAAGTGCTAAAATGCTTTCTCTCTTGCATTGACTAATCAAGCAATCCAGACTGGCAAAGAAAAGATAAGATTTGTTACTAAAAATTTCATACCACTTAAAGATTTTATTTTTCTGGTGCAATTCAACTCATCATTGCTGAAACTGAAAATTTAACCCTAAAGTCAACTGAAACTAAAAATAGGGGAGAATAAGGATAAAATATATTTCTTGAAACCAAACTGCTTTACCCAAAATTTTGGTACACGGCCCTCATTAGATTATCATTTCTATTAGTCTTCAAATTCTCTTATCTTTTTACTTCTGCTTTGCTGCTTTTGGAGAGCCTCTCCTTATTTTTTATTTAGTTAACATAACTGTGTCAGCTGAAAATGAAGTTTAGCCATGTGAACAGGTCCTATTTTGTCAGAAATATAACTTGAATCCAACGGTCTTTTATAAGTTGTTGAGTTTGTATTACTATCTCATGTTTAAAATTTTAAAATAAAAGCCATGAGATTTGTATCTATATGTGTGTGTATGTGTTTACGTGTGTTTATGCATATGTACATGTATTATATTACAGTTGTGCCTACGTGGTAAAGATTTTGTATAGTCAACCAGAAATCCCTTAAGGAATTCTACTCAGATTGAATTAGATGAATGAATGTTTGTGTAAAATATACAATAATCCAAATGACTTTTAGTTCATGTGACTTATGTTAAATATTTTTTTAAATAAGCTGGTTTTTAAATTATTGGTAAAATAAAAATAGAAGTGTCTTCAGAATTGTCAGCATACACTTGTACCTGGGTTTACTGTTCAGAAAGCTTTACATTTGTCTCTAATAGATGCTTTAAGGTGCTGGGGTTTGAAAAATGTTTTTAAAGAAAAAAAATGAGAATGATTACTTAATTTTTTGAGATAATTATAATTGGACACAAGAACGTATCACAAGGATGGCACCAGTTCGAGGTTGGACAGGCAGTTGCTGGGCAGATATCTTTGCAGAAGTATTGTTTGTTTGTGTAAGGTTGCAATGGCCTTTGTGCAAGTTGTGTTTTTTCCAGAGTCTAATGTAATAATTTTTGTTATCAGGTATTTATGCATGAAAAACCTGTCTTCAGAGCCTTCCTGAGCTCTATTTGTCATGGTTTTGGTTTTGTTTGTTTGTTTGACATAAGTGATTCCACTTTGATACTAACAATTTTCACATTAGATATGTGACATTTAGGAACACCCTTAATATCATTAAGACTCAATTCCTTTCTAATAAATGATTGTAAAATAGTACTAACTTATATGTCTGTAATAAATATTAAAGAGGTATTTACTATAGGGAGATTAGCACAGTGCCTGAAACACTTTAAACACACAATATATTTTACCTGGTATTATTGTTAGCCTTTACCATGTTTTATCATCTCTACTATTTTAATATAAAACTTATATGTTAAATTACTATTAACTATTTGCCTTTCTATCTTTACTCAATATCCATGGCCAGCCTCATGCAAGTGTATAACTTCATCATCAAATGCTAATGAATTCCTTCTCCATCTTTAGTCTGAATTGCCCTCTTTGAGCTCCAGCACATGTATCACACATTCTATAGGACTAGTATGGTATGGATATCACACCAAATTTCAGCCTTAAAATAGTCAAATATGAATGTATCACCATATTCCCTTCACATTATCACGCTCTTCATGATTTTTCCAACCTTGGTGATTGTGAAAACCAATGATGCACCTGCCAAGGAAAAATATTCAGAAGTTCGAATATTTATTCTCCTAAAATACCTATATCTAATTACTTATTTAATTCTATACATCAATATTTCACATAACTTTTAAAATGTTTCTTCTCCTAATTATCCCTACCTTAGCATAATCCTTCTTTTTTCTTCTGTGGATTACTGCAGTAGCCTTTCAAAAGTTGACTCCAGAATTTCTTCTCTCAAAACAAAGCAAAATTCATCTTTACTGCTTTCAGAATGCTTTTTTATATAATAGAAATCTAATAATAATATGCCTCTGCTTAGATTCTTTCAGGGGTTTGGCCAGGTGCATGGCTCACGCCTGTAATCCCAGCACTTTGGGAGGCCAAGGCAGGTGGATCACGAGGTCAGGAGTTCAAGACCAGCGGCCAACATGGTGAAACCCTATCTCTACTAAGAAGACAAAAATTAGCCAGGCATGTTGACATGCGTCTATAATCCCAGCTACTCGGGAGGCTGAGGCAGGAGAATTGTTGGAACCTAGGAGGCGGAGGTTGCAGTGAGTCGAGATTGTTCCACTGCACTCCAGCCTGGGCAACAGAACAAGTCTCCAACTCAAAAAAAAAAAAAAAAAAAAAAAAATTCTTTCAGGGGTTCACTATAGTCTTCAAAGAAAAAAAAAAAAAACCTTAGCATATATATGCACCCTGTTTTCTCTGTTTAGCAGGGGGGAGTTAAACTGCTAGGACTCACTCAAATCCATGCTCATATACACTTCTTAGCTCTGTGGCCTCCTAAATTACTTTACCTACATAATACATAATAATCTAATAATTTAACTCCTAACTACTTTTTGATGTACCTTTATTTATCTTTCCTTGGGCTTAAAATTCTTTAATTCTATTTCTCATCTATTTACTTTGGTAGCACGTGATAAATGTTGAATGGGATGACTAATAACTTGTGTTAATTGCTTTATAATAATCATTCATTAGATTTTCTCCATAAGTCTTTGTGGTAGGTATTGTAATCTCGACTTAAACATGGGAGATACCATGAATTACAGAGGTGAAGGTATTTCTCAAAGTCAAATGTCTAATTAGTAAGATAATTATGATTCAAGTCTAGATCTTTCATTCTCTAAATTCTCGGCCCTTTTTACTTCTGTTTTGCAGTCTCTTAGAGGAAAAACAGCTGACACAGTTATGGGTGCCTCTATTCCTATTTCTAACTAAAACCCTAAACTGTAATGTGGGATTAAAAATAGTACAGCTGAATTTAGTTTTCAACTGGGTAAGCACATGAGAACTTCATGCCACTCGGTCAGTGTTCCTCAAAAGTTTCACTTATGGGAAATTTTTATTAGCCTCTGTAAGGGTGATTTAAAATATAAATCTTCAAACCTAGATCTCCACATTAAGAATTACCTGGGTTATTTTCCAAGAGAATTCTAATGGACATGAAGAGAACCGCTGGCCAAAAATGAGAAATTAATATACAAGATGTAATCACGAATTGCCCAGTTCCTAAATGTGATGCTCATAAAGAAGATGCTTATTTCCACATGCTTTTATCAACCTTAGGACTGGAAAAAATATCAAGAAAATAACTACAACAGTCATTGCATGGAGTCTGCCTAAACTGAAAAAAAAGGAAGAAGAAGGAATTAAATTTTATTTTTTTATTGCTGAGCCTATGTGGTATATATTGACAAAATTCATTGATATCCCTTTCCTTTCTATGTCCAGACAAATAGGAGAATTGTCCCTTCCCACATATGAAGTAAGGCAAGGATATATGACTTGCTCTGAGCACTTAAATATGAGCAGAATTGATGTTTGGCATTTCTGTGTGGAGTCATTTAATTGGTTTTGCTCGTCTTTCTAAGTATCTCTTCTCTGATTCCATGATCACAAGATCATATCTACATGTGGATGTACACAATAAGCCATCACATAAATAGCCACTCTTCTGGAGAAATGCTGAGGCTCACACTGAGCATCAAAGAAGAACTGAACCTGTAAGATTTATTTTAAATTTTTTGTCTCATTTTTTGTCACTATAACATAAACTGTATCAGTATGCCGAATGATATAGGATATGTTTATATTATGTTTAGTAAGTGAATTTTATTAAAATAAAACAACACACACACACCCCACCTCAATTCACTGAAAATATTCTTCCAATTAATTTCACTAAAGCAGACACAATTGGTCAGCTAATTCACTTTGAAGACTAGATCCAGTTACACCTAGGAAATAAAAAAATTCTGGCTTTATTTCAGAGAGTAGTCTCCAAAGAAGTAAAAACAATTAAGTGAAATAATCTTCAGTGCTGGAATCATCAAGTAATTAGATTAGCTTTAGGATGCATACCACTATACTAGGTGTCATGGGGTTTTCAAAGCTTAAAATTTATCTCCTCTGAACTCTTTGACTCAAAACAACCTTAATTACAATAGTGTTTCCCAAGACTAAACCTTATAATGCTATTCAGGACAGAGTTGGTTATTAAAAGATTTCAAAGATTTTATGGATATGTGTACGATTTTTTTTTTTTTCAGACAGAGTCTTATTGTGTCACCCAGGCTGGAGTGCAGTGGCGTGATCTTGGCTCACTGCAACCTCCACCTCCCAAGTTCAAACGATTCTCCTGCCTCAGCCTCTCAAGTAGCTGGGACTACAGGTGCCTGCCACCATGCCTGGCTTTTTTTTTTTTTTTTTTTTTGTATTTTTAGTAGAGATGGGGTTTCACTATGTTGGCCAGGCTGGTCTTGAACTCCAGACCTCGTGATCCACCCATCACATCCTCCCAAAGGGCTGGGATTACAGGGATGAGCCACCACACCCCGCCAGTATTATGTTTTAAAAAGCTATTATATTGTGGTGATTCCAAGATGGCCGAATAGGAACAGCTCCAGTCTACAGCTCCCAGCATGAGCGATGCAGAAGATGGGTGATTTCTGCATTTCCAACTGAGGTACTGGGTTCATCTCACTGGGGCTTGTCGGACAGTGGGCACAGGACAGTGGGTGCAGCACACCGAGGGTGAGGCGAAGCAGGGCAAGGCATCGCCTCACCCGGGAAGTGCAAGGGGTCAGGGAATTCCCTTTCCTAGCCAAGCAAAGCAGTGACAGATGGCACCTGGAAAATTGGGTCACTCCCACCCTAATACTGCGCTTTTCCAGTGGTCTTAGCAAATGGCACACCAGGAGATTATATCCTGTGCCTGGCTCGGAGGTTCCCACGCCCATGGAGCCTCACTCATTGCTAGCACAGCAGTTTGAGATTGAACTGCAAGGCAGCAGTGAGGCTGGGGGAGGGGGGCCCACAATTGCTGAGGCTTGAGTAGGTAAACAAAGCGGCCAGGAAGCTCAAACTGGGTGGAGCCCACCTCAGCTCAAGGAGGCCTGCCTACCTCTGTAGACTCCACCTCTGGGGGCAGGGCATAGCTGAGCAAAAGGAAGCAGCAACCTCTGCAGACTTAAATGTCCCTGTCTGAGAGCTTTGAAGAGAGTAGCGGTTCTCCCAGCATGGAGTTTGAGATCTGAGAATGGACAGACTGCCTCCTCAAGTGGGTCCCTGACCCCCAAGTAGCCTGACTGGGAGGCATCCCCAGTAGGGGCAGACTGACACTTCACATGGCTGGGTACCCCTCTGAGACGAAACCTCCAGAGGAACGATCAGACAGCAACATTTGCTGTTCAGCAATATTCACTGTTCTGTAGCCTTTGCTGCTGATACACAGGCAAACAGGGTCTGGAGTGGACAGACCTGCAGCTGAGGATCCTGACTGTTAGGAGAAAAACTAACAAACAGAAAGGACATCCACACCAAAACCCCATCTGTATGTTACCATCATCAAAGACCAAAGGTAGATAAAACCACAAAGAAGGGGAAAAAACAGAGAAGAAAAACTGAAAATTCTAAAAATCAGAGTGCCTTGCCTCCTCCAAAGGAACGCAGCTCCTCACCAGCAACAGAACAAAGCTGGACGGAGAATGACTTTGATGAGTTGAGAGAAGAAGGCTTCAGAGATCAAACTTTTCTGCACTAAAGGAGGAAGTTTGAAGCCATCGCAAAGAAGTTAAAAACCTTGAAAAAAGATTAGACAAATGGCTAACTAGAGTAACCAATGTAGAGAAGGCCTTAAATGACCTGATGGAGCTGAAAACCATGACATGAGAACTACATGATGAATGCATAAGCTTCAGTAGCTGATTCGATCAGCTGGAAGAAAGGGTATCAGTGATTGAAGATCAAATGAATGAAATGAAGTGAGAATTTTAGAGAAAAAAGAATAAAAAGAAATGAACAAAGCCTCCAAGAAATATGGGACTATGTGAAAAGAACTAATCTATGTCTGATTGGTGTACCCTAAAGTGACGGGGAGAATGGAACCAAGTTGGAAAACACTCTGCAGGATATTATCCAGGAGAACTTCCCCAATCTAGCAAGGCAGGCCAACATTCAGATTCAGGAAATATAGAGAACGCCACAAAGATACTCCTTGAGGTGAGCAACTCCAAGACACATAATTGTCAGATTCACCAAAGTTGAAATAAAGGAAAAAATGTTAAGGGCAGCCAGAGAGAAAGGTCGGGTTACCCACAAAGGGAAGCCCATCAGACTAACAGCTGATCTCTTGGCAGAAACCCTACAAGCCAGAAGAGAGTGGGGGCCAATATTCAACGTTTTTAAAGAAAAGAATTTTCAACCCAGAATTTCACATCCAGCCAAACTAAACTTCATAAATGAAGGAGGAAAAAAAATCCTTTACTGACAAGCAAATGCTGAGAGATTTTTGTCACTACCAGGCCTGCTCTAAAAGAGCTCCTAAAGGAAGCACTAAACATGGAAAGGAAAAACCGGTACTAGCCACTGCAAAAACATGCCAAATTGTAAAGACCATCGAGGCTAGGAAGAAACTGCATCAACTAACAAGCAAACGAACCAGCTAACATCATAATGACAGGATCAAATTCACACAAAACAATATTAACCTTAAATGTAAATGGGCTAAACGCTCCAAATAAAAGACACAGACTGGCAAATTGGATGAAGAGTCAAGACCCATCTGGGTGCTGTTTTCAGGAAACCCATCTCACATGCAGAGACACACATAGGCTCAAAATAAAGGGATGGAGGAAGATCTACCAAGCAAATGGAAAACAAAAAAAGGCAGGGGTTGCAATCCTAGTCTCTGATAAAACAGACTTTAAATCAACAAAGATCAAAAGAGACAAAGAAGGCCATTACATAATGGTAAAGAGATCAATTCATCAATAAGAGCTAACTATCCTAAATATATTTGCACCCAATATAGGAGCAACCAGATTCATAAAGCAAGTCCTGAGTGACCTACAAAGAGACTTCGACTCCCAAACAATAATAATGGGAGACTTTAACAACCCACTGTCAACATTAGACAGATCAACGAGACAGAAAGTTAGCAAGGGTATCCAGGAATTGAACTCAGCTCTGCACCAAGCGGACCTAATAGACATCCACAGAACTCTCCACCCCAAATCAACTGAATATACATTCTTCCAAGCACCACACTGCACATATTCCAAAATTGACCACGTAGTTGGAAGTAAAGCACTCCTCAGCAAATGTAAAAGAACAGAAATTATAACAAACTATCTCTCAGACCACAGTGCAATCAAACTAGAACTCAGGATTAAGAAACTCACTCAAAACTGCTCAACTACATGGAAACTGAACAACCTGCTCCTGAAGGACTACTGGATACATAACGAAATGAAGGCAGCAATAAAGATGTTCTTTGAAACCAATGAGAACAAAGACACAACATACCAGAATCTCTGGGACACATTCAAAGCAGTGTGTAGAGGGAAATTTATAGCACTAAATGCCCACAACAGAAAGCAGTAAATATCTAAAATTGACACCCTAACATCACAATTAAAAGAACTAGAGAAGCAAGAGCAAACACATTCAAAAGCTAGCAGAAGGTAAGAAATAACTAAGATCAGAGCAGAACTGAAGGAGATAGAGACACAAAAACCCTTCAAAAAATCAATGAATCCAGGAGATGGTTTTTTGAAAAGATCAACAAAATTGATAGACCGCTAGCAAGATTAATAAAGAAGAAAAGAGAGAAGAATCAAATAGATGCAATAAAAAATGATAAAGGGGGTATCACCACCAATCCCACAGAAATACAAACTACCGTCAGAGAATACTATAAACACCTCTATGCAAATAAACTAGAATATCTAGAAGAAATGGATAAATTCCTCAACACATGCACCCTCCGAAGACTAAACCAGGAAGAAGTTGAATCTCTGAATAGACCAATAACAGGCTCTGAAATTGAGGCAATAATTAATAGCTTACCAACCAAAAAAAGTCCAGGACCAGACAGAATCATAGCCGAATTCTACCAGAGGTACAAGGAGGAGCTGGTACCATTCCTTCTGAAACTATTCCAATCCATAGAAAAATAAGGAATCCTTCTTAACTCATTTTATGAGGCCAGCATCATCCTGATACCAAAGTCTGGCAGACACACAACAAAAAAAGAGAATTTTAGACCAATATCCCTGATGAACATTGATGCAAAAATCCTCAATAAAATACTGGCAAACCGAATCCAGCAGCACATCAAAAAGCTTATCCACCATGATCAAGTGGGCTTCATCCCTGGGATGCAAGGCTGGTTCAACATATGCAAATCAATAAGCGTATTCCAGCATATAAACAGAACCAAAGACAAAGAACACATGATTATCTCAGTAGATGCAGAAAAGGCCTTTGACAAAATTCAACAGCTCTTCATGCTAAAAACTCTCAATAAATTAGGTATTGATGGGATGTATCTAAAAATAATAAGAGCTATTTATGACAAACCCACAGCCAATATCATACTGAATAGGCAAAAACTGGAAGCATTTCCTTTGAAAACTGGCAGAAGACAGGTATGCCCTCTCTCACCACTCCTATTCAACATAGTGTTGGAAGTTCTGGCCAGGGCAATTAGGCAGGAGAAAGAAATAAAGGGTATTTGATTAGGAAAAGAGGAAGTCAAATTGTCCCTGTTTGCAGATGACATGCTTGTATATCTAGAAAACCCCATCGTCTCAGCCCAAAATCTCCTTAAGCTGATAAGCAACTTCAGCAAAGTCTCAGGATACAAAATCAATGTGCAAAAATCACAAGCATTCTTATACACCAATAACAGACAAACAGAGAGCCAAATCATGAGTGAACTCCCATTCACAATTGCTTCAAAGAGAATAAAATACCTCGGAATCCAACTTGCAGGGTATGTGAAGGACCTCTTCAAGGAGAACTACAAACCACTGCTCAACAAAATAAAAGAGGACACAAACAAATGGAAGAACATTCAATGCTCATGGATCGGAAGAATCAATATCGTGAAAATGGCCATACTGCCCAAGGTAATTTATAGATTCAATGCCATCCCCATCAAGCTACCAATGACTTTCTTCACAGAATTGGAAAAAACTACTTTAAAGTTCATATGGAACCAAAAAAGAGCATGTATTGCCAAGTCAATCCTAAGCCAAAAGAACAAAGCTGGAGACATCATGCTACCTGACTTCAAACTATACTACAAGGTTACAGTAACCAAAACAGCATGGTACTGGTACTGAAACAGAGATATAGACCAATGGAGCAGAACAGAGCCCTCAGAAATAATACCACACACCTACAACTATCTGATCTTTGACAAACCTGAGAAAAACAAGCAATGGGGAAAGGATTCCGTATTTAACAAATGGTGCTGGGAAAACTGGCCAGCCATATGTAGAAAGCTGAAACTGGATCCCTTCCTTATACCTTATACAAAAATTAATTCAAGATGGATTAAAGACATAAACATTAGACCTAAAACCATAAAAACCCTAGAAGAAAACCTAGGCATTACCATTGAGGACATAGGCATGGGCAAGGACTTCATGTCTAAAACACCAAAAGCAATGGCAACAAAAGCCAAAATTGACAAATGGGATCTAATTAAACTAAAGAGTTTCTGCACAGCAAAAGAAAATACCATCAGAGTGAACATGCAACCTACAGAATGGGAGAAAATTTTTGCAATCTACTCATCTGACAAAGGGCTAATATCCAGAATCTACAAAGAACTCAAACAAATTTACAAGAATAAAACAAACAACCCCATCAAAAAGTAGGAAAAGGATATGAACAGACACTTCTCAAAAGAAGACATTTATGCAGCCAACAGACACTTGAGAAATGCTCATCACTGGCCATCAGAGAAATGCAAATCATAACCACAATGAGATATCATCTCACACCAGTTAGAATGGCAATCATTAAAAAGTCAGGAAACAACAGGTGCTGGAGAGGATGTGGAGAAATAGGAACACTTTTACACTGTTGGTGGGACTGTAAAGTAGT
Organism: Homo sapiens; assembly: GCF_000001405.40. Lineage (NCBI taxonomy): Eukaryota > Metazoa > Chordata > Mammalia > Primates > Hominidae > Homo > Homo sapiens. The sequence continues at coordinate 87,399,472 of NC_000012.12, forward strand.
TCAACCATTGTGGAAGTTGTTGTGGCGATTCCTCAGGGATCTCGAACGAGAAATAACATGTGACCCAGCCATCCCATTACTGGGTATATACCCATGGAATATAAATCATGCTGCTATAAAGACACATGCACATGTATGTTTATTGCGGCACTATTCACAATAGCAAAGACTTGGAACCAGCCCAAATGTCCAACAATGATAGACTGGATTAAGAAAATGTGGGATATACGCCATGGAATACTATGCAGCCATAAAAAATGATGAGTTACTGTCCTCTGTAGGGACATGGATGAAGCTGGAAACCATGATTCTCAGCAAACTATCGCAAGGACGAAAAACCAAACACCGCATGTTCTCACTCATAGGTGGGAACTGAACAATGAGAACACTTGGACACAGGAAGGGAAACATCACACAGCGGGGCCTGTTGTGGGGTGGGGGAGGGGGAAGGGATAGCATTAGGAGATATACCTAATGTAAATGACGAGTTAATGGGTGCAGCACACAAACATGGCACATGTATACATATATAACAAACCTGCACTTTGTGCACATGTACCCTAGAACTTAAAGTATAATAAAAATTTATATATTAAAAAAAGCTATTATATTAAAAAGCAAATGCAAACAATGTAACATAATACAAATTGTTAGAAGGCATTCAATTTATTCTTACTTTTTATGTGCTAAAATTCTTACTTTATGTTTGGAATATCTTTTACATACAATCCATGAGGAATGGGTTTAAATGGGTTCTATTTAAAATTTGAAGTATCCAGAAATATGTAGTAGAGCAGCTGCCTTGAAATAACTTCCTGCATCATTTTACTCTTGAAACAAATCATCTCATTTATCTAAGTATTGACTATAAAAGTCAATGGAAAAGTTGATCTTTCAATACTTGTTATAGGAATTGATAATATTAAGTCTATGTGTATTTGGTGGGGAGTGACATCTTATTTTTCTTCCTCAGGAAGCATTTAATGTCAGTCTGTTCTGGAAGAATATGGATAACAAAGACCAAACAACAAAGACGACCTTTCTTCCACCTTGCTTCATGGTTGTATTAGCTTAATGAGGCAAGTTGTCTTGTTATTTCTTCCATAATTATTTACATTGAGTTTTTTTAATGTGCCAGAAAGTGTTGAGACACTAGGGAGTATGTGGTACATCAAACAAGACAGAGTGCCTGACTCTGAAGATGTCTTCATAGTAGTGTCACAGATGAACATTAATCAATCCCACAAAGTAATTTAAATGTAAAACTGTTAAATGATTCACAAAGGCAAGATATAGAATATTATAAAAGCATATAGTAGAAAATTGCCTTAATCATGGATATCAGAAAAATCATTCTTAAGTATGTTACACACAGACTAATTAGGAATTCATTAAACAAAAGTTCACACACAAACATGTGCACACTTAGCATTCCAGAAAGAGGAGATTGTAAGTGTAAAGGCCTTGTTTTGAGAGGGAGTTTGGCAATTATGACACATTAAAGCATAACAGGTATGGCTGCTGAAGTGGAGCAGTGTAGGGAAATGTAGCTTGAAAAGAGACCAGACTTCGTCTGATCCCACAAAAGTGTTTATAATGAAAGTTGGGTTACTTTGGCATTATTTCGTTTTGATCCACTTACAACATTACTGGTGCTTGGAATGATGTCAATAATATTAATGTCCAAAATTTATCATTTGGTATAATAGTAAAAGCATCATTGTGTACCACATGCAATTCATATTTGTGATAGAAATGGGTTTTTTATTATTTCTTCACAAATTTTTCAGAACTTATTCTTTTATAAAATAACTCCAATTAAAGTATTTCAGTAACAATAAAAATATTATGTGTCTTCTCATTGTCATCTCCAATAACAAAGTTTCCAAATTTGTGTAGCTGTGCCTGCTTAGGTATTAAACACAGTAATGCTGCTTATGTCTTTTATAAATATGAAGCCAGATATTATCCACCATGGGAAAACTTTCAAAAGTAAGTTATAAACTTTAAATATCTGTGTAAACTCTCTCAGGACAAAGAAAAAGGAATTAGAAATATTAAAATGAATGTTATAAATACTATTCAATATATTTTTTATTCATAGACTTTATCGTTTAGAGCAGTTTAAGATTTACAGAAAAACTGGGCAGACAATACAGAATCCTCATGTTATTCACACACCCGCACACAGTTTTCCCTATTATTAGCATCTTATGTTACTATAATAGATTTGTTACAATTAAGAACCAATATTTATACCATGCTTTTTACTAGAGTACATAGTTAATTAAGATTTCCTTCTTTTCTACTTATTTTTTTTTCTGTTTCAGTATCCCACCCAAACTATGATGATACATTTGGCCATATGTCTCCTTAGACTAATATTGGCTGTTGCATTTTTTCAAACTCTCCTTGTTTTTTATGATCTTGATGATTTTTAAGAGATCTGGTTAAGTATATTGCTTAAGATGTCTCTTTGATAGAATTTTTGATGTGCTGCTTTTATGATCAGAGTGGGATTATAGATTTGAGGGGAGACGATCACTGAGGCAAAGTGGCATTTTCATCACATCATATCAAGGGTACATCTATCAACATGATTTATGACTTTTGATGTTGACCTTGATCACTTGGCTAAGTGGAGTTTGTAATGTTTCTCTACTGTAAAGTTACTCTTCCCTCCTATTCCTTTCCACAGTCAGCTTATTGGAAGGAAGTTACTACACAAAGTCCACACATAGGACTGGGGAGTTAAGTTCCCTCTCTTTCAGAGTGAGGTATCTACAAAATTTATTTGGAATTCTTTTGCAAAGGAGAGTTGTCTCTTTATATTTATTTAGTTATTTTTATCATTTATCAATATGGACTCATGAATATGTATAGAAATAAGCTATATTTATATATATGGGCTATATAAATATAGAAATATTTATACTTTGGGCTATAATCCAGTATTTTATTTTGTTGCTTAAATTGGTCTATGTTTGGTTTTGGGGAGCTCTTTCAATTAGTTCCAGTGCTCCTTTAATGTATTTCTATAAATGGATATTTTGTTTGTTTTCAGCACTTTCTGGCATCACAAGCAAGAGTCTTTATGTTCATATGGTGTATTTCCTGCCCCAGTCCTAGACTTAGGCATTTCTCCAGTAAGTCCTGATTTCTTTTGTGGAGAATGGTATTAGAAAGCAATATCTGGTTGCTAGGTGTGCTCATGGATACTGCTGGGTCATTTTTGTTAGGCCGTCTCAGTTGAAAGAAAAGAAACATGCATGTGTCATTAACTGGTGTATATACAAATATTTGTAGGCATTTTTATATGTAACTATTTATATTTATATTAAGTAAGATATGTTTATATTGTTGTCTCCAACTCTAATACACACCCACATTGATCACTCTAGCCTTCTCCCCTTTACTATCTGTAAATTTCCACACTAAAAATAAGAAACCTGATTCCCACTATCCATTTACATAATTTTTCAATTTAAATATACATGGATAGCAGCATAAGAGTTTTTAACCCATACACTCATCAAAAACAACTTTACCAACTAGAATACAATGCTTATGCACAGTTTATTTTGTCTTTAATCATTTCCAAAGTTAGTTAGATTGGCACCTTTTTATCTTCCCACTTTGGTGAGATTGGTTCATACATTTGTAATACAGTTAGATTACATCATCACAGTCTGCATTCTTTTCTGGGGTTCCCCAACCTCCTAAGGATTTTTTTAAATTTACATATATTAAGGCTCACTCTTTGTGTTGTAAAGTTCTACCAGTTTGAACAAATACATAACATCATGCATCCACCATTACAGTATCATACAGAATACTTTTATTACCATGTTATCTTATTATTATTATTATTATTGGAGATGGGGTCTTGCTCTGTCACCAGACTGGAGTGCAGTGGCACAATCTCGGCTCACTGCAACCTCCACATCCCAGGTTCAAGCGATTCTCCTGCCTTAGCCTCCCGAGTAGCTGGGACTACAGGTGCGTGCCACTATGCCCAGCTAATTTTTGTATTTTCAGTAGAGACAGGGTTTCACCATGTTGATCAGGATGGTCTCCATCTTCTGACCTTGTGATCTGCCCACCTCGGCCTCCCAAAGTGCTGGGATTACAGGCATGAGCCATTGCGCCTGGCCTACCATGTTATTTTTAATAAGTGGTAATAGTCATATTAGAAAAAAAAATTCTTGATATTTACCAGGACCCTTGAAAAGTATAATCTTCAAAGTGAATTTTGTATTATTTATTAAGTAATAGTGATTGGAAACAATGCTACACTTATTACTATTGATATTATTATCAAAATTGTTATAATTATTAAGCCAAATTCTACATAGGGGCTAATTAAAAGTCTGGGCCCTTGCCATGAACTTTTAGTCAACGATATCAGAAAACTTACTAATTTTGAGTGCTCCAATGAAGTGTTGTATTACAAGTCAAATTCATTACAACTTCAAGGAACAGTTTGTATATATTTTGTTGTCCTGGAACCATATCATTTTAAATGACTGTGCAATCAGTTTATAGCTTGAAGATATTTGAATACAATTTTTGTTTGAACAATACTTTTATTACTTTTGAGTAAGTCTTTCTTTTGACCATGAGTTCATGAGAACTGTGAATAGCAATATGCTTTGCAAGCAACTGAAGAAGCAAAGAACACTTATTTTATTGGATCTATGTAGTAAGTAATGAAATGATGGAATTGTAAAATAGTTTGGAGAGAAACCAATTAAAATGATATCTCTAAATTTCAACATACTATTAAATAAACCTGATTAGTTCTATAACCCAGGATTCAAGAATTCATAATTCTTAGAATGTCAGGTTTGACATACAAACAAAAAAACTATCTTCTTTTAAAACTGTTGTCACTCATATAAAGCCTCTTCCACAACACCAATATATTTCTGCATAAGCCACTATGTCTGCTTTCACGTCTTTGAGTCCTAGGTTTTATCTTGAAAATATTTGAGGCCTTACATGTGTCAAAGAAATGGCGTAAACATGTATGTCATATGGCATGTGACTTTTTGTTCTTTAATCAATGATTCTAAATGTTATCTTTGTATTAAAAAATAATTGCTTCTCCATATGCAAAAATGGAGTTAGTTTCTTAATATGAGAAACATTTTCTGATACAAAGATTAAAAACACAATGGATTGTCTTTGGAAACAATTACTCCATCACTGGATGAGTTCATCAAACAAACAATTTATAACCACATATGAGCTGATTTGGGGAACTATATGTCACAAAACAGATGAAGAAAGAAACAAAAAGTAAGTTTAAGAATAGCTATGATTAAGGAAAATATAATGAACATTTGTTAAACATCATGCTCTGAGATCAGAATATAGAAAAGAAAAACATTGAGTACTGACCAACAATGTGCATATTTTCTGAAAAAGTAGACAATATAAATAAGATATAAATAAAATATTGTAATGAATGGTATAGGTTCAGTTACACAAAATGCACAGGTTGTTACTAGAACCCAAAGTAGGAATAAGCCAAATTGGAATGTTAGTTTTTCTCCTTCTTTCCTTCTTTCCTTTTTGAACACTTTTAATACTTCATTTAGAACAGAGGTAGAAACGAAGTAGGAGCACATAGATACAAATTTTAAATGGAACTCTCTGTGGCTCTTTTACATTTTTCACTGTAAAATATTTGGCTACATATATGCTTGGAGGAAAGACATAACTTTCCAGTGAATTTAATGAAAAATCAATGATAACAAACTAAAAATAAGGGGAAAATTGAATTATGGAATAGTGTCACGTTGGCTATGGCAAAGAAGAAACACATAGCATAAAAGAAAACATGCGCCAGGTGCGATGGCTCATTCCTGTAATCCCAGGACTTTGGGAGGCTGAGGCGGGTGGATCACTTGAGGTCAGGAGTTTGAGACCAGCCTCGCCAACATGGTGAAACCCTGTCTCTACTAAAAATACAAAAATTAGCTGGGCATGGGGCTACATGCCTGTAATCCCAGCTACTCAGGAGGCTGAGGCACGAGAATTGCTTGAACATGGGAGGCGGAGGTTGCAGTGAGCTGAGATTGCTCCACTGAGCTTCAGCCTTGGTGACAGAATGAGACTCAGTCTCAAAAACAATAAACAAATAAAACATGTTATCTCTCAGAACTTATTGTCTATTATACTACACTCCTCTTTGCCCACTCTGTTCCAATCACATTTACACCTTTGCTCATCTTCATGAAAGCTGAATATAATTCTTTTTCTTTGTATTTGTTGTTCCTGTGTCCAAAAGAGTATTTCCCTCAAAGATCTGAATAGTATTCTCAAGTTCTCTGTTCAAATGTCCCCTTACCAGAAAGTCTCATAGAGCCAACCTGTGATTTTAAATATGGGCATATTTTCTCTCCATCATTTTATCGTTCTTTGCTTCTCTTTGCAGCACATTTTACCACCATATATCTATTTACTTCACATGCATACTCACTTATTTTCTTATTGTCTATCTTCCCCAACTAGAATCAAAGAGCAGAATCACTGTCTGATTCATTGCTCTGTCATATGTACCTAGAATAGTACCTAAGAAATAGTGAATGCTCATTATATGTCTGTTGAAATGAATGGACACAGTTCCTCTCAAGCTGGAAATAAAATCAATTCTAGAAAAAACTTCAGGGAACATATTTTGTATGATGAATCATTGCATTTTGATCTGGCTAAAGAGACAGATAAAGCATGATGGATTGGGAAATTAGAGCTGATTTGGGGAACTATATGTCAGAAAACAGATGAAGAAAGAAACAAAAAGTAAATTTAAGATTAGCTATGATTAAGGAAAATATAATCAGAGTTATGACCCAGTTCTTGATAGTGGATAAGATTTTTGTAATAAAATATTATATAAAGTGGCAACATGTATGAATATGTAGAATGTAAAAGAAGGTAATTCAAGTATATGTAGTAAAGGAACTCAGAAACCTAGTGCCATTATTATTCATTTCATTGAAGCCTAGATAAATATTCCCATAGCATCACAATAATGGTATTGAGAATGGATAAAAAAGGGGATTGGCACTTTGGGTGAATATTTGAGAGGCAATAATTGAGAATTATGGTAACAGAACAAAACTAGACAAATGGCAGTGAGAAATAACGTAAATTCTGATCTTCTTTTGAAATAAAGGTTGGAATGCTATATCTTACTTATTTCAAGAGAATTTTTAGAGGAAAGTAAAATTTTAGTAGTGATATGAAGAAATAAGAATGATTTTAAAGACAAAAATGAGAGAATTTGAAAGTATTTATTCACAAAGGAAAGACAACTAGAAACAAGGTATGTGTGTATGGGAATGGGCCTGGATTTGGGAAGGTTTCAAGTATAGAGGCAGACAAAAAATGTTTAGGAATGTTCTTAGAATACTAAGTAGGAGAAAATAAAACTATTGTGTGTGAAAAATTATTTTGTAATCTAAAATGCCTTATACAAATGCAATAGAATAAATTACACATAGGGATAAAAGCATTTTTTAAAAAACTATATATTTTTTTTTGGCCAGTAAGCACCTCACCTCATATTTCTCTTCTCTGCCTCATTTCCTGTTAACCACACTAGTTTATTGTTGCTCTGGAGAGACACCAAACTCCAACTTGACCTCAAAGTCTTTGCAGCTGCTATATTTCTACTTGCTTTATTAAATTTCCTAATTTATCTACACAAACGGCTCTTTATAAACTTACTCAAGTATCACCTAACCACTGTGATAAGATACAGGAAATACTACATCCAGTAAGATCCTTCATCTAGTGGAGTAAATTGGAAAGTAAATAAGTAACCAGATGCATGTTATAATATAATTCCTATAATATGGGTATGAACTGAGAGCATATAGGAATTACATATTATCCAAGCTTTAAAAGTGAGAAAAGCTATCATCTAGGCTGCATCCTAGTGATGAGTTGATATTATAAGCAAATGATGCAAGAACATTTGACAGAATAGAAGAAGATTGAAAGGTGGGAGGCAATATGGTTCATGCAAAAACTACACAATAGCTGGAACATGGCAAGTTTGTCTGTATTTACATGTAGAGATCACCCTGAAACTATTTCTGGAAAAAACAGGCATTAAAAATCAACTATTATCTGTTATTATGTCACAACTTATGTCTCTGTTTCCACTTTTTCTCCCCTAATGTCTACGTTCCACTTGGCAACCACAGTAATTATTCTAAAAAGTAGATCATATCATACCATTACCTTCATTAAAAACTCTGGTAAACACTCCAGCCACATTGGCCTCCATATCTTTTCCCTGAACACATCAAGCATACATCACACAGAGGCTTGGCACCAGTTGTTTTCTTCTGAATATTACCATGAATTTTTCCATGGGTTACTCTTTTACTTCATTCTCTGTTTAAATGGTAACTCCTCAAAGTGGCCTCAACTGACAAGCCTATCTAAAATGGCCACCCTCTCCCATCCTCTTATCACTGCATCACCTGTGGCTGTCTCTGTCTGTATTCATTCTGATATGGTTTGGGTCTGTGTCCCCACCCAAATCTCATGTCAAATTCTAATCCCCAATGTTGGAGATGGGGCTGGTGGGAGATGATTGATTCATGGGGGTGGATTTCCTCCTTAGTGCTGCTCTCATGATAGTGAGTGAGTTCTCGTGAGATTTGGTTATTTAAAATCATGTAGCACCTTCCTCCTCCCTTGCTTCCCTCTGCTCCAGCCATGTAAGATGTGCCTCCTTCCCCTTCATCTTCTGTCATAATTGTAAGTTTCATGAGGCCTCCCCAGCCATGCTTCCTGTATAGCCTACAGAACCATAGGCCAATTAGACCTCTTTGCTTTATAAATTACCCAGTCTCAGATAGTTCTTTATAGCAATGCAAAAAGGGACTAATATATAAAATTTGTACCCAGGAGTGGGGCATTGCTGTAAAGATGCCTAAAATGTGGAAGCAGTTTTGAAACTGGGTAATCAGTAGAGCTTGGCACACTTTGGAGGGCTCAGAAGAAAGTTTGGAACTTCCTAGAGACTCATTGAATGGTTTTGACAAAAATGTTGATAGTGATATGGACAGAGATGGCTTGGCTGATGAGGTCTCAGATGGAGATGAAGAACTTATTGGGAACTGGGGCAAAAGTCACTTTTGTTATGCATTAGCAAATAACCTGGCAGCATTGTGCCCTGGCTCTAGGGATATGTGTAACTTTGAACTTGAGAGAAATGATTTAGGGTATCTGGTCGAAGAAATTTCTAAGCAGCAAAGTGTTTCAAAAGTAGGCAGGCTGCTTCTAAAAGCCTATGCTCATATGCCTGAACAAAGAAATGATCTGGAACTGAAACTTACATTTCAAAGGGAAGCAGAAGGTAAAGGTTTGGAAAATTTGCAAACTGGTCCTGTGGTAGAAACAAAAGACCCATTTTCACAGAAGAAATTGAAGCAGGCTCCAGAAACTTGCATAACTAAAAAAGGCAAGTACTAATGGTCAAGACAATGATAAAAAAGCCCTGGAGGCACTTCAGAGACTTTTGGGCCAGACACTCCCATCACAGACACTCTCATCACAGGCTTCTTCCCAGAAGCATAGGGGGACAGAGTGGTTTCATGGGCCAGGCTCAGGGCCCTGCTGCCCTGCGCAGTCTTGGGACAGTGCTTCCTGCATTCCAGCTGCTCCAGCTCCAGCCTAGGCTTAAAGGGGCCCGGAGAATCAGGCTGCTGCTTCAACGGGTGTGAGCCATAAGCCTTGGTGGCTTTAATATCAAGCTTGCAGGTACACAGAGTATAAAAGTTTAAGCTTGGGAGCCTCCACTAGATTTCAGAAGATGTATAGAAAAATCTGGATGTACAGGTAAAAGACTGCGGCAAGGGCAGAGCCCCCATGGAGAACCACTACTAGGGCAATGTGGAAGGAAATTGTGGGATTGGAGCCCCCATACAGAGTCCCCACTAGAGCACTACCTAGTGGAATTGTGGGAAGACAGCCACTGTCTTCCAGACCCCAGAATGGGAGATTCATTGACAGCCTGCCCCGTGCACGTGGAAAAGTGATGTCAATCAATGCCAGCCCTTGAGAGCAACCATGGGAACAGCCCTGCAGAGGCACAGGGGTGAACCTTCCCATGGCCTTGAGAGACCACCCCTTGTGTCAGTGTGGCCTGGATGTGAGATATGGAGTCAAAGGAGATTATTTTGGAGCTTTAAGATTTAATGACTGCTCTGCTGGGTTTTGGACTTGCATGGAGCCTATAGCCCCTTTCTTTTGGTCAATTTCTCCCTTTTAGAATGAAAGCATTTACCCAATGCCTGTAGCCCCATTGTATCTTGGAAGTAACTGACTTTTGTTTGTTTTTGTTTTGTTTTGTTTTAATTTTGTGGGTTAACAGGCAGAAGGGACTAGTTTCATTTCAGATAAGACTTTGGACTTCTGAGTTAATGCTGGAATGATTTAACACTTTGGGAGACCATTGGGAAGGCATGATTATATTTTGAAATGCAAGAAGGACATAAGATTTGGAAGGGCCCAGGGGCAGAATGATATGGTTTGGGTCTGCATCCTCACCCAAATCTCATGTCAAATTGTTCCAAGACCCAACAGAGGGTCAGGCTGCTATTTCTCATGGCCCAATAATGAGAGGCAGATGAACTGGGGAGGAAGAGAGTTTTTATTTCTCTACCCAGTTACAGGGAGAAGACCTGGAGATTATCACCAGATCAACTCAAAATTACAAAGTTTTCCAGAGCTTACATATCTTCTAAGCTATATGTCTCCATGTAAATTTGCATTCATCTAAAGACCTAAGTGATTAACTTCTTTTAAATGATAACTAAGGTCTGAGTCCTGAAGACCTTCCTCTAGAGCCTCAGTAAATTTACTTAATGTAAATGGGTCTAGGTGCTGGGGTGATTACTCTTATCTTGTCTCCTGCTAAATCACAGAGGTTTGTAGAGTTCCTTCAGACCCCCAATAAACTTGTTTGTGGAGGCCTGGGAAGTGTCTTCAGACCCACAATGAATCTTGTTCAATTCTAACTGGGTCCTCTTAAGAATTCCTTAGGTACTTTTTCATGCTTTAAGGACCAGGAAAGGCCAAGGCAAAAGTCTTGATGGGCTTTTGTTACATCCCAGCCATTGTATAAGGGCATGGGCTTCTACTATTTAACTTAACCACTCAGTCAGTACTGAAACAGTTGTTAATGAGACCTGGCTTGCAATTACAAAATTGTAATCACAAACAATTACAATTACAAAATTGTAATCCCTGGTGTTGGAGATGGGGCCTGGTCGGAGGTGATTGGATCATAGTGGTGGATTTCCCCTCAGGCCTGCTCTGATGATAGTAAGTAAGTGGGTGCTCATGAGATTTGGTTGTTTAAAAGTGTGTAGCACCTTCCCCCTTTATCTATTCATCCTTCTCCAACCACATAAGATGTGTCTGCTTTCCTTTTGCCTTCTACTATGATTGTAAGTTTCCTGAGATTTCCCCAGCCACGCTTCCTATACAGCCTGCAGAACTGTGAGCCAATTAATCCTCTTTTCTTTATAAATTACCCAGTATCAGGTATTTCTTTGTAGCAATGAGAGAATGGACTAATATACCATCCTTGATATGATTGTCATAAGGGTAGAAACTTTGTCTATTTTTTTACAGTGCTATATCCTCAGTATATATAACAATGCCTAAAACATAATGCATGTCAAGACCACTTTGATGAATTAATGAATAAACAAGCACATATTTGTTGAAATAATTAATAAACACGTTTGTTGAAGAAATCAACAAATTAGGGTGGAGATATAAGCAAGAGTTACGTATATTAAATGATTTTGTGTTTTGAGTCAAGAAGTTTACCTTTTGAGGAAGTGGTGCACTAAAAAAATCTTCTGCAGGAATGAGACTTGATCAGATTTTTATTTCTAAAAGATGACCACGGCTAGAGAGTAAAATTACAGTCAGGGCATGTTATGGTTTGGCTGTTTCCCCACCCAAATCTTATCTTGAATTGCAGTTTTCATAATCCTCCTGTGTTGTGGGAGGGCTCGGTGGGAGGTAATTGAATCATGGAGATGGTTACTCCCATGCTGTTCTCGTGATAGTAAGTGAGCTTTATAAGGGGCTTTGCCCCCTTTGATCAGCACTTCTCTTTCCTGCAGCCATGTGAGGAAGGACCTGCCTGCTTCCCCTTCCACCATGATTGTAAGTTTCCTAAGGCCTCCCCAGCCCTGCAGAACTGTGAGTCAATTAAACCTTTTTCCTTTATAAATTACCGTCTCGGGAAGTTCTTTACAATAGTGTGAAAATGGACTAATCCAGAGTGCCTAGGTAAAAAGACTGGGGCAATAATACAGGCAAGAGAGGAGGGAGCCTAGATAAAGATAATGGCAGTGGCAAAGGAGTCATATCCTGGAGACATTTAAAAATAATTTGTGATTAACTGATCTGGAGTTAGAGTAGACACTGAACTAGAAAAAGTCATCAATGTATACTCAGCATTTAGCTTAAGTAGTTGCACTGGTGGTGGGAATCTTTTACTAAGATCCAAAAACCAGGAGGCATTACTTCATTAGGGGAGGTTTGAGTGTTTGGGTCATACCGCATTTCAAGAGAGGCAGGAAATAACAACAAACAGTTGGATAAATAAGACAGGAGTTTGGGAGGAAAATCTCAGACTAGAAATATATATTTGGGTATCATGAACATAGAGCTGGTAACTGAAGCCATTGGAAGTGATATCTTATCCCAAAGAGAATAAGTAAAGAGAAAAGAGAGATCTAAAGGCAATATTCAAAAAAGCACAGACACCTAAGGAATTGGGAAAGAACAAGAAGCTCACAAAAGACACTAAGAAAAAGAAAATTTAAAAAGAGACAATTTTAAGAAAGAAGGAGTGGTCAATAGAGTCAAAAGAGGCAGAAAGTGAAAAAAGGACGGGAACATAGGTTTTCATTTTTTTTTTTTTTTTTGAGACGGAGTATTGCTCTGTCGCCCAGGCTGGAGTGAGTGGCGCGATCTCCACTCACTGCAAGCTCCGCCTCCTGGGTTTCCGCCATTCTCCTGCCTCAGCCTCCTGAGTAGCTGGGACTACAGGCCCCCGCCACTGTGCCCACCACCAGGCCCGGCTAATTTCTTTTTGTATTTTTAGTAGAGATGGGGTTTCACCATGTTAGCCAGGATGGTCTCGATCTCCTGACCTCGTGATCCGCCCGCCTTGGCCTTCCAAAGTGCTGGAATTACAGGCGTGAGCCACCGCGCCGAGCCGTTTCCATTCTTTTTAGTAGTTGAGAGGTCGCTATGGGGAGTAGATAGAAGTAGAACACAGATTTCAGAACATATCTTAGTAAATATTAGGTAAGATAGGGAAAAACACACATTTAGATTACTTAACCGTAAAGAGGAAGGGAGATAGAGGGCCTTAGAGAAGAAGTGATGTCAAGTAGAAAGGGTATTTTATAATGGAAGACACTCAAGTCTGTTTAAACAAAGACTGAAAGTAAATAATAGACAAAAAATGTAGCTAACAGATGAAAGTAAGTGTAAATTTAATAGAATTAGGAAAAGGAGGTGCCATTCAGGACATAGGTGGAATGTTGACTTTGGATTTGACGAAAGAAATCTATTCATTTTTATAAAATGTTAGGAAGAAATGATGAATGGGCTGTAATTCGAGGACATGTTTACAGAGGGCATTTCACTAAGTAAGTGTAAGCCACTGTATGAAGAGAAAGATAAATTGTTAGCAGGCTGAAGGTAAAAGGTTTAAAACAGTTGCTGGTGGGAACAACTTACTGAAGAAATTTAAATAATTTTATAGCAGAAACTGATAACCCAATTGAGGGGAGAGACAAGTAGCGACACCAACCTGAGAGAATACGTGAATTATTTCAGCACAACACCCAGGTGTAGGAGCAGAGAAAACAATCGATTGTTGTGTTAGCATTTTCGCCACAAAAAGAAAACAAAGGAAAAGGGGAAAAGGCGGGGAGGCAGAAAAAATGTAAGATATCAGCAAAAGTGCATTAAAGTGGTAAACACTGGGATTAGGACTTAAATACAAGAAGGAGTTGATGGATACAAGAACGAAAGACATCAAATAAGTCAAAGTTTTATCAAGTTAATCATACAGAATCTGAAAATTATATGATAGCATTTTTTTTTCTTCAGGCTAAAATTGAAACAGAATTCTGAAATAAAATATGGTGATTAGGGGTGGGAATAAAAGTAATCATTTGTATTTGTCCCAGCTTCATAAACTTGGTGCCTGAAGGTAGTGGGATGTTTCTTCATCTTTAATTAATACTAGAAGTATTGCTTTTATGGCAAATCTATTATGCTATAACTGATACTAATAGGTCGCTGAAAATTATTATAATTCTATCTAGCATTACACAGGCTCACCTTATCAAGCTACTCCCTGGAATCCAAAGTGCTGATGACAGCCCCCAATTTTTTTCTTGGCATTGTCAGACATAAAAAAATACTTTGCATTCTTACTGGTATTTCAACTTTGGCAGAATGCCCACTTCTTACATCTGCTTTCCGTCTACCAATGTCTGTTTCCAACTGAGAGTCTCAGATTTTGATATATAATGCTCTTGCTATGTCAGGAAAAATAGGAAAAAGTTGTCTTAGTTAAAAAAGAAAAATGTTATCTTGGTTACAGATATAAGAAAGCATGCTTCACTTAAATTATAAATCACAAATTTTATTTAGTAGATGCTCCTTAGTCTCCATACTGGGCCCAGCCAATTTAATTGTCTAAGTTTCTAATGTAAACTTGGAAAAAAATGGGAAAAGAAAAGAAATGCAAAATAGGAATTAAGTATATTTTCCTTAAAAAAGCATATAAGTTCTTTTATAAAAGTAACAACTATGAAATGTATGAAATATTTGAACTTGACCATAGTTAACTCATAATTTGTCTGTGTGTGTGTGTATGTGTGTGTGATTGTGTTTGTCAGTGTATACATGTATGGGCACCCACATTATACATATATGTGTATTTTAAAATATATATGTACATATACACCTATGTATATATGTGTAGATGCTATATATATTATGGATACTATATTATATATACTATTTACATGCTATTGCTTAAATTTACATATATAATATAGGTTTTAATTATAAAATCATTTTAATTTTTTTCATCTCCCATCTTGGTGACAGCCCAAATTGAACATATCATTAATATTTCTTAGTTGCATGCAACAGAAGTAAATTAGTATATTTAACTTCCCCCCAAATAAGAAAAAAAGAACACATTACAAAAATACTGGGTAACTGGCGGAATATGGAGGAAAAACAGCTCAAATTATACCATGGCACTCGTTCTGAAGACTAATACTGCAGCTACTGACACCCACATTGCCACTAAACTGCAAGAGCTGGACACTATACTGTCTATTGATTTGCAAAGTTGGCTCCATTTGGAAATAAAAAGATTGATGACTGCTCTTACCCTTAATTTGATAGTTTCTGTGTAGTTCCTGCTCCTTTGTATCATTAACTTATGTTCAAAGTGTGCCAGCAGATGCATCAGTTCTGTAGAGCCTCAGGCACAATACCACACACTAACTACAAAGAGCCTAGAAAGAAGAGATTATTTTTATAGAATAAAATTTCACTTTGGGAATTTCTATTGCATCAGGAAAAGAAAACAAATGTCATGAAAACGTATTCTGCTAATAATCTTTTTTTTATTATACTTTAAGTTCTGGGATACATGTGCAGAACATATAGGTTTGTTACATAGGTATACACATGACATGGTGGTTCGCTGCACCCATCAACTTGTCATCTACATTAGGCATTCCTCCTGATGCTATGCCTCCTCTACCCTCCGACACTCCGACAGCCCCGGTGTGTGATGTTCCCCTCCCTGTGTCCATGTGTTCTCATTGTTCAGCTCCCACTTATGAGTGAGAACATGCAGTGTTTGCTTTTCTGTTCCTGTGTTAGTTTGCTGAGAATGATGGCTTCCAGCTTTATCCATGTCCTTGCAAAGGACAGGAACTCATCCATTTTTATGGCCGCATAGTAGTCCATGGTGTATATGTATCATGTTTTCTTTACCCAGTCTATACTTGGTGGGCATTTGGGTTGGTTCCAAGTCTTTGCTATTGTGAACAGTGCTGCAATAAACATACGTGTGCATGTGTCTTTATAGTAGAATGATTTATAATTATTTGGATATATACCCAGTAATGGGATTGCGGGGTCAAATGGTATTTCTGGTTCTAGATACTTGTGGAATCACCACACTGTCTTCCACAATGGTTGAACTAATTTACACTCCCACCAGCAGAGTAAAAGCATTCCTATTTCTTCACATCCTCTGCCACATCTGTTGTTTCCTGACTTTTTAATGATCACCATTCTAACTGGTGTGAGATGGTATTTCATTTGTGGTGTTGATTTTCATTTCTCTAATGACCAGTGATGATGAGCTTTTTTTTCATAAGTTTGTTGGCTGTATAAATATCTTCTTTTGAGAAGTGTCTGATCATATCCTTTGCCCACTTTTTGATGGGGTTGTTTTTTTCATGTAAATTTGTTTAAGTTCCTTGTAGATTCTGGATATTAGCCTTTTCTCAGATGGGTAGATTGCAAAAATTTTCTCCCATTCTGTAGGTTGCCTGTTCACTCTAATGATAGTTTCTTTTGCTGTGCAGAAGCTCTTTAGTTTAATTAGATCTCATTTGTCAATTTTGTCTTCTGTTGCCATTGCTTTTGTTGTTTTAGTCATGAAGTCTTTGCCCATGCTTATGTCCTAAATGATATTATCTCAGTTTTCTTCCAGGGTTTTTATGGTTTTAAGTCTTACGCTTAAGTCTTTAATCCATCTTCAGTTAGTTTTTGTATAAGGTGTAAAGAAGGGGTCCAGTTTCAGTTTTCTGCTTATGGCTAGCCAGTTTTCCCAAAACCATTTATTAAATAGGAAATCCTTTCCCCGTTGCTTGTTTTTGTCAGGTTTGTCAAAGATCAGATGGTTGTAGATGTGTGGCATTATTTCTGAGGCCTCTGTTCTGTTCTATTGGTCTATATATCTGTTTTGGTACCAGTACCATGCTGTTTTGGTTACTGTAGCCTTGTAGTATAGTTTGAAGTCAGGTAGCATGGTGCCTCCAGCTTTGTTCTTTTTGTGTAGGATGGTCTTGGCTATATGGGCCATTTTTTGGCCATATAAAATTTAAAGTAGTTTTTTCTAATTCTGTGAAGAAAGTCGGTGATAGCTTGATGGGGACAGCATTGAATTTACAAATTACTTTGGGCAGTATAGCTATTTTCATGATATTGATTCTTCCTATCCATGAGCAAGAAATGTTTTTCCATTTGTTTATGTCCTCTCTTATTTTCTTGAGCAGTGATTTGTAGTTCTCCTTGAAGAGGTCCTTCACATTCCTTGTAAGTCATATTCCTAGGAATTTTATTCTCTTTGTTGCAATTGTGAATGGGTATTCACTCATGATATAGCTCTCTGTTTGTCTGTTATTGGTGTATAGGAATGCTTGTGATTTTTGCACATTGATTTTGTATCCTGAGACTTTGCTGAAATTGCTTATCAGCTTAAGGTGATTTTGGGCTGAGATACAATCTTGTCATCTGCAAGCAGAGACATTTTGACTTCCTCCCTTCCTATTCGAATACACTTTATTTCTTTCTCTTGCCTGATAGCCCTGTCCAGAACTTCCAATACTATGTTAAATAGTAGTGGTGAGAAAGGGCATCCATGTCTTGTGCTGGTTTTCAAAGGGAATGCTTCCAGCTTTTGCCCATTCAGTATGATATTGGCTGTGGGCTTGTCATAAATAGCTCTCATTATTTTGAGATATGTTCCATCAATACCTAATGTATTGAGAGTTTTTAGCATCAATGGGTGTTGAATTTTATTGAAGGCCTTTTCTGCATCTATTGAGATAATCATGTGGTTTTTGTCATTGGTTCTGTTTATGTGATGGATTACGTTTATTGATTTGCATAGGTTGAACCAGCCTTGCATCCCAGGGATGAGGCTGACTTGATTGTGGTGAACAAGCTTTTTGATGTGCTGTTGGATTTGGTTTGCCAATGTTTTATTGAGGATTTTTGCATCAATGTTCATCAGGGATATTGGCCTGAAATTTTCTTTTTTTGTTTTTTCTCTTCCTGGTTTTGGTATCAGGATAATGCTGGCCTCATAAAATGAGTTAGGGAAAAGTCTCTCTTTTTCTATTGTTTGAAATAGTTTGAGAAGGCATGGTACCAACTCCTCTTTGTACTCCTGCTAGAATTCATCTGTGAATCCATCTGGTCCTGGGCTTTTTTGGTTGGTAGGCTATTAATTATTGCCTCAATTTCAGAATTTGCTATTGGTCTATTCAAGGATTTAATGTCTTGCTGCTTTAGTCTTGGGAGGGTGTGGTTGTCCAGGAATTTATCCATTTCTTCTAGATTTTCTAGTTTATTTGTGTAGAACTATTTAGAGTATTCTCTGATGGTTGTTTGTACTTCTGTGAAATCAGTTGTGATATCCCCTTTATCATATGTTATTGTGCCTATTTGATTCTTCTCTCTTTTCTTCTTTATTAATCTGGCTAGTGGTCTATCTATTTTGTTAATCTTGTCAAAAAAGCAGCTCCTGGATTCACTGATTTTTTTAAGGGTGTTTTGCGTCTCTATCTCCTTCAGTTCTGCTCTGATCTCAGTTATTTCTTGTCTTCTGCTAGCTTTTGAATTTGTTTGTTCTTGCTTCTCTAGTTCTTTTGATTGTGATGTTAAGGTGTTGATTTTAGATCTTTCCCACTTTCTCATGTGGGCATTTAGTACTACAAAGTTCCCTGTAAACACTGCTTTAGCTGTGTCCCAGAGCTTCTTGTACCTTGTGTCATTTTTCTCATTGGTTTCAAAGAACTTACTTATTTCTGCCATAATTTCATTATTTACCCAGTAGTCATTCAGGAGCAGGTTGTTCAGTTTCCATGTAGTTGTGTGGTTTTGAGTGAGTTTCTTTATCCTGAATTCTAATTTTATTGCACTGTGGTCTGAGAGGCTGTTTGTTATGATTTCCATTCTTCTGCATTTGCTGAGGAGTGCTTTACTTCCAATTATGTAGTCAATTTTAGAATAAATGCAATGTTTTTATGAGAATAATGTATATTTTGTTGATTTGGGGTGGAGAGTTCTGTAGATGTCTATTAGGTTCACTTGGTCCAGAACTGAGTTCAAGTCCTGAATATCCTTGTTAATTTTCTGTCTCATTGATCTAATATTGACAGTGGGGTGTCAAAGTCTCCCACTATTATTGTGTGGGAATCTAAGTCTATTTGTAGTCTCTAAGAATTTGTTTCATGAATCTGGGTGCTTCTGTATTGGGTGCATATATATTTAGGATAGTTAGCTCTTCTTGTTGCATTGAGCCCTTTACCATTACATAATGCTTTTCTTTGCCTTTTTTGATCTTTGTTGGTTTAAAGTCTGTTTTATCAGGGACTAGGATTGCAACCTCTGCTTTTTTTCCTTTCCATTTGCTTGGTAAATATTCCTCCATCCCTTTATATTGAGTCTATGTGTGTCTTTGCATATGAGATGGGTCTCCTGAATACAGCACATCGATGAGTGTTGACTCTTTATCAAATTTGCCACTGTGTGTCTTTTAATTGGGGCATTTAGCCCATTTACATTTACGGTTAATATTGTTATATGTGAATTTGATCCTGTCATTATGATGCTAGCTGGTTATTTTGCCCATTAGTTGATGCAGTTTCTTTGTAGTGTCTATGGCCTTTACAATTTGGTATGTTCTTGCAGTGGCTGGTACTTGTTTTTCCTTTCCATATTTAGTGCTTCCTTCAGGAGTTCTTATAAGGCATGCCTGGTAGTGACAAAGTCTCTCAGCATTTGCTTGTCTGTAAAGGATTTTATTTCTTCTTCTCTTAAGAAGCTTAGTTTGACTGAATATGAAATTCTGGGTTGAAAAAAATTTTTTTAAGAATTTTGAATAATGGCCCCCACTCTCTTCTGGCTTGTAGGATTTCTAGAGAGAGAGACCCACTGTTAGTCTGATGGACTTCCCTTTGTGGGTAACCTGACCTTTCTCTCTGGCTGCCCTTAACATTTTTTCCTCCATTTCAACCTTGGTGAATCTGCTGATTATGTGTCTTGGGGTTGCTCTTCTCAAGGAATATCTTTGTGGTGTTTTCTGTATTTTCTGAATTTGAATGTTGGCATGTGTTGCTAGGTTGGGGAAGTTCCCCTGGATAATATCTGAATCGTGTTTTCTAACTTGATTCCATTCTCCCTGTCAATTTCAGGTACACCAATCAAACATAGGTTTGGTCTTTTCCATTGTCCCATATTTCTTCGAGGTTTGTTCATTGGTTTTTATTCTTTTTTCTCTAATCTTGTCTTCACACTTTATTTCATGAAGTTGATCTTCAATCTCTGATATCCTTTCTTCCACTTGATTGATTCAGCCATTGATACTTGTGTATGCTTCATGAAGTTCTCGTGCTGTGTTTTTCAGCTCCATCAGGTCATTTATGTTCTTCTCTAAATTGGTTATTCTAGTTAGCAATTCCTCTAACCTGTTTTCAAGGTTCTTAGCTTCCTTTCATTGGGTTAGAACATGGTTCTTTAGCTTGGAGGAGTTTGTTATTACCGACATATTGAAGCCTACTTCTGTCAATTCGTCAAACTCATTCTTGGTCCAGTTTTGTTTCCTTGCTACCAAGGAGTTGTGATCCTTTGGAGGAGAAGAGGTGTTCTGTGTTTTGGAGTTTTCAGTCTTTTTGCACTGGTTTTTCCTCATCTTTGTGGATTTATCTACTTTTGGTCTTTGATGTTGGTGACTTTCAAATGAGGTTTCTGCGTGGACATCCTTTTTGTTGATGATGGTATTCCTTTCTTTTTGTTAGTTTTCCTTCTAACAGTCAGGTTTCTCTGCTGCAGGTCTGCTGGAGTTTGCTGGAGGTCTGCTGTAGACCCTGTTTGCCTGGGTATCACCAGCACAGGCTGCCGAATAGCAAAGATTGCTGCCTATTCCTTCCTCTGGCAGCTTTGTCCCAGAGGGGCTCCTGCCAGATGCCAGCCAGAGCTCTCCTGTATGAGGTGTCTGTCAATCCCTGCTGGGAGGTTTCTCCCAGTCAGGAGGCATGGGGGTCAGGGACCCACTTGAGGAGGCAGTCTCTTTTTTTTTTTTTTTTTTTTTTTTGAGACAGAGTCTAACTCTGAAGCCCAGGGTGGAGTGCAGTCGTGCAATCTCAGCTCACTGCAACCTCCACCTCCTGGGTTCAAGCAATTCTCCTGCCTCAGCCTCCCAAGTACCTGGGATTGCAGGTGCCCACCACTACACCCAGCTAATTTTTGTATTTTTAGTAGAGATAGTTTTACTGTGTTGGCCAGGCTGGTCTCAAACTCCTGACCTCATGATCCACCCACCTCGGCCTCCCAAAGTGCTGGGATTACAAGCATGAGACACCGTGCCCAGCCGGCAGTCTGTTTCTTAGCAGAGTTTGAGCACTGTGCTGGAAGATTGGCTGCTCTCTTCAGAACTGGCAGGTAGAAGGTTTAAGTCTGCTAAAGCTGTGCCTATGTGTCCGGAGTTGGTTCCTTCCGGTGGGTTCGTGGTCTTGTTCACTTCAAGAATGAAGCTGTGGACCTTCGCGGTGAGTGTTACAGCTCTTAAAGATGGCACGGACCCAATGAGTGAGTGGTAGCAAGAGTTATTGTGAAGAGCAAAAGAACAAAGCTTCCACAGCATGGAAGGGGACTTGAGCAGGTTGCTGCTGCTGGCTGGGGTGGCCAGCTTTTATTCCCTTATTTGTCCCCTCCCATGTCCTGTTTCTGTCCTATCAGAATGCCCTTTTCTCAATCCTCCCCATGATTGGCTACTTTTGGAATCCTGTCGATTGGTCCATTTTACAGAGCGCTGATTGTTCCATTTTACAGAGTGCTGACTGGTGCATTTTACAAACCTCTTGCTAGCTGCAGAGCACTGATTGGTGCATTTTACAATCCCCTTGTAAGACAGAGAAGTTCTCCAAGTCCCCACTCTACCCAGGAAGTTCAGCTGGCTTCACCTCTCAATCCCCCCTCAAAACAGGACACCCTAATTGCTGTTGGGAATTGGGTGATGACCTCTCTAGCTACTTCCTGCTGGAGAGGGGCAAAGAAGGGACCCTGCAGTTGTAGTGTCCTCCAGAGGGGAACTCTCTAGGCCAGTCAAAAGGCCAGTGGGTCATTCCAGGGGTCCTTGGTAGAAGTTGTGAGTCGAGCTCATTTGGGGTTCCATTTGTAAGACCATCTGTAGCTTGATGGCCTCAATCCTGGAGGAAACAAATTTGACAAGGAGGTTAAAAATAAAGGGCTGGAAGGCGAGTAATCACAAGATGGCTGTCATGGGACCTAGAAAGGGGAGAAGCCATGTCGCCCAACTCCAGAGGTTGGTATCAGAGTTTGAAAGGCGTTGTCTGATTTCAGAAGCCTTTTCCTGTAAACACTGGGCAAAATCTCATACTATCCCTGATCAGTTAGTGTAAAAACAACATTCTTCCCCTAAGAAGGTGCAAAGTCCTCCTTTCTCAGCAGTGAGGAGGTCTAGGCCTCAGCAGTTTTGGAGAGTCACTGCTGCCAAAGAGTCTATTTGGGATGTGGTGATTGGTGCATTTTACAAACCTCTTGCAAGCTACAGAGTGCTGATTGGTGAATTTTACAATTAACTTGTAAGACAGAAAAGTTCTCCAAGTCCCCACTTGACTCAGGAAGTCCAGCTGGCTTCACCTCTCACCCACAGCCGCCCTTCCCCCAGGTGCTCTGTCCCAGGTAGTTGGGAGTTTTATCTATTAGCATCTTACTGGAGTTACTGCCTTTCTTTCAGAGATACCCACCCAGAGAGGAAGAATCTAGAGAGGCAGTCTGGCTACAGCGGATTTGCTGAACTGCAGTGGGCTCTACCCAGTTTGAACTTACCAGAGGCTTTGTTTAAACTGTGAGGGGAAAACCGCGTACTCAAGCCTCAGTAATGGTGGACACCCCGCCCCCCACCAAGCTCGATCACCCCAGGTCAACTTCAGACTGTTGTGCTGGCAGCAAGAATTCAAGCCAGTGGACCTTAGCTTTCTGGGCTCCATGGGGGTAGTATCCACTGAGCAACACCACTTGGCTCCCTGGCTTCAGTCCCCTTTCCAGGGGAGTGAATGGTTCTGTCTTGCTGGCATTTCAGGTGGCACTGGGGTATGAAAAAAAAAAAAATCTCCTGCAGCTAGCTCGTTGTCTGCCCAAATGGCCGCCCAGTTTTGTGCTTGAAACCCAGGGCCCTGGTGGCATAGGAACCTGAGGGAATCTCCTAGTCTGTGGGTTGTGATGACAATGGGAAAAGTGTAATATCTGGGCTGGAGTGCACTCTCCCTCACGGCAGGATTCCTCATGGCTTCCCTTGGCTAGGAGAGGGAGGTCCTCAACGTCTACCACTTCCCAGGTGAGGTGACTCCCCACCCTGCTTTGGCTCTCCCTCCGTGGCCTGCACCCACTGTCTTACCAGTCCCAGTGAGATGAGCCAGGTACCTCAGTTGGAAATGCAGAAATCACCTGCCTTCTGTGTTGATCTCACTGGGAGCTGCAGACTGGAGCTGTTCCTATTCTGCCATCTTGCCAGCCTCTCCTCATAGTAATTTTTTCATTTTACTAATTCATAGGATTCAGGAGCAAATAGAAGTAAGAAAAAGTTTTCACTCTTTCCAAAGGAGAGGGATTTAAAAATTTTTCTTTTAATATATAAAATCAACAAATCAGGACATGAAAACAAATGAGCATGGCAGAGTTATAGATATGTTTACATATTTCTGAACATATAAGAAGAGAGTCATCCTGCAAATTTTTATCATTTTATCAATCCATTAATTAATATGCTGCAATACTATTTTCTCTTCTTTTTCAACTGCATGCCCTCTTCTAACTTAACAATCAGACAGAGACAAGTTGATGAAATAAAAACCACATCTGTTATTTTATTTACAATCATTTAATATAAGAAATCAATTAAATACATTTTAAAGAATATTTTTTAAGTAACACTGAGGTAATAAAAATCTCCTAAGTTCAGAAAGCATTTACCATCACCGAAGGGGTGGGGGAACAAAGGGAAAGAATTGGTGCTGTTAGAACCAAGGAGTCTAGAAGACGATCAGAAGATCCACAAATGTGAGACATAGGCCCTTGAAAAGGTCTATGCCTGGTTTGTGCTGTTACTCTTTGAAGGGCACACAATGAGGCTAGTTCTGGAAGTGTGAAAGTAAGAGAGCAATAAGGGAACTAACTGCTGCTGCCAAGAGGCAAGGTCATTACTAGTTTTCCAGTTTCCCTTTAGCTGGAACCCTTATTGATAAACTGTAACAGGGAGTCCCTTGGGAAAGAGAAAACATAATTGCCAAAAAGCATAGCCCCTGTATTACAAAGCATAGAATAAAGTGAGGGTCTCTATATGTGAGATAATAGCTTAATAACTAACAAACTCTCTTCCCAACTGAACAGGGCAAAATATGGCTGATATAAATATATATAATTCCAAGCAAAATGATACTTGCCTAAACCTTTAACAAACTTTAACCAGTTATAGATCTGAATATAGCCTAAATATAGATACATAATTTGCAATTACTTTCAAAAACTAGTCAAATGTCAATCATTTCCCATGACTAATGTAAATGTATAGTGGACTTACTTTTATACCTGGCTTTGTTGTATATAAAGTGTACCATTTAGATCACTTATAAATTTTTTGCCCTGAAAGTTTTCTGATGGGGAAAACGTGATTTACAAATGCTTTCCATGTTTTTATACAGGTATCATGTGGACCAAATTAGAAAATACATACTAAAAAGTTTTGATATTTACAAAACGTACATTAAAAAGTGGGCAAATGTTATTACCTTTAAAAGCCATACAAATGTTTAGGCAGAAGATAGCAATGTAAACAAAGGCATTTGGCTTTCTTACCATTCTGTTCCTGGATTTCATTCAGAGAAATCTCTTGTGCAAAAGGTCTGTAATCTCAGTGCTAAAACTTACCAAAGATGTCTGCTGGGTCCACTGCAGGTGGGAAACCTCCAAGGGGTGATCTACAAGCATACAGCTGGAGAAAGTACAGCATCCATGATGGTACAATTCAGTAATTCTTACCATTTTAGAGGAAAAGACACTTTAAGCAAAGCAAATATGTTGGGTAGAGAGAAACAACTAATTTACCACTTTCTCTGCTAAGGATCAGTAGAAATTGAAAGCAGTAGCAAAAAATGCTTTGAAACTGGTTTCATGGTTAGAGCCAAGAGAATATCCACAGTATGGAAAGAACTTAGAATGTAGGTCAGTGCCAGCTTGCATCTGGTGGTTGGGCTGGGCAGAAAGGAAATGGTATTCATGAAGCTGGCTTTTTGTTCAAGAGCTTCATGGAACCTATAGAAAACCTGATGCAGAAATTAAGTTACCCTGAGGTGTAGCCTTTGATAACATCAAAAATCTAGTTCTAGACACTTTTCTCCCAGGAAGTTGAATTACTGAGGTAAAAAAGTAGTTATTTTTTACAGTAGCTTCTCTTTTGATTAAAATATGAGAAGACAGCACTTTGGGAGGCCTAGGCAGGCGGATCATGAGGTCAGGAGATCGAGACCATCCTGGCCAACATGGTGAAACCCTATCTCTACTAAAAATACAAAAATTAGCTGAGCGTGGTGGCACATGCCTGTAATCTCAGCTATTCGGGAGGCTGAGGCAGGAGAATCGCTTGAACCAGGGAGGCAGAGGTTGCAGTGAGCGGAGATCACACCACTGCACTTCAGCCTGGCAACAGAGACTCTGTCTCAAAAACAAAATAAATAAATAAATATGAGAAGAACATACTGAAAGAATAATTTGTATAATGAACAAAACCATGATATAAAGATATAATGAACCATCATTTTTGCTTGTTTGCTAACAGAGATCACAGGGAAATTATCCTCATTCCCAGAGTGAAGGAATTATGTTAAACTCCCAATCTAAAAACCCCAAACCAAGCAATAACAATAACAACAACTACCATCACAACAAAAATGTGCAACTATGAAACTATATGTAATTTAGTTCTCAAGATTCAATAAATGTATATTTTGAAAAAATACAAGAAGAAAATTTAAAATCTATAAATGACAATTTTAAAAATAGATATTAAGAAATCAAGAGGATTTTTCTTTCTGATGAAGATGAAGTAACGAGGACTGAAATCACCTTTCCACTAGACACAAAAAACCTCCCTTAGCTCTCCTCCACCTTATTCAGATAAGCTTTTCAAAGCCAAGACATGTTAAAAAGGTTTAAAGAGGAAAAACTATAAAAATTATAAACTATAAAATATAAAATTAAAAACTATAAAAAGGGCAAGGTTTTAGCCTGTTAACTTCCTTTAAAATTCAAGAGGGGGAAAATTGTTAAGTTCTGAGCTCTTCCTCAGAGAACAATATGTCAGTATGTTCAGCTTCCCTCTTCTTTGTTCTCCATTTTAAAGTTTAACTTCCTCGTTCTTTATGTCTCCTTGCCCCTAGTTTTAGTAAACAACCCCCTCCTAGCTTCTATCACCTGCTCTGTCCTTAGTCATCCTTAGTCACCAGCTCTGTAACCACCCTTCCTGCCAAAACTACTCACTCCACCGCTCTGGCTCATACCCCTTCTCTCTTTAAAGTAGCCAACTGGAATTAGCTTAGACTGTGCAGTCCAACCCTAGCTAACAGGGGAAAGACACAGCAGTAGGAACTAGCTGCATCAGGAATAAGAACCCCATCCCCTCCCTTGTCCAGTGTGCTCTCACCATTGCTCCATCTGTGAGATGCACTCTCCTATAGAAGAAAATTGCCTTGCTGAGAAAACTTTGCCTGAGTGCTATTTTCACTTTGTGGCATCAAGCATTTACTTCCAATGTCAATTCTACCCAAACTGACCTATAGATGTAATATATCCCAATAAAAATGTCACCAGGATTTTTGTAGAAATTGATAATCTGATTTTAAAATTCACATGCAAATGCAAAGGAACTGGAATAGACAACATGACTTTCAAAAAGAATAAAGTTAGAAGTCTAATGCTGCCTGATTTTTACTTATTATAAAGCTACCATTACTAAAACAATGTGGCATTGGCATAAAGCTAGTGACCTAGAACAATGAACACAATAGAGAGTCCAGAAATAGACACACTTATATGTGGGCAATTTATTTTTTACAAAGGTGCAGGGGAAAGTCAGTGGAGAAATGATAGTTGTTTCAACCAATTATTATAAAATAATTGGATATCTCCATACCAAAAAGAAAATAAAAAGAAAATGAAAGTTGTAAAGAGGCTAACACAAAATAGAACTTATACCCATAATGAAACCTAGAAATATAGAATGACTAGAAGACAACATAAGAGAGTATCTTTATAACCTTGGTTTTGGTAAAGACTTCTTAAATAGAACAGCACAAAATAAAAAATCACATATTATTGCTTCCTCAAAATTAGAAATATCTGTTCACAAAACACACTGTAAAATAATAGACTATCATAGACTGGGTAAGAAAATTTTTGTGAAATGTATCTGATAAAGGACTTATACCATGTATAAAGAACTCAGAAATTAAAAGAAAAAGATTATCCAACAAAAATGGGAAAAAACATTTGTTTGGATACTTTACAAAAGAGAACATATGAATGGCAAATAAGCAATTAAAAGATGTTACACATTATTTAAAATGATCATAATCTTATGTTACTTTGTGAAATAATGTGGTTAGATTTTGCAGCAAATCATTAAGCATTACCAATTCAGTGGAGAGATAAGCTTAGAACCAGAAGTGAATAGAAATTTCCAAAAATCCTAGAAGCTGAATTTTCAGAGGATAAAGAAGGAAGAGATTTGAGCCAATCTTTTTTAATCTTTTCTATGTCTTAAAGTCAGGAGAACCCACTGTAAACTAGATTATATGGTTTAGATACAGAAAAAAATGTATAAGAATGATTGGCTGTGGTTAGCTCTATAGGACGTGATTATGATTGACATATATACCATCATATTTTCACTTCTCTATATATCTCATTTATCACAATGAAACTATATTATTTAATAATTAAAGATAATAAATTTAATAATTTAAGATGCCTTTTAAATATTCCTAATTATAAAAATACATTCCTATCAAACCAAAAAAAGCATATTAAATTATCTAACCCCATTTTGGAGACTGAAGTCACTGATAATAAAATCTTAAAATATGTATGAACACACATAAAAACCTGAGGGCAATTTTATTTTCTACCCTGTCACTAGACATAAAGAAAGTAGCACCATTCAAACAATATCACTAGTTACTTTGCCTTTTATTAACAATAGGAACTTATGAGATTGATAGAATGCCAAACCACAGGTGAAGGGCGCAATCAGTCTCAGTAGACATTTATCAGGAGTACATTGCAAAGCAATTAAGATTACTATTTAAATTGGTGCAGTTCATCTCCTTGGAATGAAAGGGCACATTGAGAATACAAGGGCCACACCCAGTTTATAAGTGTTCTTAAGGCAAGTCAGAACTAGCACACATTGAAGGGATGAATAGTAAATGGACAAACTACTCAGCAATACCTGATGAAGAAAGACTGAATGAAAAAAAGTATTAGGGCTATTTAAAAATCAAATTTACATCAATTTTAAAAATGGAATCTTTGCACTACAAAGAACAGGTTTATTTAAAAACTTTTAATATGTTTTCCTTTGATTTGATTAATTGAATATACTTAAAAGAGTTCACAAAGACAAAGTAGGGATTTTGATTGTCATTCAATAAAAAAAAAAAGAATCCTCATTTCAAATTTGCAGACTCCTGGTATGCAGAAGATCTGCCAAGACTTCTTGATAAAATGTCATCATAGTTCAGTCACAAAAGAAGAATAAGCACTAAGCAGAGCAAGCTTCATCGTTATGTTACCTGTGCAGTTACACAGAATCCTGAGTTTAGCAGGACCCACACTTGGTTTAATGCTCTGCTATATTGTCTTGAAATTCTTAATATTTTCTGTATAAGGCCTATATTTTTATTTGTACTGGGTCCCTAAAATTATCTATCCCATTCTTAGAGTCACAATAACTAAAGTGAGGAGATGAGGAGGAAAAGGATTCCAAGCAGAACAGAAAATGGGCTAAAATCAGAAATTCCTGTAGCACATGACTTCATAAAAAATGAAAATAGCACTGTATTCTTACAGATCAAAAGGAAAAAATTGCATTTGGCAAGGCCTGTGCACTAATGAAAAAGTCAAATTATTAAGTTCCTTTTTAGGCCAAATTACAGATACTGTTTCAGTTCAAGAACTCCAGAAAGCAGATGCCAAGATATAATTAGAAATGTAAAAGATTTATTGCCAAAAATGCCAGCAAAACTTTATAGTAGTTAGGGAAAACCTTCATACCATAATGCAAGGCTGACATTTGAGGGAAGAAAGGGAGATTGTTTAAGAAGAGTTGAAGAGTGTTGTACAGCACCAGTGAAGTCTTACCCAGGCTGCCCACTACAGGAGTCCTGTATTGGTTACTAATAGTCCAGTTCTAGAACTTTTCCACTGTGCTCAGTCATTGGCTGGCAGCAGCTTGGAGAGTGACTCATCTTGGTGTGGGCCCTGAGGAAAATCCTACAAATACATATTGACAGCTAATGTTACCCCTGACAAGTTCTCTCCTGAAAAGAGATTTGAGTACAGTTTTAGAGGTTTCAAATCGGCCTTGTTAAATCAAGTTTAGCCTAAAGCTGTCTCCTTTTATATTTTAAGTTTGGCCTAAAGGTTTTGTTATGGGCAGGTCTTTGTTGTTAGAGCTTCCAAGATGGTGGCAAGCCTTTTGTTCTCAACCTGGGGTTCTTGGACTCACGGATTCCAAGGAATGGAAATGTGGGCCATGCGGTGAGTGTTACAGCTCTATTAGAAGCTGTGGGTCACGGAAGAGAACCGTGGAACCCAGTGACCAGTGTTCAGCTTGATTAGGACGAACCTGGGCACTTAGCCATGCAGGAACAATGGTGAGCCTTTAGCCTGATCGGGAGCGGCAATGGGCGCCTCACTGGATCAGAAATGCAGCAGACACTTTGCCGGATCCAGAGGGGTGGAAGTCAGTGGCAGGTCTGCGATGGCGGCAAACAGCAGTGGTGGACAATGAGCAAAAGCTCAACTCAAGCCATAACAAACACAGACCAGAAGAGTGTGCAGTTGCAAGATTTAATAGAGTGAAAACAGAGCTCCCATACAATGGAAGGGGACCCAAATGGGGTTGCCCACTCCCGGCTCAAATGCCTGGGGTTTATATCCCAATCATTGTCTCTCCCCCTGTGCTCTCAGGTGATACATGATTTGACTATTTATTTGCTTCCTGCTTTTAGCCTAATTTGTATTTTAGTGAACCCTCTTTACTATCTCATTGGTCGGATGTGAGCTTAGTTACAAGCCCGGTGATTAAAGGTGGGTGCGTTCACCTTCCCAGCTAGGCTTAGGAATTCTTAGTTGGCCTAGGAAATCCAGCTAGTCCTGTCTCTCAGTTTCTCTGTACATAGTGAACTATAACCTAAATGGAGGTCTAAAGAGACTGTATAACCTACTTTTGTGCAGTCACCAAGTTTTGGCCAGTCAAAGGGGACCGACTGTTCAAACCATGTTCAAATAAGGCAAATGGCAAGCTGTAACCAATTTGGCTGTTTGTGTACCACACTTCCATTTTCTGTACATCACTTTTCTTCTTCTGTCCATAAATCTTCCACAACATGGCTGTGCTGGAGTCTCTCTGAATGTACTCTGGTTGGAGAGACTGCCCAATTTGTGAATAGTTCTTCACTCAATTAATCTCAGTTAAATTTGGCTAAGCATTTTCTTTCAACAGGTGGTGTCAGAAGTGGGATTTGAAGTAGAGCTTCCAGAAACTTCCAGGAGCACTGAGTGACCAGGCAAGGTATCTGCCAGGCCCACTGTGTGGATTGTGCTCTTGCAGCAACTGGGGATCATGGTAAGTGCTCTCTCAGATTTTAAAGCTCCACAGATTTTTGTTTTGAGTTCCCTGAGTTTGAGAAAATTTCTGATCCAAATTGGGTATGAAAGTTACAACAGGGACTGTTCTGGGTCCAGGATTGGAGTGGATCCAACAGTTAACTGGCTTGGATCCAGTTAGATGCCTCTTATGTCTGACTGAGTCAGAGACAAAAAAAAAAAAAAACACAAAAAACAGTAGTAAATGGCAATATTGCAGTGGGTATAAACTTCAGCTTCTGGAAATTTGCAGGGATTATTTTGTTCTATCCCCATTTTTTTCTTGCATATTAATGTAGGGGAAAAATCATTGGCTAAGTTGATCTGAGAGCTAAAGCCAATATTTGAGGTAAAAATGGGGTCCTTGATTTCTGAAAAACTGAATACCTTCTGGCTTGTACTTGCATAAGTATTAGGCCCCAGAAATAGCAAAGTCTTACAGAAATGGTAAAATCTTACTAAAGATCATTTAAAGTTAAAGTAGAACATTCCAAATGAACCACATTGTGCTTGAGGAAGTGCATTTGAAAATTAGGACTCCTGAATTAATTTCATCTAGCGATGTCTGTTGATATGCAGAAGCTCCTGAAAAGATTTCAGTATTTTTATTTAAAGACTCTTTATAAAAGGCAAATAAAAACTTAAGTGACTAATTGATAAGAAAAATTAAATCTGCTAACCTTTTGGCTTAGGTGCTATTCTACCTAAAGGTGAAAAGAAAAACCTCTTCTAAATAAAGTGTTTATAAAACATAGGCCCTCAAGTAAAATTGCTTCTTTTTCAGATCTATCCATGAAGAGGCCAGGCATAAAGAATGCTTTCTTTGCCCCATTCTTTAAAGGGCTCTACCCTGAACTCAGTAATTTTAGTAATTTTGACTAAGAAAAAGTAACTAAGTTAAAAAGAACACCTATCAAACTAAAATACAACTTTTTGTAATTTAATTGGCTATCTTGAAACCATTCTGTAAAAGAAATGTACATCTACAAAGGAAATCTCCATTTTTAAGGATGTCTGCCTATGTGCATTAGAAACTCTTACCATTGTTTTAAATTTATATAATAAGTCAAACCTTTGTATAAGGTGCTTTTCTGGCCATCTCATCTTGATGAAACTTTTACTTGACACCACTTTTTTTCTCTTGGTTTGTGCAAATGACACTGTTTAGGCCTAAAATCTTAGCTCTGTATTTATGAAATACAAATTTCTTGTTTCACTTAAGAGTTGTCCCTTCAGGAATGCCTTTTTTTCCCCTTAGTTAACAATTGCTTAGAGCAATGAAATGGGTAATTGGAGGATTAATAGTCTGAATGCAGAAAAGAAAAACTAACAGCTGGCTAATGATAATTCTTTATGAAAGCTATGAGATTTGCTTATGTGTGTTTGTATGTCTATATATATTATGTGTATGTGATTGTTGATGAAAAAAGTTAAACTCTGTAAAATATTTTAAGAGATTTATTCTGAGCCAAATATGAGTGACCATAGCCTATGACACAACCCTCAGAGGTCCTGAGAACATGTGCCCATGGCAGTTGGGGTACAGCTTGGTTTTATATATTTTAGGAAGGCATGAGACATCAATCAAATACATTTCAGAAATACGGCAGGACATGGTGGCTCACACCTGTAATCCCAGCACTTTGGGAGGCCGAGGCGGTGGATCACAAGGTCAGGAGTTCGAGACTAATCTGGCCAACATGGTGAAACCCTGTCTGTACTAAAAATACAAAAAATAGCTGGGTGTGGTGGCTGGTGCCTGTAATCCCAGCTACTTGGGAGGCTGAGGCAGGATAATCGTGCTTGAACCTGGGAGGCAGAGATTGCAGTAAGCCGAGATCGCACCATTGTACTCCAGCCTGGGTGACAGAGTGAGATGCTGGGGAAAAAAAAAGAAAGAAGGAAGGAAGGAAGGAAGGAAGGAAGGAAGACATTGGTTCAGTTCAGAAAGGCGGGACAACTCAAAGCAGGGGCTTCCAGGCTATAGGTAAATTTAAACATTTTCTGATTGACAATTGGTTGAGCTTATCTGAAGACCTGGGATCAATGAAAAGGAATGTTTAGGTTAAGGTAAAGGATTGTGGAGACCAAGTTTTATTGTGCAGAGGAATCTCTCAGATAGTGAACTTCAGAGAGAGAGTAGGTTGTAAAATGTTTCTTATCAGACCTAAAAGGGTGCCTGGCTCATAGCTGATTATCTCCTGGGTTTTGGAAGGAAAGAAGAAAGGAAAACAAAGGGGAAAAGGGATATAGAACGTGGGTTTTTCCCACAAGAGACTTTGCAGGGCAATTTCAAGGTATAGCTAGGAAATATAATTTGGGGTAAAACATTTTGATTTTCTCCTTTATTATGCCAGAGTCAGATTGGAAAGTAAGTCATGACATACAGGGTCAATTAAAACCAATCTGATGAGAATTTATGATTTTGTAGGGCATGACTCTCCAGACCCCTTAGGTTGGCATTTGGGCAAGATAAAAAATCAGAGTTTAGTCCTCACCAATATGGCCCCTTCTTTCCTGCTTTTCCTGTTTTGTCTCCTGGCTGTTTTGAGAGAGTTAGACAGGCTCTAACCTTCATAGATGTGGTGACTGTTCTAAATTGCTGTAATAGTTTATGACCAATGTTTGGTTTGTCAAACCCATATGCTTGGAAAGACGATCAAACTTCAGGTACATTTCTGCTACCCAATGTGCCACTTAAACATTTATAGAAGGATTTGAATTGAACCTTTGTCATGTTCAGTGCATGTTTTCTGGTTGTAAGAAAGCTTTCCCATGCAAAAGGGCTGATGTTGTAACACTAGCTCATATACCAAAGTGTACTTTCACCAGATTAAGAAAGCTTTTTATGGTCTCCTGACTGAGAACAGTCAACTTCTTCACAATCTAGAACCCAAAGATTCAATCTTCTGAGAACATCATAGAAAGATTGCCCTTGCCATCCACACTGAAGCAAAACTTGGGAACGTTGAACCTTGGGTTCATAATCTTACAACTCAGAAGGTTCCCTCCACACTCTTGAATGTATAGCCATTGGAAACCTTAAGGTAAAGCTAATCAGGGAAGTTTATCCCCAGTCTCCCCAGAAGCAGACGGCACGCTTGACATGGACAACTTTTTTCCCAAGACCATGAATCAAGATATCTTTGCTCTCGTGAGATACTTATCTTTCTATTTTTTTAAAAAATTAAGCCTATATGAACTATAGAAATGAAAAATAAGTCTTTCATGTGCATTTGTGAGGTATACTTTTATTTAAGAAAAATTTTGTAGCCAGCCTTATACATGACAACCTTTTGCCCTGATAGGTGGAAGACAAAATGTCAATGCATGTGAAAATTCTTAAGAATATATCTGTTGCCTCATAATCAGTCTGAAACAGAATATTGGCTCACTCATCTTGACATGCATCATGGGTTAAAGCAAAGGTTGCCAAGAGGTCTTCGTTCTTCTAGATGGACATGATTTATTAGGTCTTTATGTCATGGTTTGGAGTAAATGAGGCAATGATTAAAAATTTAATTCCTCATGATAGGCTGTGTAGGAGATTTTAATATAAAGGCTATGGTTACACAGCAGACTTCAAATTACCTTGTGAAAGTTATACTAAATAATAGACTTGTTCTAGATTACTTACTGGCTAAACAGAGATGTATTTGTGCAGTTGTTGGCATGTCTCATTGCACATGGAGAAATACATCAGTATTATATTCAATTGCAGGGAATTAGCAAACAGACTGGTTGGATAAAGCCAGTAGACTTTTACCTAACTTATTATTTGATCTATTTGATTTTAGTGTGTTGGGTTCATGGGTACCTTGGCTAAGGAGCATACTCCAAACTCAATAGTCATAATAGTAGTCTCTCTGGTACACTGCATTCTCTCAAAAGTCTACAATGTTTGCATGCAGCCATCTACAGAATGTCAAACTGTATATCTTCACCTGGAATGGAAAGACCTGAAAGAAATGTGTGACCATGTGGGCACCATAACCTATTAATGACATGCTAAGACCAGAAACCCAAAATGGTGGTAACTGAGAGTGCTGCTAAGGCCCTAAGTTTTGACCATATGCTCACCAAAGTGAGAACTTGACCAAAAGGGGGGAAATTTTAAGCAAAATTGTGGAAGGCCTTTGTTTCTGTCTGAGCTCATGCACTAGACCCCAACAGACCAGACCAAACTAAAATAGGATCATTTATGGTATATGTGACATAGTCAAACTAAGACTTTAAGGAAACAGATAGATCCTAGAACAGACCAGTTTTTGCTTTTCTCCTGTAAATAGGATATTCCAACACAAGGAGGGATGCTGTACAATAATTGTTAAAAAAGAATAACCTGAAGTCTTTGTTTCCACCTTAAAAAACCCACTGTTCTGCTATTTTCCAGAGCGTTTTGAGACCAAATAAGTACAGAGTATTTTGAGACACAATAAGTACATTTACGATGGTGATAGTAACATCAATAACTAAAGTTTTGGTCAATCTCAAAATTTAGAGGATGACCAAAATTGGGGAAATGTTAAGTTTAACCTAAAGCTGCCTCACGTATTTTAAGTTTGGCCTTAAGGTTTCTTCTATATAGTGAACTATAATCTAAGTATAGTTGTAACAGACTGTAATCTATTCTTCTGCTAATCACCGAGTTTTGGCCAATCAGCTGTTCACACTGTAACCAAATAAGGCAAATGCCAAGCTGTAACCCATCTGCTGTTTGTATACCTCACTTCTATTTTCTGTAAATCATTTTCCTTCTCTCCATAAATCTTCTGCCACATGGCTGCACTGGAGTCTCTCTCAGCCTACATGGGTTGGAGAGGCTGCCCAATTCGTGAACTGTTCTTTGCTCAATTAAACTCAGTTAAATTTAATTTGGCTAAGGATTTTCTTTTAATACCCTTCTAGAGTTTGGTCATTCTTACCTGAGAAGCCAAGCATCCAACATGGTGGTTATCCAATAGCCAAGTGTGTCATTCCAATTATAGAATTGGAAATTGGCAAAATAATCAATTGTTGGATCTCTTGACACTGCAGAGATGGTCTAAGCTGAATTTTAGCCAGGAATCCATTTACAACATGGCTGTCATATGTCACCAATCAGGAGGTTATGATTATGCTTTTTATCTTCAAGTATTAATGTCAACTAACAACCTGGGTCTAATTGTCTTTCAAATGTTGTGATACTTCTCTTTCCCCAGCACTCACTCAACAAAGTAAACGACCATAGATTCCTCTGGGGAAGTACTAGAGGAATCTTTGTAGTATGTACTTGCTGTTGTATTATAGGATCGTTCCTCCTGTAAACTTAGATATCTCCTTTTTCAGTGGTATACAGACTTTAAAATTGACTCAGGCATGAAAACTGAGCAAGAGATTGAGACTTCATATCTGGGTTATTGTCCTCAACCTATTGCTCCTTCACTTTTGACTTCTGATTGTAGATATTAAATAGAAAACTGGGTAATTGCCCTGCTATTTGTCCCTAGGGATGCCACGTTCCATTAACTATCTACACAACCACCTGTGGGTCAAGACTTCTTGAGTATCCCTTGACATTGACAGTCATTATAAAAATTATCACCCCTCTGCCTTTGGATAGTTAAATACTACCACTACCAATAACAGCAATTTCTTTTGGGACCCATCATCCCCATTGTGCCATTTAATAAGCCAATTTTGGGTTCTAAGGCTGCCTGTCCTACTGGCAGCCTTGACTTACCTATGAAGCAACAGTGAACTTCATGATATAATTGCCAGTACCTTTTTCACCAGCATGTTTTTGGTGATCTTGGTGAAAGTTGTGTCCTCTGGGTCTTCTTCTGGAGCATAATGCTGTGGTGACTCATATAATATAATTATTTCAGCTAGCCCATATTTCTAAACCATATTATGATTTCTTCTACTATCTGACATTTCAACCCAAACATCTTTTACTTTTGCTCAGCATTAGCCTCCACTTACTCCATTCTTCTAACATCTATTCTAGTCATAAATTCTCTGTATCCCATGGAATATCTGCCAAGGTGTTAAAGCCTATGTCCCAGATATGTTCCTCTAAGTTGATTTATTCTTGTTTATCCACTCTTATATTCTAGTTTACCTAAAAATTTGATGATATATTTAGCTTGTCTTTACTGATGCCTATTTTCTCCTTTGGTAGTCATATTGAATAGAGTCTAAGTTTCTCAGTATATCTATCTTTGTCTTTCTTCTCTATCTCTCTCTCTCTCTCTCTCTCTCATACCCTTTTCTCTAACAATATCTAAGAAAACAAAATTGATAGGTTTCTCAGCTTAAGGCTATTCTCTGCCTCTTTAGATTTACTATGTAGGAGTCAAACCCATTTCCAATCACTGTGGGCACATAAATTCTCTAATAGCTATTTTCAAGTTTGCTTTTCTTAGTTTGAGATAAAGAAGTAGGAAACTTACTCCTTTCTTTTGAATGGGGGCAGACATCATTAATCACATCAATGTGACAATTATCTCTAAATAAATCATTTACTTCAGATCCTCTGTAATCTTCAACTTTAGACCCTTTCATAATACCCATGTGTTTGAGGACTTTAAGAGTCATCTAAGCCCTTCTCTCATACTTAATTTTTCAATGTTAACTTTAGGTTAGTACCTCACTTCAGGTTATCCATATGCATTTATCTTGATGTTTCAAGGTACTTCAAATTTAACATCAGTTACAATTGCATGGAGTAATTTTAGCACTTTCAGTTAAGTGACAGATTGCAATGAGTATGAGGTAAAAAATGGAGAAAGCAAGAGTAGCCTACTTTGTCAAGAGTGCTTACTGTTGCTAGAAGGGGATAGGTAAACCAGTATATGAAGAAGTAATGGAGTTTCTCAAGGGAGATTGTTTTGTTTTGCTTTATTTTTTAAATGTAGGCAATTAAAGTATGTTACATTATTTTGAGAAGGAGCAAGTCAAAAGAAAAAGATTGTTGATAAAAGAGAGAAGATAATGTATAGTCCATAATCCATATATATATACACATATATATATATACATATATGTGTGTATATATATATAGAATCATTAGGATTCAGAGTACTGACAATGTAAAGGAAAAGCTAAGGAGAAAAACAGACAGGTCATATATATATAAGCAAGTTAGTAAGACTGATAATCATTCCTCTTTTATTTCTTCTCCTTTCACTCTAAAGTTGAAGTTGAAAGCATCTCAAATGATTGAGAGATAATTTTAAAAGGAAATTGAAATAAGTTCCCTGGAGTTTGGTAATTTATCAGTCATCAACTGTCTGATGTTTTCTTCTCCTCAGAAAAAAAAATAAAATAAACCTAAGAAGCTGCCTGAAGCTATCAGTGGTTATATGGTGTGGAGTCAGGATGGAAAACATTGTACAAGCTGCACTTCCATTTGACATTATAATAATATGTGAGCTACTTAAGAGGTAGAAAGCAGAAAAGTATGTAGCTAAGAGATATGGGAGAATTAAATCTAAAAAAGCTGCACTTCTGAAAAAGGGGAATGGGTAAATCCTATGAGCGATGGTAGATGGGAGATGGGGTGCAGTCATTAAAGATAGCCAAAGTATTGGTGTTTTATTGAGTTTAGCATGGGAGAGTGTCTCTGCAAAACTCACTAATATGCTGTATGAAATAATTTGGATGCTTGTCACAATGCAATGGAGAGCATAAGGGCCAACAAGAGTCAGCCAAAAAGTAGTTAAAATCAGCATAACAACATAAAAATATCTAATACATTTCCCTCTCCTCAAACTTGGAGTACAGATAAGATTCAGATTGGGGAAGAAAATGAAGCCAGAAGAGAGAAAAAACAATAGCTAATAGCCTTTCCTATTGTTTAGCCTCTGATTTTAATAAAGGGAAACAGGAGAAGACTTGAATGGAGTATACTCCATGTAATTATTTATATTTACATTTACATTTTGTAACTTAAAGCTTTTTAACACTAAAAATTGAAAACTAGTCGTCTATATTTCCTTTACTGCATTCATTCCTGCATGTAATCAATAGATATTTAAGCTCTACTATGTGGCAGATACTGGGATATGCACTAATGGCATAAAGATAAATAAGAAACATGTTGGTTCTTGAGAAAACTATAGAGGGATATATTTAGCAAACTCAGTTGTTGGTCAGTTATACCTAAGAAAAACGTACTAAGAACAACTTTCTAAAAGAAATAAAGCATGAGTAACATCTTAAAAGATAAGTAGAATTTCAGCAACTAAACTTAAATGATTTATTCAAAGAAAAATGCAGAAAAATTTCAAGCAAAGTGTTCAATGTGAATAAATAATAATAGACATATATAACCTCTATAACCTGGCTCTAGTTTGTTTAGAGAAAGCTTGTCCAACCCATGGCCTGTGGGCTGCATGTAGCCCAGGATGGCTTTGAATATAGCCCAACACAAATTTGTAAACTTTCTTAAAACATTATGCACCACTGCCTTTATTTTTATTTTTTATTTTTTTCAGCTCATCAGCTATTGTTAGTGTTAGTGTATTTTATGTGTGGCCCAAGACAATTTTTTCTTCAGGGAAGCCAGAAGATTGAACACCCTTGTTTAGAGCAAGAGTCAGCAAACTTTTCTGTGAAAAGCCAGAAAGTATTTTAGGCTTTGCAAGTAAAATGGTCTTTGGTGCAACTACCCAACTCTGCCAATGTAGGCAAAAAGCAGCCATAGAAAAAACATAAGTAAATAGATATGGCTGCATTTCAATAAAATTTCACGTATAAGAACAGTTGGTAGCATGGGTTTGGTCCTCAGACTATAGACTACTGATCCCTCTTCTAGAGCATAGAAGCATCGTTTTAATTTTAGAGTTTGAGGTGCACTTTTGAAATCACTTTTACAAAAATCATGACTGTGATAGAGATTTAACATCGCTAACTCCATCTTGCTTCTAACCTCACCAGTTAACTGCTTTTGTTAACTTTAAAAGACTAATGATAGTAATACCTTCCTGAAACTAACTTCCTTTTTGCTTGTGGACTAAAACCACCTCTGTAAGACTAATGAAAGTGTTATTGGAAAGGGGTCCTGATCCAGACCCCAAGAGAGCATTCTTGAATCTCATTCAAGAAGGAATTCTGGGTGGATCCACAGTGCAAAGCAAAAGCAAGTTTATTAAGAAAGTAGAAGGGTGAAAGATTAGCTACTCCATAGATAGAGCAGGGCTTTCTCAAAAGAGGAGGAACGTGCCCACCCTAGGTACAATGCTTGTTTATATATAGGATAACAAAAAAATATCATAGGGAGATGTGCTCTACTACAAGGGTTTGTGATAAAGGATTAACTTTATAATTACTATGTTTTGCAAAAATTGATATTATCTTTAAAGCAAAATTAGGAATGTTTTTGTTCTCAAGATATTGGGGTATCAGGACTTTCCTGGGACTGGGTCTGTTTAGTAAACATTATTGCTCAGTTCCCTTAACCATAAACATCTAGAGGCTGGGAATGCCTAGTCTCCTGGGAACCCAGCCCAGCAAATCCCAGCCTTATATTTTCTAGCCCTCATTCAAGATGGAGTATCTCTAGTTGGAATGCCTCTGACAAAAGGCCAAAGGTTAAGATTATGGGAGAAGCCTCAATTCTACTAAGATGTAGGCATAGTTAAACAATAACCAGCTATTGTTCCCTAGCTTGCTTTTCTATTATTGCCCAAGACTCATGTAGCCGTGGGTACAAGATTAATCGTTTCCTTAATTGCTTCTATAGATAACATCACTATTTTCAAAACCTAAGACTGATCTTTGAGATATTTTTCAGGCTTTTTCATTTGGGTAAATGAACTGACTCCAGCCAGACTTGTGACTCATACCAAGGAACTCACTCAACTGGTCCTGTGACCTCACCCAGAAACTGACTCAGCACATGAAGACAGTTTGGATATTCCTATAATTTCATCTCCAACCAATCAGCAGCACCTGTCATCTAGCCCCCTGCCCTCCAAATTATCCTTAAAAACCCTAGCCTCCAAGCTCTCAGAGAGGCAGAATTGAAAAAAATCTCCCATCCTTCCACTCCCCTTGAAATAATTAAACTCCTTCTCTTATATGAAACACTGTCTCAATGAATTGGCTTTATTTGTGCAGGGAGCAATAAAAACTCCTTGGGCTGTAACATTTTGGTGACAAACTGGATATGCTGATAGGCATTATGAAGATTGGAAGGTGAATGCTCTGTGGAATATTTCTCTCTAATCAGATATTTGCATCCTAAAACAACTAATTACACCTCCAAACCTATTTCCCATATCAATCAATGATATCCCCTTATATTAGTCAGAGAATATCAGAAGTACTTTTTCTTCTACAGTTCATAGCTTATCTTACTTTTATACCTTAGCAGCATCATTAATATAACAGAGGAAACTCAGGAAAGAATATTTGATATGAAAGAATATTAAGGACTATACATAGCTTTTGTGTTCTAAGAAATTTAAATACATAATATAAAAATTCCTTGATCTAGAAGGCCTTGGTGCTGCCTTAGGAA
The DNA here is from genome assembly GCF_000001405.40 of Homo sapiens. NCBI lineage: Eukaryota > Metazoa > Chordata > Mammalia > Primates > Hominidae > Homo > Homo sapiens. Next base: position 87,441,038 of record NC_000012.12, read on the forward strand.
GTTTGCCACAGGAAAACTCAAGAAATGTTAGGAATGGTTGTCCTACCCACCCCCATGTGTTCAGGCCACTGTGTACTGTGAAATGGACAGAGAGGGTGGTTGGGAGGAAAAATGTAGACATTGCTGTAAAAGAAGGGACCCTATTCAGAGAAGGTTTGCAAGGTAGCTCTTCAACATATTGAAAAATAATCCCTAAACTAGGATAAAGGAAAACATAAAATGCTTTTCTTTTCCACAGGGTAAGAGTACTATAAAATGTAGAAATCTTGACCTTGTAGGAATGGAAAGGGGGTATGTCTTTTATCATAAAGGGTGACAGTCAACACTTCTCTAACAAAAGATCAGTTAACAAGAGAAAAGAATAGCAGATTTATTTGATAATAGCTTTCTAAGATATGAAAGTCTTCAGAATAGTGACCCAAAAGATACAGGGAAAACTGTTCAGTTTTTACACTTTGGGTTTTATGAAGCAGGGGCAACTGTGCAGATATGTGATTGAACAAAAGAGTCTGAGCTAAGCAGATTGAGTGGGAAAACTCAACAAGATCTGTGTGCTCAGTAATATTCCTCTTTGATTCTCCCATAAAGGAAAAAAAAAACCAGAATTCCCCCACACTTATTTTGCAAAAGAGAAGATTACTCCTGGACACTGAGCCATTGCAACACCCTCTTCCAAGTGAAGAGCTGTTGCTAACGTTATGCATCAGCCAGATTTCCACAGAAAGGTAAAACGATCTTGGCCATCTGCAAAGGACTGTCCCAAGAGATCAATTATAGGCAAATTCCTTGTTGGTCTCCCATAAACGAGGACATTTCAATGGTAATTTTAGGTCTAGAATCTAAGTCTAGCTCCTAAAACTAAAACCTGTTCAATTCCACACTGAAAATGTCCATTACAAGCTTACCTTCCCAGATGCAGAACAAAGTCAAGACTCATTCCTTCACCTCCCCAGAGATGTTTACGTAATCGACTCTTCCTTTACTACCTTTTTCTCTTAAGACACTTACTTTATCTCATGTAAAATGTGTATTTACTGGGGACTAAATAAAGTCTCCCAGGAATGTAACTATTTGTTTTACCACCTACCTGCTCCTCTACCTGTATGCCTTCCCCCACTTTAAGAAAATGAGCAAACACTAAACCTCCTGAAAAATATCTTTAGAAAAACAGTCACACATGTGTCTGTGGCATGTGTTTTCTGGGACATACCCTAAAGATGGCTTAATAAAAACCTTGATGATTGAAACATATGCCCTAGTCACTCTATTTGGTTGTCACTTTTTATAGCATTTCTTTCGCCTAGGTAGGGGACAGGACTCCTCTGGAATAAAGGCCTTGATTAATTTAAGGGCAGCTGTTACATAGAAAATCTAGGGAAGTTTAGAATAATATTTTTAGGTTTTACAGCTGGCTTTGGGGAAAAGGGGGTCTGGTTTCTATGATCCATCTTGGTGAAGAGGAATTCTAGTTTCTATGGCTTGACCCAGGAAGGAATGAGGGGCAAGAGACAGGAGGGCAAGAGAAGGTCAGAAAGAAACTTTGCTTCTGAGACCTCCAATCTGCAGTATCATTTTCTGAGCCCCAACACCACTCTAACTACCAATAGCTCAGTAGCATTACAAGACCCCACCACTTACCCAAAGGTAGCTTTTGGGTCAGGGTTTCTGCACTGTAATTGCTTCTTTGGTCACCAGAAAGATGTTACAGGACCCCACCACTCACCCAAAGGTAGCCATTGGTCAGGGTTTCTGCACTATAGTCCCTTCTGTGGTCACCGGAAATACATTACAGGGCCCCATCACTTACCCAAAGTTGGTGGTTTCCTCACTATAGTCCCTTCATGGTCGCCAAAAATATGTTACAGGAAAGGGATCCCAATCTAGATCCCAAGAGAGGGTTCTTGGATCTCACACAAGAAAGAATTCAGGGCAAGTCCGCAGTGCAAAGTAAAAGCAAGTTTATTAAGAAGTAAAATGGTGAAAGAACAGCTACTCTACAGAGTAGGACATTCCTGAAAGTAAGAAGTGGAATGCGTCCACCCTAGGTACAATACTCATATATGGGGAGATGTGCTCTGCTACAAGGGTTTGTGATAAAGGATTAATTTTCTTAATTACTATATTTTGCAAGAATCAATACTATTATCTTTAAAGCAAAATTAGGAATGCCTTTGTTCTCCAGATATTGGGATATCTGGACACTCCCAAATCTGGGTCTGTTTAGTAAACATTGTTAATTTGTTCCCTTAACTGTAAACATCTAAAGGTTAGGAACACCTAATTTTCTGAGAATGCAGTCCATCATTCTCAGAAATGCTGAGAATGAGTCTCAGCCTCATTTTCCTAGCCCTCACTCAAAATGGAGTCTCTTTGGTTCGAACACCTCTGACAATAATAGTACCAGTACTTGTGAATCTTAAAAAAAAAATTGTCAGGAGTGGAGAAGAAATTTTAGGAGAGAAAAGAGATGCTGAATTGGCTTAGCAAAACTACAGCCTATAATTTTCTTTTTTTTTTCTTTTTTTTAGAGACAAGGTCTTGCTCTGTCACCCAAGATGGAATACAAAGAAATGGCATGATCGTAGCTCACTGTAGCCTCAAACTCCTAGCCTCAAGCAATTCTCCTGCCCCCGCCTCCAAGTAGCTAGGACTACAGGTATGTGCTACCATGCCAGGCTACTTTGTTTTGTTTTTGTTTTTGTTTTAGAAACAGGGTCTTGCTATGTTACCCAGGCTGGTCTCAAACTCCTGGCCTCAAGTGATCCTGCTGCCTTGGCCTCCTAAAGTGCTAAGATTATAGACATGAGTCACCACACCTGGCCCAAAGACTTTTATGTTTTATGACAGTGTCTTAATTTTAAAGGTTTTGTTTTGTTGTTATTGTTTTTGAGGCAGGGTCTCTCTCCATTGCCCACACTGGAGTGCAGTGGCACAATAATAGCTCAATGCAGCCTCAAACTCCTGGGTTCAAGCAATCCTTCTGCTTTAGCCTCCTGAGTAGCTGGGACTACAGACATGCACCACGATATCCAGCTAATTTTTCTCTTCGTCCAGACAAGTTCTCACTATGTGCCCAGGTTGGTCTTGAATTCCTGGTCTCAAGTGATCCTTCCACCTCAGCCTCTTGAGGAGCTGGGCTTACAGGTGTGAGTCATCATGCCTGGCCCTATAATCTCCTGAGTTGGGCAAATTCAGTGCCAAACTAGGGACCTATGCGAGCATGAGCCACTGTTTTCTAACGCTTCCTACATCAATTGAGATATTGGCCAGTATGGGAACCTTGATACCTTCCTGTGAAAAGAAAGAATGAGCCCTAGCTGGATGACCCAACAACTACCAGAATCTTGCCCTGTTAATGAGTCAGAGGAGGAAGAGGATATAAGAATGATTTACTAAAGAGCAAATGCATGGCAAGAAGGAAAATTTAACCATAGAAACCTAGAATAAAAGAGACGCTGTTATATTTGCACATAAATAGTCTTGAACATGTGCTGCTAGTAGACCTTCACACCAAGGATTTAAAGGAAATATATGAAACTCTTTTAAGCCTAGTCCTAAGGAGAAGACTCAAGGATGAATTGTTTTGCCATAAACACATTTAAACTCTTTGTAAATGCGTGAGTTGATTTGTGTCCCTCAAAAAAGATATGTTGAAGTCCTAACCCCTGGTACCTGTGAATGTGATGTTTTTTGGAAATAGGGCATTTGCAGCTGTAATTAAGATGTTATCATACTGAATTAGGATGGGCTTGAATCCAATGACTGATGTCTTTATAAGACATTAGGCTCCTACCTGCTCACAGACCTCACAGATGCCTGGAGATAGGAGCACTATGTTCCTTAATTATATTTCAAAGGAATGACTCCCAGTTTCTTGAGAAGAACATTCCCAGGTTATAAAATTAATGAAAAGGTTTTAAAAAGATTTGCATCTCAAAGTGGTAGAGAAAGAATTTACAATTACGTATTTTCTTAAAATAAATGTTCTGAGAAAAGAAAAGTCTTGGGCCTTAGGGCAGGAAGAAACTTGACTAAAGTTAGCCAAGTTAAGGGAGTGTGAAGGGTTTCTTGGTCAGCTTCCAGAAAGAAACAACCCTGCTTCTAGCCAATACCTTGATCTCAGACTTCTAGCCTCCAAATTTTGAGAAAATAGGATTCTGTTGTTTTAAGCCCCCCAGTTGGAGGTAATTTGTTGCAGCAGGCCTAGTAAATGAGGACAGTAAACAGTGATGTGCAACTGAAGACATTTCTGGGATAGTGATGGTGATGTATTGTCACTGAGTTCCAAGAAGAAACACAAAGTTCGATTAATGAAAGCATCCTCCCCAGAAAAAAACACCACTATGATGAAGTAACATAAGAAATTATTTCAAGAGACTGAAGTAGTCTCTAAATTTAAATAGAATGGATAGTCATGCCTGAATGTTTATGATCACCTTAAACATCCCTCTTCGTTAGACGGTTTGTGTCTGCCTTTCCCTGCAAGGCATGATAAAAACAGGTCTTATTCAGCTATTTTTTCAGAACCTGATGTACAATTATACTCAAAAGATATTTATTGAATGAATGAATGTAAGAATTAAGATAGCCAGTCACAAAAGAGCATGACTACCATTTCTTTACCATCCAAAATGCAAACATCTAATTAGTAACTAAAGTTTGCTGCCTTTATTTTCTGTCAGTAAATCTCCCTTTGACATCTATTTAGTTACTGCTTTAATTGAGGTAGTATTCAAGATCTTGTTTCTACACTATTTCTATAATTTTCTTGTCTTTATGTTCTACTCTCATTCATTCATTATAGTGCTTTCAGTTATATATCTAAAAGTATGATTATTCTAAAATCCTTTAATATATTTATGCACCCTCTCAATTGTAGTGTAAACCCAAAAACTTATCTCTAATGTGCTATATAAAACTCCATGCTCCAGGAGAGTATCTGTGCCTTTTCACACTTTCTTCCCTTTACCTGGATTGCCCACTTTCACTTCCTCTACTCAATGAACTCATTTACCATCCCAAAGTCCAAGTTTAAACATCACTTTCTCCGTGAAGCCTGCCTAACATTGCCTCACTAATCACTCTTTTCCACGTATCTATTTTATCCCTCTCTTACCATATTTTAATGATTTTGTTAAAAGATTATTTCCCCTACTTGGATTATGTCTCACTTATATTAGCGTAACTTCCATCTCCTCAGGCCTTTGCCTTGTAGCAGTTGTCAATGTGGACCCTGGTGTGAGAATTATTGAATGGATTTATTTATTAATTTATTAAAAATGCAAGTATACCTAGTGAGATTAATTATAGATACTACAATATTAAAATATAAGCAACTAGAGGTCTAGGACAAAGTAACATAAGATAGTGGAGTCCCATGAAAGCATTATTCAGTAACTTTCATGTGCACTTACCAAGCTGTGTAAGATCTTAGTGTAGTATTTATAGGAGATGATGAATTCTCCAGAGAGATATCATGGAAGATAGTACCCATAAACTAATTTTTATCAAATTATAGACTCAAGCATCTCTATTTTCTATTATTTTCTTTAAAGTCTATGAATTATTTGTATTCTTAAATACCCAACTAGATTTTACACTGCTTAAGAAGTTCTGGATGGTTCTAATGATGAATATATTAATTTTTAATTTTTCATAGACATTATTTCCTAGTTAAGTTAAATAAATAGAGACCCCATGATATACCGACAATACAAAATTCCTGGAGAGTAAAATTTTTGCCAGAAAAAAATACACTTTTGTTTGCATTGTGACTCTGAGACTTTTAACACTGCCGAGAAGACCATGGCCTCTTTGGACATTTCACACAATGCAATTCATTTTAGCCATAAGTAAAATACCACAAAATTCACTAGGATATGAGACTAAAGCTAAAATTTACTTTGAAAAACCATTTCAACAAAAAGTTAAAGATAACAGTGCTAGTATGAGTTATAGGTATTATGGTTATAGGTATACTTAGGGAAAAAAGTATCTGTGATAGTTGCCATTCATTAAGTACAACTAATTAATTTGCTAATTCAAATTATTTTTTACCCTTATATTAAAATGAGTCCTCTGGGTAAAGATCACTCTCATTAGTAGTCCTGCGGACTAGACTGGATTATTTTATATCTCTTGTGGCAAAAAGAGTGTTGACTTTGGCATCAGACAAATCTGGGTTTGCATCTTGGCTGCACATGTAAAAACAGTACACCTGAAAGCATATTGCTTACTCTTTCTGAGGTTCAAAGATTTTCCAATATGTCCTATGGAAAGAAGTTCTGAATCTGATAAAGCAAAATGCCATTATTTGTTATGTAAACCTCACCCCCTCTTAAAAAAAGTTGATTATTTTATAAAACTACCATTTGTGCATTAAAAGTATATGTGTGTATGTGTAATATATGTAATTAATTAACTAGAAAATTTAATTACTTATTCTGTATGGCATGTATAGAAAGAAGGGGGATACCTGGGACTGTGCTTATTTGCTTATATTACGTGTGGGTATTTAAGAGCACGCATGCAGGTGTGTGTATGTATACTAAAATCCAGAGTGAGAAAGTGCCCACACTCCAAAATAATATTTCTAGTTGGGAAAAATATTTTAGCATTGTGGGGATTTATTGTCAACTCAGTGATATTCCTCTAATGTAAGACAATTCTCTTTTGCTTTTTATTTAATTGCTTTTAATTAAAGCATGGGACTTGTTCCTCAAAGAGTAATGAACTTTGACTTTGCCTGTCCCCTTCCACAAAGAGTACCCTTCTGAACATGCTAAGGTATTGAGTGATAATACGCAGAACAAAGGATTGGGTGGCTGTTTTTTTTTTTTCCATTTTTTCTTTTTTTTTCTTGTTTTGCATTTGACCCACTGAGATACAATGTAAGGCAATTAAAATTGTTGGTTGTACAGAATGCTAACCTGCTTTCTCTATGAGCTTATGAGCTTTTTGAATTTAATTGGCTTCTTTCTACACCACCATTCAAATGGTGACATGTCTGCTACTTAAGTTACCTGAGGATAAAAAGGAAAGATATGGGCAGTGGAATATGGAGCATCCTTGCCAAAAGCTGTCCTTTTCTTTATGGATGTCTGAGATTTATCGAGGTCATACACTATGTTTCTAATGTAGAGCATTATGCAACTTTGGGGAAATTCTTCTTAAGTGTAAATTAATTATCCTGTAATAGAGATATAGAGAAGAGAAAATAAAAGCCCAATTATTCAATAAATATGGTCAACATTAACTAGCATCACTGAATCCTCATGAAAATATAAGGAACTTTAGTAATAAAAAATGCAGCTGAGAAATACAGCTTTAGCTTCTCATTAAAAACACAGTTCAAATGCTTTCTCTTTGACGTCTTTCTGTCATGCAAAGTTAGTTCCTATTTTTTTCTGTGTTCCTGTACATTTTGCATATTTTTTCTGTATTACAGCCCCAACCTTTTCCCTGCATGCCTCCATCCTTCATTCTTCAAAAGCAGGGATCCAATATAATTCATTTTAGTATATTTAGCACCTCATGAAGAACCAGACATTTAATTCTTAGCAGGAGCTCAAAAATGTTTAACGAATGAATGAATGAAGCACTACATAGACCCACAAAGTGTGTGTTGTCATAGAATTAAATAGGGTCATTCACGATAAAAGTGACAGAAACTTATCTCAGGTTAACCTAAGCATAAATAATTATATTGGTTTATATAACTGGGATGTTGAAGAATAAAGCAGGGCTCACTTTAGTAAGTAAAAGAAAAATTATATTCTTGGGCTGAGACGATGGGGTTTTCTAAATATACAATCATGTCATCTGCAAACAATTTGACATCCTCTTTTCCTAATGGAATACCCTTTATTTCTTTCTCCTGCCTGATTGCCCTGGCCAGAACTTCCAACACTATATTGAATAGGAGTGGTGAGAGAGGGCATCCCTGTCTTGTGCCAGTTTTCAAAGGGAATGCTTCCAGTTTTTGCCCACTCAGTATGATATTGGCTGTGGGTTTGTCATAAATAGCTCTTATTATTTTTAGATACATCCCATCAATACCTAATTTATTGAGAGTTTTTAGCATGAAGGACTGTTGAATTTTGTCAAAGGCCTTTTCTGCATCTATTGAGATAATCATGTGGTTTTTGTCTTTATTCTGTTTATATGCTGGATTATGAAAAAAATTATTTTCTTACAGTTCTGGAAGAAAAATACTGTTCAAAACTGTGATAATCAGCTTGAACTTTTGGTTGACCTATCTGGGACCATGTACCTATTCCTATAGCTAGCTGGAGTTGAAGTAGGCTAAACCTAATTTAAAATGTACTCAAGGTTATCTAAAAATTCTATGAAGTCGCTATCAAATTTTCAATGACATTCTTCATGGAAATATTTTTTAAAATTCTAAAATTTATATGGAACCACAAAGACACTGAATAGACAAAGCAATCTTGAGCAAGAAGAACAAAGCTGGAGACATTACACTACCTGATTTCAAATAATATTACAAAGCTATAGTAATCAAAACTGTATGGCACTGTCATAAGAAGAGACACATAGATCAATGGAACAGAATTGAGAGTCTGGAAATAAATCCATGCATATATGGTCAATTGATCTTTGACAAAGATGCAAAGAATACAAAAGTGAGGAAAAGATAGTCTCTTCAATAAATGGTATTGAAAAAATTGGATATTCACATTCAGAAGAGGGAAATTGGACCCTTATACCATTCACGAAAATAAACTCAAAATGGATTAAAGACTTAAACATAAGGCCTGAAACTGTAAAGAATCCTAAAAGAAAACCTAGAGGGAAAGCTTTTTGACATTGGTCTTGGCAAAAGTTTTATAACTAAGATTTCAAAAGTACAGGCAACAAAAGCAAAGATAAAGAAGTGGGATTATATCAAACTAAAAAGTCTCTGCTGAGCAAAGGAAATAACAAGATAAAAAGACAACCTACAGAATGGAAAAATAATTGCAAATGGTGTTTCCAATAGAGGGCTAATATCCAAAATATATAAGGAACTTATACAACTCAATAGTAAGAAAATGAATAGACTGAATAGAAATGGACAAAGCACCTGAATAAACATTTTTCCCAAGGAAGACATATAAATGACTAATAGGTAAATGAACCATCACTACTCCTCAGGAAAATACAACTAAAAACCACAATGAAATATTTCACACCTGTTAGGATGGCTGTTACCAAAAAGCCTAATGATAATAAGTATTGGCAAGGATGTTAAAAAAAGGAAACTCTTTTTCTGTTGGTGGTATTGTAAATTGGTACAGCCATTATAAAAAATATTATGAATGTCCTCAAAAAACTAAAACTACCTTGTTACTCAGTAATCCCACTTCTGGGTATAGACCCAAAGTAATTGAAATCAGTATCTCAAGGAGATATCTGCAGTCCTATGACCATTGCAGCATTATTTATAATAGCCAAGATATGGAGACAACCTAAGTGTTCATTGATGGATGAAGAAAATGTAATATATATAATAGAATTTTACAGACAGACACACACAGATGCACACTGATATGATTTGACTGTGTCCCCACCCACATCTCATCTTTATTCCCATGTGTTGTGGGAGAAACTTGGTGGGAAGTAATTGAATCATGGAGGCAGGTCTTTCCTGTGCTGTTCTCATGATAGTGAATAAGTCACATGGGATCTGATGGTTTTAAAAAGGGGAGATTCCCTGCATAAGCTCTCTTTGCCTGCCACCATCCATGTAAGATGTAACTTGCTCCTTTTTGCCTCACACCATGATTGTGAGGCCTCTCCAGCCATGTGGAACTGTAAGTCCATTAAACCTATTTTTCTTCCCAGTCTTGGGTATGTTTTTATCCACAGTGTGAAAACAGACTAATATGGTAAATTGGTACCAATAGAGTGGGATGTTGCTGAAAAGATACCTGAAAATGTGGAAGTAACTCTGGAACTGGGTAACAGGCAGAGCTTGGAACAGTTTGGAGGGCTCATAAGAAGACAGGAAAATGTACAGAAGTTTGGAATTTCCTAAAGACTTGTTGAATGGCTTTGCCCAAAATGCTAATAGCGACATGGATAATAAGGTCCAGGCTGAGGAGGCCTCAGATGGAGATGAGGAACTGTTGGGAACTGGAGCAAAGGTTACTCTTGTTGTGTTTTAGCAAAGAGACTGGTGGCATTTTGCCCCTACTCTAGAGATCTGTGAAACTTTGAACTTGAGAGAGATGATTTAGGGTATCTGGTGGAAGAAATTTCTAAGCACCAAAGCATTCAAGTGGTGACTTGGGTGCTGTTAAAGGCATTCAGTTTTATAAAGGAAACAGAGCATAAAAGTTCAGAAAATTTGCAGCCTGACAATGCAATAGAAAAGAAAATCCATTTTCTGAGGAGAAATTCAAGCTGGCTGCAGAAATTTGCATAAGTAACGAGGAAATAAGTGTTAACCCCCCAAACAATGGAAAAATGTCTCCATGGCATGTCAAAGGGTCTTCATGGCAGCCCCTCCCATCACAGGTCTGGAGGCCTAGGAGAAAAAAGTGGTTTTGTGGGCGAAGCCCAGGGTCCCCATACTGTGTACAGCCTAGGGACTTGGTGCCCTGCATCCCAGCTGCTCCAGCCGCGGTTAAAAGGGGCCAAAGTAGAGCTTGGGCCATGGCTACAGAGGGTGCAAGCCCAAAGCCTTGGCAGGTTCCACATGGTGTTAAGCGTGCGAGTGCACAGAAGTCAAGAATTGGGGTTTTGGAACTTCCACCTAGATTTCAAAAGATGTATGGAAATACCTGGATGGCCAGGCAGAAGTTTGCTGCAGTGGTGGAGCCCTCATGCTAGGGCAATGCAGGAGGGAAATATGGGCTTGGGTCCACCACATCAAGTCTCTACTGGGGCACCACCTAGTGTAGCTATTAGAAGAGGGCCACCATCATCCAGGCCCCAGAATGGTAGATCCACTGACAGCTAGCACCGTGAACCTGGAAAAGCCATAGATACTCAATGTCAACCCCTGAAAGCAGCCAGGAGAGATGGTTATACCCTTCAAAGTCACAGGGGTGGAACTGTCCAAGGCCATGGGAGCCCACCTCTTGCATCAGCGTGACCTGGATTTGAGGCATGTAGTCAAAGGAGATCATTTTGGAGCTTTAAGATGTGACGGTCCTGCTGATTTTTCAGACTTGCATGGGGCCTGTAGCCCCTTTGTTTTGGCCAATTTCTCCCATTTGGAATGGCTGTATTTACCCAATACCTGTACCCCCACTGTATCTAGGAAGTAACTAACTTGCTTTTGATTGTACAGGCTCATAGGCAGAAGGAACTTGCCTTGTCTCAGATGAGACTTTGGACTGTGGACTTTTGAGTTAATGCTGAAATGAGTTAAGACTTTGGAGGACTGTTGGGAAGGCATGATTGGTTTTGAAATGTGAGAACATGAGATTTAGGAGGTGCCAGGGGCAGAATGATATGGTTTGGCTGTGACTTTCTCCTCCTTGCTTTCTGCCATGTTTGTGAGGCCTCCCCAGCTATGTGGAACTGTAATTCCATGGAACGTTTTTCTCTTCCCAGTCTTGGGTAGGTCTTTATCTGCAATGTGAAGACAGACTAATACATACACACACACACACACGCACACACGCACACACACAAATGGAATATTAATCATCCTTAAAAAGAAGAAAATTCTGTCATTTCCAACAACGTGAATAAACCAGGAGGATATCATGCTAAGTGAAAACATCCAGACACACGGAGACAAATACTGCATGACTTAACTGATATGTAGAAACTAAACAATTTGAACTCATAGAAAGAGTAGAATTGTCATTACCAGGGACAGGTGGTAGGTGAAATGGGGAAATACATGTTAAAGGGTGCAAACTTTCAGTTACAAGATGAATAAGTTCTGAAGACCTAATGAACAGCATAGTAACTAAATTGTTTATTAAGATAGTTAATAAAACTGTATTTTATACTTGAAATTTGCTAAGAGGTTATATCTTAATTATTCTTACAACATGCACACACAAAAAGGGAAATTACATGAGGTGATGGATATGTTAATTAGCTTGATTGTGGTGTTGACTTCACAGAATAAGCATATATCAAGACATGATGTTTTTACATCTTAAGTACATACAATATTTATTTGTCAGTTGTACCTCAAGAAAGCTGGGAAAAATAAAAATAAACAACATGAAATAACATGTATGGAATCGGTTTCTCATAGGAAAGTGTCTCTAAAATAAAATGGAAGTGGATGCTAAGAGGGTCAAAACACCAAATGTCTATTTCAGTCACAATTATTTAGGAGACTAAGTTTTTGGAAGCACTTAGGTAAACAAATAAAAACATGAAATCACCCAAACCAGCTATTTCTTGACTCCTAATTCTTGATGGGTTAATATATCTAACCTATCAAAGACATTCACTTATCCACCCATGCTTTCATTTATTAATTCATTTATTCAACAATTTGTTGACCCAGTACCATGCATCACACACTGTTCTTAGGTGCCACCCTAGCCAGGGAGCCAGTTTCACAGGTAGATAATTACACAGGACATCATTAGTATCTTTTGACCTTTGTGGAATATCTTATAAAACAATTAGTTTAAAGTAGTTGCATAATGGAATGATAACTAATTTATTCAAACAAAATATGATTATTATAATCAATACTGATTTTTTTTAACTATCACACTTTGATGTCTAGTTTTATTGAGATCTGGAGTAAACCAAACACAAAACAAAATATTTGGTTTATTTTATCTGTGGATATTCTATAAAATGTATCTTATTAACATTTGGGGCAGATGTTTGTTATATTTCTGTTTTTTCTTTAGTTCATTATTGTAGAAGTCAAATTTTAGTGATTTGGAGTTATATTTAAGTTAAAATTGGCACTATTAATGTAAATTTCTTATCACTTATTCTGTTCTTCCCATTATACCTTAATATATATTTTAGTACTTTACTTATGTGTAAAAATAACTTTTTTTACTAGAGGTTGATACTCCACAGATACTGAAAGAACAATGACAAAAGTGTACCTATAGGACAAACAAGCTGTTCTGGTTCCAAAATGGCATTGTAGAAGCAATCTGACTCCACTTCCCTCCCCCCACAGAAAGCCAAATACAGATATAGAGTGGAGAGATTATCACCAGCAATATCTCAGAACTTAAATATGAGGATGAGACAGTTCCCAAGGCAACAGAGAAGTAAAAAAAAAACCTTTGAGCAGACATTAAGAAAATTGAAATTCCATATCTGCAATGCCTCTCCCCCAAGTCTAAATGGCAACAAGCACATGGAAAACTTCCTCCCAGCTCATGATTTCTACAGTGGAAAAAGTGAGATTGAGGTTGACAACCAGCTTCCCCACCAGTTTGGGTTTCCTGGCAGGATACCTGTCCCAGGAACAATCAATTGGAAGTATCAGGAGTGGCTGAAAGGAGAAATATTCCTGAGGACAGCCAGATACATAGGCAGGGGGCAGAACTATCATTCCCTGCATTGGAAACTCTGCTCTGTAACTTGGCTAAAGTAGACCCCATATCAGAGTGACTGTTCAACAACACCATGCTGGTAGGAGATTTATTCCATGGGTTCCTTAGGCATGAACTCCTAGCCTGCCTTCCCACACTATCAAGATATCCCCTTTGGGGCAGTAGGCACTCTGATTATTTACTAGAGCCAAGGTAAACCTAGGTTTAAAGCAGCATCTAGGGCCATCAATGAGACAGCTATCTAGCATGCAAAAAGAAAAAAAAAGGAAATTAACAGAAAAAAATTACAAAGAATCTCTAAGCAAACATATCCAAGAAGAACCAACATAAGCCAGACAGAAAGGACCAGAATAAATAACTAATTCTTTGATGCAAAGGCATAGACATACATCCACAAGAAACAACAGTAAACAGTGAACCATGACTTCTCCAAACAGAGAAAGCAAGGAATCAGTGACTAAACCTAACAAGACAATAATACATGAGCTCTCTGACCAGGAATTCACAATAGCAGTTTAAAGAAAATTCCATGATCTCCAAGATAGTACAGAAAAGCAACCCAGAAATTTATCAGAGAAAATTAACAAAAAGATTGAAATAATTGAAAAATCAAACAGAAATCTTAGAATTGGGAAATACATTTGCTGAACTGAAAACCTCCTTAGAGGCTTTCAATAGCAGAATGGATAAGACAGTGGAGAATCAGCAAGCCCAAAGACAGGTTATTTGAAAATGCACAGAGGAGAAAAAAAAGAATAAAAAGAAAAAAGATTGCTTACAAGATATGGAGAATTACCTTAAAAGATAAGATAATTAATAGTCCAAGTCAACTATTAATGTTCAAGAGGGGGTTGACCAAGTATCAGGAGAACCAGCCCCCAATATTTCAATGTAGGTTCTTTCTATTTTCCCTAAGTGTCAGCCGGTCTGAGAAATAAACAGAAAGAGTACAAAGAGAGGAATTTTACTGCTGGGCCTATGATGGTGACATCACATATCAGGAGGTCCATGATGTCCCCTGAGCTGCAAAACCAGCAGGTTTTTATTAAGGACTTTAAAACTGGAGGGGGTATATGAACAGGGAGTAGGTCACAAGGATCACATGCTTTAAGGGCAATAAAGATCACAGGGCAAAGGGCAAAGCAAAGATCACAAGGCAAAGGGCAAAATTAGAATTACTAATAAGGGTCTATGTTCGGCTGTGCACGTATTGTCTTGATAAACATCTTAAACAACAGAAAACAGGGTTCAAGAGCAGAGAACTGGTCTGACCTCAAATTTACCAGGGTGGAATCTTTTCCCCACCGTAATAAGCCTGAGGGTACTGCAGGAGACCATGGCATATTTCAGTCCTTATCTCAACCGCATAAGACAGACACTCCCAGAGCAGCCGTTTATAGACCTCCCCCCAGGAATGCATTCCTTCCCCAGGGTATTAATTATTAATATTCCTTGCTGGGAAAAGAATTCAGCAATATCTCTCCTACTTGCACGTCCATTTACAGGCTGTCTGCAATAAGAAAAATATGGGTCTATTCTGCCCGACCCCTCAGGCAGTCAGACCTTTGGTTGTCTTCCCTTGTTCCCTAAAATCGCTGTTATTCTGTTCATTTTCAAGGTGCACTGATTTCATATTGTTCAAATACACGTTTTACAATCAATTTGTACAATAGTAGTCCTGAGGTGACGTACATTCTCAGCTTATGAAGATAACAGGATTAAGAGATTAAAGTAAAGACAGCCATAAGAAATTATAAGAGTATTAATTTTGGGAACTGATAAATGTCCATGAAATCTTCACAATTTATGTTCAGAGATTGCAGTAAAGACAGGCATAAGAAATTATAAAAGTATTAATTTGGGGAACTGATAAATGTCCATGAAATCTTTACAATTTATGTTCCTCTGCCATGGCTTCAGCCAGTTGCTCTGTTCGGGGTCCCTGACTTCCTGCAACAACCAAGAGCAAGGGGTATAATCCACTCATAACTCTATTTGAAGCACAAAGGATAACTCTATCAAAAATAATAATAGCTACTGCAACATGTTAAGGCATAGACAATATAACAACATGCAAATTTACACAATTAAAGGTCAAAATGTGGGAGAATGAAGTTAAAGTGTAGAGTTTTAAAAATCTGGGGGGTTGTTTCTATTCTTTGTGATCTAAGACAACTTGTCATCTCTTTAAAATAACTTCTTATAAGTTTTTTTGTAAGCTTCATGGTAACCACAATGCAAAAACCAATTAAAACATACTATTTGAGAAACTCACTTAACTACAAAGAAAGAAAGTAAGAAAAGAAGAGTTACAAAACATCAGAAAACAAAGAACAAAGTGGCAGGAGTAAGTCCTTGCTTATCAATAATAACATTGCATGAAAATGGGCTCGATTATCCCATTGAAGGGCATACATAGGCTGAATGAATAAAGAAAATAAGATCTAACTGGCCGGGCATGGTGGCTCATGCCTGTAATCCCAGCACTTTGGGAGGCTGAGGCAGGCAGATCACGAGGTCAGGAGATCAAGACCATCCTGGCTAACATGGTGAAACCCTGTCTCTACTAAAAATACAAAAAAATTAGCTGGGCATGGTGGCGGGCAACTGTAGTCCCAGTTACTCAGGAGGCTGAGGCAGGAGAATGGCTTGAACCCGGCAGGCGGAGCTTGCAGTGAGCCGAGATTGTGCCACTGCACTCCAGGCTGGGCGAGAGAGACTCGTCTTAAAAAAAAAAAAAAAAGAAAAGAAGATCTAACTATATGCTATCTACAAGAAACCCTCCTCACCTATCAAGACACACAGGCTGAAAGTGACGGAGCACAAAATGACATTCCATGCAGTTAGAAATCAAAATATGGAATGAGTAGCTATACTTATATTAGGTAAAATAGTCTTAATCAAAGCCTCTTCACAATAGCTAAAATATGGGATCAAATTAACTATCAATGAATGAATGGATAAAGAAAATATGGTGTATACACACACAATGGAATATTATGTAAATATTATTTCAAAGAATTGAAAAATAAAATCCTGTCATTTGCAGCAGCATAGATGGAACTGGGAATCATATTAAGTGAAATAAGCCAAGCACAAAAACACAAATATTGCATGTTCTCATTCACTTAAGAAATAAAAAAGTGGATCTCATGAAGATAGAAAGTAGGTTGTTAGTTACCAGAGGCCAGGAAGTGTAGTGAAGAGGGAAAATAAAGAGAGATTAATTAATGGGTACAAATATACACTTAGAAGAAATAAGACCTAGTATTCAATAGATGAGTTGGTTGATTATAGTTTACAGTAATCTACTGTACATTTCAAAATAGCTAAAAGAGAATAATTTAAATGTTTTATAGCATAAAGATAAGAAGGATATTTAAGGTGATAGATATACCAATTACTCTGATCTGATCTTTCCACATTATATGTACATATGAAATTAACACATGTACTCTGAATATATGTATATTATTACATATCAATTTAAAATTTTTTTAAGTATACCTACAGTGAGAAAAAGTTGAGATAATTATGATTTAAATTTTCAAGTTTACCTAAAACCTAAGCATTATAAGGATTAAAAAAACTCTTTAAAATTGTTAAAGAAAGAATTGCTGTCTCCCTGAACTAAATATAAAGCAATAAAAACTTTTCATTGTCTGGAACAACACTGTTCAATATGAGCTCTATATTTATTTTTAAATTTTCTAGGAGCCACATTGAAAAAGTAAATAGGTAAAATTAATTTTAACACTACACTTTATTTTATCCAAAATACCCAAAACATCATTTTACCACTTAATTCATATTTAAAATATTTACAGTTATATATGTTTTACATGTTGATATATATATTACCTTTTTATGCTGTCATTAAAATAAATATGTATATATTTACCCTTACAGCTCATCTCAATTTGAAACAGCCATCTCTCAAGTACCCACTAGACACATGTGGCTAACAGCATTTTGGATGGTGCAGTTCTGTAACATTAAGTAATATGAGAGAAATCCAAGACTTTACATGAAGATACAACTACAGATTTTTAAAAGTCAAGAAATTACTATTTCCTACTAATTAGATCTGGTTAAAATACATTTTATAAGCCTCATACTTTCATTTATTGGTTTATGTGTTTCCAAGGTAAAAAGCAAATTGCAGAGACACTACTCTGATGAAGTAGTTGGCTATATAAAAAGTAATGCCCTATACATAGTCTATATGTGCTAATCAGGTTGTACTTGAGGATTACCTACATCAGAATCACTAAGGACATTTCCTGATAAATGCTGATATTTTGGCTCCCAACTGTTATTTTGTTTGTTGTTTGTTTCTGGAGTTTGAGCCTAAGAATCTGTTATATAACTGTTCCCCATATGATCTTCATGCATGTAAATATTTGAAATATATGACTATGTGTTATATTCTATATAGAAGTTAGTAATAATAACCAATAATCAAAATAGCTTCATTTTGCCTAACAAATTATATATATATATTATTTGACACAATCAGATATAGAAATTGTTTTCAGGTCTTGAATATCCTGTGTTATTCTCAAGAAGAAAGACTCAGATTCATTCATTTGGCAGACTTGAATTAGTCATTTATTATAGAGAAAATCTAACCAGTATTTTAAAAAACTATTAATCTAATGAATAATAAGAATAAAAAGAAAGAAAAGCTAAAAAATAAAAATAAGAAAAAATATGAATAAATCTAAGAAAGATTTAAAATGCATGTGATGGTATATGAACTGTTTTAGCTCTGAGGATATAGAAATCTTTTTCCCCCTTTTTCCAGCTACAGAAAACAGGCATTCAACAACTATTTGTATAAATATTTACTATAAAGCAAAAATATGCAGACTAATGCAAGCATAAAATAAGGGCATCAGAGTGCATTATAGGTGAGGTGATCATAAATGTTATTCTGGAAAAGGACTCTGAGAAGAGACATGAATGAGGTGAGGGAGAAAATCAAATGAAATCTGGATATCAGCATAGCAGGCAGAGTTAAACAGGATGTTCAAAGGCCTTAAGCTGAAAATAAGTTTGTCCTGCTCAAGGAAAAAATAACACCAGTGGGGCTCCAAAAGAGAAAGTAAGTAGGAGATTGGCAGAAACTGATATAGAAGAATTAGGCAGGAGCTAGATTATTTTGATTCTTATAACCATGGTAGCAATTTAGGATGTTATTCTCTGTATTAGTCCATTCTCACACTGCTATAAAAAAACTTGCCAAGACTGGGTAACTTATAAAGGAAAGAGGTTTAATTGGCTCACAGTTCCATATGGCTGGGAAGGCCTCAGGAAACTTACAATCCAATCATGGCAGAAGGCAAAGGGAAGGCAGGCAACTTCTTCACAAGGTGGCAGGAGAGAGACTGTCAGAAGGAGGAACTTGCCAAACAATGACATC
Source organism: Homo sapiens (assembly GCF_000001405.40). NCBI lineage: Eukaryota > Metazoa > Chordata > Mammalia > Primates > Hominidae > Homo > Homo sapiens. Next base: position 87,459,971 of record NC_000012.12, read on the forward strand.
AAATCTCATGGGAACTCATTGACTATCATGAGAAGAGCATGCAAGAAACTGCCCCCATGTTTCCATTACCTCCACCTGGTCTCCCCCTTGACACCTGGTGATTATGGGGATTACAATTCAAAATGAGATTTTGGGTGGGACACAGCCAAACCATATCA